>NC_000008.11:85714222-86964222 GCF_000001405.40 Homo sapiens
GAATTCCCACTGCCCTCTCATCAGCCTGCCCAGAGCTTCGGGCTCTGGGTGCCCCAGATGCACAAGCAGGCCTCAGCATTTGTGGACATCCAGGCGGAGCCCCAGAACAGGGGTCCGGCGGTGCCCCCAGCGTGGCCCAAGATGGTGACGGAGTCGTGCTACTTCCCTGCGCAGAGGGGATCGGCCTGCCGCTTGCCAGCCGCCCCAAGGCTGACAGAGAGGCCCTCGGGAGTCCGCATCTCAGCCCCCAGGAAGAGGAAGACGATCGCCCACTCTTCCAGCCCTTGCTTGGTCACAGGTTACACAGATGCCAAGAGAACCCGGGTGGCCAGCAGCAGCCAACGCTCCCGTGGCTCCAAGGTCGGCAGACAGCCAGGGAAGACGCGCAACAGGTCAGGGATGGCATGCAAGACCACCGCCACCACCAGCTCTAAGCGAATCGTCCGTCGTGCATCCTTACCGAGTTTGAGTTTGAAGAAACCCATTATCCTCCGAAGCTCTGGGTGCCAAGTCCCCACCGTCCTCCGCCGAGGCTATCTCCAACTGTTCACCGAAGAGTGTCTCAAGTTCTGCGCCTCCAAGCAGGAGGCCGAGGAGAAGGCGCTGAACGAGGAGAAGGTGGCCTACGACTGCAGCCCCAACAAGAACAGGTACCTGAACGTGGTCCTGAACACCCTCAAGAGACTGAAGGGCCTGACCCCCAGCTCCATGCCCGGCCTCAGCAGGGCCGCCCTGTACAGCCGCCTCCAGGAGTTCCTGCTCACCCAGGACCAGCTCAAGGAGAACGGCTACCCCTTCCCGCACCCCGAGCGGCCCGGAGGCGCCGTCCTCTTCACTGGCCAGGGGAAGGGGCCCGGCGACTCCTCCTGCAGGGTCTGCTGCCGTTGTGGCACCGAGTACCTGGTGTCCTCCTCGGGCCGCTGTGTACGCGACCAGTTGTGTTATTATCACTGGGGGCGGGTCCGCTCGAGCCAGGTGGCTGGAGGCCGGGTTAGCCAGTACACCTGCTGTGCAGCTGCTCCTGGCTCTGTGGGCTGCCAGGTGGCAAAGCAGCACGTGCGGGACGGCCGCAAGGAGAGCCTCGATGGCTTCGTGGAGACCTTCAAGAAAGAGTTGTCCAGAGACGCTTATCCAGGAATCTACGCCTTGGACTGTGAGATGTGCTACACCACGCATGGCCTAGAGCTGACCCGCGTCACCGTGGTGGACGCCGACATGCGAGTGGTGTACGACACCTTCGTCAAGCCCGACAACGAGATCGTGGACTACAACACCAGGTTTTCCGGAGTCACCGAGGCCGACGTCGCCAAGACGAGCATCACGTTGCCCCAAGTCCAAGCCATCCTGCTGAGCTTTTTCAGCGCCCAAACCATCCTCATCGGGCACAGCCTGGAGAGCGACCTGCTGGCCCTGAAGCTCATCCACAGCACCGTGGTGGACACGGCCGTGCTCTTCCCGCACTACCTGGGTTTCCCCTACAAGCGCTCCCTCAGGAATCTCGCGGCCGACTACCTGGCACAGATCATCCAGGACAGCCAGGACGGCCACAACTCCAGCGAGGACGCAAACGCCTGCCTGCAGCTGGTGATGTGGAAGGTCCGACAGCGCGCCCAGATCCAGCCACGCCACCGGTCCGCCTCTCCCGCCGCCCTGGCCTGTCCTTAGCCCCAGGCCTCTTCCAAAACCGCCATCAGTCCCGAGAGCTCACCCTGCCCACCACCCTCCCCCGCAAAGCAAAAAAAACTGGAGCAGCCGGCAGCAGGAGAGGGCAAAAAGCCAAGAGTAACCCCAACCCCCCACTCCCGGTCCCCCGGAATCCCTGCCGCGGCCCCTCGGGCCTGTCCACATCCCTCTGCCCCTCCCAGACCTCTGTCCTTCCACCAATCGCCTCCCGCAGCCCCGAGCCGCCACTCCCAGTCCCCCGAGTCCCTGCCGCGCGCCCTCGCGCCTGTCCACATCCCTCTGCCCATCCGAGACCTCTGTCCTTACACCACTAGCCACCCCACGTGGGACTTCCATGGCTTCTGAGTACAAGGCCAGCCCCCCGGCCCACCAGCTTTCGGAATGCCTGCTTACCTCTTTTTCTGTAGAGGCACCACAGGGAGGTGGGTGAAGCACTTCGGCTCTGGAGTTACAGATCTGGGTTCAAGGCCAAATTCCACCACTTACTAGGTTTGTAATATTGGACAGATAACGTCTTTGCGCTTCTACCTTTTGGTCTTTAAAGTGTGATCAAAAGAGACTTAGACTCCCACATAGTAATAATAATAATAATGGCAAACTTAACACCCCACTGTCAACATTAGACACACCAACGAGACAGAAAGTTAAAAAAGGATATCCGGGAATTGAGCTCAGCTCTGCACCAAGCGGACCTAGGAGACATCTACAGAACGCTCCACCCCAAATCAACAGAATATACATTCTTCTCAGCACCACATCACACTTATTTCCACATTGACCACATAGTTGGAAGTAAAGCACTCCTCAGTAAAAGTAAAATTACAGAAATTATTACAAACGGTCTCTCAGACCACATTGCAATCACACTAGACCTCAGGATTGAGAAAGTCACTCAAAACCGCTCAACTGCATGGAAACCGGACAAGCTGCTCCTGAATGAGTACTGGGTACATAACGAAATGAAGGCAGAAATAAAGATATTCTCTGAAAGCAATGAGAACAAAGACACAACATACCAGAATCTCTGGGACACATTTAAAGCAGTGTGTAGAGGGAAATTTATAGCACTAAATGCCCACAAGGGAAAGCAGGAAAGATCAAAAATGCATACCCTAACATCACCATTAAAAGGATGAGAGAAGCAAGAGCAAACACATTCAAAAGCTAGCAGAAGGCAAGAATTAACTAAGATCCGAGCAGAACTGAAGGAGATAGAGACCCAAAAAACCCTTCAAAAAATCAATGAATCCAGGAGCGGGTTTTTTGAAACCATCCACAAAATTGATAGACCACTAGCAAGACTATTAAAGAATGAAAGAAAGAAGAATCAAGCAGATGCAATAAAAAATGATAAAGGGGATATCACCACTGATCCCCCAGAAGTACAAACTACCATGAGAGAATACTGTCAACACCTCTAGGCAAACAAACTCGGAAATCTAGAAGAAATGAATAAATTCCTGGACACATGCAACCTCCCCAGAGTAAACCAGGAAGAAGTTGAATGCCTGAATAGACCAATAACAGGCTCTGAAATTGAGGCAATAATTAATAGCCTATCAAGCAATAAAACTCCAGGACCAGACGGATTCACAGCCGAATTCTACCAGAAGTACAAGGAGGAGCTGGTACCATTCCTTCGGAAACTATTCCAATCAACAGAAAAAGAGGGAATCCTCCCTATCTCATTTTATGAGGCCAGCATCATCCTGATCCCAAAGGCTGAGAGAGACACAACCAACAAAGAGAATTTTCGGCCCATATCCCTGAGGAACACCGATGGAAAAATCCTCCATAAAATGCTGGCAAACCGAATCCAGCAGCACATCAAAGAGCTTATCCATTATGATCAAGTGGGCTTCATCCCTGACATGCAAGGCTGGTCCAACATATGCAAATCAATAAACATAATCCAGCATATAATCGGAACCAAAGACAGAAACCGCGTGATTATCTCAACAGATGCAGAAAAGGCCTTTGACAAAATTCAACAGCCTTTCATGCCAAAAACTCTCAATAAATTAGGTACTGATGGGACATACCTCAAAATAATAAGGGCTATTTAGGGCAAACCCACAGCCAATATCATACTGAATGGGCAAAAAGTGGAAGCATTCCCTTTGCAAACTGCCACAAGACAGGGGTGCCCTCTCTCACCACTCCTATTCAACATAGTGTTGGAACTTCTGGCCAGGGCAATCAGGCAGGAGAAAGAAACAAAGAGTAATCAATTAGGAAAAGAGGAAGTCAAATTGTCCCTGTTTGTAGATGACACGATTGAATATTTAGAAAACCCCATCGTCTCAGCCCAAAATCTCCTTAAGCTGATAAGCAACTTCAGCAAAGTCTCAGGATACAAAATCGATGTGCAAAAATCACAAGCATTCTCATACACCAATAACAGGCAAACAGAGAGCCAAATCATGACTGAGCTCCCATTCACAATTGCTTCAAAGAGAATAAAATACTGAGGAATCCAACTAACAAGGGATGCGATGTGCGAAGGACCTCTTCAAGGAGAACTACAAACCACTGCTCCACGAAATAAAAGAGGACACAAACCAATGGAAGAATATTCCATGCTCACGGTTAGGAAGAATCAGTATCGTGAAAATGGCCATACTGCCCAAGGTATATTATAGATCCAATGCCATCCCCATCAAGCTACCAAGGACTTTCTTCACAGAATTGGAAAAAACTACTTGAAAGTTTACATGGAACCACAAAAGGGCCCCCACTGCCAAGATAATCCTAAGCCAAAAGAACAAAGGTGGAGGCATCAAGCTACCCGACTTCAAACTACACTACAAGCCTACAGTAACCAAACAGCATGCTGTTGGTTGCCTTTTTGGTTACTGTAGACCAATGGAACAGAATAGAGCCCTCAGAAATAATACGACACATCTACAACCGTCGGATCTTTGACAAACCTGACAAAAACAAGAAATGGGGAAAGGATTCCCTATTTAATAAATGGTGCTGGGAAAACTGGCTAGCCATATGTCCGAAGGTGAAATTGGATCCCTTCCTTACACCTTATGCAAAAGTTTATTCAAGACGGATGAAAGACTTAAATGTTACATCTTAAGCCATACAAACCCTAGGAGAAAACCTAGGCAATACCATTCAGGACATAGGCATGGGCAAGGACCTCATGTCTAAAACGCCAAAAGCAAAGGCAACAAAAGCCAATATTGACAAACGGCATCTAATTACACTAAAGAGTTTCTGCACAGCTAAAGAAACTCCCATCAGAGTGAACAGGCATGCTACAGAAAGGGAGAAAATTTTTGCAATCTACTCATCTGACAAAGGGCTAATATCCAGAATCTACTAAGAACTCAAACAGAGTTACAAGAAAATCCAAACAACCCCATCAACAAGTGCGGGAAGGATATGAAGAGACACTTCTAAAAAGAAGACATTTATGCAGCCAACAGACACATGAAAAAATGCTCATCAACACTGGTCATCAGAGAAATGCAAATCAAATCCGCAAAGAGATATCGTCTCACACCAGTTACAATAGCGATCAATAAAAAAGTCAAGAAACAACAGGTGCTGGAGAGGTAGTGGAGAAATAGGGACACTTTTACACTGCTGGTGGGACTGTAAACCAGTTCAGCGGTTGTGGAAGATAGTGTGGCGAATCCTCAAGGATCTAGAATTAGAAATACCATTTGACCCAGCCGTCCCATTACTGGGTATACACCCATAGGACTATAAATCATGCTGCTAAAAGGACACACGCAGATGTATGTTTATTGCAGCACCGTTCACAGTAGCAAAGACTTGGAACCAGCCCAGATGTCCATCAATGATAGACTGGATTAAGGAAACGTGGCACAAATACACCATGGAATACTATGCAGCCATAAAAAAGCATGTGTTCATGCCCTTCGGAGGGACACGGATGAAGCTGGAAACCATCATTCTTAGCAAACTATCGCAAGGACAAAAAAACCAAACACCGCGTGATCCCACTCATAGGTGGGAATTGAACTAGGAGAACACTTGGACGCAGAAAGGGGAACATCACACACCGGGGCCTGTCATGGGCGGGGGGAGGGGGAGGGATAACATTAAGAGACATACCTAACGTAAATGACTAGTGAATGGGTGCAGCACACCAACATGGCACGTGCTTACATACGTAATAAACCTGCACGTTGTGCACATGTACCCTAGTAATTAAAGTATAATTTAAAAAAAAATGGAAAACGAAAGTGTGATCCTAATGTCATGGTGCGGACTGAATGAAGCAGCACATGGCAAGCCTTAAAACGATCGCACATAGTAGGTGTTCAATTAATGTTAACTATATTTCTTTTTTATAATAGTTTATAAAGGGAATTCATGAACACTATGTGATTAATCCTTGGAACAACCCAACAGGTAGGTAAATAAAGCCTAATTTTATACCTAAAGAAACCATGCGGCTTAACTTGCCCAAAATAATAATGATTGTAATGAGCACTGGCTGTTGGTTTCTTATGTACTTGGTACTTTGCACGTATTAACCCAGTCAGTCCTCCTAATAGTTGTGAGAGAGATAGCATTCTTATCCCCATTTTACAGATGAGGAACCTGAAGCCCAGGTGATAAGTAGTTTATCCAAGGTATCATAGCTAGAAGTCGGGTGCAGGCAGTCTGGCTCCAGAGCCCCTGCTCTGTCCGCTGACCTAGCTGACTTCCCAAGAGTCAAAGTGGATTCTTCCCCAAGACCAACCAATTACAATGACTGAATCAGTCAGTCAACTTCGAACTGGGCTCCAAGAGAGAACGAACCATCATGCCTCTCTAAATCCTCATTTCTAGTTTGAATCTTCAAGGAGAGATAGACACTAAGTAGCTAGTTTTGCTGGAATGGCTGATTTTATCAATGTTTTCGGTGTGTGAGTGTGTGTGTGTGTATATGTATAGAACTAAATTAAACTGATAATTTGAATGCTTACACTTCCATTAGTTCAATTTGTGTATGTGAGCCCTCACACACATACATACACACACACAAACTGTTCCAGAACAGTGACTTAGTGAAAAACTGGATTTCCACTCTGTCAGACAAATTTCGGAAAGCACTGAAGTAGGGCATTTCTGATTGATTTTACCGTTCCCGGAATTTTATTTTCCTTTATCACTTAGACCCCTTCTGTGGGGATTTAATAAATAAACGTCTTTTGTAGTGTATGTTATTTCATTTTACTTTTATAATTTATATGAATTTTAATTTTAACTTGACAAATAAAAATTATATATATTTATGGCATACAACATGATGTTTCATACGTGTATACATTGTGGAATGACAAAATCAAGCTAATTAACACACTCGTTTCCTCACATACTGATTTTAATGTGATGAGGACATGTCTAAAATCTACTCTTATAGCAATTTTCAAGTATACAATACATACTTATACACTGTAGATGCCAGGCTGTTCAATAGATCTCTAGAACCATTCCTCTCTGAAATTTTGTATCATGAGACTATCATCTCTCCAGTCCCTCCCTGACCCCTGCCTCGGGTAACCACCGTTCTGCTCTCTGCAGCTATGAGTTGCATTGTTTGAGATTGCACATATAAGTGAGATCATGCAGTATTTGTCTTTTTGTGCTTGCTTTTTAAATCTTTATTATGTAATTATTTATTTTTTGAGACAGGGTCTCAGTCTGTCACCCAGGCTGGAGTACAGTGACACAAACACGGCTCACTCACCCACCACGGCCTCCACCTCCCGGGGTCGAGAGTTCCTCCCGCTTCAGCCTCCTGAATAGCTAGGACTACAGGCGTCCAACGCCACACTTGGCTAATTTTTGTGTTTCTTTTAGAGATGGGGTTTCACCATGTTGCCCAGGTTCATCTCCAACTCCTGGGCTCAACGCTTCCACCTGCCTTGGCCTCCCAAAGTACTGGGATTACAGGCATGAGCCACCGTGCCTGGCCTTTGCTTTCTTTCACTCAGTGTACCATCCTCTAGGCTCATTCGTGTTGCCAATGAGATGATTTCTTTCTTTTTTAAGGCTGAATTGTGTTCTATTGGGTATATGTACCGCTTTTCTTTTTATGTTTAATTTTTTTTGGTTTTTTGAGACAGAGTTTCGCTCGCGTCGCCCAGGCTGGAGTGCAGTGGCGTGATTTCGAGTCACTACAACCTCTGCCTCCCAGGTTGAAGTGATTCTCCTGCCTCACCTGAGATTAGAGGCATGTACCGGCATGTCCGGCTAATTTTGTGTTTCTAGTAGAGATGGGGTTTCACCATGTTGGCCAGGCTGGTCTTGAACTCCAACAATTCTAATTCAACTAATTTATTTTATAGAAATATTTATGTGTGAGAAACAATATTTTCAAGAGTCAAAGATTTAAAACTGCTTAATTGTACATCACTAAGTGGCTGGCTAATAAATTATAGTACGTTCATCCTTACGGAAGAATACTTTGCAGCTAAAACAGAACGAAAGAGAGGAAACTCTTCAAAATGTTAACTGGGAATGACGTTCAAGACTTATTGTTAAATAAAACAAATTGAGAAGAAGAGTCGTTTATTGGTACTAAATTTGTGTCAGTAAAAATGGATTCTATACGTGGGATGGTTTATAAGTATGTGGAAAAATTCTTTGATGGTTTTTCCTTGAAAAAGTGAAACCTAAATCCACTCCGTTTGGATGTGGGCCTATTTACGGTTGTTGCTTCCTAAACATAAACTACGTTTAGGCTGATATTTCAGACAATGAAACCTTTGAGTGCCCGTAGCGGGAAGATCTCGGTTGCTGAGTGCAGGGAAGGAGGATGTAATTCCATCATATATACTCTCTGTGCCTACCGCATTTGGAACCATGCGAGTGATACGTATTTATAAAATAACATAAACCAAGCACAAGTACGAACTTAGCAACACTATATTGAGTTAATAGAACGGTATCTTGTATTTCTTCTGTCCAGGTATACTTATAAATGCCTGCAGGGATTTCATCACCTCAGGGTGGAGAGACTCAATGCTTGTGAGGGAATTAGGATGGTGGAATATTGGTGTTACCAGGGAAGGGGGCGGGATGTTTGAAAATGCTATGTTTACTCGTTCTTGGGTTCCAATAAAGGAGAAACAGGGCACAGGAGTCGGAAGGACTAGTGGCAATAGTGATGAAAGGACCTCCTTATCATGCTGGCTATGTTAATTACCCAGGTGTAGGAAGCCATACACTGAGGCGGAAGATCGCAAGTCAGAGTGGCCGGCAGGCACAACCTCCTGGCACACCAGAGGCAGGTCTTCAATACCCACTGGTTTCCCCAACAGGCTGCGTAAGGGACCCTGAGCCACAGTGAGTTGGTCAAATGCTCCTGACAGTGTGGAGAAACCAACAGGCAAAACGTGGGTGCAAAAGTGATGAGACCCCACACTTTACACTCGTGGTGACAATGAAGCTATTAAGTAACAGCTTCTCAACCTATGCTGTTTCCTGTTGGATGCACATAATCCATTTGCACTGCAGACAATTTTAGGATGTGGTTTACAGTAAGGTGGATGGTACCTTATGGCAAAAATCTCTCAGAAATTTATGTGTGGTTTTAAAGTCATTCCAGTCCTAGCACGTTGTGCTTTTCAGAGACGCCATAGCTGTTTTTCCCTTTGTAATATCAAAGCAGTAATATGTTCTCTGGAGGCCTGTTGGGTGAATTTAATGGAATCAAGTTAAGTAGGTGCCAGAACCATTGCTGTTTTCCCTCCATAGCCCTGCCACCCACTGTAAAAAGGTTGATGAGATTACTTAATGATTTCCAATTAAGTTGTATTTCCAAATATCATGATTTCCATTTTAATGTAGTTGGTATGGAGCTCTGTGAGTGTGTGCTTCTTTTATTATGGATCACGTTCAGCTTCTTTTTATTTGCCTCCTAGTCATAATAGTAAAACTCTACTCCTCTACTCCGAGGAGTCCCTACCACCCATCTCATCACTTTCCAGCCCAGCACTCTTCATGCTCATTCCTTTAAAGCATTCAACATTGTGTAAATGAATCTTGGAAGGCAAAAGCTACTGAATTTAGCGAATTTGTGGAGGCATTGCCACAAATCAGCCAGGTGAAGTTTCACACAATCGAAGACTGCACAACTCCTAGAAGGCAGCACTATGCTGCAAACCCAGACGGCCACTCTTCTCACCCCTCGTCCGTTTGCTGTTCTGGATAATGAGGTTCAAAAGTCACCTAGGCAACTGCCAAAATAGCTGAAATGGAGAAAGGGCTTCAGGCTGGTGACTAGCAGAGGTCCACCTGACCCCCGTAAGCTGCTGAACAAGTAGGGCTGCCAGAAATGTCCCACTAGGGAATTTGGTAGAGACGAAGACATGCTCACCGGACAAGGGTTCCTCCCAGGATACGCCCGAGCGGAAGAAGCGGGCTCTGAGCCACGCCCTTTCACCCTCCTCTACCCCGCCCTGGGCTGGTGAAGGTGCGCGCCAGGATGTGGACTACTGAGCCCTGAAGAAATAAGTCCTTCCACTTTGACCCCATGGAGGATTGCCTGTGAGGAACTTAAACGAGTCTACCAGTGTCTAGACACGGGGGCAGGTCTGTCCGGCACAGCAGCTCCCTCAAGGAGGAGAAGAGTGAGGAGAAAGGAAACTCAAGTCTCACCATTCTGTCCTGGGAGAGAAGAGGAGGATCTCATCTCTCATCTGTCCAAACAAGGCAAGGAGACTTTCTCTCATCTTTCCAAGCAAGGCAAGGAGACTTTTTATCATTAGGAAACAAAAAGAATTTAGAAGGAATGAAAGCAGCCCGTAAGGTGAATTCCTAAGGACTGCCCATTGAAACTGACAAAATTGCCCTTGTTTGATGAGAGGAATGAGCAGAGCATTGATGTGGTGAACAAGGATCTAGTGAGACTTTCCCAGCATGTTTCTACCAAAGCTTTATCTAAGCTTCTCAGAACACTCTCCTAATAAGCAGATGTTTGGCCTTTCAGAAAGTCAACAAGCAAAATGCCTTGAGTGTCCCAAAACACTGATGCCATGATGTGGGCTCCTGACTGGCCTCCTTTTCCTTTGACTGGACCACTGCCACCTCTTGGTAGCCATCGCTTTCATGATGCTTTGCCTTGGCGATCATATTGGTGAAGCCATGTTCCAACTTCCGCTTACAATTTGTCAGAGGGATGCGTCAGGATCGTGATCCCTCCTGTTTAAAATTTCCACTGATAGCTCTCGTCGTAACTGCAGCTGATCTGGGCACAGTGGTTTTCACAGCCACTGCAGGTTGAAGTGATTCTCCTGCCTCACCTGAGATTAGAGGCATGTACCGGCATGTCCGGCTAATTTTGTGTTTCTAGTAGAGATGGGGTTTCACCATGTTGGCCAGGCTGGTCTTGAACTCCAACAATTCTAATTCAACTAATTTATTTTATAGAAATATTTATGTGTGAGAAACAATATTTTCAAGAGTCAAAGATTTAAAACTGCTTAATTGTACATCACTAAGTGGCTGGCTAATAAATTATAGTACGTTCATCCTTACGGAAGAATACTTTGCAGCTAAAACAGAACGAAAGATAGGAAACTCTTCAAAATGTTAACTGGGAATGACGTTCAAGACTTATTGTTAAATAAAACAAATTGAGAAGAAGAGTCGTTTATTGGTACTAAATTTGTGTCAGTAAAAATGGATTCTATACGTGGGATGGTTTATAAGTATGTGGAAAAATTCTTTGATGGTTTTTCCTTGAAAAAGTGAAACCTAAATCCACTCCGTTTGGATGTGGGACTATTTACGGTTGTTGCTTCCTAAACATAAACTACGTTTAGGCTGATATTTCAGACAATGAAACCTTTGAGTGCCCGTAGCGGGATGATCTCGGTTGGTGAGTGCAGGGAAGGAGGATGTAATTCCATCATATATACTCTCTGTGCCTACCGCATTTGGAACCATGCGAGTGATACGTATTTATAAAATAAAATAAACCAAGCACAAGTACGAACTTAGCAACACTATATTGAGTTAATAGAACGGTATCTTGTATTTCTTCTGTCCAGGTATACTTATAAATGCCTGCAGGGATTTCACCACCTCAGGGTGGAGAGACTGAATGCTTGTGAGGGAATTAGGATGGTGGAATATTGGTGTTACCAGGGAAGGGGGCGGGATGTTTGAAAATGCTATGTTTACTCGTTCTTGGGTTCCAATAAAGGAGAAACAGGGCACAGGAGTCGGAAGGACTAGTGGCAATAGTGATGAAAGGACCTCCTTATCATGCTGGCAATGTTAATTACCCAGGTGTAGGAAGCCATACACTGAGGCGGAAGATCACAAGTCAGAGTGGCCGGCAGGCACAACCTCCTGGCACACCAGAGGCAGGTCTTCAATACCCACTGGTTTCCCCAACAGGCTGCGTAAGGGATCCTGAGCCACAGTGAGTTGGTCAAATGCTCCTGACAGTGTGGAGAAACCAACAGGCAAAACGTGGGTGCAAAAGTGATGAGACCCCACACTTTACACTCGTGGTGACAATGAAGCTATTAAGTAACAGCTTCTCAACCTATGCTGTTTCCTGTTGGATGCACATAATCCATTTGCACTGCAGACAATTTTAGGATGTGGTTTACAGTAAGGTGGATGGTACCTTACGGCAAAAATCTCTCAGAAATTTATGTGTGGTTTTAAAGTCATTCCAGTCCTAGCACGTTGTGCTTTTCAGAGACGCCATAGCTGTTTTTCCCTTTGTAATATCAAAGCAGTAATATGTTCTCTGGAGGCCTGTTGGGTGAATTTAATGGAATCAAGTTAAGTAGGTGCCAGAACCATTGCTGTTTTCCCTCCATAGCCCTGCCACCCACTGTAAAAAGGTTGATGAGATTACTTAATGATTTCCAATTAAGTTGTATTTCCAAATATCATGATTTCCATTTTAATGTAGTTGGTATGGAGCTCTGTGAGTGTGTGCTTCTTTTATTATGGATCACGTTCAGCTTCTTTTTATTTGCCTCCTAGTCATAATAGTAAAACTCTACTCCTCTACTCCGAGGAGTCCCTACCACCCATCTCATCACTTTCCAGCCCAGCACTCTTCATGCTCATTCATTTAAAGCATTCAACATTGTGTAAATGAATCTTGGAAGGCAAAAGCTACTGAATTTAGCGAATTTGTGGAGGCATTGCCACAAATCAGCCAGGTGAAGTTTCACACAATCGAAGACTGCACAACTCCTAGAAGGCAGCACTATGCTGCAAACCCAGACGGCCACTCTTCTCACCCCTCGTCCGTTTGCTGTTCTGGATAATGAGGTTCAAAAGTCACCTAGGCAACTGCCAAAATAGCTGAAATGGAGAAAGGGCTTCAGGCTGGTGACTAGCAGAGGTCCACCTGACCCCCGTAAGCTGCTGAACAAGTAGGGCTGCCAGAAATGTCCCACTAGGGAATTTGGTAGAGACGAAGACATGCTCACCGGACAAGGGTTCCTCCCAGGATACGCCCGAGCGGAAGAAGCGGGCTCTGAGCCACGCCCTTTCACCCTCCTCTACCCCGCCCTGGGCTGGTGAAGGTGCGCGCCAGGATGTGGACTACTGAGCCCTGAAGAAATAAGTCCTTCCACTTTGACCCCATGGAGGATTGCCTGTGAGGAACTTAAACGAGTCTACCAGTGTCTAGACACGGGGGCAGGTCTGTCCGGCACAGCAGCTCCCTCAAGGAGGAGAAGAGTGAGGAGAAAGGAAACTCAAGTCTCACCATTCTGTCCTGGGAGAGAAGAGGAGGATCTCATCTCTCATCTGTCCAAACAAGGCAAGGAGACTTTCTCTCATCTTTCCAAGCAAGGCAAGGAGACTTTTTATCATTAGGAAACAAAAAGAATTTAGAAGGAATGAAAGCAGCCCGTAAGGTGAATTCCTAAGGACTGCCCATTGAAACTGACAAAATTGCCCTTGTTTGATGAGAGGAATGAGCAGAGCATTGATGTGGTGAACAAGGATCTAGTGAGACTTTCCCAGCATGTTTCTACCAAAGCTTTATCTAAGCTTCTCAGAACACTCTCCTAATAAGCAGATGTTTGGCCTTTCAGAAAGTCAACAAGCAAAATGCCTTGAGTGTCCCAAAACACTGATGCCATGATGTGGGCTCCTGACTGGCCTCCTTTTCCTTTGACTGGACCACTGCCACCTCTTGGTAGCCATCGCTTTCATGATGCTTTGCCTTGGCGATCATATTGGTGAAGCCATGTTCCAACTTCCGCTTACAATTTGTCAGAGGGATGCGTCAGGATCGTGATCCCTCCTGTTTAAAATTTCCACTGATAGCTCTCGTCGTAACTGCAGCTGATCTGGGCACAGTGGTTTTCACAGCCACTGCAGGTTGAAGTGATTCTCCTGCCTCACCTGAGATTAGAGGCATGTACCGGCATGTCCGGCTAATTTTGTGTTTCTAGTAGAGATGGGGTTTCACCATGTTGGCCAGGCTGGTCTTGAACTCCAACAATTCTAATTCAACTAATTTATTTTATAGAAATATTTATGTGTGAGAAACAATATTTTCAAGAGTCAAAGATTTAAAACTGCTTAATTGTACATCACTAAGTGGCTGGCTAATAAATTATAGTACGTTCATCCTTACGGAAGAATACTTTGCAGCTAAAACAGAACGAAAGATAGGAAACTCTTCAAAATGTTAACTGGGAATGACGTTCAAGACTTATTGTTAAATAAAACAAATTGAGAAGAAGAGTCGTTTATTGGTACTAAATTTGTGTCAGTAAAAATGGATTCTATACGTGGGATGGTTTATAAGTATGTGGAAAAATTCTTTGATGGTTTTTCCTTGAAAAAGTGAAACCTAAATCCACTCCGTTTGGATGTGGGACTATTTACGGTTGTTGCTTCCTAAACATAAACTACGTTTAGGCTGATATTTCAGACAATGAAACCTTTGAGTGCCCGTAGCGGGATGATCTCGGTTGGTGAGTGCAGGGAAGGAGGATGTAATTCCATCATATATACTCTCTGTGCCTACCGCATTTGGAACCATGCGAGTGATACGTATTTATAAAATAAAATAAACCAAGCACAAGTACGAACTTAGCAACACTATATTGAGTTAATAGAACGGTATCTTGTATTTCTTCTGTCCAGGTATACTTATAAATGCCTGCAGGGATTTCACCACCTCAGGGTGGAGAGACTGAATGCTTGTGAGGGAATTAGGATGGTGGAATATTGGTGTTACCAGGGAAGGGGGCGGGATGTTTGAAAATGCTATGTTTACTCGTTCTTGGGTTCCAATAAAGGAGAAACAGGGCACAGGAGTCGGAAGGACTAGTGGCAATAGTGATGAAAGGACCTCCTTATCATGCTGGCAATGTTAATTACCCAGGTGTAGGAAGCCATACACTGAGGCGGAAGATCACAAGTCAGAGTGGCCGGCAGGCACAACCTCCTGGCACACCAGAGGCAGGTCTTCAATACCCACTGGTTTCCCCAACAGGCTGCGTAAGGGATCCTGAGCCACAGTGAGTTGGTCAAATGCTCCTGACAGTGTGGAGAAACCAACAGGCAAAACGTGGGTGCAAAAGTGATGAGACCCCACACTTTACACTCGTGGTGACAATGAAGCTATTAAGTAACAGCTTCTCAACCTATGCTGTTTCCTGTTGGATGCACATAATCCATTTGCACTGCAGACAATTTTAGGATGTGGTTTACAGTAAGGTGGATGGTACCTTACGGCAAAAATCTCTCAGAAATTTATGTGTGGTTTTAAAGTCATTCCAGTCCTAGCACGTTGTGCTTTTCAGAGACGCCATAGCTGTTTTTCCCTTTGTAATATCAAAGCAGTAATATGTTCTCTGGAGGCCTGTTGGGTGAATTTAATGGAATCAAGTTAAGTAGGTGCCAGAACCATTGCTGTTTTCCCTCCATAGCCCTGCCACCCACTGTAAAAAGGTTGATGAGATTACTTAATGATTTCCAATTAAGTTGTATTTCCAAATATCATGATTTCCATTTTAATGTAGTTGGTATGGAGCTCTGTGAGTGTGTGCTTCTTTTATTATGGATCACGTTCAGCTTCTTTTTATTTGCCTCCTAGTCATAATAGTAAAACTCTACTCCTCTACTCCGAGGAGTCCCTACCACCCATCTCATCACTTTCCAGCCCAGCACTCTTCATGCTCATTCATTTAAAGCATTCAACATTGTGTAAATGAATCTTGGAAGGCAAAAGCTACTGAATTTAGCGAATTTGTGGAGGCATTGCCACAAATCAGCCAGGTGAAGTTTCACACAATCGAAGACTGCACAACTCCTAGAAGGCAGCACTATGCTGCAAACCCAGACGGCCACTCTTCTCACCCCTCGTCCGTTTGCTGTTCTGGATAATGAGGTTCAAAAGTCACCTAGGCAACTGCCAAAATAGCTGAAATGGAGAAAGGGCTTCAGGCTGGTGACTAGCAGAGGTCCACCTGACCCCCGTAAGCTGCTGAACAAGTAGGGCTGCCAGAAATGTCCCACTAGGGAATTTGGTAGAGACGAAGACATGCTCACCGGACAAGGGTTCCTCCCAGGATACGCCCGAGCGGAAGAAGCGGGCTCTGAGCCACGCCCTTTCACCCTCCTCTACCCCGCCCTGGGCTGGTGAAGGTGCGCGCCAGGATGTGGACTACTGAGCCCTGAAGAAATAAGTCCTTCCACTTTGACCCCATGGAGGATTGCCTGTGAGGAACTTAAACGAGTCTACCAGTGTCTAGACACGGGGGCAGGTCTGTCCGGCACAGCAGCTCCCTCAAGGAGGAGAAGAGTGAGGAGAAAGGAAACTCAAGTCTCACCATTCTGTCCTGGGAGAGAAGAGGAGGATCTCATCTCTCATCTGTCCAAACAAGGCAAGGAGACTTTCTCTCATCTTTCCAAGCAAGGCAAGGAGACTTTTTATCATTAGGAAACAAAAAGAATTTAGAAGGAATGAAAGCAGCCCGTAAGGTGAATTCCTAAGGACTGCCCATTGAAACTGACAAAATTGCCCTTGTTTGATGAGAGGAATGAGCAGAGCATTGATGTGGTGAACAAGGATCTAGTGAGACTTTCCCAGCATGTTTCTACCAAAGCTTTATCTAAGCTTCTCAGAACACTCTCCTAATAAGCAGATGTTTGGCCTTTCAGAAAGTCAACAAGCAAAATGCCTTGAGTGTCCCAAAACACTGATGCCATGATGTGGGCTCCTGACTGGCCTCCTTTTCCTTTGACTGGACCACTGCCACCTCTTGGTAGCCATCGCTTTCATGATGCTTTGCCTTGGCGATCATATTGGTGAAGCCATGTTCCAACTTCCGCTTACAATTTGTCAGAGGGATGCGTCAGGATCGTGATCCCTCCTGTTTAAAATTTCCACTGATAGCTCTCGTCGTAACTGCAGCTGATCTGGGCACAGTGGTTTTCACAGCCACTGCAGGTTGAAGTGATTCTCCTGCCTCACCTGAGATTAGAGGCATGTACCGGCATGTCCGGCTAATTTTGTGTTTCTAGTAGAGATGGGGTTTCACCATGTTGGCCAGGCTGGTCTTGAACTCCAACAATTCTAATTCAACTAATTTATTTTATAGAAATATTTATGTGTGAGAAACAATATTTTCAAGAGTCAAAGATTTAAAACTGCTTAATTGTACATCACTAAGTGGCTGGCTAATAAATTATAGTACGTTCATCCTTACGGAAGAATACTTTGCAGCTAAAACAGAACGAAAGATAGGAAACTCTTCAAAATGTTAACTGGGAATGACGTTCAAGACTTATTGTTAAATAAAACAAATTGAGAAGAAGAGTCGTTTATTGGTACTAAATTTGTGTCAGTAAAAATGGATTCTATACGTGGGATGGTTTATAAGTATGTGGAAAAATTCTTTGATGGTTTTTCCTTGAAAAAGTGAAACCTAAATCCACTCCGTTTGGATGTGGGACTATTTACGGTTGTTGCTTCCTAAACATAAACTACGTTTAGGCTGATATTTCAGACAATGAAACCTTTGAGTGCCCGTAGCGGGATGATCTCGGTTGGTGAGTGCAGGGAAGGAGGATGTAATTCCATCATATATACTCTCTGTGCCTACCGCATTTGGAACCATGCGAGTGATACGTATTTATAAAATAAAATAAACCAAGCACAAGTACGAACTTAGCAACACTATATTGAGTTAATAGAACGGTATCTTGTATTTCTTCTGTCCAGGTATACTTATAAATGCCTGCAGGGATTTCACCACCTCAGGGTGGAGAGACTGAATGCTTGTGAGGGAATTAGGATGGTGGAATATTGGTGTTACCAGGGAAGGGGGCGGGATGTTTGAAAATGCTATGTTTACTCGTTCTTGGGTTCCAATAAAGGAGAAACAGGGCACAGGAGTCGGAAGGACTAGTGGCAATAGTGATGAAAGGACCTCCTTATCATGCTGGCAATGTTAATTACCCAGGTGTAGGAAGCCATACACTGAGGCGGAAGATCACAAGTCAGAGTGGCCGGCAGGCACAACCTCCTGGCACACCAGAGGCAGGTCTTCAATACCCACTGGTTTCCCCAACAGGCTGCGTAAGGGATCCTGAGCCACAGTGAGTTGGTCAAATGCTCCTGACAGTGTGGAGAAACCAACAGGCAAAACGTGGGTGCAAAAGTGATGAGACCCCACACTTTACACTCGTGGTGACAATGAAGCTATTAAGTAACAGCTTCTCAACCTATGCTGTTTCCTGTTGGATGCACATAATCCATTTGCACTGCAGACAATTTTAGGATGTGGTTTACAGTAAGGTGGATGGTACCTTACGGCAAAAATCTCTCAGAAATTTATGTGTGGTTTTAAAGTCATTCCAGTCCTAGCACGTTGTGCTTTTCAGAGACGCCATAGCTGTTTTTCCCTTTGTAATATCAAAGCAGTAATATGTTCTCTGGAGGCCTGTTGGGTGAATTTAATGGAATCAAGTTAAGTAGGTGCCAGAACCATTGCTGTTTTCCCTCCATAGCCCTGCCACCCACTGTAAAAAGGTTGATGAGATTACTTAATGATTTCCAATTAAGTTGTATTTCCAAATATCATGATTTCCATTTTAATGTAGTTGGTATGGAGCTCTGTGAGTGTGTGCTTCTTTTATTATGGATCACGTTCAGCTTCTTTTTATTTGCCTCCTAGTCATAATAGTAAAACTCTACTCCTCTACTCCGAGGAGTCCCTACCACCCATCTCATCACTTTCCAGCCCAGCACTCTTCATGCTCATTCATTTAAAGCATTCAACATTGTGTAAATGAATCTTGGAAGGCAAAAGCTACTGAATTTAGCGAATTTGTGGAGGCATTGCCACAAATCAGCCAGGTGAAGTTTCACACAATCGAAGACTGCACAACTCCTAGAAGGCAGCACTATGCTGCAAACCCAGACGGCCACTCTTCTCACCCCTCGTCCGTTTGCTGTTCTGGATAATGAGGTTCAAAAGTCACCTAGGCAACTGCCAAAATAGCTGAAATGGAGAAAGGGCTTCAGGCTGGTGACTAGCAGAGGTCCACCTGACCCCCGTAAGCTGCTGAAGAAGTAGGGCTGCCAGAAATGTCCCACTAGGGAATTTGGTAGAGACGAAGACATGCTCACCGGACAAGGGTTCCTCCCAGGATACGCCCGAGCGGAAGAAGCGGGCTCTGAGCCACGCCCTTTCACCCTCCTCTACCCCGCCCTGGGCTGGTGAAGGTGCGCGCCAGGATGTGGACTACTGAGCCCTGAAGAAATAAGTCCTTCCACTTTGACCCCATGGAGGATTGCCTGTGAGGAACTTAAACGAGTCTACCAGTGTCTAGACACGGGGGCAGGTCTGTCCGGCACAGCAGCTCCCTCAAGGAGGAGAAGAGTGAGGAGAAAGGAAACTCAAGTCTCACCATTCTGTCCTGGGAGAGAAGAGGAGGATCTCATCTCTCATCTGTCCAAACAAGGCAAGGAGACTTTCTCTCATCTTTCCAAGCAAGGCAAGGAGACTTTTTATCATTAGGAAACAAAAAGAATTTAGAAGGAATGAAAGCAGCCCGTAAGGTGAATTCCTAAGGACTGCCCATTGAAACTGACAAAATTGCCCTTGTTTGATGAGAGGAATGAGCAGAGCATTGATGTGGTGAACAAGGATCTAGTGAGACTTTCCCAGCATGTTTCTACCAAAGCTTTATCTAAGCTTCTCAGAACACTCTCCTAATAAGCAGATGTTTGGCCTTTCAGAAAGTCAACAAGCAAAATGCCTTGAGTGTCCCAAAACACTGATGCCATGATGTGGGCTCCTGACTGGCCTCCTTTTCCTTTGACTGGACCACTGCCACCTCTTGGTAGCCATCGCTTTCATGATGCTTTGCCTTGGCGATCATATTGGTGAAGCCATGTTCCAACTGCCGCTTACAATTTGTCAGAGGGATGCGTCAGGATCGTGATCCCTCCTGTTTAAAATTTCCACTGATAGCTCTCGTCGTAACTGCAGCTGATCTGGGCACAGTGGTTTTCACAGCCACTGCAGGATTCATCTTCCACATCTTCTCACCTCTTCTTGAAACAAGCTATACATTCGTAAAGAGTTCATTTCTTTGGGGTAGTGTCCTTACAAGCTTTTCTTAAAACGTCAATGATTTCTTCAATCTTCCACCCAAGCTTCACCATAAATTTGATGTTTCCTCTTGCTGCAATTTTCGTGGAATTCATGTTGCTCTGACGGGAGTCCTTTTCAGTGGATGTCTCATCCTTCTTAGTGCCTCAAACTAGATCTAGTTCAGAAAGGTTATCAGAAGTTAGGACAAGTTTATTTTAGTGCAAACCAGTGGAAATCCATGCATAGTTTCTTCACCATGTGCATTTTCTATGAACCTTTGGAAGACCACCTGTGTTGAACATTGCCCAAGTCCTGGGAGAGAAGTGGGTGCGGTCCGCTTCCTGTCCTCAATTTGCCCGCAGCGGCGGAGTGCACAGAGCAGGGAAAGGCAGCCCCAGAGGGATCCCGCCCTCCAGCATGCAGCAGACTGCTGGCCCAGTCCTGGCTCCAAGGGGTGCTGTGTGGGCCCAAGCAAGTTGACCAACCTCCCTGAACCTTAATTTAATCCTAGGTAGCCCAATTCCAGTAGCCATTATAGGACTGCCCTGCAGGGACAGTTACTTAACTCAGGAAAAGCAACCTAGCTCCAAGTTTAGCAACCGGGAGTTCCAGTTGATTCCATTAGCGCACCCCCCGAGGCATTCCCAAGCTGGAGTCTGGTGGAAGATGAGGCTCAGTGTGATTGGACTGAAGCACCAACCTATCAAGGAGAAGTCCCACCCAGTCTGCCCTGTGCCTATATAAAGGCGACAAGTGGCGGCCGCAGCACTCATTGAAGCCGCCAGTTGGGAGAGGAGCAGAGCCAGGCCGGTGCTCCCGAAGGCAGCAAGATGTTGCGAGCCACAGCTCCCTGCTGGTTCCCCCCTGGATACCCAGAAGCTAAGAAGGTGGCCGAGGAGGCGGCCCTGGAGGCAAGCCGCCATTTGGGAGGGGAGCAGAGCCAGGCCGGTGCTCCCGAAGGCAGCAAGATGTTGCGAGCCACAGCTCCCTGCTGGTTCCGCCCTGGATACCCAGAAGCTAAGAAGGTGGCCAAGGAGGCGGCCCCGGAGGCAAGCCGCCATTTGGGAGCGGAGCAGAGCCCGGCCGGTGCTCCCGAAGGCAGCAAGATGTTGCGAGCCACAGCTCCCTGCTGGTTCCCACCTGGATACCCAGAAGCTAAGAAGGTGGCCGAGGAGGCGGCCCTCGAGGCTCCAGAATTCCCACTGCCCTCTCATCAGCCTGCCCAGAGCTTCGGGCTCTGGGTGCCCCAGATGCACAAGCAGGCCTCAGCATTTGTGGACATCCAGGCGGAGCCCCAGAACAGGGGTCCGGCGGTGCCCCCAGCGTGGCCCAAGATGGTGACGGAGTCGTGCTACTTCCCTGCGCAGAGGGGATCGGCCTGCCGCTTGCCAGCCGCCCCAAGGCTGACAGAGAGGCCCTCGGGAGTCCGCATCTCAGCCCCCAGGAAGAGGAAGACGATCGCCCACTCTTCCAGCCCTTGCTTGGTCACAGGTTACACAGATGCCAAGAGAACCCGGGTGGCCAGCAGCAGCCAACGCTCCCGTGGCTCCAAGGTCGGCAGACAGCCAGGGAAGACGCGCAACAGGTCAGGGATGGCATGCAAGACCACCGCCACCACCAGCTCTAAGCGAATCGTCCGTCGTGCATCCTTACCGAGTTTGAGTTTGAAGAAACCCATTATCCTCCGAAGCTCTGGGTGCCAAGTCCCCACCGTCCTCCGCCGAGGCTATCTCCAGCTGTTCACCGAAGAGTGTCTCAAGTTCTGCGCCTCCAAGCAGGAGGCCGAGGAGAAGGCGCTGAACGAGGAGAAGGTGGCCTACGACTGCAGCCCCAACAAGAACAGGTACCTGAACGTGGTCCTGAACACCCTCAAGAGACTGAAGGGCCTGACCCCCAGCTCCATGCCCGGCCTCAGCAGGGCCGCCCTGTACAGCCGCCTCCAGGAGTTCCTGCTCACCCAGGACCAGCTCAAGGAGAACGGCTACCCCTTCCCGCACCCCGAGCGGCCCGGAGGCGCCGTCCTCTTCACTGGCCAGGGGAAGGGGCCCGGCGACTCCTCCTGCAGGGTCTGCTGCCGTTGTGGCACCGAGTACCTGGTGTCCTCCTCGGGCCGCTGTGTACGCGACCAGTTGTGTTATTATCACTGGGGGCGGGTCCGCTCGAGCCAGGTGGCTGGAGGCCGGGTTAGCCAGTACACCTGCTGTGCAGCTGCTCCTGGCTCTGTGGGCTGCCAGGTGGCAAAGCAGCACGTGCGGGACGGCCGCAAGGAGAGCCTCGATGGCTTCGTGGAGACCTTCAAGAAAGAGTTGTCCAGAGACGCTTATCCAGGAATCTACGCCTTGGACTGTGAGATGTGCTACACCACGCATGGCCTAGAGCTGACCCGCGTCACCGTGGTGGACGCCGACATGCGAGTGGTGTACGACACCTTCGTCAAGCCCGACAACGAGATCGTGGACTACAACACCAGGTTTTCCGGAGTCACCGAGGCCGACGTCGCCAAGACGAGCATCACGTTGCCCCAAGTCCAAGCCATCCTGCTGAGCTTTTTCAGCGCCCAAACCATCCTCATCGGGCACAGCCTGGAGAGCGACCTGCTGGCCCTGAAGCTCATCCACAGCACCGTGGTGGACACGGCCGTGCTCTTCCCGCACTACCTGGGTTTCCCCTACAAGCGCTCCCTCAGGAATCTCGCGGCCGACTACCTGGCACAGATCATCCAGGACAGCCAGGACGGCCACAACTCCAGCGAGGACGCAAACGCCTGCCTGCAGCTGGTGATGTGGAAGGTCCGACAGCGCGCCCAGATCCAGCCACGCCACCGGTCCGCCTCTCCCGCCGCCCTGGCCTGTCCTTAGCCCCAGGCCTCTTCCAAAACCGCCATCAGTCCCGAGAGCTCACCCTGCCCACCTCGCCGCAAAGCGAAAGAAACTGGAGCAGCCGGCGGCAGGAGAGGGCAAAAAGCCAAGAGTAACCCCAACCCCCCACTCCCGGTCCCCCGGAATCCCTGCCGCGGCCCCTCGGGCCTGTCCACATCCCTCTGCCCCTCCCAGACCTCTGTCCTTCCACCAATCGCCTCCCGCAGCCCCGAGCCGCCACTCCCAGTCCCCCGAGTCCCTGCCGCGCGCCCTCGCGCCTGTCCACATCCCTCTGCCCATCCGAGACCTCTGTCCTTACACCACTAGCCACCCCACGTGGGACTTCCATGGCTTCTGAGTACAAGGCCAGCCCCCCGGCCCACCAGCTTTCGGAATGCCTGCTTACCTCTTTTTCTGTAGAGGCACCACAGGGAGGTGGGTGAAGCACTTCGGCTCTGGAGTTACAGATCTGGGTTCAAGGCCAAATTCCACCACTTACTAGGTTTGTAATATTGGACAGATAACGTCTTTGCGCTTCTACCTTTTGGTCTTTAAAGTGTGATCAAAAGAGACTTAGACTCCCACATAGTAATAATAATAATAATGGCAAACTTAACACCCCACTGTCAACATTAGACACACCAACGAGACAGAAAGTTAAAAAAGGATATCCGGGAATTGAGCTCAGCTCTGCACCAAGCGGACCTAGGAGACATCTACAGAACGCTCCACCCCAAATCAACAGAATATACATTCTTCTCAGCACCACATCACACTTATTTCCACATTGACCACATAGTTGGAAGTAAAGCACTCCTCAGTAAAAGTAAAATAACAGAAATTATTACAAACGGTCTCTCAGACCACATTGCAATCACACTAGACCTCAGGATTGAGAAACTCACTCAAAACCGCACAACTGCATGGAAACCGGACAAGCTGTTCCTGAATGAGTACTGGGTACATAACGAAATGAAGGCAGAAATAAAGATATTCTCTGAAAGCAATGAGAACAAAGACACAACATACCAGAATCTCTGGGACACATTTAAAGCAGTGTGTAGAGGGAAATTTATAGCACTAAATGCCCACAAGGGAAAGGAGGAAAGATCAAAAATGCATACCCTAACATCACCATTAAAAGGATGAGAGAAGCAAGAGCAAACACATTCAAAAGCTAGCAGAAGGCAAGAAATAACTAAGATCCGAGCAGAATTGAAGGAGATAGAGACCCAAAAAACCCTTCAAAAAATCAATGAATCCAGGAGCGGGTTTTTTGAAACCATCAACAAAATTGATAGACCACTAGCAAGACTATTAAAGAATGAAAGGAAGAAGAATCAAGCAGATGCAATAAAAAATGATAAAGGGGATATCACCACTGATCCCACAGAAGTACAAACTACCATGAGAGAATACTGTCAACACCTCTAGGCAAACAAACTCGGAAATCTAGAAGAAATGAATAAATTCCTGGACACATGCAACCTCCCCAGAGTAAACCAGGAAGAAGTTGAATGCCTGAATAGACCAATAACAGGCTCTGAAATTGAGGCAATAATTAATAGCCTATCAAGCAATAAAACTCCAGGACCAGACGGATTCACAGCCGAATTCTACCAGAAGTACAAGGAGGAGCTGGTACCATTCCTTCGGAAACTATTCCAATCAACAGAAAAAGAGGGAATCCTCCCTATCTCATTTTATGAGGCCAGCATCATCCTGATCCCAAAGGCTGAGAGAGACACAACCAACAAAGAGAATTTTCGGCCCATATCCCTGAGGAACACCGATGGAAAAATCCTCCATAAAATGCTGGCAAACCGAATCCAGCAGCACATCAAAGAGCTTATCCATTATGATCAAGTGGGCTTCATCCCTGACATGCAAGGCTGGTCCAACATATGCAAATCAATAAACATAATCCAGCATATAATCGGAACCAAAGACAGAAACCGCGTGATTATCTCAACAGATGCAGAAAAGGCCTTTGACAAAATTCAACAGCCTTTCATGCCAAAAACTCTCAATAAATTAGGTACTGATGGGACATACCTCAAAATAATAAGGGCTATTTAGGGCAAACCCACAGCCAATATCATACTGAATGGGCAAAAAGTGGAAGCATTCCCTTTGCAAACTGCCACAAGACAGGGGTGCCCTCTCTCACCACTCCTATTCAACATAGTGTTGGAACTTCTGGCCAGGGCAATCAGGCAGGAGAAAGAAATAAAGAGTAATCAATTAGGAAAAGAGGAAGTCAAATTGTCCCTGTTTGTAGATGACACGATTGAATATTTAGAAAAACCCATCGTCTCAGCCCAAAATCTCCTTAAGCTGATAAGCAACTTCAGCAAAGTCTCAGGATACAAAATCGATGTGCAAAAATCACAAGCATTCTTATACACCAATAACAGGCAAACAGAGAGCCAAATCATGACTGAGCTCCCATTCACAATTGCTTCAAAGAGAATAAAATACTGAGGAATCCAACTAACAAGGGATGCGATGTGCGAAGGACCTCTTCAAGGAGAACTACAAACCACTGCTCCACGAAATAAAAGAGGACACAAACCAATGGAAGAATATTCCATGCTCACGGTTAGGAAGAATCAGTATCGTGAAAATGGCCATACTGCCCAAGGTATATTATAGATCCAATGCCATCCCCATCAAGCTACCAAGGACTTTCTTCACAGAATTGGAAAAAACTACTTGAAAGTTTACATGGAACCACAAAAGGGCCCCCACTGCCAAGATAATCCTAAGCCAAAAGAACAAAGGTGGAGGCATCAAGCTACCCGACTTCAAACTACACTACAAGCCTACAGTAACCAAACAGCATGCTGTTGGTTGCCTTTTTGGTTACTGTAGACCAATGGAACAGAATAGAGCCCTCAGAAATAATACGACACATCTACAACCGTCGGATCTTTGACAAACCTGACAAAAACAAGAAATGGGGAAAGGATTCCCTATTTAATAAATGGTGCTGGGAAAACTGGCTAGCCATATGTCCAAAGGTGAAATTGGATCCCTTCCTTACACCTTATGCAAAAGTTTATTCAAGACGGATGAAAGACTTAAATGTTACATCTTAAGCCATACAAACCCTAGGAGAAAACCTAGGCAATACCATTCAGGACATAGGTATGAGCAAGGACCTCATGTCTAAAACGCCAAAAGCAAAGGCAACAAAAGCCAATATTGACAAACGGCATCTAATTACACTAAAGAGTTTCTGCACAGCTAAAGAAACTCCCATCAGAGTGAACAGGCATGCTACAGAAAGGGAGAAAATTTTTGCAATCTACTCATCTGACAAAGGGCTAATATCCAGAATCTACTAAGAACTCAAACAGAGTTACAAGAAAAACCAAACAACCCCATCAACAAGTGCGGGAAGGATATGAAGAGACACTTCTAAAAAGAAGACATTTATGCAGCCAACAGACACATGAAAAAATGCCCATCAACACTGATCATCAGAGAAATGCAAATCAAATCCGCAAAGAGATATCGTCTCACACCAGTTAGAATAGCGATCAATAAAAAAGTCAGGAAACAACAGGTGCTGGAGAGGTAGTGGAGAAATAGGAACACTTTTACACTGCTGGTGGGACTGTAAACCAGTTCAGCGGTTGTGGAAGATAGTGTGGCGAATCCTCAAGGATCTAGAATTAGAAATACCATTTGACCCAGCCGTCCCATTACTGGGTATACACCCATACGACTATAAATCATGCTGCTAAAAGGACACACGCAGACGCATGTTTATTGCGGCACCGTTCACAGTAGCAAAGACTTGGAACCAGCCCAGATGTCCATCAATGATAGACTGGATTAAGGAAACGTGGCACAAATACACCGTGGAATACTATGCAGCCATAAAAAAGCATGTGTTCATGCCCTTCGGAGGGACACGGATGAAGCTGGAAACCATCATTCTTAGCAAACTATCGCAAGGACAAAAAAACCAAACACCGCGTGATCCCACTCATAGGTGGGAATTGAACTAGGAGAACACTTGGACGCAGAAAGGGGAACATCACACACCGGGGCCTGTCATGGGCGGGGGGAGGGGGAGGGATAACATTAAGAGATATACCTAATGTAAATGACTAGTGAATGGGTGCAGCACACCAACATGGCACGTGCTTACATACGTAATAAACCTGCACGTTGTGCACATGTACCCTAGTAATTAAAGTATAATTTAAAAAAAAATGGAAAACGAAAGTGTGATCCTAATGTCATGGTGCGGACTGAATGAAGCAGCACATGGCAAGCCTTAAAACGATCGCACATAGTAGGTGTTCAATTAATGTTAACTATATTTCTTTTGTATAATAGTTTATAAAGGGAATTCATGAACACTATGTGATTAATCCTTGGAACAACCCAACAGGTAGGTAAATAAAGCCTAATTTTATACCTAAAGAAACCATGCGGCTTAACTTGCCCAAAATAATAATGATTGTAATGAGCACTGGCTGTTGGTTTCTTATGTACTTGGTACTTTGCACGTATTAACCCAGTCAGTCCTCCTAACAGTTGTGAGAGAGATAGCATTCTTATCCCCATTTTACAGATGAGGAACCTGAAGCCCAGGTGATAAGTAGGTTATCCAAGTTATCATAGCTAGAAGTCGGGTGCAGGCAGTCTGGCTCCAGAGCCCCTGCTCTGTCCGCTGACCTAGCTGACTTCCCAAGAGTCAAAGTGGATTCTTCCCCAAGACCAACCAATTACAATGACTGAATCAGTCAGTCAACTTCGAACTGGGCTCCAAGAGAGAACGAACCATCATGCCTCTCTAAATCCTCATTTCTAGTTTGAATCTTCAAGGAGAGATAGACACTAAGTAGCTAGTTTTGCTGGAATGGCTGATTTTATCAATGTTTTCGGTGTGTGAGTGTGTGTGTGTGTATATGTATAGAACTAAATTAAACTGATAATTTGAATGCTTACACTTCCATTAGTTCAATTTGTGTATGTGAGCCCTCACACACATACATACACACACACAAACTGTTCCAGAACAGTGACTTAGTGAAAAACTGGATTTGCCCTAAATAGCCCTTATTATTTTGAGGTATGTCCCATCAGTACCTAATTTATTGAGAGTTTTTGGCATGAAAGGCTGTTGAATTTTGTCAAAGGCCTTTTCTGCATCTGTTGAGATAATCACGCGGTTTCTGTCTTTGGTTCCGATTATATGCTGGATTATGTTTATTGATTTGCATATGTTGGACCAGCCTTGCATGTCAGGGATGAAGCCCACTTGATCATAATGGATAAGCTCTTTGATGTGCTGCTGGATTCGGTTTGCCAGCATTTTATGGAGGATTTTTCCATCGGTGTTCCTCAGGGATATGGGCCGAAAATTCTCTTTGTTGGTTGTGTCTCTCTCAGCCTTTGGGATCAGGATGATGCTGGCCTCATAAAATGAGATAGGGAGGATTCCCTCTTTTTCTGTTGATTGGAATAGTTTCCGAAGGAATGGTACCAGCTCCTCCTTGTACTTCTGGTAGAATTCGGCTGTGAATCCGTCTGGTCCTGGAGTTTTATTGCTTGATAGGCTATTAATTATTGCCTCAATTTCAGAGCCTGTTATTGGTCTATTCAGGCATTCAACTTCTTCCTGGTTTACTCTGGGGAGGTTGCATGTGTCCAGGAATTTATTCATTTCTTCTAGATTTTCGAGTTTGTTTGCCTAGAGGTGTTGACAGTATTCTCTCATGGTAGTTTGTACTTCTGTGGGATCAGTGGTGATATCCCCTTTATCATTTTTTATTGCATCTGCTTGATTCTTCTTCCTTTCATTCTTTAATAGTCTTGCTAGTGGTCTATCAATTTTGTTGATGGTTTCAAAAAACCCGCTCCTGGATTCATTGATTTTTTGAAGGGTTTTTTGGGTCTCTATCTCCTTCAGTTCTGCTCGGATCTTAGTTATTTCTTGCCTTCTGCTAGCTTTTGAATGTGTTTGCTCTTGCTTCTCTCATCCTTTTAATGGTGATGTTAGGGTATGCATTTTTGATCTTTCCTCCTTTCCCTTGTGGGCATTTAGTGCTATAAATTTCCCTCTACACACTGCTTTAAATGTGTCCCAGAGATTCTGGTATGTTGTGTCTTTGTTCTCATTGCTTTCAGAGAATATCTCTATTTCTGCCTTCATTTCGTTATGTACCCAGTACTCATTCAGGAACAGCTTGTCCGGTTTCCATGCAGTTGTGCGGTTTTGAGTGAGTTTCTCAATCCTGAGGTCTAGTGTGATTGCAATGTGGTCTGAGAGACCGTTTGTAATAATTTCTGTTATTTTACTTTTACTGAGGAGTGCTTTACTTCCAACTATGTGGTCAATGTGGAAATAAGTGTGATGTGGTGCTGAGAAGAATGTATATTCTGTTGATTTGGGGTGGAGCGTTCTGTAGATGTCTCCTAGGTCCGCTTGGTGCAGAGCTGAGCTCAATTCCCGGATATCCTTTTTTAACTTTCTGTCTCGTTGGTGTGTCTAATGTTGACAGTGGGGTGTTAAGTTTGCCATTATTATTATTATTACTATGTGGGAGTCTAAGTCTCTTTTGATCACACTTTAAAGACCAAAAGGTAGAAGCGCAAAGACGTTATCTGTCCAATATTACAAACCTAGTAAGTGGTGGAATTTGG
This sequence comes from Homo sapiens, assembly GCF_000001405.40. Taxonomy (NCBI): domain Eukaryota; kingdom Metazoa; phylum Chordata; class Mammalia; order Primates; family Hominidae; genus Homo; species Homo sapiens. The sequence goes on from NC_000008.11 coordinate 85,744,008, forward strand.
CCTTGAACCCAGATCTGTAACTCCAGAGCCGAAGTGCTTCACCCACCTCCCTGTGGTGCCTCTACAGAAAAAGAGGTAAGCAGGCATTCCGAAAGCTGGTGGGCCGGGGGGCTGGCCTTGTACTCAGAAGCCATGGAAGTCCCACGTGGGGTGGCTAGTGGTGTAAGGACAGAGGTCTCGGATGGGCAGAGGGATGTGGACAGGCGCGAGGGCGCGCGGCAGGGACTCGGGGGACTGGGAGTGGCGGCTCGGGGCTGCGGGAGGCGATTGGTGGAAGGACAGAGGTCTGGGAGGGGCAGAGGGATGTGGACAGGCCCGAGGGGCCGCGGCAGGGATTCCGGGGGACCGGGAGTGGGGGGTTGGGGTTACTCTTGGCTTTTTGCCCTCTCCTGCCGCCGGCTGCTCCAGTTTCTTTCGCTTTGCGGCGAGGTGGGCAGGGTGAGCTCTCGGGACTGATGGCGGTTTTGGAAGAGGCCTGGGGCTAAGGACAGGCCAGGGCGGCGGGAGAGGCGGACCGGTGGCGTGGCTGGATCTGGGCGCGCTGTCGGACCTTCCACATCACCAGCTGCAGGCAGGCGTTTGCGTCCTCGCTGGAGTTGTGGCCGTCCTGGCTGTCCTGGATGATCTGTGCCAGGTAGTCGGCCGCGAGATTCCTGAGGGAGCGCTTGTAGGGGAAACCCAGGTAGTGCGGGAAGAGCACGGCCGTGTCCACCACGGTGCTGTGGATGAGCTTCAGGGCCAGCAGGTCGCTCTCCAGGCTGTGCCCGATGAGGATGGTTTGGGCGCTGAAAAAGCTCAGCAGGATGGCTTGGACTTGGGGCAACGTGATGCTCGTCTTGGCGACGTCGGCCTCGGTGACTCCGGAAAACCTGGTGTTGTAGTCCACGATCTCGTTGTCGGGCTTGACGAAGGTGTCGTACACCACTCGCATGTCGGCGTCCACCACGGTGACGCGGGTCAGCTCTAGGCCATGCGTGGTGTAGCACATCTCACAGTCCAAGGCGTAGATTCCTGGATAAGCGTCTCTGGACAACTCTTTCTTGAAGGTCTCCACGAAGCCATCGAGGCTCTCCTTGCGGCCGTCCCGCACGTGCTGCTTTGCCACCTGGCAGCCCACAGAGCCAGGAGCAGCTGCACAGCAGGTGTACTGGCTAACCCGGCCTCCAGCCACCTGGCTCGAGCGGACCCGCCCCCAGTGATAATAACACAACTGGTCGCGTACACAGCGGCCCGAGGAGGACACCAGGTACTCGGTGCCACAACGGCAGCAGACCCTGCAGGAGGAGTCGCCGGGCCCCTTCCCCTGGCCAGTGAAGAGGACGGCGCCTCCGGGCCGCTCGGGGTGCGGGAAGGGGTAGCCGTTCTCCTTGAGCTGGTCCTGGGTGAGCAGGAACTCCTGGAGGCGGCTGTACAGGGCGGCCCTGCTGAGGCCGGGCATGGAGCTGGGGGTCAGGCCCTTCAGTCTCTTGAGGGTGTTCAGGACCACGTTCAGGTACCTGTTCTTGTTGGGGCTGCAGTCGTAGGCCACCTTCTCCTCGTTCAGCGCCTTCTCCTCGGCCTCCTGCTTGGAGGCGCAGAACTTGAGACACTCTTCGGTGAACAGCTGGAGATAGCCTCGGCGGAGGACGGTGGGGACTTGGCACCCAGAGCTTCGGAGGATAATGGGTTTCTTCAAACTCAAACTCGGTAAGGATGCACGACGGACGATTCGCTTAGAGCTGGTGGTGGCGGTGGTCTTGCATGCCATCCCTGACCTGTTGCGCGTCTTCCCTGGCTGTCTGCCGACCTTGGAGCCACGGGAGCGTTGGCTGCTGCTGGCCACCCGGGTTCTCTTGGCATCTGTGTAACCTGTGACCAAGCAAGGGCTGGAAGAGTGGGCGATCGTCTTCCTCTTCCTGGGGGCTGAGATGCGGACTCCCGAGGGCCTCTCTGTCAGCCTTGGGGCGGCTGGCAAGCGGCAGGCCGATCCCCTCTGCGCAGGGAAGTAGCACGACTCCGTCACCATCTTGGGCCACGCTGGGGGCACCGCCGGACCCCTGTTCTGGGGCTCCGCCTGGATGTCCACAAATGCTGAGGCCTGCTTGTGCATCTGGGGCACCCAGAGCCCGAAGCTCTGGGCAGGCTGATGAGAGGGCAGTGGGAATTCTGGAGCCTCGAGGGCCGCCTCCTCGGCCACCTTCTTAGCTTCTGGGTATCCAGGTGGGAACCAGCAGGGAGCTGTGGCTCGCAACATCTTGCTGCCTTCGGGAGCACCGGCCGGGCTCTGCTCCGCTCCCAAATGGCGGCTTGCCTCCGGGGCCGCCTCCTTGGCCACCTTCTTAGCTTCTGGGTATCCAGGGCGGAACCAGCAGGGAGCTGTGGCTCGCAACATCTTGCTGCCTTCGGGAGCACCGGCCTGGCTCTGCTCCCCTCCCAAATGGCGGCTTGCCTCCAGGGCCGCCTCCTCGGCCACCTTCTTAGCTTCTGGGTATCCAGGGGGGAACCAGCAGGGAGCTGTGGCTCGCAACATCTTGCTGCCTTCGGGAGCACCGGCCTGGCTCTGCTCCTCTCCCAACTGGCGGCTTCAATGAGTGCTGCGGCCGCCACTTGTCGCCTTTATATAGGCACAGGGCAGACTGGGTGGGACTTCTCCTTGATAGGTTGGTGCTTCAGTCCAATCACACTGAGCCTCATCTTCCACCAGACTCCAGCTTGGGAATGCCTCAGGGGGTGCGCTAATGGAATCAACTGGAACTCCCGGTTGCTAAACTTGGAGCTAGGTTGCTTTTCCTGAGTTAAGTAACTGTCCCTGCAGGGCAGTCCTATAATGGCTACTGGAATTGGGCTACCTAGGATTAAATTAAGGTTCAGGGAGGTTGGTCAACTTGCTTGGGCCCACACAGCACTCCTTGGAGCCAGGACTGGGCCAGCAGTCTGCTGCATGCTGGAGGGCGGGATCCCTCTGGGGCTGCCTTTCCCTGCTCTGTGCACTCCGCCGCTGCGGGCAAATTGAGGACAGGAAGCGGACCGCACCCACTTCTCTCCCAGGACTTGGGCAATGTTCAACACAGGTGGTCTTCCAAAGGTTCATAGAAAATGCACATGGTGAAGAAACTATGCATGGATTTCCACTGGTTTGCACTAAAATAAACTTGTCCTAACTTCTGATAACCTTTCTGAACTAGATCTAGTTTGAGGCACTAAGAAGGATGAGACATCCACTGAAAAGGACTCCCATCAGAGCAACATGAATTCCACGAAAATTGCAGCAAGAGGAAACATCAAATTTATGGTGAAGCTTGGGTGGAAGATTGAAGAAATCATTGACGTTTTAAGAAAAGCTTGTAAGGACACTACCCCAAAGAAATGAACTCTTTACGAATGTATAGCTTGTTTCAAGAAGAGGTGAGAAGATGTGGAAGATGAATCCTGCAGTGGCTGTGAAAACCACTGTGCCCAGATCAGCTGCAGTTACGACGAGAGCTATCAGTGGAAATTTTAAACAGGAGGGATCACGATCCTGACGCATCCCTCTGACAAATTGTAAGCGGCAGTTGGAACATGGCTTCACCAATATGATCGCCAAGGCAAAGCATCATGAAAGCGATGGCTACCAAGAGGTGGCAGTGGTCCAGTCAAAGGAAAAGGAGGCCAGTCAGGAGCCCACATCATGGCATCAGTGTTTTGGGACACTCAAGGCATTTTGCTTGTTGACTTTCTGAAAGGCCAAACATCTGCTTATTAGGAGAGTGTTCTGAGAAGCTTAGATAAAGCTTTGGTAGAAACATGCTGGGAAAGTCTCACTAGATCCTTGTTCACCACATCAATGCTCTGCTCATTCCTCTCATCAAACAAGGGCAATTTTGTCAGTTTCAATGGGCAGTCCTTAGGAATTCACCTTACGGGCTGCTTTCATTCCTTCTAAATTCTTTTTGTTTCCTAATGATAAAAAGTCTCCTTGCCTTGCTTGGAAAGATGAGAGAAAGTCTCCTTGCCTTGTTTGGACAGATGAGAGATGAGATCCTCCTCTTCTCTCCCAGGACAGAATGGTGAGACTTGAGTTTCCTTTCTCCTCACTCTTCTCCTCCTTGAGGGAGCTGCTGTGCCGGACAGACCTGCCCCCGTGTCTAGACACTGGTAGACTCGTTTAAGTTCCTCACAGGCAATCCTCCATGGGGTCAAAGTGGAAGGACTTATTTCTTCAGGGCTCAGTAGTCCACATCCTGGCGCGCACCTTCACCAGCCCAGGGCGGGGTAGAGGAGGGTGAAAGGGCGTGGCTCAGAGCCCGCTTCTTCCGCTCGGGCGTATCCTGGGAGGAACCCTTGTCCGGTGAGCATGTCTTCGTCTCTACCAAATTCCCTAGTGGGACATTTCTGGCAGCCCTACTTGTTCAGCAGCTTACGGGGGTCAGGTGGACCTCTGCTAGTCACCAGCCTGAAGCCCTTTCTCCATTTCAGCTATTTTGGCAGTTGCCTAGGTGACTTTTGAACCTCATTATCCAGAACAGCAAACGGACGAGGGGTGAGAAGAGTGGCCGTCTGGGTTTGCAGCATAGTGCTGCCTTCTAGGAGTTGTGCAGTCTTCGATTGTGTGAAACTTCACCTGGCTGATTTGTGGCAATGCCTCCACAAATTCGCTAAATTCAGTAGCTTTTGCCTTCCAAGATTCATTTACACAATGTTGAATGCTTTAAATGAATGAGCATGAAGAGTGCTGGGCTGGAAAGTGATGAGATGGGTGGTAGGGACTCCTCGGAGTAGAGGAGTAGAGTTTTACTATTATGACTAGGAGGCAAATAAAAAGAAGCTGAACGTGATCCATAATAAAAGAAGCACACACTCACAGAGCTCCATACCAACTACATTAAAATGGAAATCATGATATTTGGAAATACAACTTAATTGGAAATCATTAAGTAATCTCATCAACCTTTTTACAGTGGGTGGCAGGGCTATGGAGGGAAAACAGCAATGGTTCTGGCACCTACTTAACTTGATTCCATTAAATTCACCCAACAGGCCTCCAGAGAACATATTACTGCTTTGATATTACAAAGGGAAAAACAGCTATGGCGTCTCTGAAAAGCACAACGTGCTAGGACTGGAAATGACTTTAAAAACCACACATAAATTTCTGAGAGATTTTTGCCGTAAAGGTACCATCCACCTTACTGTAAACCACATCCTAAAATTGTCTGCAGTGCAAATGGATTATGTGCATCCAACAGGAAACAGCATAGGTTGAGAAGCTGTTACTTAATAGCTTCATTGTCACCACGAGTGTAAAGTGTGGGGTCTCATCACTTTTGCACCCACGTTTTGCCTGTTGGTTTCTCCACACTGTCAGGAGCATTTGACCAACTCACTGTGGCTCAGGATCCCTTACGCAGCCTGTTGGGGAAACCAGTGGGTATTGAAGACCTGCCTCTGGTGTGCCAGGAGGTTGTGCCTGCCGGCCACTCTGACTTGTGATCTTCCGCCTCAGTGTATGGCTTCCTACACCTGGGTAATTAACATTGCCAGCATGATAAGGAGGTCCTTTCATCACTATTGCCACTAGTCCTTCCGACTCCTGTGCCCTGTTTCTCCTTTATTGGAACCCAAGAACGAGTAAACATAGCATTTTCAAACATCCCGCCCCCTTCCCTGGTAACACCAATATTCCACCATCCTAATTCCCTCACAAGCATTCAGTCTCTCCACCCTGAGGTGGTGAAATCCCTGCAGGCATTTATAAGTATACCTGGACAGAAGAAATACAAGATACCGTTCTATTAACTCAATATAGTGTTGCTAAGTTCGTACTTGTGCTTGGTTTATTTTATTTTATAAATACGTATCACTCGCATGGTTCCAAATGCGGTAGGCACAGAGAGTATATATGATGGAATTACATCCTCCTTCCCTGCACTCACCAACCGAGATCATCCCGCTACGGGCACTCAAAGGTTTCATTGTCTGAAATATCAGCCTAAACGTAGTTTATGTTTAGGAAGCAACAACCGTAAATAGTCCCACATCCAAACGGAGTGGATTTAGGTTTCACTTTTTCAAGGAAAAACCATCAAAGAATTTTTCCACATACTTATAAACCATCCCACGTATAGAATCCATTTTTACTGACACAAATTTAGTACCAATAAACGACTCTTCTTCTCAATTTGTTTTATTTAACAATAAGTCTTGAACGTCATTCCCAGTTAACATTTTGAAGAGTTTCCTATCTTTCGTTCTGTTTTAGCTGCAAAGTATTCTTCCGTAAGGATGAACGTACTATAATTTATTAGCCAGCCACTTAGTGATGTACAATTAAGCAGTTTTAAATCTTTGACTCTTGAAAATATTGTTTCTCACACATAAATATTTCTATAAAATAAATTAGTTGAATTAGAATTGTTGGAGTTCAAGACCAGCCTGGCCAACATGGTGAAACCCCATCTCTACTAGAAACACAAAATTAGCCGGACATGCCGGTACATGCCTCTAATCTCAGGTGAGGCAGGAGAATCACTTCAACCTGCAGTGGCTGTGAAAACCACTGTGCCCAGATCAGCTGCAGTTACGACGAGAGCTATCAGTGGAAATTTTAAACAGGAGGGATCACGATCCTGACGCATCCCTCTGACAAATTGTAAGCGGAAGTTGGAACATGGCTTCACCAATATGATCGCCAAGGCAAAGCATCATGAAAGCGATGGCTACCAAGAGGTGGCAGTGGTCCAGTCAAAGGAAAAGGAGGCCAGTCAGGAGCCCACATCATGGCATCAGTGTTTTGGGACACTCAAGGCATTTTGCTTGTTGACTTTCTGAAAGGCCAAACATCTGCTTATTAGGAGAGTGTTCTGAGAAGCTTAGATAAAGCTTTGGTAGAAACATGCTGGGAAAGTCTCACTAGATCCTTGTTCACCACATCAATGCTCTGCTCATTCCTCTCATCAAACAAGGGCAATTTTGTCAGTTTCAATGGGCAGTCCTTAGGAATTCACCTTACGGGCTGCTTTCATTCCTTCTAAATTCTTTTTGTTTCCTAATGATAAAAAGTCTCCTTGCCTTGCTTGGAAAGATGAGAGAAAGTCTCCTTGCCTTGTTTGGACAGATGAGAGATGAGATCCTCCTCTTCTCTCCCAGGACAGAATGGTGAGACTTGAGTTTCCTTTCTCCTCACTCTTCTCCTCCTTGAGGGAGCTGCTGTGCCGGACAGACCTGCCCCCGTGTCTAGACACTGGTAGACTCGTTTAAGTTCCTCACAGGCAATCCTCCATGGGGTCAAAGTGGAAGGACTTATTTCTTCAGGGCTCAGTAGTCCACATCCTGGCGCGCACCTTCACCAGCCCAGGGCGGGGTAGAGGAGGGTGAAAGGGCGTGGCTCAGAGCCCGCTTCTTCCGCTCGGGCGTATCCTGGGAGGAACCCTTGTCCGGTGAGCATGTCTTCGTCTCTACCAAATTCCCTAGTGGGACATTTCTGGCAGCCCTACTTGTTCAGCAGCTTACGGGGGTCAGGTGGACCTCTGCTAGTCACCAGCCTGAAGCCCTTTCTCCATTTCAGCTATTTTGGCAGTTGCCTAGGTGACTTTTGAACCTCATTATCCAGAACAGCAAACGGACGAGGGGTGAGAAGAGTGGCCGTCTGGGTTTGCAGCATAGTGCTGCCTTCTAGGAGTTGTGCAGTCTTCGATTGTGTGAAACTTCACCTGGCTGATTTGTGGCAATGCCTCCACAAATTCGCTAAATTCAGTAGCTTTTGCCTTCCAAGATTCATTTACACAATGTTGAATGCTTTAAATGAATGAGCATGAAGAGTGCTGGGCTGGAAAGTGATGAGATGGGTGGTAGGGACTCCTCGGAGTAGAGGAGTAGAGTTTTACTATTATGACTAGGAGGCAAATAAAAAGAAGCTGAACGTGATCCATAATAAAAGAAGCACACACTCACAGAGCTCCATACCAACTACATTAAAATGGAAATCATGATATTTGGAAATACAACTTAATTGGAAATCATTAAGTAATCTCATCAACCTTTTTACAGTGGGTGGCAGGGCTATGGAGGGAAAACAGCAATGGTTCTGGCACCTACTTAACTTGATTCCATTAAATTCACCCAACAGGCCTCCAGAGAACATATTACTGCTTTGATATTACAAAGGGAAAAACAGCTATGGCGTCTCTGAAAAGCACAACGTGCTAGGACTGGAATGACTTTAAAACCACACATAAATTTCTGAGAGATTTTTGCCGTAAGGTACCATCCACCTTACTGTAAACCACATCCTAAAATTGTCTGCAGTGCAAATGGATTATGTGCATCCAACAGGAAACAGCATAGGTTGAGAAGCTGTTACTTAATAGCTTCATTGTCACCACGAGTGTAAAGTGTGGGGTCTCATCACTTTTGCACCCACGTTTTGCCTGTTGGTTTCTCCACACTGTCAGGAGCATTTGACCAACTCACTGTGGCTCAGGATCCCTTACGCAGCCTGTTGGGGAAACCAGTGGGTATTGAAGACCTGCCTCTGGTGTGCCAGGAGGTTGTGCCTGCCGGCCACTCTGACTTGTGATCTTCCGCCTCAGTGTATGGCTTCCTACACCTGGGTAATTAACATTGCCAGCATGATAAGGAGGTCCTTTCATCACTATTGCCACTAGTCCTTCCGACTCCTGTGCCCTGTTTCTCCTTTATTGGAACCCAAGAACGAGTAAACATAGCATTTTCAAACATCCCGCCCCCTTCCCTGGTAACACCAATATTCCACCATCCTAATTCCCTCACAAGCATTCAGTCTCTCCACCCTGAGGTGGTGAAATCCCTGCAGGCATTTATAAGTATACCTGGACAGAAGAAATACAAGATACCGTTCTATTAACTCAATATAGTGTTGCTAAGTTCGTACTTGTGCTTGGTTTATTTTATTTTATAAATACGTATCACTCGCATGGTTCCAAATGCGGTAGGCACAGAGAGTATATATGATGGAATTACATCCTCCTTCCCTGCACTCACCAACCGAGATCATCCCGCTACGGGCACTCAAAGGTTTCATTGTCTGAAATATCAGCCTAAACGTAGTTTATGTTTAGGAAGCAACAACCGTAAATAGTCCCACATCCAAACGGAGTGGATTTAGGTTTCACTTTTTCAAGGAAAAACCATCAAAGAATTTTTCCACATACTTATAAACCATCCCACGTATAGAATCCATTTTTACTGACACAAATTTAGTACCAATAAACGACTCTTCTTCTCAATTTGTTTTATTTAACAATAAGTCTTGAACGTCATTCCCAGTTAACATTTTGAAGAGTTTCCTATCTTTCGTTCTGTTTTAGCTGCAAAGTATTCTTCCGTAAGGATGAACGTACTATAATTTATTAGCCAGCCACTTAGTGATGTACAATTAAGCAGTTTTAAATCTTTGACTCTTGAAAATATTGTTTCTCACACATAAATATTTCTATAAAATAAATTAGTTGAATTAGAATTGTTGGAGTTCAAGACCAGCCTGGCCAACATGGTGAAACCCCATCTCTACTAGAAACACAAAATTAGCCGGACATGCCGGTACATGCCTCTAATCTCAGGTGAGGCAGGAGAATCACTTCAACCTGCAGTGGCTGTGAAAACCACTGTGCCCAGATCAGCTGCAGTTACGACGAGAGCTATCAGTGGAAATTTTAAACAGGAGGGATCACGATCCTGACGCATCCCTCTGACAAATTGTAAGCGGAAGTTGGAACATGGCTTCACCAATATGATCGCCAAGGCAAAGCATCATGAAAGCGATGGCTACCAAGAGGTGGCAGTGGTCCAGTCAAAGGAAAAGGAGGCCAGTCAGGAGCCCACATCATGGCATCAGTGTTTTGGGACACTCAAGGCATTTTGCTTGTTGACTTTCTGAAAGGCCAAACATCTGCTTATTAGGAGAGTGTTCTGAGAAGCTTAGATAAAGCTTTGGTAGAAACATGCTGGGAAAGTCTCACTAGATCCTTGTTCACCACATCAATGCTCTGCTCATTCCTCTCATCAAACAAGGGCAATTTTGTCAGTTTCAATGGGCAGTCCTTAGGAATTCACCTTACGGGCTGCTTTCATTCCTTCTAAATTCTTTTTGTTTCCTAATGATAAAAAGTCTCCTTGCCTTGCTTGGAAAGATGAGAGAAAGTCTCCTTGCCTTGTTTGGACAGATGAGAGATGAGATCCTCCTCTTCTCTCCCAGGACAGAATGGTGAGACTTGAGTTTCCTTTCTCCTCACTCTTCTCCTCCTTGAGGGAGCTGCTGTGCCGGACAGACCTGCCCCCGTGTCTAGACACTGGTAGACTCGTTTAAGTTCCTCACAGGCAATCCTCCATGGGGTCAAAGTGGAAGGACTTATTTCTTCAGGGCTCAGTAGTCCACATCCTGGCGCGCACCTTCACCAGCCCAGGGCGGGGTAGAGGAGGGTGAAAGGGCGTGGCTCAGAGCCCGCTTCTTCCGCTCGGGCGTATCCTGGGAGGAACCCTTGTCCGGTGAGCATGTCTTCGTCTCTACCAAATTCCCTAGTGGGACATTTCTGGCAGCCCTACTTGTTCAGCAGCTTACGGGGGTCAGGTGGACCTCTGCTAGTCACCAGCCTGAAGCCCTTTCTCCATTTCAGCTATTTTGGCAGTTGCCTAGGTGACTTTTGAACCTCATTATCCAGAACAGCAAACGGACGAGGGGTGAGAAGAGTGGCCGTCTGGGTTTGCAGCATAGTGCTGCCTTCTAGGAGTTGTGCAGTCTTCGATTGTGTGAAACTTCACCTGGCTGATTTGTGGCAATGCCTCCACAAATTCGCTAAATTCAGTAGCTTTTGCCTTCCAAGATTCATTTACACAATGTTGAATGCTTTAAATGAATGAGCATGAAGAGTGCTGGGCTGGAAAGTGATGAGATGGGTGGTAGGGACTCCTCGGAGTAGAGGAGTAGAGTTTTACTATTATGACTAGGAGGCAAATAAAAAGAAGCTGAACGTGATCCATAATAAAAGAAGCACACACTCACAGAGCTCCATACCAACTACATTAAAATGGAAATCATGATATTTGGAAATACAACTTAATTGGAAATCATTAAGTAATCTCATCAACCTTTTTACAGTGGGTGGCAGGGCTATGGAGGGAAAACAGCAATGGTTCTGGCACCTACTTAACTTGATTCCATTAAATTCACCCAACAGGCCTCCAGAGAACATATTACTGCTTTGATATTACAAAGGGAAAAACAGCTATGGCGTCTCTGAAAAGCACAACGTGCTAGGACTGGAATGACTTTAAAACCACACATAAATTTCTGAGAGATTTTTGCCATAAGGTACCATCCACCTTACTGTAAACCACATCCTAAAATTGTCTGCAGTGCAAATGGATTATGTGCATCCAACAGGAAACAGCATAGGTTGAGAAGCTGTTACTTAATAGCTTCATTGTCACCACGAGTGTAAAGTGCGGGGTCTCCTCACTTTTGCACCCACGTTTTGCCTGTTGGTTTCTCCACACTGTCAGGAGCATTTGACCAACTCACTGTGGCTCAGGGTCCCTTACGCAGCCTGTTGGGGAAACCAGTGGGTATTGAAGACCTGCCTCTGGTGTGCCAGGAGGTTGTGCCTGCCGGCCACTCTGACTTGCGATCTTCCGCCTCAGTGTATGGCTTCCTACACCTGGGTAATTAACATTGCCAGCATGATAAGGAGGTCCTTTCATCACTATTGCCACTAGTCCTTCCGACTCCTGTGCCCTGTTTCTCCTTTATTGGAACCCAAGAACGAGTAAACATAGCATTTTCAAACATCCCGCCCCCTTCCCTGGTAACACCAATATTCCACCATCCTAATTCCCTCACAAGCATTCAGTCTCTCCACCCTGAGGTGGTGAAATCCCTGCAGGCATTTATAAGTATACCTGGACAGAAGAAATACAAGATACCGTTCTATTAACTCAATATAGTGTTGCTAAGTTCGTACTTTTGCTTGGTTTATGTTATTTTATAAATAGGTATCACTCGCATGGTTCCAAATGCGGTAGGCACAGAGAGTATATATGATGGAATTACATCCTCCTTCCCTGCACTCAGCAACCGAGATCTTCCCGCTACAGGCACTCAAAGGTTTCATTGTCTGAAATATCAGCCTAAACGTAGTTTATGTTTAGGAAGCAACAACCGTAAATGGGCCCACATCCAAACGGAGTGGATTTAGGTTTCACTTTTTCAAGGAAAAACCATCAAAGAATTTTTCCACATACTTATAAACCATCCCACGTATAGAATCCATTTTTACTGACACAAATTTAGTACCAATAAACGACTCTTCTTCTCAATTTGTTTTATTTAACAATAAGTCTTGAACGTCATTCCCAGTTAACATTTTGAAGAGTTTCCTCTCTTTCGTTCTGTTTTAGCTGCAAAGTATTCTTCCGTAAGGATGAACGTACTATAATTTATTAGCCAGCCACTTAGTGATGTACAATTAAGCAGTTTTAAATCTTTGACTCTTGAAAATATTGTTTCTCACACATAAATATTTCTATAAAATAAATTAGTTGAATTAGAATTGTTGGAGTTCAAGACCAGCCTGGCCAACATGGTGAAACCCCATCTCTACTAGAAACACAAAATTAGCCGGACATGCCGGTACATGCCTCTAATCTCAGGTGAGGCAGGAGAATCACTTCAACCTGGGAGGCAGAGGTTGTAGTGACTCGAAATCACGCCACTGCACTCCAGCCTGGGCGACGCGAGCGAAACTCTGTCTCAAAAAACCAAAAAAAATTAAACATAAAAAGAAAAGCGGTACATATACCCAATAGAACACAATTCAGCCTTAAAAAAGAAAGAAATCATCTCATTGGCAACACGAATGAGCCTAGAGGATGGTACACTGAGTGAAAGAAAGCAAAGGCCAGGCACGGTGGCTCATGCCTGTAATCCCAGTACTTTGGGAGGCCAAGGCAGGTGGAAGCGTTGAGCCCAGGAGTTGGAGATGAACCTGGGCAACATGGTGAAACCCCATCTCTAAAAGAAACACAAAAATTAGCCAAGTGTGGCGTTGGACGCCTGTAGTCCTAGCTATTCAGGAGGCTGAAGCGGGAGGAACTCTCGACCCCGGGAGGTGGAGGCCGTGGTGGGTGAGTGAGCCGTGTTTGTGTCACTGTACTCCAGCCTGGGTGACAGACTGAGACCCTGTCTCAAAAAATAAATAATTACATAATAAAGATTTAAAAAGCAAGCACAAAAAGACAAATACTGCATGATCTCACTTATATGTGCAATCTCAAACAATGCAACTCATAGCTGCAGAGAGCAGAACGGTGGTTACCCGAGGCAGGGGTCAGGGAGGGACTGGAGAGATGATAGTCTCATGATACAAAATTTCAGAGAGGAATGGTTCTAGAGATCTATTGAACAGCCTGGCATCTACAGTGTATAAGTATGTATTGTATACTTGAAAATTGCTATAAGAGTAGATTTTAGACATGTCCTCATCACATTAAAATCAGTATGTGAGGAAACGAGTGTGTTAATTAGCTTGATTTTGTCATTCCACAATGTATACACGTATGAAACATCATGTTGTATGCCATAAATATATATAATTTTTATTTGTCAAGTTAAAATTAAAATTCATATAAATTATAAAAGTAAAATGAAATAACATACACTACAAAAGACGTTTATTTATTAAATCCCCACAGAAGGGGTCTAAGTGATAAAGGAAAATAAAATTCCGGGAACGGTAAAATCAATCAGAAATGCCCTACTTCAGTGCTTTCCGAAATTTGTCTGACAGAGTGGAAATCCAGTTTTTCACTAAGTCACTGTTCTGGAACAGTTTGTGTGTGTGTATGTATGTGTGTGAGGGCTCACATACACAAATTGAACTAATGGAAGTGTAAGCATTCAAATTATCAGTTTAATTTAGTTCTATACATATACACACACACACACTCACACACCGAAAACATTGATAAAATCAGCCATTCCAGCAAAACTAGCTACTTAGTGTCTATCTCTCCTTGAAGATTCAAACTAGAAATGAGGATTTAGAGAGGCATGATGGTTCGTTCTCTCTTGGAGCCCAGTTCGAAGTTGACTGACTGATTCAGTCATTGTAATTGGTTGGTCTTGGGGAAGAATCCACTTTGACTCTTGGGAAGTCAGCTAGGTCAGCGGACAGAGCAGGGGCTCTGGAGCCAGACTGCCTGCACCCGACTTCTAGCTATGATACCTTGGATAAACTACTTATCACCTGGGCTTCAGGTTCCTCATCTGTAAAATGGGGATAAGAATGCTATCTCTCTCACAACTATTAGGAGGACTGACTGGGTTAATACGTGCAAAGTACCAAGTACATAAGAAACCAACAGCCAGTGCTCATTACAATCATTATTATTTTGGGCAAGTTAAGCTGCATGGTTTCTTTAGGTATAAAATTAGGCTTTATTTACCTACCTGTTGGGTTGTTCCAAGGATTAATCACATAGTGTTCATGAATTCCCTTTATAAACTATTATAGAAAAGAAATATAGTTAACATTAATTGAACACCTACTATGTGCGATCGTTTTAAGGCTTGCCATGTGCTGCTTCATTCAGTCCGCACCATGACATTAGGATCACACTTTCGTTTTCCATTTTTTTTAAAATTATACTTTAATTACTAGGGTACATGTGCACAACGTGCAGGTTTATTACGTATGTAAGCACGTGCCATGTTGGTGTGCTGCACCCATTCACTAGTCATTTACATTAGGTATATCTCTTAATGTTATCCCTCCCCCTCCCCCCGCCCATGACAGGCCCCGGTGTGTGATGTTCCCCTTTCTGCGTCCAAGTGTTCTCCTAGTTCAATTCCCACCTATGAGTGGGATCACGCGGTGTTTGGTTTTTTTGTCCTTGCGATAGTTTGCTAAGAATGATGGTTTCCAGCTTCATCCGTGTCCCTCCGAAGGGCATGAACACATGCTTTTTTATGGCTGCATAGTATTCCACGGTGTATTTGTGCCACGTTTCCTTAATCCAGTCTATCATTGATGGACATCTGGGCTGGTTCCAAGTCTTTGCTACTGTGAACGGTGCCGCAATAAACATACGTCTGCGTGTGTCCTTTTAGCAGCATGATTTATAGTCCTATGGGTGTATACCCAGTAATGGGACGGCTGGGTCAAATGGTATTTCTAATTCTAGATCCTTGAGGATTCGCCACACTATCTTCCACAACCGCTGAACTGGTTTACAGTCCCACCAGCAGTTTAAAAGTGTCCCTATTTCTCCACTACCTCTCCAGCACCTGTTGTTTCCTGACTTTTTTATTGATCGCTATTCTAACTGGTGTGAGACGATATCTCTTTGCGGATTTGATTTGCATTTCTCTGATGACCAGTGTTGATGAGCATTTTTTCATGTGTCTGTTGGCTGCATAAATGTCTTCTTTTTAGAAGTGTCTCTTCATATCCTTCCTGCACTTGTTGATGGGGTTGTTTGGTTTTTCTTGTAACTCTGTTTGAGTTCTTAGTAGATTCTGGATATTAGCCCTTTGTCAGATGAGTAGATTGCAAAAATTTTCTCCCTTTCTGTAGCATGCCTGTTCACTCTGATGGGAGTTTCTTTAGCTGTGCAGAAACTCTTTAGTGTAATTAGATGCCGTTTGTCAATATTGGCTTTTGTTGCCTTTGCTTTTGGCGTTTTAGACATGAGGTCCTTGCCCATGCCTATGTCCTGAATGGTATTGCCTAGGTTTTCTCCTAGGGTTTGTATGGCTTAAGATGTAACATTTAAGTCTTTCATCCGTCTTGAATAAACTTTTGTATAAGGTGTAAGGAAGGGATCCAATTTCACCTTCGGACATATGGCTAGCCAGTTTTCCCAGCACCATTTATTAAATAGGGAATCCTTTCCCCATTTCTTGTTTTTGTCAGGTTTGTCAAAGATCCGATGGTTGTAGATGTGTCGTATTATTTCTGAGGGCTCTATTCTGTTCCATTGGTCTACAGTAACCAAAAAGGCAGCCAACAGCATGCTGTTTGGTTACTGTAGGCTTGTAGTGTAGTTTGAAGTCGGGTAGCTTGATGCCTCCAACTTTGTTCTTTTGGCTTAGGATTATCTTGGCAGTGGGGGCCCTTTTGTGGTTCCATGTAAACTTTCAAGTAGTTTTTTCCAATTCTGTGAAGAAAGTCCTTGGTAGCTTGATGGGGATGGCATTGGATCTATAATATACCTTGGGCAGTATGGCCATTTTCACGATACTGATTCTTCCTAACCGTGAGCATGGAATATTCTTCCATTGGTTTGTGTCCTCTTTTATTTCGTGGAGCAGTGGTTTGTAGTTCTCCTTGAAGAGGTCCTTCGCACATCGCATCCCTTGTTAGTTGGATTCCTCAGTATTTTATTCTCTTTGAAGCAATTGTGAATGGGAGCTCAGTCATGATTTGGCTCTCTGTTTGCCTGTTATTGGTGTATAAGAATGCTTGTGATTTTTGCACATCGATTTTGTATCCTGAGACTTTGCTGAAGTTGCTTATCAGCTTAAGGAGATTTTGGGCTGAGACGATGGGTTTTTCTAAATATTCAATCATGTCATCTACAAACAGGGACAATTTGACTTCCTCTTTTCCTAATTGATTACTCTTTATTTCTTTCTCCTGCCTGATTGCCCTGGCCAGAAGTTCCAACACTATGTTGAATAGGAGTGGTGAGAGAGGGCACCCCTGTCTTGTGGCAGTTTGCAAAGGGAATGCTTCCACTTTTTGCCCATTCAGTATGATATTGGCTGTGGGTTTGCCCTAAATAGCCCTTATTATTTTGAGGTATGTCCCATCAGTACCTAATTTATTGAGAGTTTTTGGCATGAAAGGCTGTTGAATTTTGTCAAAGGCCTTTTCTGCATCTGTTGAGATAATCACGCGGTTTCTGTCTTTGGTTCCGATTATATGCTGGATTATGTTTATTGATTTGCATATGTTGGACCAGCCTTGCATGTCAGGGATGAAGCCCACTTGATCATAATGGATAAGCTCTTTGATGTGCTGCTGGATTCGGTTTGCCAGCATTTTATGGAGGATTTTTCCATCGGTGTTCCTCAGGGATATGGGCCGAAAATTCTCTTTGTTGGTTGTGTCTCTCTCAGCCTTTGGGATCAGGATGATGCTGGCCTCATAAAATGAGATAGGGAGGATTCCCTCTTTTTCTGTTGATTGGAATAGTTTCCGAAGGAATGGTACCAGCTCCTCCTTGTACTTCTGGTAGAATTCGGCTGTGAATCCGTCTGGTCCTGGAGTTTTATTGCTTGATAGGCTATTAATTATTGCCTCAATTTCAGAGCCTGTTATTGGTCTATTCAGGCATTCAACTTCTTCCTGGTTTACTCTGGGGAGGTTGCATGTGTCCAGGAATTTATTCATTTCTTCTAGATTTCCGAGTTTGTTTGCCTAGAGGTGTTGACAGTATTCTCTCATGGTAGTTTGTACTTCTGTGGGATCAGTGGTGATATCCCCTTTATCATTTTTTATTGCATCTGCTTGATTCTTCTTCCTTTCATTCTTTAATAGTCTTGCTAGTGGTCTATCAATTTTGTTGATGGTTTCAAAAAACCCGCTCCTGGATTCATTGATTTTTTGAAGGGTTTTTTGGGTCTCTATCTCCTTCAATTCTGCTCGGATCTTAGTTATTTCTTGCCTTCTGCTAGCTTTTGAATGTGTTTGCTCTTGCTTCTCTCATCCTTTTAATGGTGATGTTAGGGTATGCATTTTTGATCTTTCCTCCTTTCCCTTGTGGGCATTTAGTGCTATAAATTTCCCTCTACACACTGCTTTAAATGTGTCCCAGAGATTCTGGTATGTTGTGTCTTTGTTCTCATTGCTTTCAGAGAATATCTTTATTTCTGCCTTCATTTCGTTATGTACCCAGTACTCATTCAGGAACAGCTTGTCCGGTTTCCATGCAGTTGTGCGGTTTTGAGTGAGTTTCTCAATCCTGAGGTCTAGTGTGATTGCAATGTGGTCTGAGAGACCGTTTGTAATAATTTCTGTTATTTTACTTTTACTGAGGAGTGCTTTACTTCCAACTATGTGGTCAATGTGGAAATAAGTGTGATGTGGTGCTGAGAAGAATGTATATTCTGTTGATTTGGGGTGGAGCGTTCTGTAGATGTCTCCTAGGTCCGCTTGGTGCAGAGCTGAGCTCAATTCCCGGATATCCTTTTTTAACTTTCTGTCTCGTTGGTGTGTCTAATGTTGACAGTGGGGTGTTAAGTTTGCCATTATTATTATTATTACTATGTGGGAGTCTAAGTCTCTTTTGATCACACTTTAAAGACCAAAAGGTAGAAGCGCAAAGACGTTATCTGTCCAATATTACAAACCTAGTAAGTGGTGGAATTTGGCCTTGAACCCAGATCTGTAACTCCAGAGCCGAAGTGCTTCACCCACCTCCCTGTGGTGCCTCTACAGAAAAAGAGGTAAGCAGGCATTCCGAAAGCTGGTGGGCCGGGGGGCTGGCCTTGTACTCAGAAGCCATGGAAGTCCCACGTGGGGTGGCTAGTGGTGTAAGGACAGAGGTCTCGGATGGGCAGAGGGATGTGGACAGGCGCGAGGGCGCGCGGCAGGGACTCGGGGGACTGGGAGTGGCGGCTCGGGGCTGCGGGAGGCGATTGGTGGAAGGACAGAGGTCTGGGAGGGGCAGAGGGATGTGGACAGGCCCGAGGGGCCGCGGCAGGGATTCCGGGGGACCGGGAGTGGGGGGTTGGGGTTACTCTTGGCTTTTTGCCCTCTCCTGCCGCCGGCTGCTCCAGTTTCTTTCGCTTGCGGCGAGGTGGGCAGGGTGAGCTCTCGGGACTGATGGCGGTTTTGGAAGAGGCCTGGGGCTAAGGACAGGCCAGGGCGGCGGGAGAGGCGGACCGGTGGCGTGGCTGGATCTGGGCGCGCTGTCGGACCTTCCACATCACCAGCTGCAGGCAGGCGTTTGCGTCCTCGCTGGAGTTGTGGCCGTCCTGGCTGTCCTGGATGATCTGTGCCAGGTAGTCGGCCGCGAGATTCCTGAGGGAGCGCTTGTAGGGGAAACCCAGGTAGTGCGGGAAGAGCACGGCCGTGTCCACCACGGTGCTGTGGATGAGCTTCAGGGCCAGCAGGTCGCTCTCCAGGCTGTGCCCGATGAGGATGGTTTGGGCGCTGAAAAAGCTCAGCAGGATGGCTTGGACTTGGGGCAACGTGATGCTCGTCTTGGCGACGTCGGCCTCGGTGACTCCGGAAAACCTGGTGTTGTAGTCCACGATCTCGTTGTCGGGCTTGACGAAGGTGTCGTACACCACTCGCATGTCGGCGTCCACCACGGTGACGCGGGTCAGCTCTAGGCCATGCGTGGTGTAGCACATCTCACAGTCCAAGGCGTAGATTCCTGGATAAGCGTCTCTGGACAACTCTTTCTTGAAGGTCTCCACGAAGCCATCGAGGCTCTCCTTGCGGGCCGTCCCGCACGTGCTGCTTTGCCACCTGGCAGCCCACAGAGCCAGGAGCAGCTGCACAGCAGGTGTACTGGCTAACCCGGCCTCCAGCCACCTGGCTCGAGCGGACCCGCCCCCAGTGATAATAACACAACTGGTCGCGTACACAGCGGCCCGAGGAGGACACCAGGTACTCGGTGCCACAACGGCAGCAGACCCTGCAGGAGGAGTCGCCGGGCCCCTTCCCCTGGCCAGTGAAGAGGACGGCGCCTCCGGGCCGCTCGGGGTGCGGGAAGGGGTAGCCGTTCTCCTTGAGCTGGTCCTGGGTGAGCAGGAACTCCTGGAGGCGGCTGTACAGGGCGGCCCTGCTGAGGCCGGGCATGGAGCTGGGGGTCAGGCCCTTCAGTCTCTTGAGGGTGTTCAGGACCACGTTCAGGTACCTGTTCTTGTTGGGGCTGCAGTCGTAGGCCACCTTCTCCTCGTTCAGCGCCTTCTCCTCGGCCTCCTGCTTGGAGGCGCAGAACTTGAGACACTCTTCGGTGAACAGCTGGAGATAGCCTCGGCGGAGGACGGTGGGGACTTGGCACCCAGAGCTTCGGAGGATAATGGGTTTCTTCAAACTCAAACTCGGTAAGGATGCACGACGGACGATTCGCTTAGAGCTGGTGGTGGCGGTGGTCTTGCATGCCATCCCTGACCTGTTGCGCGTCTTCCCTGGCTGTCTGCCGACCTTGGAGCCACGGGACCGTTGGCTGCTGCTGGCCACCCGGGTTCTCTTGGCATCTGTGTAACCTGTGACCAAGCAAGGGCTGGAAGGAGTGGGCGATCGTCTTCCTCTTCCTGGGGGCTGAGATGCGGACTCCCGAGGGCCTCTCTGTCAGCCTTGGGGTGGCTGGCAAGCGGCAGGCCGATCCCCTCTGTGCAGGGAAGTAGCACGACTCCGTCACCATCTTGGGCCACGCTGGGGGCACCGCCGGACCCCTGTTCTGGGGCTCCGCCTGGATGTCCACAAATGCTGAGGCCTGCTTGTGCATCTGGGGCACCCAGAGCCCGAAGCTCTGGGCAGGCTGATGAGAGGGCAGTGGGAATTCTGGAGCCTCGAGGGCCGCCTCCTCGGCCACCTTCTTAGCTTCTGGGTATCCAGGTGGGAACCAGCAGGGAGCTGTGGCTCGCAACATCTTGCTGCCTTCGGGAGCACCGGCCGGGCTCTGCTCCGCTCCCAAATGGCGGCTTGCCTCCGGGGCCGCCTCCTTGGCCACCTTCTTAGCTTCTGGGTATCCAGGGCGGAACCAGCAGGGAGCTGTGGCTCGCAACATCTTGCTGCCTTCGGGAGCACCGGCCTGGCTCTGCTCCCCTCCCAAATGGCGGCTTGCCTCCAGGGCCGCCTCCTCGGCCACCTTCTTAGCTTCTGGGTATCCAGGGGGGAACCAGCAGGGAGCTGTGGCTCGCAACATCTTGCTGCCTTCGGGAGCACCGGCCTGGCTCTGCTCCTCTCCCAACTGGCGGCTTCAATGAGTGCTGCGGCCGCCACTTGTCGCCTTTATATAGGCACAGGGCAGACTGGGTGGGACTTCTCCTTGATAGGTTGGTGCTTCAGTCCAATCACACTGAGCCTCATCTTCCACCAGACTCCAGCTTGGGAATGCCTCAGGGGGTGCGCTAATGGAATCAACTGGAACTCCCGGTTGCTAAACTTGGAGCTAGGTTGCTTTTCCTGAGTTAAGTAACTGTCCCTGCAAGGCAGTCCTATAATGGCTACTGGAATTGGGCTACCTAGGATTAAATTAAGGTTCAGGGAGGTTGGTCAACTTGCTTGGGCCCACACAGCACCCCTTGGAGCCAGGACTGGGCCAGCAGTCTGCTGCATGCTGGAGGGCGGGATCCCTCTGGGGCTGCCTTTCCCTGCTCTGTGCACTCCGCCGCTGCGGGCAAATTGAGGACAGGAAGCGGACCGCACCCACTTCTCTCCCAGGACTTGGGCAATGTTCAACACAGGTGGTCTTCCAAAGGTTCATAGAAAATGCACATGGTGAAGAAACTATGCATGGATTTCCACTGGTTTGCACTAAAATAAACTTGTCCTAACTTCTGATAACCTTTCTGAACTAGATCTAGTTTGAGGCACTAAGAAGGATGAGACATCCACTGAAAAGGACTCCCATCAGAGCAACATGAATTCCACGAAAATTGCAGCAAGAGGAAACATCAAATTTATGGTGAAGCTTGGGTGGAAGATTGAAGAAATCATTGACGTTTTAAGAAAAGCTTGTAAGGACACTACCCCAAAGAAATGAACTCTTTACGAATGTATAGCTTGTTTCAAGAAGAGGTGAGAAGATGTGGAAGATGAATCCTTCAGTGGCTGTGAAAACCACTGTGCCCAGATCAGCTGCAGTTACGACGAGAGCTATCAGTGGAAATTTTAAGCAGGAGGGATCACGATCCTGACGCATCCCTCTGACAAATTGTAAGCGGCAGTTGGAACATGGCTTCACCAATATGATCTCGAAGGCAAAGCATCATGAAAGCGATGGCTACCAAGAGGTGGCAGTGGTCCAGTCAAAGGAAAAGGAGGCCAGTCAGGAGCCCACATCATGGCATCAGTGTTTTGGGACACTCAAGGCATTTTGCTTGTTGACTTTCTGAAAGGCCAAACATCTGCTTATTAGGAGAGTGTTCTGAGAAGCTTAGATAAAGCTTTGGTAGAAACATGCTGGGAAAGTCTCACTAGATCCTTGTTCACCACATCAATTCTCTGCTCATTCCTCTCATCAAACAAGGGCAATTTTGTCAGTTTCAATGGGCAGTCCTTAGGAATTCACCTTACGGGCTGCTTTCATTCCTTCTAAATTCTTTTTGTTTCCTAATGATAAAAAGTCTCCTTGCCTTGCTTGGAAAGATGAGAGAAAGTCTCCTTGCCTTGTTTGGACAGATGAGAGATGAGATCCTCCTCTTCTCTCCCAGGACAGAATGGTGAGACTTGAGTTTCCTTTCTCCTCACTCTTCTCCTCCTTGAGGGAGCTGCTGTGCCGGACAGACCTGCCCCCGTGTCTAGACACTGGTAGACTCGTTTAAGTTCCTCACAGGCAATCCTCCATGGGGTCAAAGTGGAAGGACTTATTTCTTGAGGGCTCAGTAGTCCACATCCTGGCGTGCACCTTCACCAGCCCAGGGCGGGGTAGAGGAGGGTGAAAGGGCGTGGCTCAGAGCCCGCTTCTTCCGCTCGGGCGTATCCTGGGAGGAACCCTTGTCCGGTGAGCATGTCTTCGTCTCTACCAAATTCCCTAGTGGGACATTTCTGGCAGCCCTACTTCTTCAGCAGCTTACGGGGGTCAGGTGGACCTCTGCTAGTCACCAGCCTGAAGCCCTTTCTCCATTTCAGCTATTTTGGCAGTTGCCTAGGTGACTTTTGAACCTCATTATCCAGAACAGCAAACGGACGAGGGGTGAGAAGAGTGGCCGTCTGGGTTTGCAGCATAGTGCTGCCTTCTAGGAGTTGTGCAGTCTTCGATTGTGTGAAACTTCACCTGGCTGATTTGTGGCAATGCCTCCACAAATTCGCTAAATTCAGTAGCTTTTGCCTTCCAAGATTCATTTACACAATGTTGAATGCTTTAAATGAATGAGCATGAAGAGTGCTGGGCTGGAAAGTGATGAGATGGGTGGTAGGGACTCCTCGGAGTAGAGGAGTAGAGTTTTACTATTATGACTAGGAGGCAAATAAAAAGAAGCTGAACGTGATCCATAATAAAAGAAGCACACACTCACAGAGCTCCATACCAACTACATTAAAATGGAAATCATGATATTTGGAAATACAACTTAATTGGAAATCATTAAGTAATCTCATCAACCTTTTTACAGTGGGTGGCAGGGCTATGGAGGGAAAACAGCAATGGTTCTGGCACCTACTTAACTTGATTCCATTAAATTCACCCAACAGGCCTCCAGAGAACATATTACTGCTTTGATATTACAAAGGGAAAAACAGCTATGGCGTCTCTGAAAAGCACAACGTGCTAGGACTGGAATGACTTTAAAACCACACATAAATTTCTGAGAGATTTTTGCCATAAGGTACCATCCACCTTACTGTAAACCACATCCTAAAATTGTCTGCAGTGCAAATGGATTATGTGCATCCAACAGGAAACAGCATAGGTTGAGAAGCTGTTACTTAATAGCTTCATTGTCACCACGAGTGTAAAGTGCGGGGTCTCCTCACTTTTGCACCCACGTTTTGCCTGTTGGTTTCTCCACACTGTCAGGAGCATTTGACCAACTCACTGTGGCTCAGGGTCCCTTACGCAGCCTGTTGGGGAAACCAGTGGGTATTGAAGACCTGCCTCTGGTGTGCCAGGAGGTTGTGCCTGCCGGCCACTCTGACTTGCGATCTTCCGCCTCAGTGTATGGCTTCCTACACCTGGGTAATTAACATTGCCAGCATGATAAGGAGGTCCTTTCATCACTATTGCCACTAATCCTTCCGACTCCTGTGCCCTGTTTCTCCTTTATTGGAACCCAAGAACGAGTAAACATAGCATTTTCAAACATCCCGCCCCCTTCCCTGGTAACACCAATATTCCACCATCCTAATTCCCTCACAAGCATTCAGTCTCTCCACCCTGAGGTGGTGAAATCCCTGCAGGCATTTATAAGTATACCTGGACAGAAGAAATACAAGATACCGTTCTATTAACTCAATATAGTGTTGCTAAGTTCGTACTTGTGCTTGGTTTATGTTATTTTATAAATACGTATCACTCGCATGGTTCCAAATGCGGTAGGCACAGAGAGTATATATGATGGAATTACATCCTCCTTCCCTGCACTCAGCAACCGAGATCTTCCCGCTACGGGCACTCAAAGGTTTCATTGTCTGAAATATCAGCCTAAACGTAGTTTATGTTTAGGAAGCAACAACCGTAAATAGGCCCACATCCAAACGGAGTGGATTTAGGTTTCACTTTTTCAAGGAAAAACCATCAAAGAATTTTTCCACATACTTATAAAGCATCCCACGTATAGAATCCATTTTTACTGACACAAATTTAGTACCAATAAACGACTCTTCTTCTCAATTTGTTTTATTTAACAATAAGTCTTGAACGTCATTCCCAGTTAACATTTTGAAGAGTTTCCTCTCTTTCGTTCTGTTTTAGCTGCAAAGTATTCTTCCGTAAGGATGAACGTACTATAATTTATTAGCCAGCCACTTAGTGATGTACAATTAAGCAGTTTTAAATCTTTGACTCTTGAAAATATTGTTTCTCACACATAAATATTTCTATAAAATAAATTAGTTGAATTAGAATTGTTGGAGTTCAAGACCAGCCTGGCCAACATGGTGAAACCCCATCTCTACTAGAAACACAAAATTAGCCGGACATGCCGGTACATGCCTCTAATCTCAGGTGAGGCAGGAGAATCACTTCAACCTGGGAGGCAGAGGTTGTAGTGACTCGAAATCACGCCACTGCACTCCAGCCTGGGCGACGCGAGCGAAACTCTGTCTCAAAAAACCAAAAAAAATTAAACATAAAAAGAAAAGCGGTACATATTCCCAATAGAACACAATTCAGCCTTAAAAAAGAAAGAAATCATCTCATTGGCAACACGAATGAGCCTAGAGGATGGTACACTGAGTGAAAGAAAGCAAAGGCCAGGCACGGTGGCTCATGCCTGTAATCCCAGTACTTTGGGAGGCCAAGGCAGGTGGAAGCGTTGAGCCCAGGAGTTGGAGATGAACCTGGGCAACATGGTGAAACCCCATCTCTAAAAGAAACACAAAAATTAGCCAAGTGTGGCGTTGGACGCCTGTAGTCCTAGCTATTCAGGAGGCTGAAGCGGGAGGAACTCTCGACCCCGGGAGGTGGAGGCCGTGGTGGGTGAGTGAGCCGTGTTTGTGTCACTGTACTCCAGCCTGGGTGACAGACTGAGACCCTGTCTCAAAAAATAAATAATTACATAATAAAATTTAAAAAGCAAGCACAAAAAGACAAATACTGCATGATCTCACTTATATGTGCAATCTCAAACAATGCAACTCATAGCTGTAGAGAGCAGAACGGTGGTTACCCGAGGCAGGGGTCAGGGAGGGACTGGAGAGATGATAGTCTCATGATACAAAATTTCAGAGAGGAATGGTTCTAGAGATCTATTGAACAGCCTGGCATCTACAGTGTATAACTATGTATTGTATACTTGAAAATTGCTATAAGAGTAGATTTTAGACATGTCCTCATCACATTAAAATCAGTATGTGAGGAAACGAGTGTGTTAATTAGCTTGATTTTGTCATTCCACAATGTATACACGTATGAAACATCATGTTGTATGCCATAAATATATATAATTTTTATTTGTCAAGTTAAAATTAAAATTCATATAAATTATAAAAATAAAATGAAATAACATACACTACAAAAGACGTTTATTTATTAAATCCCCACAGAAGGGGTCTAAGTGATAAAGGAAAATAAAATTCCGGGAACGGTAAAATCAATCAGAAATGCCCTACTTCAGTGCTTTCCGAAATTTGTCTGACAGAGTGGAAATCCAGTTTTTCACTAAGTCACTGTTCTGGAACAGTTTGTGTGTGTGTATGTATGTGTGTGAGGGCTCACATACACAAATTGAACTAATGGAAGTGTAAGCATTCAAATTATCAGTTTAATTTAGTTCTATACATATACACACACACACACTCACACACCGAAAACATTGATAAAATCAGCCATTCCAGCAAAACTAGCTACTTAGTGTCTATCTCTCCTTGAAGATTCAAACTAGAAATGAGGATTTAGAGAGGCATGATGGTTCGTTCTCTCTTGGAGCCCAGTTCGAAGTTGACTGACTGATTCAGTCATTGTAATTGGTTGGTCTTGGGGAAGAATCCACTTTGACTCTTGGGAAGTCAGCTAGGTCAGCGGACAGAGCAGGGGCTCTGGAGCCAGACTGCCTGCACCCGACTTCTAGCTATGATACCTTGGATAAACTACTTATCACCTGGGCTTCAGGTTCCTCATCTGTAAAATGGGGATAAGAATGCTATCTCTCTCACAACTATTAGGAGGACTGACTGGGTTAATACGTGCAAAGTACCAAGTACATAAGAAACCAACAGCCAGTGCTCATTACAATCATTATTATTTTGGGCAAGTTAAGCCGCATGGTTTCTTTAGGTATAAAATTAGGCTTTATTTACCTACCTGTTGGGTTGTTCCAAGGATTAATCACATAGTGTTCATGAATTCCCTTTATAAACTATTATAGAAAAGAAATATAGTTAACATTAATTGAACACCTACTATGTGCGATCGTTTTAAGGCTTGCCATGTGCTGCTTCATTCAGTCCGCACCATGACATTAGGATCACACTTTCGTTTTCCATTTTTTTTTAAATTATACTTTAATTACTAGGGTACATGTGCACAACGTGCAGGTTTATTACGTATGTAAGCACGTGCCATGTTGGTGTGCTGCACCCATTCACTAGTCATTTACATTAGGTATATCTCTTAATGTTATCCCTCCCCCTCCCCCCGCCCATGACAGGCCCCGGTGTGTGATGTTCCCCTTTCTGCGTCCAAGTGTTCTCCTAGTTCAATTCCCACCTATGAGTGGGATCACGCGGTGTTTGGTTTTTTTGTCCTTGCGATAGTTTGCTAAGAATGATGGTTTCCAGCTTCATCCGTGTCCCTCCGAAGGGCATGAACACATGCTTTTTTATGGCTGCATAGTATTCCACGGTGTATTTGTGCCACGTTTCCTTAATCCAGTCTATCATTGATGGACATCTGGGCTGGTTCCAAGTCTTTGCTACTGTGAACGGTGCCGCAATAAACATACGTCTGCGTGTGTCCTTTTAGCAGCATGATTTATAGTCCTATGGGTGTATACCCAGTAATGGGACGGCTGGGTCAAATGGTATTTCTAACTCTAGATCCTTGAGGATTCGCCACACTATCTTCCACAACCGCTGAACTGGTTTACAGTCCCACCAGCAGTGTAAAAGTGTCCCTATTTCTCCACTACCTCTCCAGCACCTGTTGTTTCCTGACTTTTTTATTGATCGCTATTGTAACTGGTGTGAGACGATATCTCTTTGCGGATTTGATTTGCATTTCTCTGATGACCAGTGTTGATGAGCATTTTTTCATGTGTCTGTTGGCTGCATAAATGTCTTCTTTTTAAAAGTGTCTCTTCATATCCTTCCCGCACTTGTTGATGGGGTTGTTTGGTTTTTCTTGTAACTCTGTTTGAGTTCTTAGTAGATTCTGGATATTAGCCCTTTGTCAGATGAGTAGATTGCAAAAATTTTCTCCCTTTCTGTAGCATGCCTGTTCACTCTGATGGGAGTTTCTTTAGCTGTGCAGAAACTCTTTAGTGTAATTAGATGCCGTTTGTCAATATAGGCTTTTGTTGTCTTTGCTTTTGGCGTTTTAGACATGAGGTCCTTGCCCATGCCTATGTCCTGAATGGTATTGCCTAGGTTTTCTCCTAGGGTTCGTATGGCTTAAGATGTAACATTTAAGTCTTTCATCCGTCTTGAATAAACTTTTGTATAAGGTGTAAGGAAGGGATCCAATTTCACCTTCGGACATATGGCTAGCCAGTTTTCCCAGCACCATTTATTAAATAGGGAATCCTTTCCCCATTTCTTGTTTTTGTCAGGTTTGTCAAAGATCCGATGGTTGTAGATGTGTCGTATTATTTCTGAGGGCTCTATTCTGTTCCATTGGTCTACAGTAACCAAAAAGGCAACCAACAGCATGCTGTTTGGTTACTGTAGGCTTGTAGTGTAGTTTGAAGTCGGGTAGCTTGATGCCTCCAACTTTGTTCTTTTGGCTTAGGATTATCTTGGCAGTGGGGGCCCTTTTGTGGTTCCATGTAAACTTTCAAGTAGTTTTTTCCAATTCTGTGAAGAAAGTCCTTGGTAGCTTGATGGGGATGGCATTGGATCTATAATATACCTTGGGCAGTATGGCCATTTTCACGATACTGATTCTTCCTAACCGTGAGCATGGAATATTCTTCCATTGGTTTGTGTCCTCTTTTATTTCGTGGAGCAGTGGTTTGTAGTTCTCCTTGAAGAGGTCCTTCGCACATCGCATCCCTTGTTAGTTGGATTCCTCAGTATTTTATTCTCTTTGAAGCAATTGTGAATGGGAGCTCAGTCATGATTTGGCTCTCTGTTTGCCTGTTATTGGTGTATAAGAATGCTTGTGATTTTTGCACATCGATTTTGTATCCTGAGACTTTGCTGAAGTTGCTTATCAGCTTAAGGAGATTTTGGGCTGAGACGATGGGTTTTTCTAAATATTCAATCATGTCATCTACAAACAGGGACAATTTGACTTCCTCTTTTCCTAATTGATTACTCTTTATTTCTTTCTCCTGCCTGATTGCCCTGGCCAGAAGTTCCAACACTATGTTGAATAGGAGTGGTGAGAGAGGGCACCCCTGTCTTGTGGCAGTTTGCAAAGGGAATGCTTCCACTTTTTGCCCATTCAGTATGATATTGGCTGTGGGTTTGCCCTAAATAGCCCTTATTATTTTGAGGTATGTCCCATCAGTACCTAATTTATTGAGAGTTTTTGGCATGAAAGGCTGTTGAATTTTGTCAAAGGCCTTTTCTGCATCTGTTGAGATAATCACGCGGTTTCTGTCTTTGGTTCCGATTATATGCTGGATTATGTTTATTGATTTGCATATGTTGGACCAGCCTTGCATGTCAGGGATGAAGCCCACTTGATCATAATGGATAAGCTCTTTGATGTGCTGCTGGATTCGGTTTGCCAGCATTTTATGGAGGATTTTTCCATCGGTGTTCCTCAGGGATATGGGCCGAAAATTCTCTTTGTTGGTTGTGTCTCTCTCAGCCTTTGGGATCAGGATGATGCTGGCCTCATAAAATGAGATAGGGAGGATTCCCTCTTTTTCTGTTGATTGGAATAGTTTCCGAAGGAATGGTACCAGCTCCTCCTTGTACTTCTGGTAGAATTCGGCTGTGAATCCGTCTGGTCCTGGAGTTTTATTGCTTGATAGGCTATTAATTATTGCCTCAATTTCAGAGCCTGTTATTGGTCTATTCAGGCATTCAACTTCTTCCTGGTTTACTCTGGGGAGGTTGCATGTGTCCAGGAATTTATTCATTTCTTCTAGATTTCCGAGTTTGTTTGCCTAGAGGTGTTGACAGTATTCTCTCATGGTAGTTTGTACTTCTGTGGGATCAGTGGTGATATCCCCTTTATCATTTTTTATTGCATCTGCTTGATTCTTCTTTCTTTCATTCTTTAATAGTCTTGCTAGTGGTCTATCAATTTTGTTGATGGTTTCAAAAAACCCGCTCCTGGATTCATTGATTTTTTGAAGGGTTTTTTGGGTCTCTATCTCCTTCAGTTCTGCTCGGATCTTAGTTATTTCTTGCCTTCTGCTAGCTTTTGAATGTGTTTGCTCTTGCTTCTCTCATCCTTTTAATGGTGATGTTAGGGTATGCATTTTTGATCTTTCCTGCTTTCCCTTGTGGGCATTTAGTGCTATAAATTTCCCTCTACACACTGCTTTAAATGTGTCCCAGAGATTCTGGTATGTTGTGTCTTTGTTCTCATTGCTTTCAGAGAATATCTTTATTTCTGCCTTCATTTCGTTATGTACCCAGTACTCATTCAGGAGCAGCTTGTCCGGTTTCCATGCAGTTGAGCGGTTTTGAGTGAGTTTCTCAATCCTGAGGTCTAGTGTGATTGCAATGTGGTCTGAGAGACCGTTTGTAATAATTTCTGTAATTTTACTTTTACTGAGGAGTGCTTTACTTCCAACTATGTGGTCAATGTGGAAATAAGTGTGATGTGGTGCTGAGAAGAATGTATATTCTGTTGATTTGGGGTGGAGCGTTCTGTACATGTCTCCTAGGTCCGCTTGGTGCAGAGCTGAGCTCAATTCCCGGATATCCTTTTTTAACTTTCTGTCTCGTTGGTGTGTCTAATGTTGACAGTGGGGTGTTAAGTTTGCCATTATTATTATTATTATTATGTGGGAGTCTAAGTCTCTTTTGATCACACTTTAAAGACCAAAAGGTAGAAGCGCAAAGACGTTATCTGTCCAATATTACAAACCTAGTAAGTGGTGGAATTTGGCCTTGAACCCAGATCTGTAACTCCAGAGCCGAAGTGCTTCACCCACCTCCCTGTGGTGCCTCTACAGAAAAAGAGGTAAGCAGGCATTCCGAAAGCTGGTGGGCCGGGGGGCTGGCCTTGTACTCAGAAGCCATGGAAGTCCCACGTGGGGTGGCTAGTGGTGTAAGGACAGAGGTCTCGGATGGGCAGAGGGATGTGGACAGGCGCGAGGGCGCGCGGCAGGGACTCGGGGGACTGGGAGTGGCGGCTCGGGGCTGCGGGAGGCGATTGGTGGAAGGACAGAGGTCTGGGAGGGGCAGAGGGATGTGGACAGGCCCGAGGGGCCGCGGCAGGGATTCCGGGGGACCGGGAGTGGGGGGTTGGGGTTACTCTTGGCTTTTTGCCCTCTCCTGCCGCCGGCTGCTCCAGTTTCTTTCGCTTTGCGGCGAGGTGGGCAGGGTGAGCTCTCGGGACTGATGGCGGTTTTGGAAGAGGCCTGGGGCTAAGGACAGGCCAGGGCGGCGGGAGAGGCGGACCGGTGGCGTGGCTGGATCTGGGCGCGCTGTCGGACCTTCCACATCACCAGCTGCAGGCAGGCGTTTGCGTCCTCGCTGGAGTTGTGGCCGTCCTGGCTGTCCTGGATGATCTGTGCCAGGTAGTCGGCCGCGAGATTCCTGAGGGAGCGCTTGTAGGGGAAACCCAGGTAGTGCGGGAAGAGCACGGCCGTGTCCACCACGGTGCTGTGGATGAGCTTCAGGGCCAGCAGGTCGCTCTCCAGGCTGTGCCCGATGAGGATGGTTTGGGCGCTGAAAAAGCTCAGCAGGATGGCTTGGACTTGGGGCAACGTGATGCTCGTCTTGGCGACGTCGGCCTCGGTGACTCCGGAAAACCTGGTGTTGTAGTCCACGATCTCGTTGTCGGGCTTGACGAAGGTGTCGTACACCACTCGCATGTCGGCGTCCACCACGGTGACGCGGGTCAGCTCTAGGCCATGCGTGGTGTAGCACATCTCACAGTCCAAGGCGTAGATTCCTGGATAAGCGTCTCTGGACAACTCTTTCTTGAAGGTCTCCACGAAGCCATCGAGGCTCTCCTTGCGGCCGTCCCGCACGTGCTGCTTTGCCACCTGGCAGCCCACAGAGCCAGGAGCAGCTGCACAGCAGGTGTACTGGCTAACCCGGCCTCCAGCCACCTGGCTCGAGCGGACCCGCCCCCAGTGATAATAACACAACTGGTCGCGTACACAGCGGCCCGAGGAGGACACCAGGTACTCGGTGCCACAACGGCAGCAGACCCTGCAGGAGGAGTCGCCGGGCCCCTTCCCCTGGCCAGTGAAGAGGACGGCGCCTCCGGGCCGCTCGGGGTGCGGGAAGGGGTAGCCGTTCTCCTTGAGCTGGTCCTGGGTGAGCAGGAACTCCTGGAGGCGGCTGTACAGGGCGGCCCTGCTGAGGCCGGGCATGGAGCTGGGGGTCAGGCCCTTCAGTCTCTTGAGGGTGTTCAGGACCACGTTCAGGTACCTGTTCTTGTTGGGGCTGCAGTCGTAGGCCACCTTCTCCTCGTTCAGCGCCTTCTCCTCGGCCTCCTGCTTGGAGGCGCAGAACTTGAGACACTCTTCGGTGAACAGTTGGAGATAGCCTCGGCGGAGGACGGTGGGGACTTGGCACCCAGAGCTTCGGAGGATAATGGGTTTCTTCAAACTCAAACTCGGTAAGGATGCACGACGGACGATTCGCTTAGAGCTGGTGGTGGCGGTGGTCTTGCATGCCATCCCTGACCTGTTGCGCGTCTTCCCTGGCTGTCTGCCGACCTTGGAGCCACGGGAGCGTTGGCTGCTGCTGGCCACCCGGGTTCTCTTGGCATCTGTGTAACCTGTGACCAAGCAAGGGCTGGAAGAGTGGGCGATCGTCTTCCTCTTCCTGGGGGCTGAGATGCGGACTCCCGAGGGCCTCTCTGTCAGCCTTGGGGCGGCTGGCAAGCGGCAGGCCGATCCCCTCTGCGCAGGGAAGTAGCACGACTCCGTCACCATCTTGGGCCACGCTGGGGGCACCGCCGGACCCCTGTTCTGGGGCTCCGCCTGGATGTCCACAAATGCTGAGGCCTGCTTGTGCATCTGGGGCACCCAGAGCCCGAAGCTCTGGGCAGGCTGATGAGAGGGCAGTGGGAATTCTGGAGCCTCGAGGGCCGCCTCCTCGGCCACCTTCTTAGCTTCTGGGTATCCAGGTGGGAACCAGCAGGGAGCTGTGGCTCGCAACATCTTGCTGCCTTCGGGAGCACCGGCCGGGCTCTGCTCCGCTCCCAAATGGCGGCTTGCCTCCGGGGCCGCCTCCTTGGCCACCTTCTTAGCTTCTGGGTATCCAGGGCGGAACCAGCAGGGAGCTGTGGCTCGCAACATCTTGCTGCCTTCGGGAGCACCGGCCTGGCTCTGCTCCCCTCCCAAATGGCGGCTTGCCTCCAGGGCCGCCTCCTCGGCCACCTTCTTAGCTTCTGGGTATCCAGGGGGGAACCAGCAGGGAGCTGTGGCTCGCAACATCTTGCTGCCTTCGGGAGCACCGGCCTGGCTCTGCTCCTCTCCCAACTGGCGGCTTCAATGAGTGCTGCGGCCGCCACTTGTCGCCTTTATATAGGCACAGGGCAGACTGGGTGGGACTTCTCCTTGATAGGTTGGTGCTTCAGTCCAATCACACTGAGCCTCATCTTCCACCAGACTCCAGCTTGGGAATGCCTCAGGGGGTGCGCTAATGGAATCAACTGGAACTCCCGGTTGCTAAACTTGGAGCTAGGTTGCTTTTCCTGAGTTAAGTAACTGTCCCTGCAGGGCAGTCCTATAATGGCTACTGGAATTGGGCTACCTAGGATTAAATTAAGGTTCAGGGAGGTTGGTCAACTTGCTTGGGCCCACACAGCACTCCTTGGAGCCAGGACTGGGCCAGCAGTCTGCTGCATGCTGGAGGGCGGGATCCCTCTGGGGCTGCCTTTCCCTGCTCTGTGCACTCCGCCGCTGCGGGCAAATTGAGGACAGGAAGCGGACCGCACCCACTTCTCTCCCAGGACTTGGGCAATGTTCAACACAGGTGGTCTTCCAAAGGTTCATAGAAAATGCACATGGTGAAGAAACTATGCATGGATTTCCACTGGTTTGCACTAAAATAAACTTGTCCTAACTTCTGATAACCTTTCTGAACTAGATCTAGTTTGAGGCACTAAGAAGGATGAGACATCCACTGAAAAGGACTCCCATCAGAGCAACATGAATTCCACGAAAATTGCAGCAAGAGGAAACATCAAATTTATGGTGAAGCTTGGGTGGAAGATTGAAGAAATCATTGACGTTTTAAGAAAAGCTTGTAAGGACACTACCCCAAAGAAATGAACTCTTTACGAATGTATAGCTTGTTTCAAGAAGAGGTGAGAAGATGTGGAAGATGAATCCTGCAGTGGCTGTGAAAACCACTGTGCCCAGATCAGCTGCAGTTACGACGAGAGCTATCAGTGGAAATTTTAAACAGGAGGGATCACGATCCTGACGCATCCCTCTGACAAATTGTAAGCGGCAGTTGGAACATGGCTTCACCAATATGATCGCCAAGGCAAAGCATCATGAAAGCGATGGCTACCAAGAGGTGGCAGTGGTCCAGTCAAAGGAAAAGGAGGCCAGTCAGGAGCCCACATCATGGCATCAGTGTTTTGGGACACTCAACGCATTTTGCTTGTTGACTTTCTGAAAGGCCAAACATCTGCTTATTAGGAGAGTGTTCTGAGAAGCTTAGATAAAGCTTTGGTAGAAACATGCTGGGAAAGTCTCACTAGATCCTTGTTCACCACATCAATGCTCTGCTCATTCCTCTCATCAAACAAGGGCAATTTTGTCAGTTTCAATGGGCAGTCCTTAGGAATTCACCTTACGGGCTGCTTTCATTCCTTCTAAATTCTTTTTGTTTCCTAATGATAAAAAGTCTCCTTGCCTTGCTTGGAAAGATGAGAGAAAGTCTCCTTGCCTTGTTTGGACAGATGAGAGATGAGATCCTCCTCTTCTCTCCCAGGACAGAATGGTGAGACTTGAGTTTCCTTTCTCCTCACTCTTCTCCTCCTTGAGGGAGCTGCTGTGCCGGACAGACCTGCCCCCGTGTCTAGACACTGGTAGACTCGTTTAAGTTCCTCACAGGCAATCCTCCATGGGGTCAAAGTGGAAGGACTTATTTCTTCAGGGCTCAGTAGTCCACATCCTGGCGCGCACCTTCACCAGCCCAGGGCGGGGTAGAGGAGGGTGAAAGGGCGTGGCTCAGAGCCCGCTTCTTCCGCTCGGGCGTATCCTGGGAGGAACCCTTGTCCGGTGAGCATGTCTTCGTCTCTACCAAATTCCCTAGTGGGACATTTCTGGCAGCCCTACTTGTTCAGCAGCTTACGGGGGTCAGGTGGACCTCTGCTAGTCACCAGCCTGAAGCCCTTTCTCCATTTCAGCTATTTTGGCAGTTGCCTAGGTGACTTTTGAACCTCATTATCCAGAACAGCAAACGGACGAGGGGTGAGAAGAGTGGCCGTCTGGGTTTGCAGCATAGTGCTGCCTTCTAGGAGTTGTGCAGTCTTCGATTGTGTGAAACTTCACCTGGCTGATTTGTGGCAATGCCTCCACAAATTCGCTAAATTCAGTAGCTTTTGCCTTCCAAGATTCATTTACACAATGTTGAATGCTTTAAATGAATGAGCATGAAGAGTGCTGGGCTGGAAAGTGATGAGATGGGTGGTAGGGACTCCTCGGAGTAGAGGAGTAGAGTTTTACTATTATGACTAGGAGGCAAATAAAAAGAAGCTGAACGTGATCCATAATAAAAGAAGCACACACTCACAGAGCTCCATACCAACTACATTAAAATGGAAATCATGATATTTGGAAATACAACTTAATTGGAAATCATTAAGTAATCTCATCAACCTTTTTACAGTGGGTGGCAGGGCTATGGAGGGAAAACAGCAATGGTTCTGGCACCTACTTAACTTGATTCCATTAAATTCACCCAACAGGCCTCCAGAGAACATATTACTGCTTTGATATTACAAAGGGAAAAACAGCTATGGCGTCTCTGAAAAGCACAACGTGCTAGGACTGGAATGACTTTAAAACCACACATAAATTTCTGAGAGATTTTTGCCGTAAGGTACCATCCACCTTACTGTAAACCACATCCTAAAATTGTCTGCAGTGCAAATGGATTATGTGCATCCAACAGGAAACAGCATAGGTTGAGAAGCTGTTACTTAATAGCTTCATTGTCACCACGAGTGTAAAGTGTGGGGTCTCATCACTTTTGCACCCACGTTTTGCCTGTTGGTTTCTCCACACTGTCAGGAGCATTTGACCAACTCACTGTGGCTCAGGATCCCTTACGCAGCCTGTTGGGGAAACCAGTGGGTATTGAAGACCTGCCT
This sequence comes from Homo sapiens, assembly GCF_000001405.40. Lineage (NCBI taxonomy): Eukaryota > Metazoa > Chordata > Mammalia > Primates > Hominidae > Homo > Homo sapiens. The sequence goes on from NC_000008.11 coordinate 85,779,972, forward strand.
CTGGTGTGCCAGGAGGTTGTGCCTGCCGGCCACTCTGACTTGTGATCTTCCGCCTCAGTGTATGGCTTCCTACACCTGGGTAATTAACATTGCCAGCATGATAAGGAGGTCCTTTCATCACTATTGCCACTAGTCCTTCCGACTCCTGTGCCCTGTTTCTCCTTTATTGGAACCCAAGAACGAGTAAACATAGCATTTTCAAACATCCCGCCCCCTTCCCTGGTAACACCAATATTCCACCATCCTAATTCCCTCACAAGCATTCAGTCTCTCCACCCTGAGGTGGTGAAATCCCTGCAGGCATTTATAAGTATACCTGGACAGAAGAAATACAAGATACCGTTCTATTAACTCAATATAGTGTTGCTAAGTTCGTACTTGTGCTTGTTTTATTTTATTTTATAAATACGTATCACTCGCATGGTTCCAAATGCGGTAGGCACAGAGAGTATATATGATGGAATTACATCCTCCTTCCCTGCACTCACCAACCGAGATCATCCCGCTACGGGCACTCAAAGGTTTCATTGTCTGAAATATCAGCCTAAACGTAGTTTATGTTTAGGAAGCAACAACCGTAAATAGTCCCACATCCAAACGGAGTGGATTTAGGTTTCACTTTTTCAAGGAAAAACCATCAAAGAATTTTTCCACATACTTATAAACCATCCCACGTATAGAATCCATTTTTACTGACACAAATTTAGTACCAATAAACGACTCTTCTTCTCAATTTGTTTTATTTAACAATAAGTCTTGAACGTCATTCCCAGTTAACATTTTGAAGAGTTTCCTATCTTTCGTTCTGTTTTAGCTGCAAAGTATTCTTCCGTAAGGATGAACGTACTATAATTTATTAGCCAGCCACTTAGTGATGTACAATTAAGCAGTTTTAAATCTTTGACTCTTGAAAATATTGTTTCTCACACATAAATATTTCTATAAAATAAATTAGTTGAATTAGAATTGTTGGAGTTCAAGACCAGCCTGGCCAACATGGTGAAACCCCATCTCTACTAGAAACACAAAATTAGCCGGACATGCCGGTACATGCCTCTAATCTCAGGTGAGGCAGGAGAATCACTTCAACCTGCAGTGGCTGTGAAAACCACTGTGCCCAGATCAGCTGCAGTTACGACGAGAGCTATCAGTGGAAATTTTAAACAGGAGGGATCACGATCCTGACGCATCCCTCTGACAAATTGTAAGCGGAAGTTGGAACATGGCTTCACCAATATGATCGCCAAGGCAAAGCATCATGAAAGCGATGGCTACCAAGAGGTGGCAGTGGTCCAGTCAAAGGAAAAGGAGGCCAGTCAGGAGCCCACATCATGGCATCAGTGTTTTGGGACACTCAAGGCATTTTGCTTGTTGACTTTCTGAAAGGCCAAACATCTGCTTATTAGGAGAGTGTTCTGAGAAGCTTAGATAAAGCTTTGGTAGAAACATGCTGGGAAAGTCTCACTAGATCCTTGTTCACCACATCAATGCTCTGCTCATTCCTCTCATCAAACAAGGGCAATTTTGTCAGTTTCAATGGGCAGTCCTTAGGAATTCACCTTACGGGCTGCTTTCATTCCTTCTAAATTCTTTTTGTTTCCTAATGATAAAAAGTCTCCTTGCCTTGCTTGGAAAGATGAGAGAAAGTCTCCTTGCCTTGTTTGGACAGATGAGAGATGAGATCCTCCTCTTCTCTCCCAGGACAGAATGGTGAGACTTGAGTTTCCTTTCTCCTCACTCTTCTCCTCCTTGAGGGAGCTGCTGTGCCGGACAGACCTGCCCCCGTGTCTAGACACTGGTAGACTCGTTTAAGTTCCTCACAGGCAATCCTCCATGGGGTCAAAGTGGAAGGACTTATTTCTTCAGGGCTCAGTAGTCCACATCCTGGCGCGCACCTTCACCAGCCCAGGGCGGGGTAGAGGAGGGTGAAAGGGCGTGGCTCAGAGCCCGCTTCTTCCGCTCGGGCGTATCCTGGGAGGAACCCTTGTCCGGTGAGCATGTCTTCGTCTCTACCAAATTCCCTAGTGGGACATTTCTGGCAGCCCTACTTGTTCAGCAGCTTACGGGGGTCAGGTGGACCTCTGCTAGTCACCAGCCTGAAGCCCTTTCTCCATTTCAGCTATTTTGGCAGTTGCCTAGGTGACTTTTGAACCTCATTATCCAGAACAGCAAACGGACGAGGGGTGAGAAGAGTGGCCGTCTGGGTTTGCAGCATAGTGCTGCCTTCTAGGAGTTGTGCAGTCTTCGATTGTGTGAAACTTCACCTGGCTGATTTGTGGCAATGCCTCCACAAATTCGCTAAATTCAGTAGCTTTTGCCTTCCAAGATTCATTTACACAATGTTGAATGCTTTAAATGAATGAGCATGAAGAGTGCTGGGCTGGAAAGTGATGAGATGGGTGGTAGGGACTCCTCGGAGTAGAGGAGTAGAGTTTTACTATTATGACTAGGAGGCAAATAAAAAGAAGCTGAACGTGATCCATAATAAAAGAAGCACACACTCACAGAGCTCCATACCAACTACATTAAAATGGAAATCATGATATTTGGAAATACAACTTAATTGGAAATCATTAAGTAATCTCATCAACCTTTTTACAGTGGGTGGCAGGGCTATGGAGGGAAAACAGCAATGGTTCTGGCACCTACTTAACTTGATTCCATTAAATTCACCCAACAGGCCTCCAGAGAACATATTACTGCTTTGATATTACAAAGGGAAAAACAGCTATGGCGTCTCTGAAAAGCACAACGTGCTAGGACTGGAATGACTTTAAAACCACACATAAATTTCTGAGAGATTTTTGCCATAAGGTACCATCCACCTTACTGTAAACCACATCCTAAAATTGTCTGCAGTGCAAATGGATTATGTGCATCCAACAGGAAACAGCATAGGTTGAGAAGCTGTTACTTAATAGCTTCATTGTCACCACGAGTGTAAAGTGCGGGGTCTCCTCACTTTTGCACCCACGTTTTGCCTGTTGGTTTCTCCACACTGTCAGGAGCATTTGACCAACTCACTGTGGCTCAGGGTCCCTTACGCAGCCTGTTGGGGAAACCAGTGGGTATTGAAGACCTGCCTCTGGTGTGCCAGGAGGTTGTGCCTGCCGGCCACTCTGACTTGCGATCTTCCGCCTCAGTGTATGGCTTCCTACACCTGGGTAATTAACATTGCCAGCATGATAAGGAGGTCCTTTCATCACTATTGCCACTAATCCTTCCGACTCCTGTGCCCTGTTTCTCCTTTATTGGAACCCAAGAACGAGTAAACATAGCATTTTCAAACATCCCGCCCCCTTCCCTGGTAACACCAATATTCCACCATCCTAATTCCCTCACAAGCATTCAGTCTCTCCACCCTGAGGTGGTGAAATCCCTGCAGGCATTTATAAGTATACCTGGACAGAAGAAATACAAGATACCGTTCTATTAACTCAATATAGTGTTGCTAAGTTCGTACTTTTGCTTGGTTTATGTTATTTTATAAATAGGTATCACTCGCATGGTTCCAAATGCGGTAGGCACAGAGAGTATATATGATGGAATTACATCCTCCTTCCCTGCACTCAGCAACCGAGATCTTCCCGCTACAGGCACTCAAAGGTTTCATTGTCTGAAATATCAGCCTAAACGTAGTTTATGTTTAGGAAGCAACAACCGTAAATGGGCCCACATCCAAACGGAGTGGATTTAGGTTTCACTTTTTCAAGGAAAAACCATCAAAGAATTTTTCCACATACTTATAAACCATCCCACGTATAGAATCCATTTTTACTGACACAAATTTAGTACCAATAAACGACTCTTCTTCTCAATTTGTTTTATTTAACAATAAGTCTTGAACGTCATTCCCAGTTAACATTTTGAAGAGTTTCCTCTCTTTCGTTCTGTTTTAGCTGCAAAGTATTCTTCCGTAAGGATGAACGTACTATAATTTATTAGCCAGCCACTTAGTGATGTACAATTAAGCAGTTTTAAATCTTTGACTCTTGAAAATATTGTTTCTCACACATAAATATTTCTATAAAATAAATTAGTTGAATTAGAATTGTTGGAGTTCAAGACCAGCCTGGCCAACATGGTGAAACCCCATCTCTACTAGAAACACAAAATTAGCCGGACATGCCGGTACATGCCTCTAATCTCAGGTGAGGCAGGAGAATCACTTCAACCTGGGAGGCAGAGGTTGTAGTGACTCGAAATCACGCCACTGCACTCCAGCCTGGGCGACGCGAGCGAAACTCTGTCTCAAAAAACCAAAAAAAATTAAACATAAAAAGAAAAGCGGTACATATACCCAATAGAACACAATTCAGCCTTAAAAAAGAAAGAAATCATCTCATTGGCAACACGAATGAGCCTAGAGGATGGTACACTGAGTGAAAGAAAGCAAAGGCCAGGCACGGTGGCTCATGCCTGTAATCCCAGTACTTTGGGAGGCCAAGGCAGGTGGAAGCGTTGAGCCCAGGAGTTGGAGATGAACCTGGGCAACATGGTGAAACCCCATCTCTAAAAGAAACACAAAAATTAGCCAAGTGTGGCGTTGGACGCCTGTAGTCCTAGCTATTCAGGAGGCTGAAGCGGGAGGAACTCTCGACCCCGGGAGGTGGAGGCCGTGGTGAGTGAGCCGTGTTTGTGTCACTGTACTCCAGCCTGGGTGACAGACTGAGACCCTGTCTCAAAAAATAAATAATTACATAATAAAGATTTAAAAAGCAAGCACAAAAAGACAAATACTGCATGATCTCACTTATATGTGCAATCTCAAACAATGCAACTCATAGCTGTAGAGAGCAGAACGGTGGTTACCCGAGGCAGGGGTCAGGGAGGGACTGGAGAGATGATAGTCTCATGATACAAAATTTCAGAGAGGAATGGTTCTAGAGATCTATTGAACAGCCTGGCATCTACAGTGTATAAGTATGTATTGTATACTTGAAAATTGCTATAAGAGTAGATTTTAGACATGTCCTCATCACATTAAAATCAGTATGTGAGGAAACGAGTGTGTTAATTAGCTTGATTTTGTCATTCCACAATGTATACACATATGAAACATCATGTTGTATGCCATAAATATATATAATTTTTATTTGTCAAGTTAAAATTAAAATTCATATAAATTATAAAAATAAAATGAAATAACATACACTACAAAAGACGTTTATTTATTAAATCCCCACAGAAGGGGTCTAAGTGATAAAGGAAAATAAAATTCCGGGAACGGTAAAATCAATCAGAAATGCCCTACTTCAGTGCTTTCCGAAATTTGTCTGACAGAGTGGAAATCCAGTTTTTCACTAAGTCACTGTTCTGGAACAGTTTGTGTGTGTGTATGTATGTGTGTGAGGGCTCACATACACAAATTGAACTAATGGAAGTGTAAGCATTCAAATTATCAGTTTAATTTAGTTCTATACATATACACACACACACACTCACACACCGAAAACATTGATAAAATCAGCCATTCCAGCAAAACTAGCTACTTAGTGTCTATCTCTCCTTGAAGATTCAAACTAGAAATGAGGATTTAGAGAGGCATGATGGTTCGTTCTCTCTTGGAGCCCAGTTCGAAGTTGACTGACTGATTCAGTCATTGTAATTGGTTGGTCTTGGGGAAGAATCCACTTTGACTCTTGGGAAGTCAGCTAGGTCAGCGGACAGAGCAGGGGCTCTGGAGCCAGACTGCCTGCACCCGACTTCTAGCTATGATACCTTGGATAAACTACTTATCACCTGGGCTTCAGGTTCCTCATCTGTAAAATGGGGATAAGAATGCTATCTCTCTCACAACTATTAGGAGGACTGACTGGGTTAATACGTGCAAAGTACCAAGTACATAAGAAACCAACAGCCAGTGCTCATTACAATCATTATTATTTTGGGCAAGTTAAGCCGCATGGTTTCTTTAGGTATAAAATTAGGCTTTATTTACCTACCTGTTGGGTTGTTCCAAGGATTAATCACATAGTGTTCATGAATTCCCTTTATAAACTATTATAGAAAAGAAATATAGTTAACATTAATTGAACACCTACTATGTGCGATCGTTTTAAGGCTTGCCATGTGCTGCTTCATTCAGTCCGCACCATGACATTAGGATCACACTTTCGTTTTCCATTTTTTTTTAAATTATACTTTAATTACTAGGGTACATGTGCACAACGTGCAGGTTTATTACGTATGTAAGCACGTGCCATGTTGGTGTGCTGCACCCATTCACTAGTCATTTACATTAGGTATATCTCTTAATGTTATCCCTCCCCCTCCCCCCGCCCATGACAGGCCCCGGTGTGTGATGTTCCCCTTTCTGCGTCCAAGTGTTCTCCTAGTTCAATTCCCACCTATGAGTGGGATCACGCGGTGTTTGGTTTTTTTGTCCTTGCGATAGTTTGCTAAGAATGATGGTTTCCAGCTTCATCCGTGTCCCTCCGAAGGGCATGAACACATGCTTTTTTATGGCTGCATAGTATTCCACGGTGTATTTGTGCCACGTTTCCTTAATCCAGTCTATCATTGATGGACATCTGGGCTGGTTCCAAGTCTTTGCTACTGTGAACGGTGCCGCAATAAACATACGTCTGCGTGTGTCCTTTTAGCAGCATGATTTATAGTCCTATGGGTGTATACCCAGTAATGGGACGGCTGGGTCAAATGGTATTTCTAATTCTAGATCCTTGAGGATTCGCCACACTATCTTCCACAACCGCTGAACTGGTTTACAGTCCCACCAGCAGTTTAAAAGTGTCCCTATTTCTCCACTACCTCTCCAGCACCTGTTGTTTCCTGACTTTTTTATTGATCGCTATTCTAACTGGTGTGAGACGATATCTCTTTGCGGATTTGATTTGCATTTCTCTGATGACCAGTGTTGATGAGCATTTTTTCATGTGTCTGTTGGCTGCATAAATGTCTTCTTTTTAGAAGTGTCTCTTCATATCCTTCCTGCACTTGTTGATGGGGTTGTTTGGTTTTTCTTGTAACTCTGTTTGAGTTCTTAGTAGATTCTGGATATTAGCCCTTTGTCAGATGAGTAGATTGCAAAAATTTTCTCCCTTTCTGTAGCATGCCTGTTCACTCTGATGGGAGTTTCTTTAGCTGTGCAGAAACTCTTTAGTGTAATTAGATGCCGTTTGTCAATATTGGCTTTTGTTGCCTTTGCTTTTGGCGTTTTAGACATGAGGTCCTTGCCCATGCCTATGTCCTGAATGGTATTGCCTAGGTTTTCTCCTAGGGTTTGTATGGCTTAAGATGTAACATTTAAGTCTTTCATCCGTCTTGAATAAACTTTTGTATAAGGTGTAAGGAAGGGATCCAATTTCACCTTCGGACATATGGCTAGCCAGTTTTCCCAGCACCATTTATTAAATAGGGAATCCTTTCCCCATTTCTTGTTTTTGTCAGGTTTGTCAAAGATCCGATGGTTGTAGATGTGTCGTATTATTTCTGAGGGCTCTATTCTGTTCCATTGGTCTACAGTAACCAAAAAGGCAGCCAACAGCATGCTGTTTGGTTACTGTAGGCTTGTAGTGTAGTTTGAAGTCGGGTAGCTTGATGCCTCCAACTTTGTTCTTTTGGCTTAGGATTATCTTGGCAGTGGGGGCCCTTTTGTGGTTCCATGTAAACTTTCAAGTAGTTTTTTCCAATTCTGTGAAGAAAGTCCTTGGTAGCTTGATGGGGATGGCATTGGATCTATAATATACCTTGGGCAGTATGGCCATTTTCACGATACTGATTCTTCCTAACCGTGAGCATGGAATATTCTTCCATTGGTTTGTGTCCTCTTTTATTTCGTGGAGCAGTGGTTTGTAGTTCTCCTTGAAGAGGTCCTTCGCACATCGCATCCCTTGTTAGTTGGATTCCTCAGTATTTTATTCTCTTTGAAGCAATTGTGAATGGGAGCTCAGTCATGATTTGGCTCTCTGTTTGCCTGTTATTGGTGTATAAGAATGCTTGTGATTTTTGCACATCGATTTTGTATCCTGAGACTTTGCTGAAGTTGCTTATCAGCTTAAGGAGATTTTGGGCTGAGACGATGGGTTTTTCTAAATATTCAATCATGTCATCTACAAACAGGGACAATTTGACTTCCTCTTTTCCTAATTGATTACTCTTTATTTCTTTCTCCTGCCTGATTGCCCTGGCCAGAAGTTCCAACACTATGTTGAATAGGAGTGGTGAGAGAGGGCACCCCTGTCTTGTGGCAGTTTGCAAAGGGAATGCTTCCACTTTTTGCCCATTCAGTATGATATTGGCTGTGGGTTTGCCCTAAATAGCCCTTATTATTTTGAGGTATGTCCCATCAGTACCTAATTTATTGAGAGTTTTTGGCATGAAAGGCTGTTGAATTTTGTCAAAGGCCTTTTCTGCATCTGTTGAGATAATCACGCGGTTTCTGTCTTTGGTTCCGATTATATGCTGGATTATGTTTATTGATTTGCATATGTTGGACCAGCCTTGCATGTCAGGGATGAAGCCCACTTGATCATAATGGATAAGCTCTTTGATGTGCTGCTGGATTCGGTTTGCCAGCATTTTATGGAGGATTTTTCCATCGGTGTTCCTCAGGGATATGGGCCGAAAATTCTCTTTGTTGGTTGTGTCTCTCTCAGCCTTTGGGATCAGGATGATGCTGGCCTCATAAAATGAGATAGGGAGGATTCCCTCTTTTTCTGTTGATTGGAATAGTTTCCGAAGGAATGGTACCAGCTCCTCCTTGTACTTCTGGTAGAATTCGGCTGTGAATCCGTCTGGTCCTGGAGTTTTATTGCTTGATAGGCTATTAATTATTGCCTCAATTTCAGAGCCTGTTATTGGTCTATTCAGGCATTCAACTTCTTCCTGGTTTACTCTGGGGAGGTTGCATGTGTCCAGGAATTTATTCATTTCTTCTAGATTTCCGAGTTTGTTTGCCTAGAGGTGTTGACAGTATTCTCTCATGGTAGTTTGTACTTCTGTGGGATCAGTGGTGATATCCCCTTTATCATTTTTTATTGCATCTGCTTGATTCTTCTTCCTTTCATTCTTTAATAGTCTTGCTAGTGGTCTATCAATTTTGTTGATGGTTTCAAAAAACCCGCTCCTGGATTCATTGATTTTTTGAAGGGTTTTTTGGGTCTCTATCTCCTTCAATTCTGCTCGGATCTTAGTTATTTCTTGCCTTCTGCTAGCTTTTGAATGTGTTTGCTCTTGCTTCTCTCATCCTTTTAATGGTGATGTTAGGGTATGCATTTTTGATCTTTCCTCCTTTCCCTTGTGGGCATTTAGTGCTATAAATTTCCCTCTACACACTGCTTTAAATGTGTCCCAGAGATTCTGGTATGTTGTGTCTTTGTTCTCATTGCTTTCAGAGAATATCTTTATTTCTGCCTTCATTTCGTTATGTACCCAGTACTCATTCAGGAACAGCTTGTCCGGTTTCCATGCAGTTGTGCGGTTTTGAGTGAGTTTCTCAATCCTGAGGTCTAGTGTGATTGCAATGTGGTCTGAGAGACCGTTTGTAATAATTTCTGTTATTTTACTTTTACTGAGGAGTGCTTTACTTCCAACTATGTGGTCAATGTGGAAATAAGTGTGATGTGGTGCTGAGAAGAATGTATATTCTGTTGATTTGGGGTGGAGCGTTCTGTAGATGTCTCCTAGGTCCGCTTGGTGCAGAGCTGAGCTCAATTCCCGGATATCCTTTTTTAACTTTCTGTCTCGTTGGTGTGTCTAATGTTGACAGTGGGGTGTTAAGTTTGCCATTATTATTATTATTACTATGTGGGAGTCTAAGTCTCTTTTGATCACACTTTAAAGACCAAAAGGTAGAAGCGCAAAGACGTTATCTGTCCAATATTACAAACCTAGTAAGTGGTGGAATTTGGCCTTGAACCCAGATCTGTAACTCCAGAGCCGAAGTGCTTCACCCACCTCCCTGTGGTGCCTCTACAGAAAAAGAGGTAAGCAGGCATTCCGAAAGCTGGTGGGCCGGGGGGCTGGCCTTGTACTCAGAAGCCATGGAAGTCCCACGTGGGGTGGCTAGTGGTGTAAGGACAGAGGTCTCGGATGGGCAGAGGGATGTGGACAGGCGCGAGGGCGCGCGGCAGGGACTCGGGGGACTGGGAGTGGCGGCTCGGGGCTGCGGGAGGCGATTGGTGGAAGGACAGAGGTCTGGGAGGGGCAGAGGGATGTGGACAGGCCCGAGGGGCCGCGGCAGGGATTCCGGGGGACCGGGAGTGGGGGGTTGGGGTTACTCTTGGCTTTTTGCCCTCTCCTGCCGCCGGCTGCTCCAGTTTCTTTCGCTTTGCGGCGAGGTGGGCAGGGTGAGCTCTCGGGACTGATGGCGGTTTTGGAAGAGGCCTGGGGCTAAGGACAGGCCAGGGCGGCGGGAGAGGCGGACCGGTGGCGTGGCTGGATCTGGGCGCGCTGTCGGACCTTCCACATCACCAGCTGCAGGCAGGCGTTTGCGTCCTCGCTGGAGTTGTGGCCGTCCTGGCTGTCCTGGATGATCTGTGCCAGGTAGTCGGCCGCGAGATTCCTGAGGGAGCGCTTGTAGGGGAAACCCAGGTAGTGCGGGAAGAGCACGGCCGTGTCCACCACGGTGCTGTGGATGAGCTTCAGGGCCAGCAGGTCGCTCTCCAGGCTGTGCCCGATGAGGATGGTTTGGGCGCTGAAAAAGCTCAGCAGGATGGCTTGGACTTGGGGCAACGTGATGCTCGTCTTGGCGACGTCGGCCTCGGTGACTCCGGAAAACCTGGTGTTGTAGTCCACGATCTCGTTGTCGGGCTTGACGAAGGTGTCGTACACCACTCGCATGTCGGCGTCCACCACGGTGACGCGGGTCAGCTCTAGGCCATGCGTGGTGTAGCACATCTCACAGTCCAAGGCGTAGATTCCTGGATAAGCGTCTCTGGACAACTCTTTCTTGAAGGTCTCCACGAAGCCATCGAGGCTCTCCTTGCGGCCGTCCCGCACGTGCTGCTTTGCCACCTGGCAGCCCACAGAGCCAGGAGCAGCTGCACAGCAGGTGTACTGGCTAACCCGGCCTCCAGCCACCTGGCTCGAGCGGACCCGCCCCCAGTGATAATAACACAACTGGTCGCGTACACAGCGGCCCGAGGAGGACACCAGGTACTCGGTGCCACAACGGCAGCAGACCCTGCAGGAGGAGTCGCCGGGCCCCTTCCCCTGGCCAGTGAAGAGGACGGCGCCTCCGGGCCGCTCGGGGTGCGGGAAGGGGTAGCCGTTCTCCTTGAGCTGGTCCTGGGTGAGCAGGAACTCCTGGAGGCGGCTGTACAGGGCGGCCCTGCTGAGGCCGGGCATGGAGCTGGGGGTCAGGCCCTTCAGTCTCTTGAGGGTGTTCAGGACCACGTTCAGGTACCTGTTCTTGTTGGGGCTGCAGTCGTAGGCCACCTTCTCCTCGTTCAGCGCCTTCTCCTCGGCCTCCTGCTTGGAGGCGCAGAACTTGAGACACTCTTCGGTGAACAGCTGGAGATAGCCTCGGCGGAGGACGGTGGGGACTTGGCACCCAGAGCTTCGGAGGATAATGGGTTTCTTCAAACTCAAACTCGGTAAGGATGCACGACGGACGATTCGCTTAGAGCTGGTGGTGGCGGTGGTCTTGCATGCCATCCCTGACCTGTTGCGCGTCTTCCCTGGCTGTCTGCCGACCTTGGAGCCACGGGAGCGTTGGCTGCTGCTGGCCACCCGGGTTCTCTTGGCATCTGTGTAACCTGTGACCAAGCAAGGGCTGGAAGAGTGGGCGATCGTCTTCCTCTTCCTGGGGGCTGAGATGCGGACTCCCGAGGGCCTCTCTGTCAGCCTTGGGGCGGCTGGCAAGCGGCAGGCCGATCCCCTCTGCGCAGGGAAGTAGCACGACTCCGTCACCATCTTGGGCCACGCTGGGGGCACCGCCGGACCCCTGTTCTGGGGCTCCGCCTGGATGTCCACAAATGCTGAGGCCTGCTTGTGCATCTGGGGCACCCAGAGCCCGAAGCTCTGGGCAGGCTGATGAGAGGGCAGTGGGAATTCTGGAGCCTCGAGGGCCGCCTCCTCGGCCACCTTCTTAGCTTCTGGGTATCCAGGTGGGAACCAGCAGGGAGCTGTGGCTCGCAACATCTTGCTGCCTTCGGGAGCACCGGCCGGGCTCTGCTCCGCTCCCAAATGGCGGCTTGCCTCCGGGGCCGCCTCCTTGGCCACCTTCTTAGCTTCTGGGTATCCAGGGCGGAACCAGCAGGGAGCTGTGGCTCGCAACATCTTGCTGCCTTCGGGAGCACCGGCCTGGCTCTGCTCCCCTCCCAAATGGCGGCTTGCCTCCAGGGCCGCCTCCTCGGCCACCTTCTTAGCTTCTGGGTATCCAGGGGGGAACCAGCAGGGAGCTGTGGCTCGCAACATCTTGCTGCCTTCGGGAGCACCGGCCTGGCTCTGCTCCTCTCCCAACTGGCGGCTTCAATGAGTGCTGCGGCCGCCACTTGTCGCCTTTATATAGGCACAGGGCAGACTGGGTGGGACTTCTCCTTGATAGGTTGGTGCTTCAGTCCAATCACACTGAGCCTCATCTTCCACCAGACTCCAGCTTGGGAATGCCTCAGGGGGTGCGCTAATGGAATCAACTGGAACTCCCGGTTGCTAAACTTGGAGCTAGGTTGCTTTTCCTGAGTTAAGTAACTGTCCCTGCAGGGCAGTCCTATAATGGCTACTGGAATTGGGCTACCTAGGATTAAATTAAGGTTCAGGGAGGTTGGTCAACTTGCTTGGGCCCACACAGCACTCCTTGGAGCCAGGACTGGGCCAGCAGTCTGCTGCATGCTGGAGGGCGGGATCCCTCTGGGGCTGCCTTTCCCTGCTCTGTGCACTCCGCCGCTGCGGGCAAATTGAGGACAGGAAGCGGACCGCACCCACTTCTCTCCCAGGACTTGGGCAATGTTCAACACAGGTGGTCTTCCAAAGGTTCATAGAAAATGCACATGGTGAAGAAACTATGCATGGATTTCCACTGGTTTGCACTAAAATAAACTTGTCCTAACTTCTGATAACCTTTCTGAACTAGATCTAGTTTGAGGCACTAAGAAGGATGAGACATCCACTGAAAAGGACTCCCATCAGAGCAACATGAATTCCACGAAAATTGCAGCAAGAGGAAACATCAAATTTATGGTGAAGCTTGGGTGGAAGATTGAAGAAATCATTGACGTTTTAAGAAAAGCTTGTAAGGACACTACCCCAAAGAAATGAACTCTTTACGAATGTATAGCTTGTTTCAAGAAGAGGTGAGAAGATGTGGAAGATGAATCCTGCAGTGGCTGTGAAAACCACTGTGCCCAGATCAGCTGCAGTTACGACGAGAGCTATCAGTGGAAATTTTAAACAGGAGGGATCACGATCCTGACGCATCCCTCTGACAAATTGTAAGCGGCAGTTGGAACATGGCTTCACCAATATGATCGCCAAGGCAAAGCATCATGAAAGCGATGGCTACCAAGAGGTGGCAGTGGTCCAGTCAAAGGAAAAGGAGGCCAGTCAGGAGCCCACATCATGGCATCAGTGTTTTGGGACACTCAAGGCATTTTGCTTGTTGACTTTCTGAAAGGCCAAACATCTGCTTATTAGGAGAGTGTTCTGAGAAGCTTAGATAAAGCTTTGGTAGAAACATGCTGGGAAAGTCTCACTAGATCCTTGTTCACCACATCAATGCTCTGCTCATTCCTCTCATCAAACAAGGGCAATTTTGTCAGTTTCAATGGGCAGTCCTTAGGAATTCACCTTACGGGCTGCTTTCATTCCTTCTAAATTCTTTTTGTTTCCTAATGATAAAAAGTCTCCTTGCCTTGCTTGGAAAGATGAGAGAAAGTCTCCTTGCCTTGTTTGGACAGATGAGAGATGAGATCCTCCTCTTCTCTCCCAGGACAGAATGGTGAGACTTGAGTTTCCTTTCTCCTCACTCTTCTCCTCCTTGAGGGAGCTGCTGTGCCGGACAGACCTGCCCCCGTGTCTAGACACTGGTAGACTCGTTTAAGTTCCTCACAGGCAATCCTCCATGGGGTCAAAGTGGAAGGACTTATTTCTTCAGGGCTCAGTAGTCCACATCCTGGCGCGCACCTTCACCAGCCCAGGGCGGGGTAGAGGAGGGTGAAAGGGCGTGGCTCAGAGCCCGCTTCTTCCGCTCGGGCGTATCCTGGGAGGAACCCTTGTCCGGTGAGCATGTCTTCGTCTCTACCAAATTCCCTAGTGGGACATTTCTGGCAGCCCTACTTGTTCAGCAGCTTACGGGGGTCAGGTGGACCTCTGCTAGTCACCAGCCTGAAGCCCTTTCTCCATTTCAGCTATTTTGGCAGTTGCCTAGGTTGCTTTTGAACCTCATTATCCAGAACAGCAAACGGACGAGGGGTGAGAAGAGTGGCCGTCTGGGTTTGCAGCATAGTGCTGCCTTCTAGGAGTTGTGCAGTCTTCGATTGTGTGAAACTTCACCTGGCTGATTTGTGGCAATGCCTCCACAAATTCGCTAAATTCAGTAGCTTTGGCCTTCCAAGATTCATTTACACAATGTTGAATGCTTTAAATGAATGAGCATGAAGAGTGCTGGGCTGGAAAGTGATGAGATGGGTGGTAGGGACTCCTCGGAGTAGAGGAGTAGAGTTTTACTATTATGACTAGGAGGCAAATAAAAAGAAGCTGAACGTGATCCATAATAAAAGAAGCACACACTCACAGAGCTCCATACCAACTACATTAAAATGGAAATCATGATATTTGGAAATACAACTTAATTGGAAATCATTAAGTAATCTCATCAACCTTTTTACAGTGGGTGGCAGGGCTATGGAGGGAAAACAGCAATGGTTCTGGCACCTACTTAACTTGATTCCATTAAATTCACCCAACAGGCCTCCAGAGAACATATTACTGCTTTGATATTACAAAGGGAAAAACAGCTATGGCGTCTCTGAAAAGCACAACGTGCTAGGACTGGAATGACTTTAAAACCACACATAAATTTCTGAGAGATTTTTGCCATAAGGTACCATCCACCTTACTGTAAACCACATCCTAAAATTGTCTGCAGTGCAAATGGATTATGTGCATCCAACAGGAAACAGCATAGGTTGAGAAGCTGTTACTTAATAGCTTCATTGTCACCACGAGTGTAAAGTGTGGGGTCTCATCACTTTTGCACCCACGTTTTGCCTGTTGGTTTCTCCACACTGTCAGGAGCATTTGACCAACTCACTGTGGCTCAGGGTCCCTTACGCAGCCTGTTGGGGAAACCAGTGGGTATTGAAGACCTGCCTCTGGTGTGCCAGGAGGTTGTGCCTGCCGGCCACTCTGACTTGCGATCTTCCGCCTCAGTGTATGGCTTCCTACACCTGGGTAATTAACATAGCCAGCATGATAAGGAGGTCCTTTCATCACTATTGCCACTAGTCCTTCCGACTCCTGTGCCCTGTTTCTCCTTTATTGGAACCCAAGAACGAGTAAACATAGCATTTTCAAACATCCCGCCCCCTTCCCTGGTAACACCAATATTCCACCATCCTAATTGCCTCACAAGCATTGAGTCTCTCCACCCTGAGGTGGTGAAATCCCTGCAGGCATTTATAAGTATACCTGGACAGAAGAAATACAAGATACCGTTCTATTAACTCAATATAGTGTTGCTAAGTTCGTACTTGTGCTTGGTTTATGTTATTTTATAAATACGTATCACTCGCATGGTTCCAAATGCGGTAGGCACAGAGAGTATATATGATGGAATTACATCCTCCTTCCCTGCACTCAGCAACCGAGATCTTCCCGCTACGGGCACTGAAAGGTTTCATTGTCTGAAATATCAGCCTAAACGTAGTTTATGTTTAGGAAGCAACAACCGTAAATAGGCCCACATCCAAACGGAGTGGATTTAGGTTTCACTTTTTCAAGGAAAAACCATCAAAGAATTTTTCCACATACTTATAAACCATCCCACGTATAGAATCCATTTTTACTGACACAAATTTAGTACCAATAAACGACTCTTCTTCTCAATTTGTTTTATTTAACAATAAGTCTTGAACGTCATTCCCAGTTAACATTTTGAAGAGTTTCCTCTCTTTCGTTCTGTTTTAGCTGCAAAGTATTCTTCCGTAAGGATGAACGTACTATAATTTATTAGCCAGCCACTTAGTGATGTACAATTAAGCAGTTTTAAATCTTTGACTCTTGAAAATATTGTTTCTCACACATAAATATTTCTATAAAATAAATTAGTTGAATTAGAATTGTTGGAGTTCAAGACCAGCCTGGCCAACATGGTGAAACCCCATCTCTACTAGAAACACAAAATTAGCCGGACATGCCGGTACATGCCTCTAATCTCAGGTGAGGCAGGAGAATCACTTCAACCTGGGAGGCAGAGGTTGTAGTGACTCGAAATCACGCCACTGCACTCCAGCCTGGGCGACGCGAGCGAAACTCTGTCTCAAAAAACCAAAAAAAATTAAACATAAAAAGAAAAGCGGTACATATTCCCAATAGAACACAATTCAGCCTTAAAAAAGAAAGAAATCATCTCATTGGCAACACGAATGAGCCTAGAGGATGGTACACTGAGTGAAAGAAAGCAAAGGCCAGGCACGGTGGCTCATGCCTGTAATCCCAGTACTTTGGGAGGCCAAGGCAGGTGGAAGCGTTGAGCCCAGGAGTTGGAGATGAACCTGGGCAACATGGTGAAACCCCATCTCTAAAAGAAACACAAAAATTAGCCAAGTGTGGCGTTGGACGCCTGTAGTCCTAGCTATTCAGGAGGCTGAAGCGGGAGGAACTCTCGACCCCGGGAG
The DNA here is from genome assembly GCF_000001405.40 of Homo sapiens. Classification (NCBI taxonomy): domain Eukaryota; kingdom Metazoa; phylum Chordata; class Mammalia; order Primates; family Hominidae; genus Homo; species Homo sapiens. The sequence goes on from NC_000008.11 coordinate 85,796,771, forward strand.
GTGGAGGCCGTGGTGGGTGAGTGAGCCGTGTTTGTGTCACTGTACTCCAGCCTGGGTGACAGACTGAGACCCTGTCTCAAAAAATAAATAATTACATAATAAAATTTAAAAAGCAAGCACAAAAAGACAAATACTGCATGATCTCACTTATATGTGCAATCTCAAACAATGCAACTCATAGCTGTAGAGAGCAGAACGGTGGTTACCCGAGGCAGGGGTCAGGGAGGGACTGGAGAGATGATAGTCTCATGATACAAAATTTCAGAGAGGAATGGTTCTAGAGATCTATTGAACAGCCTGGCATCTACAGTGTATAAGTATGTATTGTATACTTGAAAATTGCTATAAGAGTAGATTTTAGACATGTCCTCATCACATTAAAATCAGTATGTGAGGAAACGAGTGTGTTAATTAGCTTGATTTTGTCATTCCACAATGTATACACGTATGAAACATCATGTTGTATGCCATAAATATATATAATTTTTATTTGTCAAGTTAAAATTAAAATTCATATAAATTATAAAAATAAAATGAAATAACATACACTACAAAAGACGTTTATTTATTAAATCCCCACAGAAAGGGTCTAAGTGATAAAGGAAAATAAAATTCCGGGAACGGTAAAATCAATCAGAAATGCCCTACTTCAGTGCTTTCCGAAATTTGTCTGACAGAGTGGAAATCCAGTTTTTCACTAAGTCACTGTTCTGGAACAGTTTGTGTGTGTGTATGTATGTGTGTCAGGGCTCACATACACAAATTGAACTAATGGAAGTGTAAGCATTCAAATTATCAGTTTAATTTAGTTCTATACATATACACACACACACACTCACACACCGAAAACATTGATAAAATCAGCCATTCCAGCAAAACTAGCTACTTAGTGTCTATCTCTCCTTGAAGATTCAAACTAGAAATGAGGATTTAGAGAGGCATGATGGTTCGTTCTCTCTTGGAGCCCAGTTCGAAGTTGACTGACTGATTCAGTCATTGTAATTGGTTGGTCTTGGGGAAGAATCCACTTTGACTCTTGGGAAGTCAGCTAGGTCAGCGGACAGAGCAGGGGCTCTGGAGCCAGACTGCCTGCACCCGACTTCTAGCTATGATACCTTGGATAAACTACTTATCACCTGGGCTTCAGGTTCCTCATCTGTAAAATGGGGATAAGAATGCTATCTCTCTCACAACTGTTAGGAGGACAGACTGGGTTAATACGTGCAAAGTACCAAGTACATAAGAAACCAACAGCCAGTGCTCATTACAATCATTATTATTTTGGGCAAGTTAAGCCGCATGGTTTCTTTAGGTATAAAATTAGGCTTTATTTACCTACCTGTTGGGTTGTTCCAAGGATTAATCACATAGTGTTCATGAATTCCCTTTATAAACTATTATAGAAAAGAAATATAGTTAACATTAATTGAACACCTACTATGTGCGATCGTTTTAAGGCTTGCCATGTGCTGCTTCATTCAGTCCGCACCATGACATTAGGATCACACTTTCGTTTTCCATTTTTTTTTAAATTATACTTTAATTACTAGGGTACATGTGCACAACGTGCAGGTTTATTACGTATGTAAGCACGTGCCATGTTGGTGTGCTGCACCCATTCACTAGTCATTTACATTAGGTATATCTCTTAATGTTATCCCTCCCCCTCCCCCCGCCCATGACAGGCCCCGGTGTGTGATGTTCCCCTTTCTGCGTCCAAGTGTTCTCCTAGTTCAATTCCCACCTATGAGTGGGATCACGCGGTGTTTGGTTTTTTTGTCCTTGCGATAGTTTGCTAAGAATGATGGTTTCCAGCTTCATCCGTGTCCCTCCGAAGGGCATGAACACATGCTTTTTTATGGCTGCATAGTATTCCACGGTGTATTTGTGCCACGTTTCCTTAATCCAGTCTATCATTGATGGACATCTGGGCTGGTTCCAAGTCTTTGCTACTGTGAACGGTGCCGCAATAAACATACGTCTGCGTGTGTCCTTTTAGCAGCATGATTTATAGTCCTATGGGTGTATACCCAGTAATGGGACGGCTGGGTCAAATGGTATTTCTAATTCTAGATCCTTGAGGATTCGCCACACTATCTTCCACAACCGCTGAACTGGTTTACAGTCCCACCAGCAGTGTAAAAGTGTCCCTATTTCTCCACTACCTCTCCAGCACCTGTTGTTTCTTGACTTTTTTATTGATCGCTATTGTAACTGGTGTGAGACGATATCTCTTTGCGGATTTGATTTGCATTTCTCTGATGACCAGTGTTGATGAGCATTTTTTCATGTGTCTGTTGGCTGCATAAATGTCTTCTTTTTAGAAGTGTCTCTTCATATCCTTCCCGCACTTGTTGATGGGGTTGTTTGGATTTTCTTGTAACTCTGTTTGAGTTCTTAGTAGATTCTGGATATTAGCCCTTTGTCAGATGAGTAGATTGCAAAAATTTTCTCCCTTTCTGTAGCATGCCTGTTCACTCTGATGGGAGTTTCTTTAGCTGTGCAGAAACTCTTTAGTGTAATTAGATGCCGTTTGTCAATATTGGCTTTTGTTGCCTTTGCTTTTGGCGTTTTAGACATGAGGTCCTTGCCCATGCCTATGTCCTGAATGGTATTGCCTAGGTTTTCTCCTAGGGTTTGTATGGCTTAAGATGTAACATTTAAGTCTTTCATCCGTCTTGAATAAACTTTTGCATAAGGTGTAAGGAAGGGATCCAATTTCACCTTCGGACATATGGCTAGCCAGTTTTCCCAGCACCATTTATTAAATAGGGAATCCTTTCCCCATTTCTTGTTTTTGTCAGGTTTGTCAAAGATCCGACGGTTGTAGATGTGTCGTATTATTTCTGAGGGCTCTATTCTGTTCCATTGGTCTACAGTAACCAAAAAGGCAACCAACAGCATGCTGTTTGGTTACTGTAGGCTTGTAGTGTAGTTTGAAGTCGGGTAGCTTGATGCCTCCACCTTTGTTCTTTTGGCTTAGGATTATCTTGGCAGTGGGGGCCCTTTTGTGGTTCCATGTAAACTTTCAAGTAGTTTTTTCCAATTCTGTGAAGAAAGTCCTTGGTAGCTTGATGGGGATGGCATTGGATCTATAATATACCTTGGGCAGTATGGCCATTTTCACGATACTGATTCTTCCTAACCGTGAGCATGGAATATTCTTCCATTGGTTTGTGTCCTCTTTTATTTCGTGGAGCAGTGGTTTGTAGTTCTCCTTGAAGAGGTCCTTCGCACATCGCATCCCTTGTTAGTTGGATTCCTCAGTATTTTATTCTCTTTGAAGCAATTGTGAATGGGAGCTCAGTCATGATTTGGCTCTCTGTTTGCCTGTTATTGGTGTATGAGAATGCTTGTGATTTTTGCACATCGATTTTGTATCCTGAGACTTTGCTGAAGTTGCTTATCAGCTTAAGGAGATTTTGGGCTGAGACGATGGGGTTTTCTAAATATTCAATCGTGTCATCTACAAACAGGGACAATTTGACTTCCTCTTTTCCTAATTGATTACTCTTTATTTCTTTCTCCTGCCTGATTGCCCTGGCCAGAAGTTCCAACACTATGTTGAATAGGAGTGGTGAGAGAGGGCACCCCTGTCTTGTGGCAGTTTGCAAAGGGAATGCTTCCACTTTTTGCCCATTCAGTATGATATTGGCTGTGGGTTTGCCCTAAATAGCCCTTATTATTTTGAGGTATGTCCCATCAGTACCTAATTTATTGAGAGTTTTTGGCATGAAAGGCTGTTGAATTTTGTCAAAGGCCTTTTCTGCATCTGTTGAGATAATCACGCGGTTTCTGTCTTTGGTTCCGATTATATGCTGGATTATGTTTATTGATTTGCATATGTTGGACCAGCCTTGCATGTCAGGGATGAAGCCCACTTGATCATAATGGATAAGCTCTTTGATGTGCTGCTGGATTCGGTTTGCCAGCATTTTATGGAGGATTTTTCCATCGGTGTTCCTCAGGGATATGGGCCGAAAATTCTCTTTGTTGGTTGTGTCTCTCTCAGCCTTTGGGATCAGGATGATGCTGGCCTCATAAAATGAGATAGGGAGGATTCCCTCTTTTTCTGTTGATTGGAATAGTTTCCGAAGGAATGGTACCAGCTCCTCCTTGTACTTCTGGTAGAATTCGGCTGTGAATCCGTCTGGTCCTGGAGTTTTATTGCTTGATAGGCTATTAATTATTGCCTCAATTTCAGAGCCTGTTATTGGTCTATTCAGGCATTCAACTTCTTCCTGGTTTACTCTGGGGAGGTTGCATGTGTCCAGGAATTTATTCATTTCTTCTAGATTTCCGAGTTTGTTTGCCTAGAGGTGTTGACAGTATTCTCTCATGGTAGTTTGTACTTCTGTGGGATCAGTGGTGATATCCCCTTTATCATTTTTTATTGCATCTGCTTGATTCTTCTTCCTTTCATTCTTTAATAGTCTTGCTAGTGGTCTATCAATTTTGTTGATGGTTTCAAAAAACCCGCTCCTGGATTCATTGATTTTTTGAAGGGTTTTTTGGGTCTCTATCTCCTTCAGTTCTGCTCGGATCTTAGTTAATTCTTGCCTTCTGCTAGCTTTTGAATGTGTTTGCTCTTGCTTCTCTCATCCTTTTAATGGTGATGTTAGGGTATGCATTTTTGATCTTTCCTGCTTTCCCTTGTGGGCATTTAGTGCTATAAATTTCCCTCTACACACTGCTTTAAATGTGTCCCAGAGATTCTGGTATGTTGTGTCTTTGTTCTCATTGCTTTCAGAGAATATCTTTATTTCTGCCTTCATTTCGTTATGTACCCAGTACTCATTCAGGAGCAGCTTGTCCGGTTTCCATGCAGTTGAGCGGTTTTGAGTGACTTTCTCAATCCTGAGGTCTAGTGTGATTGCAATGTGGTCTGAGAGACCGTTTGTAATAATTTCTGTAATTTTACTTTTACTGAGGAGTGCTTTACTTCCAACTATGTGGTCAATGTGGAAATAAGTGTGATGTGGTGCTGAGAAGAATGTATATTCTGTTGATTTGGGGTGGAGCGTTCTGTAGATGTCTCCTAGGTCCGCTTGGTGCAGAGCTGAGCTCAATTCCCGGATATCCTTTTTTAACTTTCTGTCTCGTTGGTGTGTCTAATGTTGACAGTGGGGTGTTAAGTTTGCCATTATTATTATTATTACTATGTGGGAGTCTAAGTCTCTTTTGATCACACTTTAAAGACCAAAAGGTAGAAGCGCAAAGACGTTATCTGTCCAATATTACAAACCTAGTAAGTGGTGGAATTTGGCCTTGAACCCAGATCTGTAACTCCAGAGCCGAAGTGCTTCACCCACCTCCCTGTGGTGCCTCTACAGAAAAAGAGGTAAGCAGGCATTCCGAAAGCTGGTGGGCCGGGGGGCTGGCCTTGTACTCAGAAGCCATGGAAGTCCCACGTGGGGTGGCTAGTGGTGTAAGGACAGAGGTCTCGGATGGGCAGAGGGATGTGGACAGGCGCGAGGGCGCGCGGCAGGGACTCGGGGGACTGGGAGTGGCGGCTCGGGGCTGCGGGAGGCGATTGGTGGAAGGACAGAGGTCTGGGAGGGGCAGAGGGATGTGGACAGGCCCGAGGGGCCGCGGCAGGGATTCCGGGGGACCGGGAGTGGGGGGTTGGGGTTACTCTTGGCTTTTTGCCCTCTCCTGCCGCCGGCTGCTCCAGTTTCTTTCGCTTTGCGGCGAGGTGGGCAGGGTGAGCTCTCGGGACTGATGGCGGTTTTGGAAGAGGCCTGGGGCTAAGGACAGGCCAGGGCGGCGGGAGAGGCGGACCGGTGGCGTGGCTGGATCTGGGCGCGCTGTCGGACCTTCCACATCACCAGCTGCAGGCAGGCGTTTGCGTCCTCGCTGGAGTTGTGGCCGTCCTGGCTGTCCTGGATGATCTGTGCCAGGTAGTCGGCCGCGAGATTCCTGAGGGAGCGCTTGTAGGGGAAACCCAGGTAGTGCGGGAAGAGCACGGCCGTGTCCACCACGGTGCTGTGGATGAGCTTCAGGGCCAGCAGGTCGCTCTCCAGGCTGTGCCCGATGAGGATGGTTTGGGCGCTGAAAAAGCTCAGCAGGATGGCTTGGACTTGGGGCAACGTGATGCTCGTCTTGGCGACGTCGGCCTCGGTGACTCCGGAAAACCTGGTGTTGTAGTCCACGATCTCGTTGTCGGGCTTGACGAAGGTGTCGTACACCACTCGCATGTCGGCGTCCACCACGGTGACGCGGGTCAGCTCTAGGCCATGCGTGGTGTAGCACATCTCACAGTCCAAGGCGTAGATTCCTGGATAAGCGTCTCTGGACAACTCTTTCTTGAAGGTCTCCACGAAGCCATCGAGGCTCTCCTTGCGGCCGTCCCGCACGTGCTGCTTTGCCACCTGGCAGCCCACAGAGCCAGGAGCAGCTGCACAGCAGGTGTACTGGCTAACCCGGCCTCCAGCCACCTGGCTCGAGCGGACCCGCCCCCAGTGATAATAACACAACTGGTCGCGTACACAGCGGCCCGAGGAGGACACCAGGTACTCGGTGCCACAACGGCAGCAGACCCTGCAGGAGGAGTCGCCGGGCCCCTTCCCCTGGCCAGTGAAGAGGACGGCGCCTCCGGGCCGCTCGGGGTGCGGGAAGGGGTAGCCGTTCTCCTTGAGCTGGTCCTGGGTGAGCAGGAACTCCTGGAGGCGGCTGTACAGGGCGGCCCTGCTGAGGCCGGGCATGGAGCTGGGGGTCAGGCCCTTCAGTCTCTTGAGGGTGTTCAGGACCACGTTCAGGTACCTGTTCTTGTTGGGGCTGCAGTCGTAGGCCACCTTCTCCTCGTTCAGCGCCTTCTCCTCGGCCTCCTGCTTGGAGGCGCAGAACTTGAGACACTCTTCGGTGAACAGTTGGAGATAGCCTCGGCGGAGGACGGTGGGGACTTGGCACCCAGAGCTTCGGAGGATAATGGGTTTCTTCAAACTCAAACTCGGTAAGGATGCACGACGGACGATTCGCTTAGAGCTGGTGGTGGCGGTGGTCTTGCATGCCATCCCTGACCTGTTGCGCGTCTTCCCTGGCTGTCTGCCGACCTTGGAGCCACGGGAGCGTTGGCTGCTGCTGGCCACCCGGGTTCTCTTGGCATCTGTGTAACCTGTGACCAAGCAAGGGCTGGAAGAGTGGGCGATCGTCTTCCTCTTCCTGGGGGCTGAGATGCGGACTCCCGAGGGCCTCTCTGTCAGCCTTGGGGCGGCTGGCAAGCGGCAGGCCGATCCCCTCTGCGCAGGGAAGTAGCACGACTCCGTCACCATCTTGGGCCACGCTGGGGGCACCGCCGGACCCCTGTTCTGGGGCTCCGCCTGGATGTCCACAAATGCTGAGGCCTGCTTGTGCATCTGGGGCACCCAGAGCCCGAAGCTCTGGGCAGGCTGATGAGAGGGCAGTGGGAATTCTGGAGCCTCGAGGGCCGCCTCCTCGGCCACCTTCTTAGCTTCTGGGTATCCAGGTGGGAACCAGCAGGGAGCTGTGGCTCGCAACATCTTGCTGCCTTCGGGAGCACCGGCCGGGCTCTGCTCCGCTCCCAAATGGCGGCTTGCCTCCGGGGCCGCCTCCTTGGCCAGCTTCTTAGCTTCTGGGTATCCAGGGCGGAACCAGCAGGGAGCTGTGGCTCGCAACATCTTGCTGCCTTCGGGAGCACCGGCCTGGCTCTGCTCCCCTCCCAAATGGCGGCTTGCCTCCAGGGCCGCCTCCTCGGCCACCTTCTTAGCTTCTGGGTATCCAGGGGGGAACCAGCAGGGAGCTGTGGCTCGCAACATCTTGCTGCCTTCGGGAGCACCGGCCTGGCTCTGCTCCTCTCCCAACTGGCGGCTTCAATGAGTGCTGCGGCCGCCACTTGTCGCCTTTATATAGGCACAGGGCAGACTGGGTGGGACTTCTCCTTGATAGGTTGGTGCTTCAGTCCAATCACACTGAGCCTCATCTTCCACCAGACTCCAGCTTGGGAATGCCTCAGGGGGTGCGCTAATGGAATCAACTGGAACTCCCGGTTGCTAAACTTGGAGCTAGGTTGCTTTTCCTGAGTTAAGTAACTGTCCCTGCAGGGCAGTCCTATAATGGCTACTGGAATTGGGCTACCTAGGATTAAATTAAGGTTCAGGGAGGTTGGTCAACTTGCTTGGGCCCACACAGCACCCCTTGGAGCCAGGACTGGGCCAGCAGTCTGCTGCATGCTGGAGGGCGGGATCCCTCTGGGGCTGCCTTTCCCTGCTCTGTGCACTCCGCCGCTGCGGGCAAATTGAGGACAGGAAGCGGACCGCACCCACTTCTCTCCCAGGACTTGGGCAATGTTCAACACAGGTGGTCTTCCAAAGGTTCATAGAAAATGCACATGGTGAAGAAACTATGCATGGATTTCCACTGGTTTGCACTAAAATAAACTTGTCCTAACTTCTGATAACCTTTCTGAACTAGATCTAGTTTGAGGCACTAAGAAGGATGAGACATCCACTGAAAAGGACTCCCGTCAGAGCAACATGAATTCCACGAAAATTGCAGCAAGAGGAAACATCAAATTTATGGTGAAGCTTGGGTGGAAGATTGAAGACATCATTGACGTTTTAAGAAAAGCTTGTAAGGACACTACCCCAAAGAAATGAACTCTTTTCGAATGTATAGCTTGTTTCAAGAAGAGGTGAGAAGATGTGGAAGATGAATCCTGCAGTGGCTGTGAAAACCACTGTGCCCAGATCAGCTGCAGTTACGACGAGAGCTATCAGTGGAAATTTTAAACAGGAGGGATCACGATCCTGACGCATCCCTCTGACAAATTGTAAGCGGCAGTTGGAACATGGCTTCACCAATATGATCTCGAAGGCAAAGCATCATGAAAGCGATGGCTACCAAGAGGTGGCAGTGGTCCAGTCAAAGGAAAAGGAGGCCAGTCAGGAGCCCACATCATGGCATCAGTGTTTTGGGACACTCAAGGCATTTTGCTTGTTGACTTTCTGAAAGGCCAAACATCTGCTTATTAGGAGAGTGTTCTGAGAAGCTTAGGTAAAGCTTTGGTAGAAACATGCTGGGAAAGTCTCACTAGATCCTTGTTCACCACATCAATGCTCTGCTCATTCCTCTCATCAAACAAGGGCAATTTTGTCAGTTTCAATGGGCAGTCCTTAGGAATTCACCTTACGGGCTGCTTTCATTCCTTCTAAATTCTTTTTGTTTCCTAATGATAAAAAGTCTCCTTGCCTTGCTTGGAAAGATGAGAGAAAGTCTCCTTGCCTTGTTTGGACAGATGAGAGATGAGATCCTCCTCTTCTCTCCCAGGACAGAATGGTGAGACTTGAGTTTCCTTTCTCCTCACTCTTCTCCTCCTTGAGGGAGCTGCTGTGCCGGACAGACCTGCCCCCGTGTCTAGACACTGGTAGACTCGTTTAAGTTCCTCACAGGCAATCCTCCATGGGGTCAAAGTGGAAGGACTTATTTCTTCAGGGCTCAGTAGTCCACATCCTGGCGCGCACCTTCACCAGCCCAGGGCGGGGTAGAGGAGGGTGAAAGGGCGTGGCTCAGAGCCCGCTTCTTCCGCTCGGGCGTATCCTGGGAGGAACCCTTGTCCGGTGAGCATGTCTTCGTCTCTACCAAATTCCCTAGTGGGACATTTCTGGCAGCCCTACTTGTTCAGCAGCTTACGGGGGTCAGGTGGACCTCTGCTAGTCACCAGCCTGAAGCCCTTTCTCCATTTCAGCTATTTTGGCAGTTGCCTAGGTGACTTTTGAACCTCATTATCCAGAACAGCAAACGGACGAGGGGTGAGAAGAGTGGCCGTCTGGGTTTGCAGCATAGTGCTGCCTTCTAGGAGTTGTGCAGTCTTCGATTGTGTGAAACTTCACCTGGCTGATTTGTGGCAATGCCTCCACAAATTCGCTAAATTCAGTAGCTTTTGCCTTCCAAGATTCATTTACACAATGTTGAATGCTTTAAATGAATGAGCATGAAGAGTGCTGGGCTGGAAAGTGATGAGATGGGTGGTAGGGACTCCTCGGAGTAGAGGAGTAGAGTTTTACTATTATGACTAGGAGGCAAATAAAAAGAAGCTGAACGTGATCCATAATAAAAGAAGCACACACTCACAGAGCTCCATACCAACTACATTAAAATGGAAATCATGATATTTGGAAATACAACTTAATTGGAAATCATTAAGTAATCTCATCAACCTTTTTACAGTGGGTGGCAGGGCTATGGAGGGAAAACAGCAATGGTTCTGGCACCTACTTAACTTGATTCCATTAAATTCACCCAACAGGCCTCCAGAGAACATATTACTGCTTTGATATTACAAAGGGAAAAACAGCTATGGCGTCTCTGAAAAGCACAACGTGCTAGGACTGGAATGACTTTAAAACCACACATAAATTTCTGAGAGATTTTTGCCATAAGGTACCATCCACCTTACTGTAAACCACATCCTAAAATTGTCTGCAGTGCAAATGGATTATGTGCATCCAACAGGAAACAGCATAGGTTGAGAAGCTGTTACTTAATAGCTTCATTGTCACCACGAGTGTAAAGTGTGGGGTCTCATCACTTTTGCACCCACGTTTTGCCTGTTGGTTTCTCCACACTGTCAGGAGCATTTGACCAACTCACTGTGGCTCAGGGTCCCTTACGCAGCCTGTTGGGGAAACCAGTGGGTATTGAAGACCTGCCTCTGGTGTGCCAGGAGGTTGTGCCTGCCGGCCACTCTGACTTGCGATCTTCCGCCTCAGTGTATGGCTTCCTACACCTGGGTAATTAACATAGCCAGCATGATAAGGAGGTCCTTTCATCACTATTGCCACTAGTCCTTCCGACTCCTGTGCCCTGTTTCTCCTTTATTGGAACCCAAGAACGAGTAAACATAGCATTTTCAAACATCCCGCCCCCTTCCCTGGTAACACCAATATTCCACCATCCTAATTCCCTCACAAGCATTGAGTCTCTCCACCCTGAGGTGGTGAAATCCCTGCAGGCATTTATAAGTATACCTGGACAGAAGAAATACAAGATACCGTTCTATTAACTCAATATAGTGTTGCTAAGTTCGTACTTGTGCTTGGTTTATGTTATTTTATAAATACGTATCACTCGCATGGTTCCAAATGCGGTAGGCACAGAGAGTATATATGATGGAATTACATCCTCCTTCCCTGCACTCAGCAACCGAGATCTTCCCGCTACGGGCACTCAAAGGTTTCATTGTCTGAAATATCAGCCTAAACGTAGTTTATGTTTAGGAAGCAACAACCGTAAATAGGCCCACATCCAAACGGAGTGGATTTAGGTTTCACTTTTTCAAGGAAAAACCATCAAAGAATTTTTCCACATACTTATAAACCATCCCACGTATAGAATCCATTTTTACTGACACAAATTTAGTACCAATAAACGACTCTTCTTCTCAATTTGTTTTATTTAACAATAAGTCTTGAACGTCATTCCCAGTTAACATTTTGAAGAGTTTCCTCTCTTTCGTTCTGTTTTAGCTGCAAAGTATTCTTCCGTAAGGATGAACGTACTATAATTTATTAGCCAGCCACTTAGTGATGTACAATTAAGCAGTTTTAAATCTTTGACTCTTGAAAATATTGTTTCTCACACATAAATATTTCTATAAAATAAATTAGTTGAATTAGAATTGTTGGAGTTCAAGACCAGCCTGGCCAACATGGTGAAACCCCATCTCTACTAGAAACACAAAATTAGCCGGACATGCCGGTACATGCCTCTAATCTCAGGTGAGGCAGGAGAATCACTTCAACCTGGGAGGCAGAGGTTGTAGTGACTCGAAATCACGCCACTGCACTCCAGCCTGGGCGACGCGAGCGAAACTCTGTCTCAAAAAACCAAAAAAAATTAAACATAAAAAGAAAAGCGGTACATATACCCAATAGAACACAATTCAGCCTTAAAAAAGAAAGAAATCATCTCATTGGCAACACGAATGAGCCTAGAGGATGGTACACTGAGTGAAAGAAAGCAAAGGCCAGGCACGGTGGCTCATGCCTGTAATCCCAGTACTTTGGGAGGCCAAGGCAGGTGGAAGCGTTGAGCCCAGGAGTTGGAGATGAACCTGGGCAACATGGTGAAACCCCATCTCTAAAAGAAACACAAAAATTAGCCAAGTGTGGCGTTGGACGCCTGTAGTCCTAGCTATTCAGGAGGCTGAAGCGGGAGGAACTCTCGACCCCGGGAGGTGGAGGCCGTGGTGGGTGAGTGAGCCGTGTTTGTGTCACTGTACTCCAGCCTGGGTGACAGACTGAGACCCTGTCTCAAAAAATAAATAATTACATAATAAAGATTTAAAAAGCAAGCACAAAAAGACAAATACTGCATGATCTCACTTATATGTGCAATCTCAAACAATGCAACTCATAGCTGCAGAGAGCAGAACGGTGGTTACCCGAGGCAGGGGTCAGGGAGGGACTGGAGAGATGATAGTCTCATGATACAAAATTTCAGAGAGGAATGGTTCTAGAGATCTATTGAACAGCCTGGCATCTACAGTGTATAAGTATGTATTGTATACTTGAAAATTGCTATAAGAGTAGATTTTAGACATGTCCTCATCACATTAAAATCAGTATGTGAGGAAACGAGTGTGTTAATTAGCTTGATTTTGTCATTCCACAATGTATACACGTATGAAACATCATGTTGTATGCCATAAATATATATAATTTTTATTTGTCAAGTTAAAATTAAAATTCATATAAATTATAAAAGTAAAATGAAATAACATACACTACAAAAGACGTTTATTTATTAAATCCCCACAGAAGGGGTCTAAGTGATAAAGGAAAATAAAATTCCGGGAACGGTAAAATCAATCAGAAATGCCCTACTTCAGTGCTTTCCGAAATTTGTCTGACAGAGTGGAAATCCAGTTTTTCACTAAGTCACTGTTCTGGAACAGTTTGTGTGTGTGTATGTATGTGTGTGAGGGCTCACATACACAAATTGAACTAATGGAAGTGTAAGCATTCAAATTATCAGTTTAATTTAGTTCTATACATATACACACACACACACTCACACACCGAAAACATTGATAAAATCAGCCATTCCAGCAAAACTAGCTACTTAGTGTCTATCTCTCCTTGAAGATTCAAACTAGAAATGAGGATTTAGAGAGGCATGATGGTTCGTTCTCTCTTGGAGCCCAGTTCGAAGTTGACTGACTGATTCAGTCATTGTAATTGGTTGGTCTTGGGGAAGAATCCACTTTGACTCTTGGGAAGTCAGCTAGGTCAGCGGACAGAGCAGGGGCTCTGGAGCCAGACTGCCTGCACCCGACTTCTAGCTATGATACCTTGGATAAACTACTTATCACCTGGGCTTCAGGTTCCTCATCTGTAAAATGGGGATAAGAATGCTATCTCTCTCACAACTATTAGGAGGACTGACTGGGTTAATACGTGCAAAGTACCAAGTACATAAGAAACCAACAGCCAGTGCTCATTACAATCATTATTATTTTGGGCAAGTTAAGCCGCATGGTTTCTTTAGGTATAAAATTAGGCTTTATTTACCTACCTGTTGGGTTGTTCCAAGGATTAATCACATAGTGTTCATGAATTCCCTTTATAAACTATTATAAAAAAGAAATATAGTTAACATTAATTGAACACCTACTATGTGCGATCGTTTTAAGGCTTGCCATGTGCTGCTTCATTCAGTCCGCACCATGACATTAGGATCACACTTTCGTTTTCCATTTTTTTTTAAATTATACTTTAATTACTAGGGTACATGTGCACAACGTGCAGGTTTATTACGTATGTAAGCACGTGCCATGTTGGTGTGCTGCACCCATTCACTAGTCATTTACGTTAGGTATGTCTCTTAATGTTATCCCTCCCCCTCCCCCCGCCCATGACAGGCCCCGGTGTGTGATGTTCCCCTTTCTGCGTCCAAGTGTTCTCCTAGTTCAATTCCCACCTATGAGTGGGATCACGCGGTGTTTGGTTTTTTTGTCCTTGCGATAGTTTGCTAAGAATGATGGTTTCCAGCTTCATCCGTGTCCCTCCGAAGGGCATGAACACATGCTTTTTTATGGCTGCATAGTATTCCATGGTGTATTTGTGCCACGTTTCCTTAATCCAGTCTATCATTGATGGACATCTGGGCTGGTTCCAAGTCTTTGCTACTGTGAACGGTGCTGCAATAAACATACATCTGCGTGTGTCCTTTTAGCAGCATGATTTATAGTCCTATGGGTGTATACCCAGTAATGGGACGGCTGGGTCAAATGGTATTTCTAATTCTAGATCCTTGAGGATTCGCCACACTATCTTCCACAACCGCTGAACTGGTTTACAGTCCCACCAGCAGTGTAAAAGTGTCCCTATTTCTCCACTACCTCTCCAGCACCTGTTGTTTCCTGACTTTTTTATTGATCGCTATTCTAACTGGTGTGAGACGATATCTCTTTGCGGATTTGATTTGCATTTCTCTGATGACCAGTGTTGATGAGCATTTTTTCATGTGTCTGTTGGCTGCATAAATGTCTTCTTTTTAGAAGTGTCTCTTCATATCCTTCCCGCACTTGTTGATGGGGTTGTTTGGTTTTTCTTGTAACTCTGTTTGAGTTCTTAGTAGATTCTGGATATTAGCCCTTTGTCAGATGAGTAGATTGCAAAAATTTTCTCCCTTTCTGTAGCATGCCTGTTCACTCTGATGGGAGTTTCTTTAGCTGTGCAGAAACTCTTTAGTGTAATTAGATGCCGTTTGTCAATATTGGCTTTTGTTGCCTTTGCTTTTGGCGTTTTAGACATGAGGTCCTTGCCCATGCCTATGTCCTGAATGGTATTGCCTAGGTTTTCTCCTAGGGTTTGTTTGGCTTAAGATGTAACATTTAAGTCTTTCATCCGTCTTGAATAAACTTTTGCATAAGGTGTAAGGAAGGGATCCAATTTCACCTTCGGACATATGGCTAGCCAGTTTTCCCAGCACCATTTATTAAATAGGGAATCCTTTCCCCATTTCTTGTTTTTGTCAGGTTTGTCAAAGATCCGACGGTTGTAGATGTGTCGTATTATTTCTGAGGGCTCTATTCTGTTCCATTGGTCTACAGTAACCAAAAAGGCAACCAACAGCATGCTGTTTGGTTACTGTAGGCTTGTAGTGTAGTTTGAAGTCGGGTAGCTTGATGCCTCCACCTTTGTTCTTTTGGCTTAGGATTATCTTGGCAGTGGGGGCCCTTTTGTGGTTCCATGTAAACTTTCAAGTAGTTTTTTCCAATTCTGTGAAGAAAGTCCTTGGTAGCTTGATGGGGATGGCATTGGATCTATAATATACCTTGGGCAGTATGGCCATTTTCACGATACTGATTCTTCCTAACCGTGAGCATGGAATATTCTTCCATTGGTTTGTGTCCTCTTTTATTTCGTGGAGCAGTGGTTTGTAGTTCTCCTTGAAGAGGTCCTTCGCACATCGCATCCCTTGTTAGTTGGATTCCTCAGTATTTTATTCTCTTTGAAGCAATTGTGAATGGGAGCTCAGTCATGATTTGGCTCTCTGTTTGCCTGTTATTGGTGTATGAGAATGCTTGTGATTTTTGCACATCGATTTTGTATCCTGAGACTTTGCTGAAGTTGCTTATCAGCTTAAGGAGATTTTGGGCTGAGACGATGGGGTTTTCTAAATATTCAATCGTGTCATCTACAAACAGGGACAATTTGACTTCCTCTTTTCCTAATTGATTACTCTTTGTTTCTTTCTCCTGCCTGATTGCCCTGGCCAGAAGTTCCAACACTATGTTGAATAGGAGTGGTGAGAGAGGGCACCCCTGTCTTGTGGCAGTTTGCAAAGGGAATGCTTCCACTTTTTGCCCATTCAGTATGATATTGGCTGTGGGTTTGCCCTAAATAGCCCTTATTATTTTGAGGTATGTCCCATCAGTACCTAATTTATTGAGAGTTTTTGGCATGAAAGGCTGTTGAATTTTGTCAAAGGCCTTTTCTGCATCTGTTGAGATAATCACGCGGTTTCTGTCTTTGGTTCCGATTATATGCTGGATTATGTTTATTGATTTGCATATGTTGGACCAGCCTTGCATGTCAGGGATGAAGCCCACTTGATCATAATGGATAAGCTCTTTGATGTGCTGCTGGATTCGGTTTGCCAGCATTTTATGGAGGATTTTTCCATCGGTGTTCCTCAGGGATATGGGCCGAAAATTCTCTTTGTTGGTTGTGTCTCTCTCAGCCTTTGGGATCAGGATGATGCTGGCCTCATAAAATGAGATAGGGAGGATTCCCTCTTTTTCTGTTGATTGGAATAGTTTCCGAAGGAATGGTACCAGCTCCTCCTTGTACTTCTGGTAGAATTCGGCTGTGAATCCGTCTGGTCCTGGAGTTTTATTGCTTGATAGGCTATTAATTATTGCCTCAATTTCAGAGCCTGTTATTGGTCTATTCAGGCATTCAACTTCTTCCTGGTTTACTCTGGGGAGGTTGCATGTGTCCAGGAATTTATTCATTTCTTCTAGATTTCCGAGTTTGTTTGCCTAGAGGTGTTGACAGTATTCTCTCATGGTAGTTTGTACTTCTGTGGGATCAGTGGTGATATCCCCTTTATCATTTTTTATTGCATCTGCTTGATTCTTCTTCCTTTCATTCTTTAATAGTCTTGCTAGTGGTCTATCAATTTTGTTGATGGTTTCAAAAAACCCGCTCCTGGATTCATTGATTTTTTGAAGGGTTTTTTGGGTCTCTATCTCCTTCAGTTCTGCTCGGATCTTAGTTAATTCTTGCCTTCTGCTAGCTTTTGAATGTGTTTGCTCTTGCTTCTCTCATCCTTTTAATGGTGATGTTAGGGTATGCATTTTTGATCTTTCCTGCTTTCCCTTGTGGGCATTTAGTGCTATAAATTTCCCTCTACACACTGCTTTAAATGTGTCCCAGAGATTCTGGTATGTTGTGTCTTTGTTCTCATTGCTTTCAGAGAATATCTTTATTTCTGCCTTCATTTCGTTATGTACCCAGTACTCATTCAGGAGCAGCTTGTCCGGTTTCCATGCAGTTGAGCGGTTTTGAGTGACTTTCTCAATCCTGAGGTCTAGTGTGATTGCAATGTGGTCTGAGAGACCGTTTGTAATAATTTCTGTAATTTTACTTTTACTGAGGAGTGCTTTACTTCCAACTATGTGGTCAATGTGGAAATAAGTGTGATGTGGTGCTGAGAAGAATGTATATTCTGTTGATTTGGGGTGGAGCGTTCTGTAGATGTCTCCTAGGTCCGCTTGGTGCAGAGCTGAGCTCAATTCCCGGATATCCTTTTTTAACTTTCTGTCTCGTTGGTGTGTCTAATGTTGACAGTGGGGTGTTAAGTTTGCCATTATTATTATTATTACTATGTGGGAGTCTAAGTCTCTTTTGATCACACTTTAAAGACCAAAAGGTAGAAGCGCAAAGACGTTATCTGTCCAATATTACAAACCTAGTAAGTGGTGGAATTTGGCCTTGAACCCAGATCTGTAACTCCAGAGCCGAAGTGCTTCACCCACCTCCCTGTGGTGCCTCTACAGAAAAAGAGGTAAGCAGGCATTCCGAAAGCTGGTGGGCCGGGGGGCTGGCCTTGTACTCAGAAGCCATGGAAGTCCCACGTGGGGTGGCTAGTGGTGTAAGGACAGAGGTCTCGGATGGGCAGAGGGATGTGGACAGGCGCGAGGGCGCGCGGCAGGGACTCGGGGGACTGGGAGTGGCGGCTCGGGGCTGCGGGAGGCGATTGGTGGAAGGACAGAGGTCTGGGAGGGGCAGAGGGATGTGGACAGGCCCGAGGGGCCGCGGCAGGGATTCCGGGGGACCGGGAGTGGGGGGTTGGGGTTACTCTTGGCTTTTTGCCCTCTCCTGCCGCCGGCTGCTCCAGTTTCTTTCGCTTTGCGGCGAGGTGGGCAGGGTGAGCTCTCGGGACTGATGGCGGTTTTGGAAGAGGCCTGGGGCTAAGGACAGGCCAGGGCGGCGGGAGAGGCGGACCGGTGGCGTGGCTGGATCTGGGCGCGCTGTCGGACCTTCCACATCACCAGCTGCAGGCAGGCGTTTGCGTCCTCGCTGGAGTTGTGGCCGTCCTGGCTGTCCTGGATGATCTGTGCCAGGTAGTCGGCCGCGAGATTCCTGAGGGAGCGCTTGTAGGGGAAACCCAGGTAGTGCGGGAAGAGCACGGCCGTGTCCACCACGGTGCTGTGGATGAGCTTCAGGGCCAGCAGGTCGCTCTCCAGGCTGTGCCCGATGAGGATGGTTTGGGCGCTGAAAAAGCTCAGCAGGATGGCTTGGACTTGGGGCAACGTGATGCTCGTCTTGGCGACGTCGGCCTCGGTGACTCCGGAAAACCTGGTGTTGTAGTCCACGATCTCGTTGTCGGGCTTGACGAAGGTGTCGTACACCACTCGCATGTCGGCGTCCACCACGGTGACGCGGGTCAGCTCTAGGCCATGCGTGGTGTAGCACATCTCACAGTCCAAGGCGTAGATTCCTGGATAAGCGTCTCTGGACAACTCTTTCTTGAAGGTCTCCACGAAGCCATCGAGGCTCTCCTTGCGGCCGTCCCGCACGTGCTGCTTTGCCACCTGGCAGCCCACAGAGCCAGGAGCAGCTGCACAGCAGGTGTACTGGCTAACCCGGCCTCCAGCCACCTGGCTCGAGCGGACCCGCCCCCAGTGATAACACAACTGGTCGCGTACACAGCGGCCCGAGGAGGACACCAGGTACTCGGTGCCACAACGGCAGCAGACCCTGCAGGAGGAGTCGCCGGGCCCCTTCCCCTGGCCAGTGAAGAGGACGGCGCCTCCGGGCCGCTCGGGGTGCGGGAAGGGGTAGCCGTTCTCCTTGAGCTGGTCCTGGGTGAGCAGGAACTCCTGGAGGCGGCTGTACAGGGCGGCCCTGCTGAGGCCGGGCATGGAGCTGGGGGTCAGGCCCTTCAGTCTCTTGAGGGTGTTCAGGACCACGTTCAGGTACCTGTTCTTGTTGGGGCTGCAGTCGTAGGCCACCTTCTCCTCGTTCAGCGCCTTCTCCTCGGCCTCCTGCTTGGAGGCGCAGAACTTGAGACACTCTTCGGTGAACAGTTGGAGATAGCCTCGGCGGAGGACGGTGGGGACTTGGCACCCAGAGCTTCGGAGGATAATGGGTTTCTTCAAACTCAAACTCGGTAAGGATGCACGACGGACGATTCGCTTAGAGCTGGTGGTGGCGGTGGTCTTGCATGCCATCCCTGACCTGTTGCGCGTCTTCCCTGGCTGTCTGCCGACCTTGGAGCCACGGGAGCGTTGGCTGCTGCTGGCCACCCGGGTTCTCTTGGCATCTGTGTAACCTGTGACCAAGCAAGGGCTGGAAGAGTGGGCGATCGTCTTCCTCTTCCTGGGGGCTGAGATGCGGACTCCCGAGGGCCTCTCTGTCAGCCTTGGGGTGGCTGGCAAGCGGCAGGCCGATCCCCTCTGTGCAGGGAAGTAGCACGACTCCGTCACCATCTTGGGCCACGCTGGGGGCACCGCCGGACCCCTGTTCTGGGGCTCCGCCTGGATGTCCACAAATGCTGAGGCCTGCTTGTGCATCTGGGGCACCCAGAGCCCGAAGCTCTGGGCAGGCTGATGAGAGGGCAGTGGGAATTCTGGAGCCTCGAGGGCCGCCTCCTCGGCCACCTTCTTAGCTTCTGGGTATCCAGGTGGGAACCAGCAGGGAGCTGTGGCTCGCAACATCTTGCTGCCTTCGGGAGCACCGGCCGGGCTCTGCTCCGCTCCCAAATGGCGGCTTGCCTCCGGGGCCGCCTCCTTGGCCACCTTCTTAGCTTCTGGGTATCCAGGGCGGAACCAGCAGGGAGCTGTGGCTCGCAACATCTTGCTGCCTTCGGGAGCACCGGCCTGGCTCTGCTCCCCTCCCAAATGGCGGCTTGCCTCCAGGGCCGCCTCCTCGGCCACCTTCTTAGCTTCTGGGTATCCAGGGGGGAACCAGCAGGGAGCTGTGGCTCGCAACATCTTGCTGCCTTCGGGAGCACCGGCCTGGCTCTGCTCCTCTCCCAACTGGCGGCTTCAATGAGTGCTGCGGCCGCCACTTGTCGCCTTTATATAGGCACAGGGCAGACTGGGTGGGACTTCTCCTTGATAGGTTGGTGCTTCAGTCCAATCACACTGAGCCTCATCTTCCACCAGACTCCAGCTTGGGAATGCCTCAGGGGGTGCGCTAATGGAATCAACTGGAACTCCCGGTTGCTAAACTTGGAGCTAGGTTGCTTTTCCTGAGTTAAGTAACTGTCCCTGCAAGGCAGTCCTATAATGGCTACTGGAATTGGGCTACCTAGGATTAAATTAAGGTTCAGGGAGGTTGGTCAACTTGCTTGGGCCCACACAGCACCCCTTGGAGCCAGGACTGGGCCAGCAGTCTGCTGCATGCTGGAGGGCGGGATCCCTCTGGGGCTGCCTTTCCCTGCTCTGTGCACTCCGCCGCTGCGGGCAAATTGAGGACAGGAAGCGGACCGCACCCACTTCTCTCCCAGGACTTGGGCAATGTTCAACACAGGTGGTCTTCCAAAGGTTCATAGAAAATGCACATGGTGAAGAAACTATGCATGGATTTCCACTGGTTTGCACTAAAATAAACTTGTCCTAACTTCTGATAACCTTTCTGAACTAGATCTAGTTTGAGGCACTAAGAAGGATGAGACATCCACTGAAAAGGACTCCCATCAGAGCAACATGAATTCCACGAAAATTGCAGCAAGAGGAAACATCAAATTTATGGTGAAGCTTGGGTGGAAGATTGAAGAAATCATTGACGTTTTAAGAAAAGCTTGTAAGGACACTACCCCAAAGAAATGAACTCTTTACGAATGTATAGCTTGTTTCAAGAAGAGGTGAGAAGATGTGGAAGATGAATCCTTCAGTGGCTGTGAAAACCACTGTGCCCAGATCAGCTGCAGTTACGACGAGAGCTATCAGTGGAAATTTTAAGCAGGAGGGATCACGATCCTGACGCATCCCTCTGACAAATTGTAAGCGGCAGTTGGAACATGGCTTCACCAATATGATCTCGAAGGCAAAGCATCATGAAAGCGATGGCTACCAAGAGGTGGCAGTGGTCCAGTCAAAGGAAAAGGAGGCCAGTCAGGAGCCCACATCATGGCATCAGTGTTTTGGGACACTCAAGGCATTTTGCTTGTTGACTTTCTGAAAGGCCAAACATCTGCTTATTAGGAGAGTGTTCTGAGAAGCTTAGATAAAGCTTTGGTAGAAACATGCTGGGAAAGTCTCACTAGATCCTTGTTCACCACATCAATTCTCTGCTCATTCCTCTCATCAAACAAGGGCAATTTTGTCAGTTTCAATGGGCAGTCCTTAGGAATTCACCTTACGGGCTGCTTTCATTCCTTCTAAATTCTTTTTGTTTCCTAATGATAAAAAGTCTCCTTGCCTTGCTTGGAAAGATGAGAGAAAGTCTCCTTGCCTTGTTTGGACAGATGAGAGATGAGATCCTCCTCTTCTCTCCCAGGACAGAATGGTGAGACTTGAGTTTCCTTTCTCCTCACTCTTCTCCTCCTTGAGGGAGCTGCTGTGCCGGACAGACCTGCCCCCGTGTCTAGACACTGGTAGACTCGTTTAAGTTCCTCACAGGCAATCCTCCATGGGGTCAAAGTGGAAGGACTTATTTCTTGAGGGCTCAGTAGTCCACATCCTGGCGTGCACCTTCACCAGCCCAGGGCGGGGTAGAGGAGGGTGAAAGGGCGTGGCTCAGAGCCCGCTTCTTCCGCTCGGGCGTATCCTGGGAGGAACCCTTGTCCGGTGAGCATGTCTTCGTCTCTACCAAATTCCCTAGTGGGACATTTCTGGCAGCCCTACTTCTTCAGCAGCTTACGGGGGTCAGGTGGACCTCTGCTAGTCACCAGCCTGAAGCCCTTTCTCCATTTCAGCTATTTTGGCAGTTGCCTAGGTGACTTTTGAACCTCATTATCCAGAACAGCAAACGGACGAGGGGTGAGAAGAGTGGCCGTCTGGGTTTGCAGCATAGTGCTGCCTTCTAGGAGTTGTGCAGTCTTCGATTGTGTGAAACTTCACCTGGCTGATTTGTGGCAATGCCTCCACAAATTCGCTAAATTCAGTAGCTTTTGCCTTCCAAGATTCATTTACACAATGTTGAATGCTTTAAATGAATGAGCATGAAGAGTGCTGGGCTGGAAAGTGATGAGATGGGTGGTAGGGACTCCTCGGAGTAGAGGAGTAGAGTTTTACTATTATGACTAGGAGGCAAATAAAAAGAAGCTGAACGTGATCCATAATAAAAGAAGCACACACTCACAGAGCTCCATACCAACTACATTAAAATGGAAATCATGATATTTGGAAATACAACTTAATTGGAAATCATTAAGTAATCTCATCAACCTTTTTACAGTGGGTGGCAGGGCTATGGAGGGAAAACAGCAATGGTTCTGGCACCTACTTAACTTGATTCCATTAAATTCACCCAACAGGCCTCCAGAGAACATATTACTGCTTTGATATTACAAAGGGAAAAACAGCTATGGCGTCTCTGAAAAGCACAACGTGCTAGGACTGGAATGACTTTAAAACCACACATAAATTTCTGAGAGATTTTTGCCATAAGGTACCATCCACCTTACTGTAAACCACATCCTAAAATTGTCTGCAGTGCAAATGGATTATGTGCATCCAACAGGAAACAGCATAGGTTGAGAAGCTGTTACTTAATAGCTTCATTGTCACCACGAGTGTAAAGTGTGGGGTCTCATCACTTTTGCACCCACGTTTTGCCTGTTGGTTTCTCCACACTGTCAGGAGCATTTGACCAACTCACTGTGGCTCAGGGTCCCTTACGCAGCCTGTTGGGGAAACCAGTGGGTATTGAAGACCTGCCTCTGGTGTGCCAGGAGGTTGTGCCTGCCGGCCACTCTGACTTGCGATCTTCCGCCTCAGTGTATGGCTTCCTACACCAGGGTAATTAACATAGCCAGCATGATAAGGAGGTCCTTTCATCACTATTGCCACTAGTCCTTCCGACTCCTGTGCCCTGTTTCTCCTTTATTGGAACCCAAGAACGAGTAAACATAGCATTTTCAAACATCCCGCCCCCTTCCCTGGTAACACCAATATTCCACCATCCTAATTCCCTCACAAGCATTCAGTCTCTCCACCCTGAGGTGGTGAAATCCCTGCAGGCATTTATAAGTATACCTGGACAGAAGAAATACAAGATACCGTTCTATTAACTCAATATAGTGTTGCTAAGTTCGTACTTTTGCTTGGTTTATTTTATTTTATAAATAGGTATCACTCGCATGGTTCCAAATGCGGTAGGCACAGAGAGTATATATGATGGAATTACATCCTCCTTCCCTGCACTCAGCAACCGAGATCTTCCCGCTACGGGCACACAAAGGTTTTATTGTCTGAAATATCAGCCTAAACGTAGTTTATGTTTAGGAAGCAACAACCGTAAATAGGCCCACATCCAAACGGAGTGGATTTAGGTTTCACTTTTTCAAGGAAAAACCATCAAAGAATTTTTCCACATACTTATAAACCATCCCACGTATAGAATCCATTTTTACTGACACAAATTTAGTACCAATAAACGACTCTTCTTCTCAATTTGTTTTATTTAACAATAAGTCTTGAACGTCATTCCCAGTTAACATTTTGAAGAGTTTCCTCTCTTTCGTTCTGTTTTAGCTGCAAAGTATTCTTCCGTAAGGATGAACGTACTATAATTTATTAGCCAGCCACTTAGTGATGTACAATTAAGCAGTTTTAAATCTTTGACTCTTGAAAATATTGTTTCTCACACATAAATATTTCTATAAAATAAATTAGTTGAATTAGAATTGTTGGAGTTCAAGACCAGCCTGGCCAACATGGTGAAACCCCATCTCTACTAGAAACACAAAATTAGCCGGACATGCCGGTACATGCCTCTAATCTCAGGTGAGGCAGGAGAATCACTTCAACCTGGGAGGCAGAGGTTGTAGTGACTCGAAATCACGCCACTGCACTCCAGCCTGGGCGACGCGAGCGAAACTCTGTCTCAAAAAACCAAAAAAAATTAAACATAAAAAGAAAAGCGGTACATATACCCAATAGAACACAATTCAGCCTTAAAAATGAAAGAAATCATCTCATTGGCAACACGAATGAGCCTAGAGGATGGTACACTGAGTGAAAGAAAGCAAAGGCCAGGCACGGTGGCTCATGCCTGTAATCCCAGTACTTTGGGAGGCCAAGGCAGGTGGAAGCGTTGAGCCCAGGAGTTGGAGATGAACCTGGGCAACATGGTGAAACCCCATCTCTAAAAGAAACACAAAAATTAGCCAAGTGTGGCGTTGGACGCCTGTAGTCCTAGCTATTCAGGAGGCTGAAGCGGGAGGAACTCTCGACCCCGGGAGGTGGAGGCCGTGGTGAGTGAGCCGTGTTTGTGTCACTGTACTCCAGCCTGGGTGACAGACTGAGACCCTGTCTCAAAAAATAAATAATTACATAATAAAGATTTAAAAAGCAAGCACAAAAAGACAAATACTGCATGATCTCACTTATATGTGCAATCTCAAACAATGCAACTCATAGCTGTAGAGAGCAGAACGGTGGTTACCCGAGGCAGGGGTCAGGGAGGGACTGGAGAGATGATAGTCTCATGATACAAAATTTCAGAGAGGAATGGTTCTAGAGATCTATTGAACAGCCTGGCATCTACAGTGTATAAGTATGTATTGTATACTTGAAAATTGCTATAAGAGTAGATTTTAGACATGTCCTCATCACATTAAAATCAGTATGTGAGGAAACGAGTGTGTTAATTAGCTTGATTTTGTCATTCCACAATGTATACACATATGAAACATCATGTTGTATGCCATAAATATATATAATTTTTATTTGTCAAGTTAAAATTAAAATTCATATAAATTATAAAAATAAAATGAAATAACATACACTACAAAAGACGTTTATTTATTAAATCCCCACAGAAGGGGTCTAAGTGATAAAGGAAAATAAAATTCCGGGAACGGTAAAATCAATCAGAAATGCCCTACTTCAGTGCTTTCCGAAATTTGTCTGACAGAGTGGAAATCCAGTTTTTCACTAAGTCACTGTTCTGGAACAGTTTGTGTGTGTGTATGTATGTGTGTGAGGGCTCACATACACAAATTGAACTAATGGAAGTGTAAGCATTCAAATTATCAGTTTAATTTAGTTCTATACATATACACACACACACACTCACACACCGAAAACATTGATAAAATCAGCCATTCCAGCAAAACTAGCTACTTAGTGTCTATCTCTCCTTGAAGATTCAAACTAGAAATGAGGATTTAGAGAGGCATGATGGTTCGTTCTCTCTTGGAGCCCAGTTCGAAGTTGACTGACTGATTCAGTCATTGTAATTGGTTGGTCTTGGGGAAGAATCCACTTTGACTCTTGGGAAGTCAGCTAGGTCAGCGGACAGAGCAGGGGCTCTGGAGCCAGACTGCCTGCACCCGACTTCTAGCTATGATACCTTGGATAAACTACTTATCACCTGGGCTTCAGGTTCCTCATCTGTAAAATGGGGATAAGAATGCTATCTCTCTCACAACTATTAGGAGGACTGACTGGGTTAATACGTGCAAAGTACCAAGTACATAAGAAACCAACAGCCAGTGCTCATTACAATCATTATTATTTTGGGCAAGTTAAGCTGCTTGGTTTCTTTAGGTATAAAATTAGGCTTTATTTACCTACCTGTTGGGTTGTTCCAAGGATTAATCACATAGTGTTCATGAATTCCCTTTATAAACTATTATAGAAAAGAAATATAGTTAACATTAATTGAACACCTACTATGTGCGATCGTTTTAAGGCTTGCCATGTGCTGCTTCATTCAGTCCGCACCATGACATTAGGATCACACTTTCGTTTTCCATTTTTTTTTAAATTATACTTTAATTACTAGGGTACATGTGCACAACGTGCAGGTTTATTACGTATGTAAGCACGTGCCATGTTGGTGTGCTGCACCCATTCACTAGTCATTTACATTAGGTATATCTCTTAATGTTATCCCTCCCCCTCCCCCCGCCCATGACAGGCCCCGGTGTGTGATGTTCCCCTTTCTGCGTCCAAGTGTTCTCCTAGTTCAATTCCCACCTATGAGTGGGATCACGCGGTGTTTGGTTTTTTTGTCCTTGCGATAGTTTGCTAAGAATGATGGTTTCCAGCTTCATCCGTGTCCCTCCGAAGGGCATGAACACATGCTTTTTTATGGCTGCATAGTATTCCACGGTGTATTTGTGCCACGTTTCCTTAATCCAGTCTATCATTGATGGACATCTGGGCTGGTTCCAAGTCTTTGCTACTGTGAACGGTGCCGCAATAAACATACGTCTGCGTGTGTCCTTTTAGCAGCATGATTTATAGTCCTATGGGTGTATACCCAGTAATGGGACGGCTGGGTCAAATGGTATTTCTAATTCTAGATCCTTGAGGATTCGCCACACTATCTTCCACAACCGCTGAACTGGTTTACAGTCCCACCAGCAGTTTAAAAGTGTCCCTATTTCTCCACTACCTCTCCAGCACCTGTTGTTTCCTGACTTTTTTATTGATCGCTATTCTAACTGGTGTGAGACGATATCTCTTTGCGGATTTGATTTGCATTTCTCTGATGACCAGTGTTGATGAGCATTTTTTCATGTGTCTGTTGGCTGCATAAATGTCTTCTTTTTAGAAGTGTCTCTTCATATCCTTCCTGCACTTGTTGATGGGGTTGTTTGGTTTTTCTTGTAACTCTGTTTGAGTTCTTAGTAGATTCTGGATATTAGCCCTTTGTCAGATGAGTAGATTGCAAAAATTTTCTCCCTTTCTGTAGCATGCCTGTTCACTCTGATGGGAGTTTCTTTAGCTGTGCAGAAACTCTTTAGTGTAATTAGATGCCGTTTGTCAATATTGGCTTTTGTTGCCTTTGCTTTTGGCGTTTTAGACATGAGGTCCTTGCCCATGCCTATGTCCTGAATGGTATTGCCTAGGTTTTCTCCTAGGGTTTGTATGGCTTAAGATGTAACATTTAAGTCTTTCATCCGTCTTGAATAAACTTTTGTATAAGGTGTAAGGAAGGGATCCAATTTCACCTTCGGACATATGGCTAGCCAGTTTTCCCAGCACCATTTATTAAATAGGGAATCCTTTCCCCATTTCTTGTTTTTGTCAGGTTTGTCAAAGATCCGATGGTTGTAGATGTGTCGTATTATTTCTGAGGGCTCTATTCTGTTCCATTGGTCTACAGTAACCAAAAAGGCAGCCAACAGCATGCTGTTTGGTTACTGTAGGCTTGTAGTGTAGTTTGAAGTCGGGTAGCTTGATGCCTCCAACTTTGTTCTTTTGGCTTAGGATTATCTTGGCAGTGGGGGCCCTTTTGTGGTTCCATGTAAACTTTCAAGTAGTTTTTTCCAATTCTGTGAAGAAAGTCCTTGGTAGCTTGATGGGGATGGCATTGGATCTATAATATACCTTGGGCAGTATGGCCATTTTCACGATACTGATTCTTCCTAACCGTGAGCATGGAATATTCTTCCATTGGTTTGTGTCCTCTTTTATTTCGTGGAGCAGTGGTTTGTAGTTCTCCTTGAAGAGGTCCTTCGCACATCGCATCCCTTGTTAGTTGGATTCCTCAGTATTTTATTCTCTTTGAAGCAATTGTGAATGGGAGCTCAGTCATGATTTGGCTCTCTGTTTGCCTGTTATTGGTGTATGAGAATGCTTGTGATTTTTGCACATCGATTTTGTATCCTGAGACTTTGCTGAAGTTGCTTATCAGCTTAAGGAGATTTTGGGCTGAGACGATGGGTTTTTCTAAATATTCAATCATGTCATCTACAAACAGGGACAATTTGACTTCCTCTTTTCCTAATTGATTACTCTTTATTTCTTTCTCCTGCCTGATTGCCCTGGCCAGAAGTTCCAACACTATGTTGAATAGGAGTGGTGAGAGAGGGCACCCCTGTCTTGTGGCAGTTTGCAAAGGGAATGCTTCCACTTTTTGCCCATTCAGTATGATATTGGCTGTGGGTTTGCCCTAAATAGCCCTTATTATTTTGAGGTATGTCCCATCAGTACCTAATTTATTGAGAGTTTTTGGCATGAAAGGCTGTTGA
Organism: Homo sapiens; assembly: GCF_000001405.40. Taxonomy (NCBI): domain Eukaryota; kingdom Metazoa; phylum Chordata; class Mammalia; order Primates; family Hominidae; genus Homo; species Homo sapiens. The sequence goes on from NC_000008.11 coordinate 85,824,899, forward strand.
ATTTTGTCAAAGGCCTTTTCTGCATCTGTTGAGATAATCACGCGGTTTCTGTCTTTGGTTCCGATTATATGCTGGATTATGTTTATTGATTTGCATATGTTGGACCAGCCTTGCATGTCAGGGATGAAGCCCACTTGATCATAATGGATAAGCTCTTTGATGTGCTGCTGGATTCGGTTTGCCAGCATTTTATGGAGGATTTTTCCATCGGTGTTCCTCAGGGATATGGGCCGAAAATTCTCTTTGTTGGTTGTGTCTCTCTCAGCCTTTGGGATCAGGATGATGCTGGCCTCATAAAATGAGATAGGGAGGATTCCCTCTTTTTCTGTTGATTGGAATAGTTTCCGAAGGAATGGTACCAGCTCCTCCTTGTACTTCTGGTAGAATTCGGCTGTGAATCCGTCTGGTCCTGGAGTTTTATTGCTTGATAGGCTATTAATTATTGCCTCAATTTCAGAGCCTGTTATTGGTCTATTCAGGCATTCAACTTCTTCCTGGTTTACTCTGGGGAGGTTGCATGTGTCCAGGAATTTATTCATTTCTTCTAGATTTCCGAGTTTGTTTGCCTAGAGGTGTTGACAGTATTCTCTCATGGTAGTTTGTACTTCTGTGGGATCAGTGGTGATATCCCCTTTATCATTTTTTATTGCATCTGCTTGATTCTTCTTCCTTTCATTCTTTAATAGTCTTGCTAGTGGTCTATCAATTTTGTTGATGGTTTCAAAAAACCCGCTCCTGGATTCATTGATTTTTTGAAGGGTTTTTTGGGTCTCTATCTCCTTCAATTCTGCTCGGATCTTAGTTATTTCTTGCCTTCTGCTAGCTTTTGAATGTGTTTGCTCTTGCTTCTCTCATCCTTTTAATGGTGATGTTAGGGTATGCATTTTTGATCTTTCCTCCTTTCCCTTGTGGGCATTTAGTGCTATAAATTTCCCTCTACACACTGCTTTAAATGTGTCCCAGAGATTCTGGTATGTTGTGTCTTTGTTCTCATTGCTTTCAGAGAATATCTTTATTTCTGCCTTCATTTCGTTATGTACCCAGTACTCATTCAGGAACAGCTTGTCCGGTTTCCATGCAGTTGTGCGGTTTTGAGTGAGTTTCTCAATCCTGAGGTCTAGTGTGATTGCAATGTGGTCTGAGAGACCGTTTGTAATAATTTCTGTTATTTTACTTTTACTGAGGAGTGCTTTACTTCCAACTATGTGGTCAATGTGGAAATAAGTGTGATGTGGTGCTGAGAAGAATGTATATTCTGTTGATTTGGGGTGGAGCGTTCTGTAGATGTCTCCTAGGTCCGCTTGGTGCAGAGCTGAGCTCAATTCCCGGATATCCTTTTTTAACTTTCTGTCTCGTTGGTGTGTCTAATGTTGACAGTGGGGTGTTAAGTTTGCCATTATTATTATTATTACTATGTGGGAGTCTAAGTCTCTTTTGATCACACTTTAAAGACCAAAAGGTAGAAGCGCAAAGACGTTATCTGTCCAATATTACAAACCTAGTAAGTGGTGGAATTTGGCCTTGAACCCAGATCTGTAACTCCAGAGCCGAAGTGCTTCACCCACCTCCCTGTGGTGCCTCTACAGAAAAAGAGGTAAGCAGGCATTCCGAAAGCTGGTGGGCCGGGGGGCTGGCCTTGTACTCAGAAGCCATGGAAGTCCCACGTGGGGTGGCTAGTGGTGTAAGGACAGAGGTCTCGGATGGGCAGAGGGATGTGGACAGGCGCGAGGGCGCGCGGCAGGGACTCGGGGGACTGGGAGTGGCGGCTCGGGGCTGCGGGAGGCGATTGGTGGAAGGACAGAGGTCTGGGAGGGGCAGAGGGATGTGGACAGGCCCGAGGGGCCGCGGCAGGGATTCCGGGGGACCGGGAGTGGGGGGTTGGGGTTACTCTTGGCTTTTTGCCCTCTCCTGCCGCCGGCTGCTCCAGTTTCTTTCGCTTTGCGGCGAGGTGGGCAGGGTGAGCTCTCGGGACTGATGGCGGTTTTGGAAGAGGCCTGGGGCTAAGGACAGGCCAGGGCGGCGGGAGAGGCGGACCGGTGGCGTGGCTGGATCTGGGCGCGCTGTCGGACCTTCCACATCACCAGCTGCAGGCAGGCGTTTGCGTCCTCGCTGGAGTTGTGGCCGTCCTGGCTGTCCTGGATGATCTGTGCCAGGTAGTCGGCCGCGAGATTCCTGAGGGAGCGCTTGTAGGGGAAACCCAGGTAGTGCGGGAAGAGCACGGCCGTGTCCACCACGGTGCTGTGGATGAGCTTCAGGGCCAGCAGGTCGCTCTCCAGGCTGTGCCCGATGAGGATGGTTTGGGCGCTGAAAAAGCTCAGCAGGATGGCTTGGACTTGGGGCAACGTGATGCTCGTCTTGGCGACGTCGGCCTCGGTGACTCCGGAAAACCTGGTGTTGTAGTCCACGATCTCGTTGTCGGGCTTGACGAAGGTGTCGTACACCACTCGCATGTCGGCGTCCACCACGGTGACGCGGGTCAGCTCTAGGCCATGCGTGGTGTAGCACATCTCACAGTCCAAGGCGTAGATTCCTGGATAAGCGTCTCTGGACAACTCTTTCTTGAAGGTCTCCACGAAGCCATCGAGGCTCTCCTTGCGGCCGTCCCGCACGTGCTGCTTTGCCACCTGGCAGCCCACAGAGCCAGGAGCAGCTGCACAGCAGGTGTACTGGCTAACCCGGCCTCCAGCCACCTGGCTCGAGCGGACCCGCCCCCAGTGATAATAACACAACTGGTCGCGTACACAGCGGCCCGAGGAGGACACCAGGTACTCGGTGCCACAACGGCAGCAGACCCTGCAGGAGGAGTCGCCGGGCCCCTTCCCCTGGCCAGTGAAGAGGACGGCGCCTCCGGGCCGCTCGGGGTGCGGGAAGGGGTAGCCGTTCTCCTTGAGCTGGTCCTGGGTGAGCAGGAACTCCTGGAGGCGGCTGTACAGGGCGGCCCTGCTGAGGCCGGGCATGGAGCTGGGGGTCAGGCCCTTCAGTCTCTTGAGGGTGTTCAGGACCACGTTCAGGTACCTGTTCTTGTTGGGGCTGCAGTCGTAGGCCACCTTCTCCTCGTTCAGCGCCTTCTCCTCGGCCTCCTGCTTGGAGGCGCAGAACTTGAGACACTCTTCGGTGAACAGTTGGAGATAGCCTCGGCGGAGGACGGTGGGGACTTGGCACCCAGAGCTTCGGAGGATAATGGGTTTCTTCAAACTCAAACTCGGTAAGGATGCACGACGGACGATTCGCTTAGAGCTGGTGGTGGCGGTGGTCTTGCATGCCATCCCTGACCTGTTGCGCGTCTTCCCTGGCTGTCTGCCGACCTTGGAGCCACGGGAGCGTTGGCTGCTGCTGGCCACCCGGGTTCTCTTGGCATCTGTGTAACCTGTGACCAAGCAAGGGCTGGAAGAGTGGGCGATCGTCTTCCTCTTCCTGGGGGCTGAGATGCGGACTCCCGAGGGCCTCTCTGTCAGCCTTGGGGCGGCTGGCAAGCGGCAGGCCGATCCCCTCTGCGCAGGGAAGTAGCACGACTCCGTCACCATCTTGGGCCACGCTGGGGGCACCGCCGGACCCCTGTTCTGGGGCTCCGCCTGGATGTCCACAAATGCTGAGGCCTGCTTGTGCATCTGGGGCACCCAGAGCCCGAAGCTCTGGGCAGGCTGATGAGAGGGCAGTGGGAATTCTGGAGCCTCGAGGGCCGCCTCCTCGGCCACCTTCTTAGCTTCTGGGTATCCAGGTGGGAACCAGCAGGGAGCTGTGGCTCGCAACATCTTGCTGCCTTCGGGAGCACCGGCCTGGCTCTGCTCCTCTCCCCACTGGCGGCTTCAATCAGTGTCGCGGTGGTCGCGCATCGCCTTTATATAGGCATGGGTCAGAGTGGGTGGGGCTTCTTCTTGATTACGTTGGTACTTTATTCTAATCACACTAAATCTCATCTTCCACCAGACTCCAGCTTCGGAATGCCTCAGAGGGTCTGCTAATGGAAGCAACTGGATCTCCTGGTTGCTAACCTTGGAGCTAGGTTGCTTTTCCTGAGTTAATTTACTGTGCCTGCACAGCAGTCCTATAATGGCTACTGGAACTGGGCTACTTAGGAGTAAAATGAGGTTCATGGAGGTTGTTCAACTTGTTCGGGCCCAGACAACATCCCACGGACCCAGGACTGGTGCAGCAGTCCGCTGCATGCTGGCGGGCAGGATCTCTCTGGGGTTGCGTTTCCCTGCTCTGTGCACTCTTCCACTGTGGGCAATTGGAGGACAGGAAGTGGACCACATCCACTTCTGTCCCAGGACATGGGCAATGTTGAATACTGGGGGTCTTCAAAAAATTCATAGAAAATGCACATGGTTAAAAAACTATTCATGGATTTCAGTTTGTTTGCACTAAAATAAACTTGTAGTAACTTTTTACAACCTTTCTGAACTAGACGTAGTTTGAGGCATAAAGAAGGATGAGACATCCACTGAAAACATCTCCTATCAGAGCAACATGAATTCCGCTAAAGTTGCAGCAAGAACAAACATTAAATTTATGGTGAAGCTTGAGTGGAATAATGTAGAAATTATTGATGTTTTATGAAAAGCTTGTAAGGACAATACCCCCACAGAAATCAGCCGTTTACCAATGTAGAGTTTGTTTTAAGAAGAGATGAGAAGATGTAGAAGGTGAATTCTGCAGTGGCTGTGAAAACCAACTGCTATGGAAACCACTGTGGCCAGATCAGCTGCAGTTAGGAGGAGAGCTTTCAGTGGAAATTTTAAACAGGAGAGATCATGGTCCTGTCTAAAATGTAAACTAAAAATGCAAACATTATCTGAGCATGATGGCGGGTGCTGGTAATCCCAGCTACTCGGGAAGCTGAGGTAGGAGAATTGAACCCAGGAGTTGGAGGTTGCAGTGAGCCGAGATCTCGCCACTGCACTACCGCCTGGGCGACAGAGCGAGACTCTGTCTCAAAAAAAACAAACAAAACAAACAAACAAAAAAACAAAAAACAAAAAACCCAAACAAACAAACAAAAAAGAACTTGCAATGTTCCAGTTATTTATCCATAATACCTTCCTCATAAAAATTCAGGAAAGGGATATTAGTTTGGGGAAATAGTTTCTCCAAAGTCTAGAAAATCTTGAAATAACTCTGCCACCTGTGAAATTTCATCTTCTCACTGAGAATACTCTCACCTCCCAGATATATTTTCTCTCATGTAACCAGCTGTGGGTACACAGTGAGGGTCTGGCTGTCATTTGCTGTTTTTCCTGCTGACCACTTCTTTCTTTAGCTGTACTTTCTTTAAATGCAGTGAAAGTCTGCATCTGGTCAAAGACTCATTGTGTCTTTAGGCCTGTGAGGCATTTTTATTCTCCTATTATGTACTGATTTAATTAGGTCATTTCTCAGAACTTTCCTGACCCCCGCTGGCACAGCACACAAAGGTCTGCAGAATTTTCTACTTCTATAAATCCTCAAGCATTCAGCCAGCACCTGTGAGTGCTTTTCTCAACTCAGACCCTCACAAAATACAGCTTTTCTCAACTCAGACCTCATTTTAATATAGAGGATGTGTGTGCTTGAAACCCTGGACGTTATTTTCATTGCAGTTAGAAAGTTTGTTATCAAATCCTATTTATAATGTTTTTGAACGGTGGCCTCATGTTGAACATAACAATGATGAAGAAATACAAAGCAGCCTGCATAGGTGGTGACAGAAGCGTGAGGACCCGGCAAAGTCAGGGAGAGTTAAGTGGACCAATTATGCAATCTGCGCAACAGAGACAAAGGATCTGCAGCATGGCTCCACCCATGCATCCAAGACAATGATCTCCTGCTGAAGAACTTCTAGACTGGCCTGTGGGGTTCTTTTGGTATCAGACCATTGTTCTTTGCTTCCCCATTTATTGCTTCTGTAACACACAGATTGGTTTAAAGCTTTTAAAAATCTATTAAATTTTCTCTATACCCCTGTTGAAACAAATTCTATGGTTAATTTCTTACATACTACTTTAAAAAATATTTTTGTTCTTACTCATCTCTCAGAGATTACTCATTCATGCTAATGCTTCTGGTCAAAACATGTGTGTTCCATTTTTCACACTATTCTTCATCTTCTAGATTTCAATTTTGACCAATTTTTAGTCTTTTAGGTTATAGGCCCACGAGTTCTAAATGCTAGTAAGGTATTAATATGGACTCCATTGATCTACTGCTGAAAGAAGTGAAAGGAAACTCTTGTATTAGATAATTTTAGAAGTCTGAGGAGGGCAACTGTTACTAGTAATTAGCACCTTATCAATATAACATATAAAATGAGATGATGGATGAGAGAAATAGTGGGAGAAAGTGCTTGCATCAGTGTTCTATTGCAGCATAAAAAGTTACCACAAACTCAGTGGCTTCAAACAACACAAATTTATTATCTAACAGTTTCTGTAGGTTGGAAGTCCAGGAATGGCAGGGCTGGGATCTCTGCTCAGGGGCTGATCAGGCTGAAATGTAGGTGTCTACAGGGGCGTGGTTTTCAAATGGAGTGCTTTCAACCTCACTGGTTGTTGGAAAAGTTCATTTTTTTCTCAGTAGTAGTTGTGCACTCTCCATTTTCCTGCTGGCTTTTACCCAGGGGCCATTCTCAGCTTCTAGAAGATGCCACAGGTCCTTGCCTCTGGCCCCCACAGGCAGTTCATGCATGGAGGTTTACATTTTTCTGGGCCAGCCTGAGCATATCTCTCTGAACTCTTCTGCTCTGGCCATCCAGAAAAATTCTCTGCCTTTAAAGGTCTCATTGTAGGTTAGGCTCTCCCAGGATAGTCTCCTTATTTGGTATCTTAATTACATCCAAGAAATCCCTTCACTTCAGCATGCGAATTGGTGTTTAATTGAATAATTGGGAGAAGGTGCGAGTACACCAGGGGCCCTAAATCTTGGGAATGTTTTAGGATTCTGCCCACCAAAATGGTCTGGGGAGAAATGAAGAAAACTTTTTTATGCTGAATATCCAGTGTACGGCGAATGAGCTGCTTGTGCCTAGTAACTGTAAGTGATTGAAGTCACAGCCTAGGTGCAGGTGGCCTCTCTGAACAGATTCCTGGGTTAAAAGGGCTCCCTTTCGTCAACCTCCTCTATCTACTTCCTTTCCACTGATGGCAAGTTTTACAAAGAAACCCACCCTACACTGAACATAGGGGTTCTTTAAGACTTCTGGACTTGATATGCAATCTACAGATCTCTTATTTGAGTCGCTTTTTAAAAATTAACTTTATTATTGAAGTATGATATTCATATAAAAAGTGACCTAATCATAAGCGTTCAGCTCAACAAATGATCACAGAGTGAACACACCCACATAACCACACTCATCTCAAGAAAGAGAAGCATCCCAAAGGCTCCCTTAATGTCCCCTCCCAGGCTTTATATCCTCCTACTTCTCTTAAATTAACCATTACCCTGATTTTTGATACCATAGGATTAGGTTTGCCTGTTTTGTGAGCTTTTTTATAACTAAAAACTTATAAATAACCTTTTCGTCAGACGTCTTTCATTCAATATTGTGTTTGTGAGTTTCCATTGGAAGAACATGCCACAATTTATTTGGCCATTCTATTGTTGATGAACCTTTGCACTGTTTCCAGTTTTTGACTTCTACAAATAATTCTGTGAACATCTTTGAACCTGTATTTTGGCGGGCTGTGCACACCTGCCTGTTGTGCATATTCCTAGGAGTGGAAATGGCAGGTTATAGAGAAGGCATGAGTCCTACTAAAACATTTACTGCCAAAGAGCATCTCCACCCTTAACTGTGGTTAATGTTCCAGTTTGGAGACTGTTTTACCCTCTATGCAGAGTAAACTTCCAATCTGCTACTGCAGTGGAAAGGCTCAGCCATCTACCTAGCGGAGTGAGTGAGGAAAGGGGTCTGGGGATTCAGCAGCCTCTTATAGTTTCAACTCATTCTCCCTATTTTAGCCAGCCCATCTCTCCTCAACCCCTTCAAGAGTTACCTGATGCTGTCAGCTTCAGAACATTTTGTCTTCTTTCATGGCACAAATTAGATTGCTTTTCAGCTTTCCTTATCATCAGTTTCGGATTCATTTTCCCCAGATCTGCTGCCTTTTTCTTTTCTCTTTTCTTTTCTTTTTTCTTTTCCCTCCCCTCCCCTTCCCCTCCCCTCCCCTCCCATCCCATCCCTTCCCGTTCCCTCCCCTTCCCTCCCCTTCCCTCCCACCCTTCCCTTCCCCGTCCCCTCGCCCCTCCTCCCATCTCCCGTCTCCTCCTCTCCCCTCCCCTTTCCCCTCCCCTTCCCTTTCCCCTCCCCTTCCCTTGCCCCTCCCCTTCCCCTCCTCTCCCTTCCCATCCCCTCCTCTCCCCTCCCCTTCCCCTCCTCTCCCCTCCCCTTTCCCTCCTCTCCCCTCCCCTTTCTCTCCTCTCCCCTCCTCTTCCCCTCTCCTCTCCTCCCCTCCCCCCCCTTCCCTTCCCTTCTTTTCCTTTTTTGAAGATAAAATCTCACTCTGTTGCCCAGGCTGGAGTGCAGTGGTATGATCTCGGCTCACTGCAGGCTCAACCTCCTGGGCTCAAGCAATCCTCCCACCTCAGTCTCCAGAGTAGAGATGAAGTTTTGCCATATTGCCCCAGACTGGTCTCAAACTTCTGAGCTCAAGCAATCTGCCTGATTCAGCCTCCCAAAGTGCTGAGATTCCAGGTGTGAGCCATTACACCTGGAAAAAAGAGGCTGCCTTTTTCATCTCTCCTGTTTTCGAGATTTTTGATGCTGCCATGCCCTCTCCCATTTTTTTGCCCCTATGGTTTATACCTTTAAGACAAAGTTCATTGTCTTTTGTTTTAATGAGGAGCTGGAAGAGAACAAAAGAAGAAAGCACATGTGTTTAACGCTATCTATCTGGTGAGGTAATATTCCTTTAAATGTTCAACATTCCTCCCGGAGTAAAGGGGTAAAGGAAGTTTCTTTGCATTATTTGAAATGGCTCATGGCTTCACAAAATAAGACTGTAGCCTGCTTCCTGTGGGTAGGATTTTGTTTCTCTCTTTTGTTATTGTTTTGGAGACATTTATGCATTTTTATTTTGCTTATAATGTGTCACAAGGAAACATACCATCTGCAGCACCAAGTCTAACAACATATAACCGTATGTTGATAGAACCAAAGATATTTATCAGCTGTGACTTCTGCAGTGATGGGTTAGTTATTAAGATATTTTTGAATTATTTAGATGTTTGTTTCTGTTTTATGCCAGTAGTTTGAGAAAATATGTAGCTTAGATCTCAATATAAACTGTTTTGCTGTGCATATTTAGGGGGAACAGATAGCACTAGTAGAATTAACAATGTTGTCCAATTGATAGATTCAAACACAGTCAAGAGTGTCTAGTGATATTGAACTCTGAAAATTGTGCCAAGTTATTCTGTGCCTACAGGCAGAATCACCTTGAGGTACATTTTTTATTATTATTATTATAGGAGAAATTACTTGAGGGGCCTACGTCAGTTAGGGTAAGGCAAGACCAACATATTCCTATTGTCCTGGGGAGGAGGGGAGGAGAAATAATAGACCATATGCAGGCCCCTGAAAGTGACCCTTCCAATGTCATTTGGATTAGAAAATGGTCCTGAAAAGAAAGTGGGAAAATTTATCCAGGCACCAAGTAACTGCTTGGAAGTAAAGAGATCAAGGTTCTTTTGTTTTCTTCATGGGTTTTGGTGTTAGAAAAACCTTTCTACTGTGTTGGAATGGCAATGAAAGATGTCCCCTGGTAGGAAAGGACATCACAGGTCTTGGAGGGAAGGTTGCCATGAATGAAAAGGGAGTGTGTATTTTAACTAGGGCCTAGAGACCCCTGGCATAGGGCTGACTCTGATACAGGAGGCAGATAAGGCTGAGAACCCTGCAGACCCACCCTACTCAGGCATATTGGTCCTGTTTTGGTATCAATGGTTAAATATGTGTGTACAAAGTAAACAGCTCAAATAGGCGGGTTTTCCAGGAGCCTCTGCTATAATCAGGACAAGTAGAGGCTTTACCGACAGTGATTATCCCATGGACCTTGGGGCCTTGGAAACACCAAAGTGTTCTGTGAGACACTATGTGACAATAATAGACACTGAGGCAAAGGAACAGAATCGGTGACACGGGGGGACCAGCCAGATGCTAGTTTACTCTCTGCCTGGCATTTGGAAAGAGAATTAATTCTTTTGAGCTGAGTAATTCTTGAACAGTTTCAATGAGAGAACATGTATACAGTGTTGATACTCCAGGAATGAGATCTCAGACTTTCTAGTATGAATGTATGTGAATTCCTAAATTGTTAACAGAAAAAATAGGAGATTAGACAATATTTTCATCTGGTGAAGCAGATTGTACCTCTCAATTTTTGTTAATGAGATCCCACCTTTCTGCCATATATATGTGTATCTCGTTTTAGATAATCTTCCATTAGTCAATGTTGAAAATTGGCACCCACATTGCAGGATTGTGATTAGGATTAAAAAGAAAGTAACGAATGCAAACACTTAACACAGTGCTTGACACATAGTGAATGCTAAATAAATCTTTATTGTTTCTGTTCTCTCAAGTTCTTTCTGGTTGCTACAAAGTGTTTATAGCACCAGGGTGTAGAAAAGCCATCTATGTTATGGGCTTTGTGATCTTAGCACAGAAGAAACATCTGTGTTATGGGCTCTGTGATTTTAAGCAATTTACAGTCACCTTCAGAATGGGAAATACTACAGCAGTTTCCCAGGGGTGTTGCAAAGGTTGAATAAGACAAAGTATGTGGCAACCGCCTCAAATACAGCACTAAAGGTCATGCAAAGTGAAGTTCTTTTGATTTTTAGTATCATTCCAAGGAAATGCCAAATCTGGCTCAGTAGTTAGACAATTATAGTGGCTAATCCTGAATCTTCATCTCTGCATTGAATAGTTCTCCCAGTGAACCTTCAAAGGAGAAAAAGATTGGAGGTAGATTCTTATTCCTTTCATTTCTTGAGGGGCATGCTGTTTTCTGTCATTTTTGGGGGATTGTTCATTGCTAGTACTTTCCCATGAGGGCATAAAGTGGTAGACAAAGATAATTGGTCAATATTGTTTGAGTTGCTTTAACCTAGGAGTCTGACTGCCTTCCTCCCTCCCCACTGAGTTCACTAGTACTGTATCTCTAAGTGCCTGAGTTCCAGCTCTTGTTCAACAGCAGCCAGTTTCACAATCTTGGCCAGGAGGGAATAATTGAAACCAGCAGAAGAAAGAACAGTTTTAAAAAGAGATTGCGACATGATGACTCAGTGACAATCAATTGAAGGAGAGTGGAGGAGTGGGGAAGTGCCGTGAAGGCCACTGTTTCATTCATTGAGAGTGCTGAACTGGCACCATAAGGAAGCCAGGAAAAGCTCCATGAAGCCAGATCTCCAGGCGGAGTTCTTCAGGGCAGAGGGGCACCACGCCTCTTTTTTTTTTTTTTTTTTTTTTTTTTTTTTTTTTTTTTTTTTTTTTTTTTTTTGAGGCGGAGTTTCGCTCTTGTTGCCCAAGGCTGGAGTGTGATTTCGTGATCTCGGCTCACCGCAACCTCCGCCTCCTGGCTTCAAGCGATTCCCCTGCCTCAGCCTCCTGAATAGGTGGGATTACAGGCATGCACCACCATGCTCGTCTAATTTTGTATTTTTAGTAGAGATGAGGTGTCTCCATGTTGGTCAGGCTGGTCTAGAACTCCCAACCTCAGATGATCCACCCGCCTCGGCCTCCCAAAGTGCTGGAATTACAGGCGTGAACCACCGTGCCCAGCCTTTTTTTTTTTTTCCCCAATTCCTGCAAAAGTGAGAAAGTGACCATTTCCCACAGGCAGTGGCTAAATACCAGGCATCCGGAGGGAAGCTGCGTGCGCACTCTCGGAATGTCCCAGGTCCTGATCTCGTCCTCACCACTTAGCTCCCATGGAAATTCGATTAGCGGCTTGGGAACAGTGGTGCTCATTTGAGGAGAATGCCAGCACTCTCTTCCACTCTGTTGATTATCTGTTCTTTACTACTTGGAATCATTCTTTCCGATTATGTTATCCCTGGCATCGGAATGCAGTTGTTGTGTTTCTGCCATCGGAAATGATTTCCCGAGTGATTCTCTCATCTCTTCCAGACATCTCTCTCCCCTTTCTCCTGCACCCCCGCCCCATTTGTCTGGCAGTGAGTGAGTCAGAGCTTCTTTCTTCTTTCTCTTTGCCGCTGGCATTAAAGGGAGACTCCTTAGCAGCTGCTCAGCTACCTCCCAGAGACAGCAGCCTTTCCGCAGTGGGAGCACTGATTTTATTGATTCTCTGCAGGTTTTCTAAATAGCGGGTCTTCCGTAAATCAAGCCTCATTGTGACTGTGAGTGAAATGGGCAGTAAAGACAGGTGCCAACAGTGGAAAACAATTTCCAACACATGTAGAAATTTAAGGAATTGTTATTCTTTGACTATGGCACTGCACTTTAAGATTTAGCTCGTGTTTGATTCAAGATTAAGTTTTACAGTGTTTGTCACACCAGCGTATAGAAAAATCATCCATCTCTTGCCCCTACACAGGACTCTAATTAAGTTACCTCAGACACAGGGGTGGATTGAAAGGTTATTTATGGTACAAGATTCCTTAATTTGTTTTTGCTTGGCCTCACAAGTTTCATCCTTCCTTTGCCATCTTATCTAGGGCAAGGTTCTCAATCTCAATTTTACTATTTTAGGCCAAATTTATTTTATTTGATTTGATTTTTTGCTCCTATGCATTGTAGGATGTTTAGCAGCTTCCTTGGCTTCTAGCCACTAGACGCCAGTAGCATACTCCCTCCTTTCCTAATAATGACAATCAAAATTGTGCCCTGGGGACAAAATTATCCCCAGTTGAGAACTGTTGGTCTAATGGAAGATAAGTAGAATAAAAGAAGGACTTAGAAGGCTTGAGCTCAAATCTTATTTCAAAGGCTCCTTAATGTAGCTTCTAACTTTAATCTTTGATTCTGGAATGGCCTGTGCTGTTATAGCCTGCAAGCTGGCCAGTGCTGCTGGCGTGAACTCTGGGATAACGAAGCCAAAACCATGTGTCTGATCCCAAGGAGGCCACAAAGCCTGGTCAATTCTATGATCCTAGACTGTTCCTCTAATCCCAGAAAGCTGTACTTCTGGAAACTCATTCTTTTCGAGAACGGAAATTCTTCTTCCTACCTTCAGGCTCCATTCGTTCACCATCCAGGTAGCCACTGTTAGCAATATCTTAGATGACCTTCCAGAGTTACTTCTTGAATATGTCAGTGAATGTGCATACAGGTTCCTGATCAATTTCCCGCTCCCCCAAATGGGCATGTTGTACATGCTAGAATGCACCATTTCTTTCTTATCAATAAATCATAGAATTATTCCATATCAGTAGATATTTCATTTCTTCTTTTTTTGGGTAAACTGCTATATAGAATTCTATCATACAAATGTATCAACTTATTTAACTTCTTTCACTGATTTGTACTATTATAAAAAAGTGCCATAGTGAAAAATTTGTGTAAACATCAAGAAGTGAAATTTCTTGGTCAAATGAAATATGCATTTGTAATTTTGATAGATAATGCAAATTGTTCTCTACAGAAGTTATAGTAATTTACCTTCCCACCAGCAATACATCACAGCACCTATTTCTCTGCAGTCAGGACAACAGAGTGCTACTACTTTGGATTTTTATCGATTGGTAGAAAATTGTTTCTCAACGTAGTTTCAATTTGCATGCATCCTACTATTGAAGAGGTTGTGTTTCTTCATATGCCTAAGAGTCATTATTTACTTTTTTGTGGACCATTTGTTCATTCCTTGCCTATTTTTCTTTTGGATTGTTGGGGTTTTTGAATGAATTTCTGTAAGTGTTATATATTAGGGAGACTAATCTTTTGTTATATGAATTGCAAATATGTTTTCCAATATGTCAATTGTTTTTTATTTCGTTCACAATTTTTTGCATAAATAAACTTTACAAAAATTTTATTTCATCTAACAAACAACTTTTCCTTCATGAATTTTGGTTTCTAATTACAAAGAAATTTGTATTTTTCTTCTTTTATTATTTTCCCTTTTTCAACATCTAAATTTTTAATCCATATGGGATTTATCCAGGTAGCTCAGTATAAGTTATAGATCCAATTTTGTGTTTTCCACTACTCAACCCCCCCCCCAACCCCCTTGCAGAACTCACTGGCTCTCTTGTTTATTTTTTCAAAGCAGGCATTTTTAAAGGGAGCTTACTAATGTAAGGACATTTTCTACTTTTCACCACATGAACAGTGCCTTCAGCAGTAGAGGGCTGGACTGGGGTGCAGGACTGTGGGCCATTGTCTCCTGCAGCACCTCTAGCTCCTCCAAACTACATTAAGGTCACTTCGTCTTTGCACAAAGTCCTCATGTACTTGCTCACTAGGTTTGCGGGAGTATATGGGATGAAATAGCACATAGATTAGGGGAAAGCCTGCTCCTTTTTAATTTTGTATAAATGTGGCCAGTTTGAAAAGAATCTCAAATGCATTCAGTGATTAGGAGTCAGTTGGCTCATTCTTGAGTTTGTGAGCATAGCCTGAATAACTTCAGCGTTTGACTTTCAATGTTTACCTTCAAGTGAAAGTACTTATTTATCTGTTAACCACTAATATGGTTTAACTATCTCCGCACCCACATCTCATCTTGAATTCCCATATGTTGTGGGAGGGACCTGGTAGGAGGTAATTGAATCATGGGGGCAGGTCTTTCCCTTGCTGTTCTCATGATAGTGAATAAGTCTCATGAGATCTGATGGTTTTATAAGGGGGAGTTTCCCTGCACAAGCTGCCTTCTCCTGTCTGCCACCACGTGAGATGTGCCTTTCACCTTCCACTATGATTGTGAGGCCTCACCAGCCATGTGGAACTGTAAGTCCATTTAAACCTCTTTCTTTTGTAAATTGCCCAGTCTCAGGTAGTCTCAGCAGTGTGAAAATGGACTAATACAACCACACTTGGTTCTTCTTTTTCCCTGTATTAACCTATCTTACTTGAGTAAAAAGAGAATACTATATGGATGTATGGTTCTTTCAAATTGTGGTTCTCAGGAAGGTCTATAACCTAATGTGCATTTTCATGGAGGGGAAATAGATCAAGATCTCATATTTAAGCAGATCCACCCATATCTGCTGTCTTCTACAACAGATCCTGCCATTTCCTTGCCAACCTCTTAAAACTCTTATTGCTGAGCTGGTCAGGCTCCATGGCTTCTGTGTGTGTGCCAAAGCCTGACCACAGACACCTCCATCATTCCTTCAGAAGCATTTTGTCAAGCTGGTACAAAATAAAAGCTGGGATCCTGGCTGACCCGTGATAGCACCCACTCACTCAACTTTACTTACAACGTTAGTAATTTTCACACAATTACTAATGCGAGAAAATAAAAATAGCTTGAGAAACACCAATAATTTCAATGAATCATTCAGATGGCATTATTTAACTGTATAGTCCCAGACACACCCTATAGTTCATATATACTGTGCATTTGCAAATAGTAATTTTGTCCTTTATTTTAAGTCAAGAATTCATAAGGCATGATATCTGTCTTGAAAATCTAAGCTCACCTTGATTCATGTCAAGAAAACTAAGAGCCATGCTTCATTTAAATTGGAATCTAAAACATTTCATTGGCAATCTGCATTTTAGAGACTGCAAAAATATCTGCCGAAGAAAAGCAGGAATTGGTCCTGTATGTGTTCAATTTCTCAAGATGTTAGAACAACTAACAAAACTAGCACAGCACTTTGATTTCCTTTGTTTTGAAGATAACACATTAGCTTAATTTTGAGCATTTTGTTCAGAGAAACACTAAGTGGTGTGATAATGGACGCACCACATAGATAATGGACGTAGCACATAGATTTTCACATTGCCAAGGATGTGAACAAGAAACCCATGGGAATACGATGTCTGGAAACTGCTTCATAGTGTCAAACTTGTCCATGGGTCCCAGGATCATTCCTTATTCTTGGCTATTAGTCTGCAAAATGTGACTTAGAAAAGACAAAAGGAAAGACCAGGCATGCAGTGGGTGTGGTGGCAAGGTTAGCACCATTTTGCCCTTAGATTTACACTGTCTGAGTCACCTTGACCACTTTGCTCTTTGGGCATCTACCTCTGCAAATAGAAGCTCTCAATGCTGAGTTCCAACCTGTTAACAATAGCAAAGGAGAAGTAGTCTGTTGCACTCATTAATTTTTCAGTGCCTTAAGGTCAGAGACCACACCTTCTTTACATTTTGCAACTTCCAAACCCAGCTGTATGCCTGGAACTAAAATAAACTGGCAACACATTTAGAACCATCCTTGATTCTCTGACAGGTAACTTGGTTTCTCTTTATAGTACAGTTGCTAATGTGCAGCTTCAGGCAATTTAGTCTCTCTCTGTCTTGTGAGGACCCAGACATTGTAAGTGCTGTATAAAGCACTTTTTTTTTTTTTTTTGGCCATGCTTCTTACCATGGTTTATCTTCTTAGAACTTAAGCTAAGACATTAAAAAAAAAATGCAGGTGGGGGATGTGGAGATGGGGAACCAACTTAGTAAATAGTAGCAAGACCATTTTGCCTCAGGGTATTTGCTTTCTACAAAGGGTTTCTTACAGCAAAGGGACGAAAAACACTTTGTCCAGATAGACATCTTGTCATAAGTGTTCTTTGTGTTCTTCAGAATTAATGGATAGTGAGGAACTTTCATATTCAGTTTTGATTTCTCTAGTCAATGAGCAGCTGCTGTTGTCCTCCTAAAAAGAAATTTCATTTTGTAGAAGATTTAGATCTTGGTAGGAAGGAATAATATTTATAGAAGGTCTGAATTCAGTGGGTAAATTTCTTACCTCTTCCTTGCTATAGTTGGCTTTAAATATATATACATTAAAAAAAAAATCACAGTGCTTGCATTACCACACCCTAGTCCTCACTCCTGGGCCATAATCCTTCCTATTTACTCTTATTTCTCTGGGCAGTTGAGCTGCTCCGGCTTCTTTTGGCTCACGAAAGCATTACATCATCATCCATTACATTCCCCCTATTGACCACATTGGAAGGATCTCTATGTTCTGTTTTAGCTCTTCAGCCCCACAGGTATGGCATAAATAAGAAATGTCAGACTTGTATAAAGGGCCTTCACGCTGCTATTTATTCTTACCCAGTCTTTAGTGGGTTGCTAGCTTAGGGCCCTATTTTCTAGCCTAATCAAAAGAGAATTGGTGGTGTACTTAAGATCTAGACCTGCTGTTTTGGTAGAATATGTAACTGCCTAGATAATGGAGTTGCAAGGATGAGAAGCCAAATCTATCCTTCATCACTGGATGCTGTCTAAAATTTGACTTTTGGAGTATCATCCTTTTATCTCTAAGCACTAATAAAGCATAGAGTGTGAAGAGAGTAGGGACAGAACTAACATTTTTGAAATCTGATATGTGCCAGAGAGTCTTTTAGGCAAAATCCCTTATTACTGTCTTTTTTTCTTTAATTCATGCAATAAAACTGTGAGATAGATACTATTATTATATTCATTTTGTGGATGAAGAAACTGTGGCTTAGAAAGAGCCTCAGGTCACACAGCTAGTCAGTAGGAAACCACCACCAGCACACAGTCAGTCATTACAGAAAACAGGATTTGAACTCTACTCTTCAAATCAGACTTGAAATTACTTGCTGTTTCCATCATATCCTGGGAGGAGTCTCAGAGCAGTCTTCCCAGTTAAGGAGTAGCCTCTCTTGGGAAGGAGAGGTCACTACTACAGGAAGAGGGAAAAGAGCAAGAGTGCTGAGTTTACAGAATATGATCAGCTGTTCATTGACATGTTTGCCTGGAAGTGGCCCTGCAGGCGCTGGCTGCAGAGCAGGTCTCTCCTGGGACTCCAGGGGAAACAGGTTACACAAATATGCAATCAGAGAATGCAAGAGTGTATGAGACCCTGGAAATCACCTAATCCAGCTCCTTTCTTTCACCGCAAATGAAGAAACAGACAGGAAAAAACTTACCCAGAAAGATGAAGCAAGTTCAGGGCAAAGCAGAGTCTATAAGCCATGCACTCCAATCTACCAGTTTCCTCAGCTTCTCAACCTCCCATATCTGCTTGGGCTGCCATCTTGGGTTATTATTCTTGGTCCAAACCTCAAACTCCATCACTTAATAATGCGTCAGCTTCCTACTAGCTATAGAAGTGAATTGTGAGGAGTCTGGTGGTTTTAAAAATATTTTTCTGGATAATTCAGAGTCCCCTGTTTCCAGAAGTACATTATTATCTGCATATACTATATTACTCATCATGTGCACTAGAACGTTGGCTCCTACTGCATGAATACAGCGATCACACTCACACATGCCACAACAGCAGCAGTGTCATTAGCATGGTGTCATTACACATGCACAGCCCACAGATGTTCCCCATTTCTAATCAGCCTTCCTCTACTTATTTCTTCAAATTATATGAAATTGTTTTCATTATTTCATAATGAACAGGACGGTAGAAAGCTTTAGCTTAGAGAGTTAATTATAGCCTTTAATTTTAAATCTGCCTCTTCAGAAGGTTGCTCACTGACTTAAGAACTATCTTACCCCAAATTGCCTGCAGCTCATATTTCCTCATGGCCTTCCAGGGCTCTGCTGACTCATGGAATAAAATTACTTTACCTTCTAGTGCCTCCAGTTTCTCATTTGTAAACTGGAGTGGCTGATACAGACCAGCTTTGAGGCATTTTTGTGACAAGCAGTAAAAAATGGTAGCAAGCTTAATTGTAGCTTTCTTGGACTCACTGCACAAGGGCATTCTCAAAGGTCTAAATGACTCTGTTCAGTTCAGTACATCAGTAGTTCAGAATCTTATGTTTTCGTTTTATAATTTTATCCTATAATTTAATACAAGGATGAAAGTTAACTTGTGAGTCCCTAAAAGACATACAGGAAAAAGAAAAGTTAATTTCTTATGTTGAGTTCTGACCTGAGCAGGATCACATTAGGTAAAAGTAGATCAGAAAAATGATCATCAGAATATATAAGAAAAAGAAAAGGAAATTGGATTATTCTGACGAGATTAAAAGACAATTGAAAGGTCAAAGTGACAAAAATTATCTCGTTATTTCTTGCATATGCTTCTTTGTTGTGGTTATCTTTTGTTCCCACATGGAAAAACTATTATAGTTCACCTAGGTAGCAAACCTGCACTTGTACCCGTGAACTTAAAAGTTAAAAAACATATATAATGAATGTCCATATAAGCCTGACACTGTTACAAATTTTTATTTCTTATGCTAAGTGCATTTTAATAAAATTTCTAGATTGAGAAAAAAATTAAGTGCTCAATCTTTTTTAAAAAGAAAATTTTTGTAATCTAGTCCTGGTGTGTGTGCATAGATGATGTTACATATTGGATTTTAAAGGATTAATGAATGTTTCAAAACACCTTCATCTTTGCTGAATGATGTTGGCGGGGTTTAAAGCTGTTTTGTGTTCACAATACTTCCTCCACAAAGTATTCACACACCATCTCCAGCTGCTGCTATTCTCTCTGCTACTTCTGCACTTTTTCCATGGCTCCATTACTGCCCCTTGACTGGATGATTTATGTGTTTAATATTCAGGCTGTCTGTCTTACTAGCATGGAAGTTCTTTGAGGTGTTTCTTTTCTGTGTAATCTCACAGGCATTATATATAGATGCTTAAAAAATCTTGTTGAGTGAATTAATGAATTAATGAGTGGGTGGATGGATGATGGTACCAGTCAGGCTAAAATACATAACTGCCCATGAGAAGTTACTGTTTGGCACTTGTATTGGTCAGGATTCTCGAGAGACACAAAACCAATAAGATATACATATACAGTAATGTGCTATATAATGATGTTTCAGTCAAGGAGGGAGCTCATTTATGATGGTGGTCTCATAAGATTATAACGGAGCTGAAAATTTCCTATCGCCAGGTGGTGTTGTAGCTGTCATAATGCAATACATTACTTACATGTTCATGATGACACTGATGTGAACAAACTTACTTCACTGCCTGTCATTTAAAAGTATAACATATATAATTACGCACAGTACATAATACTTGATGATGATACTAAATAACTACGTTAGTGGTTTGTGTATTTACTATACTATACTTTTTGTTATTATTTTGGAGTGTATGCCTTTGACTTATTACAAAAAAAAAAGTTAACTCTGAAACAGCATCAGGCAGGTCCTTCATGGGGTATTCCAGAAGGCATTGCTATCATAGGAGACGACAGCTCCACGCCTGTTATTGCCTCTGAAGACCTTCCAGGAGGACAAGATGTGGATATGGAAGAAGTGATATTAATGATCCTGAACCCATGTAGGCCTAGAATAATGCATGTGTTTGTGCCTTAGTTTTTAACAGAAAAGTTCAAAAAGTAACAAAAATTTAAAAACAGGAAAAAACTTGTAGAATAAGGACATAAACAAATAAATAATTTCTCTACAGCTTTATAATGTGTGTTTTAAGCTAAGTAAGTGTTATTACAAAAGCATCAAAAACTTAAAAACAATTAAAAAGTTTAAACATAAAAAGTTATAGTAAGCTAAGGTTAATTTATTATTGAAGAAAGGAAGGTTTTGTAAATTTAGTGTTCCCTAAGTGTACAGTGTTTATAAAGTCTACAGTAGTGTAAGGTAATGTCCTCAGCTTTCACATTGACTCACCACTCACTGACTTACCCAGAACACCTTCCAGCCCTGCAAGCTCCATTCATGGTAAGTGTCTTATATGGGAGTACTATTTTTAATCTTGTATGTCATATTTTTACTGTACCTGTTCTATATTTTGATATAATAATACTTAACCATTATATTACAATTGCCTACAGTATTCAGTATTCAACACAGTAACATGCTATATAGTTTTGTGGCCTAAGAGCAATAGGGTCTACCTGATATGCCAGGTGTGTAGAAGGCTATACTATTTAGGTTTGTGTATGTACATTCTATGATGTTCACACAACAATGAAATCACCTAATGACACATTTCCCATAACACATCCCCATTATTAAGCAATGCATGACTGAATATATATATAGAGAGAGAGAGAAAGAGCGAGAGAGATTTGTTTTCATGAATTGGCTCACATGATTATGGAGGGGGGCAAGTCCAAAATTGATAAAGCAGTCCAGCAAACTAGAAAGTCAAGCAAGAGTTGTTGTTGCAAGCTTGAGTCTAAAATATGCAGGACAAGAGAAGGCTTGAGACTCAGGCAGTACTTCTATTTTACAATATTGAGACAGAATTCCTTCTTCTCCAATAAACCTCACTTTTTGTGCTTAAGGCCTTCAAATAATTGGATGGGGTTCACCCACATTATCTAGAATAATCTCCTTTAATTTGTCAACCAAATAAAAAAATGGAAGGGCTCTTTAAAAGAAAATAATATTTATTTGAGAATAGGATGTGACAATGAGAATACACATGTCATAGTAAACTATGTGCATGGCCAAAGAGGTGAAGGAAGACAAAGATTTTTAAAGGAAAATGAGTAGGATTACATAATTGTTTTAAGGTAATCATCCTTGGCTTTGAGGACCAATAACAAGTCTGGCACAAGTCTGAGGTTGGATAAGCAGTTGCTGGGCAGATGTCTTCACAGACGTATTTTTTGTGTGTGAGATTGCAATAACTTTTGTGCCAGGTTATGGTTTTTGCCATCTTTTATAACAGTTATTGTTATCAATTATTTATGCATGAGAATCTTTCCTTCATGGCCTTCCCTAGCTCTATCAGGTTTCTTTCTTTCATTTCATTTTTTTTCTTGACACAAGTGACTTTATTTTGATTCTGACAACTTTCACATTTTCCTCTTTTGATCAAGATCTTTCTCTAAAAGAATCATTGAGCAATCATCTATAGTTAGGTTTTTATTGTTCTCCAGTGCCAGGATGGACCTGTCCTAGGTTGCTGGTCTGGTTCCACATTGGAGGCATTGAATGCAGCTAGGACCCAGTGTCAAAACCCCTTTAGCCACATTTGAGTGGCAAGAAAGGATTAGAGGGAGTGCTTCTCAGGCTAAGTCTACCCAAAGTCCACTGTTAAGTTCAATTTTGCCTGTTCCATATCTTTTGTTATTATCTCAAAGTGTTGGGCTAGCATTATTCTGTTAGGAGTTGTACTGCAAAAGTTTAACAAATAACAGATACAAAATCTGTAGTCTAAAAGTCTTGGGTCTGCAGGAAGTGACAATTTTTACTTATTCACTGTAAGGCTAGGAACCCTTGAAAGGAGGCATTCTATGCACACTTTCAAATATTGCATTTCAGTCAAAGCCTTGGTAATATAAACAAAGTTTACAGTTATATCCTGTTATAAAGAGAGAGCAAATTCTTATTTCACTTATGCAAACAACTCTATTTCTATAAGAATGTTCATGGATAGAGTCTGAATTTTAGAGGGATCAAGTAGGGAGAAAAAGCACATTCTTATACATTTGTTCACAAAAGTATACTTTACCAAATTGTTGTAAACTATAGCTAGCTTAAGAGAGAAAGTTTTCTTGAATCTGGAAAATAAAACATTTAAATAAAGAACCAATAGTGTTTTAAATGAAAGTCACAAAAACTTTATCTTATCAGTTATTTAATCACAGTTAATTAATCATCAGTTAACCTTTTAATTTTTGTTCTGCTTGATTTTGATTAGTAGTTTTACAAATTCAACAGTTTATTCATTAGCGTTCTGAAATTTTTTATTTAGTTCATTGGTCTTAAAATTATTGCAAACCTTTATTTAAGAGTACTTATTAGAGTCTTTTCCATAAATCTGATTGCAAATGCTTTTAGAGAAAAATTAAAACAATAACTGTGAATGATAAAAACTTAGAATAACCACAGTCAAAAATCTGATGGAAGCTCATTATAATCAGCAATTTACAATGCATTTGGTTATTTTTGTGGCATACAACATGTAACCAGAACTATGACCAATGACATTAAATTTTTAAGAGTTTTAAATAATTTTTGAACACTAATACAAAAAACATACTCGTAAATGTAACTGAAAGAAGATCTAGTATCATTTATCATTTGCCAGTGCTTCCCATGCAACTTAACAAATACGCCTACTCATCTAATATCTCTACAAGAAAGGAGATATATCTTTCGAGGTTCTCCAGGGGCCTGACTAGAAAATCTCCAAGTTAATTTTAGGTCAAAAATTTTTAATTTATAATTTTGACACTAATGAAGCCCATCAAAGATGTCAAAAGACTTCAAACACTTTATCAAAACAGACCACAGGTCACTGTGAAATAATAATAATCATTCATTTAACCAGTGTGATAAACAAAAGACTTCAAAAGCAACACAGCAAGTTACATAGATATTAAAAAAAACAACTCTTTTAAAGCTCAGTTTTCCTAAGTAACCAAAAACCTAATAAAAGCGACATAAAATTATCTTGATAAATACAAAATCTTTGTTTCTTATGCTGACTACCAAAACAATAAAAACAAACAAACAAAAACCCAAATACTTTCTGCAGTGTGATTCCTTTTTCTTATGGAAAGCCCATTTAGATAACCTGGAATTTGAACCTGATGAATAAGTACTTCAATTTAATTTTGCAAAAGAAGAGAATGTTTCCAAGTTTATGAGTATACATCGTATTATAAAAGAAGTAAACAAGAAAACTAGTACCCAAGACAGGGATTACATGGAATAATTCAGACACATCAAGAAAAGCTGAGTACAGAATCAAGTTATATTGGAGGGAATCATTGCTTTTCTAAAAGTTCAAGATAAACATTTTAGCATTGGGCCGTAAGAGTAGAGTCAGAACCATAAGAAAAAAAAGTTACAGGAGCTGACAAAAAAGTGGAAGGAGAGACTTATCATTCCAGACCTTGTCAAAGGGAGAAAGAGGAAGAGCAGAAAGCAATAAAGTATGACATGCAAATCACGTGCAATCAAAGTTGAATTTCTGAGCTAGAAATCTGAGAAGCCCCAATAAGAAAACTCTACCTTAAGAAATGAAATTACCATTCTAAATGAAAAAGATAGCATTTTTAACCTGAAACTAGAGAAATTAAATGGATCTCAGGAAGCACTGTGACAGAAATAGAACATGTAAAACAGGAAGAAGCTGCAATTCAAGAGATTATAAAAAATTTAAAGAAATTTATTTCAGAATAAACATCAAAACCTCTTGCAATGTTTACTAAGAGCAGATTGATACTTCATTAAAAAAAGGAGAGAAAGAAACAAACATACTGTTTAACTTGTTTACTAAGAACAGATTGATACTTCATTAAAAAAAAAAGGAAAGAAAAGAAACAAACCAGGCATAGTGGTGTGCACATGTAGTCCCAGCTACTTGAGACGCTGAGGCAGGAGGATTGCTTGAGCCAAATAGTTCAACTTCAGCTTCAGCAGCTTAGTGAGACCTCATCTCTAAAATACATTTTTTTAAAAACAAAATAAACCTTGTTCTAACATAGTGGAACACATTTTTTAGTTTTGAATTAATGTATTTTTAATATTAAAGTTCAATCTTTAAAAAGGCTTATAAATAATTTTGTTCTAATAATAGCCAACTTCATCACACACAAAAAATTTATTTTATAAATTCATTCTTTACAGACCTTTTACAACCTGCATAGGCCCTTGGTAACATGTTTAGAATTTCTGCTTTGCCCTATACTTCCTCTTTCTTAAATAACCAGTCATTTTACTCCAGAACAAAAATTTACTACACAAGATTCTATCTCATACAAAATTATTGTCTTTTTAACCTTTCTTATCAAAAAATACATTTCCATACTTATAAATTTCTTCACATTTTCCTCTCCTTCTTACTGGTTCCTTTCTATCTTGTTTCTATTAACTTCCTAAATTTATTTTTTGAGACAACTTATAATAAACTCTGAATTTAGACAAAATTATTCTTTTTTCTGAATAAAGAATATATTTTATGGCTTTATCATTAAAATACATCTTTTGATATACTTTATATATAGAATTATATATTGATTAAAATGTTAAACTCTTAGTAACCTTAATTTCTAGTGAAAACTTAGGAGGCAAAAAATTATAAACCATCTCTCACATATCAAGTATTTTATCTTATTTAAAAATGACTTAGATATTTAATGAGTATCTATCACTTTATTTAACATAACATTAAGACTTTAAATTATGTAAAAAGTTTATTTATATATGTTGATCCCGTTTCAATTTAACCACTGTATTTTAAACAGTTTAACTTATGAAAACTGAGATATTAGACAAAGCTAGTAGATGTTTTAAGTTGTTTTCCTGTTAAATATTTTCATAACCTATGATTATTAGGTGTTCACCTAAGTAAAAATATTAAAGTTAAATAAATGAATATTTTCCCAATACCTCAAAACATACAGCTGTTTTCATTATATCAACAATATTAAACAAGGTCATTCTGTTTCTAGGCTAAATTTATAGTTTTACAAGCTTTGTGTCACACCCTGACACTTTAAAACATCTATCAAAGACAAATATAAAATTGACCAGTAAATCTAGGCAAAAATGTATATTGACAATTCTGAAGACATTTCTATTTTTACTTTATCAACAAATTTAAAACCAAATAATTTATCAAATATTTACTTAAGTCACATTAAAAATATTTGGGTTTGTTATATTTTTGATAAAATATTTAGGCACTTTTTTCTTTTAAGTTAATCAGAGCTCTTTCATATATTGTAGTAAGAAAATATCACCTACACACAACATAAAAACATACAGACAACACAAATATATAGACAGAAGCAGGTTCCCTAGCTTTTATTTTGAAATTTTAGTCTTGAGACAGTAAAACAGTAACATTAACATAGCAATTGATTAAAGACATTTGAATCCAAACTGTATTTCTGACAAAATAGAACCTGTTCATATTGCTAAACTTTATTTGCCCTGATAGGTAATCTAATGAAAGCTGTGGAACAAAATTTTGGATAAAACAGTTTGGGTTAAAAAAAAAAAACAAAACTCTTTTTTTTTTCTTCCTTTCAGTTGCAGTTAAGTTTAGGGTTACATGTTCAATGTTTAAAATTTCAATATACATTTTAGCTAGTATTGGATGAACTGTACAAGAAAATCCAAACCTTCAAGTGTCCTTGAATGAATAACAAATCTATCTCATGTTTGCCAATATGTTTGACTAGTCAATATGAGTAGAGAAGCATTTTTAAAAAGCTACTTGCAGTTTTATTTATTTGCTTTTTTTCTGGCTCCTGAGTGGCAAACAAAGGAATTTTTTATGCTGGAGATACTTTGTATTATTGATCTAAGTTTAATATCTTGACCTGTTTGATCTGAGAGTCTGTTATAGATATGTATCTATTTTCCTTCCTTCCTTCCTTCCCCTCCTTCTTTCTCCTTCCTTCCTTCCTTTCTTCCTTCCTTCCTTTCCTCCTTCCTTCTTTCCTCCTTTTGACTCAAAGTCTCACTCTGTCGCCCAGGCTGGAGTGCAATGGCACAATCTCAGCTGACTGCAACTTTCACCTCCTGGGTTCAAGCAATTCTCCTGCCTCAGCCTCCCAAGTAGCTGGGATTACAGGCACCTGCCCCCACACCTGGCTAATTTTTGTATTCTTAGTAGAGACAAGGTTTCACCATGTTAGTCACGCTGGTCTCTTTGGCCAGGCTGGTCTTGAACTCCTGACCTTGTGATCTGCCCACCTTGGCCTCCCAAAGTGCTGGGATTATAGGCGTGAGACACCACACCCAGCCTCCTTTCTTTTAGAATATAAATATTCATTTAACTATTCTGTTACTCCAAGCAATTGCTAAGTCAAAAAACCTAATTCCCAAAAGATGTGTAGGTTGTTTGTTGCCATGGAGCTGTTGTAATTTGTACAGCCATTAATTTAAAAAAAAATCTTTGAAACTTTTTTTTTTAAATCTTGTCTGGTGTGCCATAAGCAGTGAGTTTATCTCAACACTAGTAGAAAATTAGCAGATTCAAAATAGCCAGAAGGAAAAATAGAGAGATTGAGAACTTAGAAAGCTCTGCATGTTAACTCTATGGTTGGTTGTAGATTTTTAACAAGCTTAGAGAGTTTGAATAATGGCCATTGAGCTCTGAATTTTCCTTGACATGAAGGAAAGTTTGCTCATTAGTTTAAAAATGTGCATGAGAACAGGCCATCATATGTAGCCAGCTGGAGTCTCAGAAAACCTGGCATGCCTTAATGTTTGAGAATCTCACTTTCTTTCTTATTAATCTCTCAAGAGCAAAGAAAATCCCATAAATCCTGTCAGAGAATGTCAGGAATTTGGACTAGTGTTTCAGGTATTCGCTTTTTAAATTAGTCATTCTGTGTCCGCCATTTAGGATGTATATTTTCGCTCTCAGAAGCTTTTCAGAAATAAGCTAGAGAAAAGAAGATCCAAGTTACTTACAGACATGTGTAACTAAACCAAAATCAGAGTGTTCACAAAAACTTTAACCCATGTATGCAGACCAAACAAAACATTAAACTAGGTGTCCAGAACCAATGTGAATTCACCAGAAAAGTCATGCCTGAGAAACAATATAAATTCTGTAAAAACTAGAGTACTCTTATCTTTACACCAGAAAGCGTTTGCAAAACAAACAAACAAACCCCCAAAACTTCCATAGTTTTAAGAGGGATGCAAGTTCCTTTATTTAAGGCTGCCTTAGTACCAAACCAAATCCTGAAGAAAGTCAAAAAGCCTCTACCAAAAAGAGACTCAGCCTAAGAGAAGATTCACCAGGTCAGAAAAGACAAGGCATGCACGTGGCGAGCTCAGAGATCTCAAGTGAATACTGCACACCAGTTCCAAGAATCGCAGATTCCTTCTAAAAGTGCTCTTGCTTCAGGTCCTGCTTCTGGACACATTTATGTCAACCTAAATAACAAACAGAGAGATGCTCTTTAAAAGAAAACATTTATTCAGGGATAGGACACTATAACTATTCAGAAATAGGACACACACTGTATGTGTGCCATAGTAAACTGTGTGAGTATTCAGGGAGGTAAAGGAAGACAAAGGTTTTTAAAAGAAAAATGAGGAAGATTACATAATTATTGCAAGATAATTATCTTTGCTACAAGGATCAATAACAAGGTTGGACAGGCAGTTGCTGGGCAGATGTCTTGCAGAAGTTTTTCTATGTAAAGTTGCAATGGCCTTTGTGCAAGGTTGTGGTTTTTGCAGTCTTATGTGATCATTCTTACTAAAAGTCATTTATGCATAAGAACTCTCCTTTCATGACTTTCTTCAGCTGTATTTTTTTTTCACAAGTGACTCCATTTTGATGTTAACAATTCTCACAACTTAAAGTCAACTAGTTGTAAATGTTAGTCACATCTATAAAATACATTCACAGCAAAGCTAGACTAGTGTCTGACCATACTACTGGGCCCCATATCTCAGCCATGTTGACACATAAAATTAACAGTCACAGCATGTGAAAACTGAATGGTGCTTCCATGTAACCAGAAACAAAACAAGTGACCAATGAGATCCTTGTGGCCATGAAAAGGTTGCCTTCACATACTTCAATGTATATATAAATCACTGGAGATTTTGTTTAAATACAAATTCTAACCCACTAGGTCTGGGATGGGGCCTGGGATCCTGCAATTCTAACAAGCTCCAAGATGATGCTCATGCTGCTCATCTGTGTCTGAGTAACAAGACCTCTGAAGACCTGCCTGAGAGTAGTAGATGGCCAAAAAGACAAGACAGGCTTAATAAATGGCTGAAACTGGGGCACAAGATAAGCAGGAGACTCTGAATATGAAATTATAATGTTCAAATTTGAGGTGAGCCAGAAAAGATGTAACAATTGCAGCAACTTCTGCAAAGCAATAGCAGAAAACCTCAGGACTCTCTACTGAAATAATTGGCTGCTTCTGGGAAACGACAGTTTCAGAGTCCCAGTGACTAGTAGGCAGAGACCCATATGAAATATCAGAAGAGCACTGAGCATATTAACCTCGAAACAATGCAATGGGAAAGCATTAGCTGCGTTTCCGACATCTCCAGATAAATGAAGGGGCTGTGATTAAATGAGACCACACTGGTGTTCCCATGTAGTAATTAGTTACGTAAGTGTCTCTAAGTCAGTGGCTCTCAAACTTTTCCACCCAAATTCCCGTAATAGCAGAGGAGAGCTAAAAATGTATTCCCAAGAGCCTGTCTTAACAAAGTCCACAGCCCTTTAAAGCTGCACATTTTCACTCTTAAAGGCCTATAAATGTATTCTATATGATTTAGGGTTCTCCAGAGAGACAGAATCAATAAGGTAGATAGGTAGATGTAGATATTTGAGAGGGGATTTATTAAGAGAATTAACTGATGGGATTATGGAGGCTGAGAATTCCCATGGCAGGCCATCTGCAAACTGGAGACCGTGGGATACTGGTAGGACAGCTCAGTCCAAGTTCAAAAGCCTCAGAACCAGGGAAGCAGATGAAATAATTTTCAGTCCAAGGCCAATGGCCTGAGAACCCCGGGGGCGGCTGGCATGTCTTAGAGTCAAAAGGCCAGAGAGCTTGGAGTGCTTATGTCCAAGGGGAGGAGAAGAAGAACACGCCACCTCCAGGAGAGAGAGAGAGAGAGAGAGAGAGAGAAACTCACCTTTTCTCTGTCTTCTGTTCTATCCAGGCTCCCAGCTGATTGGATGATGCCTGCTGACATTGAGGGCAAATCTGCTCCACACAGTTCACTGACTCATGCCAATCTCCTCTGGAAACCCCCTCACAGACACACCCAGAAGTGATGCTTTTCCAGCTCTCTAGATATTCCTTAATCCAGTCAAGTTGACACCAAAAATTAGCCATCATGTATTCCATTCCATAAAATAACTGAGTTTGTCTTAATATAAAAGTATTTTATATTATTTGCAATCAGATAAACTGAATTTCCAGCAAACAGGACTCAGGCCTTCTCATCCTCCTGGTACACATAATATACCACCTAGGGGAACACTTAAGAACTTTGGTCACCTGCATATTGGTCATCTACATCAGAGGCTGACAACTACTTCTGAGGGCAGAATCTAGCCCACCATATGTTTTTGTAAATAAAACTTTACTGGAGCACAGCCATACCCACTATGGCTGCTTTCATACTACAGAGGCAGAGTTGAGTAGTTGCCACAGATACTGTAGGGTCACAAAGCCAAAATTATTTACAGGAGGTTCTCAAATAACATCATTTCATTTAATGTCATGTTTGTTGATGAGAAAAGAATTGATTCCCAGCCAGATCTAGACAAGGGGAGTTCGCATGTTCTACCATTGTCTTCATGGGCTTTCTCTGGGCACTCTGGTTTCCTCCCACAACCCAAAGATGTGAACGTGAGATGGGTTGGCGTGTCTAAGTTATCCCAGTAGGCATGAGTGTGGGTGTGTGTGTGTGAGTGCCCCTACCATGGGATGGCATCCTGTCCAGGGTGGGTTTCTGCCTTGCTCGCTGAGCTGCTGGGATAGGCTCCGGCCACTCTGACCCTGAATAAGTGGTTTAGAAAATGAATAAATAAATTAATTAATATAAATTATTTCAGAGTAAAAATGTCATAAAGTATATGGTAATCATACAAATGCATAACAATAAACGATGCAGCATGAAAGCACTCAGAGAGCCTGCTGTGTTGGTTTTTGTTTGTTTTTGAGTTGTGTGGTGGTAGGAGGTACTCCTTACAATTTTCGTTTTGCAAATATTTATTCTTTGATTTAACCCATGACTACTACAACTGCCATCACTCAATGATTCACCAAAAATTGGGTAAATAATTATCTCATTTGTTTTAATTAATCTTAAATGTATGTATAGCCCACATTTATTTCAATGTTTAATATTAGAAGTGTTTTGGGTTTTTATTTAGAAGTTTGGTGATGATTTTGTGACCAGAAATATGTAGGAGGAATTTAACTCTTGTTTAGATTAATTAGCCTATGGTAAGATTGGTTTCATTATATGTCGTTTCACTTAAAGTTGCAGTTTCCAAGAACCTATTGAAAACGTTAAAGTGAGGACTTATGTATTATTTGACTCTTCAAAGAAAAAGTTTGGCCACCCTGATCTAAATTATTGTGTTGCTTTTCCCTTAATAAATGATGTTACTACTTTCCCAGAATTGTATGTAAAGAGTCCTTTCAGATGTTATAAATGAAGCAAGCCTGAATTAGTTAGATCCCACTGATTATTGGCTCAGACATTGATGTCTATGGAGTGAACAAGATCTTCAATTAGACACACTCATTTAACTCAAGTAAAGCAAACGGGGTCAGCCGTATTGAAGTGAGCCAGCTTTTCCAACCTGAGCTGAACCCGTGCCCCTGGACAGGCAGAGCTAAAGTTGTCTCATGTAAATGCAAATGCCTTCTTGTGTAAGCTATTCTGTAATGAATGATGCAGGGGAAATTAGTGTTTAGACAGCCTGGTACTGATAATTATGGATTACAAGAAAAAAATTAAACATAAAATGAGGAAAGTGGGCACGAGGAAATGGAGAAAGTACACACTCAGGACAGCTGGAGGAATTTAGTATCCTGGAACCTGACAGCCCAGAACAGTTCAGAGCAGATCCAGCCAGGGCAGCATTCAAGCAAAGCTTTGAGACAATGCTGAGAGTTTAATCCGGGATAAATGTGGCTGACAAATCCAAAGGACAGGCATTGGGCTAAGAATAGCATATAAGCCAAGGGAAAGGAAACCCAGATTTGAAACCGAGCAAGAGGAAGGACGACAGCCAAGCTAGGAAATATGTAGAGGATTACACCACAGAGAAAGGGAAACTAGCTTGCCTTTAATGGCTTTTAAGTCAGTGTTTGAAGTTTGGGCAATTTGAAGCAGTTAGAAGAAACTGAAGCTGTTTAGCAGGGTCATCCATTCAAAAAATACAATTTCAGGGTGCTTCTGAAGTTATATATATATACGTGTGTGTGTGTATATATATGTGTGTGTCTGTGTGTCTGTGTGTATGTGTGTGTGTGTGTGTGTATATGTGTGTATATATATATGTGTATATATATATGTGTATATATATATGTGTATATATGTATGTGTATATATATGTGTGTATATATATATGTGTATATATATATGTGTGTGTGTATATATATATATATATATGTGTGTGTGTGTATATATATATATATATATATATATATTTTCCCCCTGAGTTTGAGGGCAAGACTTAAAGAACCACACAGAAAAAAATCTTTCTTCCTCAGAAATTCTGGGGTAGTTAGTCCCAGGAATTGGGGATTGGAAAAGCAGAATGAAATTTTCAAGGTAAAGCACTTTACTTACAGCAAAAGTTGTAAACTTGTTCCTGAACGGGCTTGACTTTAAGGAATGGAAAGAGATTCATACCCCAGGAAATCTCAAAAATGTTTTGCTTACATGGGGTCAGTATCGTCTCTGTAATCATATTATATACATGAAATCTGATTGGCTTTATATATTATCTATACCAAGAGTTTTTCACTTCTGGGTAAAATGCTCCAAATGGGTGTTCCTCCCTTCCACCCCCTAAAAATAAAATAACTAGCCCAGTTACTATTGTTGCTTATCCAGTGTTAACTAGATGTACAGAGCTATAAAAGGACAGGAATTCTCTCAAACAAGTAAACATGTTGTTTCCCGTGTCTCTAACTGGTATCCCTGTTGTGTCACGAATGGCATCAGCCTTAGGATGAAGATGACGTAGAAGATAACTAAGTGGTGGGGCTGGAAAAATCTTAGCTCTTGCTGGCCTCATGAAATCACTGGTGTACTCTATGCTGGACCTCCAGTTATAGGAAAGATAACATTTCTATTTTGCTTAGATCATTTTGAGTTGGAGTTTCCATTACTTGCTGCCAAAATCATACTGATGCATACTGATATGGCCAGGTCCTCCTCCAGATGCTGAGGATACAATGGTAAATATGAAATAGACAAGGGTTAACTGGAACAGCAGCAAAGAAACCAGATAATTTTAGCAGAATAATTGATGATGGCTATTTGACCCCCAAATTGGTGCTACTGTTGACTGATTTCAATTTAAGGAAGGGAGTGAATCCTGGGGGTGCAATACCAAACTCATTGTAGGAATTACAGTTTCTAAAAATTGAATGGTTATTTACATGCTTAACGTTGAGGAGACATTGGAAATAGGAGATGTTATGGGGGGCAGGGGAAGCAGGGATGCTTCCACTAGGAAACCTCCTTTAAAGGGTACTCAGAAAGAGTATCCAAGAATATGAAGGAAAATCAGGAGAATATGGAATCAAGGAAGCCAAGAGAAGAGTATTTAAAGGAAGCCATGGTCAACTGTGCAAAGCAGCTTAGGAGTTAGGAAAGATGCTGGCTGTAAACTGTTAGATTTAACCACAACAAGGTCAATGTGAACCACGACAAAATAAGTTTCAGTGTGGAGAGAGTCGTGGGTGTTGGACGGGAGGGAATTGAACAAGGAAAGGAGGGAAAGGCAGTGGAGTCAGGGATTATTTTTTCAAGCAGTTTAGCTGGAAAGGGGGATAGAAAAATATAGAAGATTGTGCATATTTGGGGAGGAGAGGGAGAATTTCAAAGTTCCACAGAAGATTCTGTTTGGCCCTCCTGATTGAGAACCTCTTATAAAGAGGAATAATCAGTTACATTTAGCCTTTATTACAGGCCCATACTATACAATAGGTATTCAGAAGGGGCCTGTTTTAAAAGGTCCACCCTGTGAGTCACATAATGAACAATGACAATTAGATGGGTAGGTTAGGATTTCCCAACAATATACTTGCTGTGTTGAGTTTGGCTATGAAGGGCTTTTAATTTCCTGTATAAGATTGTTATTTTAATTACCTTTCTCAGGGAGTTTTGCTTACTTACTCTATGGTTTTGAATGGTGTTCAAAACTTACTCGGTGCCGAGGCCAGCTCGGTCGGGGAGACCCTAATCCAGTGGCGCTAGAAGAATTAAAGGCACACACACAGAAATATAGAGGTGTGAAGTGGGAAATCAGGGGTCTCACAGCCTTCAGAGCTGAGATCCCAGAACAGAGATTTATCCATGTATTTATTAACAGCAAGCCAGTCATTAGCATTGTTTCTATAGATATTAAATTAACTAAAAGTATCCCTTATGGGAAAGGAAGGGATGGGCCGAATTAAAGGAATAGGTTGGGCTAGTTAACTGCAGCAGAAGCATGTCCTTAAGGCACAGATCACTCAGGCTATTGTTTGTGGCTTAAGAATGCCTTTAAGCGGTTTTTCACCCTGGGCGGGCCAGGTATTCCTTGCCCTCATTCCAGTAAACCCATAAGCTTCCACCATGGGCATTATGGCCATCATGAACATGTCACAGTGCTGCAGAGATTTTGTTTATGGCCAGTTTTGGGGCCAGTTTATGGCCAGATTCTGGGGGGGCTGTTCCCAACAATTTGGTAAGACTTTGTTTGTTTTTAATTGCACATTTGTTTTTAATTCACTTCATATATATTATGAAGTGAAGTGAATTGAAAATCACTCTGGTCCTACCACACAGAGAAAACCTCTCTACACATTTCAGCATGCTTCCTTTTAGTCTTTTTTGCTGCATGTGTATTTGTCAGCACCTTCCATGTGTTTACTACTTCCTTAGGCCTGGGCACCACTGGAAGCAGCCATGAAATGTGAAGCCTAGACCCCACTCTCCAAGAGCTGACAGTATATTTGAAAGGAAAATCGTACAGAATGAGCTGCAAGAGGGAATCATGGCCAGGGCCAACATTAAGGGGAGGCAAGTGAGGCCGCATCATGCAAGGGCAGGATCAAATTCTGGCTTTATTTTAAAATGTGATATTTTGTTCATCCTGAAATTTTTTTGTGCTAATTTGATTTTTAAAAAATATTCTATCAAAATATTATACATCTTAATTGCTGAGTTGTTTAGGGCCCCTTAAATTTTGTGCCCAAAGAGAATGCCTCACTGGCCTCATCTTGGTAATCCCCTGGCTGACAGCATGGGCCTTAGATTCAGACAGATGTAGGTTTGAATCCATCCCTCACGCTTACTGGAGATGTGACCTGAGCAAGTTACTTGCCCTCTGTAAGCTCAATATTTGTAAAGTGGAGCCAGTTAAATTAAGTAAGTTAATACAGCTAAAGTACTGATAAGCTTAAGGACGTAACAGATATTTAGTAAAAAGAATATTATTTCAAAACAAAATGAGTGATCTAAATATTCACTATAAAATAGCACTGTTCAATAGAAATTGAATGTAAATCAAGTGATTTTAAAAGCAGCTATTTTTTTAAAAGGTGAGTGAAATTTTAATATTTTAATGTTATTAAACTCAATATATCTAAAATATCATTTCAACATAAAAGCAATATAAAAATTATTAATGGGTTATTTTACATTTTTTAATACTAAGTCTTAGAAATTAGGTATGTATTTTATACTTACAGCACACCTCGATTTTGACGAGCCAAATTTCAAGTGCTCAGTAGCCACATGTGTCTGGTGGCTGCCATATTGGATGGCACACATATAGACCTTCTTGGAAGATATTTGGAGACTAGAGTAGTTGAGACAGAAGTGTGGAAAAAGTAAGGCATTTTTAAACCTGGTTAATAAGGAAACTTTGGAAAGAGAACAACCTTCAGGTATGGGACAGTTTCTAATATCCTTTGAATAACTCTCTTTGAAATATGAAAGGGTACGATTGGTCAAA
Organism: Homo sapiens; assembly: GCF_000001405.40. Lineage (NCBI taxonomy): Eukaryota > Metazoa > Chordata > Mammalia > Primates > Hominidae > Homo > Homo sapiens. The sequence goes on from NC_000008.11 coordinate 85,860,571, forward strand.
AGAAAACTTCAGCTGAATTAAATTTAACAGAGTTTAATTGAGCAAAGAACAATTCGCAGATGGGGCAGCCTCCCGAGCCAGAGTAGGCTCAGAGACTCCAGTGCAGCCATGTGGTGAAAGATTTATGGACAGAAAAAGAAAAGGAACATGCAGAAAACGGATGTGAGGTACAGAAACAGCTAGATTGGTTACAGCTTGGTGTTTGCCTTAGTTAAACATGGTTTGAACAGTTGGCCACATTTGATTGGCCAAAACTTGGCTACTGTCACAAGAGTAGGCTACAGTCTGTTTATACCTCTACTTGTTATGGTTAACGAGGTACAGAGAAACCTTTAGGCTGAACTTAAAATATGTAAGCAGGCAACTTTAGGCTAAACTTGATTTAACAGAATATTTGGGAATACAATTAGGAAAAAAATATTCAATGGGAAGAAAACATTACTCCCCCTTTAATTTCTACCAGTTTATCAAACGTTATTTGCTTCTGCACTATCCTTCATTCTCTTATTCTATTTCCTTTGGATTCTAAGAACATCTTAATGTTATTTCTGAGCACATTAGCCATGGATTTGAAATATTTTGAGTTTTAATTTAGTCTGTTCCCTGGGCCAAAAAATTGATGAGCATTTGAGAGCATAGCACCTAGATATTTCACAGATATTTTAAAGGCTTGAAAAATTCAAACTTGAAAAAATAAAACTATAACTAAACTTAAAGTTGGCAAAGAATTATAATTCTAAAGTGACTTGCTTAGAGTCGAACTCTTACTGGGAAGGTGAGAGTCTGTCTGCTTAATTCACTTTGTGTTAAGAAAACTAAAAAACCAACAACAAATTTCCCAAAGAATATGTACAACATCCTTGAGGATAGTGTAAAATCAAAAACATTTTTAAAGATACTAACTCCAAGTACCTTTGCTTCCTGGCCTCCATCAGGAATCCTGGACTCCCAGTGGAATCTTCACCTTCTTTGCCACATACATGTCCCCTTATGTTAGCAATGATTGCAGACAGTGTACTACACTTGCAGCAAAATCCAGCCAGACCCATCAGCCCCAAGTTACTTTTCTAGCATGAAAGAAATTGCTGCTTTTTTGTGTGTGCTCATAGTTTATTTATAGCATTTAACATTTTACTTCAAGTCAAGACCTAATTTTAGAGTGCAAGAATTGACTCTTTTTGGAAATAGTAGGGATGAAATTTCTTTAAGAAGTGCCTTCCTCATGATCTCTATATTTTTAAGGTAAATGCTGAGTCATTCATGATGCATTAAAAAAAAAATCTTTCTTTTTTTCAACTCTCCTTCCTGGATTGGAAGTGAATGCCAAATCTCATGTAGAAATCATTTTCTGGAAGTTTTCCAGGTCTGAGAATATGGGGAAAAGGTCTTTTAAAATTCTACGGCTTCACTGTTCTGTGTGTGTGCCTGTACCAGCAGTTTTGGTCTCACCTGAGAGTTTCTTAAGAAAGCAGAATTTCCTGTCTAATTGTATCTTTATACATACTAACCAATCTCTCCCTGTTTCCCTCTCCCTTGCCCTCCCCAATCTCTGGTAACTGCTGTTCTAGGAAATCAATTTTTTTTGATTTCACATATGAGTGAGAACATATTGTATTGTCTTTCTGTGTCTGGCTTATTTCACTTAACATTATGTCTTCCAGGTTTATCCACATTCTGGTGTCCTATTGCACAATAGGGTTACTATAATAACAATAATGTATTGAATATTTCAAAATAGCCAAAAGAAAGGATTTTGAATGTTCTAACTACAAAGAAATAATACATGTTTGAGTCTATGGATATGTTAATTACCCCAATTTGGTCATTGCAGAATATATACATGTGTTGAAATATCACATTGTACCCCATACATATATACAATTATGTGTCAAAACTTTAAAATTTAAGATAAAAAATTTTTTAAAGAAAGTAGAATCCCAAGCTCCAACCAAACCTACCCAGATCAGAATCTGCATTTTAATAAATTTCATGAGATGATTCTTACACATATTAAAGTTTGAGAACTGATCTATAGAGTACAAAGGCCTCCATAGTTTTGTTTAAATAATTATTGTTAAAACATCCACGATAAATAGTTCCATTACTATTACAGTTTTTCAAATTAAAATTTAAAAGTTTCCATACTTGACCATTTAACTAAGATTTCCATTATAATATCATGCTGCCATTCAAAAGAATCTTTGACCTGAATATTCCTTTACAAAAATGTTCTGGTGTAATTTACAAATATTCTTGTAATCTATACAGGTATTCACATTCATTCTTATACAAGCACCCTTGGAATGAGATCCAGGCATGGGTATTTTTTAAAAGCTTCTCAGGGGAAGCTGGTATGCAGCTAGGACTGAGGGCTGCTGTTTAGTCTCCAGAATATCTGATCCGCAGACCTCAAGCTAATAATTACAGCTCCGGTTCTTATAAGATGTATAATTCGCCCATGGGCTGATTCAGGTCAAGATTTATTTCCTGCCTTTTCTTGCTCTCCTTGGTTTTTTAGTTCTTAGCTATACCCTAAACAGTCATTCTTATAGCTCTGCCATGATTTCACTCATAAATCATTTCCTTTCACACTTCTGGTATCTTTCCAGCCTTTCAGAGTTTTTCTGGAATCCAGGAGCCTGAAAATAGTATCCCAGATGTGTCTACCTCCATTTTCCTCCCTTCTTTCTCTGTGATATTCTTCAAAGACAGCCCAAAATAGCACTGGCCTCCTCTTGCTGGGACTTCAACATTCTCAGGCAGATTTGCATTTTTTAAATTAAAAAAAAATCCAGAGTAGCTTTACTAAATTCGATATCCAGCTATTCAGATCACTGATTCATATTTTACAAAGCCAGTGATTATATTTTAAAACTAGAGATGCTGGTAGGATGATGGCCAAGCTCAGAATGCAGTGAGTTTCAGCCTACTTCTGCTCCCCACTCTCGATGAAATGGCTGGCAAGCAGCTCAAGGCTGATTTCTGTGCTGGACCACAGAACAGATGACACTCCTATCCTGTTATGTTTGCTTTAGAAGCATTTTAAAATGCTCTTTGGATGAATAATATTAAAATCTCCCAAACCAAATGAAGGCATTACATAAAACAAATAATAAATTAATACCATAAAGACATTTCTGGCCAATTACTTTCCCACATAGTAATTTTAAAAACATGCATATTTCACAACTAGGGAGCCAATTTGGATTTGAGAATGTAGCTGTTAGAATGACCTAGTTATTATATTTCTATGTGCTTTATTTGGGGACCGTTTTGATAAGCCCATAGGTAGTAAAAATACTTCTTTAAAAAGAAACAAAAACTGTTGTTTTCTATCTGCTGTCATGTGTCTAGAAAGCAAGAGTGCGGGATTCTGTTTTCTGTTTCAGGAACCACCCAGGTCTTTTTGCCCTCTGGCTCAAGCGTCCCCTCCCTTTGGGTTCTGAGCTGACAGGTCTCTGCAGCCTATAACCTACTTTTCCACTTGATCAGTCTACTAGTTTTATCTTTAGTAATTCACATCAGCATTGAGCCCTAAGACATGAAGTCCTGTCAAGCTGGCCCAATGAGAAAACCAATTTAAATATGTGAGAGAACATTAAGTGACTGCCTTGGGTTTTGAGTCCACCATGAAGAGAACTGAAAGTACTCAATGTCTTGAGTTCATGCAACTTTCCCTACCAATATTTTGCCAGACAAGGGACTTGAAATCAAGTAGGACATATTATGTGCCAGGAAATGTACTTTTCAGGAAAGTACTTTAAAGATAAAGATTAAAAGCACTTTATGGGGCCTTCATGGCAATATTATCATTCAAGGGCATCCTTAAAAGTTAAACTTTTACTAGAAAACTATATAAATAAAGATGGGATCATTAAATGTTTTAAAGTACAAATTAACTAGCAAGATTTAAAAAATTTTTTAAATCGACCTAGGAATTCAGAAGTGGAACAGTAATCTACTTTAAATTGTTTTTTGGGGAAAAAAAAGTGTGATGTTAATGAATAAACATGCATTTAAAAAAAAATTCCAAGTACTATTAAATAGGCTGTACATGAAATCATGAAAGCAATTCTAAAAGAGAAACATTCCAAAAAATCTACATGTTTTAATATATTGTTAAGTTTCCATTATATGGTTTACCTTCCCTGTGGATCAGCAATAGACAAGTTGAAATCCTGAGCTGACTTTCTCATTCCCAACCCATATGCAGCCCACTTCCAGCTGTCTTTTCCATTTTACCTCCTGGTATGTGCCCTAGGGCCATAACCCGGCTTTAATGCCACCCAAGACACGTCTACTGATTTAAACAACAACCATCAACACCAACAAACATAACACGTAACCCCAAGATGTTACCCTTATTTCCCTAGATCAGGGCAATCACAGGGAAATATAAAGGGCTTTGTTAACAACCATAGTGGTATTAGCTGCAGCCCCACTGACTTTCATTATTTTGAGTTTAGATCCCATCATTTGAATATGTCCTCTAAATACATGTGTTGAAAACTTAACCCCCAATGCAGCAGTGTTGGGAAGTAATTGGGTCTGTAGGGGCAGAGGACTCATGAATAGATCAAGTTGGTACTGGAGGTGGCTAGGTATTGCAAGAGTGGATTGTTATGCAAGGGAGTCCACCCTTCATGCTCTTTCTGTCTTGCATGCTCACTTCTGCCCTTCCACATGGGATGAACCTTGCCAGATGCTGGTGCCATGCTTTTAGACTTCCCATTCTTCAGAACTGTGAGCCACATTCATGTATTTTCTTTATAATTACCCAGTCTGTGGTATTTGGCTATAGCAACACAAAATAAGACCAAGACATTTCTCCTGCACCACTCAGCCTGCCTCACTCAATGCTCAGTATAATGCTCAAGTATAAGCTTTCTTAAGATATGAAGTTCAAGTGTTAAATAATGTCAGATACCTCACTTAACACACAGTAATATACATTTTATGAGTATCATTATTTAATCATTTATTCACATATTCCAACAGACCACAGGTATAGCTATTGATTTTCTTCTTCAGTCCCAGCGTTCAGTAAATTTATTCATTTGATAAATACTCAGCTAGTCCCAGGCACCTTGGTAAGACAAATATTTACTCTGGTGACTCTGCCAATGATCAAAATATTTTCAGAACTTTTTTTTATTTGTTTTTTGGGGTCAGAAGTGTGTCAATTATATAACACCTTACATTCATGGAGCCAGTGCACAAACATTGTCACATTGTCTAATCTAGTCCTTATACTAATCAGGGGATTATCACAATTCATATACCAGGAGCACACTGCTAACTGTATCCCGCTCAATATATACTTGAAAGAATGACTTCTAAACACATTTGACAGCCGAAAATGGAGACTGGAGGGAAGTGAGTGACTCTGTTCACAAAGTCAACATCCAAGATGTAAGAACACAAACTTTCAACTTCTGACCCACAATTATTTTTTTCTTCAATACACCAGTATCTTCAACAGTGACAAATCGTTACCTTGAGGGAAGACTTGATATGTGAAAAACTCTCAAAATTCATCAAGAGTTAATTATAAGTATGGTGGGGAACCAAACTCGAAAATAGCAGGAAGATTGTATTGTTTTGTTTTGTTTTGTTATGTTTTTAATAAAATTGAGGCATTGATACTCAGGTAACAAACGAGCCATATTTTCTTGAGTGGCTTATGAAGTGGCTCTGTAGACAGTTCTGGGAAACTAGTTCTAAATATTTGTGTGCAGTGTCAGCTTCTCTAAAAGAAGCATGCAGGACTGTTTTAGAGGAGCAGGATGTTCTGTCAGAATGGCAAAGGGATCACAGTGAGTTTCATGAGTCTTGGTCTGTGGTCCAGGCTTGATCCTTCAAAAAGCATACACAGGACTCTTTGCATTTGTTGTTTACTTTAAAAAACATTAAGTAGAGCATGGGACCTGAGGTTTAACAACTATACAAACAAATATATATTTTTAAAACATTAAGCAAACCAATACAACTTATAATCAAACAAATCCAGACTCAATCCAGAACAAGGAATAAGAGTTGCATTATTCACCTAGAAACTCTGCCCCGGCCTTCCCTTTCACTGGATTGTAACGGAAGCAAGGAATGAGGCAGCTTAGTCTAGCCAGAGGTAATGCCACATAGAAGCCTGTCTAGTTTCTTTAAAGACCTTAAAGAAAATGGAATAAGCAACTGGGGCAAAAAGCACTGGTTGTGGTTTCCAGATAAGGGCTGCAGCCCTCTATCCTATCTGTGATGAGGCCAAGGAGAGAATGGTGCATACATTAAAACCCAGAGGTATCTGAGCTTTGATATCCTTGTGGAGCTGGCTGATCAGACTGAGCCATTTCACCCTCAGGGGTAAACACAATATGCAGATCGTATTTCCAGAGCATAGGAATGTTCAAATTCATAGACTTTTCTTTCTTAATTCTAACTTTTATGTTCATGGCTAAAATCTGACATACTCTCAAGGTTTTTACATCCCATAACTATCAAATAACACGAGCAATCTATGAACTGGCCATTTTACAGGGGGAAGGAAATCGCTTCTGGAAATATAAAAAATAATCTTTGACTCTTGGCATGTTAGTGTTCATTTGTTTTTTTCCTCAGGTCCTGTATTGGGAAGCTCTGTAACAGTGAACTTTCACATAACGATGGGGTTGTTAGAGGTTACACAGAGATAGTCGAGTGGCAGATAAATCACTGGGCCAGATTTTATCATCTCTGATCTGAGAAACTCAGAGAAGGAACAAGCATTTCTCAATATCAAGGCTGATACTGAAGAAAACGGAAGGATAACACAAAGCTAGATAAATACACAATAATAGTTATCATCTGGCAAAGCAGACTTTGTAGAGCCATGACCATGAAAACAAAGCAGCTCTTGAAAGTTAGGCTAAAGATAGATTAACACAGATCAAAGTAGGCTTAATTAAGAGCACTACCATGAAGAGTTAATTTGAGGACTAATTGAAAACTAGAGATGTTGAAGAGCCCAGATTAGCTCTATGAAAATCAGAGAAGACAACATAAGTTTCTTTTTTTTTTTTTTTTTACCTTGAAGTTAGTTTTTTATTTACAGAATACACCCTTATCCAAAATGTATCAACATGAGGCAGAGTGCTGTGGCTCACGCCTGTAATCTGAGCACTTTGGGAGGCCGAGGAGGGCTGGTCATTTGAGCCCAGGTCATTTGAGCCCAGGAGTTCAAGACAAGCCTGGGCAACGTGGCGAAACCCTGTCTCTACCAAAAACACAAAAAATTAGCTGGACATGGTGGCTCGTGCCTGTAGTCCTGTAGTCTCAGCTACTCGGGGAGCTGAAGTGGGAGGATTGCTCGAACCTGGGAAGTCAAGGCTGTAGTGAGCCATGATCACACCACCACACTCCATCCCGAGTGACAGTGCAAGATCCTGTCTCAGGAAAAAAAAATAGTATCATCATGCATGGTAAATGGAAACTTACAAATATTACCTAGTTAGGTTGGTCAGGATGTCTAAACTATCTTTGCAAATGATAATTGCTAACATTATTGAGTACTGTGATGTGCCACATGGATATATTTTCATCTCGTATAATACTCATAAAAGCTCAATGTGGTTTTAGTTACTCTTATTATTCCCATTTTAAACATGTGAAAACTGAGGCTCAGAAAGCTTAAGTAACTTCCCCAGTGTTCTAGTTATCCATTGCTACAAAACAAATCGGACAAATTTTTTTTTTAAATTATACTTTAAGTTCTAGGGTACATGTGTACAATGTGCAGGTTTGTTACATAGGTATACATGTGCCATGTTGGTGTGCTGCACCCATTAACTCGTCGTTTACATTAGGTATATCTCCTAATGCTATCCCTCATCCCTCCTCCCACCCCCTGACAGGTCCCGGGGTGTGATGTTCCCCTTCCTGTGTCCAAGTGTTCTCATTGTTCAATTCCCACCTATGAGTGAGAACATGCAGTGTTTGGTTTTCTGTCCTTGCAATAGTTTGCTGAGAATGATGGTTACAGCTTCATCCATGTTGCTACAAAGGACATGAAATCATCCTTTTTTATAGCTGCATAGTATTCCATGGTGTATATGTGCCACATTTTCTTAATCCAGTCTATCATTGATGGACATTTGGGTTGATTCCAAGTCTTTGCTATTGTGAATAGTGCTGCAATAAACATACGTGTGCATGTGTCCTTCTACCAGCATGATTTATAATCCTTTGGGTATATACCCAGTAATGGGATGGCTGGGTCAAATGGTATTTCTACTTCCAGATCCTTGAGGAATCACCACACTGTCTTCCACAATGGTTCAATAGTTGAACTAGTTTACAGTCCCACCAACAGTGTAAAAGTGTTCCTATTTCTCCACATCCTCTCCAGCACCTGTTGTTTCCTGACTTTTTAATGATCCCCATTCTAACTGGTGTGAGATGGTATCTCACTGTGGTTTTGATTTGCATTTCTCTGATGGCCAGTGATGATGAGCATTTTTTCATGTATGTGTTGACTGCATAAATGTCTTCTTTTGAGAAGTGTCTCTTCATCTTCTTCGCCTACTTGTTGATGGGGTTTTTTGATTTTTTCTTGTAAATTTGTTTGAGTTCTTTGTAGATTCGGGATATTAGCCCTTTGTCAGATGAGTAGATTGCAAAAATTTTCTCCCATTCTATAGGTTACCTGTTCACTCCGATGGTAGTTTCTTTTGCTGTGCAGAAGCTCTTTAGTTTAATTAGATCCCACTTGTCAATTTTGGCTTTTGTTGCCATTGCTTTCAGTGTTTTAGACATGAAACACTTGCCCATGCCTATGTCCTGAATGGTATTGCCTAGGCTTTCTTCTAGGGTTTTTATGGTTTTAGGTCTAACATTTAAGTCTTTAATCCATTTTGAATTAATTTTTGTATAAGGTGTAAGGAAGGGATCCAGTTTCAGCTTTCTACATATGGCTAGCCAGTTTTCCCAGCACCATTTATTAAATAGGGAATCCTTTCCCCATTTCTTGTTTTTGTTAGGTTTGTCAAAGATCACATGGTTGAAGATGTGTGGTATTATTTCTGAGGGCTCTGTTCTGTTCCATTAGTCTATATCTCTGTTTTGGTACCAGTACCATGCTGTTTTGGTTACTGTAGCCTTGTAGTATAGTTTAAAGTCAGGTAGCGTGATGTCTCCAGCTTTGTTCTTTTGGTTTAGGATTGTCTTGGCAATGTGGGCTTTTTTTTCGTTCCACATGAACTTTAAAGTAGTTTTTTCCAATTATGTGAAGAAAGTCATTGGTAGCTTGATGGGGATGGCATTGAATCTATAATTTACCTTGGGCAGTATGGCCATTTTCACGATATTGATTCTTCCTATCTATGAGCATGGGATGTTCTTCCATTTGTTGTGTCCTCTTTTATTTTGTTGAGCAGTGGTTTGTAGTTCTCCTTGAAGAGGTCCTTCACATCCCTTGTAAGTTGGATTCCTAGGTATTTTATTCTCTTTGAAGCAATTGTGAATGGGAGCTCACTCATGATTTGGCTCTCTGTTTGTCTGTTATTGGTGTATAAGAATGTTTGTGATTTTTGCACATTGATTTTGTATCCTGAGACTTTGCTGAAGTTGCTCATCAGCTTAAGGAGATTCTGGGCTGAGACGATGGGGTTTTCTAAATATACAATGATGTCATCTGCAAACAGGGACAATTTGACTTCCTCTTTTCCTAATTGAATACCCTTTATTTCTTTCTCCCACCTGATTGCCCTGGCCAGAAGTTCCAACACTGTGTTGAATAGGAGTGGTGAGAGAGGGCATCCCTGTCTTGTTCCAGTTTGCAAATGGAATGCTTCCACTTTTTGCCCATTCAGTATGATATTGGCTGTGCGTTTGTCATAAATAGCTCTTATTATTTTGAGATACATCCCATCAATACCTAATTTATTGAGAGTTTTTAGCATGAAGGATTGTTGAATTTTTTTAAATGCCTTTTCTGTATCTATTGAGATAATCATGTGGTTTTCATCTTTGGTTCTGTTTATATGCTGGATTATGTTTATTGATTTGCATATGTTGAACCAGCCTTGCATTCCAGGGATGAAGCCCACTTGATCTTGGTGGATAAGCTTTTTTATATGCTGCTGGATTCAGTTTGCCAATATTTTATTGAGGATGTTCATCAGGGATATTGGTCTAAAGTTCTCTATTTTTGTTGTGTCTCTGTTAGGCTTTGGTATCAGGATGATGCTGGCCTCATAAAATGAGTTAGGGAGTATTCCCTCTTTTTCTATTGATTGGAATAGTTTCAGAAGGAATGGCACCAGCTCCTCCTTGTACCTCTGGTAGAATTTGGCTGTTTATCCATCTGGTCCTGGACTTTTTTTGATTGGTAGGCTGTTAATTATTGCCTCAATTTCAGAGCCTGTTATTGGTCTATTCAAGGATTCAACTTCTTCCTGGTTTAGTCTTGGGAGGGTGTATGTGTCTAGGAATTTATCCATTTCTTCTAGATTTTCTAGTTTATTTGCGTAAAGGTGTTTATAGTATTCCCTGATGGTAGTTTGTATTTCTGTGAGATTGGTGGTGATATAACCTTTATCATTTTTTATTATGTCTATTTGACTCTTCTCTTTTTTCTTCTGTATTAGTCTTGCCAGTGGTCTATCAATTTTGTTGATCTTTTCAAAAAACCAGCTCCTGGATTCATTGATTTTTTGAAGGGTTTTTTGTGTCTCTATCTCCTTCAGTTCTGCTCTGGTCTTAGTTATTTCTTGCCTTCTGTTAGCTTTTGAATGTGTTTGCTCTTGCTTCTCTAGTTCTTTTAATTGTGATGTTAGGGTGTCCATTTTAGATCTTTCCTGCTTCCTCTTGTGGGCATTTAGTGCTATAAATTTCCCTCTACACACTGCTTAAATGTGTCCCAGAGATTCTGGTATGTTGTGTCTTTGTTCTCATTGGTTTCAAAGAATATCTTTATTTCTGCCTTCATTTCATTATTTACCCAGTAGTCATTCAGGAGCAGGTTGTTCAGTTTCCATGTAGTTAAGCGGTTTTGAGTGTGTTTCTTAATCCTGAGTTCTAGTTTGATTGCATTATGCGAGACAGTTTGTTATAATTTCTGTTATTTTACATTTGCTGAGGAGAGCTTTACTTCCAACTATGTGGTCAATTTTGGAAAAGTGTGATGTGGTGCTGAGAAGAATGTATATTCTGTTGATTTGGGGTCGAGAGTAATGTAGATGTCTATTATGTCCACTTGGTGCAGAGCTGAGTTCAATTCCTGGATATTCTTTTTAACTTTCTGTCTCATTGATCTGTCTAATGTTGATAGTGAGGTGTTAAAGTCTCCCTTTATTGTTGTGTGAGAGTCTCAGTCTCTTTGTAGGTCTCTAAGGACTTGCTTTATGAATCTGGGTGCTCCTGTATTGGGTGCATATATATTTAGGATAGTTAGCTCTTCTTGTTGAATTGATTCCTTTACCATTATGTAATGGCCTTCTTTGTCTCTTTTGATCTTTGTTGGTTTAAAGTCTGTTTTCTCAGAGACTAGGATTGCAACCCCTGCCTTTTTTTGTTTTCCATTTGCTTGGTAGATCTTCCTCCATCCTTTTATTTTGAGCCTATGTGTGTCTCTGCACATGAGATGGGTCTCCTGAATACAGCATACTGATGGGTCTTGATTCTGTATGCAATTTGCCAGTCTGTGTCTTTTAATTGGAGCATTTAGCCCAATTACATTTAAGGTTAATATTGTTATGTGTGAATTTGATCCTGTCATTATAATGTTAGTTGGTTATTTTGCTCATTTGTTGATGCGGTTTCTTCCTAGCATCGATGGTCTTTACACTTTGGCATGTTTTTGCAGTGGCTGATACCAGTTGTTCCTTTCCATGTTTAGTGCTTCCTTCAGGAGCTCTTGTAGGGCAGGCCTGGTGGTGACAAAATCTCTCAGCATTTGCTTGTCTGTAATGGATTTTATTTCTCCTTCACTTATGAAGCTTAGTTTGGCTGGATATGAAATTCTGGGTTGAAAATTCTTTTCTTCTAGAATGTTGAATATTGGTCCCCACTCTCCTCTGGCTTGCAGAGTTTCTGCTGAGAGATCAGCTGTTAGTCTGATGGGCTTCCCTTTGTGGGTAACTAGACCTTTCTCTCTGGCTGCCCTTAACATTTTTTCCTTCATTTCAACTTTGGTGAATCTGACAATTATGTGTCTTGGAGTTGCTCTTCTCGAGGAGTATCTTGTGGCATTCTCTGTATTTCCTGAATTTGAATGTTAGCCTGCCTTGCTAGGTTGGGGAGGTTCTCCTGGATAATATCCTGCAGAGTGTTTTCCAACTTGGTTCCATTCTCTTCGTCACTTTCAGGTACAGCAATCAGATGTAGATTTGGTCTTTTCACATAGTCGCATGTTTCTTGGAGGCTTTGTTCATTTCTTTTTACTCTTTTTCCTCTAAACTTCTCTTCTCACTTCATTTCATTCATTTGATCTTCAATCACTGATACCCTTTCTTCCAGTTGATTGAATTGGCTACTGAAGCTTGTACATTTGTCACATAGTTCTCGTGCCATGGCTTTCAGCTCCATCAGGTCATTTAAGGACTTCTCTACACTGGTTATTCTAGTTAGCCATTTGTCTAATTTTTTTTCAAGGTTTTAAGCTTCTTTGCGATGGGTTCAAACTTCTTCCTTTAGCTCGGAGAAGTTTGATCATCTGAAGCCTTCTTCTCTCAACTTGTCAAAATCATTCTCCATCCAGCTTTGTTCCATTGCTGGTGAGGAGCTGCGTTCCTTTGAAGGGAGAGAGTTGCTCTGATTTTTAGAATTTTCAGCTTTTCTGCTCTGTTTTTTCCCCATCTTTGTGGTTTTATCTATCTTTGGTCTTTGATGATGGTGACGTACAGATGGGGCTTTGGTGTGGATGTCCTTTCTCTTTGTTGATTTTCCTTCTAACAGTCAGGACCCTCAGCTGCAGGTCTGTTGGAATTTGCTGGAGGTCCACTCCAGACCCTGTTTGCCTGGGTGTCAGCAGCAGAGGCTTCAGAACAGCGAATATTGGTGAACAGCAAATGTTGCTGCCTGATTGTTCCTCTGGAAGCTTCATCTCAGAGGGGTACCTGGCCATGTGAGGTGTCAGTCTGCCCCTACTAGGGGGTCCCTCCCAGTTAGGCTACTCGGGAGTCAGGGACTCACTTGAGGAGGCAGTCTGACCGTTCTCAGATCTCAAACTCCATGCTGGGAGAACCACTACTCTCTTCAAAGCTGCCAGACAGGGACATTTTAATCTGCAGTGTTTTCTGTTGCCTTTATCCAGCTGTGCCCTGCCCCCAGAGGTGGAGTCTACAGAGGCAGGCAGGTCTCTTTGAGCTGTGGTGGGCTCCACCCAGTTCGAACTTCCTGGCCACTTTGTTTACCTACTCAAGCCCCTCCCCCAGCCTTGTTGCCACCTTGCAGTTCGATCTCAGACTGCTGTGCTAGCAATTAGTGAGGTTCCTTGGGCATGGGACCCTCCAAGCCAGGTGCGGGATATAGTCTCCTGGTGTGCTGTTTGCTAGACCATTGGAAAAGCACAGTATTAGGGTGGGAGTGACCCGATTTTCCACGTGCTGTCTGTCACAGCTTCCCTTGGCTAGGAAAGGGAATTCCCTGACCGCTTGTGCTTCCCAGGTGAGGTGATGCCTCACCCTGCTTCGACTCATGCTTGGTGGGCTGCACCCACTGTCCTGCACCCACTGTCCGACAAGCCCCAGTGAGATGAATCCAGTACCTCAGTTGGAAATGCAGAAATCACCTGTCTTCTGCATCACTCACGCTGGGAGCTGTAGACTGGAGCTGTTCCTATTCGGCCATCTTGGAACCACCCCCCTCAAATCTGACAACTTAAGTTTCAAAGGGATTTTCCCTTCTACTCTGTAAGTAGAAGACTCTAAAATAAATGGGTCGTTTACTTATTGTTTTATTATTTAGACCCATGACTACAAAGGCACAAATATAAGAAAACAGTAGGATAGTTCAAGTTTCACAGGCCCTTTCATTTAGAAGTCTGCTCACCACTCATCATGAGAAGGCCAGTGGGATGCTGGAAGCCAATCACCACCTGGAAGCGTGGCTCTGGAGATGCCCTATCCTGGGCCCTGGGATTTTGACTCACCTGCTTGCCCCATTCAGGAGCCCTCTTAGTGTTTCCCCAGCCACACCTGTCATGCTCATTACAACTCTTTAGAAGAGAAGACTACTAGAAATTGACACCTGGCCCCACACCACATTGCTACCAAGCCCAAACATTTCTCCTTCACCAAGAGGGAATCAATCAACCTTTCACCCATTCCTGGTTTCCCCAGTCACTATTCAAGAAAAAGCTTCCTTGTTGAAACAACCTGTCATCTCCAGTTGCTTGGCCCAAAACCCCTACTCCTTATTGCCTGACATATTCAACTTCCTCAACCTCCCTGCCTTACCTGAAACCTTGGCTTCTCAGAGGGACCTGCACTTCCCACAACACTGTCAAGTGGAAGCATTTCTTCTTTTACCTTCCCTGAAACTCATGGATAAGAAGTGTCCGTGTCTTCTTTGCTCCCCCACCAATCTTAGGTCATTGCTCTTCATTGCTGCAGATTCTCCACTCCCCCACCCCTGCTGATTTACAAAGAAAAATACCACATCTGCTTTGAGGCTCCAGCTGAGCCAAACCACCCTCTACCCTCCTCATTGCAATCATCCACTGACTTCCCAGTCCCATCCCCTTCCTTTATGGAAGACTCCCCTTGCCTGAGAAATACTTCTTCTCCACACCAATGTCAGCCACTGTCCTAGGAGATTTTAAGTCTTATGTGGATATTTACCTATTTCACTTTTAGCACAGCTGTCCCCTCCCAAGGCCACACTAATATCATCAAGGTGAAATGGTACAGCCTCCAAAACCACTAATTAAAATTCACACTCCTTCTAACCTTCTAGCTAGCTCACTCATTCCACTATTTATTATTGCAATTGTTCCTTCACATCACTGGGTTCACTAATGCCTTTATCATTCCCTCTTACCCACTTCCTTCCTTTCTCTTTATTCATGAATCCTCTTTGGTCTTTCATTCCCTTACTTAGCTGGCTCAGATCCCACAGTATATCTATTCAATTACCCTCTTGCAGTTACCTTCCCCTCTTCCCACTACCTGGGATGGTGGGTGGGGGAACAGAAACAAACCTGAGTTCAAGCCCTCTTCTTGTATCACTCTTCACAGTCTTTCCAAGTACTGTTATCCATTATCATGGCTTCAAATACCTCTTTTGATGGTATTTGAAGAGGGACTGAAATTTGACAACCCCCAAATTTATAGCTTCACCTCCATGGTTTCATCTGCATTCTAAGCATACACACACTTAACTGTCTGCTTGGCTTCTCTCACTGGGTATCTCAAATGGATTACTGCCAAAATTGAGCTGTGTTTCAACCCTTCAGTGTTCAGTAATCCAGTAATCTCAGTAAATGGCCCCTCATCCTGCATTCACTCTTGGTATTCAGTCAACAAATAAAGTCCCATCAGCTCAATCTCCCTACATCTCTCAAGTCTCATCTTTCCACCTCTGCCCTTTTCTGTCTGGATCAAACCACCTTGACCATGGCAATAGCTTGGTCTACACCAACCTCCACTTCATGCTCTACTCAGTTGCCAGAGTAACATTTAAAAACAATTCTGATTACATCTCAACCCTCTTTAGAATTTTTCAATGACTTCCTTTCCTCTTTGCATAAAATTAAAAATCCCTAACATGACCCTCAATACCAGGCATCATCTGGCTCCTGACTGTTTCTCAAATGCATGGAGCACTGCTCTCCTTTGATGCTCTCTGTGGTTTTCTCCTGCTGTTCCTCTTTGTTTGGTTAGCACCTACTTATGCTTAAGGTCTCAGCCTAAACATTCTTTGAAGAAGCATTCTCTCACCTATAAGATTATATTTATTTGTAGGATTTATAACTAAATTAAATATTATAAATACAAAATAAAATAATATACAATTATAAATAAAATCAAATTATTGTAGCGAAATTTAAAAATATATTTTTTGCAATTATATCTTCAGCATGTCCCTCCTGCTAGACTGTAAAGTCTATAACCTCAGAGACTCTCCTATTTCTAGTAGGGTGGCCAAGCATCTTGATTTGCCTGGAACTGAGGGAGTTACTGAGATGTAGGACTTTCAGTTTTAAATCTAGGAAAGTCCTAGGCAACTGGCAGGGTTGGTTTCCTGAATCTCTAGTTCTTAGAACAACCTTTAGCAATTCTTATTAAATGAATGATTAAATGGAAGAGCTTCTCCTTCTATCCCTCCAAAGTAGTATAGGTGTGTAGGAGGAAAGAGTAGAATCGTGGTTTGAAGGATTAAGCTACAGAAATGATTACTATCCTCCCCAGAACTTTTATTAAAAGGATTAATGCATACCACAGCCCTTCAAGAAGTTGTGAGATAGACATGTAAACTTCACCTGGCCTCCTGACAGTGTAGCAGGAATAGCACAGGGTGAAAGTGTCTCAGATCCTCTACCCTCTAAGTCCTTGGGTCCATCTCTAAACTTTTTAGATCACAGTGTGTACATTGAGAAGGTTGAACTTTCTTTTCCTCTTTTCAGCTCTAAAATTCTCTTTGTTTTTAGCTCTGAAATTATTTGATGTCTTTTACATAGGCATAGCCCCGTGAAGAGGGGAGACTTATACAGGGATGCCATTCTATAGTTTAGAGTTATAGGAGGTAGTAATCTTCCAGGCTGGGGTCTTAACTATGTCAGTAGAGAATGCCTTATCTCCTACTCAGGACTGGCTGCAATCCAGAGCCATTAATTCATTTAACTGATTCATTCATCACTATTTATTCAAGTCCTATTACATATTAGGAACTGGGCTAAGTGGCAGAGACCACTGATTGCTTCAACTGCCTCCCAAGGTCCCCAACTATGGTGGCCCTGCTAATTATAGATGATGTCCTATGCACTGAACTAAACCCTCTTGATTGAAGAGTATCTCCTATTTTCCTACCTCCAAACCTGTCTGCCTTCAGATTTTCTTCCAGCATTCTCTCCACTGCACCAGGGGTCTGCAATATTTTTATATAAAGGGTTATATGAGAAATACTTTAGTCTTTGTATGCCATGTGCAGCCAAAAGATTCCTATAGACAATACATAACTGAATAGGTATGGCCGTCTTCCAATAAAACTGTATTTGTGAACACTGAAACTTGAAATCAAAATAATTTTCATCTTTCACAAAATATTCTTTTTCTTTTGATTGTTTTCAATCACTTAAAAATGTCAATACCATTCTCAACTTAAGGGTCATATAGAAGCAGGTAGCAGGCTGGATTTGGCCCACTGGCCATAGTTTGCCCTGCAGAACCACCATTGTTATATGGTATTTAAGTATAAGGGTTTCCTAAGCTAGAGTGCCTACAATTGAATGAATCTTAGTTGTAACTCTTAATTAAACCTGGTGACCTTGGTTAAGTTTCTAAGCTACAGTTACAAACTGCCTCAGTTTCTTTATCTGTAACATTGAAATACTATTAGCATCTGTCTCATACAGATGTTGTGAGGATTAAATTATGTAATACTTGTAAGATAATAATAACAGTGCTTACAACATAGTAAGTACTCAACGTGCTTATAATTATTATAGTTATCATTATGTGGTTCTTATTCCTGCCAATGGCCCCCCATTAATTAGAAGATACATTTTAAACTTCTTGGGAGGTGTGCAAAGCCTTTCCTTTGAATCTCATCTTCTACCACCTCCTTAGCTACCTATGATTCACTCATCCCTATCACGTCTAATTCTCTAAATCTATCATATTGTTTCATATACCTTTGTGCCCCTCTGCCCCTCCTCAATACCCCAATTTCTCTCTCTCACACACAACACACACACACACACACACACACACACACTTTTCCTATAAGACCATATGAACATGACCCCTTCTCTTGAAATCTTTGAAGCCTTTCCTGACCATTTCTATCCTCTCTCCACCTTCCAATCCAACTCTAATTTTGGGTTTTCCCTCCTCTGGGTTCCCATAATACTGTGTGAGGAGCTCCATGTTAGCACTTCTCACACTGTAATAGCAAAACACATTATTATATATTTGTCATTCCCACTGGGCTTTGAGCTACTCATGGACAAAAACTCTGAGTTTTTAATGTTTCTATTTGCAGTGCCTATTATCAGTACCTGGTACATGGTAGACAACCAAAAGATACATTAGGAAGGAAAAAAGAAAGGAAAGGTGGAAGAAAAGAATAGAAATGAAAGATGGAAGGAGGGAGAGAGGAATAGAGATAGAAAAGAGAGAGGCCGCAAGATAGGCAGTGACTGCCCTGTTTATCTGATATAGGTATGTGGCCATATACACCCTACTTGATGTGCTCATTCTCCCATCTGGTGGAATTCCTTTAGTGAGAAGTGGAAATAATGACATAGACTAATAATGGCGAAGTTTGGGATAAAAGCCTTCCCAATTCCCTTCAAATAATTGTCACCTGATATGCTTTTACATGTTTCTAGACCTGCATAGTTTCTTATCAGATCCAACATGCTTAAGCTTAGAAGAGGTAATTTGATTATATAGGCTTTGGAATAGACAGTTAAACGCTACATCAGAATAGGTCGCCTCGATGCAGCTCCTATCACCCTTCCTGTCCTCAGTGATTTCTCGATGAAAGAATAATAATCTTGGGTACTGATATCAGTTTGTCCATTTACTGGCTGTGTTACCTAAGTCTGAATTATCTGTCTGGGACAAAATTAGTTTTCTTTATCTATAAGATGGGGAAGTTGGATTTTGTGCTCTTATCTAACTCTGAAAGTCCTATGAATATTTGGATCTATTTTACTTCTGCATAGTCCCCTATCTGCTGATGTATTTTCTCATACATAAGCTTATGTCAGTTTTATGGGCTTTCTCAGATATGTTAACTGTTTACAGTACTCTAGAAATGGAGACAGGAATGAAAAGAAAGGGAGGAATTCTGGGCTATGTATGGTAACTAAGTATCTAAATAGAGACAACTGATTGATTTTCAGGATTCCACTTTAAAATAAGAATCATATGAATAATTTGGCAGAGTGCATTGGGTTGGAAAGGTATAGAAAGCACATCTATTGATTGAAGCATAAATGCCCTTTTGTAATTCCAAGTGCTTTCTCATAGGGCAGGGTTATGAAATTCAGGTAGTCTATTTGGTTGCCTGGCTTTTTGCAGGTGTCATTAATTAGACTCTTTAACTTCTTTGAATTGAAAGGAAAGTATGGATTTTCTGGCAAAGGAATTTAGAAAAGAGATGAAATCAGTACCCTTGGAGGGAAATTACAGTAAAGTAAAGTAAAGAAATTACAGAAAGTAAAGTGAATTAAGAGAGTAAACAACTTATCCTCCATTGTAACTTCCAGAAAGTAAATGTGCCCTTTTTCAAAAGTCAGGGCTGTCAGCTGCAGTCTTGATGTTTTTGAAGCAATGGCTTAAAACTGTATTTGATCATGAATGAGAGAAAACGAGATAATCATACACATTCATGCATTCACACACATACTTAGGTATTCTAGAACTTCTTCCATTGGTTGTAACCCAAATTCATTTGTATCAACCTTTGTGAACCTTTATTTGCTTAACATCTATGTACATTGCTAACTTCATGTCATTCTTAGAACTAAATAAACACTTTAAAAAGAGGAAGACAGCCATGATGTCATTTCAGTATATCTATATTTATATCTATCTACACATATCGCACCTAAGCGATTAGTTTTTTTATATGTTTCATGAAAACTATTGTAGCCTATTTAATTAAGTATCCCCAAAGCCCACTCTACACGTGCCACATACTCTTCCTTATCTCCCATGATATTTAACAAAACAAAGAAGAAATAGAATATGTGGTTATTGTAAATAAGAGGAAACTCAATTAGCAGCTTCAACCAATCAACATGCTTTAGCATCAGCCAGTTCCTAAGCAAAGATCTATGGTGAAGACCATTGGGTCCCAGAAAAAGATTTCCCAAAATAAGGTGCTCAGGCATGCTGATTGCTTTGAAAATTGAAAGGTCTCAAAAATAAGCCTCAGAACCAAGGTCTCTTTTGACCCTTTCCCTGCCTCCCTGATCCTCTTTCCTGGGGGCACTTGGTGGGATTCTCTCTGAAATATCCTTCTCTAAGAAAATTGCATGAAATAAACTTGTTATGTTTTTCTCTTGTTAACTTGTTTTTGTTATAGAGGTGCCCACCATGAACCTTTACAATGGGGAGGAAAAGAATCATCCTCTTTCCACCTTTATGGTAATACTTTACATAGACTTTGAAAGGGTTCTGATAACCAAGTAAATCTATTTTCTGTTGCCTGAGCAATGCACCAGAAATGGTGATGGCTTGAACTAAAGCTCTGTAGGGAAGATGGAGAGAAGGTCATGAATGCCAAAGCTACCAAGGAAGTAACAGCTCTATGATGTGGTGATTGGTTGAATGTGAGGGTTGAAAGAGAGAAAAGTGTCCAGGGCAATGCCCAGATTTCCAGGTTGGGAAGATGAAGGGATGTTAAGGGCATTCCTAAGACAGGAATTCAGGGTGGGGACAGGATTGAAGGCTAAGATAACATAAATCCAACTGTCTATGGGGCATACATTCTCAGGCACCTTAAATGTAGCAAAGTGATTTCACTTAAATTTAAGGTGCCTGAGAGTGAATGCCCCATAGGCAGTTGGATTTGTGATGCTAGGCCAAAGGACAGAAGGCTGGATCTATATTTCAATGTCTCCAGCTTATAAATGGCAGTTGTACTTTAGAGAAGAATGAGAGTAAGGATTAGCTGTGTGATAGTAATGTATGTTGCACATTTTCTCAGTCCAATAAGTAGCTTGAGTGTGGGTGAGCTTCCTCCAAACACCACAATTACTTTAGACCTTGGGATCTTCTGGCTCAGTCTGTTGCTACTATGTTATTTACAAACACAGTCAGTGCTTAGTAGATTCCTATAAATCTGTCTTCATGTTATTATAAACTCATTGATCAGCAGGAAAAAAATGATTTATCTATTCTATACAGATTTCTATGAATGAAATCACTGGTCTAGGAATAAGAATGTCCAGGTTTTATTCTCATTTTTGCCACAAACTTGTCTGTAGTATAGGAAAAATCCCTTTCCACCCCTTATTGTCAATATCTGCATCTATAAAATTATGGGATAGAACTCCTTCCAGTTGTAATATTTCATACTGTGTATAACTTTCAAAAGGGAAGCATATCTCTCACTGGAAGTTTTAACCAGTAGTTTATAATTCTTTAAACTGTCCAATGTGCAAAACTCCTCCTAATCCAGTGAAGTCTAATGTGATACAGACTCCTTTCTGCCTAGTAATTTTCTCAGCAAGAAGATTTAATTGTTATGTGGGTTCTGAAAATGAAGATAGGTTAGAATCTGCCTTATACCTCAGATAAATAGTGATCCAAAATAGCATGTTTGCGTAACTAAAGGGGAGAGAATGGACTGAAAATGGAAAACAACTAACTCCTGCAAAGGTGCTGCTTAGAAAATTTTTTTGAGAGAACTTCTGACTCATGTACAATTTATTCATTGATGCTTATTTATTTATTTGTTTGCTTGCTTGGAGAAAAAATAGTTTTGGTGAGAATTTTTACATCTAATAATAAAACCAGAAGACTTGCAACAGTGTT
Organism: Homo sapiens; assembly: GCF_000001405.40. Taxonomy (NCBI): domain Eukaryota; kingdom Metazoa; phylum Chordata; class Mammalia; order Primates; family Hominidae; genus Homo; species Homo sapiens. Next base: position 85,882,251 of record NC_000008.11, read on the forward strand.
TCTTTAAATATCTTTTATTAATTTCCTGTCTGTTTACACTAAAAAAGGAAACTAGAATAGAACTTACGAATTCTTCATCTGTACCCAGAGATTAAATATATAAGGCTCACTGAAAGAGGTTTTTGATGCATATCTAAGAAATATTTGTTTTGTAAATTTAGTCATGGTATGGCTCCATGATATTAAAAATGATTAACTAGGTCAGTTAAAAAAGAAAGAAAGAAAAAGAAGAAGAAAGAAAGAAAGAAAGAAAGAAAGAAAGAAAGAAAGAAAGAAAGAAAGAAAGAAAAAAGATGTTGTCCCAAAAACGTCAACCTCTACCAATTGAAGGCTTTCTTTTTCAATTATGTTCAGTATATTTGAAAATAAGTATAAATAAATATGTTAAATTGATGTCAGTAGTATTTTAAGCAGTCATTTTTAAATACCAAAATGGACATCTTAGATTCCAAAGGGAACAGCTTTTGTTTGACCTAAAGTAAAATGTTATTGAAATCTTTTGTGAGATTTAATTCCATTTCACCTAATTTTAGTCATGATTTTCTAACAATCTAAAACCTGGTATAATTTCTAATACACTTTGTTTGATTAACCCAATTAATTTCATTAACTACTCATGTCTCAGACAAGTGACTTGGCATTTACTCAGCTCATGAATTGTAGTTCAAATGAATATAAACAAACAATAAAACAAACAAAACAAAACACAAAATGTATAATAATGTCAAGAATGAGATAAGATCCACATTTTCTAAGGAAGCCCTCAAGGCCCATCCGAATGGAGCCCTACCAACGTTCTCTAGCCTCACTGTTATCTGATCTCCCATTCTTTTTACACTCACCCACCACCAAATGCCCCTTCTCCTTGCTGTCTGTCACTCTCACGCCTCGGCTTGACCATGCTGCCATATTTATAATGTCCTTACCTTTTCTTCATCATTCCTTTCTTAGCTAACTTCTACTCACTCTTTAAGGCTCAGCCTCAGCTCTGTTTCATTTTGAATATCTTCTCTGGCTTGCCTCCATCATCAGCCCCAGTGAGGCAACCACCCTTTCTATGGTTTCCATAGCACCATGTTCATCACTGCACAATGTGTGAGAGCATGGCTTCTGGGTCAAATTGCCAGTGTTCAAATCCTAGCTCTACCCTTCATTGTCCTGGGTGACTTTGGGCAAGTCACATAATCTCTCTGTACCCCGAGTTAAGCACCAATGAAATGGGAATAATAATATAGTTATCTTCAAAAGGATATTATTTTATATTAAAAGAGTTTATTTATGTAAAGTTCTTAGAAAACTGCATGCCACATAGTAAGTGCTCAATGCATGTTAGCTACTACTGTGATTATCTCCATCACTGGTCTTATGAAAATATCTGTGAGCTTCTTGAGGCAAGAGAGAATTACTTATTCATCTCTGTTCTTCTGCCTCTAGCATGGTACCTGACGCATAGTACATGCTAGTAAGTGTTTCATAAATGAATGAGTGGTTGAACACAGTCTCTCTGTTTTTTTTTTTTTTTTTGGTCATTTAGTTTGCAGAGGTGGCTTAGGGTAAGGCTTATATTTGAGAAATGGTAGTAAATTGGAGAAATGAAATAGGCCAATTACATTTTGAGGCAGATCTGGCTTTATACCAAAATATTAAAGACTTCTATGAGATGCTGCCCTTCATACACTTAAATCCATGGCTGTTACCAGAATCCAAATGCCAAGTCTGGCAGAATAAGGAAGGGAATTTAAACTATTCATCCATTATATCAAAGTGAGCCTGTTGCCTCTTCTTACCTCATGCCCAGAAGTCCTATATAAAATCTCTCTTTTTATATACTGTGAAAAGGCATTATTATTATACTTATTGTTAATATTATTAAAAGGTGATTTTAATATTAAATATTAATTACATTAGTTAATGTGTTATAGTATTTATGAACTAACGATCTAATTAATTTATTAAATTTGATTAGTTTGATATTAATATTAAATATGAAAACGTAGCTCAGAAAGGATATGTTTTAAAGGAAACTAATTTCAAAATCCAGTGAGAATCTGTTGACCTTTTTTATAAACATTCACGTTTGAGTAAAATCTTTCCTGCCTCTTTTCCATTGAATGGCCTGAGTGGATGTTTAGCAGCAGGAATAAAGGAAAGAATTATGAGCTACAAATATCACTATCTGCTCTTGTGACAGTACAAACAACAAGAATAATCTGTCCTGTGTGTTTTATTCCCATTTAAAAGAAAACAATTAGCTTCTATATTCTGCTGGAGCTCTGACAGTCTCATGAATGAACCTTTGTCCTTCCCTGGCTATTGTTTGGTTTGTACATATGCATCCTGGAGCTTTGTAACCAAATATGGAGGGTGTAGTGATCATGAAAATTAACAATAGATGTAAAGACTAGAATCTGACAACACTGACAAAGAACAAAAGACAACATATTATCTATTGTAATTTCTAGATGGGGAAAACAAGACAAAATTGTAGCTTATTAGGATCTGGTCCTCATTGAACTTGGGATTTAAAGTAAAACAAAAACAAACTGTTTGTAAATTATTGTTTGATTTCCTCCTTTATCAGACAAAGAGTTTTAACTTTGGAAGAAAGGCTATGCTGATGACACAGTAAAAATTATAGGTGATTGATCGCCAGTTTGGCAATCCCCAAATCTACTTGTATACTTTTCTGCTCCTTATCACCCATCTCTTAAACTTCCATTGGGTGTTAAATGGCCTTTTTAAGAGTAACCCCAATGAGACACGGGAACCTATGTCTCCATGCCCCAGATAACCCAAGGGACTAGCTGGAGATTTGGAGAGATTTACTGGAAATATCAGCCCCAAACCTATGTAGTGCTTTTCAACTCCAAAGAGAGATTTAAAGCCACATATGGAAGCCTCAAGGGAGAGCATGACTTTTGAAGAGCAGAGACTGGCCTCATGAAAGTTTAGAAATGGCCCCTTTAATTCTTTGGCACCTAGACAAGTGAATCAAACAAGGGTTCCCAATCGTCCCTTCAGTTCCCTCTACCTCTCACCACATTGGCCTCCTCCTCTCCACTCTCACCACTACTGTTAAGATTCTTGTGATCTCGTCCAAGAATTATTTTCATATCCCTACTTACTGTGTGACTCTGGGTGATACAGGAATTACTATTAAACAGTTTCCTTCTTTTCACAATGGAGTTAAATTTAGAATCTACCTCAAAGGAGTGATGCCTAGATTAAATTATATAAAAATGCTAAATCTAGCACATAATCAATAAATGTTTGGTAACACAATAGAAATCAATACTTCTAAGGCATAGTTTCCACATCCTTGATTTCATAAAAAGAATGCAAGTTTCAATGTTTTAGATTACCATAAAAGACAGTGATTCGTTTGTTGCTGACACAAACAACATCTATTTCCTCCCAAACAAAAGTTGGATCATGCTGGAGTAGCACAGAAGCACAAGAGAAGCACATGATCCAGTAATTGTGTGGTAAGGAAGATTTTGAGTAGTGACTTCTGGTCATTTGAAGAGCTCTAATCACAGGCTTTAGATGTTCACAGAACAATCATCAAGAGGCCATTTACTGAAAAGGACATCTGTCCTGGAAAATAGAAACTTCATTTATAATATTGTTTCTACTAATGAGGATTATGTCAAGACTGATAAGAGTTTTTATATCTGTTTGCAGAGTTCAAGATTTCAACATTTTAAGATAATCTGAAAAAAATTGGAATGTGCCCCCAGCTGCGTGAGTAACTAAAGATAACAGTAACCAAGTCTCATTGGATGACCCAGTTCAGCTAAAAGCTTCTCTTACAGATGATGCTATATTCTTGAGAGGAGCTTAGAGTGACTGTGTGGTTCACAAACTGTGCAAATCAAAATGTAAATTCTTAGCTTATCTAATAATTGATTTATTGTGTAAGGTACAATAAATGGTTTAACCACTCTGAAATTTATTTTCAAAATAAAATGAACTCTAGATGTATTCCTAACAGATGCAGAGAAACTCACACTAGGATGCCTTGAGGTTTTCTGAGATGTTTATTTATCCTTTGTTTCAATAGTGAGAACTAATTAGAATAAAATAAAATTAATGAGAGCTAATTAGAATAAAGATAAGATTGATTATTTCTACTTCCAGTTAAAACTAAAGATGCAGAATCAATTTTATGGAAAAAAAGGTTGCCAGGTTTTACTAAATTCAAGGCTGTTTTTTTCCCTCTATTTGTTTAGGATAAACATAGGCTTCTTCCTGCATGTCAATACAATACTACATTTGGCAAGTGTCTCCTGTTTCCAGATGATCCCGGCAGTTCATTGTTCGGGATATTGATTTTAATTAGCACAAGTGGATCAGCAGCTCTCACTTCAGTTGATCTGAAAATCAACATCTCTAGATGCTTTTCCTCTGCTCTTCCTTCCTTCAGAAGAGGAAACGCAGTTTTTCATGTTTGAAAATCAATAGAATAATTGCAGGCCAATAACTCTATGCCAGCAGAACTCATCTGTGAACAACCAAAAGAAAGAAGCCAAAAGAATGGTTGATTCATTTTTGTTGTAATATACAATTACTTAGAGCACTGTTCCTATAGAGGAGATCTAGTCAGAAAAGAATTAAATCACTCCTTCCAACAAAATTGCTTATGCAGGTAAATAGAAACCAAAAGTCAGTGTATGATAAAGAAGAAAGCTACCATTTGAGGAAGAAAAGCCCAGGTAGTGGGTCTGAGAAGTTACAAACATTTAGTACTGCCAGCAACATCAGTTGGCTCTCTTGGTAGTTTTCCACGGAGGTTTTACATTCAGCTTTTGCCTACTGACATGACCTGAACTTGCCTTGAATTTCCTTTCACTGAGCACTGGGGATTACATATTTTTCCAAATGCAACGGTCTAAATATTAAGTAAATTTCAAACTTCAGATGAAAATTTTTAGAAGGGTAGGTGGAACCTATTTTGAAGGTCTCTTTTAATCTTCCAATTAATTTCATGAGTTTATTGCTTAGAACTTGATCCTAGAGATTATCTTGTAAAAAGCTTATAATTTTCTTTCTAGGATAAGAGAATCTCTCAGGAGGCTGAATTTAATAAATTATGTTGTCGAAATGTCATCAATAAGCAAACACCAATTCAATGTCTTTCTAATCAAACTCATAGCAATAGCAGAATGGTGGTTTCTAGGAACAAGAAAAGGTAGGGAGTTGATAAGTAGATGTAAAGTTTCAGTTATGCAGAATGGGCGTGGGAAGAGCTTTTAGAAATCTGTTGCACAAAAATGTGCATATGGTTCTATCCAAGTCTCTGTGTGTGTGTGTGTGTGTGTGCATATGTGTTTGTAAAAATTTTTTGGTCAGTGACTTAAATGAGGACAGAAATACTATGTTTGGCAAACTGACAAACTTACTGAATAAGTGGTCATTGTGATAACATGAAGGCAGAGGAAAAAATACGTTAAAAATGGCTTTAAAGTTATGATAAACAGATCTAACAAGACAAAATGTAATAAACTAAATATTTATCAAATATAAACACATAAACATAAGCAAAATACAAAATATATTTCTATATTTTATGCAATATGGTTATATAATATATAAATAATGTGTAAATGTTATATATTAATAAAATAACATAAAAATAATACATAAATATATAATCAAGCATAAAAATGTAAATATATAAAGACAAAATCCTTCCCATCAACAATCCCAGGTTCAGGATAGATGCTTATGGCTAAGTAGTCCTTATGTGAAAAGCAATCTGATTTTGTAGTTGCCATCAAAACTTATATGAGTAATGTGATGAGGCTGGGCCAATAATTAATGAGCTGAGCTACACACATAAAATTTTAGAGTCCAGAACAAGGAAATAATTTTTTTTTCTCGCACTGAATTATGTACATGCTAGAGGACCACTGAATTTGTATGTACATTTCAGGGAGACATACCTACAAGGATGTTTGGCAAACTTTAATATTAAAAAGACAGAGAAACAGAAAAATGTAGATGATTTGGTGTGAAGAAGTAAGCCTTCAAAATTAAAAGATATACTTGAGAGACTTTCTTAAAGATCACTGGGTTTGTAAATGCTGAGAATTAGATAAATTCCTTTGCAGTTCTATAGAACAGAATGGAAATAAAAAGTATAAAATTATATCAGCAAATAGATGCTATGGTTCTATCTACATCACCAGTTTTGGCAAAGAAGAGGTGCTATGGTTTGAATGTGTCCCCCAAAAAGCATGTTTTTGAAATGTAATCCCCAATGCCACAGGGTTGGGAGGTGTGTTTTTGAAACTTAATCCCCAATGCCACCCTAATGGAAGGTGTTTAGATCAAGAGGACTCCATCCTCATGAAAAGATTAATGCTAACTATAAAAGGGCTTGAGGCTTCAACTTCTATCTCTTACTCTCCCTTTCCTTCTCTTTGCCCTTCTACCATGTGATGATGCAGCAGGAAGGTCCTTAGTAGATGCCAGCCCCTCAATCTTGGACTTTCCAGCCCCCAGAACCAATAAATCTCTGTTCATTATCAATTATCAAGTCTCAGTTGTTCTGTTGTAGCACCACAAAATGGACTAAGACAAAAAGAAAAGGTTTATGTAAGAGATGTACAGTGCCTGACACCTGAAAGCCACTCAATGCATGGTAGTAGCTATTGTTGTTATTATAATCACTTTGTTTATTTGAGGAAAGGGGGTGAGTATTATCTCTCAGACCCTTCTCATCAATTCTCTTACTTCTCTGAACATAAATTTAATATGATTAAGGCTTCTTCAATTAATTGTTTATATATATATAATTCTTAAATTCATATTGTATGGCAATGAAGTAGATGAAGACAATTGTTTAGAAAGCCAATAAGAATAAAATTTACTGCTGCAACTATGGTAATCACAGAACTTTTCCCAATGATATTTGTCCCAAGATACACTGCTCCTTATTCACTTGTCCATTAGAGACTCTAGCTGAAAAGCAATTAATCAGATTTTTTCAGATGAGAAGTTCTATTTTCATTATTCCTGTATTCCTGAATTTATTTTTGGGAGCTATTTTAGACATTTTAAATTGAAGTTTCTTTATTAAACTAAATACTTGACAAGCCAGCACAAAGCAAATTTGTCATGTTTGTTTATGGAACCTAGTAATACTGGGACTCTGGTGGCTATGTATTTCTGATGGAAAAGATAACTGAACCATTCTACAATTGGGTAGTAAATGATTATAATAGTTTTATCATCCTGTAATAATTGCCTTGTATTAAAGTGTTTCCTGAGTCATTAAATCTCAAGGATATCTATTTGGTCATGTTTTCTTGTGGTATTTCAAGGCTACTGGTGACTTCTTCAACAGTTGAGAAACTGAACTATGTGTTCATGAAAATACTCCATCATTAAAGTTTATGGTAAGTCTGATACCTATCTAAATAATAAGCAAACTTTAAAAGACACTATCTTTTAATAGTATGATTTATCATCATCCTCATCATTGATATCATCATTATTAAAAGAGAAATAATTATAAATGACCAAAACTTTTCTCATAATTACTATTCAGTTTATACTAATTCCAACCTCAAATTATATCTCTAAAAATCTGTAGGATGTTGTAAGAAGTTAAAACAGTTGCCTATAGCACATAAATGCTCTTCTCTACTTTGCTTTTTTCCTCTTTTATCTCTACATCCTTCCTCCTTGGAGTTTTTTCCTCTCAATTTATTCACTCATTTTTGTCTCCAACATTGCTTTTTCTCTCCAATTTTATGAATGAAAATCCAAAGAAAAGCCTTAGTTTATATCTGAAATATCTACATACAGTATAAAGAGAAACATATTTGCTTTTTGTCCTTAGAGCTCTTAAAATCCTTGGAAATGAAGATTCAGGAAGCTTCCTGGTTGGTGAACACACCAAAGTTTAGGAGGGTGGTTCCCCCAGAAATAACACAGAAACACTACACCCTACCCCCATACCTTGTTCTATGAATCTTTTTCATTTTGCTATTCTTCAGTTGTATCCTTTCCTGAGGTCTGTCAGCCATTCTAATGAAGCATCAGACCTGAGGAGGGAGTTATGGGAACCCCTGATTTAGAGCCAGTTGGTCAGAAGTACATGTGGCCCAAGACTTGGAACTGCTGTTTGAAGGAGAGGCAGCCTTGTGAGACTGAGTCCTTTAACTTGTGTCTGACACTAAATCCAGGTAGATAGTATCAGCATTGAATTGAATTTGTAGACACCCAGTTGGTGTCAGAGAATTGGAGAACTGATTGATGTTAGAAAACACCATACTACAGATTTTTTTAAAATTAGCAGATGATTAGATAACTACCTGTGATAATTATATCCTTGCTTATTAATAAGGCATTCAAAAGCTACTTACAATTGCATTTTGTATTCTAGGGCTGACTTTTGCTCACTCTTTAAATGACTTAAAAGTAGGACAGGTAGACAATTCTGATGTAATCTTCTTTCTTAAAGACCATTGGATTTGTAAATGCCAACCAAGCAATATTAAGACATTTTATGTAGGGCCAGGCATGGTGGTTCATGCCTTAATCCCAGCACTTTGGGAGGCCAAGGCAGGTGGATCACCTGAGGTCAGGAGTTTGAGATCAGCCTGACCAACATGGAGAAACCCTGTCTCTAAAATTAGCTGGGTATAGTGGTGCATTCCTGTAATCCCAGCTACTCAGGAGGCTGAGGCAGAAGAATCGCTTGAACCTGGGAGACGGAGGTTGCACTGAGCCGAGATCACACCATTGCACTCCAGCTTGAGCAACTAGAGCAAAACTCCATCTCAAAAAAAAAGACATTTTATGTAAAGTTTATTATAATAGTTATTATATTACACATATGCAATATGTATTTATTATTGCCCTTGTGGAGAGAAAAATCTCAAATTACAAGTAAAGATTCAATTCTTTACTTGGGGGCAGCACCAGGTAGCAAACTGTATGTCTTAGATAAAATTGAATTAACTGTAAGAGGACTCTGCTTGTTTAAAAAAGGAACATATATATATATATATATATATATATATATATATATATAAATTTTAAAACATCTATATGTGGGTGAGAATTACATTATGGATGATTTATTTACACACCAAAACTATATTGGCTTCTTTTATAAAACAATATAAATTTTTTTCCAATGGTCGATAAAACTCAAATGCCTTTAGGGGCCAGACAAATAACAGGCTACAATAGCAACAAGAGAGATAAAATCATAAAGAACAAACATTAAGAAAGTAGTATACATGAAGATTTCAATTATAAATTATCAGTCTATGAAAATAAGAACTGCAAACAAATCATGATCTCTTAGAAAATTTGTTTTCCATAATGTACAGTAATAGAAGTTATCGTTAATTTTGTTGTTGAATTGAGCAACTTAAAAGAGGGATTAAAAACAAGGAAAAGCATTGTACATTGAGAACTACAAATCATTACTGAAAGAAATTAAGAAGTTCATAAATAAGTGGAAATACATCTCATGTTCATGGGTTTGAAGACTTAATATCATTAAGATGTCAATACTACCAAAGCAATTGACAGATTCAGTGCAATCCCTATCAAAATCTCAATGATGTTTCTGCAGAAATAGAAAAATGTAGCCTAAAATTCATATGGAATCACAAGGGACCTTGAATAGCCAAAACAATCTTGAAAAAGAAGAAAAAAGTGAGAGGACTCATACTTCCTGATTTTGAAACATATTACAAGTCTACAGTAATCAAAATAGTGTGATACTAGCATAAGAGAGATATATAGATGAAACAAAATATAGGACCCAGAAATAAACACTCCTATATATGATCAAATTATTTTTCACAAGGGTGCCAAGACCAGTCAATGGGGAAAGGACAGTCTTTTCACAAATGGTGCTGGGAAAACTGGGCATTCACCTGCAAAAGAATGAAGTTGCACCCTTAACTGACATCACATACAAAAATTAATTCAAAATGGATCAAATACATAAATGTAAGACCTAAAACTATAACACTCTTAGAAGAAAACATAGGGGGAAATTGTCACAACATTGGATTTGGCAATAATTTCTATGACATCAATAGCATATGCAACAAAGAAAAATTAGACAGTTGGACTTTATGAAAATTTTAAAAATTGTGCATCAAAAGACAGTATCAACAGAGTAAAAAAGCAACCCACAATGGGAAAAACTGCAAATTACATATCTGATATGAGATTAATATTCAGAATATAGAGAGAACTCCAAAACTCAACAAGAAAAAACAAACATCCCAATTCAAAAATAAGCAAAGGGCTTGAATAGACATTTCTCCATAGAAATGTACAAATGGCCAATAAGCACATGAAAAGATGCTCAGCATCACTAATCATTAGGGAACTGCAGATCAAAACTACAATAGGATACCACATTATACCCATTAGAATGGCTACAATTTAAAAAAAAAGAAAATAACAAGTGTTGGCAAGAATGTAGAGAAAATGGAATGCTTGTGCATTGTTGGTGGGAATGTAAAGTGGTGCAGTCCTTCTGAAAAACAATATGCTTACACCTGTAATCCCAGAGCTCTGGGGGCCGAGGTAGGAGGATCACTGGAGCCCAGGAGTTCAAGACTAGCCCGAACTGAACTGTATACTCATAAGTGGTCAAGATGGTAAATTTTATGTTATATGTATTTTATAATAATTTTTAAAATGGGAAAAAAGGAAAATTTTAAAAACAAACCTTTGAATAAAAATTAATCCATAAATTCATATTGATAAGAAAGAAAGAGAGGGACAGTAAGGAAAGGAGGGAGGGACAGAGGAAAGAAGGAGGGAAGAAAGAAAGGAAGGAAAGGAGAGAATAAGGGAGGGAGGGGGGTGAGAGGGAGGAAGGAAAGAAAGGTGGAAAGAAAGAAGAAAGTTAATTTCTTTCTTACAGTATGGTGCTGATTAATACAGAGACAGAACAATGAACTTAGAAAATAATCTGTTTACATCCATCATCAGAAAAATGATTTAGGCAAGAATCATTGATGGATGCTAAATCAAAGTAGGGAAAGGCATTGAACAAGAATCAGGATGTCTACAGTCTCAAAGTATCTCTCGCTAATTATTTAATAATGACAGAGGGAAAATAGCAACAATACAGTGGAGAAAATAGGCAAAACCTTCACCAAGTGATGAAAATTAACACCACCAAGGAAAGGCAGATGGGCATCTTGTGCTGCCAGAAAGACACAACATCTGTTATAGAGTATTCCAGCCAAGAATGCATAACCTAAATCTGGTTATGAGGAAACATTTGAAAAATCCAAACTAAATGACATTCTATAAAATAACTGGCCTGCATGCTTCAAATATGTCATCGATATAGCAAACAAACAAACAAAAACCAAAGTAAGGCTGAGGGTCTGGTTCGGATTGAAGAAACTAAACAGTCATGACAACTAAATGCGAAATACGTTCTTGGACTAGGTTATGTATTGGTGGAAATTGCTCTAAGAAATATTATTTGAACTAGGGGATGAAAGTAGAATATGGAATATAGATAAGATAAATGTATCAATGTCAAATTCTCTAAATGTAAGTATTGTATTGAAGTTATGAATTTTAATTGTTCTGGGAAATATGTAAAGACTGAAATATTAAGAAGTAAGGGGCAATAATGTATGCAATCTACTGTCAAATAGTTTTAAAGAACCGTGTGTGTGTGTGTGTGTGTGTGTGTGTGTGTGCGCCTGGAGAGACAGAGAGAATGACAAAGCAAATGTGACAAAATGTGTAAACATTGGTGAGTCTAGGTAAAGCATGTATAGATGTTCTCATTTCAAATTTTCAAAATTAAAAATTAGATTTCAGAATTTTTTAATTCTGAAGAAATTGTGTGGGGTAAATGGATGAAAACAATCTGTAAGTCTAATTCTATCCATGGGCTGCCAGTTTGCAGCCTCAGGTTTAAAACATCATTTGACTTCCCTGAAATAGCTAAGGAAATCATTAAAAAACAAACCAAAAAACCCACCCATTTGCAATGAAACAGAAATCAATGAAAATAAAAAGCTTTTAAAGTTTCCCACCTCAAGGCTGTTGTCTGGGGTGTGATTTCTTCCTAAAAATTAATTTTGAAAAGGATAAAGGAGGGAAATTTCCAAACAACACAATATTGTTTTGTAAAAATTTCAACTTAAGTCAAAGGAGTGAGGTTTGTGAAGGGTCCTGAGAGTCAGATTATCCTCCCATCCAGATCCTCTCCTCTTATCATGGTGCAGGAGCATTGTTTTATCAGGTGGACTGGAGAGTAAGAAGTTACACCAGATGACAGTTTTCCAGATAACAAGCTTTCACTTTAAATTCTCTTTCTAAAATTTTATTTTTTTCTAAAATACTTCCTATCATTAGGGTATACTTTCATCAATCTTCTTTCCATCATGTTTCAGCTAACGTTATTTGTTTTATTCGTCAGTGCCATAACACAGGACTTATGTTCAATTTGCTGGTAGAATCTTGTTAAAAGGCAGGAACGTCATAGGTTAAAAAAAAAAAAACTATGGGCTTCCCATAGAAATATAGATGGATTCTCCAGACCAGGTTCTTCCACCAATACACTAGGAAAGCTTTGGTTAATCATTTAGATTCACCGGGATCTAGTTCATCTGTAGAAAAATTTAGCTAAATTATATCACCTCTGAGGTCCTTCCAGATCTAGTAAGCATCATCCATTCAGAAGCTGATTTGTTTTCATTCTCGAGACTGGACAAGAGGTAGGCATTTACAACAATGGTACTAGGCTTTATTTTTTCAGGTACTTTTGTTTCATTAATTTTTTAAATTGACAAATAAAAATTATATATATTTATGGTGTACTACATAATGTTTTGACCTATGTATACATTGCAGAATGGCCAAATCAAGCTAATTAACATAGCTATTATTTAACGTACTTATCAGTTTCTGTGGTGAGAATGTTTGAAATCTACTCTTAGTAAGTTTCAGGTATATAATACATTGTTATTAACTATAGTCACCATGTTGTATAATAGACTTCTGAACTGAAATTTCATATCTTTTGCAGTGGTCCCCAAGCTTTCGATTGTACTCTCCAACCCGGAAAAGGTGGAACATGGATCCCCAATATATGCATATTAATTGGCACATGATATCCATGTAATGTTCCACTAATAGGTAAATTGAGAAAGCACATTTAAAATAGACATTTAAAAAGAAAAATACAAAAAATAAATTATAAAGGAGACCCTAATACTTTTTTCCAGCACACAATGCATCTCCTTGCCCACTCTAATTTGCATACCACTGTTTGTAGAAAAATGTCTAAACCCCTTCACATGTCATCTAAGGCCAGTCACATTTTGTCCACAATTTACCTCCTAGCTTTCCTTCCCACCACGTTCCTCAAGCACTCTTCACTCTGGCCACCTAGGATGGCTCACCAGCCTCTGAGCAAATCAAGCATTGTCACACCTCCTTGTTTCAGGCCCTGCTTTCCCCTGTTTTTCTGTTGAGGGGGAAGACAAACATCACATATATCCTATGTAGTCCTTAAGACCTTCAACAAAGTTACTTCTTTTGTGAAGCCTTCCTCCCATTACAACTTATTCCTCCTCTCTCAAAATATGACAGGATAACAATGCAATATAGTTCACCAAATTAATTTATATAAGTTGTATTGTATACACAAATTAATTGAGTCTATGAACTCCTTCACAGCATTTTGGTGAGCGAAGATCAAAATTATCTTATTTTTATCTTTGCCTCATTCCCAGCACCTTGTACATGGCAAGGGCTCAATAAAATTTAATTTCTTTAGGGAAGTTGTACCCTAGAGTTGAACTCTTGCTTTCAACCTATCCCATTTCTTGTAAAGCTGTGAAGGCAGCTATCCACAGCAATGAAGATTACAGGTAAAACTAGTCCACAGACCTCTTATGTATCTAGAAGACTTGTTGAAGATAATGATTATGATGAAATTGTAATTCTTGATTTCTTCTTTTAGCAACATCTTGCAAAGTGGTGTTCAAAGAATGCTATTCCTGTGAGGTATAAAAGTAAATTAAATAAATAAATAAATAACTATATATATATATGTATATATATATATAAATAGTTATTCAATAGTTAACTATGCCTGCCTCATTTCATATTTAAATGGATCAACTAATAATACATTTCAGGAATGAAATATTACCATGAACTTATTTTTTTCCTAAACCATTTTTAGCTTTCCTGATTCATGGTGAATGTGACAGTGTCTATAGCACTGTCAGGGGACCAGATTAACCCAGGCAGCGGGTGGTAAGTCAGCACCTTGGAGTTTGTGGTTTATGCAAACAACCTCACTGACTTGAATGTGTAAAAATCAAAGAAATCCCACAGTCTTGGAGGTAATAGATGATGTTGTAGCAGGACACACACCAGAAAGGAGGCATTGCTTTTGTGGCTAAGACTTATGACCTCCCTATATATAAAAATAACCATGGTTCACCCTAGAGACTAATATAGTACTTGTTGGTTAACTGGGTACTAATCTAGTGGTAAAAGTAAGGTTGATTACCATTCAAGCAGTGGAAAGCCTAGACCAGGGTTTTTTTAACCATTTGTCTGCCAAGGACTTCTTTGAGAAGCTAAAGAGAAGAGCCATAAAATATTTTTAAAGATGAGTTATGCTCTTGGGAAAAATGTTGTCTCCTGGGATACCAGGCTAACAGGTTCTGGAGTGTTCTTTCTCTCCTGTGGTTTTATGATTTTCATGTGCAATTCATTATTTGTGTGTGTTGTGTTCTTTCAAAATCACTATTGGAAAGTTGAAAAACTTCTTAGAATTCCGACCATTCAGATAAGGTCCCCAAAAGCATTTTAGAGCAGAGATACTGAAGCCCAAGAATCCAAACTTCCTGGTAACTTTGGCAAAGCTTTTTTATATATAAATAATCAGAACATCTTGAATTAAATAAATTCAGGGTGAATTATATAAATTTCAACATATCTGTTTTTTTCAGTAAAATGAAGAATGCATAAATAAGGTTTTAATGTGTACTAGAATTTGATCTACTTTCTATATGCTAAACCTGGGCCCTCCTAAGTCACCATTTGTCAATAAGAAATCAATCATAGAGATCCTAATTATACAGCCTAAAGCAATAGAAATATTTTATGAATGATTCTATGTTTCAAAAACTCTTCTATAGAATAATATATTCACTTATTACTATATTTTCCTCTAAAAAGTAAGAAAGAAAGAAAAATTAAAAAAATAAAATAAATAAAAAGTAAGAAAGAAAAAGCTCAGGACACAAAATCTAGCAAAAGGATTAGATCAGCTGTAAGAATTCATCTGAGGGGACTATTAATAAGGAAGAAATATTTTTAAATTTTTGCTATTAGACCTCCAAATAGAATGGCAGATCTACCAACACTTAAACCTATGTAGAGTTCTGATTATTCCTCTTTTCTAAAGTACACACCTTAAATTATTAACTTTTAAGTTATTCATTATACCTTAAAAATTCAGTTGAGCATGTTCTCATAAAGCAAAAGGAATATTTCAGTCTGGTTTCAGCAAGATGTGATTTAGGGAACCTCTCAAAAAATGGTGGGGAGAAAAGGGATTCTAAGATATATAACTGGCTTCTCCTGAACCCAAAATACGGAGGAACTCTAACATCTCATCCAGTTTCTCTGTCTTCTTGTCTCCTTTGTGATATGCTGAAGGCTTTATAAACACAAGGTTGGAGTGTAGTCAGCCAAGGTTTCAAAGGGCAGGCTACTTCTTACTCTATTTTTCTTAGGACTTTGATCTTATCTCTTCTGCTTATGCCAAATCAAGCTTCTGTTGCCCCAACAGCTACCCCAGTTTAGGAGCTGAGGAGAACAACAACACTATTTTTATTGGAGAGACCCTGACTAGAGGGTGGGCATGGGAACAGGCAGGCTAAACTGCAGAGAGCAGGCTGAGTGAGCCACAGAGTGATGTACAGTCATCCCGTTTCAGAGAACTCCAGGGACCATCAGAATGAAGTCAGATTTCAGTGCAAAACTGTGTATTTGGCCACTGTTTCCATACAATAAGGTAAAAATTAATCATAGCAAATGGCTGCTTATTAATAAAACCAAATTATTAAAATGGTCTAAATTGTAATGCCTTCTTAGTCATTCAAATTGCCCTGGGTTAGACTTAAAATTGACACGCAGGTTTAGAAATGTAACTCTAGCTATCAGAAGGAAATGAGAAGAGATATTCTGTCATCTATTATTCTTTATAGGGGAAAACTGATTGATCCAAGGACAAACCTATCTCCATTACTTGGCCGGAATCTAAGAAGTAAACCTATGAGGATTATATATATTTATGTCCTAATCTGTCATGCCAACATAATCATGATGTGCCTTTATGATATTCTTCAGTCTCTCTTCCTCAATCTTCATATCTACTTGGTCACCAACATTTATTAATTCTACATTAGAAATTACTCTTGAATAAGGTTCCCGTTCCATCATCCCCTGTGTCACTAACTTTAATTTACTCTTGTGGGTCATCCATCTACAAGCTGCCAAGGTAATCATCCCAATAACCACAGGATAAATACACTCTCTTTGCACACAGGATAAAGCCCAACACCTTGGCAGCGTCTACAGGGCCCTTTGCAGTATAGCATCACTTAAACATCATCTAACCTCATTGTCACCAAGGCCCCCTGTATTATTTATACACATGAGGAGTCCTCATTCTTCCTCCAACATCCTTCTCAGACTTCCAGCTTGAGAGAGACATTTTCTTGGTCTTTCCTTGGTGAATTCCTAGTAATCTTTCAAGCACCAGTTCAAATGTTATATTCTCTAAAGTTTTCTTTGACCCACCCATCTGCCATCCTTACTCCCACAGGTACAATATCTGGGCTTCCTCTTCCTGCAACATTTTGCTTGCATCTCTTTTGGAATACTTAACACGTTTTTCCGCCATGGTACAACATAGAGGCCAACTTCAAAGTTGAGTCTGTGACACGTCGTTGTGTGACCTCATTCAAACCACTGTACTTCCCTGTACTTAATTTCTTCAACTGTAAAATGTAAATGAATATGGCTACTAAACAGAGCTGTTGTAACAGTTCAATAATGTATCAACACAGCTCCTGACCATGGTGAAAATTCAGCAAATAGAACTATAATTATTATTATGAATAATTGTTATTAATTATATATGTAAATACCTATATAAGGCTTATTAAAACTCTGTGAAGGTAAGAACTGTGGGTTTTTAACACAGTCTTTATCGCACATACACTTAAATTATGTTTTCTTGCTTTATCTCCTGGTTATTTGAATGGATTTTCTGTTTTCCAGTGTAACCCAGATGTAATATCCTTACCAGATTCTTGTCTCTGGCAAGCATACCTAATCTGAAATGGATTCACCGAAGCCCAGCTAAACCATGACCAAATACAGGTCCTGATAAGGAATATACTATCCAGCAACTACAGTGATTAAGTGTTGTGCTAAGAACATTTATTCTAAATATTTATAGGTCTTCTTTTTAAAAATAGCCTAAAGAATTTTGGGGAAGATGATAACAGTGGGTAGAGTGAGTGTTCAAATGTGTACATATCAAGAATATACATTATCATAGAATCACTTAAATATTTAAATTGTGTTTATATTGCTCATTCTCAGTAACTCTTTTAGATGCCATAAAACCTCTCTCAATCACCCAATGGAATTAAATTAATGGAGCTATTTTGCATACTTGGCTTGAACAGAATTTTAATGATAAATATCCCTTCTGTATTTTATATTTATATCATATTCAGGCTCCTAAAGAAATATGCCATTTCAGGAACTTTAGTTCCAACTTCCTAACAGTTCGTTGAAAGTGATATTAACTATATAACTGATGAATGACAATTAAAATTACACTGATAAAAGCAGAAAAAACCAGCAAGTCTTGCAGTTTTCCATTGATTTCTCTGTTGTGGCAGCATTTATTGACATGATAAAGCCCTCTTCCTGCATCATCCAGAATTCTCCACAATATTTTAAAATCAAATATATATATATATTTTAAATTACATATATATATTTGTATACCTACACACACATGGCTTATCTTGGCTAATCAGGCAACATTTTTCTAAATTCTAGCGCTTACAAGGTCATTACTGTCAGATTGGGGAGGTATGATAATAACTGATATGTATTAACTGCCCTGTACTATTAAAGGCACTTAGCATATACTCAAGCATTTTACACTTTAATGAAGGTCACAACTGCCCATTTTGTTTTCCTCAATAAGTTATATTTCTGGCCTCATACTGCCCAGTTCATTTAACGATTGTTGCCTCTAGCAAAAATTTCACTAGAAATATTTTTAGTAACTGGTGGCATCTGTCAATTACATTTCTTAGAACATAGGGTTTAGATGGACAATAATTTTCTGATTAACTAGAAATGAGTCAGAAGACCCCGATAAGCATTTCTGGAAATGAGCACTCCTGGCTGTCTTTGTGGTACGTGTGTTACCTGGATGGATACACTGAGATTCCCATTCACTGGAATCCGTAGCTCCCTGGTCCTGGACCAGGGGCACCGATGTAGGAGGTACGAGACCTGAGGCATCATCTTCCCTTCACTGCTGACTAGCTTTGAAACCTCTTGTCCATGTCTCTTCATATGGACTCAGTTCTCTCAGGTATAAATGTAAACTAAAAATGTCTGAAGGATACCATATTAGTCTCTAATATTTCAAGGTCTCTGATAATTCTAAAATCTAGGCTTTCTTTTATTTATTTGAAATCCAGAAAGTACATACTAGAGTTTTATTCAAAAAAGCAAATTTGGAGATATGTCCTAGATCTGGCACATATATATATATATATATTCTAACATATCTTTCTGTTTCTGCACCTAAAGTTACGATACATTTTTATTTATGTTCCCTTGCTCTTCCTGGAATATTTCATCTTCCACTCTTCTCCATTTTTATTCAGACCTTCCCCATTCTTCCTGATGATGTCCTATCTACCAGTCCTCATGTGGTCACAATGCAGTTATCATCTCTAAGCCAAAGAGTACTGATTACAATTTATTCTATAACATTAAATATGCAGTGTGTCATTGACTCTATTATATGCTGTGTGTCACTAATTCTAAGATGCATTTCTTATTGTAGTGTCTCTCAAATCAGGATGTATCTTAACAATCGATGACATATTGCAAATATAACTAACTGCTTTTCTTCTTAAGTGGCACAAAAAGAAAGAGTGTATATCATAATTTCTGGCATCTTGCAGTCAATGGAAATTAGTCTTACTAGTATTTGAAATGCTATCTTATTCACTAGACAGATCTTGTCTGTATATTTTACTTCTTCAACTTATATATAAGAATATATTTTTATATTTTCATACTCCTCAACCCCATATTAATAATGTTTTAGAAATTCATCAAGAATTTGATTAATAATTATAGAACTACCATGACTCAAGGAACCAGAGTCTGGACTTCTGAAGAAACATTCAATTATATTTGCCATAATGTATTTCTTGAGGTAGAGATATGGATCAATATATTTTAAGAATTTTCAGTGACGATTAAATTAAAAGAATTCATTTATTCTTTATCACTGAGATGTAACTAGATGTTTTTCTTTTTCTCATCATTTTTCAGGCTTTCCCAGAATCTTAAGGATGATAGGAATCTCTAACAGTGTTTTGGACATTCCATTTATCTGCACAGAACTTTATGCTAACCTGACGCAAAAAATAAGACAAATTTCTAAAAAATACTTTTCTCTGTAGTTTATATTTTTGTACTTTTTGTCATAGTGAGATTTTATTCTGAGATATCCTCCACGAGATGGTGGAAGTGTTGTTGTTCACTGAGTTTATAGCACTGCATAAACTGCCCGTCTCTCAACCAAATAAAGTCTACAATTAACAATGCAGAAATAGCACTAAACATTCATTTTCTTAGGATCTGGGCAATAATGGCATACCTTTAAAATCTCCACTTAAATGTATATCAAATAAATTTTAGAACCCAATATTAATTTTCAAAATCACACAGAGGTCGGTCACAGTGGCTCATGCCTGTAATCCCAGCTCTTTGGGAGGCCAAGGCGGGCAGATTACCTGAGGTCAGGAGTTTGAGACGAGCCTGGCCAACATGGCTAGACCCCACTTCTACTAAAAAAAAAAAACAAAAATTAGCTGAGTGTGGTGGCACATGCCTCTAATCTTAGCTACTTGGGAGGTTGAGGCACGAGAATCGCTTGAACCCAGGAGGCGGAGGTTGCAGTGAGCCGAGACGGCACCACTTCACTCCAGCCTGGGTGACAAAGTGAGACTCCATCTCAAAAAATAAAAATAAAAAATAAAAATATATCACACAGAACTGCATTTTTCTATGATTATTGCTGCCTCTAGCCTGACAGAATACAGCACTGTGTTTTACCTCTCTTCTGGGCCCGAAAAAGATTAATTTTATAAACAATTGTTAAGCACTGGCCACATGTGAGTACTCTGCCAGCACAGTTAAAATGCAAGAATAAATTACCTTCAAGACACCTACAGTCTAAAAAAGATGTACAAGAATGGGACCCCATCCACCTTCTGGGAACATCACAGTTGTTTGGGAGCAGTGTCACTGGAAACTCTTTTTAAGCATAAATGTTTATATTGATGCTGTGATGGGGAAGATATTATAGAAAACAGTATTTCATCCCCTTTACCTTAGGCAATAAAATAGCATAGATATTTTTAAAGGAACAAATGTCAGAAGAAATAAAGATATTAAAAAATCAATATCCATGTGGGGCTAAAGGCAAGTTTTTACAGATCAGAAATAGATGAATTTTCTGAGCTCAGAAAAACCA
This sequence comes from Homo sapiens, assembly GCF_000001405.40. NCBI lineage: Eukaryota > Metazoa > Chordata > Mammalia > Primates > Hominidae > Homo > Homo sapiens. The sequence continues at coordinate 85,903,105 of NC_000008.11, forward strand.
GGCACTCAGGCATTAAGTTCCAAGAAAAAGAACTCACTTCAGAACTCTGAGAAATGTGTTAGAAGAGTTGCAATCTGCTCTCTCCTTCATGCAGTCACAGAGATGCAGGAGGAGAATGTACATTTTTGACACAAAGACACTGCAGCCACATCACAGTCCAACTCTGGCTGGGCAAGATCTCACTGCTATCTCTGGGTGCAGGTGTCAGACTACCAGGCCGGTTACAATACCAGGGCACCTTTTGAACAGCTGGGACTGACAACACAGAGGGTTTCCAGGACACACACTTTTTTCTTTGGAAATGTTTAACTCGGGTACAGACTAATGAAAAGGAAATACACCTGGGAGTCATAAATAGTTTTAGAATGAGATCTAGTTGTTTAAATAATCTCGTTTTGTTTTGGAATTTGTACATGTGAATACTAACTACAAGGATAAGCAAAGTCAAATACATTCTGTATTACAGAATCTAGAAAAATAGGCCGCACAAATTTGGGCTGCAAAGATGTCCAGTGAGATACAATAACATTAAGAAACTGTTAGGTTAAAAACAAGTAAATAAAAATATTGATCATTTTAAAATTGCTATAAAGTTTATTCTAGTTCATCTGCTAACCAAACTATATTACCCTGAGTGTGTAAACTGGGTAAAGAAAATGAACCATTTGGGAGCTAACTGCCTAAATAGTGATTTTATTTAAAATTTTTCTCTTTTTAAAAATTCCTTTGATTAAAAAAATTTATGTAGCAATATAGCTACATTAATACAATAACATGGTTTCACAGGTGCAAACATAAGTTAAACTTATCAAACTGTACATTTTATGCTCAAGTATACATTAATAAATCTGCTAAAATGTCTATGTAGTTATCTATGATGTTATATTAATACAATGAGACAATATAGTGGATGCATATTATTTAAGGGATAACATTTTAGATATTTTAGAGAGAGACTGATACTAATACTTTAATAAAAATCTTTTTTTCTTTTTCTGAGACAAGGTCTCACTCTGTTGCCCAGGCTGGAGTACAGTAGTGTGATCACGGCTTACTGAAGCCTTAACTTCCCCAGCTCAGGTGATTCTCCCACCTCAGCCTCCCCAGTAGCTTGGACTACAGGCACGTGCCAACATACCTGTCTAATTTTTGTATTTTTGCAGAGACAGGGTTTCACCATGTTGCCCAGGCTGGTCTCACACTCCTGAGCTCAAGGAATCCACCCACCTTGGCCTCCCAAAGTTCTGGGATTACAGATGTGAGACGCTGTGCCTCGCCATTAATCATATATTTAAATCCATTTATTCAGGTATCCTTTTCTTCAGAAGTAGGAGAATTTATCGAATCAGCTGTGATGAAAGGGTAATAATATTAAGTGATCAGTCAAATTAAAGACAATTGTAATCCTGGTGAATAATGAAAATAACATTTTAGCTGCAATTGCTATATATCTGCAAATATTGCAAATCTGTATCTTGCTACATATGGGTAGAAAATGCTAGGCAGAAGTCAAAACCTGTAGATTAGAGAAGAAAATAATCTTCCTCCAAAAAACAGATACAATAAGTGGTAAGCATGGCACTTTATTTAAATCTTACCATATTTAATCCCAGCTCCCACATGTATCAGCTATCTGATAGTTGTGGGAAGAAAAATTTCTCTTAAATTATGAAAGTTTAATTTGTTACCTTCAATGACTTTTTGTTGAAGAGATTAGGGAAATTCTTAGACTCCCTCTCTTCTGAATTAATTTCCATAAGATCTTTTAGAATAGATAAACTTGAGAAGAAAAGACCAGAGGAAAGAATGTATAAATTTAGTTTCATTCTAACAGGAAATGACATTTGGCTATGAAGGATTGTCTTTGCTGGAGCTCTCCATCCTTTTGAAGTTTTGAATATCATAACAAACACCAGATAACCCAGTGTAACTAAGGGGGAATATACATGTAAACAGTTAATACATCTGTTTGAAATTTTGGACTGAACAGGAGATGAAAATAAAGCAGGAAAAAAGAATGAGAGTACCAGTGGGGGAAAACCACTTATTTCTGATTTTATGCACACACAAATACATATACATATATAAACAAAAATAATACTTATCATGTGGTTGATATACATACAGAAAAAGCAACCATGAAAATGTATATTTTATCTAAAGAGGTTGCAAGGCCTTCCCGCCTTGTCAAATTTTGTATAAAGGCTCAGTGAGACCACATTTGCTGAGGATAGTTCCTTGACAGCTGAGTAATAGAGCTTATTGGCAATGCCAAGACTTAATGGCCTTCAGTGAATAGTGCATACGCTGGCATCTGGCAGATTTAGAGCTGTGGTTATGTAAAGGGTGGGTCTTTCAGGAGGCAATATTATAGATAGGCCCCTCCTTAGATAGTCATAGTCCAAGAGAATAAAGGCAATGCAAACTCTTAATAGCAAAGTCTTTTAGTCTATAAAACTATTTAAGAGTACAAATGGTTTCATTTAAAATTCAACATCAAAACACTTAATCCTTGCATGTGTAAAGATGAAAGAAGTACCATTCTATTACAGTATTATATAATTAAAATAACTAACTGAGACATACTGTGGCTTGTAGTTTTCATGAAAGGTCCCTTGTTCCCACCACCATGAAATGACATTTTTTTAAAAAATTTAATATAGGCTGGGAGCAGTGGCTCATGCCTGTAATCCCAACACTTTGGGAGGCCAAGGCAGGCAAATTGCTTGAGGCCAGGAGTTGGAAACCAGCCTGGGTAACATGGCAAAACCCTGTCTCTACTAAAAATACAAAAATTAGCCAGGCATAGTGGTGCATGCCTGTAGTCCCAGCTACTGGGGAGGTTGAGGCGTGAGAGTTGCTTGAACCTGGGAAGCAGACATTGCAGTGAGCCAAGATCCCGCCACACTGCACTCCATCCTGGGTGACAGAGTGAGATTCTGTCTCAAAAAAACAAAAAACAAACAAACAAAATAACACCCAAAATAATAAAATGTATGGGCAATGTAGTTTGTGAAAATGACAGGTAAGGACACATACATAATAAGTTTAAAAATGATTTTGGATGATGACTACTCTAGCAGAAAGATACAACAATCGTGCTCTTTGAAGAATTAGTTTTAAACTTGTCTTCATCTTGGGGATTATTACTAATCATGGTGGATTATCCCAGGTTTTTTTGTCTCTCTTCATATACTTGGCAACTTGATTCTATCATAGGAAGAAATACGAGATGAAATTCAAGTCAAGCAATTTTTTAACCTAAGATATAACTTGGTAGGAAACCAGTACTTTAATTTGAGTGTCAATTATTGGTTATTATCTGAAGAGTCATTAAACTGCGGTGAAGCCAAGTATTGTCTCTGCAGAATCAGACCTATTTGCTCCAAATTATCACCTTCTTGCTTAATAATTATGTAACTTTGGGCCAATTGCTCAATTTTGCTACATTTCATTTTTTCATTGGTATAATATAAGAAGAATGCCTATTATAGAATTTTTGTGAGAATTAATATAGATAATATTTTCAAAACACAATCCCTGCCATATGTACGTACAACTCATGGTACTCACAGTTAGCTTTGCATTAGGAGCGGGTTAGTTTGCAACTGCATGGAGTGTAGTTTTCTTACCAACAACCATCAGGGTTGGTAAGAGAAGACTGTTGTACTGAAAAATAATATGAGGTAGCTAGAACTAGAAGGAATATTCAAAAGTCTGAGAATCCCCACCATCCATCCCTGGGAAATAAAATCCCTAGGAATCAGAGACAATTTGTCTTCCTAAAATGAGAATTCATTCAATGTTAAAGTCTAAGAGTTCAAGAGAAAAAAAAGCTTCAAAACAGACATCGTCCCTCTTCCCACTGTCTTCTCCTCCCAGGCCCCAGTGCTTTCTATCACTATAGTTTAGTTCGCATTTTCCAGAATTATATGTACCTGGAATCATATAGTATGTACCCTTTTTTGGTGGGGAGGTGCAGACCTACCCAGAGTCTTTCCCTAACTGCTGCCAGATGCTTAAAATTCCATTTTCAGTACATTACCCCTTGCAGTGGTTCTTAACCTTAGCTATGTCACAAATCCCCTCGAGACTGATAAATTCTATGAGCCATCTTCCCAGAGAAATAAATGAAGAGAAATCCATTCCCACAGAATGTGGCATATAATTTTAGGATATTCAGATGAGAGAATTTGGCTTACCTGAAAGCTTTTGTAGCTGTCAAATACATAACAAGACTGAGGATCTATCACAATAAAGCTGGAAAGGCAAGAGCAACCCAAGGCCCTGCAGAGCAGGGGGTTCATATGTTGGATGTTCACTAGAAGGATTGTATTTCTCCCTAGATTTTTTCTTTCTGTTTCTTTTTAGGGAGTACTGCACACAATAGAACCAACTTTTATCTTTTCTGTAATAGGAAAGTTGTCTTTTTTTTTTTTAATTTCTGTACCTGGTTTGTATGTATTTTGAGGGGGAAGCATTCTTGTTTTGCTTTTCTGCTTCCTTTTTTTTTTTTTTTCATTAGAGACAGGATCTCACTCTGTCACCCAGGCTGGAGAGCAGTGACATGATCACAGGTCACTGTAACCTAGAACTCCTAGGCTCAAGCAGTCCTCCAAACTCAGCCTCCCAAAATGCTGACATTAAAAAGTGTGAGCCACTGTGCTCAGCCTTGTGTTGCTTTTGAACACAGAAGCTAGCCTTGAATTAACTTTGGCTTTTAACTAAAATTCTGAGTTTTTGATACTACGTTTTCTCTCACTCAGAATTTTTTCTTATCCATTAAAAAAATAAGAAATTGTGAGGGCAATTTGATACTTACATCATTTTCAGTAGGTGAATTATACAGCCCTTAGTTCAATCATACTACTTAAATAGATTGCTTAGAGGGTTAACTAGCTAGGGCTTGGCTTAGATCATTGACTCCAGAAATGCTCCTTGTAACTATGGTCCAGGAGTATAATTTAAAGATCACATGTTAATATGATGTTAATGTGTGTATGTGTGTATGTGTATGTGTATTATATATAATATAAAGATGAACTCACCCAACCATTTATAGGCATAAAATACCTTATAAAATGATCTCCATCCATATCCATATGCAAAATAATCTATCAGATCAAAACATTATATATCTCAAAACATTTCTCTGAAGAAGTCATTTTATGCTTAGATGACAACTTTTTTTTTCTATTTTCCCTTTAGCAATACTCTCTCAACACTGTTTATCAAAGGAACCAATATGGAAGGAAAAACATTGCTTTGAAGGGAAGATGGATGGATCCCCTAGTAAACTACAGCTTGAGGTGCAATTTCCTAAAGTTCAAATGCCTGAAAAAGGAAACGAAAGAAAGAAACTCAACTCTTGAGACAGCTTCAATGCTAGCTTTGATCTCAATTATAGAGTTATTTATGAAAAGTGCATTTTTACAACTAAAAATAAATTAGGATCAAAAGCTTCTAGAGGCTATACTATGGAGTGCTTAATAAAAAGTTGAGTAAAGAGTAATGAATGGCTTTGTACTATTAATTTGAAAGAATTACCTTCTCTTTTAAACAGCTGCCAAGATAGTGAAGATTGACATGTCACAGGAAATTAAAACAAATGGTTTCTAGTCCTGTATGCCTTGGTGGGTAAACAGTAGGATAGAGCCCTTACCTGGGAAGCTGTGGGCTGGACTCTACCTCTAACTGTGTGCAACCATTAAAGGAGCAACCTTCAGCAAGTTTATTTAACTCTCTGGGCCTCAAATTACCTACTCCTAAAGTGCACGAGAAGAACTAGTTCTTCTCTGAAATTCTTCCTGTCTCCAATGGCCTGTTCCTTAGTTCCTGTTAACTAAGCATACTCACACTCTAATAAATACATGTAAAATCTTACCCCTTATAGAAATAGTTTTTTTAAAAAAAGAATAATCAGTTTTAAATTTAAATCATAGGTCTATTCACTCAATGGACATTGTTGGGATTCAGTGTAGAAAAAGCACAAAGGATGAACTTCCAGTCAACTTTCAGTATTTGCATAAACACGACACAATTGTAGATTATCAAGAAATAGTTTTTATCAGACTAAAATACTCTAATGAATGATTTCATAGTCTTTTGGCTGTTTAATTAAATTCAGTGAATAAATCATTTCTTATTCTCTAGGTAACAATGAAAAAACATCTCAGAATAGTATAGAACAGCAAAAGGAATTGAAAGATGGTGCTGAGGATGATAGATGATAGACAGACAGACAGACAGACAGACAGACAGATAGATAGATAGATAGATATTGATAGAGAGATAGATAAGACATATAGATAGAATCCACTATGTAGAAAATGTCTCCTGTGGATACTGGAAAGTAGCTACCTATCTCAGGGAAAACAATGGCAAACCCATGAATAAGCTGATAGCTTTGACTAATAGGATATCTTAGTTGCTGGGTTAAAATATGAGACTTGTGTTCAGATTACAGTATCTTTCATTTTTATAAGAGAACCTTTTTTTTTGAGAAAACATATGTCACGTTCACACAATCTGGAAATGAATATTCTTATTCCTACCCCAATCTCATTTTCTTTTCTAGTTTTTTTTTTTTTTTTTTCCTGTTCTTTGCAGCTCACAGGGATAAGGCAGGCAGAGTAGGAGGTAAAGGAAGAGTACTCATGCCAATATGGCTCTTTGAGTAATTACCCTGCAGATGAGTTCCTCCAAGCACTAAAGGAGTGAGTCAGATCCTCCCTTTGCCATTCAGGTTCCCTGAAGTACGTCTGAAGGAAAATAACAGGTCATCCAGTCTTTTTCCAATTTGGAGCTGTTGAATTGCCACTGTTGTACTCCTTCCATATCTGAGTATCAACTGTAATATTATTTAGTAAATAATTTTTTAAATGGCTCAATTTTTTATTCAAATAATTTCTTTAAAAATGATATCTTACTAACCAGTTTATCAAAAATAGAGTTAAATAAAAATATGTAGAAGGAATTAAATAATATCATGTTATTTAATTACCACTAAATACTGTTGCCTACTAAAACTGCTCTTTGATCCCTGCTCTCTGTTAACAAGATTAGTAAGATAATAAAGCCTTATTAATTTGAAACTGAGACACCTTTCCTTGACATGATCAGAAGGAATGAAAGATAATCGAGAAGAAATAATTTTCTCACTTTATGATTTAAGATTATGTAATGCCCTATCTATAAATTATTAATAATCTTTCCATACAAAGCAGAGGTTAAAAACAAAATGGGAATAGGGTGTCTGTTGCTGATAGTGTACAAGGTAAAAAATACATTTGTTCTACCAGACTCATACATTTTAGATTGATACATTTGAAAGCAATCTAGTCCTCCTGTTTACACTGCATTTGCTCTTGCTTCTGTAGTGAACAGCTCAAGTGGATTTAAAAAGAAAGAAGAGAAAAAGAAAAAGAACCCAAATCTTTGTCTTTGATGTAAATTTTATAATTTGGTTTTGGAGAGAGAGTAACCACATGAACAATAGAGAACAAAGCAATCTTAAAGCAAGTTGTTTAAGTGTCCGACAGCACAGTAATAGCTGACTTTTGTTGTCTTTTAATAATAATATTGTATACAAAGCATTTATTATGGGCCAGACGTGATATTAAGTACTTTAAAAACATTATCTCATTTAATCTTTCTGCTAATCCAATGAGGTAGGTACATCGTTATTCCCATTTTTGGATGGAGAAACCAAAGTTCAAAAAGAAAAAGAAACAAGCTCAGGACAACACAATGGTAATGGGAAGACAGGATTCAAATCCAGCCTATCTCAGTTCCCATTATTTATTGGATAAAGAATAGAGTCTAAGGGGGTAAGCCAGGAGAATTCAACTAACTTGCTTTTCATTTTAATTTGGGTTCTGACTACTACAATTTTTTTCTGTATAGAAACAGTAGCACATCCTCAAATCCTCCACTTAGATAACAGTTTTAACCCCTGTCTATTGGCAGAATTAAAGAGCTTCTCCGAAGCCCCAACTCCACTGGAGAATATGTTGTGGGGGTGGAGCAAGTGCAGTGCCCAGTGCTTAGAGGTTTATCAAAAAGGATTGTGTAAAAATCCTTTAATCTACCACAACTGGAACACAGGCTACAAAATCAGCCCATACTCTTAGTTTTAAAAACTAAACCATGGCCACTACACGAACTATTCCCCAGCCTGTGTTGGGAAGGCATCAAAAGCCTATTGCTCTTAAGTATTGCCATGGGGCAGAGCATAAATTCTTGTCTTAAAAGCTCAAGCTTGCACTGAAGTGTGACTCAAAATCAAAGGGCAAATTCAAATTAAAATCATGGGCTGGGATATGATGAAGGGAATGTTATCAAATATCTACCTGAACTCCTGGGGAGAAAGTTCAATTTGCTGTGCAGACAGCTATAGCTGGAATGTAGCAAAGCTAAATCCCCATCCCCAGCTGGAATATTCAGACACAGGGCTGCTATGTTTTTGGAGCTCCAGCAGGTGTTGTCTGGAGTTTGACCAAAACAACAGTAGCTCAGCTGCCAGCGAACTGAATTACACCTGAAGCCTTTCTAGGCATAAATGACTGTTCTTTGCACTCTCTCCACCTCCTCTCCTCCAATCTGGTCCAACTTCCTAGATTCATATCACATAAAAATCCTTGTATTTAACAGCAATTAAAAGCAATATTAAGATGGAATGCCAATCAATATTAATATTCAATCTGTGCCAATCAGCCTAACCTGTTTTCTAGGCTAATTTTTAGCCAGGAAAAATTAATCTCTCTTAGAAATTAAAGTCCAAATAAGTCACAACTGTTTTCATGCTTAGAAAATGTATCTATCCATTTGTTTAAGGGGCTTACATAAAACTACTGAAGCTAAAGGAAGCCCTCAGGACTAACAGAATATTCCTGCAGCTCCTATGCTTGCCAAAACTTGGCTGCTGAAAGGATATCACATGAAGCTAAAACAGCTGGGATGTCTAGGCCTTAGAAACTTCCTTTAAATTTTCATGTTGTGATTTAACATCCTTTTGCAATTATTGTTTAAAATCACTTATAGTTACTTAGTGATTGATCAGCAAAAATCAGTAATTTGATGTCTGGTGTAAGAGGAGCCTCTCTCAGAATCAGTTTTCTACTTTCTTCAGTGTACAGAGCCAGATTCAGCAACTGGGGCTGTCAATATAGAGAAACAACTGGGGAGTTTTTTTTAAATGTGAGTGCAGAACCCTTTCCCAGACAAATTAAATCAGAATCATTGGAGACAAGGTCCTGACTTTAGTGACTTTATAGGTTCCCAGATGATTCAAATATACAGGCACAGTTGAGGAAAGTTAGTTTAGGTTGTGAAATCCTACGCATGAAAAGTAACACATTGTAATGGCTTAAAAATGGGAAAGATAATGCTGTATATTTTGCACATGGGCAGAAAGTATATATACGCACACAGACATAAACACATGTATGTGTTTAATACACAATATGTAAAGGGCTTGGTCAAATTCTCTATAACAAATTTTGTGTAGATTCCTATTGTTATTTTAAAAGGGAGGAAATTATTGGTTTGGGAAGCAAAGAAGACAAAATTAATTTTAGTTAAAAAATTGATTCAAAGGGCCAGCTTATCCTCATAATTATTTTTTAATGTTTCATTCTGGGAAGACTACTACATATTACACTAGTTTTTATGTCGTAGGTAGAAACTTAATTAAATAGCAGTCTCACATATTCAGAATCTGCTTAAAAACAATTAATTTCTTTGTATACATATTTTTTAAATTTACCTGGGTCCAAGCATTATTGAACTCTTGCAACAATAATTAAGCAACAAACTTTAATAATTATTAAAATACCTTGGAACTAATGATAATTGTTCTTTTTAAGCTTTCGGAGCTCCCAAGCCGGAAAGAATATATGTAATTGGCTAAAATACTTACAAGGCTCTGGAGGAATTCTTCTAATGAAAAGCAAGATGGGAGACTTGCATCTATTGAATGGCTACCTTGTGTCAGACATTGTGTTAGGCACATTATCTCACTGAGTCCTAAACTAATCCCTGTAGAACAGGGGTCAGCAAACTATGGCCAAGGGCCAAATTTCACATTTGTAGATAGTTTTATCGTTACATAGCCATACTCATTCATTTACCTATCATCTGTGGCTTCTTTCTTGCTAAAAAGCAGGGTTTAGTAATTGCAACAGGGATCATATTGTCAGGTCCTTCACAGAAAAAGGTTACTAATCCTATTATAGAACATTTATGATTATCTGTTTTTGATGAAGGAATCAACGTTAAATTCAAAAGCACCAAAGCATTAATTTTTCTTCAGAAACTATTGTTGACTGAGAAAATGACCTCAAGAAGTGAACTAGCTTGAGAGATGACATGCTAATGATTAAGTAACTAATATTATATACAACTTGAATGTTTCTATAGTTTTGAAACAATAGGCAATTACCCTTGCGTTCAGATATCATATGAGTTTCTCATTGCTTCTTGAATGAAACAGAATCAGGAAATAAAGATGTCATTTATTGAGTTTGGATAAATGAACTAGAGCTGACATCTGTGAATACAACATTTATTTTTATTTTATTTATTTATTTATTTATTGAGACGGAGTCTCGCTCTGTTGCCCAGGCTGGAGTGCAGTAGCGCGATCTCGGTTCACTGCAACCTTTGCCTCCCAGGTTCAAGCAATTCTCCTGCCTCAGCCTCCCGAGTAGCTGGGACTACAGGCATGCGCCACCACGCCTGGCTAATTTTTTATGAATACAACATTATAATTTAGTCATGAAAATACTCCATTACTTGAAATGTGGATATATGTCAAGAGACAGAAAATAATCACAAAAGAGATTTGTTCTAAGCAAAATTATATGCTGAACTTTTAATTTTTGTTGGTGAGAAGGACACTTCCTCCCTACTCCTGATGCTTCCTTCCATTTGAAAGGAGCTGCACTAGCATAACACCTGGCCTACCTCTGTGCTTTCTCTTTCCTTGCAAAAATCTAATTTTTTCCCACCCATCCTCTATCACTCTGATGCCATGAGTATCTGCTAAGATCTTTGGCAACACTGGGTATGGTGGGTTTCCACTAAGTTGTAAACATATCTTTGTCTGAAATAGTTGGCCCAGGAGCCTGGAGACTGGCTTGTTTTCTAAATTTGGTGGGTGAGTGGGGCCAGTTCTCAGATAGTCTTTTGGGACTGTCAAGTGAGGCATGAGAGATTTGGCTTGAGACAGACTTGGCTGCAGCTGCTGAAGAAATCATAGCACTCCTCAGTCATCGAGAACCATCTGGCTGGGACTGAGCAGAACAGGAAGTTGAGGTGGTTGATGAATTTTGGACTTCAATTCCTGTGAAATTAGCCCACAAGGGCAGTAAGATTGATTATGGATTTGAATTACTTTGGATTTTGAATTTTAGAAACTTTATATTTGGACTTTCATTCTCCTTGACAATCTGATCCTGAGGTTGGGTTTTATGATCAAATGTGGGGCACCTTATTACTATCATGTTATTTTTGGATTAAGTGGTAGATTTGACCATTGTTTCCAACTATTTGCCCAATGAGTTAAAAAAAAAATTAAAACTGGGACTATTGAGAGATCTTTATTTTTCTTTTTTTTAATGTGAATGAAATGCCCTTTTTACAACTCTCCTAGTCTCTATGATTTAATCTGGCCAGTAACTTTTAGAAGCAAAACTGGACAAGTCAAGTTTAATTCCCTCCTCTCCTCTTTCTCTTAGGTACAAGCTACCCATGTGAATTATGCGTTCTGTTCAGCAATTCTATACTGTAAGCTTTTATGGAGTCAACCTTTGCCCCTGTGCAGGGAGGCTGCCCCAGATCTGCATTGCCCATTCCTTGGGGTTAAGATGGTATAAATTCACTTGTGCCCCTGGGATTTCTGAAGCAGAATTATAAGATGAAAAATGTCCTGTGACTGTCACTGTTAAGCACTGGAAGAACAGTGTGACTGTGTGAAAGGCTGTGCTATTCAGTCACAAAGTATCCATCAGTCAATCTTTGTAGAGAACTGTGCAGGGAAGTAGAATGTGGGGACTAGTCATGCAAAAAACAGGATGAGTTTTTCTTGGGATAAGCTGAAGTCGAGGTATTATGAAAAATTCAATGCTAGCAGGGTTGCAGAGAAATAGGAATGCTTTTACACTGTTGGTGGGAACGTAAATTAGTTCAACCATTGTGCAAGATGGTGTGGCAATTCCTCAAAGATCTAGAACCAGAAATATCATTTGACCCAGCAATCCCATTACTGGGTACATACCCCAAAGGAATATAAATCATTCAAATATAAATCATTCAAATATAAATCCATACAAAGATACATGCACATGTATGTTCGTTGCAGCACTATTCACAATAGCAAAGACATGGAATCAACCCAAATGCCCATCAACGACAGACTAGATAAAGAAAATGTGTTACATATACACCATGGAATACTATGCAGCCATTAAAAAAACGAGATCATGTCCTTTGCAGGGACATGGATGGAGCTGGAAGCCATTATCCTCAGCAAACTGAGGCAGGAACAGAAAACCAAACACTGCATGTTCTCACTTATAAGAGGGAGGAAAACAATGAGAACACATGGACACATGGAGGGGAATAACACACACTGAGGCCTGATTGGAGGAGGGAGAGCATTAGAAAAATAGCTAATGCCTGCTGGGCTTAGTACCTAGATGACAAGTTGATAGGTGCAGCAAACCACCATGGCACATGTTTACCTATGTAACAAACCTGCACATCTTGCACAGGTACTCCAGAACTTAAAATTAAAATTAAAATTAAAAAAGGCACATGCAATAAATGAGAGCGAGATGAAGAAAAAAGTCACAGTATGATGGGGTCATCTGCATAACATAAGTGATATTGAAACCTCTAGGGTAGAATAAAAATAATTTAGAAAAAAAGAACATCAAGAATATACACAGAATTGCCCACACACAATACCAAGAGCTTTCGTAACTGAGGAGAAAAAAGCATCAGTGAAGCAGTTCTAGAAGGTTTAAGCAGAAGCAAATAGTAATGTTTCAAAGAGAATTTTCAGGAGAGAGATCAATGGTATAAAAGTGATGTGAAGTCATCAAGCAGCATGAATTTAAAATACGTCGTCAGATTCAACAATCAACGTGGTAATTGTTGAAAAGAAAAGGTACATAGAAATGTTGTCAGGGTCACATTGAGTTTTTCTTATTCAGGCTAGGAGATACCAGAAGATGTCTGAAGATGGAGGAAATGCAAACTAGGAGGAGTTTCCTAGAAATGAGTGGAAATGTTTAGCAGGAGTTGATATTATTAACTATTATCTTAACAAACCTTCAGGCGAACTGCTCTAAGTAATCACTTGGAGCACGTTAGTCGTATTCATTCCTTTTGTGTTCACTGCAGATTTCCAAATAGTAGAAGTTTCTGAAGCATATTAGAAGGGATTATAACCTTTACCATAATTATACAGCTGAGACATATAAAGTATAAACCTCAAAATAGATGTAAACGATCCACATAATCACAAGGCACAACCACTATGAAAATACCACAATATTTTGCAGTTTATCTAAAAGTATCCACATTTCCTGCACTATCGTCTCATTGCACACTAGCAGCTGTTTAAATAATGCTATTTGCCACCTAGGGCACGCTCAATATATTCACAAGGCAAAGTTCTCATAAGTTCCATAAGCAGAGCATTCTTTTTAGCTTTAAACTTAGCTTTAAAGCCTGTAGTTCCTAGGTGCACATATGTCCCAATTTACCTAAACAATTCCAGTTCCTTCCTGTTGTCCTGATGTGATTGTTGATGGCACCCCTTTTCACTCCTGAAAGTGTCCTTGCATGGATGATAGATTGTACCATCACCCTCCTCTTACCTCTTACTTTCTCTCTGTTACACTCCAATGCAAGATCCACTCCACTCAGGGTTCTGTCTGACAAATATATTTTATACCCAATGACATAAAAATAAATATTACAGATTGATAAAAATATGTGGGCTCATCAGAACATTAGAGCTTATTGCTTGAGAATCACTATTCAAGATAAATGTAAAAAATGGCAGAAAAGAGAGTGATGACAGAAACTGCAAAGATGCGGCAGTGGCCAGAAACATAATAAAAATCCTAAAACTGAGGTCCACAATGAAACGAAAAACAGAGTACCTATCAACATTAGAGATGAAAAATAACCTTTACAATGGATTATTATTCAAATTAACTTCTTTAAAAATGCTACCATATTGGGAAAACTGGCTAGCCATATTTAGCAAGCTGAAACTGGATCCCTTCCTTACACCTTATACAAAAATTAATTTGAGATGGATTAAAGACTCAAATATTAGACCTAAAACCATAAAAACCCTAGAAGAAAATCTAGGCAATACCATTCAGGACATAGGCATGGGCAAGGACTTCATGTCTAAAACACCAAAAGCAATGGCAACAAAAGCCAAAATTGACAAGTGGGATCTAATTAAACTAAAGAGCTTCTGCACAGCAAAAGAAACTCCCATCAGAGTGAACAGGCAACCTACAGAATGGGAGAAAATTTTTGCAATCTACTTATCTGACAAAGGGCTAATATCCAGAATCTACTAAGAACTCAAACAAATGTACAAGAAAAAAACAAACAACCCCATCAATAAGTGGGCACAGGATATGAACAGACACTTCTCAAAAGAAGACATTTATGCAGCCAACACACACATGAAAAAATGCTCATCATCACTGGCCATCAGAGAAATGCAAATCAAAACCACAATGAGATACCATCTCACACCAGTTAGAATGGTGATCATTAAAAAGTCAGGAAACAACAGGTGCTGGAGAGGAAGTGGAGAAATAGGAACACTTTTACACTGTTGGTGGGACTGTAAACTAGTTCAACCATGGTGGAAAACAGTATGGCGATTCCTCAAGGATCTAGAACTAGAAATACCATTTGACCCAGCCATTCCATTACTGGGTATATACCCAAAGGATTATCAATCATGCTGCTATAAAGACACATGCACACATATGTTTATTGCGGCACTATTCACAATAGCAAAGACTTGGAACCAACCCAAATGTCCATCAATGATAGACTGGATTAAGAAAATGTGGCATATATACACCATGGAATACTATGCAGCCATAAAAAAGGATGAGTTCATGTTCTTTGTAGGGACATGGATGAAGCTGGAAACCATCATTCTCAGCAAACTCTCGCAAGGACAAAAACCAAACACTGCGTGTTCTCACTCATAGGTGGGAATTGAACAATGAGAACACTTGGACACAGGAAGGGGAACATCACACACTGGGGCCTGTAATGGGGTAGGGGGAGGGGAGAGGGATAGCATTAAGAGATATACCTAATGTAAATGACAAGTTAATGGGTGCAGCACAACAACATGGCACATGTATACATATGTAACAAACCTGCATGTTGTGCACATGTACCCTAGAAGTTAAAGTATAATAAAAAATAAATAAAAAATAAATAAAGAAAAATGCTAGCATATATAATTTTCACAAAATATCAACTTCATAATGTCCCATTCAGGTTCGGATGCCCTCGGTGACTCTTGGTTACCTACACAGACTTAGCTAGACTTGCAGTTTGCACCATTCAGCTTCAACGTCCTTTTCCAAAATCCTCTCTCCCTAATTTGAACTCCTTGGAGAAATTTGAGCTCCTTTTCCTTATTTATTATGGTCAATTGGCTGCATTGCTCATGAGGCAGTGATAAGGTTTCCTAGCTTCTCTGGCCTATTCAACTGTATCTATTCTGCTTCGGGTAACATTCTGCTGCTCAGCGTGATTACTATTTTCTCCTGACTGTGAAGCACCTACAGTGGGGAATTCAAAATCTGGCTGGTCATCTAAGTGAAATGGTACATTTTAAAAAGAAAGCTTCCCAGGCACCATTCTAGAGTTACAGGTTCAATTCTCTGGGGAATAGGATTCAGGAATCTGTACGTTTTACAAGACCTTTACATTGTTCTCACATGCAGGGTCTCTACCACACATTAGTCACTTAATCTGTGCTCCATTATTTTTGTTTTATATGTGCTTCTCAGGTTCACAAATGACCTCTATGTTGCTAAATGCAGCAGTCAATTCAGTTTCTACAAATTGCATTTGATACAGTTTATATGACATATATACCACATATCCACCACACACACACACACACACACACCCCTCCCTCTTCCATACCCCTACCCCAGGAATTTCTACACTTAGCTACATCCTTGTCTCAGTTTTCCTACTACCTCACAAATCACTCCTTCTCACTCACCTTTCCTGGTTTCTCCAGTTCTCCAGATCTTCAGTTTTAGAAGCGATCAAGGGTGTACCCCTTGAATTTTTATCTTTTGTATCCAAATTTATTCCTAGATGATTCCATTCAATTTTATTGCTTTAAATACTACCTCTAGGCTGCCAACTTACAGACCAATATCTCCAAACTAGACCTCTCCCTGCAAGTCCAGGCTTCCATATCCACTCACCTACTTGACACAGCCACTTGCCTAATGGGCACCTCTAGCTCAGCGTGACTGAGGGTGATCTCACCACCCCACCCAGACCTGCTTGTCCATCAGTCTACTTCATCTCATCCTTTGCTCAGTCCGAAAGCTTCAGAGATTTTGGCATTCCTCCTTTCCAATCTAACCCACCAGAAAGTCCTTTCGGATATACTTTTTAAATGTACCCCAAGTCTAATCACTTATCACCCTCCCTGACTTATAGCAAGTCACCATCATGGCTCATCTGGATTCCTGCAGTAGCCTCCCAAATGGTCTCCCACTTCCATCTTTTTCCTTCCCTCTAATCACCACTCTCAGCCAAAGTGATGCTGTTCAGATGGAAGTCTCATCTTTCTCTCATCTACAAAAATAAATAAATAAGAAAACCTAAACAAACAAAAAGCCCTCTAATGCCTTTCTATCTTAGAGTGGAAGCCTGAGTCTTTCTAAGATGGACAAGGCTCTATGTGGCCTGGTTCTCTGTCACCCTGTTATCTCATCTCCTGCTATTCTGCCCCTCATTCACCTGTTCCAAGCCATTCCATCTCCCAGCCATTCCTCCAACATGCCAGGCATGCTTCCTACCCAGGCCTCTTCCCCCAGATATCCACAGGGCTCCCTCTCTGGCCTCCTTGGGTCTTTATTCAAGTGACACCTTCTTCACGGGGCCTTTCTGGGCCACCCTGTCTATAACTTCAACTCCTTCTCCCACCCTTCATTCCCTGTGCTATGTTTCATCCTCAGCACATACTCCTCATCACTATCTAATTTATCTACAATTTACTTATGTTGCTCATTGTCGTCCCCAGTTAGCCAACTAGAATATAAGCCCCACGACAGCAGGAATTTTTGCTTGCTTTTTTTTTTTTTTTGTCTTTTTATTCAGTGCAGTAGCATATCCCATGACCTAATACAGGGTCTGGCATATAGTAAGTACTCAATATTTATTGAATAAATAAATGTGTGTTTGTTGTATTTCCCTAATACAAGAATTCAGCCTAGCACAATATCCAATATACAGAAGGATCTGAAAAAATATCGGTTTTGAGACACTGGGTCCTACTTGAGGGTGAAGGTTGGGAGGAGGATGAGGATCGAAAAATTACCTATTGGGTACTACGCTTAATTACCTGACTGATGAAATAATCTGTACACCAAACCTCTGTGTCACACAATTTACCTATAACAAACTTGCATGTGTGCTCTTGAATCCCAAATAGTTACTAATTTAAAAAAAAAACTCCAAAATACATATATTGAGTATTTTTTTTTTGAGATGGACTTTCACTCTTGTTGCCCAGGCTGGAGTGCAATGGTGCAATCTTAGCTCATTGCAACCTCCGCCCACCCAGGTTCAAGCAATTCTCCTGCTTCAGCCTCCTGAGTAACTGGGACTACAGGTGCGTGCCACCATACCCTGCTAATTTTGTGTTTTTAGTAGAGACAGGGTTTCTCCATGTTGGTCAGGCTGGTCTCGAACTCCTGACCTCAGGTGATCTGTCTGCCTTGGCCTCCCAAAGTGCTGGGATTAAAGGCATGAGCCACTGCGCCTGGTCCTGTTTTGTTTGTTTGTTTGTTTGTTTGTTTTAATGATTGAGTAAAGCAGAAAGGTTCTCTTCTCAAATTTGGCAAGAACCAATGTTCATGGTTTCAAGAGTATCACTACTGGCAGCAATAAGGGCCCCACTGCAATGAAGGGGTTTTGAGGGAAGAAAATATGTGTGGAAGACATATCTGCACAATTTTACACACATTTTCCAAAATTATTTTCTCTTAACGACAGACATAATTCACACCTATATCTTCTCAAAACCCACACTTCTAACAGGATCTGAAATACAAGACAAGCACTCTGCTGTGGTTTGGATATGTTTTGTTTGGCCCCACCAAGTCTCATGTTGAAATTTGATCCCCAGTGTGGGAGGTGGGAGGTGTTTGATCACAGTGGGGGATCCCTCATGAATGGCTTGGTGCCATTGTCTTGGGAGTGAGCAGTCTCTCACTCTTAGTTCCCATGAGAACTGGTTGCTGAAAAGAGCAAGAACTGGTTGTTGAAAGAGCACCTCCCCCTTCTCTCTCTTGTCTCCTCCTCTCCATGTGATCTCTGCACACAGTGGCTCCCGTTCACCTTCTGCCATGAGTGGAAACTTGCTGAGGCCCTCATCAAAAGCAGATATTGGTGCCATGCTTGCTGTACAGCCTGCAGAACCATGAGCCAAATAAACCTCTTTTCTTTATAAACTACCAAGCCTCAGCTATTCCTTTATAGCAACGCAAATGGACTAAGGCATAGTCTTATGGAAAAGCTACTTGCAGGCCAGGCACGGGGGCTCAAGCCTTTAATCCCAACACTCTGGGGGGCCAAGGTGGGCAGATCATTTAAGACTAGGCTGGCAATCTTGGCAAAACCTCGTCTCTACTAACAATACAAAAATTAGTCTGGCATGGTGACGCATGCCTGTAATCCCAGCTACTTGGAAGGCTGAGGCACAAGAATTGCTTGAGCCTGGGAGGCAGAGGTTGCGGTGAGCTGAGATTAGGCCACTGCCCTCCAACCTGGGAGACAGAGCAAGAATCTTTCAAAAACAAAAAACAAAACAAAACAAAACAAAACCGCAATCTACTTGCAGAAGTCTCAGGAAACATATATATAAATCCATATTAAATGTCATGCAGGGTATTTGTATTGTCATCTATTGTCATCTATGTCAAGCCTGCATTTCCCCTGTGACTCTCACATCACCAAATGCTTGACAATTCTACTCAGGGACAAAGGCATCCAAATCATTTCAACAGCAGTTGCCAGCATTGTATTCTGCATCCCCTCCAAGACAGCTCTCACTTTATAGACCTTTTATCCTATTCCCAGGGTTCCTCTTCCTCCCTATACCAATCTTTATGGCGCATTTCTATGAATCAAAATGTTCATATGTGAAAAGGAAAAAAAAAGAACATATTTTTCTTTTTTTAAAAAATGAGATAGGAGTCTCACTATGTTGCCCAGGCTGGTCTCAAACTCCTGAGCTCAAGCAATTCTCCCACCTCAGTAATTTTCTTGTAATTAATATGTGATGTGAATTTGGGAGGCACAAGGGCAATGAATGAAAGCTGGTAAATATTATAGTCAACATCTATATAAAAAGCAGCAAGATTAATACATGATAAAAAGATACACCTTCTTCCCCTGATTCCCTCAGAACTATATTTGTTTCACTAACTCTCCTCACAGACTGAGAAAAACAGACTTATTCCTTCTTTACATTTGCATTGAGCCATGAAATCATGCCACAATTACTCAGGGAGGCTACCTGCTTTGATCTAAAAGAAAAGAGACTCTTGTGAGCCTGTAATTACCAAAAAATAAGGAGAAAATTGATTTGGTTGACATTTCTACAGCCATTCATTGTCTTTAAAGAGACTGTTATTTAATGAGATTTCCAAATTTCCAATAACATTCCCAGAGAATTTCTATTTGAAGGTGTTCCAGTCTTCAAATACGCCAGCTTCTCCCAATAACACTGTGAAGTCTCTATTAACATGCCCAGTTTTTATAAGTGAGGAATCAGAGCTGAAGATAAGTGAGGTAATCTGCCCTTGAATGTACAATATTAGGTGGCCAAGCTGGATTCAAGCCATATTTCTGATGACCAGCCTCATGTCCCTGATCATGTAGGTCTATAACACCTCTGCAACAATTAGAAACTGTCCTGCCCACACAAGGTTCCAACTCAGCCGGTATTTAAGTTGCTGCAAGTTTGGCCCTTAATTCTTATTTATAGCTCTAGTCCAGCATTTCTGAAATTGTGATTACCAAAATATAATCAATATTCCTAGGAGAATGATGCTCTGTTAAACAAAGTCAAAGAGTCCTCTTCACTTAGAACTCCACAGAGGCTTTAAAATGCATATATACATTATGAATCACAAAGAGAAGGAGAGAGCAGGCAGTTTCCCAAACTTGATGACTACAAAACTCTTTAAGAGTGTATGTATGTAATGGGGAGAGGTGATTGGGGCAGGTGAAAATATTTGTTACACTCTCAAGAGACACTAATATTCCACAAACAAGAAGATTAAATGTAAGTAACATTTGTGTTTTAATTTGAAACAAAGTTTCAGTGGCTTAGAACTTTCTTTTCTTCACCTTTCAACACTCATATTTTTGTTGTGGTTGTGAAAACAGCTTGACCAATTTTAAATGGAATACTAAGGACACGAAATGTTTTTATTATTAAGAAACAGTTCTGTCCTTTGCAACTATATTCTTTCTTTAGTTTGACTTTATTTATTGCTCAGGTTGGTAGCAGTGATGAGGATGGAGGGAAGGATGGGAGTGATGTAAGAAGGAAAATATAAAAAAACTCAAATAGGAGATGCAGAAATTGAAGAAATATGCAGAAATTGAAGTCAGTTACTTCTGCCAGGTAGATGTTATATCTCTGAGGCTAACAAGATGATAAAATTCTAACACTGTTTTCTTGTCTTATTTATAATGTTCTACATTATATGTGATCATGTAAAAAACATTAGTATATCCAGTGATACAAAATAATTTGAAAAGAAAATTACTATGATGAGCTAAACACCTTCCTGCTGCAAGTCTGGCAGGAAAAGCTGCCTTCTAGTGGTCCTTTATCTGGCTTTGGATAAGAGAGAAGATCTAGACACTGGACATTTCTCTGTCTTGTCAACAATCCTCAGAACCACCTTCTAAGCAATTTCAGCCCTGTAAACCACAAGCATGCAAGAAGGCTCTGCGTGACACTCATAGAAAGACTCTTAAAAGACATTGATACTTTTAAATTTGATTTAGTTTCAAAAACAGAATAAAGATTATAATTACATTTGATTTAGTTCCAAAAACGGAGTCAAAAATCTTAACCTTTGACAAGACCTGTGTAAAGAAGCTGAGGTAAGCATTTCACATGGAGAGAGGGATCAGGAATTCAGAACATTCCATAAAGAAACTTTGAAATTCAGAGCAAGTAAAGGGCAGGGCTTTACACTTATTTGTATTATGATAAAATATTCTGTTATCACATCTGGAGCAAGGCACTCCCAGCTTGCTGAGGAATTTTCCTGGCACATCAAATATGTTTAAAATTGGATGTAACAGGAATCAAGTCTTCATTGTTTTACTACTGCTCCTCCGGCAATATTAGGTTCACATCTAATGTAAATGTAAATTTTAATGCTTAGCTGGTTTTGATGCTGACTCTACAGACAAGTCAGTAATATTGTTAAAGGGTAATGTATGAAAAAGTTCACTTCATGCTTTCTTTAAAGTGAAGGTTTAAAAAATGCAAAGGCAGAAGAAGGTCTGAAGTAAAGGACTGAATGAAGGACAGAAATCAGATCATGTTCTGAAACATTCGTCTGAGTGCCATGGAAGCCAGGAAGTTGTAGCTGACCGAAGTCCTAGTGCTTACCCTAAGAGAACCACAACTTCAGGGAGACATTTTAGGTTCTTCAGGATGAAACCTTTGGAATAACCCGAAGCTGTAACAGATGGTGTGTTTGTCATTTTTGTAGTGTCATTGCAGGCATATTTGGAAAGCCATTCTGAACTTTCACTTCAAGAACCACACGGAGAGTTATTTCACAGTTCAGTGCTGTTGGGTTGCAAGCCTGAGCACAGCACACGCTTTGAACCAGCATGATGAGATACACCCCGACTGCCAAAAATCCAGAGCTGGCAGGAATTCCCACAGTTTCCTAAGCCAACTTTGTTCAAGGCCCACTCCATCCTAAAAGAATCTGGTTAACAAAATTTTGCTTCATTTACTAGGTTTGTTTGCACGAATTATCTCCTACTGAAAAAGCATGGGATCCTGAGTCAAACAGAACAGGGTTTGAACTCTGGCTCTGCCTCCTACAAGCTGAGTGTTGTTGGGCATATTAAATCTCCTTCCTGAACCTTAATTTCTTTCTTTATAAAGTGAGGGCAATAACGTCATAAGTGAAAGGACTTCAAAGAGGAATACGTGAAAAACGTGTGTAAAATGCACCTGGAAGAATCCCTAGTTCATAGTGGATATTCCCTAAATGTTCGTTCAACTTCGAAATTTTTAAATATGATTTTATTAGGGGAGAAGAAAACTAGCTTGTGGTTAAATGTTTCCCATCCATAGTTACTGACTAAAAGATAGAACTACTAAAGTTATAGCCAAGAACATCATTTTCCCTAGGGCATATCGATAAAATCTTGCAGTTTGCATTACGGAGGTATTAGGAGGTCATGCTGGTTAATAGTTAAGCTAGGCAACAATTCTATTTCAAATCAAATCCTCATTCTAATGCCTCTTAATTGGGTAATCTTGTTATTTAATCTCTCAGCGACTTGGTTTTCTCATCTATAAAATGAGAATTATATTAATCACTACCTTATAGGGTAGTTTAAAGTGTCTAACATACAGTATGTATCAAATCTACATCAGTTTTTCTTTGAATTACTATTAGTTGTTTCATTAAAATTATTAGCAATTATTAATTGTTCTCTCTGTATTCATTAAAATAACTAAGATTACACTGGGCTAACAACCCCAAAATTTCAAGGGCTTTAAACAACAAAGGCTTTAAAAATTTTATTTATTTTTTTTTAGAGGCAGAGTTTCACCCTGTTGTCCAGCCTACAGTGCAGTAGCGTGATCATAGCTTACTGCATCCAAAAACTCCTGGGCTCAAGTGATCCTTCCGCCCCAGTCTCCCAGGCAAGTACCATGTGCCCAGCTAAGTTTTTAAAAATGTTTTCTAGAGATAAGTCTCGCTGTGTTGTCCAGGCTCATCTCAAAATCCTGGCCTCAAAGGATCCTCCCACCTCCCAAAGTGCTGGGATTACCAGCATGAGCTACCATGCCCAGCTGACAATGATTTCTTTCTAGTTTATGAAAAATGACCAATGTGGTTTGGCAGGAGCTCAGCTTACTGTTCTGTTCATCATAGACCCTCACAGACACATACTGAAGGGGAATCCATCTTCATGCATGCTTACATCATTACTGTAGTAGCAGAAGAACTCTAGAGGGTCTGGCATTGTCAATTAAATGCTTAATTCTGGAATTGAATCACAACCCACTAGATAGAACCAGTCACACATCCTCACCCCAATACAAAGGAAGGGACTGGGATGTGTAATTCTCCCATATGCTTCAATGAAGCAAGAAATCATATACTGGTGCATAGTTAGGAGTCTACCACCTTCTTCAATTGCTTACTTTAAGAGTTTTCCTTACTTATGCTGGCATAGCATAATTAAAAGTAATGGCAAAAATTGCAATTATTTTTGCACCAACCTAATATTTGGAGAAAAGGAAAAAGAAATATTTCCTCTTCAAAAATAGAGGATGGACCAGGTGCAGTGGCTCACGCCTGTAATCCCAGCACGTTGGGAGGCTGAGGCAGGCAGATCACTTGAGGCCAGGAGTTCGAGATCAACCTGGCCAACATGGTGAAACCCTGTCTGTACTAAAAACACAAAAATTAAATTAGTCAGTCGTGGTGGTGCACACCTGTGGTCCCAGCTACTTGGGAGGCTAAGGCAGGAGAATTGCTTGAGCCCAGGAGGCGGAGGTTGCAGTGAGCCAAGATCATGCCACTGCACTCCAGCCTGGGCAACAGAACAAGGCTCCTTCTCAAAAAAAAAAAAAAAAAAAAAAAAAAAAGGATGAGAAGTCTTAAGGAAACAAGAAATGAGTAAGAAAGGGTGTTCATTTATTTCTTTATTTTCATGTTACTTAAATAAAGGAAGGAATAGCTATAATTGAGCTCTAGATTCTTATAACTCCTAAAATAGCTGAACATAAAATTATTTTAAAATCAGATAAATTTATGTAAAACAAAATGAGAATAATTACTAAAAAATTCATGTAAGGAATAACTTTTGCCTTAGTTATCAACAGGAACTATAAATTCTCTATTCACATTTTATACTACAAAAATATTTTTTTCTTTCAAGATTAAATTGTTTAGCATGGACGAATCAGGTTCTTCTCCATTATCTAAAACTGATCAGGAAATTAACTCTCCAATGAATATTTTTGTCCTGGTGGCCTGTGATACTGAGAGGTGAAGCCAGCTGAACTTCTGGGTCCAGTGGGGAGTTGGAGAACTTTTCTGTCTTACAAGAGGATTGTAAAATGCACCAATCAGCACTCTGTAGCTAGGATTGTAAAACGCACCAATCAGTGCTCTGTGGCTAGCTAGAGATTTGTAAAATGGACCAATCAGCACTCTGTAAAACGGACCAATCAGTGCTCTGTAAAATGGACCAATCAGCAGGACATGGGTGGGGACAAACAAGGGAATTAAAAACTAGCCACCCCAGCCAGCAGCACAACCCACTTGGGTCCCCTTCTAGGCTGTGGGAACTTTATTATTTTACTCTTCACAATAAATCTTGCTGCTGCTCACTCTTTGGGTGTGCACTACCTTTAAGAGCTGTAACACTCACCACGGAGGTCCACGGTTTCATTCTTGAAGTCAGCGAGACCATGAACCTGCTGGAAGGAACCAACTCTGGACACAATACTTGGTTTCACAAGAATCATTAATCTATTCCTAGAATCTGACACAATACTTGGTTTCACAAGAATCACTAATCTATTCCTAGAATCTGACAAGTATCACATAACTATAAAGACAATAGTTTGTAAAATGACAAAATGTAAATACTATGTGTTGATATATGCATACTACATATCCTCTGTGGACTTTATTACTAATCCACAAAATATCAAAAACCCAAAACCCGTCGCCAAGCTAACCTCAGAATTGTTTAGCCAGGGCTGGTTCATCTCTGTGTGAAAGAATGATTTGAAAAACTTCAGTTCAGGTTTCCACAAGATTCTTCTTTTTCCTTTCAGTAGCAATAAAATCCAAACATTGTTTCTGATTTTACTTTTTCTTCTGATTCAATCTTTAGAATTACTTACAAAATTGATGTTAAAAAAATCTGAAGCAATCTTTGTTCAAGATTATTCAAATTCCTTCCTTTTCACTCCCCATTAGCTCATGATTATTGATACATATTTGAAAGCTTAGACTGTGGGTTTTTCGCTTTGCCACGTTTCTTTTCAACACTGAAGACATTAAGCAAAAGGTGGCAATCGTCCCCTGCTGACAGATAGAACATGATAGAACATACTCCTTTTTTTTGTTCAGTAATCACAACATTACAGCCTATTCATGAAACCACTTTACAGACTGTGATTTTTGAAAACTCCTTTTATACAAAAAAAAAAATCACATATAAAAGGAGTCCTGTCCTATTGAGTAACTGCCACCCAGAGCTGGCAGTCCTCCGTCACAAATGAAAGTCTTCATCCCTTTCCCATCTGGCAGGCGCAACAACTGTGATGATAATCGGTGCCACTGTGGTGGTGGCTTTTGTGTCTGCCCTACTCTTTCTGCCTGACCCACCCCAAAACCTGCCAAGTCTTTAGATCTTCTGTTTGGAAGTTCGTTAACTGCAAATTAAATGCAAAATTGTATCTATACTTGCATATATATATATATATATATATATATATATATATGTATGTATTTATATATGTATGTATGTATATTTCTGCAGAGAAGGCATTTACTTCTCATCAGCTACTCAAAATGGATTTATGACCCCCCAACATTTTAGAAGCCACAGTAATTGTTAGGTTTTCATTACAGGGCATGCAGCCATTTAGAACTCGTGGTATGTCCATGTGGGGGCTGGAAGGCAGTACCAGCTGTAAGTGGAGATCCAGGCTGACAGGTGGATGTTGCATGCAGGTTACAGGCCCACAGCTACAGATAATATCCAGAAAGTTGAACCTAAGCCACAAGATTTCCCAGTGGCCCAGTAGAACCCTGTAGCTGACATTTATGTGGCCGATCTGACAGACAGACAGCATCAGGGTAGTCTACTCACAGCTGGCAGCAAAGCTGCTGGACTCAGCCTAAGTAGTGACAAGAGGGACCTTGGGACTCAGGACTGGTCAGAGGAGGACAGTGGGTTTTACATACAAAAAAAGCTCTCAATAACAAGAATCAAAACTAGGGGTTGGGCGTGATGGCTCACATCTATAATCCCAGCACTTTGGGAGGCTGAGGCGGGCAGATCACTTGAGGCCAGAAGTTCTAGACCAGCCTGGCCATCATAGAAAACGTCTTTACTAAAAATACAAAAACTAGCCAAGCATAGTGGCACTGGCCTATAATCCCAGCTACTTGGGAGGCTGAGGCACGAGAATCGCTTGAACCTGAGAGGTGGAGGCTGTAGTGAGCCCAGATTGTGCAACTGCACTGCAGCCTGGGCAACAAAGCGAGGCTCTGCCTAAAAAACAAACAAACAAATAAATAAATAAATAAATAAATCTAGGTTCTAGTTATCAGAATTAGAACACAAGGTGCAAATCATAACTGGGAACCATGTGTAGCTGAGTCTGCCCCCGACACTAAAAACCATTTTCTTCTTCCCCCAGAGTAATAGAATTATAGTTGAGTGCATACATATCCAATATAAATAGATGTGTAATATATACTGTGTGTGTGTGTGTGTGTGTGTGTATGTATATATATATTATATATCACTTTTATATGTTTGTGTGTATTTGAAAAAGATCAAGTATTTACTGAGATCCTATCATAGACCAGGCACTAGGCTCAATTCAAGAGGGAGAAAAGTGAAAAAGAAATGAGTCTTGCACACCATGTGCTCAATAGCTATTAAGACGAAGATACTTATGGTAGAAGATTATAATATGACAAGTTATCTAGGAGGCATATCAGATGCTGATGGAGTTCAGAGGAAGCTGTGCTGAAATTTTCCCATGATCTCAGGAGCAGGCTTTCCTAACAGTGAGGCCTGTATGCCAGGGCCCTGGGATGATGCTGTATCTGCTGATGGACAGCAAGTGTTCTTGGCTATGAGAAGAGGTCTTCAGGACCCAGGCACATGCTGATGAGGTCCAGGTAATAATTCTGCAATTGGTGTCTGGATCTGGACCCCTGGCATAGACGCCAGCTCCAGTGCCTTCCAGAATGAGCTGCAAGATCTGTGGTAACTCATTTAGGAGAGCTCTGGCATCCGACCCGGGTCCCCCAATGCCACTGCACAGCTATTCACCAAGCAGAAGAAAGACCTTGGCAACTCTCTTCATCTCACCAAGCCTCGGTTTCCTCATCAGTGCAGTGAAGATAGTAATATTTCCTAGCTCATGATGTCACAAAAATTAAATTAGATAATTCATGAAAAGTGCTTAGCAGAGTTTCCAACACATGGTAATCACTCAGAAAACATTTGTTAGTATTATGATTATTACATACAAGTAAATTAGGTGGTAATACTGTCCCAAGCAACCTACAGATTCAATGAAATCCCTACCAAAATCCCAATGAAATTTTTGCAGAAATGGAAAAATCCATGCTAAAATTTACATGGAATTTTGAGGGACTTCGAATACCCAAAACAATCTTGAAAAAGAGCATAGCTGTAGCTCTCAGACTTTCTGATTTCAAAACTTACTATAAAGCTACAGTAATGAAAACAGCATGGTACTGGCATAAAGATAGTCAAACAGACAAATGGAATAGACTATAGAGCCCAGAAATAAATGCTCACATATGTAGTCAAATGATTTTCAACAAGAGTGCCAAGACCATTCAATGGGGAAAGGACAGTCTTTTCAACAAATGGTGCTAAGGAAACTGTAAGTCTGCATGCAAAAGAATGGAGTTGCACTCTTACCTGACAATATATACAAAAATTAACTCAAAATGAAGCAAAGGCCAAAATGTAAGGCCTAAAACTATAAAACTCTTAGAAGAAAAAAATTGAGAAAAGATTCATGATCTTAGATTTGGCAATAATTTCTTGGCTATGACACTAAAGACAGACAATTAAGGAAAATATATAAATTGTACTTCATCAAAATTAAAAACTTTTCTGCATAAAAGGACACTATCAACAGAGTTAAAAGGCAGTTCACAGAATGGGAGAAAATATTTGCAAATTACATATCTGATTAGGTATTAATATCCAGAATATAGAGTGAATTCCTAAAACTCAACATCAAAAAAAAAAAGAAAAACAAAAACAAAAACAAAAACAAAAAACCCGATTCAGAAATGAGGTAAGGACTTGAATAGACACTTCTCCAAAGAAGACATATAAATGGTCAATAAGCACATGAAAAAAAATACTCAACACCGCTAACAACTAATCATTAGGGAAATGCAAATCAAAGCCAAAATGAGATACCACTTTACCCATTAGGATGGCTATTATTAAAAAAAAAAAAACATAGAAAATAACAAATGTTGGCAAGGACACAGAGAAATTGGAACATTTGTATATTGCTGATGGAATGCAAAATGGTACATCCACTGTGGAAATCAGTATGATGGTTCCTCAAAAAAATTAAACATAGAGTTATCATTTGACCCAGCAATTCCACTTTTGGGTATATAGACAAAATAATTTTAAGCAAGGACTAGAACAGATATTTGTATCCCAATCATCATAGAAATATTATTCACAATAGCCAAAATGTAGAAACAACTTAAGTCTCATCAACAGACGAAGAGATTAACAAAATGGCTGTATACATAAAATACAATATTATGCAGCCTTAAAAGGAATGAAATCCTAATACAAGCTACAATGTGAACTTTGAGAACATAATGCCAGGCAAAATAAACCAGATACAAAAAGATAAATATTGTATGATTCCACTTACATGAGGAACCTAAAGTAGTCAAATTCATAGAGACAGAAAGAGAATAGTGGTTATCAGAGGCTGGGGAGAAGGAAGAATGAGGAGTTAATTGCCATAGAGTGTCAACATGGAGTGATGAAAAAGTCCTAGAGATGGGTGGTGGTGATGGCTGCACAACAATGTAAATGTTCTTAATGCCACTCAATTGTACACTTAAAATTGGTTAAAATCGTAAATTTTATGTTATGTTTTACTAAAATAAAAATAATTAATTAGATTGGGTCTAGAAACCAATTTCTAGTTTCTCCAAACAAATGCAGTGTGACTTTATTACATAGACTGCAAAATAAATAATAAGTGATGATAAAATTTTGTACAGGTATACTTAGCATTGCTCTGTAAAAGGTACTGAGCCTGTCCTCAGTTTCCTTTGGGAGAAAAATCAAACGTGTCAGCAAATAACTAGATGCTAATCAGAAATCATCTGCAGTATTACACAACAGTATCATGCACATTACCCAGCATGGCAATTGGCATGGGTCTACACATTTTGCATTGGTTAAATTTATATTTCTTAAGGATACTTCTTATTTCAGTGGAGGTCTCTATCTCATTCCATTTCTCCCATGTGGTTAGGACAACAATATATAAACTTATCCAGCAAATATTCCAGTGGAAGCATTTTTACTTCTGGGTAACACCAAAAAATCTGAGAGTCTATTCTTACATCCTTTTGGATAAAATAGGAAAAGAAATCCCAGGTGTTGTCAGAAATCTATGTAGATCAAAGAAACAATCCAGGCTCTTGGGATTTTCCTAAAGTTCTGTTCTTTTGACCCTGATTCTCTTTCAGACCTGGATCATGCCCACATATCTATCTCTATCTTAGGATCAGTGACCACTATTAATACCCAACCCTTTCATAGGAACTCCAGGTAACTGCTGGAGGATTAAACAAGTCAGCCTCTCCACTAATTGAGCTTTGACTTCATTGGTCTTTTCTAGCAGCTAGATTTACTCCCGAGTTCTGGCCCTTCTTTGTGGATTACTTATTAACTTTGGTCCTTGTACTGTTCTTAGTACCTTAGCCTCGTTTTGATAACCCTGTCCCCAGTCCCTTTTTCTTCGTGCCCATCTTCTTTCATGAGCACGAAGTCAGAACCCTCAGCCTGAGGCCCTTACCTGCTAAAAGTGTTCCCTGGTGCTGCCTGTCTGGATACAAGGGTAGAGTCTGCTGATAGACTCCTGGCTGTTACTCATTCTGCTTGTTAGGGTGCTCCTGACATCAAAATTGCAGCACAGGATGCCACGTATTACCTGTTGTTTATTCTCTATTCTTGAAATTCTGCTTGCTTAGATGAAACTTTTCTTACTATTTACAGTTGATTTCTCTCTATATGTCTACCTGACTCCAGAAATTGTAACCTCACACTTTCTTCATTTGCTGCACACTTCTTCAGGACTAAGTCTACACAGACCAAAAGATACTAAGCGCTGTTTCTTTCTAGCTTTGAACAACAACAAAAAAGGCCTATATTGATGCTTATAAAGTACCCCAAAATTTAACAGCCTGTAACAACTAATATTTATTATCTCACGTATTTTCTGAGAGTCAGGTATCTGGGAATAGCTTATGAGGCTAGATCTGACTCAGGGTCTCTCCACTGGATTCCCCAGTCAAGATGCTGACCTTGGCTGCAGTCATCTGAAGGTCTGGAGAGTCCACTTCCCAAACAGCCCACCAAGCTACTTTCTGGAGCTCTCAGTCCCTTTCCACGTAGACTTTTCCACAGGGCTGTTTGAGAGCCTCACAACGTGGCAGCTAGCTTCCATTAGGGTGAACAATCCAAAAAAGAGAGAGCCAGTAGAAGTCCAGTGCCTTTTATGACCTAACTTTGGAAGTCACTTACCAATGCTTCAGCCATATTCTAATGGTCACACAGAGTGACCCTAATGCAAAGTGGGAGGCAAACACCCAACAGAGTGAATACCAGGTGGGGATTATTGGGGGCCACCACAAGGCCTAAATAGAAGCAAAAGATTTATAAAAAATAAACAACAACAAAAAGCAAAAACAAAAACCAAGGACTTCTCTTTAGTCTGTCCCTGATACTTTATATTTGACTTTTGCCCTGAATTTCCATACCCAATACAGTATATAAGCAAACTAAGAACAGTAGCACTTAAACAATTTCCAAGAGACTTCAGCTCATTGATTCTCTGCTTTCTTGCTCTCATTCCTATCTTCTTGGTTCTCAGATCTCAGAGTACGTCAGTGACAATCTTGGATAAGAAAACTACTAGTTCTATTCCCAGGCCCCAGAAATGGAGGTTTCTTATTATTTAATCAGCTCTCTCTCCAGGAAGGCATAAGGAAATAGAGGAAGAAGGTCATCAAACTACAGGGAATACTTGCCTGCTTGTTGAGATCATCACATTGAGTTCAGCTGGTGTTGCTGAGGTAGGCATCTTATACCAGCATTTTCAAATGGTTCCAGAGAATATTAGTTTCCTTGTAATTTTATTTAAGAATTCCATATGTCCCAGAAATGATTCTCAGTATAATAATTGTACTGATAATATTCAAGAAATAAAAAAGCAAAGATAATCTTGATTTGATTATGTACCATACTTAAAGTGCACTTAATCTAATCAAGAAACCATCATCATTTAGCTTAATTTATCTGTGCTATTCTTTCCTTCTTTCACTCTGTCTTTTTTCTTTTTGAATTGAAAATAAGAAGAGACTTAGAAATTATTTTTTTTGTGAAAGTAAAACTAGGGAATGAGAGAACATAGAGATAACAGAAAACACCCATAATCTCTTTTAATCTTTTTGACAATTTTTAGATTGCATTTGCCACCTCTATAACCCACCAACTCAGCCTTCTCTTAGACTAAATAACTAAAAGTGTGTCTCTCAATTTAACTTGGAGTTGAGCCTAGGGGATGCGGAGGAATGTGGAGAAACAATCTGAGAAGAAGGCTAGAACTTGAGTAAAAACGTGTCTTCCTGTTCTTCACAAACAGAAGCCTAAATACCACCACATGTTGTTTCCAGAACTCCAGCAGATTCTGCAATGTATCTTCACTAGTTGCTCTTTTTCTGTGTCTATTGTTGCTTTCTCTTGCTACATTTAACCTATGAAGTTGTTGTTTATCATTGCTTGGTCCTGGGCTCTGAGCTCTTCTTTCTATAACTCTCTTCCTAAGTTATCTCATGCTTTCCTGTGACTTTAAGTTCCTTCTGTATTTTAATAATGCCCAACTTTGTATTTCTCAGCTAAATTACCCCTTTAAGTTCCATTCACATAAATCTAACTACCAACTAATATGATCACTTGAATGTCCTACAGGCCTCCTCAACTTAACATGTCTAAAACCCAGCCTTCATGCAGTGCTCACCTCCCTCATATCTGCTTGTCTCTCAGTCTTCACAGCTCTGTAAATGACAGCATCCCGCTGCACAAACAGAAAATCCTAGAAATTATCTTGAATCCTTCCTCTCCCTCATGGTTCCTATATGCAAGCCATCACAAAGTCCTGTCATGTCTGCCTCTAAAATAGGTGACAACCCTGCCTGTTTTCTCCATTTTATTGTTCATTGCCCTAGTCCATGTGCAATCACTTCTCCCCTTGTTTCTTACAATTGCCTCATCATTATTTAACATTTCATTTTGTCCTCATAAGTCATTTCTTCACACAGCAATCAGACTTATCTGCTTCCATCAACTCCCTTCACTGATTTTTCACATAGAAGTACATGGAAACACATCTACTTTCCGTATCATGGTTTATGATGCCTGCACAGGTGGCTCACACCTGCACAGTTGTACCTTTTTCTTCCTTCTTCCCCATTGCCTGTCAAATGAAAATGTGAGGGGGTGAAGGACAGTGGATCACAGCAAGTCAATGGCTTGTTAGACTAGGGAAGCAAGCTGGAAAGAGACAGGGTGTTGGCAGAGGGCAGGATGCTTGCAGTTGAGATTGTGAAGTGAGTGGCTGAGGAAGGATGGAGGGAAAGTGAAGGAACCCAGAAACCAAGGTCCTGGAAGAACCATTGCTATGGCTATTGAAACTACAATGATTATGGCAGGGAAACAAAATGAGAGATGGACTGGGAGTCTCCAGGATTGAGAAATGAGACACCTGAGAGCATTGGCAGGTGACTGTAACAAAAAGAGGTCATGTGCAAACTTTAAACCTTATATTATCACAATAATATGTATTTATAACGTTAATGTAGAAAACGACTGGGTGCGGTGGCTCATGCCTGTAATCCCAGCACTTTGGGAGGCCAAGGCGAGCAGATCATCTGAGGTCAGGAGTTCGAGACCAGCCTAACCAATATGGTGAAAACTTGTCTCTACTAAAAATACAAAATTAGCCAGGCGTGGTGGCATACACCTGTAATCCCAGCTACTCAGGAGGCTGAGGCAGGAGAATCATTGAACCCGGGAGGTAGAGGTTGCAGTGAGCCGAGATCACACCACTGCACTCTAGCCTGGGAAAAAAGAGTGAAACTCCAACTCAAAAAAAAAAAAAGAAAAGAAAAGAAAACATTATTTGAACACACATTATGTCTTTTAATATTTTTATAGGCTCTATGATGTAAGACTTTGTGGGGAAAGACAACGAACATTTGTTCAGTCTATTCTCTGGGCCAGGAACTGAGCTAATTTTTTTTCATACATTATATCTTTTAATCCTGAACCTTTCCATCTGTTCAGCAACTTTTGTTCTCACAGTTGCTTTCTTGGAATTAATAGTCTCCACTTGGGCGGGGTGAAGGAGAGCATCAGGATAAATAGCTAATGCATGCCGGGCTTAATACCTAAGTGATGGGTTGATAGGTGCAGCAAACCACCATGGCACACATTTACCTATGTAATAAACCTGCACGTCCTGCACATGTATCCTAGAACTTAAAATTAAAATAAATTAAATTTTAAAAAATCGTCTCCCCTCACTGATTAATCATGCTAAGGAAGAAGAGCTGTCCTTTTGTGAAGACTAACTGGCTTCTCCAGCTTTTCTGGATTGGTAGGATAGCAATTGAAACAGTCTTAATATTTTCAGGGAGACTGTCTGGGAGACCGAACAGTAGAGATCAGATAGACTGGAACAGAGAGAGAGGATAAAATGAGACTGTCAAGTTATGTTGCCTTGGCTACATGAGAATAATTTAGGCAAGGAGGTGAGAAATTAAACAATAATTGAGAACAAAACTTTCATGGCCATGCTCCTCAAGAGCTGAATGAAAAAGAGCTAATAATTGATGCATTCGGACAACCCTGCCCAAGTTCTGAACCCTTTCAATGGCCACCTCCCACCTACCCCAGGACAGAGCCATTCCACACTCAGGAGAGCATTCACCAATTATCAAGAACTTACTATGCACAGGCACTGAGCCAAACACTGTCATTCTCAAGGATGACGGTGCTGACATAGAGCCACCATGGGTGTTCTCATGAGAAGTATGTTCTCATCATTTTCTTTCCTTGTCCTTTTCTGAAGCTTAAAAATTCCCTACTTACATATATAATAATCATCAGTTACTTTTCTGAGACAAGACAGAGACCAGCCACTTTGAGGTTTAGGGGATTTTCATGAGCTGTTTTGAATTAAGACATAGTTCTTTGTCCTTAAAGAAAACTCAGAAAGGCTTGCATGTGAATTCAGTGAGGTCAATGATGGTAATTACTGAGGTCAGTGCTCCCACTTTGTATGCAGTGGAGCACAACTGGGGCCTGTTGAGGGGATAAAGACCCCTCCCTTACTCATTTGAGGTTGTGGAAGGTCCACGTGGAAAGTTCAGAAGCTTTGGGCTTAATTCCTACTTCTGCCACTTGCTAGCTGTTTGACCTTGGACAATTTACTCCATCTCTTTGTATATTAGTTCCCCACACCCAAAATGAACATAGTAACATCTGCCTTATTGAGTTGCTTTTAGGCTTAATGAGTTAATATATATTTTGTGCTCACACATAGTAGGTATTCAATAAATAATAGCTAGTATTTTAAGGTCAAAATCATTAGCTAATGGGTACTATATCACCTAAATTGGTCGTGCCTGTGGAATAAATCAAGATTTATTATCCTATTAAATGCTCAAAACTGACCACATCAAATGCTATTTTTACACTACTTTATATGTCTTAAGGCTTCCTTCCTCTTTCTTCTTTAACAGAAGCAATGAGAGGATTATCTTACTATTTTTCTTTAACCTTTGGTCCAAGAAGTTTTTTGAGGCCAGCAAACAGCTCTTCTTCAAAGCTACGCAGGAGTTGAGGACAAGGCAGCAGCTGTCCTTCCCTCTGGTTCAATAAGGGAAGCCTGGGCTGGACAAATTAAAGGAAAGCCCACCAGAGCTAAGAAGCCTAGGTTCCTGGGCCATCACAGAATCAGGCCAGAACAATGAAGAGAAAGACAAACTCTACCACTCCACAGTCACAGTCTATTTCAAAATGGAAACGAGAGGATGCAGGCTACTCTTGGCATGCCTCTCTTTCTCTGAATGTAAACTTCCTCTGATTTACTGTCAAATGCTTTGAATATATTGGGAAAGAGAAAGGGGCTAACATGAAAATCAAAAATGTTTAGGCTACAGATTTGTTTTGTACAAATATTTTTCAAGGTTTGGGTGTTTTTTGTTTTTTTTGTTTTTTGTTTTGGTTTTTCTCTGTCCAATGGCTCTTATTTATTTGGCCTGTCTCTTTAAGGATAAAGACAGCATGGTCCAGGCCAGGCATGGCAGCTTACTCCTGTAATCCCAGCACTTTGGGAGGCCAAGGAGGGCGGATCGCCTGAGGTCAGGAGTTGGAGACCAGCCTGGCCATGATGGTGAAACCCTGTCTCTACTAAAAATACAAAAATTAGCCAGGCATGGTGGGGGGCGTCTGTAATCCCAGCTACTTGGTAGGCTGAGGCAGGAGAATCGCTTGAAACTGGAGGCGGAGGTTACAGTGAGCTGAGATCACAACACTGCACTCCAGTCTGGGCGACAACAGCAAAAGTCTGTCTCAAAAAAAAAAAAAAAAAGAAAAAAAAAAGACAGAATGGTCCCAACGCAAAATGCTCCTTTTGGGCTTTATGGGGGTGCTGTTCTTGTAATGATTCAGCCCCTTCAAGGCTGGGAGATGCAGCCTCCCACTCCTGTAGCACTATCCTGGTTTGAGGCACTTATGTCTAGAATCCAAATGACAGGCCTGGAGCAATGGCTTTTTTTCTTATTTATGTATCTGACACCTAAGCTTGTTTATCTCCCCTAGTGACTAAGCACACTAAGTACTTTCTGAAGCAAGTGAAACAGAAACAAGCTCTTCCCTCTTTACATTCCAGTAGCATTTCTGGTCCCTCAATTTTTTCACTATAAGAGCCCTTAGAGTCTATCTATTCTAGACGTTTAAGAACTCATCATGCCAGTAAGAAGCCCTGCCTACCAGGGAAAGGAGCAGACCTTTCTCACAGACCACAGTTCTACTGGAAAATAAATGCAAGTAGTCAGCTTGTTTCCTTGACTAGGGGAAACTAAAGTAGAAATTCAGCTCAGGCCTTACGGAGTTCACTTCCTTACACAGAGTTTGTTTGGATTAACTTGGATTAATTTGGATTAACTCTGACACTGTAGACATAACATCCACACAAACACCTGTTTCGTGGGCAAGTGGTTGCATGCATTATAGAAACACATAAATACTTAGGAAGCATTATTAAAGTTTGGTCTTTTATATGGTTTACATAAACATTCAAATGTTTTACAAATGTAATGGCCTCATAGGCAGTATCTGGTCCTTTTAAAAAATTGTTCTAGGCCACTTAAAAATTGACTTTGACCCTTTTAAAATGGCAGAGGGATCTAGTTCCTCACAGTCCTCCCCGTTACCTCACTCACTAGCATTACTTTTCTGAAATAATTGATGTTTGTGAAATCCTTGAAATAGTTTGTTTGCCCTTAGCATCACAACTTTCACTTAACCAAAAGAAATGTGACTTACTATGCCCTTACATTGTTACATCAATAAGCTTTTAAAATATATATGGCTTTGGAGGCACAGAGGCTCGGAGTTTGTAGAGGCTGAAAAAGCAGTGGAGCAGCCAGCATCTTGGAGGGAAGGCAGATGTCCTGCCCTGTCCTTCCCAAAGCAGATCTATTGTGCTGCTGCTGCCTGGCGTTGGGGTACCTGCTCTACAGGCAGAAATCAGTTAAGTTCAGCAACAGAGAGAGAATGAGGAAGGGCTGGAGAAGGAGGAAGGCACAAAAGGAGACTGGCTGTGAGTAGGCAGCAAATTCAATACAAGAATAATTTGTTCCTTTCCCAAAAGAAGCCGAAAAAAATTTTCTTTTGATAATAATGAATTTTGTTTTATTGATGAACATCTATGGGCGTGAGAAGATGGATCATGTGGGCTGTAACCGGGGTAACCGAGTGGGCAGTAGTTTAGGCAGCCTGATAAATTTATGGTGAGAACTGCTAGGACGGATTCATCTGTACACTTCAGCCTCCTCTTTCCGCAATATCACCTGATGCTGTGATGGACTGTGAGCTCACCTGTGTGTCAGAGACAGGAAGGTTGGCTGGCTATGGAAGCATCTAGTCTTATTTATATGCGTTCATCAGAAAAGAGGAAAAGGAGTGAAAAACAGAAAATGTAAGAAAAGTAAAAGTAAGATATGCTGAAAAGCATTATTTTTTATTGTTTCTCATTGAAGTGTAATAATTATACATATGTATGCAGTACAGTGAGGGTATTTTAACACATGCATACAATGCGTAATGATCAAATCAGGATAATTATCATATCTATCATTCTGATTTGATCATTACACATTGTATGTATGTGTTAAATACCCACACATTACTGCATATCTATCACTTCAAACATTTATAATTTTTTGTATTAAGAATATTCAGAATCCTCTCTTCTAGCTATTTGAAAATAGACAATAAATTATTGTTAACTATAGCCACCCTACAGTGCTATAGAACACTAGAACTTATTTCTTCCATCCAGCTATAATTTTGTATCTGTCAATCAAACTCTCCCTATCTTCCTCACCGCCACCCTCCCTAGCCTCTGGTAACCACTATTCTATTCCCTACTTCTATGAGATCAGCTTTTTTTAGCTTCCACATATGAATGAGAACATACAGTATGTAATTTTTCTGTGCCTGGCCTGTTTCCCTTAATATGATGTCCTTCAAGCTCATCCATGTTGCCACAAATGATATGCTTTCATTCTTTTTAAGGCTGAATAGTATTCCATTGTGTATATATACCACATTTTCTTTAAAAAATTTTTTTTAATTTCAACTTTCATTTTAGATACACAGGTTACATGTGCAGATTTGTTAACATGGGAATATTGTGCAATGCTGAGGTTTGGGGTATGGATCCCTCCCACCACCCAGGTAGTGACCACAGTACCCAATAGGTAGTTTTTTAACCCACTCCACCTCCACCATCTAGCAGTTCACAATGGCTATTGTTTCCATAGTTGTGTCCATGTGGGCTCAATGTTTAGCTCCACTTAAAAGTGAGAACATGCAGTATATACCACATTTTCTTTATCCATTTATCCATTGATAGACACTTAGGTTGATTCCACATCTTGGCTATTATAAATAGGGCAGCAATAAACATGGGAATACAGATATCTCTTTGACTTACAGATTTCAGTTACTTTGGATATATATCCAGAAATATGATTCCTGGATCATATGGCAGTTCTATCTTTAGTTTTTGAGGACCCTCTATATTGTTGTTGTAATGGCTGTACTAATTGATATTCCCACCAAAGGTGTACCAGAGTTTCCCATTCTCCACATCTGCATCCTCATCAGCTTTTGTTATATTTTTTGTCTTCTTGATAATAGCCATTCTCACTGGGTTGAGATGATATCTCCTTGTGGTTTTGATTTCCATTTCCCTAAAAATTAGTAATGTTGAACATTTTTTCATTAGGTCTATTTTTAAACGTGCAGCTACAGTGCACATAACACAAATCTGTACACAACAATGACCAGATCGTTTTGATCCTTGTTTGAGACAATAAGTCATCAGCTCTTTGGAACTTTGACAGTCCTCAAGCAGAAAACCTCAGTTTCTCTGGGTTATTACCTGATACCTCGACCACCTTATCATTGGTTGATGGATATGTAAAAGAAAAGTTCCTTCTGTTAAATGTGTTCAGCAAAAAAATAACTTCTGATTAATAAAAAGAATTAGCCAAGCATATCAGATTAGTACAGCACCGGAAGCCCATTGGCAGATTTGTAAGATTCTGAATAAGGAATCATCAATTATGACCTAGTCTATTAGGGAATCTCTGTGAAAAGAATTAAGGCCTATATGATAAAATATATTTCTAAATGTTCATTGATCAACATACAGAAGTCTGCTACATTAACAATATATTCAAGTTAGCCAACTCTTAAGGTTTCTCCATCTTCCAGAGAGTGACAATTGAATTTTGTGTCTATGAATCATTCTATGATTATGAATTAGTTTTGCATTTATTTTAATTTTGTAATGTGTTAATGTTTCAAAGCAAGAACTTTAACATGTAACAGGAGCTCTTCAGAATTACCTCATGAAGACTATTTTGGTTAATACTAATAAAGTCTGATATTTCGAAGATAGTTTCTCATCAACTGGCAGGCCTCATATTTCACAATTTCATGTTGACATATTGACTTTTATGTCTTAGTAGAGCTACAAATGCCAGTAAATGTGGCATCTGAAATAGAGGAAAGATTCTGTCTATTAAAATTCTTTGAATTTTTTTAAACATATAATGTTGGGAGTAGCAGGAAATAAGGAAAATCATAATTTCCAAATGATTTATCTTTAAATTCATCAATTCCAAATGATATATTTAAAAATAAATCATTTGGAAATGATGATTTTCCTTATTTATTGTCTCTTCCCTCACCAGAAACATGACTTGAATGGTCTTCTTTTCCAGGAAACAGATATAGAACTTTACATATATGGCATTCATAAGTTTCAGTGATTTGTCTTATTTCACTCTTCATTATAAGCAGAGATTCTCTCAACATTTGAACATATTTTGCTTTAAATTTTGTATTCATGATGAAAATTTGAAAGCTTTATTTCTCCTAATGTTTATTTTACTTATATTTCAAGTAAGAATCATGCCTATTAAATTTGTCTACCACTAGTTGACATACTTCAGCAGATGAGACTCTGCTATGATCCCATTGATCCCCAAATGGGAGTGGAAGACCAACTCTTGTTTCTCTGCAGCCTGTATTCTGGTCTCTATTAGCTATCAAAAATGTCTGTGCCTATTTCAAACTTAACATGTCCCAGCAATGATGTAGTTGATAAGTTTTCAAATAAACCATGAAATCATTATCTCTCTTCTTATCATAAAATTCCTTGTCTTTTCAACCATAGTTGTAAGTTGAAGAGGAGATTATAGAAAATAACTAGTCAAATTAATACTTTAAGAAATACTTTATTATTACTATTAACCAAATTAATCTTTGGGAGATAATTCTGAAGAACTTCTGTTATATGCTGAAGTAGCTTTAAAGTTTTACTTCATTACAACATTAAAATAAATGGGAAACTGCAGAGTGATTCATAGACACAAAATTCAATTATGACTTTCTATAAGATTGACAAACCTGAAGATTTGGCTAACTTGAACATATTGCTAACGTAGAAGCCTTCTGTATGTTAATCAACGAAACTTAGGAGTATATGTAATCACATTAGGACTTCATAGAAAATAATTAAGTCATCATTTCCCAGCTCCCCTTTGAAGACATTATATAAGTGACGATCTGTAGGTGTCCATGAATTTCACATGCTTTGAGATTCGTAAGAGTCCACTAAGGATGATGTTGAAAGCTGACAATTGTACTGGGGTGACTCAGTCTAGCCAGAGTTTTGATGCTGCAAAGTTGTATCTCAGAAAAGGAAATAAGTGCCTCACACCTCAAGTCAAACTTGTTTTACTTGTGCTCTACTTCCATGTTCAAAGATGTGTTCAATCATTTCTACTAGTTAATTTCTAAGTTATTATTTCTATAATAACAACAAAGAACAGAGGATTTCTTTTTCCAATAAATGGCAAATTAGATTCAGGCTAAATTTCTACCAAAAAAATTAAAAGACTATGTAAGATTTTAAAGAATATTATCAAAAGAATAAAATATTTAATGAAAAAGTAAGAGACTGCCAATCCAAAACCTAAAAACAAATGGGAATTCAGAGAAATAAATGGAACATTGAAGCTTCTTCTGCCTCAGGGGCATTTGCTGAACCCAGTATATTTGAATTTATGGTATTAGGTAGACGGAAGTTAAGCCCCAGAGTTCACCCAAGGTGGTAAACTGACTGTGAGAGCTTCCCCACATCGAATTGCATGCCAGAAGGTTACATCTCATGGTAAAAGCAAAGCAAAACAAAACAAAACAAAACAAAAACAAACTATAAATAAGCATTCTACTCTCTGCCTCACACACACACACTCCTCAGGGGAACCTAGGAAAATTCTCATGGCACTGAGTAAACAGGAAAAGAGATAAGGCATAAAAAGTCCCTGAGATGTTATGGTCACCACAGCCATGTCCTGGTGCAGGAAGGCACCTTAATGCTAGGTCTTAAATAATCATAAAAAGTGATTAAGTAATTCAATTAAAAATTAGTCATTGAATAATCCACAATGAAAATTAACAAAATATACCAGAAGACAAGGCACCATGAAAAACAATCAGCAGAAACATTAAATCACCGAAACAAATCCCAAAATACTTAATTAACATTATCCAAACTATGAAAAAAAGTATTCCTACTCTGTTTAAAGATATAGAAGACAACTTAATCTGCAAAGAAATGAAACTATAAAAACAGGCATAACAGATTTGAAAAAGAGACAAATAATATAAAAGAAACAAAAAAATTTGAAAGGCAAATATAAAAAGTCAGGTGAGGGATTAAAGAACAAACTAGATACAGCTGAAGAAGATTTAGTGAATTGAAAGGTAAAAAATTAACCAGAATGCAGCACTGAGACAAGAAGATGGAGAACATGGCAGTTAACCAAGAGACATGAAGGATAAAGAGAAGGGCTAACATACTCTTAATCAAAGTTATGCAAGAAGACAAACTCAAGAAGAGTGAAGAAAACAAAGGCAAAAATTAAAGAGATAATAGCTGATAATTTTTCAGAACTCAGAGAAAACAGATTCAATAAAGGAAATTGCATTTAGATGTGTCATGGTGAAACTGCAAAACACCAAAGAAAAATGCAGCAATTTTCAAGCAGCCACGGGGAAAAAGCAGATCACCAAAAGAATGGCAAAGAGGTGTTTTAAGCACAATAATAGAACATGAAAGCCAGTAGAATGATCATTTCTATGTGCAGAAATACAATAATTGCCAATTTATGATTATATATCCATAAAAAATATCTTTGAAGAATTTGAATTGGCCAGGTGCTGTGCCTTACACCTGTAATCCCAGCATTTTGGAAGGCCGAGGTGGAAGGATCAGTTGAGCCCAAGAGTTCTAGACCAGCTTGGGTGACATACTGAGACCCCACCTCTACAAAAAAATAAGAAAATTAGCTGGGCATGGTGGCACACACTTGTAGTCCCAGCTACTTCGGAGGCTGAGGTGGGAGGATTGCTTGAGCCCAAGAGGTCAAAGCTGCAGTAAGCCATGATCATGCCACTACACTCCAGGCTTAGCAACAGAGCAAGACCCTGTCTCAAAAAAAAAAAAAAAAATAGAATTTGAATGCACTAAATACTTGTTATGAGACAAGCATTGTCAGAGTTGTTTTAAAGAAAGTGATATGTGCTTTACATAAAGATAAGTCTAAAGAAAATGATAGAAGTATATTATGCAATTCTAACAAACAACAAGGCAGACACAGCTATATAAACATTAGATAAAACTGGCTCTTAAGCAAAAAGCATTACCAAAGATAAAGTAATTTCATATAAATAACAGGTTCAATATTTTACAAAAATGAAACACTTTAAATTTATAAGCAAATAATAACATAACCTCAAAATATGAAAATCAAAAATTGACAGAAACACAAAGAGGAATAGATAAATATACAACCACATATTTTTGCTGTTGTCGCTAATGAGTTTGCTCTCCCCAACATTGACGAGGTATAATTTTCTTACAATAAACTGCATTCTTCATAGTGTGCAATTCAATGACTTTTAAATTTTATTATTTATTATTTTTTTGAGACAGAGTCTCACTCTATTGCCCAGGCTAGAGTGCCGTGGTGCAATCTTGGCTCACTGCAACCTCTGCCTCCAGGGTTCAAGCAATTCTCCTGCCTCAGTCTCCCGAGTAGCTAGGATTACAAACCTGCACCACCACGCCTGGCTAATTTTTGTGTTTTTAGTAGAGATGGGGTTTCACCATGTTGGCTAGGCTGGTCTCGAACTCTTGACCTCAGGTGACCTGCCTGCTTCGTCCTTTCAAAGTGCTGGGATTACAGTCATGAGTCATGGTGCCTGGCCGAATTCAATGAATTTTTAACAGATAGATACAGGATATCCTATCTCCCCCAAAACTTTTTTTATGCCTCTTTACGGTCCATTACTTTTTTCACTCTCAGCCTCAGGCAATCACTAATCTAATTATTTTTTTGTCACTATAGATTAGTTTGCATTTTCTAGAACTTTATGTAATTATTAGGTTGGTGCAAAAGCCATTGCGGTTTTTGCCTTTCAAAGTAATGGCAAAACCATGATTACTTTTGCACCAACTCAATAAATCATACAGTATGCACAGCTTTGTGCCTGGCTTCTTTCAGTCAGCATAAGGATTTCAAGAGCCATATATATTATTGTACATATCAGTAGGTATTTCTTTCATTTTGCTGAAAGGTATATTCCTTCGTATGGATGTACCGCAATTTGTTCATGCATTTGTCAGTTGATAGACATTTGGGCTATTTCCAGTTTTTTGCTATTGTGAATAAAGCTGCTGCAGACATTTGTATACAAGTCTTTGTGCCCCCTCTTCAGTAAACACGTAAGAGTAGAATGGCTGGGTCATATGGCAAGGGAATGTTTAATGTTTTATGGAACTTCCAGTTTTAATAAGTCACTCTATTATGTTGCATTCTCATAAGCAAATTATGGGAGTTCTAGTTGCATTATATTCTTAGATATTCTGATGTATTCT
This sequence comes from Homo sapiens, assembly GCF_000001405.40. Taxonomy (NCBI): domain Eukaryota; kingdom Metazoa; phylum Chordata; class Mammalia; order Primates; family Hominidae; genus Homo; species Homo sapiens. The sequence goes on from NC_000008.11 coordinate 85,947,518, forward strand.
TATTCTAATTTTAGCTACACTAATCTTTATTAATATTTAATAAACACTTATGTATTCTAGATACAAATCTGTTGTCAGACTCATGTGTTGTAAAAATGCCCATCCATTCCGTGGCATGCCTTTTAATTTTTCTCAATGGTGTCTTTGGAGAACAAATCATTTTTTTTTAAATGAAGTCCAATTTATCAACTTCTTATGCATTTATTTTCTGTCTATGAAATTCTTGCCTAACCAAGAGCACAGACATTTTTTCCTATGTTTCTGTCTATAGATTTTATAGATTTAAATTTTATACTTAGGTCTATAAGTCATTTAAAGTAAGTTTTTGTGTAGAGTGTGAGGTGTCAGTTGTTTGTTTTTCTATATGAAAATCTCTGTTCCAGCCCTGTTTGTTAAACAAAACAAAACAAAACACCTTCCATTCCCTAACCCATCTATTTATCAAGTGTAGAATATAAAAGGAAATTGTTGTACATTCATTAAATGGAATAGTACACCTCAATGAAAATGAATAAATTCGCAATATGTGCAATTTATTTGTGAATTAATCTCACAAATACTAAGAAGAAAAACACAAAAACTGCTAAATTATAAGTTTTCCAAATAAACTTTATAAATAAGCAAAATTAAATTACATTATTTAAGGATGCATGTTTATGTCATATAACCATAAAGAAGAGTAAGAATAAGTGGTCACAAAAGTTAGGGCAGTGGCTTCCTTTCAAGAAAAGAATGAGGCTGTGATGGGGAAAAGGCATTTCAGGACTTCTGGGATATTAGCAATGTTCTACTTGTGGTTATACAGATATATGCTTAATAATTATTCACTGGAATGTGCATACAAGTTATATTTACTTTTTTGTCAATGTGTTAGATTTCATCAGAAAAGAAGAAAGATCAGGATAAAGTATCTGAAACTGTATCTGCATGAAAATGGTAACAGCTGTGGTTTAGTGAAGAAAGTCCTGGCACTGATAAAAATGAATTTGGGCAAAGTCACTTAACCTCTCTGAGCCCCTTCATTTGTGAGGTGAGGATGATAAAATTAGATAAATTATATAATAGCTCTTTGTAAGTTGAGCCATGAAATAATAATCATAGTAACTATTATTATTATCATTACAAGGGAGTGGGCAAAATGACTTAAACGAAAAGATTGCAGTTCATCTGTTCCCCTCTCTAGCCTGTGTGGCTTTCCCACTGAGCAGCCATGAAGCTGTGCCCCTCAGAAGAAGCTGTGCCCCTTCAAGTGTGTAGTTGGCTGACACTTCCAGCGGCCGCATTTTTAGGATCCACTGGAGCATTCGCACTGAGGTGACTCTCTCCCCAGGTTGCTTCTGCCAGTACCTGAGCACGGTGGGAGTACTAGAGTTGGGCCATTTCTGCACAACACAGGACTCTTCCAATGGCCAATATTTGTTCCTAAGGCTCCACCATTGGCCTGGCCAAGACCTCGGAGCTGTGCTGCACTCAGAGGCTCTTCCTACCCGATCCTCCATTCGCTCCTCTCCTTCCTCAGGTCAGACCTACGTTGCTGCTTGAAGGCTTTCCCTGACTTCTACTTCACCTTCCACGGGACTTTCCTCCATCTTGGAAGACCAGAATTGACTAACGTATGCAGAACAGTGCTTTTAACTAGCAAGAACTATGCAAATTAAAAAAAAAAAAAAAACAAAAAACAAGAAATTGTATGAGATGTTGTTTACAGGTGCTGAGATTTCTGACTTGTAAACCAACAGCTTCATACAGACAGTGCAAACCAACTTTTGATTTATATTTGATCCCTTTGTCCCACATAAACAAGGCCAGAAACACAGATATGAATATTTTTATCCAAAAAAGTCCATGAATAGAACAACTGAGTCTTCAAAATGTTTATTTTGCATACTAAACTACATTTTCTTTACGTATTTCTATATTAGATCCAGATTTTTAAAAATAAATTTATGAAAGGCCCAATGAATCTTGATTTGCTAAAGTCTCTCAATGTGAAGTCTTCTAAATAAATGCCTTGTGTCAATTTTGATATGTCACAAAGCTGTAGAAGTCAAAAGATGTAGAGAATTTAAAGATTGTAGCAAGCAGATTATATTAAAACTTTTTGCATCCATATTTTGTGTTTGTGTTTCAAATATTTACCAAGTCAGCAGCCAAATGAAAATGATTTTTGCATAAACTGTAAATTGCAAATTTCAAGAAACAAGGAAAATGCATTTAAATTTATTTCATTTAAAAATAGTCATGCCTTGGTGTTTACAGATTTTTTCTTCTAAAACTTTTTAAGAAAACAACAGGCAGCATACTTTGAAAGTGCTTTATTTTAAACCACCAGTGCATTTTCCTAAAATTAAACTGAAGTCTGGTTTACTCTAGCATAGTTACTTTAGGAAGTATTTAATCCAAATTCAAAATCACACTTAATTTCATTATTTAAGAACCGAATACCTCACTAAATTGTCAATCTATAAAATGTACCACTTCGATCATATATAAGGAAAGCATAGCTGATTATCTGCACTACTTTATGTCATATTTGGGACAGTGGTGGGTAAGATAAAGTATATTATTAATAATCGAACCTGGGTGAGAGGCAAGAATTATGCCACTGATCCAACGAAGTACGTAATATCACAACTGTGTTTGTGCAAAACTTCACCTCATTGACTCTGCTACCAACACTGTCTTCCTTTTTTTCTTTTCTTTTTTTTTTTTTTTTTTAAGATAGAGTCTAGCTCTGTCACCCAGGCTGGAGTGCAGTGACTCAATCTCAGCTCACTGCAAACTCCGCCTCCCGGGTTCACGATTCTCCTGCCTCAGTCTCCCGAGTAGCTGGGACTACAGGCGACTGCCACCACTCCTGGCTAATTTTTTGTGTTTTTAGTAGAGACAGGGTTTCACCTTGTTAGCCAGGATGGTCTCGATCTCCTGATCTTGTGATCCACCCACCTCAGCCTCCCAAAGTGCTGGAATTACAGGCATGAGCCACTGCACCCGGCCCCAACATTGTCTTCTAACTCTCATCTGATTCTTTTTTTATTTTCTTGATCAACTAGCTCTGCTTTCTCCTGTTCACCTGCTCATTTTCTTCCCTACCTGCTTGCTTATCTACCTTATTTTTGATTTGTAGATTGAATAGATGTTTAAGCCCAATATCTATTTCTCAGTTTTTCCTTCTTTCTCTCTGTGTAGTTACAATTCACCTTCTTTGGAATCTTCATTGTACTCTCTCAGATATCACCCTTGGAGTTGAGGACTCCAACTTTCCAGATCTTCTTTTGCACAAGCACCCTGAAATGCATCCCTTAACCCACTGCCTTATCTTCCAGATCTTGTCCATCATTCTTAACAATTTGACAGCGTGTCCAGAACATTGCGCCTAAATGAATCTAACAAGAGGTAAGTTGAACATAATATTGGTATTTGAAAGTCTTCAATAGAATTAGGCCCTTAATTTAGCTTTTTCTAAGACTTTAAACATTCAAATGTTTCTTCTGCTTATACTTAAATAGTCTTTAAGGCAACTTATTTGTTCCCTGAACAAACTTCAGTTGCTTAAAAAAAAAAAAAAAAAAAAAAAAGAGGGCCGGGTGCGGTGGCTTACGCCTGTAATCCCAGCACTTTGGGAGGCTGAGGCGGGCAGATCACGAGGTCAGGAGATCAAGATCATCCCGGCTAACATGGTGAAACCCCGTCTCTACCAAAAATACAAAAAAATTAGCAGCTCGTGGTGGCAGGCGCCTGTAGTCCCAGCTACTCAGGAGGCTGAGGCAGGAGATTGGCATGAACCCAGGAGGCAGAGCTTGCAGTGAGCTGAGATCGCACCACTGCACTCCAGCCTGGGTGACAGAGCAAGACTCCATCTCAAAAAAAAAAAAAAAAAAAAAAGAGAAAGAAAGAAGGAAAGAAGAAGAAGAGAGAAAGAAAGAATGAAGGAAAGAAAAGAAAGAAAGAAAGAAAGAAAGAAAGAAAGAAAGAAAGAAAGAAAGAAAGAAAGAAAGAAAGAAAGAGAAAGAAAGAAAGAAAAGAATAGAAAAAGAAAGGTAAACTTATTTTAATGAATTCTTAGATGTTTGCAAACACATGAAGCCTCCATTGGAGACACAGCAAAACCTAGAAAGCCTTCCCCTAGTCCTGGGAAGTGTTTCCATTGCAGCAGGAGAGAAAAGGAAAAAATATGAGCAAGGGGAGGTCAAAGTAGGGCCAGTCAAGACCTCTGACCTCTGTTCCCTTGTTTCCAAAGTCCCTAAAATTTAATTTTGTCTTCTACCCTGAAATGATTGACAGATGCTCAAAAATCATGTTGTAAATCACAGAGCTCTTCATTTATTTATTTATTCAAGCACTTATATAATGCTTACCATGTATTAGGTTGGTGCAAAAGTAATCACAATTTTGCCAAAAGCTGTGCTAGCCCTTGGCTCTGGTCTCAAAAATTGGCTCATAATGTACTTTATGTCTATCTTCTTAAATTCATCAGTCATAATTTTCTGTGTGGTATCTGTACTCAGCCAGATGGAAGAATCAAATTGATTCCCAGGAGTGTAACTAATGAACCCAGGTAAATCTCAAACAGATAAGTTGAGAAAGTGTGGAGGATTTTGCTTGGAGAGCAGGAACTCAGAGGTCTTTAAATCACATACTTTAACCTCCATTCCTGTCTACTAGGCTGGTCTGATATAAAAACAATGGTTTTATTGTTATCCCAAGTCTCCTCCCCTCCCATGCAATTGTCTGTTTTATTTGATTATTTGTTTGTTTTTGAGATGGAGTCTCGCTCTGTCACCCAGGCTGGAGTGCAGTGGTGCATCTCGGCTCACTGCAAGCTCCACCTCCCGGGTTCACGCCATTCTCCTGCCTCAGCCTCCCGGGTAGCTGAGACTACGGGCGCCCGCCACCACGCCCAGCTAATTTTTTGTATTTTTTTTTAATAGAGATGGGGTTTCACCGTGTTAGCCAGGATGGTCTCGATCTCCTGACCTTGTGATCTGCCAGCCTCAGCCTCCCAAAGTGCTGGGATTACAGACACAATTGTCCTTTTTCCCATCAGCTTCCTACCTGGAATTTAAGGCCTAGTTTGTCTTATTCTGACACTCTTCTTTCCAGGAGGGGGACAACTCCATTTAAGAGAGAAAGAAGCTGTGTTAGCCAAAATTAAGTGAGGGCTGTGAACCCATTCCTATCACCTGGAACATGCACACTCCCGCTAGATTAGGGCAGATAGAATTTCAGGTCCTGCTACCACACCAATGGTTGTAAAAATAGAGGCCAAATATTTAACATTGTGTTGAAATTTCAGGCCAAAGTAATGTAAGCCAATCAATACATACAAATTGTTGCCCCTGTTCTTGCACTGATCCATTTCATTTGTAAGATGCATATTCTCACTGGCCAGAAATTCAGACTAAGTTTAGTCATCACAACTAGTGCTCTAAGCACACAACCAGAATCTAAACACATACCCATCCAAGCCACCACCCTACCACCCACAGAGCTGCCATCTCATTCTTACTTGATTCTTGCACTTTCAACAGGATTTCTTCTTCTCCATTGTCTTCAACCATATTTCTTTTCTTAGTTCACAAAGCCTTAAGTTCTCTTCAGCCAGCTTACTAATTTATTCTTCCTATCAGAGCGGCATACCAAATTCTTAACTAAATTAGATGGTATAGGGAAGGCACATTATCAAATCTAAAAGAACAACAAGATGTAAACTATTATTTTTAGCAGAGATGGCTGAAAATGGAGTAACTTGAAAAAGGTGAAGACAACCTTCATGTACATCCCTGACTCAGTTTACCATTTGCTTACTCTGCCAGGTGGTACCCAATAGCTCCTCAGCCAGAGTGAAATTATCTATCTAATGTTATCTCATCACCATTTTTGTTTACTTTTTAAAAATGTATTTGTCTAATTAGAGGCTGTGCATGAAAACAATCTTTTTGTAAAAATATAGATAAAGTTCAAGTCTGTCACTTTCATCAATTCCACTCAATTTTTGTTACCTGCAACAGAAAAAACTACCATTGGCATTTTGCCTTGTATCTTCTCAAACCATTTTCTATGCATTTACATACATCTTCGTACATATAGAAAATTAGTTTTGTTCTGTGAGATTTTATTTAGTTTTGTTTACAAAACTGGGATCATTCTGTTCATTTAGTTTAGCAACATGTTTAAGTTACTATGCCTTGAAAATATTTTCTCTTTTCCAAATATAGGTCTTCCTTATTCTTTCATCTGCTGCATGGTTACTTCATGTGAATGTACCATAATTTAGTCATGAGTTTCCTTAGGTGCTTGGCAACTTTTACTTTCCCCAATAGTGCTGAAATGAATATTCTTATAAATGCCACTTTATACATATATGGGAATATTTTTCCATCATCATTAATATTAATAAAAATTCCCAAATTTCTCTGGAAAACTACTTAACCAATTTGAGTGTTCTTCATTTCTCTATGTCCTCATATAATACTTAGATTAGCTCCATTTTTACTTAATTTGTCTTGCTAAAGAGGCAAAAAATCTCATTTGTTTTAATCTGCATTCCCTTGTTGCTGATGAAGAGAAACTTCTTTTCATATTTTCCACTGTTTCTCTTTTCCTATCCTTGTCCTATGCTCATTTGACTATTTAGTTGTGTTTTTCTTATTGATTTGTAAGAGTTCTTTATATAGTCTAAATACTACTCCTCCATCTGTTTTCTATATTAATAATATTTTCTTCTTGTCTTTTCTTTGACTCTTAACTTTTTTATGGTACAAGAACACTGTAGTTTGTATAGAGTTCAATTATGAATATTTTTATGGTATTTGCATTTTGCAACTTGCTTAAAAGACACTCCTCATATCAGATTTGTAAACATATCCTCTCATGTTTTCTCTTAGTTCTTTAGCAGTTTTAAATTTTATTTAACTACTCTGCCTAACAAAAGAAACTAGCAACAGACTAAAGATAACCTACAAAATGGGAGAAAATATTCATCCCAAACAACTGTGTTTGTTTTGGATACAAACTGTGCATCCAACAAAGTCTAATATCCAGAATCTATAAGGAATTTAAATCAACAAGCAAAAACAAGCAATCCCATTAAAAATAGGCAAGGGACATGAACAGATACTTCTCAAAAGAAGACACACAAGTGGCCACCAAACATATGAAAAAATGCTCATCATCACTAATCATCAGAGAAATAAAAATCAAAACCACAATGAGATACCATCTCATACTAGTCAGAATGACTATTATTAAGCAGTCAAAAAATAACAAATGCTGGTGAGCCTGCAGAGAAAAGGAGGCTTATACACTGCTGGTGGGAATGTAAATTAGCTCAGCCACTGTGGAAAGCAGTTTGGAGATTTCTCAGTGCTTAAAACCAAATTAACATTTAGCCCAGCAATCTCATTACTAGGTATATATCCAAAGATATACATATGCACTTGTATGTTCATCACAGTGCTATCCACAATAGTAAAGACATAGAATCAACTTAGATGCCTATGAATGGTGGATTGGATAAAGAAAATGTGATACATATACACCATGGAATACTATGCAGCCATTAAAAAAGAGTAAAATCATGCCCTTTGAAGTAACATGGGTGCAGCTGGAGGCATTTATCCTAAGTGAATTAATGCATGAACAGAAAGCCAAATACCACACATCCTCACTTTTAAATGGGAGTTAAACACTGAGTACACATGGAGATAAAGATGGGAACAATAGACATTTAGTACTACTAGAGTGGAGAAGGAGGGAGGGGGGCATGGACTGAAAAATTACCTATCAGTACTATGCTTACTCCCTGGCTGACAGGATCATGAGGTTTGTACCCCAAACCTCAGTATCATGCAATATACCCATGTAACAAGCCCGCACTTGTAGTCCCTGAATCTAAAATAAAAGTTGAAATTATTTTAAAACAATTTTTATTTAACTTTTTAATCCAGCTGGAGTTCACTTTTGTACATAGTGTAATTTAAATAATTTACCTTTTTTCCTCAAATGAAAAATTAGTTGGCACAAAATTATTTACTGAGTAGTTTGTACTTTTCACTCTGATATGAGATACTGCCTTTATCATTACTAAATTTCAAAGTATACATTACTCTGTTTCTGAACTCTCTATTGGGTTCACCCTATTGTTCTATTTTTTAAGGAATGTAAGGCAGTTTTGATTATTATAACTTAAGTACATGCTTCAATATATGAAAGATCAAATTCCCTCTTATGTTAAAAAATAATTTTTTGATTATTCTTTCATGTTTTATTTTCCAGATGAATTTTGCAGTTAGCCTATAACATTCTATAATTTTCTTGTTGGAACTTGTATTTAAACTACTTTGAATTTATAAATGTCACTTTTTTGTACAATATATAATTCTCTAACTAGATGTTAAAAGCAATGTAGATATAATTTCCATCAAGAAAAAAGTTTCTTTGCAATATCGAAAACTAGAAAGTGAATCTTAGATTTAATGTAAAAAGTAATGAAGAATCTTAAATGGAAGAATGAGATGAAAGATTTGGGTTTAGAAAGATTTTGCTAATTGTTTCAGAAGCTTCCTTAAAGCAAGGTTTCAGTTAGTATTAGGGTTATGATAGGAATAGTCTTACATAAGGGTAAACAGTTAGATTGTGGCAGCAATCTGGCATGAAAGGAAAAGAAGCCAGCTAGGGTAGGGTCAAAGTGTTTGGAGGGGAAAGATGAATGTGAAATATTTCCAAGAAAGAAATAAACTATAATCATACCCTTGTTTGCTAAATGAGTCTCTGGAGCATTACAGTAAAGCATTTTGGTTTCCTTGTCCTTGAGTCTCCATTTGGGACAGAAAGCCTTCAAGACTAGCAATGATGATTCCTATTTTTTACTTCATTTGCATATCTGTGCTATGCCTGCTTTGTGTTTAGAAACATTGCAGGATTATAGTCCCATATTTTCTGTCTTTCACCTTGAGCTGTTGCCTGAGGTTTTCACATATGGTCAATCTTTTGGCTGGCTTTAATACATTTAGACAATAGCCTGCTTCATTTAAAAAACAAAACCATACAGTATAGTTCCTGTCATTGTTTTAAAGTCATAAGAGTATCAAAACTAAATCTGTTACACAAAATATTTAAAAAATAAATTTATTGTGTATATTTGGGGTTTACAACATGATGTTATGAGATACATATAGATAGTAAAATGATTACTTATAGCAAAGCAAATTAATATATCTAGCAACTCATACAGTTACTTTTTATTGTGACAAGAACACAGTAAGAGCTAAAATCTTATTTAACAAAGATTCCTAATAAAATAGAATTTTAGTTACTACAGTCTTCATGTTGTACATTAGATCTCTAACTCATTCATTCTTCATAGCCCCATTTCCTCTTCCATTCCCCTGGCTCCCCACTGCCTCTGGTAACCACTGTTTTATTTTCTTTCTCTGTATATTTGACATTTTTAAACATATCACATATAAGTGAGATAATGCAGTATTTGTCTTTCTTTGTCTGGCTTATTTCACTTAGCATAATGTCCTTCAGTTTCATCCATATTGTGGCAAGTGGCAGGATCTCCTTTTTTAAGGCTGAGTAATAATATTCCATTGTATATTTATACCAGTTTCTTTATCCATTCATCTGTCAACAGGCACTTAGGTTGTTTTCATATCTTGGCTATTGTGAATAATGCTGCAATGAACATTGAAGGACGTAGATACCTTTACAAGGTGATGATCTCATCCCCTTTGGGTATATACCCAGAAAAGAGATTTCTGGGTCATATTGTAGTTCTATTTTTAATTTCTTTAGAAACCCCCACACTGTTTTTCATAATGACTACTTTCCGACCAACAGTGTACTAGGGTTTCCATTTCTCCACATCCTCACCAGTATTTGTTATCTCTTGTCTTTTTCATAATGCCCATCCTAACAGATGTGAGGTGATATCTCATAGTAGTTTTAATTTGCATTTCCCTTATTGTTAATGATGTTTAGCACCTTTTTATATATTGTTTGGCCATTTTTGTGTCTTCTTTGGATCAATATTTGCATAGGTTTTTAGCTCATTTTTTAGTAGGTTTATTTGTTTTTCTGCTATTGGGTTGTGAGAGTTCTTTATAAATGTTGGATATTAATCCCTTATCAGATATGTGGTTTGAAAATATTTTTCCCAGTCTATAGGTTACCTTTTCATTTTGTTGATTTCTTTCTCTGCTGTGTTTAAGCTTTTTAGTTTGATATAATCCCACTTATTTATTTTTCCTTCTGTAGCTAGTGCTTTTGGTGTGATATTCAAAAAATCATTGTCAAGGGTAACATCAAGGAACTTCTCCTCCATGTTCTCTTCTAGGAGTTTTATGCTTTCAGGTCTTGCATTTAGGCCTTTTATCCATTTTGAGTTGATTTTTATGTATGGTGCAAGATAGAGGTCTGACTTCATTCTTTTGCCTGTGGAAATCCAGCTTTCCCAGCATAATTTACTGAAGAGACTACCTTTTATCCATTGTGTCTTCTTGGTGCCCTTGTCAAAAATTAGTTGACCACAAGTTTGGATTTATTTCTGGACTCAATTTTGTTCCATTAGCCTGCATTTCCTTTTTTGTGCCCATACCATACTGTTTTGATTACTATCACTTTGTAATATAATTTTAAGTCAGTCAGTATGATGCCTTCAACTGTGCTTTCCTTTGGCAATATTACTTGGGCTATTTGGGGATTTTTGTGGTTCCATACACATTTTTTTTTGTGGTTCCATACAAATGGATTGTTTTCTCTATTTCTGTGAAGAATGTCATTGGAATTTTCTTAGGAATTGTGTTGAATCTGAATATTGCTTTGGATGGTATGAACATTTTAATGATATTGATTCTCCCAAAGCATGAACACAGGATATTTTTCCATTTATTTGTGTACTCTTCAATTTCTTTCATCAATGTTTTATCATTTTTAGTGTGTAGGTCTTTTAACTCCTTGCTTAACTTTATTACTAAGTATTTTATTTTTCTTGATGTTATGGTAAAGGTGAGTATTTTCTTGATATACAGAAAATTTGGAATCATCCAGGATTACAGGTACTGGCATCCTAAGGAAGTTAGTTTTTCAAAAGGTACTTATCATCATCATCATCATCATCATCATCATCATTATAATTCCTAACATTTATTGAGTAGTCACCGTGTACCAGGCACTTTCTCTGCACACATTATCTAGACACTATAGTATTAGTATTATCTAGATAAATATAGAGTATCGTATTAGTAGAGAGATAGACACTATGAGTGTTCCCATTTTACAGATAAGGAAACTGAGATAAACAAAATGTAAGTAACCTGCCCAAAGGCACACTCCTGCTAAATGACACAGTCTTTATGTTGAACACAGCAATTTCACTACCAAGTCTACACTTTTAATGGCTATTCTAGATGACTAAATCAGTAGAATCTTTTCTTAAATAGGAAGATCTTTAAGAATTTGTTAATTGCCACTCACCCCTTTTCTGTTACATTATTTGAGAACTTGTTTTGCCTTCTTAGAACCGTATTTAGATGTATTGAATCTGTATATTTGTGTTTGAAGCTCTTATTTAAGCAAAAGAGAAAGTGAGTCATCAGGTTTTAGATGCTTCTTTGACTTGAGTGTTCTAATTTTGCTTGTTCTCCCTGGAAATGTGCAAACATCCTGAATGTCTGTGTAACTGAGTCTTCTGAAGTTAGACAGAAACATCCTTGACATCATTTCCCATTATTCACCGTAATGTTGGTCACTTAACTCTTCTGCAAATTCCATTCCCTGCTATCCTACGTTAGCACTTCAGATCTGGTCTCCAAAGATAACATTTGTCATTCTTCCTCTGTTGTCAAGCTGGCTTATTTTCTGTGCATTTGAGGTCTGAGTAACAGTTACAGAAAGCCAACTTCTTTCCTGGATCAAATGAAGATGGAGCTATTTGGAGGAAGTGGAGCCCTACAAGTGATTTCTGGTTTTGAAACTGTTGGCAGTATTTGATGAAGTACGGTATTATCCTTAAGTTCAACCTGAAGACATTTGCAACATGTCAGACTAACCCAGAATGGTCCAATGCCAGGCTGCCACTCATGCTTAATTTATTCAGTAGTAATTAAAGAGCTGTTTAAGGTTTCAGCTGCATTTACCTAACTGCCTTTTGACAAGAGAACAAACTGCTTCCCAGTCTGCCTTGACACTCTAACTGTAAGCAGATCTGAAAAAAAATTGTCTGGGTCTACATACAATTTAGTTAAAATAAGGTAAAATGAAGAAATTACTGCTGTTGATATTCTCACTTTCTTTTTGAGAAAATGTCTGACAGTATTGGCTTCCAGAAAAAAGGATTCTACAAACCATCTGTGCTAAGAGCTATATCAATGTGAACATTCAGAGAAGTCCATGTAGCCACTGTCAGCGGCAGGCCACTGGAGGAAACTCCTAGGGTTTTTGTTTAAAAGAGGGTGGGGAGTTATTAAACGTTCTGCTAATTAGATGCGTAGTCCTAGTTTGGTGAGCTGAGACACATGCCTTTCCCACTGGAGTTATTTGCTGCTGCTGCACAGACTCTGGAGACAGCCACGCAGTCCAGGGTACTTATCCCACAAATAAGGACCAGCTTGTTCCATTCATTTGGAGTGTATCCTTTCTCTAGTCCTGCTAAAATGCCTATCTACTTTTTTTTTTTTTTTTTTTTTGAGACAGTCTTGCTCTGTCACCCAGGCTGGAGTGCAGTGACACCATCTGTTCTCACTGCAACCTCCGCCTCCCTGGTTCAAGCGATTCTCCTTCTTCAGCACCCCAACTAGCTGGGATTACAAGCGTGAGCCACTGTGCCTGGCTAATTTTTGTATTTTTAGTAGAGACAGGGTTTCACCAGGTTGGCCAAGCTGGTCTCAAACTCCTGGCCTCAAGTGATCTGCCCACCTCCACCTCTCAAAGCGCGGTGATTACAGGCGTGAGCCACCGTGCCCAGCCTCTGCCTATTTTTGTACCCACTTGAAACATTTACCTTCACCCAACACATGCACATACACACATGGACAAACACACACACACACTCACACACACACACACACACACACTCACACACACAGAATTTAAATCCACACTGGGAGGAAGAAGGGAGATGAGGGGAAAAGAAGAATATAAATGTATTTATGACACTGAACTATACACTTGAAAATGGTAAAGATGGTAAATTATATATGTACATTTACCTCATAAAAACTTTAAAACTCAAAAAACTAAAGTAGAAAAAAAGCTGGAGGTGAATATTATGCTCCACATTGGAAGCAAATTTGGGTCTGATATGAATCTAAGGGGAATCTTTTGTTGTGGGAGAGTTTGCCTTCTCCCATATACACATGATGGAATGTTCATGTGCAAAATCATAATGGATGCAATAGGTAACAACAGTAATTCCCCCCAAGTCAAGATCAGGAATATGTTAATGGCCATCCATTAATAAAGCCAAATTACACAGCATCATGTTTTCTTAGTCATCTTGAATATAATTACTGTTGGTAGGGGCTAAAATATTTACACAGGGTAAAAAAAGAATGAGTAATTCTGAATTATAATTTTCTTCTCAGCTCACAGAATCCCACACCTGAAAGTTGGTTCAAATTAATTTATAATTCAAGACCACGTGGTTTATATTACATTCCTAATAAGCCCAACCAGAACCAAACCATTTTTAAAATAGCAAGGTAGGAGGTGTAAACCAGGGACTCAAGCCCTGGTTTCAGCACTAAGTGGTATCACATAACGTTTGCACAGGTCTTTATCACATTTCTCCTGTGACTGTGAGATAAGATGTTTGAGTTTTTGCTACTTCTTTCAGGCAGCAGGAAAAAACTTATCGGTATCAACATTTTTTAAGTTTTTTGTTAGGGTTTGAAATGGTGAAGTTATTAAAGAGATCTGGGATCATTATTTTTCATCACAGAATAATTATATGGAAGTACTAAAGGAAAAAATCACACTTTAATTTTGTTAAAAATAACTACGGTGTTTTTATCCCAATATGAAAAAAAAAGGCAACAAAACGTTTGTGTTTTTTTCCCCCTTTTAGATTTAGTTAGCTAATATTTAGGCTCTCCTGACTTCTCATTTCCAGTTTCTCACTAAAATGCTAGAAATCACATTTTCATTTCCTGAGAAATTTGGCAGTCTTCTGGCGTAGACCTTCTCCTGCAACCTGCGATTAGTAGGCTGCAGCAGACTGTATTTTCCAAGGACAGCCACAACATGATCCCCTATCCCAAATGCTCCTCCAAGACCTTGCAGCTCCCCCTTCCATCCTGAATTTGGGCAAACTTGTGACTCACTCTTAAGCACTGGGATGAAGCAGAGTGATGGTGCGTGACCTCTGAGGCTAGGTCAGCTCCTGCCCTGGGAGCTGGAATGCTCGTGCAGGAGGCTGGAGTGCCCTAGAAGCAGTTCAGCTGCCCCAAGGCAGCCATGCTAGAAGGAAGCCCAAACTAACATCCCCAGAGAGATCACGTGAAGAAGTCCTGACATCAAGGGAGCCCCTACCGGCCCCAGCCCCTGCTTTTCCAGGTCAGCTAAGTGTACAACTACATGAGCATCATGTGCCCAAACGCCCCAGCCAAGACCTTCCTTCCCAGGAGCTGGTTCACAGAAACTATAAAGATAAGAAAATACTTGTGTGTTTTAGGTCACTAAGGTTTAGGTTAGTTATAAAGCAACAGTAACCTGGAACATAGGTATTGGGAAGAAATTAAATTACAAATTAAAGTCATGCCCATAGCTTCAGAAATTAATTGGCAGAATTTTTGGAATGGATCTATTTGAATATAGCCACCCTGCTTCATGGGTTCACCATACCAGCATTTCTCAAAACTATGTTGAAAACTCTAGAATATAGTTGGCATATGAAGTTCAGATATTTGAATCCTAAAGGCTAACCTCATTTTCTTCCGTCTGTAATGAACTACCCCAAATGAAATTACAAGAGTCAAACCAAAAAGAAAGTAGAGTTATATGGCAAGTGGGTTAGAATTACTTTTAATTAACAAAAATTTCCCTGAGCGCTTCTCCCCTCTCCAGCAGGCAGATTCTCTCTTCATTTTCAAAGTGGTAAATAATAGAACCCTCTCCTACTGGGCTTCCAGGGTTTTATGCTTCTCTCTAAGAGGGAACACTATGATTAAAAGATGAAATCATCTAGTAGGTGACATTTTAATCATCCTTCCCTAAAGAATTGGGTTTTCAATTTGGATGTGT
Source organism: Homo sapiens (assembly GCF_000001405.40). NCBI lineage: Eukaryota > Metazoa > Chordata > Mammalia > Primates > Hominidae > Homo > Homo sapiens. The sequence continues at coordinate 85,962,764 of NC_000008.11, forward strand.
TAATTTGTGCTTCTGCTTAGGCTGCTTTGTAAATGGAAGTGTTTTTCAATAGTTGAATAGGTGGTGTGTGTGCTCTGTCTCTTAAGCAAAAAAGGGAGAGAACTCTGTCTTCCCTAGGACCTGTGCACCTACTATAGTTCTGCACCCAGCAAACCTTCGATAATGTGATGTCTAAATGGGAGCGTATCAAAGAATGCAAGATCCAGCAATATCTTTACAAGTGTCTATGAAATAATAATAAAAGTAATCATAATAATGTAACAGTGTTTTTTGAGTATTTACTATGTATCAGGTACTGGCACAAAATATTTTAAAGCATTATCTCATTTAATATTCATACTATTTACTTAACTGGCATAAAAAAGTGTGTGTGTGTGTGTGTGTGTGTGTGTGTGTGTGTACACTGGGGCCTTCAGACTCTTGGCTATTGTTCTTTAAATTTTTTTGCAGCTTCAAAAAGTAGTGAAGGCATGGGAAGAGAATTGCTTTTTCTGTAGAATTGTACAGGGCACACAACAGCCAGGGGACAATAAGAAAAACAGAAAATAATCCAGCAGGACCAAGCCCACAACAGCTATCAGCCTCAGACTCACCTAAGGTAGGCCCTGTGACAATCACATGGGTGCAAGTGAAAAATTGACTGAAATGAAAGGAAATGCTGCCTCTTCAGAGATGCATTTTCTGACCACCCAGTCTGAAAGAGCTCTCCCTCCTCCAGCCCCCCTCGTAATTCTTATCCCCACCTGGCATAGCATGCATTACTTGTTTGTCATTGATTTTACAGGATTAGACCACAGCCTCCATGAGAACAATGGCAGAGAATCCTGCTGTCTCCCCAGCACCTGGAATAGTGCCTGGCACAGAGTGGGTGTTCAATGAATATCTTTCAAATAAATGAATAAGAACAGACTTTGAGAGGAATTGGAGAGGTAGTTGGATAAGGGAAAGACTTAGGCAAAAAGAAAGAAGTACACCTGAGTTAGGTGCTGAAAACAGACAAGCTGTGTGTAGAACACGTGAGATGAATGCTTCAGTTACTCCCACCCTTCCGTCCCAAGCTACAGTGTTTAAAAGCTGCAGTTAAAAACACTGAGCAAGGCAGCGGGCACGTGATTCAAGAACATGCTGTTTCTAACCAAACAACAAGCCTCATTTTTTAATACCTTCAGTAACCAGAGAGATGAGTTGTCTTCGATTCATTTTCCCTTCTTATGCTTAATGGCATCTGCAGACATTATATTTTCCTTTTTATTGACTGCTTATTTTTGCAGTAAAAGAACTTGCGGCAGCATTCGTTTGACTTAAGTACCATAATCGAGAGATTAGGATAATATTCAGCACCCTTCAAATTACTTGTTCAATGCCTCTTAAAAAATTGATCAGATTTCTTCTTTCCTCTTTCATTTAACAAACACCTACTGCGCGTACGGCCTGTGTTCGGCAGCGCCAAGAAAGCAAAGACGAATCAGATAGAGATCCTGTTTTCAGAACCCCATGTGGGTTTCACCAGGATGCGTGCACCTGCACAATGTTTCTTTTCTGCAGAAGCAAGTGACAGTTTATATTAAATCACTAAGTTTATTTTTCATTCATCTCACCAGCTGTATAGCAGCTTTCATGATATTCTTTCATGTCATGGAACATTTCCTGTGGGTTATGTTGTCCTGTCCCTTTGTTTCTTAAAACAGAAAGCAGGGGGAAGAAAGTATTAGGACATCTGTTTTATGTGCCTGTGAGAAACAGGACTGAATACTTGGGACTTTATGTTCTTTTTATTTCTGCTTTACCTCCATGACCTGCATGGAATATTAGTCGTTTCAACAGATCTCCAGATTGCAGAGTTTTAAAAAATTTTTCTGATTTTATGAAGATAATTTTATAGTCATATCCATCAAATTCATTTACCCATTCCTGCATTTATTTATTCAACAAATATGTCTTAAGTTACTATCAGATGCCAAGCAATACCCTACTCTAAAAGTCTACAGTCTTGACGGAAGATAGACATGCAAACCCACACTTTTGTTTGTTGTATGAAACAATTTTCATATGACAAGAAATTTGGTTTAATAAAGATATACGCAAACCTCGGGGGCAGGGATCAGGGAACAAAGCAAAGGAACCTAAGTCCGCTGTAAGAATCAGGGAAGGAGTAACAAGAGAGGTAACAATGGGTCTGAGAGCTGGAGAATGAGTGAGAGACTGCTAAGCAGAAAAGCAATAGGGTGTGTGAGCAGAATGGGGTGCGGGGGAGATGGTGTTCCAAGCAGTTGGCAAAGTTGAGAAAAATGGAGATGTGACATGTTGCAGTACAGCTGAGGTGTAAAATAAAAGAAGGAAGTGGCAGAAGAAACTGGAGAAGGAAGGAAGACTTTACTCACGGGAAGACCTTGTGTTTCAAGAAAAGGAGTTTATATATTTATCCCGGGGGCATATGAAAGCACTGAAAATTTTTGAGGAATGCCATAATCATGTTTTGTTTTCTAAAGATATGCTGATGGCATTGTGAGGATTGCATTAATGATAATGAGAAGTGTGGAGAAAGGAGAAGAGAGGGAGGGGGCCCAGTAAGCCTAGGCTGGGCATAGTGGTTCATGCCTGTAATGCTAACACTTTGGGAGGCTGAGGCCAGAGGATTGCTTGAGCTCAGGAGTTCAAGACTAGCGTGGGCAACATAGGGAGACCCATCTCTACAAAAAGTTAAAAAAAAAAAAAGTCAGGTGTGCTGTCATGCACCTGTAATCCCAGATACGTGGGAGGCTGAGGCAAGAGGATCACTTGAGCCCAGGAGGCTGAGGCTGCAGTGAGCCATGAACACACAACTGCACTCCAGCCTGGATGACAGAGCAAGACCCTGTCTCAAATCAAAAGAAAAAGAAAAAATGTGGAGTGATAACCAGATGAACAATGACCAGATGAAGGTTTTTTTTCTCTCCGTTTTCTAAGATGGGGAATATGAAAGAGTCATGAGGGTGTCTGTATGGTGAGGAGAATAGCCAAAAGAGAAGGAGATGGGAAACTGATGAAGCTTGGCCTGGGAAACGGTGGAGATGAGAAGCGCAGAGCACAGTGGAGAGGACTGGCCTCAGGTGGGGATGGAGGCAGTCCTTCTTCCGAGATGAACTGGTGTGGGGAAGGATGAATGAAGTGCCACCAAGTGTCACAGAACAGGGGCAAGAAGCTGAGGGAGTGTCCCTGGTAACCTCATTGTTCCCTGTTAAAGAAAAGATGGAATCAGGTGCCAGGAAGAGGGCAGGTAGAGGGCTGGGAAGCATGACAAAGCTGGAAAATTGCACAGTGAGAGAGACAGAGAATAAGAGATTGGGATGGATCTGTCAAACTGTGATACACTCATAAAGATTACCACACATTTGTCCTAAAATCTGGGGCTTAAATTTATGGATAAATATATATTTCTAAAGTATTCTAAATCTCTTTAGAATGTTTTTGTCTCATTTTCTATCAGAATGTGTTCCCCTATGTCACTGCTTCTCCCACCCACTGAATTTATTACTCGATAAGAGAGTGAGTTGTTAGGATTTAATGGGCATAAGAATTACCAGAGGAGATTGCTGAAATCACACATTTCTGGATCCTAGCCTCAGCAATGCTGACTCAGTAGGTCAGGTTTAAACAGGCACCACGGATGATTCAGATGCAGATGGTCTGAGGACCCAAAATGCAATGTGTTGCTATGGGAGGTGAACTTGAGCAGCTCCGGAGATTGTTCAACATAATCCAATATGAGAAGTTTTCAGGACTTTGTTTCATCTGCTAAGATAAGGAAAAACTTGAGAGACTTCAAGGAAGTGTTTAAAATATCATTGCACGTTAAGTTACGTTTGGTAGAGATAAGAAGGATTGGGATGGATAAGGAGAGATGACCAAATTCAGAGCAAGATGAGCACTTCAGTTTGGAAAAATAATGTGGGCAACAGGATATTTAAATATTAGTATATTACTATAATTTCCAGTCCCCTGCAGTTTTTATTAAGTATAGTTACATTGCATTTGTATTGTCAAGTTGTCTGTGAAGAAAAAGTTTCTAAGTATGTGCTGTATCCAAATGCTGTAAGCAAAGTGGATGTGTGGCTATAGACCCTATTCTTCATTGGTTCATCTTTTAAAGGAGCAGGTGGGAGAGGAAATATATATAGAACACTTGTGACAAAAAAATCATAGATCAACATAATACAGATATTTGGTAAACACCGTTTATTCTATTATCTTTCAATATTTATGGAGTGCCTACTACTTGCTCACTCAAATATAATTACTAAACACCTAATATGAGCTAGACACTAGGGCAAAAAGCATATCAAGATAAGAGAGCTACTGAACTTATCCCCAAACTTCCAGTCTCATTGGGGAGACAGAGATATCAATAAGTTACTATAATATATAGTTAAGCATGGCAATTGCTTTAAACACAAGGGTTTCTGGAACGTGTGTAGTGCCAGTAATGGCAGGTAGAAATGGATGGAAACTATTCCAGCTTATAATGGTCAACAAATCCTAACAACCAAGTGATGTGTAACCGTGCAGCATTATCATGTAAGTACAATATTATGAGGAATAATTGCTTGCCCCAGTATGGTGTAATTTTCTGTAGAGTTGTATCAAACGTATAAAAAATAAGCATGTCTACTCCTATACCAGGAGATATGCTAGACAAGTTCACAGAAGCATCATATATAATAGCAAAAAAATGGAACAACAAAAAGATTTATCAACCATAGAATGTATTCTTTTTTTAAACTCTGGTATATTCAAATAATAGAATATGCTACAGAAGTGAAGTGAATTACAGCTACATAAAACAACATGGTTATATCATAGGAATATTATACTGAGTAAAAAAAAAACTGGACATAGAAAAATACATATAATATGACTTCTATAAAAAGTACAAAACCACGCAAAACCAGCAGGTGGTAAACTATAAAGAAATATAGGAACCTTATGAAAATTCAATATAGTGATCCCTCTGAGGAGAGGGAAGAAAATGGGCTTAAGGAGAGACCCACAGGGTTTCAAAGGTAATACAGTATTCTTTCAGTTACATTGAGTAGGGGTACATGGGATTTGTTGAATCATTACTTGTGATTTACATATATCCCATAGATATGCATATGTAGCTACTGAACATTCAATGAAACCAACTTAAAGTAGAAAATAATATATGATGGGACCTTCAAAAGAAGATACAGCATTTTCTTGGTTTTCTTATTCACCTTGCATCTAAACTAGACAATATAAATCAGGTTTAAAATCTGCTTTTACCAATGAGTGTTATTCACAGCCTTTAGTTCTATCACAACTTCAATAAGTTACTTTAACAGAAGCCAATGGACATTCGTTTAATTCTTACACTATATGCCCAGCTTGGCCCATCCTTACCAGGGAGTCTTGAACCATATGAGAATGTCTGTTTGAATTGAAGTAGCTAGAACTGTATTTAAAAAAAATTTAACACCTATATGTTCACATCCTATGGGTATGCATACAATATTGAGAATCTGTTATGTACCAACACAGAGAATGCAATGGGAATCCACTAAGTACAGAGAAAGATTGTCTCCTATCTTCCTGAGGAGATCCAGAAAACTTTTTTTAGAGGAGACAAGGTTTACATTGAACCTTGAGAAATGAATTGAATTTAGTGAGGGGAAGAAGAGGTGAAGGTAGAGGCAAGGTCTTTCAGGCAGAGGGAAGGATAAAGGCTCCAAGCTAAGAGACAATAAATAGTTTAATACAACTGGAATAAAATGGAGAAGGAGAACAGGTAGGGTTTGAGGTCTGAAAGGACATGTGTACTTAACTGAGGAGTCTGAATTTTACTAAAAGCTATGAAGACCTCACTGAGTTAATTAAGAAGGGCAGTGTCATGATCAGACATTTGTTCAAGAATGGCCCCTAACTTCAGTTTGAAATATGAACTGAAGGGGAATCAGGCTAGATAGAGGTAGGGAGGCTGTTTTGAAGGCTGCAGCAGCTATCCAAGGAAGAAATAGTGTTGGCATGAACTAAAGAACTGGCTGTGGAAATATAGAAAAAGGGGGCAAAGTATTTAATTATTAAAGAGTTAGAATCTAGGGAGTTTACTGATTAAAGGGGCAGTCGATGGGCAAGAAGTAGAAGGAATCTTGAAGTATGCTAAGTTGTCTGGTAAAAAAATTTAGAAAAGTTATAAACATTCAATTTTAACTTTGATTAGCTGAAATCAGGTAGTCAATATGAAATTTAATAAACAGTAAAAATGAAAATGCAAGCATTACTGTAACATTTAACAAATATTTATTAAGTACATAATATCTGACAGATGACATGCTAATTACCTAAAAGAGAAAGATAAGTATGTAAAATGTGGGTCTTGTCCTTAAAAAGCCCAAGTGTGGAGGATGGGACAAGTCAGGTAAACATCAGCCTATGGTGTGATGAGGGCTCCATGGAAGTATGGAAGGAAGGCTTCAGGAGCAGAGAAGGACTTACATTCTTCGATGAACAGAGTGACTATTTCATAAAAGCTAGCACATTTTTTGAATTCCTACTAGGTGCCAAACTCTGTGAATGTGCATAAATGTACATCATCTCCATAAAGAGTAAGATACTGAGTTATATTTAAATTGTCCCTATCTCTTTTCCCACCAAAGAAACTTAACTACCTCAATAGTATTCTAATTAGTTACATGTCTTATTTGGAGTACTTACATTTCTGTTTGACTAAACTGCCATTCTCAGTTTCCCCCCTTGGCTATAATTATTCAAAACACACAATTATGTTAATGAACAAAAAGACATAAAAAATAACCTTTTACAAAGGTACAGAGTTGTACTGCTAATCATAACACCCAATTTATGTTGCTCCCATTAATGATGAACTTAGCGCTTACTTAACAAGATTTTAAGAAAACATTAACAGATTGCAAACCCTGTTCCCACTTTTGTGCTCTAGTTTACAGCCCAGCTGAATATTAACCACCAACTAGTGGTTTTACATAGGCCAAAACCTGAGGTCACTTGCAGTAACATGTTTAATCAATATACCGTGCATGCATCACTTATTGGTCCTACTAGAAACCTATCTAGGAGGCAAAACGGAATGCATGTCTCAAAGACACAGTCTGGCTTCCTCTTTGTAGTTACATTGCGTGTTGCATGGCTGCTGGAGAAACACATGGTATTATGGATGTTACATGTTTGCATAGAGGTAGGTCTAGACTAAAAGACATTTTATATCACAGATTGAGACTAAAAGACATTTTGTATCACAGATTGTCTTAGATCCTTTGACAACAAATGTCTCTAACAGCATCTTTGATCAGTCCAAAGATTTTCTGTTTTATACTTTACATATGGCTTTAGTCAACTCAAAGAAACAGGTTTACATAAGCCGCAAAGTCTATCTAGTCCCAGGACTGTGCTCACTTACCAACCATACAAGTTGTTATCATGGTATCAGTCATTTTGCCAACTAAACTGCATGTTCCCTCCAGGCAGAAATTATGTCCTATATTTATTTTCCAAACTCCAATTGTTGCACATGAGATATGGACAAAACAATTCTGTATTTGGTTCTAACACTTGCCATCTGTGTATCTGAGGGAAAATCCCTTCACTTATCTGAGCCTCAGTTTGTTCATATGTAAAAGAGGGAATATCTTTGGAGGGTTGAATGAGAGAATAAATTTAAACAATGCTCTGTATACCTAAATAAATTACCCAACAAATATAAAGTATATTAATAATATGCATATCACCAAACGCTATACTCATAGGATCTCATATAATCTTTTTGCTATTGTTTATTATGACTAATCAGTGAAGATCATCTCTCATGTCTTATATGACAAACTTCGTAGAGCAAGAGTTTCTGAAAGGGAAAAAAGTTGCTTTCCATGATGGGTACAGTGTTGTCATATGTGATCCTGTGAGCAAATATGATCTTATATATGTTTGATAAAGACAAACTTATCAATTATTTCCAGAGATTATAATGCTGAGGAAATCTATGATGTTTAACAATGCAATTTCTGTTAGGATTCAAAGTACACTCCATTTATGGTGTCTTTACTACAATTAGAACAAAAAAGTACAAAAAATATGTTCACTGCCAAGAATGAAAGAAAGGAGAGATAATGAATTTTAAAACTATAAAATTAATATATTAAAAGGATAGTTATCTACAAAATAAAATCCTGTTGACAAAATCATATCACTGGAGTGAAAAAGAATTCCAGTCTCTCCATAATAGTCATTTGGTTTCAACATATTTCATTGGTATACTTCACTTATTTCTTGGGTTTTGTTTTTAACTTGGAAAATCAAAGCTCTATTCAAAATAAGCAATGTTGTTTTAAAAAGACCTAAGATCAAATCAGAGATACTAAATCCAAGACCACTCAACAACTTAGGTTGTGTGAAGCATCTTATTAATAGGTCTCACTCATTTGACCTGGGAAGTCAATGAAATAGGCAGCAGAAATTAAAAAGATGTCATCCAGACCTTGGAAGATAAGGCATCCAGTGGATTTTATGCCATCAAATACCACCCATTTCCTTTAGGGTTCGAAGGTTTCACAACTACGTGACTTCCTTTTAACCAACAGTAAGCAAGAGACTAGCTATCTTATCTAAGCGCTCAATCACTGGGGCTGTTCTTTTTCCTCCGCGTAAGAATAGGCTGCAGGAAATAGGTGAAAGGAAATAATTCCATATTAGCATACCCTAAGGAGCATTTTAGGAAAGCTCACAGAAATTTCTTTTGCTCTCCATAGGCTGACAACTGCAAGCCTTATCTACTAGATGATTTTTTCAAGAATTGGTGTGTTAGGTGTTTCCTTGACTAGCCAGTGTTTTGTGTGTTTGTTTTTTAGTTATATTTTCCTTATGCAAGTAATTTTGAATTGTCATCATTATTTGTTACTAACTCCTAATCAATGGCATTATAATAAAGTTATGATGGACACAGTGAGCTAATTACCTGGTTTAATACCCAGCACTGTAGACATCAATCTTCTGCATTTTGGAGGATCTGAGTGAGTTATAGTGATATGTGATCCCAAGAGACTGCAAGCTAAGAAAAAACCTTCCATTTTTGGCCATGTCATAGAACCCAGCACTTATTTTTTTCTCAGAAAAGGGAGCATTTCTAACATAGCCAGATTCACTGGATGATGTGCCCTGGCTCTTGGAACACTCATTTTCATTTATAGACCAAGTTTATTTCTTTGAAGATTTAAGATACAGAAGTGGCTCTACAGAGCATCTAAAGATCCTCTTTTTCCTTTGACTTCTATCTGCAACACCCAGGTACCTGGTGCTGAAACTATTCAGTGCTAACTGAAACCTTACATAATCTTTTTCATTTTTCCTGAAACATCAGCTTTAAAAGGACATACAGAGCCTATTATTGACCATTTTTCTTGGAAATAAAGCATTTATTCTGATATAAAATGACTGATGACACTACAATCAAATGTTCTTTGTATTTTCAGTTAAGGATTGATTCCTTTCTGGGACTAAAACTCTTTTCAGAGAAATGAATAACCATTTATGCACCATTTACATATCCTAAAAACTTGTACTGAATATTTTCTATCTTCTGTACTAAATTATAGATTATCCAGCACAACTCAGGGCTGGCATATTTACTGACCCATTTATGAAGGGATTGAGATGAGGTTGACGATTAATTAATTGGGAGATGGCTCTATTCAATCTTTAGAGGTACTAAATACAAATAGTTATCAAATAGATTTACCTGAGAAAAAAAGTTAAGAAAAGAACTTCTCATATGGTGAAAAGTAATACATTAATCTAGAAATGCACATTAGTACCTATAATCACATCACCATCTTTTGCCTCAAAACAGGTTCTACATGAGTTGAGAAAAATACAATGTATGGTAGTACTCTCTTGTGCAGTACCTAATTCCAATTACCACCTCATCCTTGTACATAAATGAAGTTTTGTTTTCTTACCCTTTCAGCAAACATAATAATGTTTCCACATAATCCTGATTCTGGAAACAGAACATAACTCTCTTTTAGACTCAAACAGGAGAGTGTATATGTACATATGTGTGTTTCTGGGTATAAGCACTCATACTGTTCTCTTTTTCTTTAGAGATCATAAAGAAGTCTGCAAAGAGTTTTTGGTGATCTATTTCATTTTGTAGAGGAAGACATGAAAGTTCAAATACAATAAATGACTATTGGTTTTAAAATTTATTCTCAAGGGATTTCCCAGAATTTTCTGGTCCTATTCATTGAACTATCTGGAATTTTAGAATATCATAATAATTGGTTGTATGATTACTAGAAAGTGGTAACTGGCTATTCATGACCATTTTATTACAAACTAATTGAGGAAAATTAGGAAGAAATAACAATTTGCAGATTCTGGCTTGTTCTAGAAAACACACATTAAAATTAAAGGACACACTTATTTGGCTCATTGGAATTGGTTCCTCAATATCTTTTTCAAAATGCCACTCCTGGCTGCAACTATGGGTAACACAGTTTTCTGAGAAAACAAACTCTCAGACAGCTTTTGACTATGATTCAAATTTTCTTTAACTCATATTAAGTAGCTATTAGTGTTTATTCTGAGAGGAAAAAAAAGATGGAACTCGAAACCCAGGCTCCAATAGTTAGCAAGTCACTGTTTAGGGTGTTACTATCTTCAACTGAGTCCAAATTCCACATTCACCTTTCTCTGCTCAATTTCTCTTCTTCTTGTTTTAGGGTAATTCCTCTCAAGTAGAGATTGGGGGTATTTGTGTAACCCATGCACCATCTAGTGGGAACAGATGGAAAATCCATCTAGAAAAATAACTTGTGATAGCCCTCCTGAGGCCACTGGCGAAGTATAGTTCTTTGCCTTAGAGACTATGCTTAATAAGATACACTATTTCTTTTTTTTTTTTTTTTTTTTTGACAGTGATCAGAATGAGACATTTTATTTTATTTTATTTTATTTTATTTTTATTATTATTATACTTTAAGTTTTAGGGTACATTTGCACAATGTGCAGGTTTGTTACATATGTATACATGTGCCACGTTGGTGTGCTGCACCCATTAACTTGTCATTTAGCATTAGGTATATCTCCTAATGCTCTCCCTCCCCGCTCCCCCCACCCAACAACAGTCCCCGGAGTGTGATGTTCCCCTTCCTGTGTCCATGAGATACACCATTTCTTTTAAAGAATTAAACTATTAGAAATTATTTTTGATAACCTTGGAATTCTTGTTCATACTTATCAAATAGATTTTCTATGGCAAGAATTAGTGTCCCTTTATATGTTGGAATTCACTGGGGATAATTCCTATTGTGTTTTAAGTCAGTTAGTAATCACTGCTCATTTATACCCTTGCCAGAGCTAGTGTGGTTCAGGGATTAATGCTTGGACTATGGGGTCAAACTAGCTGGGATCAAATTTATGGCTTTGTTTCCTATTACCTAAAAGAGCTCTGGCAAAATCACCTACCCCTCTGGCGTTCTGTAAACCTTTTCTGTAAAAAGGAGTTAAAATTTTAAAAACTGCATGTTAAGCACTTACAAAAATACTCAACACATATTAACTCTTCAATAAATGTTAGGAATTATTAATGATTATGAAACAAGATTACGTTATTATGATTACAGAAAAACATGTAACACTTTTATATCTACTCAGTTCTCCATCAAGCCAATGTAAAAAGCTGAAGCTTGTTCCACTAATACCACAGGCCTGTAATTAGCTATGGTTGGCTGCTCCCAGAATAGATAGAATTGACAGTCCCATGGGAATTTCAAAGGGTCAACATGGGCCACTGGAGCCTACTTATGACTCAACAGCAGTGCCTCTTTCAGACAATGGATATGGAGGGGGTGTTGGCAGAATGGAATTTCTGTCCCCAGTGGAGGTGGACCCAAAACATCTCCTCTTTCAATCTTTTAATGGATATTGGCCCATTCTTGAATTTTTCACCAAACAATTTTTCTGCTTCATGCTGGTCTTTCTTCAGCCAGTCCACTGTTCATTAGCTGGACAGCAAACAAGGGAGAGTGATGTTAAAATACATTCTAATTTGCTTCATTATCCTGGTTTCATAAGAAGTCAGAGGGAAGGAAATATTCATCACTGTTGAAATCACCATGCGTTGCACAAGGCTTCTTGAGAAAGAGATGTACAGTATATAAGAGCTGATTGATGGAAGGTTAAAGGAGCAGAATGCAGGTGCTACTAAAAGAATTAAGACACAGGACTGATGACTCAGGGAAAGGTACCCAGGCAGTTACAGGGAACATGTGAGCACTGACTGCCTGGGCATGAAAGACCTTGGCAAACTCTGTTATATTTTATCTCAGCCTGAGGCTGGCCATTGATAAATTGTGTCTAAAACATACTCTCAGTGTCCATGACTACCCTCCACTACAAACGACATTGGCTCCTTGCCCTCCTGTTTATTAAAAAAAAATTATTGAGCATCTGCTTCATAACCATCAGTAAGTGATGTCTTCATACATAGAGAGTAGTGAGCTACTAGTAATAAGTCAATGACCAACTTTCTTCTGTTCACTTTCTTAGTTGAAATATTATCTATGCATTTCACCTACTATGTACTAAAAACATCTGTGAATAACTCATTGGGATTCAGTGACCCAGATGGACAAAGTGCCGGCTCTCAAAAAGCTTAGATTCTAGTGGTGGGAAATAAAATAAACATGAAAAACAAACAAGAAAAGGACTAGATAGAGTGTTAGTACTTTGAGTTGGGTGGTCAGGAACTAACTCTCTGAGAAATGCAAATTTACTCTCAGATCTGAACAGTAAGTTTAGCCAGTCATATAAATATTCTTCCAGCAGAAGGAACAGCTAGTGCAGGAGAAGGAAACATATTTGACATGCATAAGAAATAGAATTCTCCAGTTGAACATGTTCTCCATTTCACCTCCTGGATTTTCTACCGGTTTTCCATAAGATGGGACGATTTTCAGCTAGCATTCTCTTGCAAGTTGGATAATTTCCTGCCCTGTTCTGAAAATGACACCAAAAAGAGTCCAAGTAAGACCTTTCTCAAAATTGCTTTATATCCAGAGCAATAGCCTAGAAAAAGCATGTCATTTCTTTAACAAAGTGTTGGGGGTTTGTTAAGGTTCCATTCATGCTGAACACTTTATACGCATGACCTCATTTAGGCTTCACATCACTCTTATGATAAGGGAAAAATATTATCTTGCTATTATAGATAACTACAGCACACAGTTAGTAAGTGGTAAAGCTAAGATTCAAACTCAGGTTTCTCTGGAGCTTCCTCAAAGAATGCAGAAGCAGAGGAGCCTATGAGTAGAAATGACACTACTCAGAAGCAAGCTTCTACTTCTGCATACTGTGCAAGTGACTAAGAGGTTAATGGAATCTCCAGCTGTGCCTCTATGACCAGAATACATGCACATGCACTCAAACTCACACATGTACTCACAGACATACACACACATACACACACTCACTTACACACACATTGAAAACCCCAGCTGTCTAAACCCTTCTCATTTCTGATGGGTGATATCCTCACATAATGGTGAGGAACACCAGCATTACTATACAAGGAGCACTATGTTGTCTAAAAAACTGGGGCCTCAGAAGTTTAGGAAAATATACCAAAGAAGGAAAAGAAGTCTTTAGGTTGTGCAAAATGGGAAACAGAACGTATCAATTAGGTCTTTTGTTTAGTGGAATACAGCAATTTTTTTTTAAATCAAGTCTGATTTCTCAAGAAGTTTGTAATCTAAATGGGGAAAAATTAATATAGGGAACTACTTTAGCAGGGGTAAGCAATTATCTGAGAATGGAGATTTACATGTTGGAAGAGGAAAATTAAAAAAAAATACAGAGTTCAATAAAGACAATAAACAATGACCACTAACAGAGATCGTTATTATTATATCAACACAAAGCGGTTCATTTAACTAAATTTTACTGAAAGTTTTAAAACCAGTCTGCCATTTGGAAAGCAGCCAGATCTGAAATATCAAGTATATTGTGGATACAAGAGTAGTTCTTCAATTATGCAGAGCATCCAGATGCGCTAGAAGATGAAAGTAAGAGAAATTTAAAAGGAAAAAATCGTAGAGTGGAACAGGGTACATCCTATTATCTGTTAGGTACAAACCAATAGACATTTTAAAATTACCATAACCACAATGTTCCCTTTGATGTGGGCCCCTTAAGAGAGTTACAGAGAGCTATGAGGCTGTATCATCACATATCTCCAGATTAAAGCCTGTCAGTAACAATATACACTGATTCACTGCAGGGTTGAAACATACCTGTGTAATCAAGCAGGGAATCCATGGATCACTGGTATAGAGCATCAGCCACAGTCTCATCAAAGGAGAGATTGTGATTGGTCATGGCTTTGCCATTTTTATAATTGCTCTTTTTGAACCACAAGTTACTAAAAGAACAAAGCTTTTATCACAGATAGAAAAGAAAATGTTTTCTTATATTAAGCTAACCAATTAAGTTAGTTCTGGAAGGTTTCTCTTTGTCTAAATCGGAAATGCTTGACAATACTTTTAAAACCATTTTTAACATTCACAATAATTTGATTTATATGCTATTTATCAGACATACATTACATGGACATACATACATAAACCATGTAAAACCGTGTCAATGATATACTATTCAAATACGCACACACATACATATGTGTGTGTGTATATATATGTATGTATATATATATATATATGTATCCTCAGAGAGATACTGGATATTGAATTAAGGAACACAGCAAGTATAAGGTCTTGGAAAATAAAAAATATTATAGCAGAAAAATATTTCAACAAAAAGGCTCAAAGATAAAGAAACGTGATACAGAAGTCAAATATCTAATAATTGAAGTTCCATAGGGAAGAAAGAAGACAGATGAAAAGAAATGATCAAAAGAATAAATCACAAAACATCCTAGAATTTAAAGACTTGAAATCCAGATTAAAAGGCCCACTGAGTCCCCACTATAATGAACAACAACAACAAAATGATTTAAACAGGGATAATCATTATGAAATTTCAGAATATAGGAATAAAGAGAAGATTCCAAAATTTTGAGAGAGAACAAAAAGATCATTTATTAAGGATCAGGTATAAGAATAATATCATAGTCTTAAGGCAACACTAGAAACTAGAAACAAATAGGGGTACATTGTCAAATTTTTTATGAAAAAGATTTTCAATCTTGCATTCCATACCCAGCCAAGCTATTAATCAAGAGCAATGGTGGAATAAATACCTTTTTAGACATCCAAGTTCTTAGAAACTTCACCAAGGCATTTGAAGCTCCAAATCTGTAGTTTTCTTAGAAGTTTACTTGAGGGTATTCACTATCAAAATAAGGGAATAAACCCAGAAAAAGGAAGACACAAGTTCCAAAACGAAAACAAGGAGATTCAACATAGAAGAACATCAAACAGAATTCTCTTGATGACAGAAAAAGAAAAAGCCTCAGAATAACAGCTTCACAATAGGCCAAGAAAATAACCAGTACACAATTGAATAGAACGACTGAAAGAAATGTCCAGAACAAAAAAAATTAAAATAAAAAATGAGAGTTATAGATTTTCTGATGTGTTTGTCAAGAAATGTTCATTAAGAAACAGCTAGGGGACTTGATTATACAGAATAAGGTACATAGAAAACTAAGCAAATAAAAATAAAAGAACAATAAATAGCTCAAGGGTAAGATAAAAATTATGTAAGAATAGAAATATAGTCATAATACATACATGAATTATATTACGTGGTCATAATAATGTCATCCATTAATACTGCCTTAACCCAAAGTTAGAATACAGCTATTAAGGCCAGAGAATGACACAAGAGAGCAAACTCCTCATCTATGTAACAGGAAGTTAACAGATATTGCTGAGTCTCTCAATATCATGTTCCAGGAAAAAGAATGAACATTCGTTGGAGAAATGCCTGATTTCAGGTCTGGAATAAGAAATGCACAGGATGTGCCTGGGACATTTGTTATGCCTGAAAGCAGGGATGCTATCAAAGATTACTGAGAGTGGCCACAGGGGTTCAATCAATATGCTGTCCTCTCCACATTTATTTGTGTGTAAAACTTTTCATTATACAAAATTAAAAAGTAGGTTGGGGAGTAGGATTGGGGAAGTAAAGAGAACTTTTCTAGTCAATGAATTTCAGTACTGTTTGAATCTTTTACAATGAGAATGTAAATTTATTTATTTCTCATGTAATTTTTAATTTAAAATAAAAAAGAAACAATGGTATATGCATGTATAAGGCCAGGTTCTCCAGAGAAGCAGAAGCAACAGTATATGTAGAGATATATAGGAGATTTATTATGAGGGATTGACTTACACAAGCATGGGGCTGAGAAGTCCCACAATCTACTGCCTGCAAGCTGGAGGCCTAGGAAAGCTGGTGATATAGTTCCAGTTTAAGTGAAAGTCCTGAAAACCAGGAGTGCCTATGGTGCAAGTCCCAGTCAGAGTCTGAAGGCCTGAAAACAGGGGGCCAATGGTGTTACTCCTCGCCCAACTCTGAAATTCCAAGAACCAGTGTCTGAGGGCAGAAGATGGATGTCCAACTCAAAGAAAAAAGAGAATAAATCTGCCCTTATTCCATCATTTTTTTCTACTCAGGCCCTCAACAGATTGGATGATACTCACCCAGGCTGGTGAGGGTGGCTCTTCTTTACTCAGTCTACTGATTCAATTGCTCATCTTTTTGGGAAACACCCTCACAGACACACCCAGAAATACTGTTTTATCAGCTATCTGGGCATCCCTTAGCCCAGTCAAGCTGACACATAAAATTAACCATCACAAAGAATATTACTTAGAAATGTGGAGTTAAACACCATTAGAGAAAATTGATGGTTGAAGGTGTTGGCCAGTGGGAAGTAAAATAGGGAATGAAGAGAGGTGATCATCAATTGCTATTTCGTGATTTGTAGGCCTCTTCTTATTGCTTGGCATATGCATATTTTACTTCAACAAAAACAAACATGAGTCACATAGGCCTTCATTCAAAATGTGACTCAAGCATTTGTTAGCTAAGAGGCCTTGAGCAGTGGCTTAATCTCTCACAATTTCTTCATCTGTGAAATAAAGGCAATATATGTCCTTGTGGAGTCATGAGGTTTTAATGTAATACATTAAGCACCTAGTCTGGTGCATAATCAGTATATGGTAGATATTATTATTATATTATATTTAGAACCTTTGCAGAAGCTGAAATTCAAAAGCTAAAAGCTGAGAAAGATGGCCAAAACCTGCCAAACTACAGTGATATGGTTTGTATATTTGTCCCCTCCAAATCTCAGGTTGAAATGTAATCCCTAATGTTGGAGGTGGGGCACGGTGGGAGGTGTTTGGGTCGTGGAGGCAGATCCTTCACGAGTGGTTTGGTGTCCTTCCCATGATCATGAGTTATCACAAGAGCTGGTTGTTTAAAAGAGCCTGGCCCCTCCTCCTCTCTCTCTTGCTTCCTCTTTTGTCATGTGACAGGCCTGCTCCCTCTTCACTGTACACCATGAGTAAAAGCTCCCTGAGGCCTCATCAGAAGCCAGGCAGATATTGGTTCCATGTTTCCTGTACAGTCTGCAGAACAAAAAGTCTCTAGAGGTTTAAAGCAGGGAGACCCCCCAGTTCTCTTCATTTGTAGGGGTGAAGATATACATTTCGCTCAAAGGCTGAGGTATGGAAAGCATCCTAACGTGATCAGTTTTGGCTGCATTTAAAATTGAAAATATTAACCTGGAATTTATTCACAAGCATTTCATTACTGCGACCCAATGACCTGCTAAACACAGGGGCTGTTCCTCTTTTTTCTTTTTTTTTTTTTTTTTGAGATGGAGTCTCGCTCTGTCACCCAGGCTGGAGTACAGCCAGCTCACTACAGCCTCCATCTCCTGGGTTCAAGCAATTCTCCTGCCTCAGCCTCCCGAGTAGCTGGGATTACAGGCACACGCCGCCACGCACAGCTAATTTTCAAATTTTTAGTAGAGACATGACTTCACCATGTTGGCCAGGCTGGTTCCAAGCTCCTGACCTCAAATTATCCGCCCACCTCAGCCTCCCAAAGTGCTGGGATAACAGGTGTGAGCCACCGCACCTGGCCTGTTTCCTCTTTGAACAACTTACCTAGAATCCAGTGCTCCCCAGGTGACTTTTCATATGAGTGCACGAGAAAGGCAGAGTCTGCATTTCCCAAACTCATCTTCAGACATCACCACTTACAATTTCACACTGTCATGCTGCTACTGGAGCTGCTCTGTAGCTTTCACCTGCTCATTAATGTGCACTGCTGTACCAGTAGCTCCTTAAAAATGTACATCACACACACGTGGGGTCTCCCCTAGGTGACCTCATGGGCACCAGTTGCCTGTAAAATAAACATTGACATAATCAAACAGCAAGATACAAAGAAGACTGTGTGTGGCAACATGGTATTGGCTGCAGGTGAAAAATGAAAGATGAGGAGCCAAAATGTTAACAACCTCATCATTCTAAACAACCAGGCTATAGATGCTGTGGCTTTTTTGTCTCCTTCATTTGTTAACTGAGCTAAAATCAAATTTAAAGACACTGGTTTGTATGGAGTAACACTTAATTCAGTCTTACCCCTCCAAAAAACAAACCAGAGTGTCATAAGTGCAGAAAAAAAGAAACACAGGAAAAAAAAATGATGATATTGGTTTGTATTGACTAGGCTTTACTCATAGTACCTTAAAATTAATTATTAAATAATTATATGAAGAGGTGAAGAATTAGCAAACTGGGGCCAATTATGAGGTCAGGAGTTTGAAACCAGCCTGGCCAACATGGCAAAACCCCATCTCTACTAAAAATACAAATTTTAGCCAGGCGCGGTGGTGGGCGCCTGTAATCCCAGCTACTCGGGAGGCTGAGGCAGGAGAATCACTTGAACCTGGGAGGCAGAGATTGCAGCAAGCCAAGATTGCGCCATTGCACTCCAGCCTGGGCGACAGACAGAGACTCCATCTCAAAAAAAAAAAAAAAGAAGCCACATCTGTTTAATGTTTATATTTTCAGCCCTCACATCTACTGTAAACTGTAATTCACAGCTTACAGTTTGGTAGAAGGAATAGACACAAAAGCAAGTAGTATTTACATATAACCAATGCACATCCTCATTTATACTCTAAATCATCTCTAGATTACTTATAATACCCAATAAAATGCCTACGCATCACTTCATTTGTGCAGATTCCACATAGTACTTGGCACATGGCAACTTCAAGTTTTGCTTAAAAAATTTTGTGAATTTTTTTTCCCAAATGTTTGTATTTTCAGCCCTCACATCTACTGCCTGGTACTTAGGAGGTTTTCAGTAGGTATTGGTTTTTAGAGTTGCAGGAAAATCTATAGAACATAATTGAGAAAAAGAAGGAACATAGCTGCTCATTGGCTATTTTCTGTCTCTGTCTCTCATTATGAAGTTCATTATGCTTGTATGAATATACAAGCCCTGAGAAAATAAATCATTTCCAACAATTTATTAGAGCAAGAGACATTGCCTGGGAAAATAAATTATTTCCAAGAATTTATAGAGTGAGAGGTCAGCGAGTTCCAGCAATATCTTGGTCATTAATATAGCATACTTTTACTTTGTTTCTGGATGGTTTTAATTTTTACAACGAAAATTAAACATATAAAGAAGCCCAGAAACCTGAAACAAGCTAGAATAAATAGATGGTCAGGTGAAGAACAGCACTTCCCATACCATGTAGCTTTCATTTGCCTATGTGTCTATCCCTTCTACCAAACTGCAAGCTTCTTGAGAATAGGAACTTTATCTTACTCATTTTCATATCCAGAGATGATACGCAAAATATTTAGCAACCAGTACAAGAGAGGTTCTGACCAATTAGAATGGATGCTAGCTGTAAATCACCAATATGGCTGACTTGCATGCTGGTTAAATACAGTCATTCGTTGGTATCCATGAGGGATTGGTTCCAAAACCCACCGGCCACCCACTGCCTCAACCCTCCTCCCCACAGATACTAAAATCCACAGCTTATAGTTTGGTAGAAAGAATAGACACATAAGCAAATAGTATTTACATATAACCGATGCACATCCTCATTTATACTTTAAATCATCTCTAGATTACTTATAATACCCAATAAAATGCCTACACATCACTTTATTCACATAGTACTTGGCACATGGCAAATTCAAGTTTTGCTTAAGAAACTTTGTGAATGTTTTTTTCCAAATGTTTTTGATCCACAATTGGTTGAATCCATGGATACAGAGGGGCAACTGTATTAGCCTATTCTGTCCTTAGTGTCTGGCACAATGCCTGGGAAAATACTAGATATTCAATAAATGTCTGATGAGTGCATGAAAAAATGAATGAGTGCATAAATTCTACAAGCAGACCATTCCACCAAAGCCTGGCTCTTCCAGGATTGTCCTACTATCACTCTTAAAATCCCCTTTGGGGTCCAGCATAATGGCTCATGTCTGTACTCCCAGTACTCTGGGAGACCAAGGCAGGAGGATCACTTGAGCCCTGGAGCTCAAGACCAAGCTGGACAATATAGTGAGACCTATCTCTATAACAAATGTTAAAATTAGCCAGGCATGGTGGCGTGCACGGGTAGTCACAGCTACTTGGGAGGCTGAGGCAAGAGGATCCCTTGATCCCAGAAGTTTGAGGTTACAGTGAGATATTATTGCACCACTGCACTCCAGCATACTGGGCTACAGAGCAAGTCCCTGTCTCTAAAACAAAACAAAAGAAAACAAACAAACAAACAAACAAAACTCCTTTGTGCTCACTCCTCACTGCACAGTGCAGGGAGGGGACTGAAGCTATTATGGAAGCCACTGTGACCTGTTGAACCTAACATACCCTGGAACTGTTGGCAATGAATTTAATTAGTCCAGCACTTTGTGGTAGTCACTACAACCTTATGAGTTATGGGAACATAATTTCAGTAATAAACGTAGCTATCACATCAAAGCCCTTGCGTACAGTGAAGATTGTGGTCCTCGACAACAGGCTGGTTGTCTCAGCATTTTTTTTTTACAGCCATGCCTAAATTGGAAACAGAAATAATTGAATTTATGAGAGACCTCTAATAGTGATTTTCTGTTAAAATAGGGTTCTATTGAACATATTTTTATCTTCCCATTCTTAATTTTGAATATTAATTATTTTAGAGATTTTTTTTGAGTCAGGGTTTTGCTCTGTGGCCCAGGCTGGAGGGCAGTGGTGTGATCAAGGCTCACTGCAGCCTTGACCTTCGCAGACTCAGGTGATCCTCCTACCTCAGCCTCCTAAGTAGCTGGGACTACAGGTATACCACTATGCCTGACTGATTTTTTTTAGCTTCTGTAGAGACAGGTTTTCACTATGTTGCCCAGGCTGCTCTCAAACTCCTGGACTCAAACAATCTGCCTGCCTTGGCCTCCCAAAGTGCTAGAATTACGGCATGAGCCACTGTGCCTGGCCTAGATATTTTATAAGAATATAGATAGAAGGTTGTAAAAAATTAACATCAAAGTTTATGGAAAGGTAGTCTTTCCTCGTAAATAAATGTGAAAAAAAATTTAACTCCCATATTTTCTCATTTATCATCAACCAAAGAATCAAATACTTATTGAATCCTTTAATGGACAATTGTCATTTGGAAGCTGCTCAGCTTTCCTACGCATCTCTTAAAAGACATGTACAGCCTTGATGAAACAGTAAATCCAAGAGTCTTCACTCCCTCTAAAAAAGTTAAAAGGTTTTCAAAGGCTGATAGATCCTTCTTCTCACTCCCCAGGTATAGCCAAGGGTGGGCATATGGTTCAAGTTTGTTTAATGATTCTATATCCAGGGATGTTTGAATTGTGAGCAGAGTGACGTAGCATGCATGAAGCAGACAGAGTGGACAGATTCTGGTGGCTGTGCCCAGGAAACATTCCCAAATGCTGTCTGCTGCGGGGACCTCCTGGGCCTGTTTGTCCCAAGCTTGAATCCTCAGCAATTTCTTCTTGGCTTTTAAATTTCTACATATATTTTCAATAAATATAATTTTAGATTAAGTAAAAGTTAGTTTCTGTTATTTGCACTGAAGAACTGTAAAGTATAATGCACTGGAGTAACAAACAGGTGCGTGGTACTGTTCTTGCCTTCTCTGAGTAGGTGAGCTAGCTGAAGAGAAGGAGAACATAGGTGACAGTATAGGCGAAAGGCAGAAAATGAGCAAGAGTGAAATGGAAACATAAGGAAAGAATCAGAGACAACCTGAAATTTAGGTTGTTTGGGATTTTTAAAAAATCCTCCCTTTCACTATCCTCATTCCTTGACTTTGCTCAATTAATTGATGAACAACCTTGACTGCCAGGTGTCTATATAGGCTAAAAAAGAGAGACATAAAAGTAGAAAATGTGGCTGCTGCACTCCGTGAAAAGTGCTGTCTAGTTGGAAAGACACAATTCATACATTAAAAATTAGAAAATAATATAAGACAAGACATAGATTTGGTCATGCAAACTTTAAGCCTTATAGGGCTTAAAAGACAGGACATACAGGAGTAAGATCAGACATCAGAGAGAAACTGGAGCATCAGCTAGTTGAAAACAACATTTAAATGTTGTGAATTCAATGAAAATCATCATTGAAAAGCAACAATTTTCTATTAAGATGAATTTCCCAAATAGCTAACTGTTATACAGATGTTACAATGTACCAGCCCTGTTCCAAAAGCTTTACAAGTATATTAACTTACTCAGTGAGTGCTTAGGCAAAGATTAAACAATCTTCCCTTTGTGTGGGGAAGGTACATTTGTAGAGTCTGCCAGTTTCTGTGGTGTAAATATTCCCACTCTGGCTGATGTCAAAATACCAAAGAGATATCACTGAAGGAGGAGTTGGAAAGAAGTGTGTTCTTACCAGTCAGTTCCAGTGCACCAGTTGTCCTAACACTTCATGTGTATAAGAGATACAATCAGGATCATGTACTCAAGATTCATAGGTTGGATCTAAAAAGGGATTTAGAGGTCAACTTGCTCAACATCTACATTTTAAACTGTGATATATTAGGCTCCAATGTAGGTCACTGACAAACTCATAATCACACTAGCAATTAAGGGTTGGCTGTGGGGTCTGGACAGGCAAGCGACTGAACTCTAATCTAATTAGTCAGGTTTCCATTTAAAATGCAGTCCAGTCCTGAAAGTGATCTTTGTATTCTTAGTGTGCGTGGATATCCAAAATCAAGTATCAAATATCTCCTTTTCATATTTATATACATTTCCTGGCTACCAGTCCAGATTTCTCTCCCTATACTATGCTTGGATAATCTTGTTTTTTACCTTCTCTTTTGTTTGTTGCACAATATATAAAAAGATAATCATGTATATTTGCATAAAAATTTCTGTAACCAGTAAAAAAGTGTTCTAAAAATAAATTTAAAAAACAAAAAGACAAATTGGATTAGCCTGTTCACCTCCTCTATACCTATGTGTCTGCCTATGGGATGGCCCTTGGTCCCAAAATAGCTTCCACATATTGTCACCATGTCTGAAATTTAATGACTCATCTTTTTGGATCTTAAAATAATTTTGTGGTTTCCTAAATCTAATAGCATGAAACATCCTGGGGGACGAATTATTTTGCCATATATATCGAGGGCCCATTGACAGAGAGTTGAGAAAAAGTTGTGAAAATCAACTCTTTCAAATATTTTAAAAGTTCATTATCAAATGTGGAATTAAGAAAACCACATAAACCACATTTAACACTTTTGCCTACATTTAGAGTTAATATCATTAAAAACTCTGATATACAGCAATATTTTAGTTGTGAAGCTGACTAAAATAAAATTATTAGATAACTGTCATGAACAGAAGTTCTTCTTTCGTGCCTGCTTTTTGAAATAATAAATTGTTTAGTAAATGCTTCCTATGTTGCTTTGACCCCAAAATTACTTTATTTTTATTTTATTATCATTATTTCTTGGATAGCCAGCAAAGAACTTGTTCTGGAAGAGTCTATTGTCTTTGTTACAAATACAGAATTTTGCTGATTCTAGAACTGATTTCAGATACTGGTGGTGGGGCATGGGGTTCATTATGCTTTTGAAATATTCAAGTGAGCTGGCTTGTTACCAGTGCTATGAAAGACAATCCATTCAGCTGACTGCTTAGCTTGGAGACTGTTTCTTTTGGCAAACAACATAAGAGGATACCTGCTATACCCAAGAAATATGTATTTAAAATAAATAGCAAGCATAGCTTTACATCCCTGAGTGGACAAAAAAAATGATCTATTTACTCTGAGACTACCAAACCAACATTCTTAGGTGTCTCAATAAAAAAGACAAGAAAAAAATAGTATTTGATCAAATCCATGGTGACAAGGGTCATAGAATGTGTCAGTTAAATCCTCTCCTGCTCTATCCCCTCCTTCTACTCTCAGATAATCCTCCTGTGCCCCTCCTCCCCGGAGCTGCAGCAAGGTTGCCTTAGAGAGCTGCCTTAAACGGAGATAGTGCCCCTTCCCTTGACAGAACCTGGGATGAGATCCTCGTTTCAGAAAATGATTTGATCCTCCTGAAGGCGCTCCCTGCTAAGGATCTAAACTCAGGGTAAGGCAGCCCCTGCATCGACTTCACCTGAATGCTCCCTCCTGTGGTAGAGCCAAGATAAGCCACTGTGCCTGTCACTTGGAGACCCACTCTCAAACCCTGGTACTCTATGTATTCTGGAAGGTTATTAATGGATTTCTTGGTGGTTTGCTTTGCCCACTTCCTAGAAAAGAGTTCTCAAACAAACAAACAAAGGTAAGAAGATACCTCAAAATATATTAAAAATACATTAGGGACGTAAGTAGTTGCATAATCTCACAACACTTTAAATTAATCTGTGCCGCATCCTTGCCTGACCTCAAGGAGTTAAGGTCCATAAGCAGGATTAGAGTAGAGACAGGCAGAGAGATCAGACATGTTCTAGGACAAAAATAAGCAAAGGAAACAGGGCTATGCTTTCAGGCATGGATTAATTTAATTTTATGGGAGGGAGGAAGGAATTGTTTAGGGGCTTACATCCACGGAAGCATCTCAAATACTGATGAAGTTTGACTTTTTTTTCTGACAGATATGTAGAGGTGAGCAAAAAGAATGACTCATTATCCCCTCTGGGAAGGAAAGACTATTAAGATTTATTTTAATTATTTACATGTTATTTCCATAAAATACTCTGCGCAGACTATTCTTTTTAGCTCCTTGTTAGGAAGAGGCTGATATTCAGTGTAATTCCAGTTCAGAATCACAATAATTCCTTAGAATGAATATGGAAATGTTTAACCAGTAAATGTTTATTTGGGGCATCGCTAATGAAAAACATTCTAGGCAGCCGAATTTTATACTTTGCACATGGAATGCAAGAATGTCTGACTTACTGAATCATTGAAATGAGATTTAGCTTATACCTATAGCAAGCTCCAGCACCCGTGAGGGGCTTCCTGCTCCCAGACATCTAACATAGTTCAAATGGGAAAGCTCTTCTTGTGGAGTTTGTGTGCGGAGAGCACTGGGCAAGGGGCTAAGCAGCATCAAGTTCTGTCCTGGCTCTTCACTGACCATCTTGTGGCCTTTATCACAGCAAAGAACTCTGTTTCCTAAAGCGCAGGGAAAGGGAGAAAGAGTGAGAAGCCAGAGGAGATGGTATGGTTAAAGAGCTTTGAAATACAAACGTGTTAAAGATAAGTGGTATTATCCACAACCCCAAACACATTTTAAGATTCCCTATCTGTGAGGCAATTTCACACCTTTAAACAAGGTCTAAACATACATAAAAGGATGGTTGGGAAACTCTCCTCTCTTCAAGGCTAAATTAAAGATGCCTATTAAGCAACTCAGAGAAGTAGCATAAAGAGAAGCAAAGTGAATGAAAAATCACCAGGACTTACTAATTTAGCTGTAGGGGCCATGTCTAATGCTACAATTTAAATGACATTATGTGTTTTCCCACAATATTTGCAATCACTAGCACATACTGGATGCTTCACTCATGCTAAGTAATACTTTGATGGAGAAATGAGGGACAGTTCGGTGAACCTTGCCTCTCTGAGACACCAAACAGCCTGGTATTCCACAGCACTGCAGCTTTATAACACGAGAAACAGCTCAAACCATATGGTCTTCCTTAAGTTACTTTACCCCTCTGCCCTGTAGCTTCACCAGCTTCAAGGAAGAGTGATAACTCTGTTCTCAAGGGTGACTCTATGAGTTGATGGAGCAGGCAAATGACTGCTCTGCTTCAAGGAAGGCAGAACTGGCTCCTTACTCCATCGTTTTGTTTTTCATGGCTTTATGGAATTATAATTTATATAAAATTAACTTCTCCGATTTCTTTTTTGTTTTGTTTTTGTTTGAGACAGCCTGTCTCTGTCACTCAGGCTAGAGTGCAAAGGCGTGTTCATGCCTCACTGCAGCCTGGACCTCCTGGCTCAGGTGATCCTCCTGCCTCAGCCTCCTAAGTAGCTGGGACTACAGGCACCTGCCCCCAAGCCCAGCTAATTTTTAAATTTTGTGTAGTGACAGGTCTCCCTGTGTTGCCCAGGGTGGTCTTGAACTTCTGGACTCAAGTGACCCACTGACCTGGGCCTCCCAAAGTGCCAGGATTGCAGGCATGAGCCACCATGCCTAGCCAAACTTCACAAATTTCAAGTGTACATTTTGATATTTTTTACATATGCATACAACCATGAAACCATCACCACAATTAGGATACTGAACATATCCATCTCCCCCACAAATCTCCTTGTGCCCCTTGGTAATCCCTCCCTTCTGCCCTTTCCCATCCCCTCTCGTCTCCAAGAAACACTGATCTGTGACTATATTTAGCTTGCATTTTCTAAAGTTTTATATACATTACATCATACACTGTATCTTTGACATCATTATATTATTCATATATCCATAGCTTATTCCTTTTATTATTCCATCAAATTTTCCCATCCAACCTCCTAAAACTTTTAATTCTGCCCTGAGATATACCTCTGAATTCAACGATCTTTAACTTGCCACTTGTGAAAATGCAAATCTGTACCCAAAATGTGCCAGCTGACACCTCTGTTAGGGGTTAGGTGGCAGCTAGCTGTGAATGGATGCAAATAGAAGTCAGGCACCCAGGGAGGAAGAGGAAACATTGATTGTGGCAGCAAGAGGCAGCAAAGAGACACTTGGAATTTTTGCTGCTTTCGTGTTGACCACAACCATCCTATCTCATGTGGATACTCTAATTAGTTTGTCTGTTTTTAAAAGCTGAGTAATTGTCTTTCATTCTTTGCTGGTTCACGGCTAGCCAGTCCCATCCCAGTTCTGGGGTTGGTGTTTTCCCTCACACCTTCTCATCACCTTTGAATACAAAGATGCCCACCCTTTGTTCCATGGACTTAAATATGTTCTGGAATGTGGGGATTACATGTGTGGGGCATCCGCAAGTTTCTTGGGATCATCAGGAATCATCAAAGTCTCTTACAGTGAAAAGACTCATGCACCTTCCCCAGAGCAGGAAGATGTGCTTCTCTGAAAGGTTTTTCAGCCTTGCTTAGACCCCAAAAGTCCTCAGCAGTCTCCCCGCGGCACCCCACTCTTCCCACAGAGTCTAGCCAGGTCCCATCCTCTGATCTCCAAACTCCTCTAACTCCTCTAACCCCTCCAAACTCCTCTAAGAGAAGTTCCTACCTCCTGTCCTCTGCCCCATAACCCCTACTTCTTGGGTATCCTACTTCTGATCTAAGAAGACAGGAGGGCAGTGTGGGTGGAGTAATCTGGTTCTTCTATTTCTTTCTAAATCTAGTATTGACTCATAACAGCTGGGACTTGTTTACCTCAGGTCTTTCATCCTGCTGATTATCAAGAATGTGACTTAGATAATTAAAAAAGTAAAAAGAGGAGGAGGAGGAGTAGGAGGAGAGAGATAGGCAAATTCTTTCTTGATCTTTTGTTCCCAGTAAAACAGTCTTCTTGAGTTAATGTGGAAGAAAGGCCATGCATAAATAAGTGGGGAAAAGTAACACATAAACATTAATATTTCGAGATTCTATCTTACTATTAATACATATATTTAAATAATTTATATGTATTTGGAATTTCCCAAAATTAATGGGTTCAGAGACTTTTTAAATGAAATTTAGTAAAATGTTTACAAGTCCTACAGCTATCTACAATGTAACAATAAGGATTAATCATCAAAATACATCTTTTGACCTAGACAGGCTACTTGGCTGTGGCTAAACTAAAAGATTAGTTTGCAGCCCTTTAGAAAGACAAATCCTGAAATTAAGAAAAAAAAAGGGATCAATATTGTTGTTATAATCCAAAACCATTTACCAAATAAATGTATTGCTGTGCTTTTTTGAGTGAAGGCAGCATTGTGGGCTGAACCTGCATGAGGCCCTGTGGACCACTTTAATACCATCATTTTCCTTTCATGGGATTATTTTTGATTCCTGAACAATGCAGTGAGTTTGGCAGAGAAAAGGAAAGAGCCATTATGTGGAAGGAAAAAGCCTGCTATTAAGGAAAAATTGTGAGGCTTTTAACCAAAGTTGCTTCAAGGTTTTCAGAAGGGAGTGCAGTTTCCCACATGCCATTGACTAGTTAAGGGGCCTCTCCACTGAGACCACATGGTAGTGATCTGTGCATCCTGAAAACGCATCAAGGAAACCATTGCAGTGGATTCAATCCAAGAGCTGAGTGGAGTGACCAATTACATCTATGAATGTGCCCTCCCATGCAAATTTGAGAGTTTCAAAGGCCATTCATTCATCAGGTCTTCTCTCTATGACTAGCTTAACCGGAAGCCAATGAGAAAATGGATCTTGCCCTTCCCAGAATAACTGTCCCTCCTTATTTTGGAGGTAGCCTCAGCTCAATACTTCTTTACAGTCAAGAATTCCTTTATTTTTATTTGATGTACATGGGCTTGCCTGGCCTTTCAGAGTCCAAGAAGAAATGTATGGTTTCAGAACCATAACTAATACTCATGTTGTGTATTTTAATGAAATAAATGTCAATATAACAAGTCTACTATACTTGCAGGTATCACATCCTTGATTTATACTTTTCTTTTTAAAAAGGCATATAGTTCTCTTTGAAAATTTTGAAGATACTGTCAAAAAATGAATAGTGTGTGAGTGACTGCATTTAAATGACATCCTGGAAAAAGGCTATAGGAATAAAGCACTTAAGCCCCTGGTTGCCAGGGGTTAAGTGTGGAGAAAGGGGATGGCCATAAACAGGCAGCAGGATAGAATTTGGGAAGTGACGGAGCTGTTTTATATCTTCCTAGTCATAGGACTCTATGCATTTGCCAGAACTCATAGAACTATACTCCCAAAAAAGTGAAGTTTACTGTATGTGGATTTTTTTAAGTGTACCAAGTCATAATAAATTGGTATCTATAAAGGATTGAATTTTGGAAAAAATAAGAATTAAAATGACAGGAATTAAACTCCTGTTTTTCCCATGATATCTGGAGAAATCATTTATGTATTATTATTAAATAATACATGATTATATTATATGTATTATTATTAAATAATACATGATTATATTATATGTATTATTATTAAATAATACATGATTATATTATATGTATTATTATTAAATAATACATGATTATATTATATGTATTATTTATATATGCATACATATTTAAATATGTATGTATATAAAATATATACATATATTTTAATACATATAATAATCTGTATTAAATAATACAGATTAATATATTAATACATATGTATTAAATAATATATTTCATTAAATAATACAAGAATTATTAAAATAATTCTTGATTACCTTCTTAACAATGAATAATATGGATATTATGGCATATAGAAATAACAAAATAAGTGAAACTACAGCCTTATCTAGTGTTCAGAACACCTTCAACATTATTCCTAACCCTCACCAAGCCTTTTCTACCCTTCTCTTATTAACACTCTTCTCAGCTAAAAAGGTTTTAACTAAAAGGATATGTACTTATTTCACCAATAAACACTTGATATTAACCAAAAAGTCATACACCCACCCTATCAGTAAGGACAATAAAGAATAGAGACTAATCAATCATGTTTGTATGTCAGATCCACCATCTTTTGAGTTTCCTTCCTTCCTTCCTTCCTTCCATCCTTCCAAGACGGAGTCTTACTCTGTCATCCAGGCTGAGGTGCAGTGGCACGATCTCGGCTTACTGCAACCTCCGCCTGCTGGGTTCAAGAGATTCTCCTGCCTCAGCTTCCCAAGTAGCTGGGATTACAGGCGAGCACGAGGGGTTTCGCCATGTTAGCCAAGCTGGTCTTGAACTCCTGACCTCAGGTAATCTGCCCTCCTTGGCCTCTCAAAGTGTTGGGATTACCGGCGTGAGCCACCGACCCCAGCCTTTTGAGTTCTTATTAACATCTATGTCTCCAGAAGCTCTTCAGCCTGCTCAAGTGTTAGTAGCCAAAGAAGCTTACCCGTGGGTAGAAACTGCAAATGTGCTAGTTAATTAGGTGATTTGTTTCCATGCCTTGTAAACAGTGCTCATTTGTCCTTCCTCTTGCCTCAGATTTATGCTCTTCAATCCTCTTCCCATTAGAGCCTCTTTCACCCTTTAAACTCAGATAGGATGACCATGACCATGGTCAATTCATTTCCTGCAGGTGATATTGTGTATGTGAGCATGTGTTTATTTAATCATAAAAATGTGGAATGAACTAGTCTGGAATACTTTTCTTAAGTTTTTTTCTGACAGAAGTAGTAGTATTTTAAAACATAAATAAAACTTCTTTTAAGTTTGCAGTTGGTATGTGGAGACAAGCAACATTAACTAAGATCAATTTATGGTGTTATTTCTCAACCAATTAGAAAGAGAATTTTCTAGTTCTAAGACATATTCCTATAGGAATATTCCTTACAGTTCTTCTGTTTAGTCAATAGAAAAAAAACACTTAAAGGTCCTCAAGCTATTATTCTTCCTAGTCTCGATTCATTTGGCAGCCCATTAAAATATAATTTCATGGTGAGATTTATAATAGTATAAATATATCCGTAGTTTTTATATTCTCTAAACTGTGATTTTCCCTTGCACTCTGCCCCTGAAAACTGTTTAAACTCTCTGTGAATACTTAGAAAATTTGTTCTTACATGGGTAAATGACTTCATAAGAGAGAAAACAGCTTGGTTGGAAACAATAGGGTAATTTTGGTTTGGGTTAATAATAAGAGAAACTTAAACTTCTAGAAAATTCAGGTCATTAATGATCCGAAGTATCACTAAAACATACTAGAGACTAATTTGTGTTCCACAAATCTGTATTCTTTCCAACAACTTCAGAGCTGGGATTGTATTTCTCCCTGGCCTCACAATGCGTCACCGTAGCCTTGACTACAACAGAGCCATTGATTCAGAATACAAAGAGAGAATAGGGACTGTCCCTGAACAAGAGATGCCCTGTGACTCTCCTGGACCTGAGCAAATTCAGACTTTACCATAAATTCTATGCTATTTTACATTCAATCTGACAGAGTTCCTTGCAGTAAATAATTCAAGATTCATCAATTTAAAGTACAGATTGTTTACCAAAAATATCAACTTATAAAAACAAGCCTTCGATGAGTTCAGCATATACTCTTTTATGTTGGATGACATGATGACACATTAGGTAACACAGAAAAATATTTTGATATGTATTTAGAAACTAAATAGAGATAAAAAAAAAAGACCCAGAAAATTAGAAACTAGGCATGAATTCCCACCATGTTTCTGAGTTTCATCTATTGGTTTTGCACTAGATTTTTTTTTTTTTTTTTTTTTTTTTTTTTTAGACAGAGTCTCACTCTGTCGCCCAGGCTGGAGTGCAGTGGCGCAATCTCAGCTCACTGCAAGTTGCACCTCCCGGGTTCATGCCATTCTCCTGCCTTAGCCTCCTGAGTAGGTGGGACTACAGGTGCCCGC
Source organism: Homo sapiens (assembly GCF_000001405.40). Classification (NCBI taxonomy): domain Eukaryota; kingdom Metazoa; phylum Chordata; class Mammalia; order Primates; family Hominidae; genus Homo; species Homo sapiens. The sequence continues at coordinate 85,994,766 of NC_000008.11, forward strand.
CACCATGCCCGACTAATTTTTTGTATTTTTAGTAGAGATGGGGTTCACTGTGTTAGCCAGGATGGTCTCGATCTCCTGACCTTGTGATCCACCTGCCTCAGCCTCCCAAAGTGCTGGGATTACAGGCATGAGCCACCGCGCCCGGCTGTACTAGATTCTTTCATATTTATGGATTTCTAGGATCTGGAATTGAAAATCATTAAATACCATATTTTATTCTGAAATAAATATTAATGATCTTTTCAACAATATTATTACATCAAAAAGAATTTCTGATGTATACAGATATGCTAAGATAAATGTATATTGGTGTCTGCTCACTGTAAAATTCTTCATCTCTTTTTCAAACACCAATAGCCAGAAGTTGAGCTTGATGTCTTCATGTCATTTTATAAACCACTGTGATTATTATCTTTTATCATTACTAAATCTCCATTTTAGTAAAATCCGAATTCTCTGCCCTTCAAAAAGAAAAATGTTATACACGGAGCAGAAATCATTATATTACTGGCTAGAGCCTTAATAGTCTGGTTTCAGAAAAACAGACCAAGATGAATGCAGAACTCAGTAAAAGATTGGCTTGCACTTTCAATGACTCCTCATCACCCCTAGACAAAGGCTAAATGCTTGGGCATGGCGTTCAAGTACACCAGCAATTTGCACCCTGCTCCTTCAGCACATTCACTCCCACCAAGTGCTTTTAAATATAAAACACCCCAGATTGCTCATTTTTTTAAAATCCAACATTCACTCACTAAAAAAATAGTTGTTATGATGTCTTTAATATGTGTCAGGCACTTTTTCAGTACTAGAAATACATCAGTGAACAAAACAGGAAAAAAATGCCTGCTACTGTGAACCTTGATTTTTTTTTTTTTAAGACAGAGTTTCACTCTTGTTGCCCAGGCTGGAGTGCAATGGTGATCTCAGCTCACCACAACCTCCGCCTCCTGGGCTCAAGCAATTCTCCTGCTTCAGCCTCCCGAGTAGCTGGGATTACAGGCATGCACTATCACGCCCAGCTAATTTTGTATTTTTAGTAGAGACGGGGTTTCATCATGTTGGCTAGGATAGTCTCGATCTCTTGACCTCGTGATCCACCTGCCTTGGCCTCCCAAAGTGCTGGGATTATAGGCGTAAGCCACTGTGCCCGGCCGAAACTTACATTTTAATGGAGGAGAGAGAGAAAGAGAGAACAAGTAAATAAATGATTATAACATTCTTTTCAATCAGCACTTTTCTCTTAAAGCTATTTTTAAAAGATAATTATCCCCCAAATTCATAACTTTTATGTTTATATAAAATGAACACATTACAGATTTTATTCATTTAACTCAATCAATGAGGATACCAGGTAGGTGTCATTGCCATTTGAAAAGAGAATCTAAAGAACAGACTCATTTATAAATCAGGAGTATTTAAATGAATGTGAAAATAGAGGCAAACCTGATTTTTCCAAAAGGGTTGAGAGGTAGGGAAGTCAACTGAATCTTTACCAGAAAAATTGAATTTGCATATCTATGGACAAAATTTATTTGCATTTTAGCGGGTTGAATAATAGAAGCCCAATAACAGATGTCCACATCTTAATTCCTAGACCCTGTGAATGTTAACTCATTTGGAAAAATGCTTTTTGAAGCTGTAATTAGGTTAAGGATTTTAATTTGAAGAGATCATCCTCTATTACCAAGCTGAGGTCTGAATCCAATGACAAATATTTTTATAAGACACCCACAGTGGAGATTTGGCAGCAGACGTGGGGAAGGCAATGTGATCACAGAAGCAGGTGTTGGAGAGGTGCAGCCACAAGCCAAGGAATGCCTGGAGCCACCAGAAGCTGGAAGAGGCAAGAAATGGAAGCTCCCTTAGAGTCTTCAGAGGAAGTGGAGCTCTGATGACACCTTGATTTCAAACTTCTGGCTCCAGAACTATGACAGAATCAATTTCTATTGTTTTATGCCACAAAGTTACAGCAGCCTGTGGAAGCTAGCACACATTGCTATCAGTTACCCACAACTTACAGAACTGTAAAATAGCTCTCATAGAATCAGGTAGCCAGGAGGGGTAATCTGTAGATAATGTGTAGTTTCCATTGATGCACAATTTCCCCCTATGTACCTTAATAGCTTTTCCCAGACCTTCTCTACCTGTCAGAACTCTATGTATCCTTTAAAGCTAACTTCAAATGCCAGCAATGGCTGGTTGACTGAATGATGGACAGAGACAGGGTCTCACTCTCTTGCCCAGGCTGGAGTGTGGTGGCATGATCGTAGCTCCCTGAAGGCTTGAACCCCTGTGCTTAACTGATCCTCCCATTTCAACATCCCAAAACACACCTGGCTAATATATATATATATATGTATTTTAGAGAAAGGGTCTCACTATAATGCCCAAGCTGGTATTGAACTCCTAGCCTCAAATAATTCTCCTGTGTTGGCCTCCCAAACTGCTGGAATTACAGGTGTGAACTACCATGTCCAGCTTATTTATTAATTTCTATTACATATATATTGGTGCCTCCAACTAGGATGGAACGCCTTGTCAATAACTCCTTTTGGCATTTATGGCACACCCTCTACATGTGCTTCCCAGGATGCTGTAGTAACCTAGCAGGGCACCATACACATAGGAAGTACTCATGGAGTTGAGCTGGAGAGAGCTGTGACCTATGATGACCAAGGGGAAAACTGGATGACTTCTGGTAATAACTGAACTTTCTTTCTCCAAGCTTGGCATGCTGAAGCTTAGTGTTATAAAATGGATCTCATATCCAAAGATTCTGGTTCCATAAAAGTATTTGCCCCACATCTAGCTAAAGGTTAAAAAAAAATCAACATCTAAGATAGGATGTTAGAAGGGTGACTTAAGAATAACTTTCTCTGTATCTTTCTGAGGATTCATTGGCAGCAAACTAATGGGCCTTGCACTCATGATTTTTTTCCTTCCAACACGCATGCCAAGTGTTTTATATATGACTAGAGTCTTTAAAAAGGCCTCTGGAATCTTAATTCAAACTTGCTGTAGTTCACATATTTGCTCAAGCCTGGATTTCTAAGGGTCTACATCCATTCCAAGCATCAGTTCTTTAACAGTGTCAGTCCCATTGTCATAAATAAATCAATTAATTCTAATGGAAAAGGTGTGATTAATTTAAAATGTAACTATATGCTAAACTAGAGCTCAGGTAAGATTGGCTGAGCTCCTGAAAAGTGACAATAGCATCTTCTAGTTTCCATTTCTGGGTTCCACTTTGGATGCCAATTCTATTACAAGAATTTTAACATCAAGATCTTATCTGCCCATCATCTTTGCTGCACTTTCAGCTTCTCTACAACTCTGGGGTTTCTGGGAACTGCTGAGGATGTCTACATGCATCTTCAAATCATTTTGGAGCTGGGCTCACCTCTCATCACTAGTGATCAGTGCTTGGCTCTGCTGAGCTACCACAGTCTTATCAATGCTTCATTCCAGGCTGCCACTTGCCTATGCTGCCATTTTTGCTCAATGCTCAGCTCTGAGCCAAAGTTTGTCTGCTGCAATATGGTGGCTTATGCTGTCACTGCAGAGCCATCTAAACTTGTGGTTCCAGAACTACTTAGAAATTAGTTGCAAATGAAAAGCTGAAAGCCTTTCTCTCCTCCATTGCATCTATAAAAAAAAGAGTCCCACAACAGGACTCTGAGGAGCCACAGAATTACACTCAAATCTTTCATTCCATAGACACCTCTCCACCAGGCTGGTTTTAGGTAATGGCCTATATGTGGTGCTAAGGATGCTCATCAGTGCTCATCAGTGCTCATCAATGCTCAGGTCTTATTTATGCCATGGCTAAACTACTTCCCTTAGGATGACTTCTCTCCTAGGCTACCCCTTGAAATTTAAATGCTGCCTCTCCCCATCTCAGTCCTCTCATTTCTTAAGATAAGGCTATATATTCTTGAAACTCATTTGTAGACACAGTTCAACTTTTTTTCCCAGGAAACTCTTAGGTCCAATGTTGAATGGTGGTTGCAAATAGATGCCTGAGCAACAGAGGTCTTACCTTATTCTAACAACAGATATTTCCAAATGTCAGGCCCTTCTTAGCTAGGACAAACCCTGCCCACCCCCACCATCTCACTCTCTCTCTCTCTCACACACACACACAGACACACACACATGCACATACACCTTCACATAGAAAATTAACCTTTCCTCATGGGGCACTAGGGTAACTAAGATTATGTGATGTCTGATAAGTCATTACCAAACCTTTCTTTCAACTAAATGAAACGAAACATTCAAATTGGAATTACTGTGCAAATTTTATATACTTTAAACTGATTTGAAATATTAATTTTACTAAACCATTAGTTTTACTGATGTAAACTTTTATTTTTAACCTTCTAGGAAACACATTTGAACCAAAATGATACATATTATCTTTATTTTGCAGCTGAGGAAGATTGAGGTTTAGTCCATCTATGGGGCACCTTCTTCCACCGCACTGCAATTTCCTTGAGGGCAGATATTTAATCTGTTTCTGGCACCCTGCAAAGGGCAGGCCACATAGTTTAAAAAAGTATGTTGAACTGAACTAAAAGGAGTTGGATGATTTTTCTAAAATTGCACAGTCAGAAAACAGCACAGCTGGGACTAGAATACAATTTTGGGTCCAGCTTTCTTTAATATATATCTAACAAAAAGGTGTCTATAGTTTTGCATTCTGTGACCATATTACCGTGCTTATTTCTTTCTTCCCAGGAACTATACTTAACCTTTTAGATCAAATATGAGCAGCCCCTCAAGACCACTGGACCCTCCTCCCTGGCCTGCATATTTGGTGTAACTGCATCCAATTTCTTCAGCCTAAATAAACAAAAATCCTTATTAGGTCCTTTACTTTTTTCACAATCTTACTTTACTTCTTTATCTGCATTTGAATGAACTAAATAAGCTCATTACCTTGTTTCCTTTCCTTTCCTCATATTAATTCTTTCTCAAACTCACCTTTCTTAAGAACCAGCTTCAGTCACCTTAAGATTTCCAGAGTCAGTTGCATAATACTGAGTACAGTATTCCTGCACTCCAGTCTATCAAAAGCCCCTTTCCCTTGAGTGATTCCTATCCTTTCTCTGTGCCTTGCCTGCAACCCATTCCGATTAGAAACCCAGTGGACAGAGAATGTGCGTAATGCTACGTTCACTTCAGAAGCCAGCATGAAATTGAACAGTACTGTCAGTAGCAGCTATGACCATATTAACATTCAGAATCTTAATTAACTAGAAGACAATTTCATTAACACAGTTATATTAAACGCTCTTAGGATATGTTTACCTCATTTTAATTATTGCTAAAGTAATGGGCACCAGTGAGAAGCTGATACAATAGTGAAAGCCTCAGGAAAAATTCTCCGGAGCAATCTTCAAGGTGCTCTTATGCTTCAGAACACATAATCTTTATTGTTGCTAAATCATTTCTATACTGGAAGTAACTGCTATTAAGTAGTCAAAGCAATATGTTACACATATTCTCATGTTTTAGAGACCATCTATGAATGGGTAAATATGCACGTTGGGTGTGTAGATAATTCAACACAGAAATTCTATTATTAATGGGAATTATGCACTGCCTTCTATATGACACCAAAAACCTACCTCTAAAAACCTAATTATTACTTACTGCCTTCTCTTTATATGAAATAGTAAAACAATCATTAATGACTCATAAGCCTCAGATTTTCACCATGAAATTCTTGTGCAATGTTACAAATGTCCCTGGACAGGTTGTGTTTTGTAGCTAATGCTAATAGAGGACAGGAGGCTATGGACAGTACATCCTTGAATTGCCTCTGAAAATAAAACTGTTCTTTTTTGTATACAAACACATCTCTATCTGAAATATACTTTTCCTTATATATCAAGAATTGACATAAAAGGGTCATTTCTGGAATACTCCATGCACAATTTTTTTATTTTCTGTATAGTAACTAAAATCCTAATCAATCAAACAATTTTTCCTAAGTTTGTAATAGCAGAATAAAGTCATAGTATTTAAATTTTGTTATTATTAAATAATTATGGGTCATCCATGCCTATAAAAAATCTCAATTTTTTATTTTAACTAAATTCTGTATAATTTATTGAGTGCTAGTGCTAGAACTGGGTTTATCCCTCTCAGTGAACCAAGGAAGTGAGGATATTTTTGCCTTCTTGAAGTTCACAGCCAATCAAGGAAAATCCATTGAATAAGTATTCATAGGACTGCTGAATGCTTTAAATGGGGATGGAGAGGCACTGACAGAAGCATATAGAAATATAATTTAACTTAAACAGAAGGCCATTGCCTCATGAGCTAGAGAATGGTCCACTGTGTCTTTCCATTAAGCAGTGCACGTAAGCCAATTCAGTAGTGCAAGGCAAACCTAGTTAGCTCTATTGGTTACAACTTCAAGCTATTATTTAATTCCATTTTGGATCACTTCACTTCTTTGTCATAGAGAAATCTCTTTCCATTCTTTCCCTTACCCAGGCTGGTTGTGCAGGTCTCTAGCAACATGACCTGAAAACTGGGTGTGAGAATATAAATGATCAAGCATAAACTCCTCCACTGGCAAGTGTGTATAAGAAAAGATCCTGCCGATTGGGTCAGTAGCTACATTGGTATGTGACTATGAAACTTACTGCTCAGGCATAGCTTAGAAATATCTTTAGATGAAGATGAAAAAGTGAAATTTTGCCAGCTTGTTTATTTAAATGCACCCTAAATATATGAGGAAAGAAAGGTGATATTTCATGGACTCTAGAACCAGAATTATGTACATTAAAATACACACTGTATTTTTCAAAACCATTCTGCTCTCAAGCAGTAAAATGAAGGTACCAGGTTTTTATTGAAGCTTTTTAAAATAGGCAAGCACAGTATTTTACTCACATGTACTAGGCAATCAAAAATATTTTGTTGAGTGAACGAATAAATGACTGCAGAGCTGAGTCAGTGGACTCAGGTCCTGGCCAGACCAAGTGCCTTTTTATGAGGAACCAAGTTTGCCTTCTAACAGGCTACACAAGATCAAATTGTGTTGGCAAGATAGGATTTTCCTGCATTTTTCTTTTGGCAACTTCGTTACGAAGATTATTTTAGCTTCACTTTCCTCTCAAGGAGAAACTGACAAGACAGGAGCCTTTCCACCATCTTCCTCGATGAGTTTTGGTGAAATTACCACCTTGAAAAGGAGCACACAGCAGCCCTGACTGCAGATCTCCTGAGCATAAAGCAGCTGTTCTCCTCAGGACAGCTTGGGTCTCAGCAGGCACACTGCAAAGAGAGGGGAGGAAGAAGCAGGGAATAAGGGAGGAAAGCATTGCTTATTCCTGCTGGGACCCTCATTCCCACTTCGGATTCATCTGGGTTGCACGTTCTGTTAAGTTGACCAGACAGTGCCATCTCACCAAGACTTGCCTCTTACTCCCAAATAAATACTGAAGCATCTTGACAAGTAGGCACATAGTTCACTTCCTTTCTATCTGGACAGATGGCCACAGACAATTTTAACATGTGATTTTACCTAGAAGTGAAGAGGTGTCCACATGTCCTTAGAGAGTTGCACAGATGATTCCAAAGACAGAACTGCCATGGGATTCAGAGATGGGAAATGTCACAAGGAAAAGTAGACATTGACCAGACGACATGGTTTTTCTGATGCTTGTTTGAGCCCACAATATGTTGGCATCATGTTATTCCTCCTAAAGAGAGTAATTTCTACAAATATTTAAATGACTGAAATAATATCATCTTCCAAATTCTCCATGGAGAAAAGAATCAAGCACGAAATGCCCCCTGCCTTGTACATCTCAATTGTATTCTCCAATAGGAGATTTTTCCTGCTGTGTAGCCATCAGTGTGCGTGCCTCATAATGGGAATTAACACCTGCAAATGCCTGCCAAGTAATAAACATCATGATGTTATTATATTCTAAAGAAATTGGCCTTCATAAATCACGTAAGTTCAATGATGCGTCAACACATTTGAATTAATCATAGATGATACCAGTACGATAGGGCTCTCCTTATCCATGGTTTCATGTTGTGCAGTTTCAGTTACCCAGAAACAATTCATAACTTTAAAATTGCACAGTGTTCTGAGAAGTGTGATGAAATCTCATGGCATCCTGCTCCTACCTGCCGAGGACGTGAATCATCCTTTTGTCTAGCATATCCACGCTGTATACAGTCCCCACCCATTACTCACTCAGTAGCTGTTTATCAGATTCACTGTAGAGTTATCGCAGAGCTTATGTTCAAGTAACCCTTAATTTACTACATAATGTCCCCAAAGCACAAGACTAGTGATGCTGCCATATTATTATAATTGTTCTAGTTTAACCTTAGTTATTATTATTAATCTCTTACTGTGCCTAACTGATAAATTAAACCTTGTCATAAGTATATATCTATAGAAAAAAAAACATAGTACATACAGGGTTCCATACCATCCACAGTTTCAGGCACCCTGTAGGGGCCTTGGGATGTTTTCCCCGTGGATAAGGGGAGACTACTTATTCTTTTTGATAAAATGTGCATATGAAACAAGAACTGCAAGAACAAATGGGTAACTATGCAGGGTACCTCCTGGTCTCGGTACAGAAAAAGTAACATATGGCTTTAAGCAAGGGTTTTCTTGATAAAAATTAAAATATCAGGTGCAATTGTTAACATTTTGAAAAATTTTAAATGCCTCACCCACCTTCATTCTCTTAGCACCTATATCCATTCTGCCTCACTTTTTGACCCTTTCAATATATGGAAACAATGTACTACACTAAATTCCAGGTTTTAGCAGTTAAAAATCACTGAGAAAAACAGAAGGAGAGGTCTTACCACTGTTCTACTTACTACAACTCTCTCTGGATATCTCAGAGATGTGTTTGTGTTTCTTGGGTGGGAGAAGCACGTTGGTTAGCACAAGATTTGACAAATGTAATTTTCCATCCCACTGAATGAATTTTGTCCATCTTAAGATGACATCTTAAAGGACAAAATTTGAGGATTACTTTTTTGCAATTTGAATAATTTACACTATGTTTCTAAAACACTTGGTACAAATTCAAATCTTTTCCTTATGAAGCATAACTGATATCACCTACAAAATAAGGTCAGATTTTCTTTATTACTGAAGTTAAAATTGCTTCAAACTGTTGTCTAAGTTAATCATAAGAGTCCTTCTCCTCTTCCCAGGGTCACCCTCCCTGAAAATTCCAAGGCCTCATGCCCTTGACACCTGTCAATCATTTCTTGAGGCTCTTTCCAACAGTTTGGGCTGGAATTCAGGTGTAGCCCTTTAAGGCTGGGGAGCCTCACTAACAGCCAGGCTGCTACTTATTCTCATAATTCCTGTAGCACATGCCTTGGAGTTCTTAACCATAATATAACAGGACAGGAGGTGTCGAGTGGTGCCACCACTACTGCCATGTGGAGAATATTCCATGTGCCATGGTTGTGGGTGCATGTTCCTAGAGTCTCTCAGATAACAGGTGGCAAGAATGAGGGGTCTCTCTTGCTCCTCAGATTTGGATTCACCAGTGGTCATTTCATGCCACCAAAAGTCTGCAATCCAGTCTTTCAGTTTCTTGGTTCGTACTCACAGGCCACACAAAGCTGCCCAATGGTATAATTTTGGCTAAATCAGGAAAGATTCCCAGCCTCAGCTGCAGGCTGTGCCTACACCTCAAGTCTTCCAGGACCACTTGATCTGGACATTAAGCCCAGAAGACTGCGTGTTCTGCCCTGCCAGCTGAGTACAAGTGCAGATTTCATAATGCATTGCTGATAATCTAACAAAATTTGATTGCCAAAGGGAAGGGTTTGTGGTTTCCATCAATTTTCTCCTGAGGGCCTAGTTTTTGTCTTATTATGAACAATGATCCACTCCTTCTAAAACAGAATTCCAGTTTTATAACCTTAAGAACGTTAATTGAGAGGCAAACAGGCTTGTTGGTCAACTTTTAAAAAGATGTCCTATTATAACCTTTCTGTAGGTTATTGGGTGCTGCCTTGCTGCATAGATTCATAACTTAACTCTGTCTTCCCAGAACACAGGCGAGCAGCTCCAAGGTAGCTTGTGGTCTTCAGGGCACTTCAATATCAAGAGAACAAGAAAAAAATTAGTAAACATAAATCTAAAGTAGGGATTTTACCACCTTTTTCAGATTTTTTTTTTTACATTAAAACGTTCTTAAAATATTTGGAACATAAGAAGAGGTTTTTCATACTCCAGGATCACAGTCATGTAAATAAAAAGGCAAGTAACACATTATTTGAAAACCCATCCATCCTCCTACCAGAGCAGAAAACTGAGTTCAGAAAAATTGAACTAAGGCCTTTGAAACTGGGCAACCCAGCATTTCCTGGACCATAGCAGGCATACAAGAAACATTGCTGATTAAAGAACAACTGTAGAAATCCATGTTATTTGGTGAAAGAGCTAGATCAGTGGGCCAGGCTTTCATTGCTGGCAAGAGACTTCTCAGGAGGGTGAGTGTTTGCTTCTTCCGTCTACTAGGGTTCCATCTATGTAGGTTTAATCCTAAAAATAACAACTTCCTTTTTCTTTCAGCATCCCTCCCTGCAGTGGTCCTTTCCTACAGATCAGGAGGACCAGATCACCTGTCAGTGCTCTTGTGGCCTCATAAAGAATAATCCTGCGTGCTCCTTGGTCACTCTTGAGATGATGGAGGCTGTAACCCTGCTGACTTAGTCTTGGTCTCTTGGATTACATATATCAAGGATAAGGAGCTTTTATTTTTGAGGGTTAGCTGTGGTCACTGCATGCCACCACTGGTCTGAAATGCAGCCCTATTCTGCTTTATTTAACTTTCATAGGCCCAGCCATAGGCTCATTGAGCAAGGTTGACTAGGTCAGGATTGGTTTCCAGCCTCCACTGTAGGCTGTGTCCAGAATTGCCTGTTCCTGGATCACTTGACCTTGACATTGATCTTTTGTCACAGGCTTCCCTCTCCTTCGCGACCAATACCCCTCAGTAAGAATTGGGATTGTCTTCTGTCAGATGAGCTCAGCCAGGGCCTTTTTAACCTATCAGAGAGCACTGAATAGCACTGATTCCCAAAGGAGGAGGAATTGAGTTCTCAATCTTTTTCCTCCTAGAAGACTAAATATTTCCTTATTAAAATCTCCACTTCTCCTGGAGCCACACACCATTTTCACAAAACAAGGAATAACTGAGGATTCCATGACAAATGAAAATATTGCCTTGTTATATACTTCCCCTAGGATATTGTGTGTGTTGTTTTTTAAAAAATAGAACCATAACGAGAAGCGTCTCAAGTCGATATTTCCAGAGCAAAGTCTGTCTGCTCCAAGATGCCTTGCCATCTCCTCCACGAGGCCAAGCAGTCCCTGGCAACATTCTTGGAAAACAACGTTTAAAAAGACACACACACAAAAAAAAAAAAGTTCTGCTTGTTGAATATCCCAATGTAAAGTGTGATATTTCAAAACTCCTTTTATTTGCTGCATATGTCAAACTAAGTTTGCTTAATTTCCTGTCTTGTCTTGCCTAAAACATGAATCTACATGAGACTATATCCTTTCTCTTATCTCCTTTTCTTTCCTTCTGTCTTCACTGTCCTAATTTTGTCCGATTCTTATTACTCTTGCTAAATTTTTCATTGGCAGTCTGCTTACTGAATATCTCAATGTTGAGAGGTGGGGGTGGTGACAAACTAGGATATGGAATTGTTATCATTAGCAAATAGCAATCATCTCAAGGGTATTAGTTCTTTTTTGACATAAAAAACACAAACTGAGCTGGGCACAGTGGCTCATGCTTATAATCCCAGCACTTTGGGAGGCTGAGACAGGAGAACAGCTTGAGCCCAGGAATTTGAGACTAGCCTAGGAAACATGGCAAAACACAATCTCTACAAAAAAAATTTTTTAAAATTAGCTGGCTGTGGTGGTGTGCACCTGTGGTCCCAGCTACTCAGGAGTCTGAGGTGGGACAATCACTTGAGCCCGGGAGGTTGAGGCTGCAGTGAGCTGAGATTGCACCACTTCACTGCAGCCTGGGCAACACAGTGAGATGCTGTCCAAAACAAACAAACAAACAAACAAACAAAAAAACCCCACAAACTAATAGCCCAAAAATGTGTCCTCTCTCCTGAATTTATTCCATTTATTCCTATTAAATAAAATAATTAAAATAAGAAGAAAATAAGATAGAATAAAGAAAAAACTGTGGGTACATGATAGCATCTAAACTTCTGTTAGTTGGTCAAACCCATTGCCAAATATAACAATCACTGTCTGTAACCTCAAGATCTCTCTGGCCGCCCTGTAATCTCAGAACTTTGGGAGGCCAAGGTGGGAGGATCCCTTGAGTTTAGAAATTCAAGACTCGGTCTGAGACTGAGCAACACAGTGGGACACTGTCTCTACAAAATGTTTAAGAAATTAGCCAGGCATGGTGGCACACATATGTGGTCCCAGCTACTTGTGAGGCTGAGGTGGGAGGATCACTTAAAACTGGGAAGTCAAGGCTGCAGTGAGCTGTGATGGTGCCACTACATTCCAACCCGGGCAACACAGCAAGACCCTGCCTCAAAAAAAAAAAAAAAAAAAAAAAAAAAGATCTCTTGGCTGTGAGCAGAATTGAAAAAGTAAACAAGTACGTTTTTCTATTTTTATTTCAGGGTGTACTATTTTTGGGAGTCACCAGAAATTTAATTTCAAATGTTCAATATAATGGTAGATTACTACAGACTAATATAGTATTATCTCTGAATACAATTATGCTTTAATTAATTAAAAGTTCATTTTTCTAATAATTTAGAAAAGTGATTATTGCCAAACTTTACATAACAAGAAAAATACAACATCTTCTTTAGGAAGATTAACAATTACTGAGTTTTCCCTTCCTAGGATTTGTCTTGACAATAAAATCTAGTTAGCAGCAAACTTTTTGCTAAACAATATAATTTAATGAGGCTCAAAGAGCAGAAAATTAAATCATTTACACCAAATAGGTCTTTCAGTAGTAAGACAAAGCTTATTTTGTGAGCTCGTCATCTAAAAATGTGTCTATAAATGACATGAGTGCTTGTTTGTACTGCCAACTTGGCACTTTAAACAGGAAGGTTTGCGTCTGTGATGTAATAGTTAAAAACTATTCTATAGTCCAAATTGCTTATGGGAGGTTTCCAGCAGAACTAAGCGATGTGACATTTTTTGCAGCTAAAAACCATATTCATAGAGCTGTGTATTCATTTTATTTGCTTTCTCTTGACCTCAGGCTGTGGAAAAATAAGTGCAAACCTCATGTTATCATAAGGTAACTGCTATTTATTGACTGCTTACCATATATATGGGTATGTATCTATATGTACTGATATATATGAGCACAGAAACAATGACAGAGAGGATTCAGAAGCTGGAAACACACAGCACATAGTGAGTCCAGAAATCATTGTGTCCCCAAGGTTTCTGCTTCATAAAACTGCTGCCTCTTGTATTGTTAGTTCAGGTCAGAGTATGTGCACTAATGTGTCAATGACATAAGTACATTTATTTCTAAAAATCATTTTCCATGGACTTAAATTCAGCCTCTCCAATCTCCCCTTAAAATAATTTATCTTTCATATCGAAAACAAAATCTGTTTCTTAGCCTTCATTTTTGTTTATTTTAATATGCATATTTCTAATCCCTTTAGTGTCTCAGAATTTTGTTTTCAGCCGTGTGCGGTGGCTCAAGCCTGTAATATCAGCATTTTGGGGAGGCTGAGGCAGGTGGGTCACTCGAGGCCAGGAGTTCCAGACCAGCCTGGCTAACATGGTAAAACACTATCTCTGTAAAAACAACAAAAACTCAGCTGGGTATGGTGGCACATGCCTGTAATCTCAGCTACTAAGGAGGCTGAGGCACAAGAATCGCTTGAACCTGGGAGGCGGAAGTTGCAGTGAGCCAAGATCGCACCACTGCACTCCATCCTGGGTGACAGAGCGAGACTGTCAAAAAAAAAAAAAAAAAGAATTTTGGTTTCATGATTGTAGTCATTTTTAGGATAAAGAAATTATTTATAATTTTAAGATATTTATATGTTATGTAGTTTCTCTCTCAGGAAGAATAACAAATTCTTATTTTTTTATTCTGAAAATCTGGTTTCTTTTTCCAAATTTTATCCTTGGGTACCTTGGTTTCCTGCCGACACAATAATAGAAGCACTTCAATTTCTCTGAGCTGCCACAATTTAAGTAAAGCTATTACAGATTTTATTATATTCCATAGGAAAAAAAATAAGGCTGTTAACATTCTCTCGATTGTTGTTACAATTTATAAAAAGGTCAGTGAAATGGCACTGTAAAAATGCTCTCACCTTCTGCCATAGGCAAGAAACTTCCATGGTGGAAACTTCTGTTGGCTTCATTGCAGATCCTGACTCACTCAGTGTAAATGCCACTTCCAAATGGGTTGTCACTGGTTAATTTGGATTCTCTTGCTCCTTGACAATGCTTTAAATGGCTCCTTTCTCTCTATTACTGCAATTGTCTGTTTAAACCTTTGGCATTTTAACCTTTTAAAAAATATGTGTCTTTTGTATACATCTTCAGAAAAATAGGAACTGGTCATTCACTTTCTCCATCCCAGCAGTTTCTGCGGATTGGTGTTGGGCTTCAATCAGGTTAGGATACAATAAAAGGGATTTTTTTTAACTTTTATTTTAAGTTGAGGGGTACATGCGCAGGATGTGCAGGTTTGTTACATAGGTAAACATGTGTCATGAGGGGTTGTTGTACAGATTATTTCATTACCCAGGTATTAAACCTAGTATCCATCAGTTATTTTTCCTGATTCTCTCCCTCCTCCTACCCTCTACCCTGTGATAAGCCCCAGTATGTGCTGTTCCCCTCTGTGTGTCCATATGTTCTCATCATTTAGCTCCCACAGTTTGGGGTTTTACATTTAAGTCTTTAATCCATCTTGAGTTATATTTTGTACATGGCATAAGGAAGTGGTCCAGTTTCAATTTTCTGCCTATCCCAGCACTATCTATTGAATTTACTGAATCCTTTCCTCATTGCTTGTTTTCATCAAATTTGTCAAAGATCAGATAGTGGTAGGTGTGTGGTCTTATTTCTGGGTTCTCTATTCTGTTCCATTGGTCTGTGTGTCCTTGTACCAGTACCATGATGTTTTGGTTACTGTAGCCTTGTAGTATAGTTTGAAGTCAGACAGTGTGATGCCTCCAGCTTTGTTCTTTTTGGTTAGGATTGCCTTGGCTATTCAGGCTTTTTTGGTTCCATGTAAATTTTATTTTTTATTTATTTATTTTTTTGAGACAGAGTCTCACTCTGTTGCCCAGGCTGGAGCGCAGTGGCATGATCTCAGCTCACTGCAACCTCTGCCTCCTAGGTTCAAGCGATTCTCCTGCCTCAACCTCCCGAGTAGCTGGGATTACAGGTGCATGCCACCACGCCTGGCTAATTTTTGTATTTTTAGTAGAGATGGGTTTTTGCCATTTTGGCCAGGCTGATCTCAAACTCCTTACCTCAAGTGACCTGCCAACCTCAGCCTCCCAAAGTGCTGGCATTACAGGCATGAGCCACTACACCTGGCTTTGTTCCCTATGAATTTTTTAATAGTTTTTTTTAGTTCTGTGAAGAATGTCAATGGTAGTTTAATGGGAATACCATTGTACCTATAAATTGCTTTGGGCAGTATGGCCATTTTCACAATGTCGATTCTTCCTATCCATGAGCATGAAATGTTTTTCCATTTGTTTGTGTCATCTCTGATTTCTTTGAGCAGTGGTTTGTAGTTCTCCTTGTAGAGATCTTTCTCTTTCCTTGTTAGCTGTATTCTTAGGTATTTTATTCTTTTTGTGGCAATTGTGAATGGGAGTTGGTTCATGATTTGGCTCTCAGCTTGACTGTTGTTGGTGTATGGGAATGCTAGCGATTTTTCCACATTGATTTTGTATCCTGAGACTTTGCTGAAGTTGCTTACCAGTTTAAGAAGCTTTTGGGCTGAGATAGTATGGTTTTCTAGATATAGGATCATGTCAACTGTAAATAGGGATAGTTTGACTTCCTCTCTTCCTATTTGAATGCCTTTATTTATTTCTCTTGCCTGATTGCCCTGGCCAGAACTTCCAATAATATGTTGAATAGGAGTTGTAAGAGAGGGCGTCTTTGGCTTATGCTGGTTTTCAAAGGGAACGCTTCTGGCTTTTGCCCATTCAGTATGATGGTGGCTGTGGGTTTGTCAAATATGGCTAATAAAAGAGAATTAAATCAATCCTCATCCAGTGCCTTCACATTGGACTTGGGGGTAGGAGAAATTCAGTTGATCCTCACTGCTCTTTTTTCTTCTCTGACTTTCTCCATTCTCACCTCCAAATAATGAAGAATGTCCTATCATGTCAAGTTTGCCTTTGTGTTATTACCGCTCTTGATGATTTTTTTTAATGTTTTGCTTCTTTTGAAACTGAATTCCAACAACTACTTGTGACATTTGCTCTTTCCTCTTAAGGAGTTCTGATGAGGGCTGAGGGAGTTGAGTTCCTAGGGGTGGTATGGACTCGTCAAAGTTTAATCAGATCCTCCCTGGACCAGAGGCCTTGTTACTGATGGAAGGAGACTTGTAGTGTCCTCCTCTCCAAATCCATTCTCCTCGCCACTCCCCCTCACCAAATGCATTCTCCTCTTCTTCCAGGGCATCATCTAGAAACTAAATGTTATAGCCACCCTTGCAGTTAATGGTGGCCATGCCATGTGACTCAATTTCTTACTGATGGAATGTAAGCAGAAGCGATGGATGCAACTTCTGCTTCACTTGTTAATAGGAAATGATTTTCCCTGGACTTGCTCTGTTACTTCTCATGCTAACTGGACACAGACATGCCTGAAATGCAGCTTCTGCTTTCCACACAAGCTGGTGCCCTGGAAAAAGAAGGAAGATGATGGAAGCAACCTATGTCCCTGAATGACCACATATGACCACATATAGCAGAGCTGCCCTATAGCCTCTCAATCAGCTACTGTTGCATGAGAGAGAAGTAAGCTTCAGTCTGCTGCAAGCCACTCTATATATTGTATATTTGGGATGTTTTTATTCAGCAGCTTAGCCTGTACTCCTGTTGTTCCTCTGAACCAGGACAGATTTATTCCTTTTCTGCCCATATTATACCATGGGGTGTGGATAATGCCCTGTGGATGTGGGAAGAAAAGTACATCTCTGCTGGCCCCTACTAAAATCATTCCACACACAATCCATCTAATCAATATTTAATGAGCTCATGCCTTGTACAGCACTCTGGGCTAGGCATTGTGTGAGAAATAATAGCAGCTTTGCTTCTTAGAAAAAATAAGAAATCACACCCAGCAGGAGAAATCATAAGAGATCTATAAAAAAAGGTGCAGTGGTGGCTGTGGGTCTTATGTATGTGAAGGATTTCACAAATGGAGATGAAGAAATGGAAATTCTCAGCAAGAGAGGAGGATTTACTAGCAAAGAGGAAAAAAAAAAACTTCAGCTTGGCTATAGTATGATGGGCATGATGAGAAAATAGGAGATAAAACCTAAAATGTATAGTTGGAGGCCATTTTTAAAGAAGCATCAGACCAAGAAGACAGGCCTGGGC
Organism: Homo sapiens; assembly: GCF_000001405.40. Taxonomy (NCBI): domain Eukaryota; kingdom Metazoa; phylum Chordata; class Mammalia; order Primates; family Hominidae; genus Homo; species Homo sapiens. Next base: position 86,012,403 of record NC_000008.11, read on the forward strand.
AAAGTGTGGAGGTTTTAGCTAAAGGATTAAAAATCTGTTTCCAAGTCTTATAATTCAGCTAGGCCTAGACAAAAGCTCTTTTTGCATTTTACTTGAAATGACTTTTGTTGCTGCTTCCTAACAAGTGAGAGCATTAATTTAGTGAATTGCTTTGAAGATAGGAGACACTTTATAAATATTGAGAGTAAAGTATTAATTTTAATCTCATAGCTACCATAGACCATGCCACTGAGTTACTTTGGTAATCCTATGAGAATGCCAACTTTTTTCACACCAATTTTCTAATCCAATCAGTAGTGGAAATGCCAAACTAATTGAAATGTATTTAGAACTACATGATTTCTAAATTTGTGCATGTAATGTTTGTTTTTCTTTCATTAGTCATACTATCAAATCAAAATGCATACCTACATGCTTTTAAACTCGCATACTTGATTTTCCAGATTGCATTTTTTCAAATGTAAGTAAGAGGAATGCTCATATTTCTTGTCTGTGTTTGGGTTACACTCTTAATGGTGATGGTTTCTTTACCACTTGCCCAAACTAAATCATTATTCTCTATTATTCCAAGAAAGTAGTGTTGATGGGTGGGGATTTCAAGCACACCTAGCATAAGATCCATAAGATTTTTTTTTTGCCTGAGTTACTGCACAACAATGAGAAGTATAAATGCATAAGTCAAGCTTCCACTGATCATGTTAACAGTATTATCAGGAAGTGATGCCTCGTTACAAAATTTTATTTAAGGACTACTCTTACTTCTGGAAGCAAAATTTCTTCCAAATTAATTAACTTGTGCCAATAAATTATCATAATTAAAGAGTGGGAAAATCTACAGAAAATTTAGATAGATAGAGATGATAGAGATACAGATAGAAAGACAGCTTTTTTTCTGAATTGCATATATGCTCAGTGTGGTCAGAGATATGACATCTCCCCCATCATCCCTGTCACCCCCCTCTTGAAAACTGTACACCCAATCTATTATTCTGGAAGTATAGAATTTAACGAATCATAATGTTAAAAATCACCAGTGTGTTTCCCAGGGAAAAAGCCAGTACTACTACTATATTTTGTTGTTTTTATTAACTCACTTGGTTTTAATTATTTTTCAAAAACTCATATTCCTAATGCCTCACCTAACTATGCGATATTAGATCTCATTTATGCTTCTGCATACACCTTTGACATTGCCCTTGGAAATATCCCAATTTTTATCTTACTACAGAAAAAAGTCACTATCCCTCCCCACTACTTTCTTAAGCTAGTCTACCATTCTACTTAGACTATTATGCTGGAATACTATTATTCTATTTAGACTATCAGGCTAATCATCAAGTATAATTCATTATTGTTTTCATTAGCTAATTTTAGGTAATTTTGTAACCCTACAAATTCTCTTGAAACAAAGTCCCTATGTGCATATCTATCAATACAGAATCAGCTCCCTGGTAGAAACCACTGTGACAGGCGTTGTCAAATAGTTTTTCTTTGCTCCAGGGCAGCCTGGAAGAATAAATTTTAAATTTGTTTTTCTTTCTAAATGACTTAACTCCTGGATTTTGCATAACAATATCTGCTAAAAAGTAATCTGACATTATCTGTTTATTATCTTTCTTTCTCTACTAGAATGTAAGCTTTCTAAAAACAAGGATTTTTTTTTCCACCGCTGTGTGCTTAGCACCTAGAAAATTGTCTGAGACATAGTTGAAACTCAGGAAATATCTGTTGAATTAATGAATAGATATGAAACGATATGAAAAGCAGAAGATATTTATCTGGGTCAAGAAGAGACACAGGATAGGGCCTTCAGAGTCTGCTAAATTCCTAGGATGTTATCCTAGGCGAAAATGAAGGAGGCCAAGTTTCCTATAGTGCTTCCACTTTCCATTGGTGCACCTCTCTGCCCAGACTCCCAGGGCTCTGACTCTGCTGTCTGGAGGAAAACAGTCTCACAAAGAAATAATTAATTAGCTGTCAATTCAGTGAATAATTATCAAGCACTGGTCATGTGTCCCAGGCATTACACTAGGTCCTAGAGTTGAAAATAATAATAACAAGATAGGGACTCTGCTCATCATCTGGTGATAAGTGCTAGGAGCATAGAAAGGAAAACAATTACAAGCCTACTGCCTTGTCATGGGAACACTCAAGCTACCATGTGCAGACACTCACGTGATAAGGAACTGATGCCTCCTGGCAACAGCCACATGAGCAACACATCAAGGTAGTGGATCCTCCACCCCCACTTTAGCTTCCAGATTACTGATGGCCCTGCCAACTTCTTGACATCAACCTCAAGAGAGATCTTATGCTAGAATCACCCAGCTAAACTGTTCCCAAATTTCTGACTCACAGAAACTGTGAAAAATATGGTTCTTGTTTTAAGCCACTAAGTTTGAGGATAATTTATTGTGCAGCAACAGATGACTAACATAGACTTCAGTGAAAAATGAACTTAAAAATGGGATGCTAAGCATTGCTCATGGGGGAAAACGTTTTCACCTCAGGTGGACATTGTTGAAAGATTTCTTGGGATGTGCAGACAGGTCACTATCCAAAGCACATGTTGTAATGCACTAAGGATTTGGAGTCCCAAAGTTCCTTCTTGGTAACTCATCGCAACTCCAGCCTAACAGACTGATCTTCCTAAAAGTCAAGGAAGTGGGTGGGTCACCTGAGGTTAGGAGTTTGAGACCAGCCTGACCAATATTGTGAAACCCCACCTCTAATAAAACAAATACAAAAATTAGCCAGGCATGGTGGTGTGTGCCTGTAATCCCAGCTACTCAGGAGGCTGAAGCAGGGAGAAATGCTTGAACCCAGGAGACAGAGGTTGCAGTGAGCCCAGATCGTGCCACTGCACTCCAGCCTTGGCAACAGAGCAAGACTCCGTCTCAATAAATAAATAAATAAATAAATAAATAAATAAATAAATAATAAAAGCCAAGCAAACCGGGTCTGATGAAGCAAGAAGTTAAGAATTGGATTCATTCATTCAGTACCAAACACTGAAAAGAAATTGGACTGGCTTTAAAAAGGACCACGTAAAATGTGTGCACATATCCACTAGGGTATTAAATCTCTGGCAAATAACTATAGGTAAATCCTAAAATCCAAAACAAAATAAACTGCCCTGACTCATTCAGTTTCAATATAAAAATAAATAAAATATAATGTAATTAACAATAAAATGTACCTAAGAGAGAAAGAATGAAAGTTACAACCTGGAAATATTTCCGCTAATGAGATTGATTTGTTGTTTGACCACTTCCGCTGCTTCTTAGCGCCTTTAGGATTACCCTCCTCTCACTGTTCCCTTTCTTCTATTTCTATTAAAAATGACTCCACTTGGATTTTAATAATGAAGCATTAATATTTTCATCTGCAAAGATACATTCTCTACTGGTCTTGTCTCATTTCCTTCCATGAAACATAGGCCCAAGTCCCAAGTTTCTTGCTTTCCCTTGGCTTGGATCTAAGGGCAGCCTGACTTTTCTAGCTTTCCTCTGTAACTTCTACCATTACACCTCACCCCAGCCTACATGCTGACCTTTCGTTTCCCACCGCCTAGACTGAGAACCTGGTCCACAGTTAGTGCTAAATAAATACTAGTTGCTTTGTCCTTACCATAACTGTCACCATCGCCATCATCATCATCATGACCACCATCACTGTCATCTGTAGAAGTGCCAATTCCTTGTCTGGATTTCCAGCCCTTTGTTCCCCAGCTGGTTAGCTTCGGTGGGCAATCCTGTCTATTTAGGGGTATGGATTATCAACTTTGTCTGCTCAGAAATACATAACTTACCTGACCACTCCCTATCTTAGCCAATTTCCCTGGTCTTCAACCCCATGCCTTCCTCAATCCCTGGTACATTTATTTTCTTCTTCCACATAATCACAGCTTGTTAGAAGTAGAAATCATCTTAAAGATCATCTTGCTTAACCCCTACATTTTAAAAATGAGAAAAGCAAAATTTAAGTAGGTGTTATAACTAGCGGAGCCCACTTTCCATTCTCCAAGTCCAAGGTGTCTTTCTCTATGACCATGGTTCTCAGCCAGGGATGATTTCGGCACCCAAGCAGTGTCTGAAAACATTTCTGATTGTCAAAACGTGAGGGGCAGAGTATGCTCCTGGCATCTGCTAGTGTTTAGCAGTATCCTTGTCCTCTACTCACATTTAATCCTACTGCTGTAAATGGTGTTATATAGGAGACAAATGACGTTAAGAAATTAACGTAAGTACACTTGGCTAGTAAGTACAAAAGGCATCAATTACAAGGCCATCTGGCTTTAAGACACAATCCACTCTCCACAGTTGTGCCCTTGTCAAAAGAAAAGTAAAAAGGTGCTATATACTTCTGTTTCTGGCCCGGCCTCTTTCTTTCCGTGGTGATAGCACTCACACAAACATGGTGAACATTCCTAAAACCCGTCGGACTTTCTGTAAGAAGTGTGGCAAACACCAACCCCACAAAGTGACAAAATACAAGAAGAGCAAGGATTCTCTGAATGCCCAGGGAAAGCAGCGTTATGACAGAAAGCAGAGTGGCTATGGTGGGCAGACTAAGCTGATTATCCCGAAAAAGGCCAAAACTACAAAGAAGATTGTGCTAAAGTTTGAGTGCTTTGAGCCCAACTGCACGTCTAAGGCTATTAACAGATGCGTTTTGAACTGGGAGTAGATAAGAAGAGAAAGGGCCAAGTGATCCAATTCTAAGTGTCATCTTTTCTTTTATTATGAAGACAATAAAATCTTGAGTTTATGTTCAAAAAAAATGAAAGGTAAAAAAGTAACCCTCAATTATAGTATCATAATATTTTATATATTATAGTACATTATCATTTTTTCATTTTCCCAAATTTGGACCATTTATAGTTCTGAATTTCACAAGCATAAACTTATGTCCCCAGGGAAGAAAATTACTACTGTCCTTACTTGATGAGAAGAGGAATTGGCTTCAATAAGTGTTATAGGGCTCTGGGCCAAGTCTTCAGAGGAGTCTAAAATGATTTACTAGCTCAGCAAAGAAGAGGAGGACATCTTGCCGACAACACTGCAGTTAGAATATGTTACCATAGTTTGTTCTCATTCGAAAAGAAGTACATGAGGAAAAAGAAATATTTCCTGGACCCTGGACTTGTATGTACTTCCCTTTCACAAGTATTTCCTTTGTAAGTTGTTATTCCCCCAGCGGCCCTCTGCCAAAAATGGCAGTCTTTTTGTGTGCCCTTGGACATGAGGCAGGTGGCACCAGGCCCACAGAACCCTGACAAGAGTGTGGAATGACAGGAATGGAAAGAAAACAAAAATGAGAAACAATATCTCCTAAGAAGATCTTTCAGAGTTTATCTTGTCAACCACCTGCAAGAGATGGAGAAGCAGAACAAAGCCCATTGATGTCTATGATTGCATTTTAACAAGAGAGTGTGGCAGACAATTTCATTCCCGATGCTCTGACATGTACTATTTTTCAGACTCAGCGATCAGCACCCATGTTCTCTGCCCGTTTTGTTAATGATTCAAAGTGTACGCTTATTTTTTTTACCATATGTGCTATCTATATACACACACTTAAATCCATAAAATCATAACAGCATTTTGATGTAATCATGCTGTCTCTCAATGGTTTCTAATTGGTAATTTGCCTCTAATTTTTATAGTTACTTGAGTGACATGAATCCTAGAATAGTCAGGAAGCCCATGGTCTTGCCATAATACCGTAATTACCATAAATAATACTTTGATGAATCACAGCTTCTTTATTCCTTCTTCTTTACACAACATTATTTCTAACTTAGTACTGATATCTTTATACTGCTTTTTTGTTTACCAGACTGATTCTCCTAGAAGCTTGTAAATTCCTTGAAGATAGGAATCATGTCCTATTTTTCTTTTTATCCCCAGAGCCTAGGATAGTACACAGCACAGGTTAAGTGCTTAATAAATATGGGTCAGGCTGGGCACAGTGGCCCACGCCTATAATCCCAGGACTTTGGAAGGCCGAGGTGAGTGGATCGTCTGAGCTTAGGAGTTCAAGACCAGCCTGGACAATATGGCAAAACCCCATCTCTACAAAAAATTTAAAAATTAGCTGGGCGTGGTGGCATAGGCCTGTAGTCCCAGTTACTTGCGGGATTGAGGCAGGATGATGGCTTGAGGTTGGGAGGTCAAGGCTGCAGTAAGCCACGTTCACGCCACTGCACTGCAGCCTGCGTGACAAAGGGAGACTCCATCTCTTAAAAAAATCAAATTACATTAAATTTAAAAAATAAAATTAAAAAAATAAAGTTAATATTGGTCAGGTTATCTAATGAATAAATAAATAATTGCTTGAGTGAATAAATGAAATAACAAGTCATGACAACTGGATTTATCAGTAGGTCTTTATCTGCCATAATAAGGACACAGAACCCACATTTTGCCACTATCAGAGGATCAGGGAATGAGGCAAAGGAGAAGTTTCTGGACACCAGAAAGCTTTCTCTGAGAGTGAAAGCTAAACAGCTGCTGGATGCTTCTCAGAACTGTGAATAAAGATATCAGCTTTCTAGGGCTGCATTTACTGTATACATAAGTTAACTTGAGTATTACACTACTGACAAAGTATATACTTGCCATCCTAAACATCAACAGGAACTAGAATAGGCAGTATTGTTAGAGCACATTAAGTTTTGTGTCTTCTGCCTCCCAAAGGTTAAATATCTGTACACTGGTGGCAATGAACTGGATATATACACCACAATCCCTCCAAGCTCCAATATTCTGTCACCACTAGGGTGCTAGGCACCACTAGAGAACTTGGGAGATGCAATTCTAAATTAATCTTCACATTAGCATGTCCATTCTATGCAATTCAGCATCTCTGCACGACAATTGGCAAGTTGCTTATTTTTCTAGTCTCAGTTTTCTGGTCTGAAAAATGGAGACTATAAAGTGAGTTTATAGTACTTGGTGAAGAACCAGACACACGTTAAATAAATGTTAACTGTTGAGTTATGTTTATATAGATGTATTGTTAATGTGTTTCAGGATTTTATGAGATTCCTAAAATCTTGATATGTCTTAATATATGTTGTCAGTAATAATTATGATTATTATGTTAAGTTTTTATATGCCACAAAAATTACCAAATTTCCTTGTCAATTGTGTCTGTCCTGAAACTTTTGCATTCCACAATTGTTTTGCTTTGATTCTTTGCAAAAAGCAGCTTATAATCAGCTACAGTCCAGGGCTTTCTTCTCTGGGAGAGTTCATGAAAAGGACTCTTAAATGCGTGTTTCTCATAACTGGAGATTGTGCCACTGGACTAGAGAAAAATGTCCAGGACTCTAATTAAAAGGTGGATGTGTCAATAACATTTACAAATCCAATATGAAGCAGAGCAGAAGTTGATTGCATGGACTGAACTAATGGAGGACAGAAGTACTTTTTTATGGCTTTTTTCTTTGAAACATTGCTGATTCTTTTGCTTTTCAGAGTCGACAGAACTTTTTTCTTTGAGCTATTTATAGCCTTTAGCAAATAAGTAGAGTATGCAGAATTTGAGACATATTTCTCTCTTTCTGTCTAATTTCTCCAGAATTCATAAACTATTTGTGAATATTCTTAATTCATGACAACGTGGTTGTTTGCATAAGTTCAATAAAAATTTGTTTTCTTTCATAATGGGATACAGTTGGAAGAACTGGTTATTTTCCCAGGGCTTTGACTAAAATGGCCTTGTGAGAGGTTTCAGAAAAGCCAGTTTAGAAGAGCCTATATGGACAGTGATTCTTGTTGCACTTCATGTGGGTAATCAGGCCCAGTATAGTGGGACTGATGATTATTTTGCAGGTAGGTTGGTCCTGCTGTGATTTGTCTTTGGTGAAAGTTGGGGACTGGAGAGAAAAAAAAGTGTGCTTCTGAAGAAAATCATGATATTAGATCAACCTTTGATTCCTGAGTGGTCACATGGTCACCCATTGCATGGAACTACCCACAATGCCCTTCCTTAGCATGAAGCAGCCAGAAAGATGAACGATCAGATTCCACACGAGTGAGGAACTGATAAATAGGGGAAACTGAAACTGGCCCAATTCTCCCATAGAAGTGACATTTACAGTTTATTTTGAATAAACATAGAAATTGATACTCCCAATCTTAAAACTTAAGAAAGTTACATTTATCTTATCTGAGTCCCTTTCTCAGGAAACAAACCATCAGTCCTCCCAGATAGTATCAAGAAACTGAAACTTACCAGATCACTGCATCTGAACAGTAAGATGCCAGATCTCTCACCTGTCATGATTGCCTATCTGACCATCTGCTTCCTGTTGGTTAATTAACTCCTCTTCCTTACTCAACCCCCCAATTCCTGTTTACACACATGTAGTTATGTTCCTTTCCTGCTATATAAACCCCCAATTTTAGTTGGTCAGGGAGATGGATTTGAGTCTGATCTCCCATCTCCTCTTCTGTAGCATTGGATTAAAGCCTTCTTTCCTGGCAATACTCATTGTCTCAGTAATTGGCTTTCACTGTGGCAAGCAACTTGACCTAGGACAAACCTGTGGTGTTTTGGTAACATAATCTTTGCAAAGGTGGTTTCATTCCCCCATACCTTGCTCTATGTACCTCTTCCATTTGCCTTTTCCTGAGTTGTATTCTTTATAACAAATAGGTAAAGATAGTGTTTCCCTGAGTTCTGTGAGCCATTCTAGCAAATGATCAAACCCAAGAAGGGGGTTATGAGACCCTCCAGTTTGTAACTGGTCCATCAGAAGTTGTGGGTAACCTGGGAACCCACTACTTGCAATTAACGTCTTACATGGGGGCAGTCATATGGGCCTGAGCCCTTCACCTGTGGGGGTGTGCACTAACTTATGTTGGTGTCAGAATTGAATTAAATTTGGAAAACAAAAAGTATCTGAGACAGGTCTCAATCAGCTTAAAGGTTTATTTCGCCAAGGTTAAGGACTGTGGCCCACAACACAGCCTCAGGAGGTCCTGAGAATATGTGCCCAAGGTGGTTTGGTTATAGCTTGGTTTTATTTCGAGAGACAGAAATTACAGGCAAAGACTTAAATCAATACATGTAAGGTATACATTGGTTTGAGCTGGAAAGGCAGGGTATCTCAAAGCAGGGGCTTCTAGGTCATATGTGGATTCAAATACTTAGCAATTGGTTGGAAAAGGTGAGCTCTGCCTGAAGAGTTGAATTCAGCAGAAAAAGTGCTTAAGTTTAGATAAATGAGGTGTGGAAGCCAAGGTTCTTGTCATGTACATGAAGTCTCTAGGTAGCAGGCTTCAGAGAAAATAGATGGAGAATATCTCTTATTTGACCCTAAAAGGTGTCAGACTTTGCTGAAAAGACCTAGCAAGGGAAAGAGATTCTCATGTTAAACAAATAAATTTGAGGATAAAATTACTTTGATTCCCTTCAGGGCCTGTTTTCTGTCATGTGATGTGATATCAGAGTCAGAATTTGGTATATCTTGCTACAAAGTCTGTTTTGTGAATTTTAAGATATCTGTTTTAATGTTAATGCTGGTCAGTTGGGTCTAAGTTCCAAAGGGATGAGGGTGTAATGAGGTATATTCACCCCCTTTCATAGCATGGCCTGAACTAGTTTTTCAGGTTTCTTTGGGGTACCCTTGGCCAAGAAGGGTTCCATTCAGCCTGCTGGGGAGATTAGAATTTTATTTTAGGTTTACAAATTGTAGGGCACCCAGTTGGTGTCTGCAAAGAATTGGAGAATTGTGTAGTAAAGGAGAAATCCCCATGTTTTGGTGACCCGAAGTGTTCTGAGAGTATAGAAGAGAAAAAACATTTTTCCCCCAAACAATCTCCTTTAATCTTCACTAAAATGCTAAGAAACAGGTATAATTGCTATTATCCTTATTTTACTAATGGGTGAACCAAGACCAAAAGAAGTTAAGCAATTTTCAGCAGAGAAGCAGAGCTGGGATTCTGACCTTATGTCAGACTCAGAGCCCCACACTGCACCCTTACCTGCTACGACCCTCCCTCTAGGTCAGAAATGGTGGTGACCATCTCATCACAGGAGGGATGCTCATCTTTCCACATAAAGGAAGATCTGAATTACTGTATGTCAAACAGACATAGATTATTAAAACAAGCAATGGAACTTAGTCTTTCAGGCAAATGCCAGAAAGACAAAAATGGTTTGAGAATGTGAATGCCACATTTGTAATTCAATAGAAATGCTGACTGCATAAAATGAGATCGTGATGGCCTTGATGTTCTGTGCTAACAATCATTCAGTATAATAATCACCTTCCAAAGAAATGCAGCCAGCAGCACAGAGAAAAATGAAAAACATCATTTTGCACAAATGTTTGCTTTTCAAAAACACTTTGTGTGCATTTCCTTGGAATATTTTTGTATTTCTACAACTAGAAAATGCAGATTTATAACAGCAGGATATGCACTCCAGAGCTGATCATCTGCCAATGTGAGGCTTCCTCAGGAACAGCCAGGCAGCACTATGAGATGTGACTCCGAGAGCAACCAGCAGGTTAATTGCACCTGAGACAAGTTTAAATTCTTTTAGCCTGGACACATTCCAGAGTGATGGCCATGTAATGGACCTAAACAAACAAAATGTATGATCAACACTAGCTGTAGGCCTAGTAAGCTTCCAGAAGAGAATAGAAACATCTAAGACCAAAGATGATCTCAACATCTCTCCAGACTGAATGACTCCCTTCTCAGTAGGCCTTGGACAAAGCACCAACCTCATGAATCTGTTTTCTAATCTCTGAATAACAAATAATAGTATCTTATATCCAACCTTATGTCTAAGAGTTCTGAGGATCAAATTGATGGGTAAAAAAGAGTGAGGCAGTGTCTTATACATAAACCTTGCTCAACTGGTGTTCCATAGTTTTTCTTGCTGTCATATAGGTGCTGCTTTTAACTGCATTTCAAATAATTAAGTTTATTCCTACAAAGTATAATCAAAATGAGGTATTCTTCAACAAATATGATGCAAATATAAAACAAGGATGATGTAATGAGAATATTGTTGCTCAATGACATCTTCTCTGAGAAGGTGGGGTCTTGAGAGGCCCCAGTGTGAAGCCTGGGACTGAGAAAGCTTCATGAGGTGGTAGAAGCAACAGGGCCAGGCAGGTCCCAACTAGATAGAGGCTGCGCAAGACGATTAATCAAGCAAGGGCTCTGGAGTCCAACATTCTAACCATACCTGCCCAGGAACCACAGAAAAGGTACTTAGTGCCTCTCTGTATCCTCATCCATACTAAGTCTCAGGACTGCTCAGGTCATTTGAATGTCTTACGTGGACACTGCTCTCCTGTCTATGTGATTTTACGACTTTAGACATTGTAACTCGGTTCTGACTCCACCAAGATCCCAAAAGGTGCTCTTTTTGTTGGATTCCCTTTGTCATCCTTTTCTTGGAAAATAATCTTTTCTTCTTGATTGAACACACAAATGAACAAAAAAAGACAAACAGCCTGGGAGTAGTGGCTCACTCGTGTAATCCAAGCACTTGGGAGGCCAAGGCAGGGGAATCGCTTGAACCCAGGTCTATGAGACCAGCCTAGGCAATTAGTGAGACCCTGTCTCTACAAAAAATAAAAAATTGGGCAGGCATGGCGGCACACACCTGTAATCCTAGCTACTTGGGAGGCTGAGGCGAGAGGATCACTTGAGCCCAGGAGGCCGAGGTTGCAGTGAGCTGTGATTGTGCCACTGCACTCCAGCCCTGGGTGACAGAGTGAGACCCTGTCTCAAAAAACAAACACACAAGCACAAAACAATAAAAACCTTCAACATCACATTTATCTACCTCATCTGTACCAGATTGCGTTCAAAACACCATTTACTTTATTTCCAGATTGTTGCTTTGGGATTGCATTCTATATTGTTGCAAACAAGCCTGACATGAAAACACAACCATAACATAAACACAATATGTGTAAATACATGTAAATCAAGCAATTACTTACCAAAAAAGCTGACCTTTCATTTGTGATTTATTTATCTACAGTCACATACTTGCAGTTAGCTTTTTTATTAGTAAAGAGCTGTGAAGCAGAGATCTTGACTTCTGTCTTCCATAATCTTGGGCAATCTAAATAACCTCCCCTTTCATGGTTTATTTAATTGGAACTAATGTTTGATGGTTACAGGTAGCCACAGAGTTAATGAACATAAAATAAAGTAGTTTTATGGGCTTGTGACCCCAAAAAGATATACAGAAGTCCTAACCTCCAGTATCTTTGAAAATAGGGCCACTGGAGATTGATTAGTTAAGATAAGGTCATACTGGAAGAGGGCATGCCACAAATCCAGTATGCTGGTGTCTTGTGGGAAGAAGAAAGACAGACATGCAGGGAGAAGGCTATATGACAATGGAGGTAGAGATGGAATTGCTGCAGATACAAGCCAGGAATACCAAAGATTGAGAGCAAACCACCAGAAGCTAGGAAGAGGCAAGGAAGAATTTTCTCCTGCAGGTTTCAGAGGGAGCATAGCCCTCCCAATGCCTTAATTTCAGGCTTTTAGCCACGAGAACTGTGAAACAATACATTTCTGTTGTGTTAAGCCATCTAGTCTGTGACACTTTGTTACAGCATTCTAGGAATCTCATCGGGGCAGCATGATAAAATCTTTGAGAGATTTCACCCTCTGAGTGAAAGGTCTAGCAGGGCATTTACAAACATTGGGCAACATATCAGCAAATAGAGCTCATGGGTCAGGCACTATGATAAACACTTCACTTGAATCATTTCAGTATATTATCACAAGAAATAAATGATGTTGGAGCTACTACCATTAATATATAGTAGCTAATGAAACCATGGCACAGACAGTTCACATGACTCACTTGAGGTCACATTATTGGTAATTATAGAGTGTTGTGGGAACATCATGATGTTTCTTGCCCTTAAGGACTTGAAAATCTAGTAGGTAAAAACTAAAACATATGCACATTGGTTTAGTTATTAATTGGTTGTGTCTTTAATGTTTACTCCCTGAAATATTAACTAAAAGTATTCAACAGAAGGATCAAGAAATGTTAAGAGAGAGAGAGGCCAGGCACAGTGACTCATTTCTATAATCCCAGTATTTTGGGAGTCCGAGGAGGAAGGATCACCTGAGACCACATGTTCAATACAAGCCTAGGCAATGTAGTGAGACCAGGTTAAAGAAAACTGGGATTACAGGTGTGAGCCACCATTCCTGGCCTCTCTCTCTCTCTCTTTCTCTTTCTCTCTCTCTAAATCTCTCAATCTCAGCCTTACTATGTTGCTTAGGCTGGTCTCAAACTCCTGGGCAAAATAAATCCTCCTGCCTTGGCCTCCCAAAGTTCTGGTATTACAGGTGTAAGCCAACACTCCTGGACCCTACAAAAAATTTTTCAAAACATCAACCAGGAGTGGTGACATGGGCCTGTTGTCCCAGCTACTCAGGAGGCTGGGGAAGAGGATCACTTGAGCCCTGCAAATTGAGGCTGCAGTGATCCAAGATCATGCCACTGCACTCCATCCTGGATGACAGAGCAAGACCTTGTCTCAAAAAAATAAAAGACAGAGAGAGAGAGAACATGTAATGGGGACATCCAATCCTTAGCAGGCCTAAGAAATATAAATACAAGCCTGCCAAGTTCCTTATATAATCATCACATGTGGGAATAATTCATTTTCATAATCCCCACAGTCATCTCAAAGTCCTGACTTGAGGCAATTTTCTAAGTTAACATCATTCTTGTTCTTGAAATTTTCCAGTATTCTACCTGTGATTGTATTTGCCTGGCTCCCACTCACCCAGGGAGTGGGCATTCTGCACATAATTGCTTCCCTCCATTCTCTGTGTTCAGCCCAGCAGTGAGTGGAGATGGGCTGTATGAAAAAGATTTTTCCTTTCATAATAAAATGCGAAGAGGCACACTTCGCTCCCTTTACCAAAAGAATAGCTGGCATATTTTGTTCTGTTTTCTCTTCTTTGTTATAAATTTAAGATGTCTAGGGCCTTTTTTCTAAAAGTTATCATTGTGCTTGGCTATGCCAAGCCAGCCTCTTAACTAATTCCTCCCCACTCACTCTCCTTCTGCACTCCTTCAGGGAGAAGACAAGGAGAGGCAGAGAGAAAGAGTTAAAGAGCTGTTCTTACCAGCCATTTTTCTTAGAGCTCTTCTGCCATGGCCTTTCTTAACCACATTTTTCTTCTTGCCTAGCTACTACAACCTTTCTTTGAATTTTCTAAGCCACGTGGTATAAAAACTTATGCATGATCCTCCGTTAATTTGTGTGTCTCAGCTCATTTTATTCTATCATTTTCATGATGACAAGAGTAACGACTGCTCCAAAGTCACTCCAACTCTTTTGCTTCACAGTAACCACAATGTAATTTTTAAGTCTCTTAATTATTATTTTTTAGATAGTTAAGACAAAACTACCTGTACTGAGATTATCTTAATGATGTCAGTGTCTCGGGGTGACTGACATGCCAAGTAGCTGTTGTTCATCTACCATTGGAATTTCTGTGCAGATTCTGGCAAGGAACATTTAATATAGCCCCAGAAAAGCAAGTTTATTTCTGATGTTAGTGAAGTTCCAGTGAGGTAACTCTCAGATTGAATGAGTGCTGATTTAGGCTTTATGGATAAGAGACTGGATTCTGATGTGTACTGAATGCATCTTGAATGTTGACTTCTTGTTACCTAATATTGATTATTTCCATTTGTGGGAGGCACTGAACTGAGTGTTTTACAAGTATTATTTCAATTCTCATGCAAATCCGTGAAGTTAAATAATACTATTTTCAGGCTGGGCGTGGTGCCTCACACCTATAATCTCAGCACTTTGGGAGGCCAAGGCTGGTGGAGCACTTAAGTCCAGGAGTTCAACACCAGCCTGAGCAACATGGCAAAACCCCATTTCTACACAAAATACAAAAATTAGCTGGGTGTGGTGGTATGTGCCTGTAATCCCAGCTACCTGGGAGGCTCAGGTGGGAGGATTGCCTGACCCCAGGGGGCAGAGGTTGCAGTGAGCTGAGATCATGCCACTACACTCCAGCCTGGGTGACAGAGCGGAATCCTGTCTCAAAAAAAAAAAAAAAAGAAAGAAAAAGAAAAAAGAAAAAAAAATTATATATATATATTTTTTTCCTTATGATTTCATATTTTATTTTAGATTCAGAGAGTAAATGTGCAGGTTTGTTACATGGGTATATTGCATGGTGGTGAGGTTTGGGGTACGACTGATCCTGTTACCCAGGTAGTGAGCGTAGTACCCAGCAGTTAGTTTTTCAAACCCTGACCCCTCCCTGTCTCCCCCATCTAATAGTCCCCTGTGTCTATTGTTGTCATCAGTAATACTGTTTTCAAGTCCATTTCACAGATGAGGCTTTAAGGGGTTAAATCGCTTAGTCAAGAGAGAGCCAGTATTCAAACTCAGATCATCTAAAGCCAAACTTCTATGTTCTGAACTGCTGTGCCGTACTGCTACTTGTCTCATCCCAGAACTCTGCTGAGGAACCACAACATTGGTTACAGCATTTGAGACTCTTTTAATGGCCAGAGTAACAAATGCAGTCATATTTATGCTAAATGGTTCTCTTCCTTATTTTCCAGTGTGGAAACCTCAAAAGGGAAGATATATGCCAGCCAGAAAATATATCCTCTTCCAGACAGTAGTTAATTGCAATGCTATTTTGTAATGTAAACTGTTTTTCCACTGCCATCCCTGAAAGCATAGCATGAAAGGCTCTTCCCAGGCCAGCCACAGCCTCACCTCCCAGCCTCCCTTTTTATCACTGCCCACCACCTGCCCCTACCCCTTCACACTCAACGTCTCTCTGATCTTCAGATAAGCTGTGCTCCCAAACATCATCATGCCATATGCATACATTTCTTCTTCCTAGAATTCTCTTTCTTCTTTCTGCCAGGTGGTGAGCCCCTACTCATCTTTGAGGACCTAGTTTGTGTCACCTTCTCTCTATAGCCTTACTTGACTCGCCTAGGGAGAGTGAATTACTCTTGTCTGCACTATTGCGTGTTTCCTTGAATATCACAAGTATTGCTCTTATTTGCTTTATTATCACTATTTTTTCAGTTATTTATTGTCCCAAAAGCTTGTCAGTAAATATTGGCAATATTGTAAGCCCTGCAACGGAAAACTGTGATTGCAATTGCTATTCTCTGCATTTCAATTTCCTTCTGTCAACATGTGCTTCTCTGTTATGCTTGTGAAACATAAAGTCTTACATACACAAAATAACAGATGCTTTCTTTCCCACCCCAGGTTCAACCAACCTGTTACCTTTAAATTCTATTTAGTTTTCAGCTTCAAGTTCATCATCAACCTCTGATGACTGGGCACTCACTTACAAATTAATAATTAGAACTTAGACATTTTCTTGGCTAATAAAGAAATTGGTCTTGAGCTGTGTGGGTTTGAGTGGAGTCAAATATGTATTTTCAAATATTGCGCTACTCCCAAAGAGCCATTTCTCCCTATAACCGTAGCTGTTAGTTGGCAGAATAATTTCTTAAAGGAGCAAGATTCATTAATGTCTTTACATAATAAATATTTAGTGTGCCTTCCAGGTACCAAGCACTGTGTGAGATCCTGAGGAAATAAGAGCTTCATAGACTTTACAGTCTAGAGGAAAAGACGGGCTCAATTAGCAATCATTCAAACCAATATATAATTCCAACTGTACAAATGCAATAGTGAATATGGGTGCTCTGGACAAAAACAAACAAACAAACAAAAACAGAGACTAAGGATTCCAATCAAGTCTCTCTCAGAAAACAACATTTAAATTGAGACATAAAAAGTGAGCAATAGTTAACCAGGAAAGAGAGGAGAAAATGTTCTGGAATAAGATAGTAACCAGCTGCTCAATTTTGTATGGTCCAGATGTATATTTAGCTTGGCTTCTAGACATGACTACTAAAGTATAGAGTTGTTTCCTAAGACAGTGGACATAACTCACCTTTTAAAATTTCTATTTAAAGAAAATATTCACTACATTTAAACACACTCCTTGATCAGTTGGCTATTAATCAAGATTAATTATTGCTATGCCTTAAAAACTGTGGGAAAGAATTATGGGAAAAGTGACTATAGAGAGCTAGGCTGAAAAGAGTGATTCCAATTGGGTCTTGATTGGTTCTATGAAATCATGAAGAATCCATCTGAATCTCAGTTTCTCAGAATACATGTGGTCCATCATGTATGGAACACTGGGGAGTGAAGTCAAGGAGCTAAAGAGGAGAAAGGAGTCCTGAGCAGAGAGAAGGCCTGGAGTTGGTGCACGGGGCAAAGTGGTCTGTAAGTCAGAGAGGAGCAGTCAAAGCGGAAGATGCAAGCAAGGGAGCTGCGCCTCTTCAGCCTTTCAAAGACTCTTGGCACGCCCACATGAAGAGCCAGCAGACTCAATGTACCCATAGCTATGCTGGTTTTATTCGCCCTCTCTGCACTCCAGCCACCTCTGTAGAGAATCTCCTTTACATTCTAGGTCTTTTCCAGATCCAGGAGAGATTTCAGTTAAGAGTCTGACACCTTTTAAGGTCCATCATGTAAGACATATTTACCATGTATTCTTTCTGAAGCCTGTTACCTGGAGGCTTCTTCTATGTAACAAGAAACTTGGCTTCCACAACCACCCTTATCTTAACTCAAGATTTTTTTCTGCTGAGTTCAACTCTTCAGGCAAAGCTTAACTCTTTCAACCAATTGCCAATCAGAAAATCATTGAAAGTGCCTGTAGCCTGTAAGCTCCCACTTCAGGATGTCCTGACTTTTCATACCAAACCAATGTATATCTTACACATATTGATTTATGTCTTTGCCTGTAACTTCTGTCTCCGTAAAATGAGTAAAACAAAGCTGTAACACAACCACCTTGGGCACACGTTCTTAGGACCTCCTGAGGCTATATCCCAGACCATGATCACTCATATTTGGCTCAAAATAAACCTCTTTAAATATTATGTAAAGTTTGGCTTTTGAAGTCAACACAAGAGTAAAACTCTTAAAAAGCAATTTCTGTTTAGCTTCATAGCTTTTGGAGGCCAGGATATGAAAGGATTAGATTGCCGGGAGATAACAAGTGAGGGCTGGGCAGAGTGGGGGTGGGGGTGGGGGCTAGTGGCCCCTGTGCCCTGGGTGTGTGGCAGTAATGGAGAATGTGTTGGAAACATCTGGAATGCAACTTATATGAGCTCTTGTGGGGCTGGGAGCAGCAAGGATCACACTCCAGGGACTCACAAAGGGCATTGGCCAAACTGAGCAAGTCATGTCACCAGTGATGGGGGATAGAATTGTGGAGGGGGATTCCCTGAGGGAGGCACAAAACCCGCCTTATCTGCCAAGCTGCATTCATAGACAGGGTGGGAATTCTAGGGAGCCACAGATTGCTTTATCCGGAAGAAAAGAGCAAAGTTGTCGTTGGGACCATACAACTGCAGCAGACAATATTCCATTTGTGTAGGCAGGCTTGGAAGATGCCAAGCCCCACAACCCACACAAGAACAGCCATCACTCACTTCACCTCCATCTAATTTATCTTTCTCAATGCTGGGTTTCTTTTTCAAATGGTAAAAGTGGAATTCCAGTCCATATGGTGGACTGAGCTAGTGGGAAAAAACATCCCACTCTTTCAAAAGCATGATAATTCTAGATAACATTTAAGAATGGAATATTTTAAAAGTATGCCTGAGTGCAAATGGGAAAAACTTCTTAGGCATGTTTTAAACAAAACCAGAACTGGGTACCAGAGCCACGAGCAGAAGCAAAACCAGAGAGGACAGTGAGCTTTTGTGCTCATCTAAGGCCTCAGGGCTAGATGTCAGCTTTGATCCCTTGAAAGTGTGATGGTCCCCTGAGTATGGAGGAAGATGGGACACTGAACTGAGGAATTTACCTGTTTAAATCTGAGAGCCATGAAAGGCTATTCAGTCTCCAAACTAAGACAAGAAGCTGAGCCACCCATCCTTTGGGCTCAGGGACACAGTGTGAGAGGGCCTTGGGTGGAAGGAGATTCACCCCTTAGAAATCAAAACATCAAGTCCCCACCCTGTGTTAGTGTGGGATCAGAGGTGGCCTTGTCTACATGAGGCCCTACCCAAACTGATAACTTATCACCAAAGCTGGTTCAGACATGCAGAGGCAAATGTGACCTCACCCTATAAGGACACCTTGGCAACCCATGGCACCGCAGGACATCTGTGGAAAACAATTCAATTTCACTTGGATAAGCTCACAGTCAAAAATTACAAACTTCTGGCTAGGCATGGTGGCTCATGCCTGTAATCCCAGCACTTTGGGAGGCCGAGGTGGGTGGATCACCTGAGGTCAGGAGTTCAAGACCAGCCTGGCCAACATGGCTAAACCCCATCTCTACTAAAGATACAAAATATTAGCTGGGTATGGTGGTGGGCACTTGTAATCCCAGCTACTTGGAAGGCTGAGGTAGGAGAATTGCTTGAATCTGGGAGGCAGAGGTTGCAGTGAGCCGAGATCGCACCACTGCACTACAGCCTGGGAGACAGAGCAAGACTCTGTCTAAAAAAAAAAAAAAAAAAAAAAAAATTACAAACTTCACAAGGCAATGAGTAACCATAGAGAAAGCCAGAAGATGCAACGAATGACATAGGCTGCTTCTCAAGAACTTCTGATCATGGAGAAATCATAAAAGGAACACACCCTAACAAAGCTAACATTTATTGAGCACCTACCTAATATAAAGTGCTATGCTGATCGCTTCACATTTGTGATTTCATCTGTTGCTCAGAGTGACCCCATGAGTAGGTTTTACTACCATACTTTACAAGAGGAGACTGGGGCACAAAGAGGTTAAGTAACCCACCCAAGATCACACAATCAGGATGCAAACCAGGCAGTCTGACTCCAGAACCTCCACCTTTATTTAACCCTTGGCACTAAACAACTTCTCCAATAGGATCCCTAAGACAAGATCTAATAAAAAAAAAGAGCAGACCAAATAAAATAGAAATAGAATTATAGAAATAAATGCTTAATGAAAAGATTAAATAACAGATTGAACAGAATTGAGAAAATTAGCAATTTTGGAAGATAGATTTGGGGAAATTACCTAAAATATGGTATGGAGTGATAAAAAAAGGAAAATAAAATATTTGGAAGATAAATGAAGGAGCTCCAACACTTATTTAATAGAAGTAGCAGAAAGGGTGAATATAGATGGCAGAAGATAGATATTTGAAAAACAAATGAAGAAGATTTTCAGATATGTTAAAATTCACATTAAGGCATCCATTTGATCTTTGACAATCTGACATTATTAGTCATCCTGGCATTTATTAACAATATGATCTACTGCAAATTACTAACTTCTTGGAGACTTAGTTTCCTCTATCATAAAAAGGGAATCATGAATCATGATAATTATTTCAAAGGGTCCTTTTGAAAACTAAATGATATTTTATGCTTAGAAAGCACTTAGCCCAGGTTATAATACACAGGAGCATTCAATAATTGCTCATTCATTAAATTAGAATTTAAATAATAAATATGTTTCTATTATAATTCTATTATCTGTTCTTACGGCAAAGTTTCCTGAAAATAAAGAAACTCATTAGAATGCAAATGCTTCATTACTGGGAGTAATACTATCTAGACTCATAACTTATAACATCTTGACATAGAAGACAGTGACCGTTTAATAAAGATTGGACCTGAAAATATAAAAAACACCAAACATTTTGCTGTATGGTAATATCTATGTATAATTTTTAAACAAAAAATCCACTTTGTAATCATCTAAAATGTAGGTCTACAATTTATTTAGTTTTTGAAGAATATATAAATGTATGTGAAAGTAAAAAATGTTAGCTCTGTAAACTGTACCTTTTCCTTAATAAATTTTTAACCTCAGACTTCTGTTTGAACTAGTATTACTCCAGACCTACAAAGTGCTAACATCTGAATGTCTTATGGCTCCATCTAGTGTCAAATGCTTATTAATACAATCTGCTTTATTAGGAATAAGCATCTGAATCTTAGATATATAGAGAATTCATCCATCATTTAGAAGGGGCCACACCGGCAATACTAGGTCAGAAGTCCTTTGTTAACATCATGCTCTGTACACATTTCAAGACAATTACCTGTTGAGTCCACGTGCTTTGTTCCCACACATGCCTATTTCCACTGTCCTAGACAGGTAGGAACCCAGTCTCTTTTATCTTTGTGGCCACCAGGCTGTATGCAGTGCCTGGAACAGACCAAGTGCTAAGTAAATCTGAATGGACAAGAGTAGAAATATCAACAATTTGGTAGAATAACACTGCCATTCAAAAGGAAAAATTTTGATATCCAAAGTGATTGTCTTACATGAGAGAGGTGTATCCTTACAAAGAATATCAAAAATCTCTGGAAGTACAGCTATACAAAGTCATTTTTATGTAACTTGGCCTTAGTTGAGTCTTTCAGCGATTTGATATTGATGGCCTGATAGTGTGGCTGTGAAGGATCCTTACTCAAAAAAAATGCCTCACATTAGTATAGCACTTTAGAGAGAGGAATTGAGGTTAGAAATATGCAATTATAGCATTTGCCTAACCACAAGCACATGCAGGTCTCAGCTGTCTAGGTCTGTAGCCTTAAAGAAGAATGCCCAGTTTCAGTGAAGAATAATTCACTCTGCTTGCTTCCTTGCTTTGTTTGTTTTGCAGGACTGGAAATTGGTTTCTGAATTATAAATTGAACTGTCTCTAACATTTCAACAAAGTAGAGTTAAAAATTGGTATTTTCATTCCTTGTGAGAAGTTGCCAGCTACTGGTGATAAGAGTTCTTACATTTTCTACTTATTTTATAACCAAGAGCCTGTTAGTCACCAGCAACTTCCCCAAATGGAGGAAAGCCACTTAACTGTATCCTCCCTGAAAGCATAACTGCAGAATTCTGATGAGAACAGTTGTAGGCACTACAAAGACAAAATAAATGCAATTTATTTTCTTTTATCAACATTTTATTTCACAGAAGTTTTGAGGCAAATGAGCAGTCTATTCCTGCCCCTGCCTCAAATTGAAGGTCATAAACCATCACTGCTTATATTATCTTGGTCCTGAGTTTAGACACATCTCAATCTTGACTACTGAGTGAGCCCTGAACCCTTCCCCAAGCTCTGATGTCAGCAGCAGAGGGAAGAATATGGGATTGCCAAGAAAATCTCATTAAAATAAGCTATTGTATAAAATTTGTCAATAAATTATAGTACAAGGCATTTCAGGCTTGACTATTTTGTTTGTTTTATTTTTGATAGGCAAATAAAGACATGACAGGGGTTGAGTAAAGACGGCTTATCAAAGTAACATACACTATCCTTCCATACATATGTCCTGAGTTCTAGTCTCTACCCTCAAATTCATCTTTGGGCTCACTTGCTGCTGGAAAGTAAAGAAATCAAAATTAAGTCAAGATATCATTTTTCATCTATTTGAGTAGACCAGATTATTTTTAAACTACCAGTACCCAATATCTTGGCAAGGGCATGGGAAGTGTACATTTATGTAAACTTTTTAGAGGGTAAAAAGTTCATTCTCTTTGATCTGCCAATTACATTCCGAGAATTTATCCCAATAACAAAAATGGAAAGAAAGACATTACAAGCATTTTCATTATACCATTTATTTACAATAGCAAAGTTTTGGAAATAAACTAAATGCTCAAAGGTAGGACAATGGCTAAATAAGTTATGATATATCCACGTGCTAAAGCATCAGGCAGTCATTAAAAATGTGTGGAAGAATATTTAAAGAGATAGAAAAATTCCACAATATAAAAGTGGAGACCAAACAGCGCATACATAAAGTATGGTAATGTGGGCAGTAGATATCTCTGAGTATTGTAATTATGGGTAATTTGATTTTCTCTTTGGGGTTTACATATTTGCACAATGAGCATGTACATCTGTTATAACCCAAAAAAAAACAATAAAATTTATACACAAAAAAATTAGTCATGAGTTGGATAAAGTCATGAGCCTGAATGAAGAAACAGGAATATCCATTGTTCTTCCAAAAGAACCATGACTATAACTGCAACTCAGCAGTCATAACACAGGCTAGCCAAGTGTCATCACTGTTTAGAACCCAGGTGATGAGATCACATGAATCTACTTCAGATTTTATTTTCATAATAGCTTACACTAGTGTTGTTCTGGAGCAGGACCAGATTAGGCAGTGATAATCTAGTCTAGATTAGGCTAATCTAGACTAATGACTAAGACAATTAGTGATTGTCTTACATGATAGAGGTGTGTCCTTACAAAGAATAAGAAAAATCTCTGGAAGTGAAGCTATACAATCATTTTTATGTAACTTGGCCTTAATCGAGGCTTAATGCTGACAAACAGTAAAAACAGTAGGCACACAGCTGTGGCAAGACATTACAATTGGAGTCACTGAAAGAAAGTGCAGCACCCACAGAGTGTTTCAGTGACCTGGGGTCTGCAGTGTCACCACAACACATGGTGGGTATGCAGGCAGGACGAGGGTGAGGAGATGACTAGAAAGATGGCATGAGAAGACTGTAGTTGGAGTTTCAATATATTCAGTGGATTATTGGTAGGCCTTTTCTTTCAAGGATTTTAAGAATGCTGATGCCACAATCAAGATCTGTGTTTTAGAAGTGTGTGTGTGTGTGTGTGTGTGTGTGTGTGTGTGTGTGTGTAATGTGGAAAATGAATTAAAAAGAAAAGAAACTGAAAGCAGAGCTACCAGTCTGAAATCTACTGCAGTAGTGCAGAGTTTGGAAAAAAAAAAAAAGATCTAAAACGGGAATGGATAAAAGTAAATGAATGAGAGAGACATTGTGGAGAGGCATTGTGGAGGTAGAGGACAGGGCTTGGTGATGAAATTGAAGCAGAAAGGG
Source organism: Homo sapiens (assembly GCF_000001405.40). Taxonomy (NCBI): domain Eukaryota; kingdom Metazoa; phylum Chordata; class Mammalia; order Primates; family Hominidae; genus Homo; species Homo sapiens. The sequence continues at coordinate 86,036,306 of NC_000008.11, forward strand.
ACAGACGGGACATTTGTAAGGTGGCTGCTCATGCTGTGATAATGCAGCTAGCACAAACCTTGGATGTTTTTATCATCATAGTTTATATGAACGGAAAAAGTCCTACAGACCCTTTAACAAGTGACAATGTGCCACCTCCACTCATAGCTTATTATAGCTACAAGGAGTTCCTTAGAACCCTAGAGGACATGGGTTCTTCCCGACAGGTCCAGCTACCTCTGCATTAAGTACAAGGTCAGAAGAGCAGTGGCATGGTTAATCTGAAGAGTTATCTTTTAAATATTGGGTTTGGAATATTTAAACCTGTATGTTTTTTAAATAAGCAATTTTTGACCTAACCAAAAATAAAAAAGAATTCATTATATTTATAGGTTTTATTATTATTGTTGCTGCTGCTGCTGTTTTGCTAAGTGACATGTGAAGCAGACACCCTCAGCTCTTTAGTTCGGCTCAATAAAGTAAATAAAGAGCCTCAGGCCATCTTTCACTTGGGGTAGAGGGGAATGGGGGTGTTCAGCTGAGCTAGACAGACATAAAGAGGCTGATGGATGAGAGTCATGGTGAGTCATCACCCCACAAAGAAGCCACATGTGACCAGGAGTCCCAGGCCTGCCACACTGGCTACTCCAAAAAGAGCAATCAATCATTTAGGCAAAGTGTCTAAGGATTTTCTGATCATTGACTTGTGTAGGCTGCATCTCACATCTCATATTTCGCCCTTATATCTACAATGGAAATGTTCATTGGCTTAAACAAATTTCAGAGTTGGCATTTCTTTTGAAAGCATAATATTTATCATCACTTGGAAATGCTACTAAAATCTATTGAAAATTTAAAATAGAACTGGTGGCTCTATTTCATGGTGGCTCTCTCCTGTAATCCTAGCACTTTGGAAGGCCAAGGTCATAGGGTTGCTTGAGCCCAGGAGTTTGAGACGAGCCTGGGCAACATAGTGAGATCCCATTTCTACCAAATTTTTTTTTATAAATTACCTAGGTATGATGGTATGTGCCTGTAGTCCCAGCTATCAGAGAGGCTGAGGTGGGAGGATTGCTTGAGTCTGGGAGGTCAAGGCTGAGGTAAGCCATGATTGTGCCCCTAGGCACGATCCCAAGCCTAAGCAACAGAGCAAGACCCTGTCTCAAAAATAAATAAATATATAATAAATAAAAATAAATTTAAAAATAAAACTGGGTAAATACATAGCTACAGTCAGGCGCAGTGGCTCACACCTGTAATCCCAGCACTTTGGGAGGCAAAGGTGGGTAGATTGCTTGAGCCCAGGAGTTTGAGACCAGCCTGGGCAACATGGTGAAACCCCAACTCTACAAAAATAAAATAAAATAAAATAAAATAAAATAAAATAAAAAGTAGCTGGGCGTGGTGGCACACGCCTCTACTCCCAGCTTCTAGGGAGGCTGAGGTGGGAGAATCACATGAGCCTGCGGAATCGAGGCTTCAGTGAGCCATGGGCGAATCACTGTGCTCCAACCTGGGCAACAGAGCAAGACCCTGTCTCAATATACATAACTACAGCATTCTTAAGGATTGAAGGTGATCTTAGCAGAACAAAACTTTGTGAAAGAAAGTTTTAAAATAGCAGTGCTTTGTATACAGAGAAGGCTGAAAAAAAATGGATGTGCATTGACTAACAATGTGATGCTCCGACCACAGAACTACTTAAAGACTATTAGGAAGACTGGGCTTCCATCCTGGCCTCTGACTATCTTTACAACTTCTACAAGTATATCCCTTCCTTCTGCAACTAGAGGTGGGCTTTCCTATCTTTAAAAAGGTAATCTGTTTCTTTCCCTAAGATGTAAACTATTAACTTATCAGACACTGCAAAAAAAAAGATTCCATTTTCCCGTTTTTCTCTTCTGATAAATTATAGGCTGGGATATAAACAACAATTATATTCTTAATCTTCTTGTGAAAAAAATCTGCTAGGAATAACAAAGATATTCTGTGGCTTTTGTTGGCCTTTCCTTTGCTTTTGACTCTGTGGACAAAATTCAGTTGAGGTTGCATTCCTGAGTCCAAAGCAAACATCAGGATATTCAATAATATCAATAACTTTAATCCTTCTGAGTGTGCAGATTATTAGAAATGTCATTTGATAGCTTTGATTAATGGTCTCCAAACTTTCTTATTTAGTCTTTATCAGTAAATATATTTACTTATTTTTGTTTACTATTAAATTATCTACATATGCCATTATATGAACATACACTTCAGGAAAATTGTGCAAAACTAGAAATTTCAAAAAGACAAGCTAAAAATAAAACAATTCTTTAAAAGTAATTTTAACTTGTCTTTATTAATGGTAAAATATAATTATTTATTAACATAGGATTTATTTTACTTTCATAAAAATTATATTTAATAAGACAAATATGATGAATTATGCTTCATTATTGCTGAAAAGCTTGTTTACTACTTTGCAATGTAGTGGTTAGATGTCTGTTTCTCAACGAGATTTACTTCTTTCCTTGTTTTGAAAAGCTATCAGAATTTTTTTTAAAAAGTCTGCATTTTCAAAATTACAACACCCATGTTTCAATCCATCTACCAATTTTGTAAAGGCTTTTGATAAAATTGTGCTCAGAGATTTTTTTCTTCCCTGAAGTCTGCATAGGTATGAATGTTAAGAGCCCAGGCCTGGACTGATTTCGCTTCTTTTCTCTTATTTTGTATCCAGCAGCCACAGGCTATTCTTCACAAAGAGGTCCTATTTTCAGAATCACCCATACTGCAATATAGAAAACAGTTGTTTCAGTAATTCTTATCTTTCATGTACTATAGTTCCACTGGGGCAATGCACTTCTTTCCACTAAGAAGCCTACTTTCTGTGCTGGCTTTTGTACACAGAGCACTTTGAAGTTGGCATTTGTGCACAGCCACATTTCCAAACTGCCTCCTTCTTCCCTGGTTTTCCTGCCAGAGAAAAATAAGCCTGGTCCCCTCAGCTGTTAGTGTCTCCCGCTTTGTCTGCGAGTGCCAATGGAGACTGGCCATCTCTTGGAAATATGCCAGTCCCAGTCCCGGGTCCTCTGCCTTGGTTGGTGCCTGGATTAGTGAAACCCTCAAACCTAAGCTGTGATTCACAAATAACTCTGGGGTGGCTTCTCCACTCTGGAGGGGGGCTTTATTTCAGATGAACTCTGGCAGAGGAAGAAGAGTCCCTGGGTTGCTTTAAGGACATTGGAGTGTGTGCTAAGAAGTGGTCACGTTCTCGATTCCTTTCCCTTTTGCTTTCTTTTTCCCTTCTAAGCACAAGTCTGTCCTAAAGGCCATGAAAAGCTCTCTCCCGCATGATCCACCCCCTGCTCACTATTCTGCTTGTCTCTAACTCACACCTGTGGGTAGGGGAAAATGGCAGTGACTGTGGCCAGGAATGTCCTTAGCGCTGAAGCAATGCTAATGCAAGGCGCCCAGCGCTGAGCTTCGCTAATCGCTTCAAAACTGAAGCCAGCTCTGGCACAGAGTGAAACAGCATGCTTCTGAAGTTGCTCTAAACTGTGGCCAGAGCCGCCACACCAAGTTGGTACCAGGAGACCTGCCTGGGGCATGAATCTAACTTTAGACATTTTGTGAGAACAAGGAGATCTCCGCCTCTAGATCCAAAAGAGAACTACCCAGCTGAACCCAGTCGGTTAATCCCCTGGACGGCTCCGTAAACACGCAGCAGCCTCTGCATCCTCCTGCTACAGACTCACTGCCCCACTTTTTAAATGCCGGAGGTGTTGATGTTGAAGGGGGCTAGGAGGTGTGGGTGATCAAGGACTCAATATAAAAGTCCAAGATTTTCCTACTCTCCCCAAACCTTTGCAGCATCATGGGAAGCAAATGTAATTGGCTTCTCTCTGGCTTTGCTGTGGCATAAAGTATCCAAGGAAAAGCTTCTTGCTCTTACTTTTCTGCTCTTCTGCTGAGACAAGCATTTGCCTTCACCAGTGGGAGGAGATTCCATCTGTGCCTAGATGATTTATTATCAAGAAAATGTGTTAATAATTGATAAGGAATCCTATAAAAATAAAATCATAAGTAGCCAAAATATAGATGAAGAGGCTCTCTTATCACAAACTAGGTATGCTTTCAATAGATAAATGACCCTCCTATAGGATATCTGCTGGGAAGAAGAACTAGAGATCTATTTTTAAATCCAAGTCATCATTTTCATCAGAGGTTCCCCAACTTTTAACTAGCATAAAGATATTAATTCTACATAACACACTAATTCATTCAATTTCCCTAGAAACAGTTCTTTATGCCAGTTTATTTTAGAAGAAGGTACACCAAGAGGGGACACTAACAATAAAAATCATGTGACACTTTATGAAATTTATTTTATGTATCAGAAGTAAGTATTTTGCCACAGTCACTTTAAGGTTTTTCAAATATTAAAATAATCCATGCCATTTACTGTGGAGTTTTGGTGGCCTTTGTTGCCCCTTCTTTTGGGCACTGCAGCAGGCTCCAATTTCTGAAGAAAATCCTGGTGGCATCCAAGGATATGCCCTCATCCCACCTCCATGTGGAGGGGAGGCAGCTTCTGTCCAGCGTGTGTGTGGCACAGGTTGTCAGCCCAGCCCACTGGCTGCCAGCTCACCCACATGGCTGTGCCCTGAGCTGGCACTGCAGGCAGCCACCTTGCAGGTAATGTCACGTGTAGGACCTGGAATCACTGCTGTGCAGTGCAAACCAAAATCAGGGTGAGAAACAATATTTCTGGAATATTATTTGAAAAGCAAGTAAGCTATTCCTTCATTTGAATCTTCTAAAAATCCCTCTCTCCAGTAATCCAGACAAACATGGAGCTCCATCCCTGGACCATGTTCTTTTGAGCTCCCTGGACTTGTTTTCATCAAATTACCCACTGGCCGACATTGAGGGACATTATGAACAAGAACCTGTGGAAACTGCTCACTGTGTTTACTACGAGGATGTTGCTGATTGCATTGCACTTGTTAATTACATTGTACATCCTCCCTGGGAGATCCCACAAGAAATTCTTTTCAGTCTGGGTCAGGAATGAATGTGCTTCCCTCAAGCAACTAATTAAAATTATTTGTTGTAATTTTATGACCACATTGAAGCATGTATCTGCTTTCTTCTTTGAAGGGATTACCAGAAAACGAAGTCAAATATAAAGTCGCCTTCTGTAATTTATGGGTTTAAATGTTTTATATTTTTGTTTCTAATTTTTATGTGAGAATATTATCTTAGTTTTTCCTATCCCTCCTACTTTCAGGGGTTTTTTTTCCTGCATTCCTTTTCCACTCAATTCAAGTGGCCTTTTATCTCATTTTTATCTATTTACGTAAGATACCTTAAAACCTTTAAAACAGGAAAATGAATAAATAAACAGACAGTAATATCTGGTACTTTCAATTCATTATTTCTCAGAGGCAAATAAGATTCTCTCTTTTCCTGAATTTATATACCAAGAAATAGAATGTAATTACATAATTTTATGGAATTGGAACAATTACATAGAATATTGTTCTGAACAAATCCACTAATTAATACTGAAAGCACCATTTCATAAAACATTGAAAGTAGGGCCATAAAGCCAAGGCCAGAGACAAGAGAAAGACAAAGAAAGTGGTTTAGGACACCAGGGCTCAGGGAAGATACCACATATTTTCTTCAAAGCTGCAAACCACAGATGATGATTTCCATGTGTAGTGGGTGGCACAGTGACCCCTAAAAGATACATCCAAGCAGAACCTCAGACTGTGACCTTATTTGGAATGAGTCTTTTCAAATGTAATTAAGGTAAGGATCTAGAGATGAAATCATCCTGAAATAGGATGGAACCCTAAATCCATTGATGAGAATCCTTATAAAAGACAGAAAAGGAAAAGACACAGGGACACACAGAGGAGAAAGCCAAGTGAAGACTACAGCAGAAACAGGTGGGCAGCCATGAGCCATGGAGCGCCAAGGGCTGCTGGCCACCACCAGAAGCTGGGAGAGAGGGACAGAGCAGATTCTCCCTCAGAGCCTCCTGAAGGAACCAAACCCGGAGACACCTGGATTTTGGACTTCTGTCCTCCAGAACTGTGAGGGAATGAATTTCTGTTGTTTTAAGCCACCTGGTTTGTGGTATTTTATTACAGCAGCCCTAGGAAACTAATGCACCGTCTTAGGTCTCAAGATTGAAATTGAGGTCATATTAACTCATGTTTAAGGTTTTAGAACCTCCCTCTGTGAATTTAATTCTTGTTAAAAATCACTTTTTAAAGTAAAGCTTCTAATGGCCAGTTGTGGCGGCTCACATCTGTAATCCTAAGACCTTGGGAGGCTGAAGTGGGAGGATTGCTTGACGCCAAGAGTTCAAGACCAACCTACCATTATAGTAAGACCTCATCTCAAAAAATAAAAAAGTAAAATTTAAAATAAATAAATAAAGCATCTGTAGTAAAAGTTTTAAAAAAATCCCAAGCACAAGTCAATCATTATTAGTCATATTAAATGGAAAGTGTACATTAGCCTAAAGATTTTAACTTTCCAGAATTCTATTCATTTTTCACCATCACGTATTTATATGTAGCTAATAGACAATGGTATAATATACAATAGTATGAAAAGGTGACTACAACTCATGTGAGCATGATTTCTGTTCTACAGGTTATGTTAAACATTATAGAACCCTTCAAAACATAGTCATTAACATTCTGTATATGTCATTGAAGTAGATCTTTTAAACAAACATTTTTAAAATATGGCAAGCAAAGCTGTCTTCCTCGGTACTGCCTATGGAGATGGCAGTCATCTTCTCCATGGCATCATGGCCGTTCTCAGATCCCTCATGAAGCCCAAGATCATCAAAAAGAGGACCAAGAAGTTCATCTAGCACCAGTTAGACAAACATGTCAAAATTAAGCGTAACTGACGGGAAACCCAGAGATATTGACAACATGGTTCGTAGAAAGTTCAAGGGCCAGATCTTGATGCCCAACACTGGTTATGGGCGCAACAAAAAAACACAAAGCACATGCTGCTGATGGCTTCCGGAAGTTCCTGGTCCACAACGCCAAGGAGCTGGAAGTGCTGCTGATGTGCAACAAATCTTACTTTGCTGAGATCACTCACAATGTTTCCTTCCAGAACCGCAAAGCCACATGGAAAGGGCCACCCAGCTGGCCATCAGAGTCACCAACCACAATGCCAGGTTGTGCAGCAAAGAAAATGAAGAGACAGCTCATGTGCATGTTTTGTGTTTCAATAAAACCACCATAAAAAACTGAAAAATAAAATATGGCAGGCAAAGATGACAATGAACTATCACATAGCTTCCAGGAAACAGAAAAAGGGTGAGAGAGAATATACTAAGTAAGAGAGCTCAGAACAAATAATAATATAAGACAAAACCTAAACGAGTATTACATAGCAATGAAAGAAGTTTACATTATCATTCAGGAGACACTTGTTTTTTCTATTAGGAAATAAGTAAAAGTGATTCCACAAAAGTAATAAGAAAGGTAATAAGAAAAATGAAACATGGCTGGGTGTGGCGGCTCGTGCCTGAAATCCCAGCACTTTTGGAGGCCAAGGCAGGCAGATCACTTGAGGCCAGGAGTTTCAGACTAGCCTGGGCAACATGGGGAAATTCTGTCTCTACTGAAAATACAAAAATTAGCCAGGCATAGTGATGCGTATCTGTGGTTCCAGCTACTCTGGAGGCTAAGGTGGAAGGATCATGTGAGCCCAGGTGGTTGAGACTGCAGTGAGCAGAGATCATGCCACTGCACACTGGTGTGGGCAACAGGAGTAAAACCTTGTATCACAAAAAAAAAAGAAAAGAAAAGAAAAGAAAGAAAAGAAAAGGTGAGGTTTAATGTGTTTATTATAAAATAAACTGAGTGCTCTTTTCACTCTATTGATATTAACCCTGGTCAAATAAAGAAAAGAATATCCACATTTAGAAATTGATTTGCAATACCTAATTTCACCAGAGGATGGTAGAATAGGGTCAAAATAGATGAAAAAGTGCTAGTTTATCTATTTTTCTCCCAGGAGTTCACAATAAAGCTGAATGATATGTCTAATTTGTAGGAATGTAAAAATCTATTTATTCGACTGTCAAAATCTATTTATTCGAAAGTACAATTTAGAAAGGTAAGATGATTGGTTGGTTGGTTAATTTGCTTGTTGGTCTGTTTTGTTTGCAGTAGGAAAAGGGAGGGGGGAGAATTCCATTCTGGGGGATAAACTGACATAGAAGTTCCTTGTCACACCAAATCAAGATAACAGGAAACTAAGCCTCTGAGAGAACCACGAGCTTATTAGAGAAACAGTTAAAAAACAAACTGAGTTGATTTGTAAGAACTTTACAAAAGCTGGAGAGAAGAGAACTAATAACCCAATCACAACCTTCCATTCAAAAGTCTTTAAGGTTGGGAGGATTCTTAGCGAGGGCCCGGGGGTACTCAGCAGGAGAGAGAAGGATTTTTTTTCTACGAATGAAAATTTCCAGTGTACATCCCGCTAGGCATCTTGTCTCCCTCGTCATGCCTCTTCCTTTCCCGTCTCATTCATCCTTCTACACAGAGGCGAGTGATTTAGAAGATCTTCAAAGGGAACTCTGGCTGCTGAGCAGAGAAAAGGGGATACAGACACCAGTCCACAATTCATTTTCAAACACTAACTGAGTGCCTGCTATATGTGGGCTACCAGATCCCAGGGTTTCAAAGATAATAAGACCTGGTCCGTGCTCTTGAGAACCTAAAAACGTAGGAGTCAAGAGGCACTGCCTACCTCTCAATCCTCCTATCCTGTAGGCTGTCTCATTAATGGTCCCCCAGTCACCATGTACACAAGCACTCTGACCTTGAGAAATCTTTGACTCAGTGTTAAGCCCCTCTTCAAAGGCTCTGACACCCAATTGTTTCCCTCTACCTGGGTTATTGAGCCTGGGTTGCCTGGAGCATGTGTCTGAGATTCTTCTGATCTCGTCTTCTGCAGACGGCCTCTCCAAATTACAAACTCCCTGACTTTGCTGATCTCTGAGGCTTGACCGTCTTCCTAGACCAGCCCCACTTCTCCTAGACCTCGCGCCTTGCCCTGCATTTAATAACCTTTGTTGTCCCAGCAATAACCTAGTCCTGCCCTTGGACTTCAGGATGCTTGCTGGGCGGGCTCGTTACGGCTGGTGAGGGTAGAAAAGCACCTCAAGGCAACCTACACAGGCAAAGATGAAAGTCAATTATCCGTGGAAACTAGAAATATTTACACCATAACTCAGCATAATATTGTGTGGCATTGTTTCTTTGTGGCAGCATAGACAAAATCTAAGTCATCAGAACCTGACTTTTGCATTCTCAATTCTTGGAAATATCCAACAAAGAGATTAAGGGAAAAGTTCTGAGTTTCTGATTCCATATCTGCTATTTACCTACTGATGACCTTGGATAAGTTACTTCACATCTGTGAGCCTCAGTTTCCTCAGATAGAAACCAAATTAAGTATAATACCCTATAGCTTTGTTGTGAGGAGCAAATGAAATAATGTATGTTAAAGTCTTAGCATAGTACTAGGCACAGAGTAAGTTTTCAATAAATATTAGGATAAAATGACCATGGCAGCATGTGAAAGCGACTTCCTGATCACTTAAGAAATCTGAAAGTATTAGCATTAGAAATTTTGATTGCTTTTTTTGTATTCTAAAAACTTCAGGGGGCAAATATATGAAATATTCAATTAAAAAGAACCAGTTTTCACATCTCATTAGTCAATCCCCAGTTCCTATCGGGGTGCTTATTCAAGCTTCTCCCTTTTAGATTGTTTCCCTTTTGCCACTTGCATTTTTAATTGCATTTTCTTTTTACTATAGACTTAAAAGAAATACATCAATTTTTCTGTTTGTTTGTTTGAGACAGGATCTCACTCTGTCACCCAAGCTGGAGTGCAGTGGCATGATCTCTGCTCACGGCAACCTTGACCTCCCAGGATCAAGTGATTCTCATGCCTCAGTTTCCTGAGTAGCTGGGATTACAGTTGTACACCACCACGTCCAGCTAATTTTTGCATTTTTAGTAGAGATGAGGTCTTGCCGTGTTGGCCAGGCTGGTCTCAAACTCTTGGCCTCAAGTGATCCACCCGCCTCAGCCTCCCAAAGTGCCAGTATTACAGGGGTTAGCCATTGCACTCAGACGAAATACATCAATTTTTTTAATGTTAAGGTAGAAATAGGTGTAAAATGAAAAGTAAACCTTTCCCTCCCACCCCAGACTTATTCTTTTTTTCTCCAGAAATAATCACTGTCTCCTTTATCAAATTCTTAGCAATCTTTCAAGCTTCTGAACATATTTTTTTCACACAAATACATACTGTAATACTTCTGTGCTTTTTGCTTATTCATTTAACACAATAACATGTTATATAACAAAACTTACAGATCTACCGCATTATTTTTAATGGCTACATAGTAGACCTTTGCTTAAAGGTAACATGCTTTAAGGCATTCTCCTACTAATAGGCATTTATTTATGACTGTTAATATAATAACAATGTTTTATACCTTATGCACAATGTTTTATACACACTTTGGCAAGAATATATGTAGGACAAATTGCTACCAATGATGCAATTAGATCAAAGGTCAATGCATTTTTAATGTGAGTAGATATTACTACCAAACTGTCCCCCAAGGCCATGAGGTGGCACCAAATTGCACTCCTCTCTCTCTGCAGGGCATGAGAGTATCTGCTTGCCTGCAACCTTCTACCATATGTAGTATCCAAGTTTAAAACTGTTTTGATCTAATAGGTAAAAAAAAATTCTTTGCCTTTTAAATTTTCATTTTCTTTGTCATTTTTATTTTCATTTTGTAAATTACAAATGAAATGAAGCATTTTTTTCATTTACTCATTAGCCATCTATATGTTTATAAACCACCTGGTAAAATATTTGCCCATTTTTCTATTATTTATCTAATGAATTTGTAAGTGTCTTTCTATATTAAAGGAATTAATCCAGGTCTGTCATATATCATGTGATACAGCATTACAACATAAAAAGAAAATAGTTGTGTCACTAATTACATATTCTTATCTATATATCAGATATATAGCTGTTCCATCTATATAGCCTAAAAGAGAAAAATAAAATGAAAAAATTGAGACTGATTTTAAAGTTACAGTAAATGTCATTCTAACATTTTATTATTTTTCTGAATAAAATAAGCAATATCAACTAATTAATCATTTATTTACTATGTTTACCCACACATATGAGTGACTCACAGATATGATTAATAATATTTCAATCTTTATATCATTTTACAAAAATTTACCATATAAGAGATCAGGCCATATGTGACTTGCCTAGAGAACTAAGTTTTGAAACTTACCCCTTTATTGCATTACCTATAATTATTTCATGGTGAGTGTTTAAAGTCATCAAGATATTTGATTAAATAATTCTAAAAGAAACCAGTACATACTGAAAAGAGTTGACAGTAGTGATAAGAAGCAAGATGTTTATATTTTTTTGTAAACCCTGGTGGTTGATGAATGCTAACATTAGAAAAAAATCACTATTTTATGATTCTTAAAAATCTCTATTTTTCCCGTGAATAATGCCCCAATTAGACTAAAAGTTTCTGATAGATTGAAATTATATCTTATAGTTCTTTATAGGCCCCATAATTAATAATTTTTCATAAATATTTGCAGACTAAATATGAAATTAACAGACATTTATAACTACTTCGAGTGTTACCTAGTTAACACTGTATACTGGGGCTTAAATAAAAATCAGTAATTTCAGGATAAATACATATATTCCCCATATCTAACTATTCCTGCTATGTCTCTGGTTCACCATGCCTTCACATATACATCCCTTATTTCTATAGTATTGTATTTTATTTAATCCATTACATACTTTAAAGATTTTCTTATCTATTTATTGTTTCCAGTTATCTAAACATAGCTAGTATTTACTAAACTGTTAATCATTTGCAGCAGTATATTTTGGGAAAATGAATACAGGTATAGGAAAAATTATAGAACAAGAAAATGTTAAAAGTCAAGATCAATAGTATCCAACAATACCATGGAGTCCCGTGTCTTTGGAGCTTGAGGGTGCCCTAATCATGATGAAATGGTCCTAAAATAGGCAAAAATAGTTTTAGAGGTCATCTGCTTACAAAAGCGCAGACAGTGGCGATTCTACTATCCTTAAGTTTCTCTTGCTCCACATATGCCTGGATTTGTGAGAATAATGTGACTTAGAAGACTGTGCAGATCCAGGACTCTGAGAGTGGGGAGAGGCCCTCTGCATGAGGTTTCGGGATATGGCCCTCTGGAGATTCTTCATGGAAGACCCTGCAGCCATGGTGATCACCCAGGGATGGTCCAGGGCCTGGCCAGCTGACATGCGATGACCAGCCTCCAAAATCAGTAGTTTGTCTATAAAGTCCTTCGCCAAGTGGGAAATGCTTGGCCAAGGCTGAGAATAAAAATAAATAAGTTAGAATAAAATAAATAAAATGGAAATATACACAAACACAAAGAATCCTATTCTTAATTACATAGATCAATGCCAATCGAATCCAAAAAACTTTTTCAAATAAGCAGTTTTAATACTGTGTCATTACATATATAGAGGAACTAAACCACTTTTGAGGGAGGAAAAGAAAAAACTTTCACAGAAGAAAAAGACAAACACAAACACAGAAATTCTCTTCCAAACTCTTTGTCCAATGAGTGAGAAAACCTTCTCAGAAATCTGTCCATTGTGCTGTTGTTATCAATACGAGTTCCCATACTGCATTTACGGGAGCTGGACAAGGCAAAGCAGCTGTCTTTTACGAACTATGTCAACATCAGGTCAGTGTTTGCAACACTGTGGTCATCTCACAGAGTTCCTGTGACTTCAAGAATGAGAAGGAGTAGAAGGGGAAAGTGGAATGGATTGAGAAATCATCAACTTTTCCCTCCCTTTGAAAGCTTACTCTGAGCCAGGCACAGTAGCTCACGTTTGTAATCCCAGCACTTTGGGAGGTTGAGGAAGAAGGATCGTTTGAGTCCAGGAGTTTGAGACCAGCCTGGACAACACAGCAAAACCCCATCTCTACAAAAAATGTAAAAATTAGCCAGGCACAGTGGCACATGTCTGTAATCCCAACTACTCAGGAAGCTGAGGTGGGAGGATTCCTTCAGCCCAGGCATTCAAGGCTGCAGTGAGCTATGATGGCAGCACCACACTCCAGCCTGGGTGACAGAGTGAGACCCTGTCTCTAAAAAGAAAGAAAGAGGAGAGAGAGAGAGAGAGAGAGCGAAGAGGGGAGGGGAGAGGCAGAGAGAGAGAAGAGGGGAGGGGAAGGCAGAGAGAGAGAGAGAGAAAGAGTGAGAAAGAAGAAAGAAAGAAAGAAAGAAAGAAAGAAAGAAAGAAAGAAAGAAAGAAAGAAAGAAAGAAAGAAAGAAAGAAACGAAAGAAAGAAAGAAAGAGAAAAGAAAGAAAAAGAAAGGAAGAAAGGAAGAGAGAAAGAGGAAGAAAGAAAGGAAGAAAGGCAGAGAGAGAGAGAAAGAGGAAGAAAGAAAGAAGGAAAGGAGGGAGGGAGGGAAGGAAGGAAGGAAGGAAGTGAAGTGCACTTCCTCAAACACACTGGGCCCTCACTGTTCCCAATCAGCTGAGAACAAATAGATTCAACATGTAACAAATAGATTCAAATAGATTTGACTACAAATAGATTCAACACGTAACAGCTATGACACAGTACAATATGCACAGCTAAGTAGTTCCTATTTCAGGGATTTATAGTGGCAGTGTTTACAGCAATTGCACATACTTTAAATACAATAGCAGCACTTCATAGTGGCATTTCTGAGCATGGGAATAAGAAGGCTGTTGCTTTATATTCAAATTTGCTTTCTGCATTATCTGCTGAGAAAGAAAAGAAACAATTTAATCTGAGGAATGCAAGCCCCTTTAAATTATCAGGCCAAGAGAGGCACTGAAATATAACAGCCTTCACTTCTCATTCTCCTCTTGTGCTAAATAATTACCTCTTGAAGCCACTTGCTATGTGGGCTCTACGCTATCTAACACCAAGTAGCCATAAAGTGCCATAGGTTGGACACCATCACTCATACCCCACAGTTCAACAATATAGCCAATCACTAATCAATGTTATTTATGTAAACCAGTGTTAATTCCTCTCAAACAACTTTGTATCAGCCCAGACCTAAGAGCACACGCCCCACAGAAGTTAGGACGTTTTCCAGAGCAGCTGTCCCCACTTTGGCCTGATCAGACAAGCTCTTAAAAACTATATTTTGTGCCTCAGCCTCATCCTGTAGGTTGACTCTACCAGCACATACCGTATACCCGGAAAACACTACAGTTTAGTGTCCTTTGTCCTCTGCAAAAGAGAAACATTGAGAAAATTGCCCATACGTTTGCTGTATCTCAAACACAATTTCTAATTGATGTGTGTTTTTAAAAGATGGTATTTCCAAGGAAAGATAAGGGAATCCTTCCATGTATTGTCTCTGCCATTGTGTAACGATAAAGCAGAGTCCATACATAGACATCACATTCTCCAATCTCTTAGCACCCTATTAACTCTATGTTTTGTTTTTTGTTGTTTTGTTTTGCTTTTTTTAGAGATGGGGTCTTGTTATATTGCCGAGGCTGGACTTGAACTCCTCCTGGTCTCAAGCCATCCTCCTGCCTCAGTTTCCCAAGTAACTGTGACTGCAGACCCACTCCCACCCCCACCCATGCCAACTTAACTCAGAATTTGTTTGTTTGTTTGTTTTTGAAATGGTGTCTCATTGTGTTGCCCAGGCTGGAGTGCAGTGGCATGATCGTGGCTCACTGCAACCTCCGCCTCCCGGGTTCAGGCGATTCTCGTGCCTCACTCTCCCATGCTGGGAGAGTGCCTCACTCTCACATGCTGGGATTACAGGCATGTGCCACCAAGCCCAGCTAATTTTTGCATTTTTGTAGAAACCGGGTTTCGCCACGTTAGCCAGGCTGGTCTCAAACTCCTAACCTCAGGTGATCCGCCTGCCTCGGCCGCCCAAATTGTTGGGATTACAGGCGTAAACACTGCCCCCCGCCTTAATCCAGAATTTGAATAATAAGAAACCAGTAAAAGAACTCTTCTTTTTTTTCCTTCAGTGTATTTAGGTAAATGAGACATGAGAAATATTTATCCCAGAAATAAAAGTTATAAAATAAATAAGCATATCTGACAAATACTCAAACACAGGAAAAACAAAATATAAACTCTGCAAGTCTAGAAAAAGCACATCAGTGACTGACACTCACAATGCCATGCCCTCTGGTTCTGGCTAGACATCTATTTGGCCCTGAATCCAGACAAATCTATCTGAGCTCAAGACTATTTAAATGAAGGTTAAATTAGATGGCTCCTCTGGAACATTTTAAGACAAGCAACTGAATCTTTCTGAAAGAGTATAAAATATGTGCAACAAGGTTTATGGAGAGCTTATTAAGATGACCCCAAATGATTGTACGTTTAAAATGCAGTTGAAGAAAATAAAGTAACCGGAGAAAAAGTTCTTCAGCCAAAGCTTATTATTCAAACATGAGTTATAAATTGCAGAATTCCTGAGCCATAAAGGACAACTGGAGAGTATCTAGGAGTCAATTTCACATTTCACATTAGAAAAGGGCAGCTACAGAAAGAAAATGAACTATTTTATTTTTCTTTTATTAATCTAAAATTGATTTTCATCTATGTTTAGTAAAGTATAAAATAGACTAATATACATACACGTACATATCTATTAATGAATAAAAATGGAGTGTGCATGCCCCCAAATGTTTAATAGTGCTATATAACCAAAAACAACTAGGAAACCATAGGTTGAATCGAATACCCACTCTGGACCAGCTGTCACCTGATGACATCATTTAGTCTTTTCACCAGCTTTCCCATCCACTTGATGTCCAATAAACTTCCTTAGAATTTCTCCTCCCAAATTCGGCCACCCCCACTCTTTGCTTCAAAATTCCCCTTTGTTTGGCGTTTCTCGACAGTCTCAGGTAGACATGACCCCGAGTCCCACTGCTAACCCATCTTACTGTGGAAAAAGCATGAAGTCCTTGGATCTGGACTAGACAGGCAGTCTGACCACACACAGCTCTGCAACCTCAGGGTCTCAGTTTCCTTGTCAGAAAAATGGGGATCATCATATCTCCTTCACGAGATTGCCATTAGGACCAAATTAGACCAAGCATGTGAAAAAGAGTTTTCAAACTGTAAATATTGTTGCTGTTGTTCTTGTTACTATTAAATCCTCACACCTTAATTCCTTCCTCAGTTCTTTTGTGGATAGATTAACTGACTGCACTTAGAGAACTGGAATATGAAAATTATCCAATAATTCTCAAACCAATTCCATTCACAATAGCATGACAAATGTGCACCCTCAAAAAAAAGTTATGTGTTAAGAGGTAATGAACCATTTTACAAAAAAAGGAGAACTTTATTTTATCCCAAGATCATTAAATTAATTTAGTTGCAAGTAAATTGTAATATTTGTGGATATTTCAGGCCTTTTTCCCCTTTTCTTCTTTCTTCCTCTGGTTCTTTGCCTATTTTTCTGTCTTTTCCAATAGAGATTGGCTTCACTGTATAAAACAACAGTGACCCAAAAAAGGCATAAAACTGAAACTTACACCAGGAATCGCACTACTTATTAGCTTTAAATGATTCAAAGGAATTCGGAGGGATGGTATCTTACATGCTGTAGATGTCTTGACTCTCACCTTCAGAGAAGTCAGAAATGATTGTAGTTTACGGCTTTCCAGTTTTTTGATGAACAATATTCCTCTGTTGTTTGCCCACATCCAGGCCCTTTAAAAGAGTCTGGCTCTCCTCGCACAACACAGCCTGGCCTGCCCTGGTGAGGACCTTGCTGGACTCTTCTCCAGCATGGTTTCTCTAACTTCCCCTCAGTGGTGACTCTCTAACCCATCTCCCCAGCTTGCCACTTGCTGACTCTGTTCTCCCTCCTATTCTGCCCTCTTCTTCCTTTCAGTTGCCTTCCGTGGTCTGGTAGTCAGACCCCACTTCCCTCTCCAGTTTTCTGCATCAGCTTCCAAATTAAATGTTCTGTTCAGGCTTCTCTTTATCTAGCGGTCACACATCACTTTGTGTACTATAGACCCCCTATCTCCCCTCCTCACCATGAGCCCCAGGAATCCCATGGAGATTGGTGGTGCCTCTTCAAGGAGACAAGAATCATATATTCAAGATTAAAATTTTCATTCTCTTCTTTTTTATGAACACCAATTAGTGGGGCTAATTTAATATCTTGTGCAAAAGATTGGTAAATATACAAAAGCTAACTAGGTAACTGGTTTAAAGAATGACTAATATTCCTACAACTAGTCAACGCTTTAATATTTCTCAGTTCCTTTGCATAAATGCCCACAAAAAATCATTATAAAAATAAGTATTAGGACCAGGAGTGGTGGCTCATGCCTGCAATCCCAGCATTTTGGGAGGCCGAGTCAGGAGGATCACTTGAGCCGAAGAGTTCAAGACCAGCCTGGGTAACATAGTGAGACACTGTCTCTACATACAAAAATTAGCTTAGCATGGTGACACGCAGCGGTAGTCCCAGCTTCTCTGGAGGCTGAGGTGGCAGAGTTGCTTAAGCCTAGGAGGTTGAGGCTGCAGTGAACTGTGATCATACCACAGTAACCAGCCTGGGTGACAGAGCAAGACCCTGTCTCAAAATACAAAGAAACAAAAATTATTAAAAAGCTAAACACTACACACACAACATAGACCCAGTCTCTAAAATTCTAGATGCAAACCTTTGAATTTAAGATTGTAATTAATGTTACAATTTGCTAAATATAGAGCTCTTGAAGTATAGGACAATTATTGGTGGATTTAATTAAATAATTTTTTTAAAGCTACAAATATCTATTTTTAAAAATAAATAAATAAGCTATCATTCAATTCCTTGCACTAGAAATAATCATTGTCACATTTATCTCCACAAAAAATCATAAGTTTTATTAAAAATTTCTACTCATGACAACCTTCTGATGAATTTTCCTTCCTTCTTTGAACATTAGTGTGTGGTCTTGGTAGAATTTAGCTCAGGCTTTGCAAATAAATTTTATGTAAATATGCCCCAAACTGATTACTCTCTATGACTTTGTTAGTAGTAGGCATGGCAAAAATTATTCTTCCACATCTCAGGAAGCAGAAGATTCCATATATCATTTTTGTTATAGATATTTAATATTTTTATTTCTTTATTTCTCAATCTACAAAGCAGATTTTAAATGCTTTATCTTGACAAAAACGAAACTGCAGAAAGACAAAGCATTGACTAATTATGTCAGAATGCTCTGTCTGCTGGGGCATTTGTAAATTCTGGGAAGAGTGAACACATATTCACAAGTCACAGGTGCCATTTAATTTTAAAATGGAAAGTTAATTAATCTTACACTAGGCTCATAAAGAGTTTATTTTTGTGTGTGAAGGGGTTCTGCTTTGAGAGAAGGAATGCTTCCATTTCTTTACTCATAAGGAAAACCCTAAATTTAAGTAAAATTGGGTACAGTTGAAGTTTTTTGAGCACCTACTATTTTTCAAAGCACCAGAAGTTAACAAAAGGAGTGTTCCATTTTCTCCAAAGAAAAAACAACGTAACAGTGACCAAAATAAATGGGTTGGCCTTTGAACCCCAAATCAACAAATGACTCATTCTTCTATGCATAATATACATTTATTATTCATAACTGGTGCTTATAGTATAAACATATAGAATAATGTATTTATATTTATAACTAGTTCTTGCAGTGTACATCTATTAAAGTATAATATAAACAATATAAACATAGTATTAATATTAAGTCAGTTTCTGGAAACTTAAATAGTTCCTTTCCTCTCAACTCTGTGAATTCCACTGATGATATCAAGGTCAAGATACAACCTAATCAAGGAAGCAGATAGCATAGCTACGTTTATACCCTAATCACTAATGCAAGGTGACATCTACACAGTCAAAACAAAACACACCACCATCATTTCCCTTCCTAGAAACACTTATTGTCTGTGATTGAGTTTAAGAGATGAAGGTTTATATCCATTCAGTTTAAGGCAAGTCAGAGAAGAGATGAAGAAAGTGATAGAGCAGAAAATGAAGTTACTCTTGTAAGATTTAAAACCACTAAAATTATTTTCTATAAAGTAACTTTTAAAGTAAAAATATCATTAAAAATAATTAAGCACCACATATTTTGGTGAGCATAAGTACTTAGGAACTAAACCATAGGAATGGGAACCAAATTACAGGAATTACAGCTTAGCAGACCTATCTGAAATATGGTACAATATTCATTCCAAGAATTCTAGTCATGATGGAAAGAGAATTAAAGTACTGAATGTTCTGCTTTTCTTTCCTTTTTTCCTACTTAATAACCTGAATGGAGAACAAGAGAATAAGAGAAGTTAGTGGAGAAAAGGAGACATAACAAAATTGGGATCATGGCTGGTGAAAATGAGCATAATCAAACAGACATGTTACTTCTAAAAGAGAATATCAGCAAAAGTATTTCCTAACAGTATGAGAATCACAGGTGAACCTAAGTAGATAGGGACCATTTTCTATCAATATCCATGTGGGATTTAAAAATATATATACATATATATGTGTGTGTCTGTGTGTGTGTGTGTGTGTGTGTTTAGGCCAGGCACTGTGGTTCACATCTGTAATCCCTGCAACTCAGGAGGCCAAGGTAGAAGGATCACTTGAGACCAAGAGTTCAAGACCAGCCTGGGCAACATAACAAGACCCTATCTCTACAAAAGATTTTTTTTTTTAAATGAGCTGTGCGTGGCACATACCTGTAGTTCCAGCTACTCAGAAAGCAGAGGTGAGAAGATTGCCAAAGCCCAGGGAGTTTGGGGCTGCACTGAGCTATGATCACGCCACTGCACTCTAGCCTCCTGGGTGACAGAGTGAGACCTTGTCTCTCAAAAAAGAAAAAAATGTTTTTAATATCAGTGTCTGTCCTCGTCAGCTAGCTAATATGGTTATAATTCTCCTTTTTTTAAAATCAATGCATTGCTCACCAAAAAAAGATGACTGTGATACAGTGGAATATAATTAGACAAGAATATATGATTCACAACTCATTGATGAGAATTCTTGTAATTTATCATTAATATTAAAATTCTAACACTAACCTTTCTTCACTATTCCATGTAAAAGATTTAAAAGGTGCACTTGATAAATGAAGTTTGTACTGCAGAAAAAAAGCCATAAAACTAATAACTTACTTAGGCAAAATTCAAACTTTCAGTCCTAGTCTCCCAAGTTAATAGTAACAATAACAAAAATAATGAACATATATACAGCACTAACTCTGTATATACTAGCATATGAAAATAGTCTCAGCACCTACATCTATTAGCTTATTTGATCTTCACAACAACCCTTTTAGGTAGGTACCACCATGATTACCATTTCACAAATGCAGAAACTGAGATACAGAAAAAACTTTTAAATGTCCAAAGTTACACAGTTAGTAAATTGCAGAGCTGGTAGTGGAATCCAGCCAGTCTTGTTCCAGGTAGTTGGAGTTTTTTTTTTTTTTTGGTTTGTTTGTTGTTGTTGTTGTTGTTGCTTAGAGAGAAGGTCTCACTCTGTTACCCAGAAGACTGGAGTGCAGTGGTGTGATCATAGCTCGCTGCAGCTATGATCCTCTTGCCTCAGCCTCTCAAGTGGCTAGGACTATAGGCACATGTCACCATGCCCACCTAATTTTTAAAAAATGTTTTTGGTAGAGATGGGGTCTTGTTATGTTGCCCAGGCTGGCCTTGAACTCTTGGGCTCGGGTGATCCTCCCACTTCAGCCTCCCAAAGCACTGGGATTATAAATATAAGCCACCATGCCTGGCCCAGATCGTGTTCTTAATTATTATATTATACAGTTTTTCAAAATACTTAATATGCATGCATGTACACACACACACACACACACATACACACAAATGCATGCATCTGAGCTCTAAAGTTTTTTTTTGTTTGTTTGTTTTCATTTGTTTTTGTTTTTGTTTTTGTTTTTTTGAGACAGAGTCTTAATCTGTCACCAGGCTGGAGTGCAGTGGCTGGAGTGCAGTGGCCCGATCTCAGCTCACTGCAACCTCCACCTCCCGGGTTCAAGCGATTCTCCTGCCTTAGCTTCCTGAGTAACTGGGACTACAGGCACGCGCCACCACACCCAGCTAATTTTTGTATTTTTAGTAGAGATGGGGTTTCACCATGTTGGCCAGGATGGTCTCGATCTCTTGGCCTTATGATCCGCCCACCTCGCCTCAGCCTCCCAAAGTGCTGGGATTACAGGCATGAGCCACCATTCCTGGCCTAAAGTTTTTACATTTTACTAGTCAATGTATTCCTTTATGTGCTTTTGCATATATTCTGTCTATTTGGAATCTTCTTCCTTCCAGAAACTCCTTCCCTTCCTGCAAGATAGCACAAATGTGGCCCTTTTCATGGACCCTGACCCAGTTTTCCTAAGCAATGATAGATTTTCTTCCATTGCCCCTGTGAACTTTGAGGCTTTGTTCCCACTTACATTAAAGCACTTGTATTTGAAGAGATATATAATCATACTTGTCTCTCAGCCAAGACCACGAGGCTCCTAAGAGCAGAGACACTGAGCTGAACAAAATTTCTGGCACGAGGAAGGCCTGACCAGAAGGAAGGGGTGAAGACCACATAAAGATGCCTTCAAATGGTCTCCATAATGAGTCCTTTACTTAGCGTCTCAAGCACGAGCTCTGCCACCATCCAAAAGCCATTGTGATGGCACTGGCAATCAAGTAGATAAGTGAAGGCCTTCCTTGCACACTGGGGAGGAAATCTTTGCTCTCTTCCATCCCTTCTCCACCATCTGCTGTACCTGTCTACCCTGGCTGCTCCTCCAGCATTGCAGAAAAAAACTAGAAAAAGGAACTCCTATGCCTACCCTGCAAAACCCAGTGAATACAGTAGATGTAGCCTTTCAGACCACCTACCTATTCCAGAATGGACCTAATAAACTCAGCAACTAAGGATGTTAATTATCATCTACCTAACTATAAGTCAGAAATTCTATGCTGTGTTCAAAACAGTTATATCTGAGATACACTTACTCATGCAGTTATAAATCAGAATCTTTTAATATTTTTCAAAAGCAATTTATTTGTAATTGAATGCATTCTCCATGCTTATTCCTTTTAGATGTCTTACTGAATGCAGAGAGAAAATATGGTAGTATCCCTGCCTTTAAGGAGCTTATAATGTCTTAAAGCAGCAACCTATAGCAACCAGATTAAATTAGAACAAATGAAATTAATCGTAATTCTAAACAGTATTTGGAAAAGGGAAAGAATGACAGAAGTGGAATGATCATTGAAGATTTCATGAAAAAGAATATATTTCACAACAAAATCCAAAAAAGTTAAACATTAATATTATGGCTAACTTTTACTTATATACGAGTGGAGCTAGAGTATGGCTCTGTTAGATATTAGTATAATATTTAGTATTATATTAAACACCTCACTCCCCTTCACCATAAGAGGTATACCACATAAATCTCTGGAAGTTTTCATCCAATTTATTTTATTTTATTTTATTTATTTTTTTGAGACAGGGTCTCACTCTTTCACCCAGGCTGGAGTGCAGTGCTGCAATCTTAGCTCACTGCAACCTAGACCTTCCAGGCTCAAGCAATCTGCCCACCTCAGCCTCCAGAATAGCGGGGACTACAGGCACACATCACTATGTGTGGCTAATTTTTTGTATTTTTTGTAGACATAATGTTTTGCAATGTTGCTCAGGCAGGTCTAGAACTTCTGAGCTCAAGCAATCCTCCTGCCTTGGCCTCCCAAAGTTTTGGGATTACAGGTGTGCACCACAATGCCCAACCTATTTAATTTGATGTTTATACCTGAATTCTGGGGAAAATAAGTGATTTATACAATGTGTCATATCTGGAATTTCAGTTATAGGCAAAAGAAAACCTTTCTGAAAAAAGGCGAATTATTATTTTACAGTTCTGCAAATCAGAAGTCTAAAATGGGTCTTACAGGCTAACATCAAAGTGTCACCAGAGCTGTGTTCCTTCCAGAGGCTCTAGGGGAAAATGCATTCCTTGCTTTTTCCAGCTCCTAGAGACTGTCCTTATTCCTTGCCTCATGACCCCTCTCTCCATCTTCAAAAGCACATCATTTCAACCTGTTTCCATAGTCATATCTCTTCTCTCTAGCTTTGACCCTCTTGTCTCCCTACTATGAAGAAACTTGTGATCGTATTGGGCCTCCAAGATTATCCAGAATAATCTCCCAATCTCAAGAGTTTTAACTTAATCACATCTGCAAATTCTCTTTTATCACATAAGGTAGCAATCACAGATTCTGGGTATTAGGGCATGGACATCTTTGGTGGGCCATTATTCTGTCTACCACATCTATGCTTCCAGACTTGACGATATGGGAAACCAAAATATATCCACCAAAATATACTTCTTTGGCATATTTTGAGATGGCTCTTTAGAGGGGCTGCAGACATAACAGTGGCTCTGAAAGCTGTCCTTTTGTGGAAAAGATTTGCATCTGTAGAGGAAATCTACATTAGTGAAGTAAACAGTGGATGCAAACAGGATTTCTCTGAGACCCATTATCAGCCTTATCCTAAACTAGGAAAGATTAACTCATAGAAAATATCTGACAGTATTAAAGTTCCAACAGGGAAACTGTCACCACTGGATTCCATCTATTCTTTCTGAGAGCTGTTACCTGAGAGATTTCATCTGCATAACAAGACAGCCTTTGCTCACCATGCCTTTTCTCCCCTCCCCCTCCCAGAACCTGTCTCCAAACTCCAAGTCTCTGTTCCTTTCTGTACAGTATGAAAACTTCAGTCATTTGGCTCTTCTTTAAGTCTCATCTTTTGTGTGGCTCCTGTGCACAGAAATAAATTTATATACATTTTCTCCTGTTGATCTGCCTATTGTCAGTTTGCCTTATAGATTCAAATTATATTCGGAAGAAGGGGAAGGAAAATTCCCTTTACTCTACAGTGGTCACCTGGTTTTAAATAAAATTGGTACAATTAGCAATTACTAGACTTGGCAATAGACGCTAAATATATGGTAATATGATGACAAATGAAAACATGATGATATACTTTTCTGAGTCTACCGATATATGATTCCTTGGTATTATGGACTGAATATTTTATTCTCTCAAAATTCTCTGTTGAGCCCTAACCCCCAGTGTGGCTATGTTTGGAGATGAGGCCTCTAGGGAAGTAGTTAAGCCACCAAACCTGTGTTATTTTATTATGGCAGCCTGCACTGACTAAGACACTTGATGATATCAAAAGAAATGTTAATATGCTAGACATGAGTGCCTGACAGACATGGGGAGGGAAATCAAGATAATATAAATCTAGTACTTTATTACAAGCAGTCACACTCCTCTGTGGTGCATGTTGTCAGTACTCTGGTGCTATAGGCAGACATTTCCTCAAGAAACAGAGGGTGCCTTGCACCTCCCACCATGGAGATGCTGTTAATGCTCCATCTAGACCCTGGGCCCCTCTTTCCTGTATGCATGCACGCACCCTTCTTTTGAAGTGCTTTGCTTCTAAATCCCAGCCCCCTGCTCTTTTTCAGCAGACTGCCCTGGGGCTCATGGAGTCACTCTGCCTTGACCTCAGAAGGCCTGAGAATTTACCACCATTACCAACCTCAGTGACCAACAGATAGGTGTGGTGTGAAAACCCTGCCCATTAGCCTCTGGACAATGCTGAGAAATATTAATATCTCCCCTGCTGAATAAGGCCTACCCTCTGTGGCCTTGGCCTCTTTGCCTCCCTTGTCCTGCTCCCCTCACTCCCTTACCTGTCTCCCCAGGAGTCTATCCATAATAAATCACTTGCACATGAATCCTCTTCTCAGTTGCTTTTGGGGAAACTGACCTTAGGAACTCTCTGAATTAAACCTAACAAAAGGATTTTTAAACAGAAAATATTGTATATTGTTTATTATTCTTTCACATTAAAAATAATTATAGTATCTAGTCCAAATATGGCCCAAATGGACCGCACCCCCATATCACACTCTGTGTAGTTCCCCCCAACATTGAATCATGGCTGGCCTAGGACTCAGTAGCCAATAGAATGATGCAGACATGGAGCTGTGCTATTTTCAAGTTTAGCCTTGAAGAGGACTGGCAACTTCCATACCTCCCTTTTGGAATATCCCCTTCCCTCAGCTGTCATGTAAGAAATCTGGCTGCCCTGCTGGAGAAAGCACATGGAGAAACCCGTGGAGGAAAAGAGAGCCAGAGATGCATAGAAAGAATGAGAGAGAAAGGCCTAGGAGTCCCAGTGATCTAGTTGAACCCAGATTCCAGCCATCCGCACCAAGATGCCAGACATTTGAGTGGGGCCCTCGTGGATATTCCATCCCAGTCAAGCCCCCAGATGACTGCAGTCCCATCCAACATCATGTGGCACAGAAGATTCACAAGCTGAGCCTTATCAACCACAGGTTCATGAGTCATAAAAAAGTGATGATTGTTTTAAGCCACTAGGTTTGGGGATGGTTTGTTATGCAGTGGTAGATAACGAAAACAGAAATATATGTTCTTTGTAAACAAAACAAAAACAGAAATACAAAGATATTCAAGCTATAAAGAAAATCAAAATGATCCAAATCACCATACCAGGAGAAAAGCCCAGTAAACATGCTATTATATTTCCTCCTAGTCTTTTCCCATGCAAACGTTTTCCCACACGAATGTGATCATAGTGTATACACAGTTTATATCCTGCTTTTATTCTACTTGGCAGTATATTGTGAAAATTTTCCAATGTCATTACAATTTTTAAATGTGCATGAATTGGGGACTATCATACTCTATCATATGGATGCTCAGTTATGTGTTCAAACATTCTCTCAGGACTCTTTAATTTTTTACTTTTGTAAACATAGCTTGGATTAGTACTCTTACAGTGAAACCTTTGCTGCATCTGGGATTACTTAGATTCTTACAAATCGAATTATAAGATCAAAATACATAAATTTTTTAAAGTTCTTGATATGGTTTGGCTCTGTGTCCCCACCCAAATCTCATCTCAAATTGTAATCCCTGTAGTCCCCGTGTGTCAGGAGGGGAACGAAGTGGAGGTGATTGGATCATGGGCAGTTTCCCCACGTTGTTCTCATGATAGTGAGCGAGTTCTAACGAGATCTGATGGTTTTATAAAGGGCTCTTTCCGCCTCTCTTTTTCTCCTGTCACCGTGTGAGAAGGTCCAAGCTTGCTTCCCCTTGGCCTTCTGTCATGATCGTAAATTTCCTGAGGCCTCCCCAGCCATGCAGAACTGTGAGACAGCTAAACCTTTTTTAAAATATAAATTACCCAGTCTTGAATATTTCTTTACAGTAGTGTGAAAATGGACTAAGACAGTTCTAGATTCATATTTTCAAACTACTTTCCAAGAAACCTGTGACAATTTGTCCTCTACTAGTACTTAGTGAGAGGGCTAATCTCTCAGTACCCTTCACAGCCATATGTAGAATTTAGTTGTTTGTTGTTTTATCTTTATGAATTTGAAAGACAATAAAAAGACATTTTTGTGTTCATTTGCATTTCTTTGGTCATTAGTGAGGCTGGACATTTTTCAGACTTTTAATAATCAGTGGTATTGCATTGTCTGTGAATTCTTCCCATCCTTTCCTACTTCCTTGTATAAATTTTAGCTCTCATTTATCAATTTGAATGAGTTTGTAAAAACATATACATGTACCATAAGGCACTAAAGGTCTGTCAGAGTGTAGAAAACATTATATTTAAATTTGGTGTTTAACTTTAATTTTGCTTAAAGATGTTGCTGTAGATATACACGTTACATTTTAAGTAGGTATAAGCAAATATCAATGTTTTTCTTCATGAGAAATTAGAAGTCAAATAAATTTGCTCATCTGCTGTACATGAAATGAATTTCCTATTTTGTCAGGCTTCCCACACACAAGCATTGGCAACTTTCCTTCCCTACCCAAAACAACAAAAAAGTTAACACATTCATGAACACTGGGAGTTTCAAGTTTAATCAGTGGATAAATATTTTACACAAGCTGTGAGGTTAAACATTTCGCTGAGAAAACACTTCATCACAAAAAGGGCTTGGATCATCAAGATTTAAGGCAGAAAAATCTCTCGCTAAACACCCAAGCGTCATGCTGAGTTTCTGTGAACACATTAGTCTAGTCAGCCAGCTCAGGCTCTGCACAGATTGGAGAAAAAAACTGCAGAGGAACTCATTTATCTACTTGATTGTCAGTGTCATGTGCTAACCACAGGCAGCTAGTAATGGAGGCCCTTGCTATCTTGAGTCAAATGGCTCTCAGTCAGGGGCGATTTTGCCCCACAGGGGACATTTAACAATGTCTGGAGACATTTGGGGGCCCCACAACTGGGGGAGGTACATTACTGGTATTTAGAGTAGAGGGCAGTGATGCTGCTAAGCATCCTACAGCACACAGGACAACCCCAAAAATCATCCAGTCTTAAATGTCAAAAGTGACAAGGTGGAGAAGCCCCACTCTAAACCAACACAATAGAAATAAAATAATGCTCTCTTACCTCTCCTGTATAATTATATTTGCCTTTCAGAATCTTCCTGTAAAGCCTTGTCTGGCTTTCATCATCAAAAGGCAGGAATCCGCTAAGTAAAGCATATGTGATCACACCAAGAGCCCACATGTCCACTGCACTGGTATAAGGCTTCCTTAGCAAAACCTCAGGAGCTATGTACTCTGGGGTCCCACAGAGTGTCTTCATTGTCCAGTCACCACTTTTTTTCCCGGAGTATGCCAAACCAAAATCTGTAATTAAAATTTTCGACTCTTCACCTGGATGATAGTATAAGAGGTTTTCAGGCTTTAGATTCCTATGAGTTATCTGCAGCGCATGCAAATACCTAATCCCATCAGCAACCATCTGGAGGATCCTGACGGCATCCCGCTCTGTAAAGGATCCCTGAGCAATGAGTCGATCAAAGAGCTCCCCTCCGGTAGCCAGCTCCATTACCATGTAAACTTGATCCTCAGTCTCAAAGATCTCCATGAGCTGGACAATGTAACGATGGCTAACCCGCCGCAGGACGCTCAGCTCAGACACGCACGCTTCTCTACCTTCCCTCTCTCTGGTTTCCATCACTTTTATTGCAAAAGGTTTCTTGGTGGTCTTCTGCTCTACCCTGACAACCCTGCTGAAACTGCCTGTCCCAATAAGAGCTTTGATGTCATATCTGTTGGGAAGAAAAACCAAACATGTTATCCCCAGAAGTGATGATTCTCAAAATTATTTAAGTCCATGCTTTATATCATCTTTTCTATCCTTCTATTCCTCCCATCAGATTTATTTGTTTATTATTACTTGTGTTTATTATTTTTTGAAAGGTACCCCAAATCCTGTTTTGAAATGGAGGAAAACGATATAAAGGTAATTTGTTGGTAGAAAGACAATCTTAATACAATAACTACCATTTATTATACAGTTATTATATGCCAACAATTTTTAAAAATCTTATCCCTACTAAAACCCTGCTGGGTAATATAATAATATCCCCCTTTTTCAAATAAGGAAATTCAGACTTAAAAAGAAGTTAAATGAGTTATCAAGGGCACCCAGATTGTGGTTGGAATGGATGGGATTCAAATCCAGCCCTTTCAAATGCATTTCACAAAAACTGTTTCAAGAATGTTAAGACCCCCCTCTACCAATTTCTTTCCTTCCTCTAGCCCTTGTTTTTGTCATTCTTCAACAACAAACAAATCAAGTGGGGGAGAATAAAGTAGAAGCTTACTCCTGTTTATAATTTCTCAAAGGCTGAGGATCCCATATCAGAAGACAGAGAATAAACAGTATGTTTCTTTGGGTTGCTTGACTGTGAGCTCAGCCCCAGGCTCATCTTGTACACAGTAGCTGTTAATAAGGAAGAAGTAAATGCAGCTGTGCTATTATAAGAGCCGGTTTCAGCAGTCTGGTGGGAGTAGTGTTAGGGCCACCTTGCAGCCAGTAGCTTCTCACAGTCTCCCTCCATCCCCATACCCACACTTGGAATTTCTCGGCAGTAAAGAGAATTTTAACATGGAATGTATGTCAATAATTTGTAAACCAATTATCCCACAAAAAGGCCAAGAACATATGTTTACCTACGTAACAAACCTGCACATCCTGCACATGTACCCCTGAACTTAAAATAAAAGTTGAAGAAAAAAAGGCCAGGATATCAGCTCAGATTTCAAATGCTAGGGATCTTAAGCTTTAATTATCTGTGTAAACGTCTATTAAAATTTAAGAATCTGGCCAGGCACGGTGGGCTCATCGTGTAATCCCAGCACTTTGGGAGGCCGAGGTGGGAAGACTGTTTGAGCCTAGGAGTTTGAGAGCAGCCTGAGCAAAAAACTGAGACCCCTTCTCTATAACAAATTTAAAAATTAGCCAATCATGATGCACAGCTGTAGCCCCGGCTACTGAGGGGACTGAAGCAGGAGGATCCCTCGAGCCCAGGAATTTGAGGTTGCAGTGAGCTGTGATCAGACCACTGCACTCCAGCTTGGGTGAGAGAGCGAGACCTCTGTCTCAAAAATTAAAAAAATAAAATAAAATAGAATCCTATCAAATTTAACCCTCTACCTCATATTTAAGACATGTTGAGAAAATGCTAGACTTAAAATCACGATTGTATAGCTGGAAAGAATATTAAAGTTGGGTATTTAACCCAACTTCTTGTTTTACTGATGAGGAAATTTGAAGACCACATTAGCCAATTGGTTGTTTACGTTGTAGAGTCAGGATTAGAACGCAGGTCTCCTTTTTTTTTTTTTTTTTGAGATGGAGTTTTGCTCTGTCACCCAGGCTGGAGTACAGTGGCATGATCTTGGCTGACTGCAACCTCTGCCTCCCGGGTTCAAGAGATTCTCCTGCCTCAGCCTCCTGAGTAGCTGAGATTACAGGTGCACACCACCATGCCTGGCTAATTTTTGTATTTTTTTTAGTAGAGACGGGATTTCACCATGTTTGCCAGGCTGGTCTTGAACTCCTGACCTGAAGTGATCTGCCCACCTCAGCCTCCCAAAGTGTTGGGATTACAGGTATGAGCCACTGTGCCTGGACTTCATTTTAATAAAACCTCTCCTAGCTAAGGATGACAGAGAATGGAATGTACTCAGGGAGTACCCAGGGAGAAGGCACGTTTTTATATCACATATTCAATACCAAAGATTCAAATGCAAATACTAAACTATGCTTTAAATAGTCTTACTTCTTTTATTGAGCTTATTTTTCCTGTAACTTTTTTTTTTGCCTTCTTGTTTGTTCTTTATATTCCTGTGTGTATTGAATAAAAATGACATTTGGCTGTACCAGATTACAGAAAACAGCTTTGTTCTCCACAGAGCATTTAATTTTCTGGCCAATTACCTTATCAAAACAGATAGCAATTTAGTAATCTTAAATAGATTCTTTCCCCTTTTCCCTTTCCAACTCTGCTTTTCTATTCACATGCATTCTCAGTGTGATTTTGAAGATAATCACAGGCATTTCAAATTCTATTGCTTTGCAGACCAACCAAGTTTTATATTACCTCTATTGTGGATGAAAGCACTTTGTAAATGCTAATTTATCGCTATGCCCTCAAAGCTGCCATCAAACTCATTTGTTCACAGAATTAATCATATCAAACAAACTACCATTTCTGAGAACTACACGCTTTTGCTCAAATAAAAGAAGCTTTATTCAATACTGTTAAGGGGGCTTCATATTTCCAATATTTGAAAAAATGCTAGTAATTTGGCATTGGAGGAAACAGTACACTTGAAGCCAAGATTTAGAGTGGTGGAAATAAATGCCTCAGATTGTTATTCAATTTGTCCCATAACAAATTCTTATAGCTACAGCCTTGCTCGTGAGTCCTCAACTGCCATGAATGGTGACCAACTTTATGATTTGCGTGGCTATACCTTGTAAAGTGCCTAGCACAGAGGAGTAGCAATAAACACTGAACAAAAGAATCATTCACTGAATACATATTATTCCTGAATCATCATATATATTTTGCAAACATTAAGTAAAGATCACATCAAGCTGGGAAGAATGCCTTTATAAGGTCTTTTCATTTCCTTCACTTTTACCCCTCCACTCTCTTAAAGAGTAGCCTCAGAGTCAGTTTAGTAGGTTGGACAATTTTGTATCATCCCAGAGACTACGTAAATTGGAAATATTACTTTAACCTCAGCTGCTATGATACAAACTGGGAATTTTTGAACATAGATTAAAGATTTGAAACAAGGAAATAATAATAGTGTTACAATCTGCTTGAGAGAAACAATTATAATAAACTCCCAACAAGAAAGTAAATATACTCATATCTAAATTCTATCATCTCTTTTCTGCAAAAGTTATAGATGGAATCACAACGGAGAAGGAAGACGACTGTGTTCTAGTCCCAATTCTACCACTAACTTGGACAAGTCACTTAACCTTTGGGGACACAACTACTCATTGGTTAAAGATGAGCCTTGAGTTAAAATCTCTGAAGCCCTTATAATGTTGAGATCCTCTACTTCTGTGATGCCTTTACACTCTATGGGGCTGGGTCTACCCCTGGATTGGGAATTAGTAGGGTGGATGAAAACTAGACCAGACTAGCATCATCTCTCTGACTACAAATGACCAGAGATGCCATTTAACCAATTCAGTCTTGACAAGACCCTGTACCTACTCAGATTCAGTTCAGTCATATTAGCCAGCCTTGTTCTTCTGTAAGCTTAGCAGCCACCGAACTAATCCTCCAGGAGTCACTGTACTAAAAGTTCTCAAGGAGGCCAGGAAATGGCTCTGCATAGATTCTGGACAGAGCACTGTGACGAAGTGAGCATGCAATTCTAGGACCAGCAGTGCCTTGGGAAGCCAGCTGAGCCACCCATTATTGTGTCTCCCCAAACACACAGAGGAGAAGGGGATTCCGTGATTTACTTGGTCAAAATGTCCAACATGTCCAACATGGTACACTCAGGAGGCCAACCAACCTGAAATCTTCTACATAGGAAGGGCTTATTTGTACTTCATGAAAACAATAATCAGCATTGCACTAATGTCTGCATGAGGACTGGTACCATGCACTGTGCAGCATAATTTACATGTATTACTTTAATTATGCTCACAACAGTCTTATGAGATAGATACTCCCATTTTACAGAGCTAGAAACGAAGGAAGGAAAAAAGCTAAGGAATGTTCTACATGGTACATGATAGAAGATATGGAACTGGACCTCAAGTCTGGCTGACTCAAAGGCGCATCTCTAGTTCACTCGCTGTAATCCCAATTTTTAGAATTAGTGGAAGATCCTTCACACACCAGGTCTGGCAGGACCCAGCCCCAGGATATTAGAGGCAAAGCCGTCTTCCACCGCAGATGCTGGAGGTTGGCAGACAGTCCTCTCACACCCCCACCCCCCACCTCCGAAGATAGGAATTCCTTCCCTTGTTTGCTGCTGCTCCTGCTCTCTTTTTTCCCATCCTCTGAACTCCCTGTTCAGAGATGTCAAAGAGAAATTGTACTGGGCACTTATGGAACACAGCAAGGAAGGCTTATCCCAGACTATTGCAATAGGAGTCGAGGCTTCTGCAACAGGGGAAAGAAAATGGACGCCTTCGAAACAAAAGGCAAGAAAGTTTTTAAGCGCTGGGGTGAGCCAGTGGAAAAGAATGGGAGAAGCTTAGGGAGAGGTGGTCAATGAGATCTGTGTTTGCTACCTGGCCCTTATGGAAGTTAGGCTCCTGCCCTCCCACAGAGACTGGGAGACAGTGGCCCTAACTCTCTTGATGACTACATTTCAAAGGGATGGCTGCCAGGTGCCTGAAAAAGACACTCTTGGGTTGTAGAAGATTTACATCTCAAAAGGGCAGAGAAAGGGGGAGATCAGTGCCTATCATCCGAAAGAACCCTGTCCAAAATTGAGTCAAGCTGAAGGGAACCTCGAGGCGGTCTTGGCCAGGGGTTTTTCTTTGTCAGCCCAGTCCCAGGCCAGTTCCTCACGTGGCGCTTTACCTGGCAAGGACCCGGGGGTCGAACTTGGCTCGGAAGCGAGCCACCTGTATCCTCTGCGCCGCCTGGGCCGCCGCCTCGGGCCCAGGCCCCGCGCCTCCGACGCCGGCTTGGTTTTGACCTTCGTGCTTGGCCCAAGCCAGCGCTGGTGGCCCCGGGACCACCTTCCTGCTGGCGCCGCACCCCATACCCGCAACACGCCCGCCGCTCGCGGGACCTGGGGACTCGGGAAGCAGCCAGCCCCGTTCCTCCGCCCTTTATCAAAGAGCAGCTGCGAGGGGCGGGACCCTCGGAAAGAAACCCCACTGGGGGGTCGTGGTCAGGGAGACAGCCCCCAGGATACCCGCTAACGACCGAGACGCCTGGATCATCGCTGGTCACCGTCTGTGTGTGTAATCTGACGTGATGAAAGCAAAGTCAACCAACAGGCAGAACCTGCGCCTAATTGTCTGGGCTTCACTTTCTGCATCTCTAACCTGACAAAGTGAACATATAAAATTATACGATTGTATAAAGGATATCGTCCCTCTAAAGAACTTTTCGCTGAGCTCATATTCGGATGACATGAACATTAAACATACATATATATATATATTTAAAATTCTAAGAGCTTATAATATTTAAAGTATAACTTCACTGCCTTCTATTGCATTAAACGGATGACAAAGGCCTGTGTCTGGCACTCATGACCTTCATCTTCCGGGTAATCCATCTAAGAGAGAAAAACTGAGGGCCACGATAGATGTCTAGAACCCAGACGAACACCCTAAGCAAATACAGTGAGAAAACCTGTATATACATATACAGTGTATATACAAAACCCGTATATACAAATATAGTGAGAAAACCTGTATATAGATATAAATATATATAAATAAATATAAATATTATGTATGGTAACTTTACATTTTCTATATATTTCATTCTTGTATTATTTATACATATTATACATGTATGTGAATGTGTGTATATATATTATACACACACAGTATTATAATACTTATAAATATTTATCATTTTGATAAATGTATATTGATTATATCACTATATTGATTAGATTTCATTGATATTTGTCAATTATATTCATTCACACACACACACACACACACACACACACACACAAATGATGTGTGGGAAATGAAATCCAGTCACGACCAAGCAAGTCAAGATCACATGCCTCCCAAGTTGTAGAACCGGAACTGGAGGCTGCTTCCCGATTTCCAGGCCAATGCTACTTCAATTTGTGTAATTTCCTTTCTAATTTCATTTAATTTGTAGTTTGGCTTAACAGGGAATGTCTGTGATGAATAAATTAGTCATGAACTTTCCCAGAGCTATATTTTGATGGAAAATTTAAAATACGGCTTGCATATAGCTGAGGGAAAATTAGTTCATCCTGCAAAGAGAGCATAACTACCAAATAATGGACTTTTCTTCCTAAAGAACCCTCAGAATTCTCCAACTACTAAGAAACAAGGAAAGAAGGTTTATTTTAAGCAGGTA
Source organism: Homo sapiens (assembly GCF_000001405.40). Taxonomy (NCBI): domain Eukaryota; kingdom Metazoa; phylum Chordata; class Mammalia; order Primates; family Hominidae; genus Homo; species Homo sapiens. The sequence goes on from NC_000008.11 coordinate 86,070,938, forward strand.
AACAACTCGTTCTTATATGTCTCGAGCTTTTGAACTAATTTGCAGAATAGGCTATCTATTAGGTTAGAGCAAAAGTAATTGTGTCTTTGCCATTAAAAGTAAAGGCAAGGCCGGGCATAGTGGCTCACACCTGTAATCCCAGCACTTTGGGAGGCCAAGGCATGTGGATCACCTGAGGTCAGGAGTTCCAGACCACTGTGGCCAACATGGTGAAACCCCATCTCTACTAAAAATACAAACATTAGATGGGCCTGGGGGTGCGTGCCTGTAGTCTCAGCTACTCAGGAGGCTGAAGCAGGAGAATTGTTTGAACCTGGGAGGTGAAGGTTGCAGTGAGCTGAGATCGCGCCACCACTGCACTCCAGCCTGGGTGACAGAGCAAGAGTTCATCTCAAAAGGCAAAAGCTGCAATTACTTTTGCACCAACCTAACAGTATAAACAGAATGGAAGAGAGAAATAAAGGGAACAAACTGAAGTCAGATGTTAAGGTACTACTCAAAAAAACACAAAATTTTTTCCTCAGAGAGCCTGTTGTAAGGATTGTTTGCATAAGGATCGCACAGCAAATAGGAAGCATCTGCTATAAAACCTAAACCTGGGCAGCAGTGAAGGCGCCAGACACTTCCACGAGGCAGGCAGTCCCTCTGCCTGTCCACCTTCTCCCAGCAGTGAGGGCCTTCATAGTAGGCTGCAGAAACCTCTTCTGTCCTGTCTGCAGCTGGCCGCACAGCAGAGAAAGCTTTGTCACAAGCCTCCCACTAAGTCTAAACCATGTTCCTTGAAAATTGGAAAACACAGTCGCTGATTTTAAAGCCCTTAAAAAATGAAAACATTGATGAAACCACTGATTAGTTCTCTTTTGGAAAGCCCCAACTATTAACTAGAAGTGTTGTTGATGTAAATACTTTGCCTGGAGACAAAATTTAAGTACCTGTGCATTTGAAACTTTCACTTTCAAGGACTTCCACTAAGCTCTGAAATGTTAAAATGGTCATAAGTATATCCTTTTAATATGACTAATCTCAGAAAGAATAATTCATAAAGTAACATATAGAAAAATATCCAAATACATAGACTCTCCTGCATGTATTTCTCTTTATTGTGTATAATTGCTTGATTATATGGAGACCACTCAAGCATTGTTTGGGACCATTTGCTATTCACCCATTAATTAACTATTCATAGTTATTTCAATTATATATTTAACTTAATTAAAGTAATAAAATGTTAAAATAGCTCTAGACTTAAGGCCAGCTTTAAATGAAGCTTTATTTTTATATCAATGTGTTTAGTGCTTTTAAGTGGCTACCTGTGACACTTAAAGCAACTGAATAAATGGAAATGGTTCTGTGACATGGTATTTATTATAAAAAGTAATTAGATTGGACCTCCTTCTTAATAAAAAAAAATCGTATTTCAACTGCCATTTATTGCCCAAAAGTCACAAATTCTTACTAGTCAACTGTAACATTCATAATAATGTGTAATACATAGCTCCCATCACCTGATACCAGATTCTACTCTACACGAAGTTTTTAAAGAGAAGAATTAGAAGGACACAAAGAATTAAATCCAGAATGTGTCCTGGACTATCGAGATTCTGAAACTATAGAAACTTCCTAGAATAACTTTCTGACTTACATTTCATACAGTGATTTAATTAAGTGGCTTGGTTTATGACAGATATTCTTCACAAAGTATAATCCAACCCCTAAAGAGTATTTCACTGTAAGGATTTAAGGAACTATGCCAAATCAAAAAATCATTGCAGATTTAGACTAACATTTAGGGAAAACACACTTCTTTCTTTCATGAACAATATTGGTGGAAAATATGGAAAAGAATACAATCGTGATATTCTGTCATCAGTTTTTATTATACTCCAGCAACATGAAGAGTACAAAACAAGTAACTACGGATACCCTAAGGAGTGATATACCAGGAAGCCCTACAATATTATACCCTCCTTTACCTTACAGCTAAAAAGATAGAACCTTCATTTTTAACAGGTAAAATGAAGAATTTGTTTCACTTATTAGTTCTGCTTGAAATAGCTTCAATGTTGTTGCTTTTCAAGTTTTAGTTCTCTTTAGATCCCCCCCTACAGGGATTAATTTTCTCTAAAGTGATCTCCTGCCTCAAACATCAGTTTGAAGGTATACATCTTATCAGCTTCCTTTTCCCCAAGGTGTAGGGTCTGTGTTTGTCATGACAACTGGCATGGGGCTCTTTTAAGCCAATTTCACATACACCATGACGTGTGAAACCAACAATGCAAAGCTACTCTCACAGTTTTCTTCCCATAAACAAATAATAATGAGCTTCTAAGTAGGATGTCTTTGTGTGAAACTCAGAGATGGTGGGCACTTTCCTGCCACCCTGCCAAACTATTTTGCACTATCACAACACCTTACAAAAATAGGACTGTAATAATCCAGGCAAGTCAGTAATAATTTTTGAATTACTGAGAATATTTTTCTGTCACTACACTAATGAATAATTCATGTTAACTTGCATATCTTTATATTTAGCACCAAAGAAAGAATATTTAGCTTTAGTAGAATTTCAAGTTTTATGTTTTGTCTTGTAACTATAAAAAAGAAAATAAAAATTAGTATATAGTAATAAGTGATAGAAAAAATCTCTGCTGTCCAGTAAAAACATAAATTTCATTTTGTTATTGTAGTGACTTAAAGAAATCTCCAGGCACAACAGGAAATGAAGTTTTCTTATTTTGATGCACAAATTTAAAAAGATAAAGTGATAGGGTATTTCACTGTATTTTTGCTGATTTGCCTAAAGGATTTCTGCCTTTTCAAGTTGGCAATTTGCACCCAAAGCTTTCAAAAACGATGGCTAGAAATATGTTTAGTTGCATGGTAAAATAGTTACAATATGTTGCAAGGTAAAAAAAAAAAAAAAAAAAGCCTACATGGCATGATCTCATTTTTAAAATCACAGATAAAATAAGTTCCTATGGTGAGGAATGGAGGCCTCCAGCTGACAGAGAGCAAAGAACTGAGGCCTGCGACAACTATAGGCGTGATCCTGGGAACCGATTCTCAACCTCATCTGAGCCTTGAGACGACTGCTGCTCTGGCCGACAGCCTGACGGCAACCTCCTGAGACAGCTCTGAGAGGAGATTTTCCAGGTTCAAGTCCCGGTACACCACTTACCAGTTCTGTGACCTTAGGAAAGATATTTAACCTCTCTGTCTTCTCAGTTTTCTTATCTGTGAAATTGAAATAATAATAACACAAATGTTATAGGGTTGCTGGGAATCATTTAATTCTTTTACTTTTTATTTGTTATTTTTTACAGACTAGGTCTCTTTCTGTCAGCCAGGCTGGAGTGCAATGATATGATCACAGCTCACCACAGCCTGATCACAGCTCACCACAGCCTTGACCTCTGGGTTCAGGGCTCAAGCAATTCGCCCACCTCAGCCTCCTGAGTACCTGGGACTACAAGTGCACACCTCTACACCTAGCTAATTTTTTTTTTTTTTTGTACAGACAATGTCTTGCTATGTTGCCCAGGCTGGAAATAATTTAATTCATGTGAAGCACTTACATCAGCACCTGGAATATTATAAATGCTCATAAATATTATCTTGTATAAGTGAATGGTCCTAGGTGTGGTGGCTCACACCTGTAATCCCAACACTTTAGGAGGCTGAGACAGGCGGATCAGTTGATACTAAGAGTTTGAGACCAGACTAAGCATATAGTGAGACTCTGTCTACACAAAAAATTATCCTGGCATGGTGGTGTGCACCTGTAGTCACAGCTTAAGCAGGAGGATCCCTCGAACCCAGGAATTTGAGGTAGCAGTGAGCTACGGATCACACCACTTCAGTCCAGCCTGGATGACACAGCAAGACCCTGTCTCAATAATAAATAAATAAATGGCTTCAAGGGGTTGCATTAGTTATCTATTGCTGCATAACAAATTTCCCCAAAATTTTACAGTTTTAAAACAACAAGCATTTATTTTCTGAAGATTGAGTATATGAGAGGGTAGATCTGGCTCAGGATTTGAGGAGGAAGGTTGCGGCCAAGCTGTCTGATGAGGCTACAGTCATCACAAGCCTTGACAGGAACTGAATCCCCTTCCAAGTGCATGCACGTGACTGTCAGCAGGCCTCAGTTCCCAGCTGGCTGTTGGCAGAAGGCCTCCACTCCGCACCACGTGGGTTTCTCCATAGGCTGCCTGAGTGTCCTTGCAGCATGGCAGCTGGCATCCCCCATAGCCAGTGAGGAGTGTGAGTGTGCCTGAGCAGATGAGCAGGAGAAAACACAAACAGAAGCTTCGGTCTCTCATAACTCAATCTCAGAAGTGGCATGCCATCACTTTTGCCACATGTTGTTAGTCATGCAGAGCAACTCTTGTCAATGTGGGAGGAAACTCCGCAGGGATGTGGCTACCAGGAGGTGGGGATTTGGAGAAGCCATCATGGAGGCTGGCTTCTACTGTCATGGAACTGGGACTGATGAGTGAAATTTCACTACAAAGAGAATTCTTTTTTTTTGAGACAGGATCATACTACGTTGGTCAGGCTAGTCTCCAATTCCTGGGCTCAAGTGATCCTCCTGCCTCAGCCTCCCAAATTGCTGGGATTATAGGTGTGAGCCACCGCACCCAAAGGGGAATTTTGAAAGTCAAAGATAAATCTAGAGATGAACACTATGCTTAGGAAATTGCAGGCTGTCGATCACCAGAGCTGTTTAAGCAGCCTGGGCACCCCTTGGCCTTGCTGAGGAAAAGGATACTCAAGCACAAGAGTGATTGGACTTGAATCTTCAGATCCCTTCCAAGTCTGGGCTTCTGTGACTTTTTCTTTCATGTGGTCAATTCTAATCATAACTAGGTAGTAAACCTCTTGAAAACCTAACTCTTTGTGTCCAGCCTAGTATTCTAAACAAAGAATGATCTCTATAAATTTTTTTATTATACTTTAAGTTCTGGGGTACATGAACAGAATGTGCAGTTTGTTACATAGGTATATACATGCCATGGTGGTTTGCTGCACCCATCAACCCATCACCTACGTTAGGTATTTCTCCTAATGTTTTCCCACTCCTAGCCTTCCAACCCATGACAGGTCCCAGTTTGTGATGTTCCCCTCCCTGTGCCCATATGTTTTCATTGTCCAACTCCCACTTATGAGTGAGAACATGTGCTGTTTGGTTTTCTGTTCCTGTGTTAGTTTGCTGAAAATGATGGTTTCCACTTTCACCCATGTCCCTGCAAGGGACATGAACTCATCCTTTTTTCTGGCAGCATAGTATTCCATGGTGTATATGTGCCACATTTTCTTTATCCAGTCTATTATTGATGGACATTTGGGTTGGTTCCAAGTCTTTGTTATTGTGAATAGTGCCACAATAAACACATGTGCATGTGTCTTTATAGTAGCATGATTTATAATCCTTTGGGTATATACCCAGTAATGGGATGGCTGGGTCAAATGGTATTTCTAGTTCTAGATCCTTGAGGAATCGCCACACTATCTTCCACAATGGTTAAACTAATTTATACTCTCACCAACAATGTAAAAGTGTCCCTATTTCTCCACATCCTCTCCAGCATCTGTTGTTTCCTGACTTTTTAACAATCGCCATTCTAACTGGCGTGAGTTGGTATCTCATTGTGGTTTTGATTTGCATTTCTGTAATGACCAGTGATGATGAGCATTTTTTCTATGTCTGTTGGCTGCATAAATGTCTTCTTTTGAAAAGTGTCTGTTCATATCCTTTGCCCACTTTTTGATGGAGTTATTTGATTTTTTCTTGTAAATTCATTTAAGTTCCTTGTAGATTCTGGATATTAGCCCTTTGTCCAATGGATAGATTGAAAAAATTTTCTCCCATTCTGTAGGCTGCCTATTCACTCTGATGATAGTTTCTTTTACTGTGCAGAAGCTCTTTAGTTTAATTGGATCCCATTTGTCAATTTTGGCTTTTGTTGCCATTGCTTTTGGTGTTTTAGTCATGAAGACTTTGCCCATGCCTATGTCCTGAATGGTATTGCCCAGGTTTTCTTCTAGGACTTTTATGGTCCTAGGGCTTACGTTTAAGTCTTTGATCCATCTTGAGTTGATTTTTGTATAAGGTGTAAGGAAGGGGTCCAGTTTCAATTTTCAGCATATGGCTAGCCACTTTTCCCAACACCATTTATTAAATAGGGAATCTTTTCCCCATTGCTTGTTTGTGTCAGGTTTGTCAAAGATCAGATGGTTGTAGATGTGTGGTGTTATTTCTGAGGCCTCTGTTCTGTTCCATTGGTCTATATATCTGTTTTGGTACCAGTACCATGCTGTTTTGGCTACTGTAGCCTTGTAGTATAGTTTGAAGGAAAATTTATGGCACTAAATTCCCATAAGAGAAAGCAGGAAAGATCTAAAATTTACACCCTAATATCAAAATTAAAATAACTAGAGAAGCAACAGGAAACAAATTCAAAATCTAGCAGAAGACAAGAAATAACTAAGATCAAGCAGAACTGAAGGAGGCAGAGACATGAAAAAAAACTCAAAAAATCAATGAATCCAGGAACTGGTTTTTTGAAAAGATCAACAAGTAGATAGACCACTAGAAAAGATCAACAAGTAGATAGACCACTATCCAGACTAATAAAGAAGAAAAGAGAGAAGAATCAAATAGACACAATAAAAAATGATATAGGGGAGATCACCACTGATCCCACAGAAATACAAACTACCATCAGAGAATACTATAAAAACCTCTATGCAAATAAACTAGAAAATCTAGAAGAAATGGATAAATTCCTGGACACATACACCCTCCCAAGTCTAAACCAGGAAGAAGTCGAATCACTGAATAAACCAATAACAAGTTCTGAAATTGAGGCAGTAATTAATAGCCTACCAACCAAAGAAAGTCCAGGACCAGATGGACTCACAGCTGAATTCTACCAGAGGTACAAAGAGGAGCTGGTACCATTCCTTCTGAAACTATTCCAATCAATAGAAAAAGAGGGAATCCTCCCCAACTCATTTTATGAGGCCAGCATCATCCTGATACCAAAGCCTGGCAGAGACACACACACAAAAAAAGAAAATTTCAGGCCAATATCCCTGATGAACACTGATGCAAAAATCCTCAATAAAATACTGGCAAACCAAATCCAGCAGCACATCAAAAAGCTTATCCACCACGATCAAGTTGGCTTCATCCCTGGGATGCAAGGCTGATTCAACATATGCAAATCAATAAATGTCATCCATCACATAAACAGAACCAATGACAAAAACCACATGATTATCTCAATAGATGCAGAAAAGGCCTTCAACAAAATTCAACACCTCTTCATGCAAAAAACTCTCAATAAATTAGGTATCGATGGAACTTATCTCAAAATAATAAGAGATATTTATGACAAACCCACAGCCAATATCATACTGAATTGGCAAAAACTGGAAGCATTTCCTTCAAAAACCGACACAAGACAAGGATGCCCCCTCCCACCACTCCTATTCAAGTTAGTATTGGAAGTTCTGGCCAGGGCAATCAGGCAAGAGAAAGAAATAAAGGATATTCAATTAGGAAGAGAAGAAGTCAAATTGTATCTGTTTGCAGATGACATGATTGTATATTTAGAAAACCCTGTCATCTCAGCCCAAAATCTCCTTAAGCTGATAAGCAACTTCTCAGGAAGTTGTAGCAAAGTCTCAGAATACAAAATCAATGTGCAAAAATCACAAGCATTCCTATATACCAATAACAGACAAATAGAGAGCCAAATCATGAGTGAACTCCCATTCACAATTGCTACAAAGAGAATAAAATACCTAGGAATACAACTTACAAGGGATGTGAAAGACCTCTTCAAGGAGAACTACAAACCACTGCTGAAGGAAATAAGGAGGACACAAACAAATGGAATAACATTCCATGCTCATGGATAGGAAGAATTAATATCCTGAAAATGGCCATAGTGCCCAAAGTAACTTATAGATTCAAAGCCATCCCAATCAAGCTATCACTGACTTTCTTCACAGATTTGGAAAAAACTACTGTAAGCTTCATGTGGAACCAAAAAAGAGCCCTCATAGCCAAAACAATCCTGGGCAAGAAGAACAAAGCTGGAGGCATCATGCTACCTGACTTCAATCTATACATTTTTATTAATTGTCTGTAGCCCGTATGATATATAGATATATTTAGATATCTATAGACATAGATATATTTAGATATCTATAGACATAGATATATTTAGATATCTATAGACATAGATATATTTAGATATCTATAGACATAGATATATTTAGATATCTATAGATATAGATATCTAGATAGATAGATAGATGATAGATGATAAATAGATAGATAGATAGATAGATAGATATTTTTTAATTGAGAGGGAGTCTCGCTCTGTCATCCAGGCTGGAATGCAGTGGTGCAATCTCAGATCACTGCAACCTCTGCCTCCCAGGTTCAGGGGATCCTCTCGCCTCAGCCTCCTGAGTAGCTGGGACTACAGGTGCATGCCACCACACCCAGCTAATTTTTGTATTTTTGGTAGAGTCAGGGTTTCACCATGTTGGACAGGCTGGTCTTGAACTCCTGACCTCAAGTTACTGCCCACCTCAGCTTCCCAAAGTGCTGGAATTACAGGAGCTAGCCACCACACCCAGCCCTCATATGACATTAAAACTATTATCAGACTTGCTGGGCATGGTGGCTCACACTTGTAATCCCAACAATTTGGGAGGTTGAGGCGAGAGGATCGCTTGAGCCCAGGAGTTTGAGACCAGCTTAGGCAACATAGAAAGACCCATTTCTAAAAATAAATTAATAATATTTAAATTTTAAAAGTTTAAAAAAACTATTATGAGACTGTATCTGTATGCTCATTTATTTTTAAATATATTTATATCTATGCTTTTTAAATCAAGTTCTTTGACTTTGCCATAATAAGTTATTTATATTTATTTGTTTCATTTCTTCAGGGATGTTCCCTCCATTTCATAAACTTTTTAAACGTCTAAGATAACTATTAATTCATGCAATTTCAAGTAAAACATCATGAAAGGAAAATGTGCAGTTGCTAGGTGATAGAGAAATAAATATGAAAAGGAGGACCAAATCATCCAAAATATTTAGGAGGATAATGGAAATAAAAAGAAACTAAATAAATATCAGTGGCATGTCAGCAGTTAAACATTTTTAAACTTTCCATCACTGCACTCTAGATTCCAGTTTCACAGTCTTTTTTTTTTTTTACCAAAAAACTGCATTTTTATTCCTGCACCTCAAATTCAACCACTGTAACCTCCAATCAGAATACCATTCTGAGGGAAGAAGCTACCAAAGAGATACTGTTATTCTAGATCTTCCAAGAAGCAGATGCCAAGACAGAACTAAATGTGCAAGGATTTTATTAGGTGTAATATCCATGTAAAAAAAATAGAGTGATGGGAAAGACTAGGAAAACCACTGAAGAGGGTTGAGAGAAAGTGTCTCAGAGTGCTATGCAGGTCATCGGGGAGTCCTTGAGTCAAAGTCAACTGAGAAAGGAGTCCCCTGTCTGTCAGAAAAAGATCACCTTTAGCATCCTCACCACACCACACTCAGTCAGCTGATGAGGAGCTGCTCATGGGTGGTGTGGCCGCTGTGCAAACTCAAAGATGGATTTCAAAGCTGGGACCCTGGGGCCCCCGATCAACTGTGTTCCCCATAGTAGGAGGTTTGCAAGACACCATTCTCATGGATGCCATAGATACAAAGCATTCAATGCAACTATTATTTTAAAAAGTAACACTGAATATCTAGATAAACTATTTTCAAATGAACATTTCAACAAATAAAAATCAATTCTGCATTTTTATTTGAAGAATTTTTGCATAGTTTTCACAAACATTTCAAAACTGATTTCTAATTTAAATAAATCAAAGTTTCTTAACTATTTACTGAAACATACTCTGGCTTTCCTTGCTGCAATGTTTAAGATAAACAAGGCTTTAAAAAGTTAATAGGGAAAAAGAACCTTGGTTCTTGTTTGATTTGTAGATTCTATGCATTTTCACAACCTATATAAGATACTTCTCATATATCTACAATTTCCACACAATTCTTTCTCTCTGGGGAAATAGCTTTTTCTTCCTAGAACACCATCAATTGCACCTTTGACCATACTTTTCTCCCCAGCTGTTAGTCTGTGACCAATTTTCTTTCTGCAACATTTTGGAGAACCCTGCTGTGGATTGAAATTGGAGGTCACAGTTTCCTTCCAAACATTAGTTCAGAATGCAGGACACAGCCCCACTGCCCAAGAGAAGACTGTGGTCAAGCTGAAGCCAATTGTGAAAGCTTTCAAGACCTAATTATCTTCACCCTACTATCAACTTGTTTGGTGTCCAAATTTCTCAGGAGTCATTTAGTTTCAGGAATACCAGAGGATGTTTAGTTCCAGAATTTGTTCCCCCATTATGTGAAGTGTTCTTTCTGAAATGCTATCTCGTGTTTTCTTTGTTTTGTTTAAGACATTGCTTCTTGGTTTATTTACTTCAGTTTCTAACTACATGTTGGGTACCTTAATGAAACAGTAAATTCCTGAGAGAAAAAGAGCTCTCAGGTTATTAAAATTGCATCATTGATTGTCTCTATCTGTTTGGGCCTTTTAAAATGTTGATTATATAATCACGTGCTAGGAAAATAGCTCAGATAAGGAGTCAAATAAAATTCAGAATTTAAAAGCATTCACAGGTTGGGTGCCATGGCTCACGCCTATAATTCCAACATGTTCGGAGGCCAAAGCAGGAGGATTACTTGCATCCAGGAGTTCAAGACCAGCCTGGGAAACATAGCGAGACCCTGTCTCTACAAAAAATTTAAAAATTAGCTGGGCATGGTGGTTGATGCCTGTAGTCCCAGCTACTTGGGAGGGTGAGGTGGGAGGATCGTTTGAGCCCAGGAGGTCAAGGCTGCAGTGAGCCATGGTTGCACCAGTGCACTCCAGCCTGGGTGACAAAGCAAGACCCTGTCTCAAATAAATAAATAAATAAAATTTAAAAATAAAAGTATTCAGGGCCCGGACACAGTGGCTCATGCCTGTAATCCCAGTACTATGGGAGGCCGAAGCGGGAGGATCACTTGAGCTCAGGAGTTTGAGGCCAGCCTGGGCAACATGGCGAAACCTCATCTCTATAAAAAATACAAAATAAAATTAGCCGGGCGTGGTGGCATGAGCCTGGAGTCCGAGCTACTCAGGAGGCTGCAGTGGGAGGATCACTTGAGCCCAGGATGAGGAGGACACAGTGAGCCAAGATTGCACCACTGCACTCCAGCCTGGGTGACAGCGCCAAATGCTGTTTCAAAAAAAAAAGTATTCACTAGTTCAATATGTATATTGTCATTTTTGTCACCCTTGATCCCAGCCATTATCAACAGTTCTCCAACTTTAATGTGCATAAATCAAGGTCTGGGCACAGTGTCTCATGCCTATAATCCCAGCACTTTGGCAGGCTAAAGTGGGAGGATTGCTTGAGCCCAGGAGTTCAAGACCAGCCTGGGCAACATAGTGAGACCCCATTTCTAAAAATAATAATAATCATAATTCATTTTAATGTAAAAATAACCCAGGGAGCTAGTTAAAAATGGAAATTCTAAGCCTGGGCAACATAAGGAGACCTCGTTTCTACAAAAAATAAATAAATAAATAAATAAATAGCCAGGCATGGTGGTGTACACCTATGGATCCAGTGACTGGGAAGGCTGAAAGGCAGGAGGATGGTTTGAGCCCAGTAGGTCAAGGCTGTATTGATCTGTGATTGTACCACTGGACTCCAGCCTGGGCAACAGAGCAAGACCCTGTCTAAAAAAAAAAAAAAAGCACAAATTCGAGAACACTGTTCTCAAAATACCAGCCTGCGAAAGCCAAAAAGCTGTGTTTTTCACAAGCACCCAATGAACTGAAAGTTCCACCCCTCTAATCACATGGTTGGTTCCCCTGGCAACAGCCCACGTCCTGAGGCTCTTGAGGAACCTCCAAGATTTGCCTCATTAGAACAAAAAAAGATCCTGTCACCCAGGAAATTTCAAGGGATTTAAGAGCTCTGTGTCAGAAACTGGGGTCAGAGACCAAATACTATTAGAACAAATATTAGAACAAAAAATACTTATAGCACCCCCATCTATGAGGGTTTTAGGAGGTCTATGCCAGGAACTGGGGGCAGGGACCAATATTTCTATATTTGTAAATATATCTATACAGATGTTCCTCAACTATAGCTATATCTATCTATATCTGTACATATAGACAGATATAGTTATAGATATAGACATATATAGTTGAGAAGCATATCTACATATCTGCCCCCAGTTCCTGGCAATAAATATATAGATATAGTTATTCATATCAATAGATATAGATACATAGCAGATATACACATAGATTGATATAGATAGATATAGATATAAATATAGATAGATATAGCTAGATAAAATCTGTATCTATTGATACAGATATAGATAGCAAAATAGATATAAAGAGAGATAGTAGATATAGATAAACTATAGATATACAGATAGATATTTCTTCTTATATCACTGTATCACAGATGACTAATAAAAGTGTGCAAATGTGAAACTTACATACATATTATTAAATTCCACAGTAATTTCAATTATTTTGACCTAAGACCAACAAAAGTTTGGAGAGAGAGTATTTTATCACTGACATTGTTTAGACTTGGTGGTGTATGGTGGTATTAAAAAGAAGACCTACTTTGTAGGCAGTTCGTTATTGTTTTTAAATTCTCTACAGGCATCGCTCTTCTTTCTTACCTGCACCCAGAGGTGGCTGCTCCCACTGCCCCACCCTCTGTAAGCCCCTGGCTGGTTCCTCTTTGGGAATGCCTCAGCTAAAGAAAATTGCCTCGCCCAAGGTCATGCCTAAGCTCATGTCTAAGGACCAATATACAGAAGGTATAAAGGCCCAGCTCTTTGTTTCCAATCACTCTGAAGGTCATCACAACTCCAGAGCTCCCTGCAGGGTGGACTGAGGACTTCTTTGAGTCTGCATCAGAGCTCAAGTTCTCCCTCTGCCCAATCTTACTTCCACTCCTTTCCACAGGTGTTGATTCCAGGACCCCTCCCTAATAAAAGTCCTACACACTAAAATTAAAGTTAAAAATTAACTAGAAATCCTGCTTCCTGAGGAACTCAACGGGTAATACGAATTTTTCAATTTTTTGAAGAATTCAATAAAACCTGATAGTTAGAATTTACATTTCTTTGATTATTAGAAAGTTTCAGTTTTGCTCCTGACATCTTTCGGCCACTTATACTTCTGTTTGTGAATTGTCTCTTTTTTGTCAATTTTTCTTTTGAATTGCTCTCCTCTCCACCCTCACAATAAAACTATCTGCCCTTTGTCAATTTTTCTTTCCTTTATTAATGGGCTCTTTATAAATTAAAGATATTAACTCTTTGGCATATTCAGTTCTGCCCAAGGGAATACTCCCTTCTTAGCAGATGGTTCAGTCTATGGGACTGAAAAATAAATGTCAGTCTTGTCTTTCAGTTTTGTTTATGATATTTTTAAACATATATATTTTTAAAATATTTATGCAGAAATTTTTCCATTTTTTTCCTTTGTTGTTTTGCCTTTTGCATATACCCAGAAAAGCCTTCTATATTGGATACATTATGACATTGAAATGCACTGTATGATCAATCTCAGTGCTTTTGATTAAATTTTCTCATTTTCTACTCACCACATCTGTGAGATCACCAAAGCAAGTTACATCTTAGGGTTCAGGAGACATTAGACCGGATCTCATTGCTTTAGCGGTAGAGTGGAGTGAGAAGGTGATGACCTCATTCTCCCCAAGTTAATTCCACTCACCCAAATCTTATAACCTCCTATCTTTGCTGACTTTGCAATTCACCACTCTTTTCATTGATACCTGTATCTGAGATCCTGTATTGTGTACTATTCAGTAGCCTGCCATCTCATGGTGGAAATAGAGAAGTAGAAGTTTTTCTCCAGAAGAATAACCCCATTTCAGAATAGAGCTCTAAGGTAAATTAATAGTTAACTAATAATTGGAAAAAATTATGTATCATTTATAAATCAATTTTAAAATAAAACATAAATGTATCATAAACCTGGAATTGTAATATCTTTGTTTTATCCCCAGTTCTGCCATTATTGATTTGTGATGTCTGTTTTTTTAAAAAAAATTCTTACACCATTCTGGAAGTTAGCCTTAAGAAAGAATTTATGACCAAGTCCTCAAAAGCAATTGCAACAAAAACAAAAATTTACAAGTGGAGCCTAATTAAAGAGCTTCCGTACAACAAAAGAAACTATCAATAGAGTAAACAGACAACCTACAGAATGAGAGAAAATATTTACAAACTGTGCATCCAACAAAGGTCTAATATCCACAATCTATAAGGAACTAAGCAAATCAACAAGTGAAAAATAAGTAAACCCATTAAAAAGTGGGCAAAAGACATGAACTGGTACTTCTCAAAAGAAGACATATAAGCAGCCAACAAATATAAGAAAAAAAATGCTCTTGATCACTAATCATCAGATAAATGAAAATCAAAACCACAATGAGATACTATCTCACACCTGTCAGAATGGCTATTATTAAAAAACAAACAAAAATAACAGATGTGAGTGAGGCTTCAGAGAAAAGAAAATGCTTATACACTGTTGATGACAACGTAAATTACTTCAGCCACTTTGGAAAACAATTTGGAGATTTCTCAAAGGACTTAAAACAGAACTACCATTCACCCCAGCAATCCCATTACTGGGTATATACCTGAAAGAAAATAAATTATTTTACCAAAAAGACACAGGGAGTCACATGTTTATCACAGCACTATTCACAAGAGCAAAGGCGCTGAATCAACCTAGGTGGGCATCAGCCCTGGGCAACGTAGGTGCCCATCAATGGTGGGTTAAATAAAGAAAATGTGGTACATATATACACCATGGAACACTATGCAGCCATAAAAATAATGAAATCATGTCATCTGCAACAATATGTATGCAGCTGGAGGTCGTTATCCTAAGCAACTTAACACAGGAACAGAAAACCAAATACCGCATGTTCCATTTGTAAGCGGAAGCTAAACATTGAGTACACATGGACATAAAGATGGGAACAATAGACACTGGGGACTGCTAGAGCAGAAAGAGAGGGAGGAGGGCATGGGCTGACAAACTGCTTATCAGGTATTATGCTCACTACTTGAGTGACAGGATCATCTGTACCCCAAACCTCAGCATCATGCAATAAACCTATGTAGCAAATCTGCACATGTACCCCCGAATCTAAAATAAAAGTTGAAATTATTTTTAAAAAAGATTTGAGACAGAAAAAAAAGAGAAAGGAATATTATTTGGCAATAAAAAGGAGTAAAGTACTTGTATATGCTACAACACGGATGAATCTTGAAATCTTGCTGAGCAAAGGAAGCCAAACACAAAAGAACACAAATTATATTGTTCCGTGTATATGAAATGCCCAGAATAGGTAAATCTATAGAGACAGTAGATTAGTGGTTGTGTAGAGGTGGGGGAAAGTAGGAGGGAGAAAATGGGAAATGAGTAGTAATGGGTATGAGATTTCTCTTTTCAGTTATAAAAATGTTCTAAACTTAAATTTTGAGAGTGATTGCACAATTCTGAATATAAGAAACCACTGAATTGCACACTTTAAATGGTTGGCTTTTATGGCATTGAATCATATTTCAATAAAGATGTTTACAATTTTAAATTTAACTTAATTTAACATTTAAAAAATTTTCTTAATCTTTTAGAAGTTGAGTTTCTCTTTCTTTAAGGTAAGAAGGCTGTTGTTGTTGTCCTAAATTCTCTGTCATTGCCAATATGTCCTATTATTCTATTCCATGTGATCTTTGGAGAACTCTCACATCAAGAAATTTATTTTCCAGAAAATAAAAAAGTCATTTCAATAAAAGAAAACCTATATATTGCAGAAATAGAACCAGTAGATTAGTTTCATGGGAACACGTTTTGCTTTGCTAGGAAACAGATATTTCTACTACTTGAAGATATCTGAAAATTTAATGATCAGCCTCAAACAGTCATGAGTCCTTCCCGATTTCTGCAGGTGATATGACATTATATCAAATGACACTGAGGTCTCTTTGTACACTAAGATTGCAAGGTTTGTTAGTATAAAACCTTTTCTGATTACTAATCTTTCTTCTGTGACATTTTTGTGGCCTTATAATAATTTAAAATAATGACCTTTCTGCCTATAATTCACTTTTCTTTGTTCATTATTTCTCATGAAAATAGTATTCTCATCATAATAATACCATTTACAAGTCCAGCTGGTAAATTTTCCATCATTAGTTTATGTAATTACTATACAAGTTACTGCTGTAGCAAGACAGCTCCTGGGATCATTGCCATCAAAATACAAAAAAAAAAAAAATTAAAAATAGGAAATATTTGGAAGACAGAAGAAAATACTGTCATGCTTTAAAAATACATATTTTAAAATACAAATTTTTAACTTCATGTGAATTCAAAAGATATAATTTATTCAAGTTAAAAATGAAGTGGATATGTATAGAATAGTGATATATGAGTTTTGTAACACTTTTAAAATAATTAATGTTATAAATCAGAATTTCCCAGATAATGGTCAAAAGAATACCACTTCTTCAGGTTGCTAAAGGTATTAAATAGTCATATGGTTTGGCTTTGTATCCCCACCCAAATCTCATGTTGAATTGTAATCCCCTGTGTGAAAGGTGGGGCCTGGTGGGAAGTGATTGGATCATGGGGTTGGTTTCTAATGGTTTAGCACCATTCCCGTAGTACTGTCTCCTGATAGAGTTCTCACAAGATCTGGTTGTTTTTAAGTGTGTGTGTGGCATCTTCCTCCTCTCTCTCTTGCTCCTTCTCTGGCCATGTAAGACGTTTCTCCTTCCGCTACGCCTTCTGCCATGATTGTAAGTTTCCTGAGGCCTCCCCAGCCATGCTTCCTGTATAATCTGTGGAACCATGAGCCAATTAAACCTCTTCTTTATAAATTACTCAGTCTCAGCTCTTGGGAGGCCAAGGCAAGAGGATCATTTGAGTCCAGGAGTTTGAGACCAGTCTATGCAGCATAGGGAGACCCTGTCTCTTTAAAATAAAATAAAATAAAATAAAATAAAATAAAATATCAAATAGAATAAAATAAAATACCCAGGCTCAGGTAGTTATTTATACCAGTGTGAAAAAGGACTAATACAATTATCTAAACAAAGGAAGGCATTGTCCAATCAATTGTTTGGAAAGCACTGGGTTAAAGTTAAACACCTTTAATTACAAAGGGCTTCTCGGAGACTTTACTATGCTAATGCGCACGCTGACTGTCCAAGATGATACATTGATTATCAACTGCATTTCCCAAACCTGTTTGTTCACAGAGCTCTCTTTTTTTTTTTACAGAGCATCTCTCAGGGATTCTTAAAATAAAATAAGTCACTGTGAATACACAAAGGAAATGAAAACATATACAGAGTGTGAAATAACAGCCAAAAAGGTAAAAAGTCACTTACTGTTTAGGAAAGAGGAGAAGGGCTTGACATTTGTGATGAAGACAAACAGTGGTTTGGGGAGTGAGTAAGAGCTAGGGAGTAGCAGAACTTCTTGACACTTAGTGAGATGTCTAAAGAATCTCTTAACATAAACAACCCGAAGCCACTTGTTAAAACTTTGACATGACATATTTCAAATTAAAAATGTGCAGATGGGAGGAACCAAATGTAGACGCTTGCTATAATGTTATGGCGACCTCTTGTGGTTCAAAATCAAAATGACCTTTGAAAAATTAATTCGGCCACCCGAAGCAAATATTTTGGTGCTTCAATAAGCAACTTTAGTGTTCCCCCAAATTGTTATCAGAGGTTCTCTTTAAGAGTGGTATTAAGTAGCTTTAATCTCATATATTTTTGTAATGGTTCAATTTTTATAAAAAGTATGCATTGCTCTGATAAGCAGAAAAGAAAATAAGGACAATAAAATATAATAAAATATAGACAAAAATTATCATCTTTCCCAGGTAATTACTCATTTCACTGCAATCAGAATATAGAATTTGGATTAAAGTACTAAGTAATTCCTTTAAGCATTTGAAATATATAGCTATTCCATGATTTTGAACTTCTTACTTTTGCTTTGTAGTTATACCTACATTAAATATTTTATCCAAATATTAACAAATGATGATTGATTTTCCCATTTTTCTAATTCAAATAAAAATTCTTGCCACTAGACAGATTTTGTAATAAGAGATGAAATAAGGTCCCTGAAGAACAGTGAGATACTATGAAGGAAGATGTACTAAATCAGGTCCAGGTTTAATTAATATATAATAGCAAAAATATTATTTTGTTAAAATACAAAAGGTAAACCATTTGGGCAAATAACACATTACAAATTACTGCCAAGGAAGATTTAATAGCCATCCAACACCTGAAATTCTTTTAGTCTTCTCTTCAGGAAGAAGAAAATATTAAAATACTCATAACTTTAAATCGCCAAAATCAACAAAGCATAAATGGCCCCACTTCCAACTCCAAATATAAGAGATCCTTCTAGGTGAAGTAGTCCAGAAAGTCAATGACTCTGGCGACAGTTCACAAATTCTTCTCTGTTTATCAAAAGCAAGTTAAACCAGGAGTGTGCTCTGGCTGAGGAGCATAGTATCTGTTCAGAATCAATGTCAAGTGAGCAATCAGGTTTGCCTGCTGTGTTCTGATACTGAAGACAGACACATGCTAAGTTTTCTCACTGTAATCTGCCTTAGTCAAGTTAGAATTCTTGAAGAACGTACACAGGCATCAAGTTCATACGACCTTATAATTCACTTTTTCCAGGATAATGTTTTTCTTGGACTGATATGGAAGGTTTGTTTTGTTTTGACATGTTCTAATTAGAAAAACTTCAGTAGTGGAGGGAAAGTTAAGAAAAGGTAACCACATAGCCATCCACAAAAGCACTGTTCCCTACTGAGCACATCTGCTCTTAGAATCTGCCTCCTGGGCCCTCACTTTAGATTCCAGAGAGAAGTGTGGGGCCATCACACCACGTATTGTACCGTCCACGCACTGCAGGGGCTTTGCATTTTTCTGAACATGCATTAAGAACTGCAATCTTCCTGGATCCCAGCACTTTGGTAGGCCAAGGTAGGAGGATCACTTGAGCCCAGGTGAGCAGACTGGGCAACATAGTGAGATCCCATATCTTTTTTTTTTAATTTCCTTTTTTTTAACAAAAGAACTGCCGTCTTCTCAAAGCTAATCAACGTTGCTGCAAATGGATTTCCTTCTCTTTTAGGACTAAATAAATAATAATAAATAATACATACTCCATTTTATATATATACACACAGACACACATATGTATATACACATATACATATAAATCTATTCGCTTTATCAATTTTCTTTATCCATTCATCCATTGAATGGACACTGTGTTTCCATGTCTTGGCTATTGTGAATAATGCTGCAATGAACATGGGAGTGTAAATATCTCTTTGAGATACTGACTTTGTTTCCTTTGGACATATGCCCACAAGTGGGATTAAGAAGACAAAAACTGTATGATCTCACTTAGATGAGGCATCTGAAAAAGCTGAACTCATAGAAAAAAAGAGCAGAAGTAGAATGCTGATTGCCAGGGGCTGGAGGACGGGGGAAATGGGGAGATGTTTGTCCAGGAGTACTAATGTTCAGTTACAAGGTGAGTAAATCTGGGGACCTAATGTGCAGCATGGTGAGTATAGGTGACAATACTGTATGGTACACTTAAAATTTAAGAGACTAGATCTTAAATTTTTCTCTTTATACATACACATACAAAAAAAGATAATCATTTCACAATGTATACATGTATCAAAAATTCACATTCTATACAATAAATATATTCAAATTTTGTCAATTATATTTTAATAAAGCAGCAGGAATAAGAACTGCAATGTTAAATCAGAGCTTCTCAGAGAACAGCTCATTCCAGGTCTGGGCAAAAAATTGTACAAAATGAGCTTGGAAGATCCAGTCATTACAGAAAGCAAGGAAGCTATCAAAAAGTCAGAGTTGGCTGGGTGTGGTAGCTCATGCCTGTAATCCCAGCACTTTGGGAGGCTGAGGTGGGTGGATCATTAGTGGTCAGGAGTTCGAGACAAGCCTGGCCAACATGGTGAAACCCTATCGCTACCAAAAATACAAAAATTAGCTGGGTGTAGTGGCGGGCACCTGTAATCCTAGCTACTCAGGAGGCTGAGGCAGGAGAATCACTTGAACCCGGGAGGTGGAGGTTGCAATGAGCCAAGGTTGCACCACTGTAATCCAGCCTGGGCAACAGAGCAAGACTCTGTATGAAAAAAGAAAGAAAGAAAGAAAGAAAGACAGGAAGGAAGGAAGGAAGGAAGGAAGGAAGGAAGGAAGGAAGGAAGAAAGAAAGAAAGAAAGAAAGAAAGAAAGAAAGAAAGAAAGAAAGAAAGAAAGAGACAGAGAGAGAAAGAAAGAAAGAAAGAAAGAAAGAAAGAAAGAAAGAAAGAAAGAAAGGGACAGAGAGAGAGAAAGAGAGAAAGAAAGAAAGAAGGAAGGAAGGAAGGAAGGAAGGAAGGAAGGAAGGAAGGAAGGAAAGAAGGAAGGAAGGAAAGAATGAAAGAAAGAAAGAGAAAGAGAGAGAGAGAAAGGAAGGAAAGAAGGAAAGAAGGAAAGAAAGAGAAAGAGAGAGAGAGAAAGGAAGGAAGGAAGGAAGGAAAGAAGGAAAGAAGGAAGGAAGGAAGGAAAAGGGAGGGAGGGAAGGAAGGAAGGAAGGAAACACAAAAAAATCCTGCCAGAGTTATATCAAAAGAACATGTTAATCATGTTTAAATATGTACCTTAATAATATCTTTATTTGTTAGAAACCCTGGCCTTTATCCTGCCTGTTCTTTTTTTTTTTTTTTTTTTTTGGAGACAAAGTCTTGCTCTGTCGCCCAGGCTGGAGTGCAGTGGTGTGATCTCAGCTCACTGCAAACTCTGCCTCCTGGTTTCAAGCAATTCTCTTGCCTCAGCCTCAGCTGGGACCACAGGCACCCGCCACCACACCCGGCTAATTTTTGTATTTTTAGTAGAGACAGGGTTTCACCATCTAGGCCAGGCTGGTCTTGAACTCCTGACCTCATGATCTATCTGCCTTGGCCTCCCAAAGTGCTGGGATTACAGGCATGAGCCACTGCCCCTGGCCTATCCTGCCTTTTCTATACAAACTATATACTAGGGTAACCAATAGTTGATGTAGTTTCTTTTTTAGAGTATTTCAGCTAATGAATGAAGGAGTAATAAACTAAAAATATAATTATTTTGTTATTCCTAATGAAATAGTGGATCTAGGTGGTGATCATAAATGGCTGCTTTGAAAAAAAAAAGTGAGAGACAAATGTTACATGCATTCTGATGCAAGTATTCAGTACTGTTGTGAGTGTTCTTGCAAAAGAAAAATCTAACATAAGTGTGATCTAGCCTCCAGATCTAACTACCAATTTATAGGAATTACAGGGGACACCACAACATGTTAAATGACGCCACACGATGCAATCAGCAAATTCCAAATGTGCAAAACTCTACAGGGTACATGACCCACCAGTTTCTTAAAAAGAAGGGTTAGAGGAGGGAAGGCATATCTAAAAGAAAATATAAAACACGTAAACCAATTGTAGTGTCTCCTATTCAAATAAACCGACGGCAAAAAAATAAAATAAAAATTATAAAACAATTGGGAAAATTTGAACATTGACTAGATTTTGGGTTTTTGTTGTTGTTTGTTTGTTTGTTTGAAACAGAGTCTTACCCTGTCTCCCAGGCTGGAGTGCAGTGGAGTGATCTCGGCTCACTGTAAACTCCGCCTCCTGGGTTCAAGCTATTCTCCTGCCTCAGCCTTAGCTGGGACAACAGGCACCCACCACCATGCCCGGCTAATTTTTTTATTTTTAGTAAAGATGGGGTTTTGCCATGTTGGCCAGGTTAGTCTCAAACTCCTGACCTCAGGTAATCCACCTGCCTTGGCCTTCCAAAGTGTTGGGATTACAGGCGTGAGCCACCGTGTCCAGCCTAGATTTTGTTGATATTAAGGAATAACTTTAAGTATGCTAATAGAATTGTGATTATATTGCAAAAGGATCTTTATCTTTTAGAGATATTGAAATGTTTATGGATAAAATAATACATCTTGGTTTTACTTGAAAATAATTCAGGGTGGGAAGAAAGCAAGCAAGGTTATATATAGATCAGGGGTTGGCAAATTATACCCTAGTAGTCAAATCTGACCCACGAACTGTTTTTGTAAATAAAGCTTTACTGGAACACAGTCACATTCGTTCATTTATGTGTGATATGCGGCTGCTTCTCCACTACGATAGCAAAGTTGAGTCATTTCAATAGAGTTGAAATGGCCGACAATTCCTAAAATATTTACTATTTGACCTATATAAAAAATACTTTACTGATCCTTTGTATAACTGACACAAGGTTGGCCATGAGTCCATAATTATTGAAGGTAGGTGATGGATACGTGGGGGTTAATTATAGTAGTGTTTCTTTCCTGTATGTTTAAAATTTCCCATCATAAAAAGCTTAAAAGTTTGGTTTGGTTTTGGTTTGTTTGTTTGTTTTGGGATTTTTTTTGGTTTTTGTTTCTGGTTTTTTGAGACAGGTTCTCACTCTGTTGCCCAGGCTGGATTGCAGTGGCGTGATCAAGGCTCACTGAAGCCTCAACCTCTGGGGGCTCAATTGATTCTTCCACCTCAGCCTCCCAAGTAGCTGAGACTACAGGCACGTGCCCACCAAGCCAGGTCAATTTTTGTTTGTTTGTATTTTTTGTAAGGACGTGATTTTTTCATGTTGCCCAGGCTGGTCTTGGACTCCTAGGCTCAAGTGATCCACCTGCCTCCGCCTCGCAAAGTGCTGGGATCACAGGCATGAGCCACTGTACCCAACCTAAAAAGTTTAAAAGTTTTGTTTTGTTTTTTTAAAGTGCTGATAGTCCTAGGAGAGAGCTTTGACCTGGCCTTTGATTGGCTATTAACGATGGCATCATAGTTCTGCTCTGAGGGGCAATGTGTACCACACACTGCCTCTAAAGATGCTTTCAGGGGCTGAGGGTGAATATGACTGTCCACCCTGACAATTATTTTAGAGTTGGCAAAGCCTTGGCTGCCTTAGCTGCATCGAAGACATCAGAGGACTGTGTGCTGTGTGGGAAGCAGCCTTCTTCTCCTTTGCTTTTGCATTGCGCTTTGAAGAACCTACCACATCTAGAAAGAAACTTTTTATGCTCAAAATAACAGACACTTTACCTCTTCAAGGAATATCTCCTTTCCTTGCAGAATAAATTGATCCTCTAATGCTATGAAGATAATGACTCTTGGGAGCCCCTGAAGTTGACAAAAAGTCACAATAATTCCTATACATCCTATACAGGTATACACGCATCCACAATTATATATGTATGTGTGTTAGGCTACAAAACCACAAAATAACCTCACTCTTCAGATACACTTGCCAAGTATAGTGTTTCCTAGAGAAACAGGGAATTAAAGATTCTGTAAAAGTAATTTTAAGTCATTTTAAAACTCTGACTCTAGTTAATTCACGAAATGAGTATTGAATTATCTGCCCCCACAAGGCATGCTACTAAGCACTGAAGAGATGGAAAAATGAGCCAGGACTGTTGGTGTGCATCTGTAGTATCAGCTGCTCAGGAGCCTGAGGTGGGAAGATGGCTTGAACCCAAGAGTTCAAGACTGCAGTGAGCCGTGATCACACCACTGCACTCCAGCCTGGGTGACAGTGAGTCCCTGTCTCTTTAAAAAAAAAAGAAAAGAAAAATGAAAAATGAATAAGGCACTGTTCCTGGATTTAAGAAATTCAATCTAAAAGTGATTACAGGCCAGGCTCAGTGACTCACGCCTGTAATCCCAGCACTTTGGGAAGCCGGGGTGGGCAGATCACTTGAGGCCAGGAGTTTGAGACTAGCCTGGCCAACATGGTGAAACCCCGTCTCTACTAAAAATACAAAAATTAGCTGGGCATGGTGGCACGTGCCTATAATCCCAGCTACTCAGGAGGCTGAGGCAGGAGAACCGCTTGAACCCGGGAGTGAGAGGTTGCAGTGAGCTGAGATCGCGCCACTGCACTCCAGCCTAGGGGACAGAGTGAGACTCCTTCTTAAATAAATAAATAAATAAATAAATAAATAAATAAATAAATGTGATTACAGTGGTTTTTGTACAATAGTCCCTCCTAATCCACCCCAACGGATGCCAAACTCTTTATATACTATGTTTTTTTCCTGTACATACATACCAGTGTAATTTAAAGTTTATCTATAAATTAGATGCACTACTCTTGCACGTTGGGTCCATTATTAAGTAAAATAAATGTTATTTGAACACAAAACAACTGCCTTGACAGTTGGTTTGATAATTGAGATGGCTACTAAGTGACTCACAAGCAGGGGGTGCCTACAGCCTGGAGGACAAAGGGAGGATTCATGTTCTGGCTAGGGCATAGGGGGCTGGCGAGAGAAAGATTTCATCACACTATTCAGAATGACACAAAATTTAAAGTGTATGAATTATTTATTTCTGGAATTTTCCATTTAATATTTTCAGACTGTCATTGACCATGGATAACTAAAACTGTAGCTTCCTTTCACCAAGTACTTAGCACACACGCCCACCTGTGCTAAGCATGCTAAAGATTTTATCTTATTTAATTTTTGCAACAACCTATGAGGCAGGTGTTATTATTTCTATTTTACGCATGAAAACACTGGCCATTAGAGAGATGGAGCCACAAACCCATGCCTGCCACATTCCAAAGCCCACTCTCCTGAACATCATTGGTAGTTTAAACACTGGAATGACAATTTTATTATGTTTTCACCATAAGGACCCATTTATAAAGAAACTCCAGATCTTGTCATTCTATTGGGTTTCCTCTCATCTCTTGTGAGCTTGATGGCATTTATGACGAGTACCTTTAGCAGGAGTGAGACATTTTTGCTTCTGCCAGGCGAGAAGGACAATGTGAAGGGAAGGGGAATACTTTGCTGCCTTACCCATCAATTTCATAATAACAAAAGATGTGGGTGACTATTATTTTAAAGATGCATTGAAATTGTCACTACATATAAATGTAAAATATGGCAAATTGGAAAGTTGTTTTGCACACACAACAGCAAAATTCCTTTTTTTTTTTTTTTTTGAGCATGTTGACGTCCAGGACTGGCTCTAGGCAAGACTGTGAAGAAGCTATGGTGTGCACATTTAACAACTGGCTGTCCATAAAAATGTATGGCATGTTTATTTTAAATTTTACTGATGCAAAGAATGTGTCTCAACCAATTTATAAGCAACAGTAAAATAATACTTTTTTTTGAGATGTGCTTTCACTGTGTCACCCAGGCTGGAATGCAATGGTGTGATCTCGACTCACTGCAAGGTGCGCCTAGCCAGCTCAAGTGATACTCCCACCTCAGCCTCCCAAGTAGCTGGGACCACAAGTGCACACCGCTATGCCTGGTTAATTTTTAAAAATGTTTTGTGGACACTGGGTCTCACTATGTTGCCTAGGCTGGTCTCAAACTCTTGGCCTTAAGCAATCCACCTGCCTGAGTCTCCCAAAGGGCTGAGATTACAGGCGTGAGCCAGCCAAAAAAATACTCTTTATTGTAAATTCCAATTCAATAGTCAATTGATTTTCACAGAATGCTTTCATTGATTTTTTTGTTTGTTCAATTCTTCTATCTGTACCCAACCTATACTTGGAATTGACAAATAAGTGAATATCCAACATAAATGTTGGCTAATATTTCTATTTACATTAATGAACAATATGAAAGTGAAACAACGAAGACATATGTAAAACTTCTCTTGATCTTCATAAAGGGAGTGGCTTCCTTGCTGAATCAGATAACAGTTTTTAAATACTGAAAGAACATTTCTTCAAATTTTTTTGCAATTTACAATATAATGGCTATAAACATTACATACTTTTACTTTGCTTTATTAACATTTTCTCCATCTTTTTCTCAAGTCCAGACAATTAACCAAACAGTGAATCAAGCCCTGATTTGTAGCATTTGCCCATTTTCATGGTATAAATACTTCATTCCTGCCATGGTCTGCTGCAAGCTACCGTCATTATGTCATTAAACCCGGAGTTGAGAAGAGATGCATGAGAGCATGTCATTATATAGAATATCTACCTTACAAATACAATAGACATAATAACCTCAAGTGCATAAATAACAGTAAAACATAGTAAAATAATTTAAAAAAGATAAGTGTGGTATTTATAATTTATTTAAGTTGTATTAGTTTGAACTCTATAAAACTGTGGATATGTAACCATCTTTAGACCACAGAAGTGATAAATAAGTGACTGATTCAACATAAAACACACTCAGGATGTTTAAGGATGGTGGAATTGTGGTGGGTGGATAGAGAATGATAACAATAATGGCAGCCTCTACTATTTATTGAATACTTTCAAAGTCTGGGCACTGTGAAAAGCTAGGTTTGATTCTCTGTGATTTTCAACAATCAAAGCAGAATTTACATTGATTCCTTTTTATCTAGCTTCTCCCAAACAGTTCGGAAAAACCCTGATAGAGACTGGAGAATTTCTGGGACTTTAGTTCCAATTAAAGATTTGACACAATATATATGAAACACTTTATATGCAAATAGCATTCATGATATTTTACATAATTTTTTAACTAAATACAATATATAGCAGAACAAGCACTCCTTTTGGAGTATGAAACTCAACACAAGTCCCAGCTTCATTAAATACTTACTGTATTGCCAGCTGTGCATTTTGAGCTGCCTCACAGCTTCTGAGGGCTGGTTCCTTATTTGTGATTTTAGTAATAATACTGTCTGTGCAGATTCACATTGCAGAATAAACAGGAGATTCAAGTAGGAAAAAGAAAATAGAGTGCCTTCTAAACAGTCCAATTTTGCAGAGGTAGTGGCTTATTATTATAGAATCATAGCCTTCTGTATCTGTTTCCAGGATTGTTTCCTGGGCTATGCCCTTCGACTGGCTGGGAAGCAACTACCAGCCTTTGGCAATTTTAGGGCATTTCTGACCATTTGTCTTACAAATGAACTGTGTGGTAGAATTAGGTTCTCATGACTCTTCAAATTGCCTAGTCACATTTGATTTACTTATATTATAATAATAATGATAATAATAATTATCATTATTATTTTGAGACAGAGTCTCACTCTGTCCTCCAGGCTGGAGTGCAGTGGCACAATCTTAGCTTACTGCAACTTCCGCCTCCCACGTTCAATCGATTGTCGTGCCTCAGCCTCCCGAGTAGCTGGGATTACAGGCATGCACCACAAAGCCTGGCTAATTTTTGTATTTTTGGTAGAGACGAGGTTTCACCGTGCTGGCCAAGCTGGTCTCCACCTCAGGTGATCTGCCCCGCTAAGCCTCCGCAAGTGCTGGGATTACAGGTAAGCCATCATGCCAGCCTAAATTAAATTATTTTTATTAAAAACCCTCTCTTTGTTCATATTGATAGTCCTCAAAGAATTTTGGATTAGTGTAAATTACAGTTGAAAGCTCAGCTGGTGGTAGGAATGTTTACAAAACATTCAGGAGTTTGAAGCCTCCCAATAGTAAAGCTGGGAAGGGTCCCATCTGTGGGAGAGTAAGAATTGAGCCTGGATCCTCCCCTGACTCTCATATCTCTTTTTCCCAATCGTGGTTTGTTGCCTGGGTTTACTTGGGTCATCTGGCTGATTCATTGTTGCTGTATAAACAGGGCTGAGTGTGCTGTGTTGAAAGCCACTGAAACCAGAGGAAACTAGTCACAAAAACCCTGACTATCACCTGATAGATTGCTTGTGCTGCCTGATAATTACTCGCACTTTTCCCAGGCTAGTGCAAATCTTCAGGGGCCGTCCAGGACTACAGAGCTGTTTCACCCTACCTTGGCTTCAATCTCTTCCCCCATGCTCGAAGGTGCGGAGCTGTACTTCAACGTGGACCATGGCTACCTGGAGGGCCTGGTTCGAGGATGCAAGGCCAGCCTCCTGACCCAGCAAGACTATATCAACCTGGTCCAGTGTGAGACCCTAGAAGGTAAGTGTAGCTCTTCTCACCCTTTAAAAAGAAAAAAAAAAAAATGAAATGATGTCCCTCTCCAGAAGCATGGAGAAAAAAAGCCCATAATCATATGGTTTGAGAGTTCTGAGCAGATCCTTATTCCTGCAGTCCAGATTTCTGGGGTCCATAAACTTGAATGAGGAAAAAAAAATAAATCTCTATTTTTAATCTCTAAGTGAACTATAACATCTTTCATTACTAATGTAGGCAACAAATCACAGTAGTTGAGATAAGTAGTATCTGTGACACTGTCACCAACAAAAATTCAATGTTTTCATATCCCTTTAAAGTTCTTGCAGATACCTTGAAATGTCATGTATGTTTTCTCTATTTTGAAGTAAGATACCACACTCATCCTTTATTATTTATTTATTTATTGAGATGGAGTTTCACTCTTGTTGCATAGGCTGAAGTATAGTGGCGTGATCTTGGCTCACCACAACCTCCGCCTCCCGGGTTCAAGCAATTCTCCTGCCTCAGCCTCCCGAGTAACTGAGATTACAGGTGCCCACCACCTGGCCCGACTAATTTTTGTACTTTTTGGAGAGACGGGTTTTCACCATGTTGGCCAGGCTGGTCTTGAACTCCTGACCTCAGGTGATCCGACTGCCTTGGCCTCCCAAAGTGCTGGAATTACAGGCGTAAGCCATCATGCCTGCCAGATTCTTATACATTTTAAAGACATTTTGACAACTATATCTAAAAATATTTGGTTTCCTTTATAATCCTGTGTATTTTCATTCTACATATTTATAAACATTTGGAGAAGGGCTTCACCAAACTGCCAAGGGATCTATGACAAAGAAAAAATATATATATTTAAAACCTTGTTCTATAGAATTTTATTCTATCACATTTCTCAGTATCTATTGATTTGAGAGTTTGAAGTCTACCTTTAACTGAAGTTAAAAAAAAAAAAAATCAAGAGCTGTTACTGGTGGGGCCAGCCCTGGATTCAAAAGTCCTGGATTTGACTTCTGTCATGTCACCAGTAGGTGACCTGTGGCTCCAAGCCTCTGAGTCTCAGTGTTCTCAGTTATAATAAATAAATACTCAACAAGTGGAAATTGTCTCTAAACCACATTTTTTTTTTCAAAACCTTACCAAAGATTCCACGTCTGTAACAGTATTTTTATTATTAAAAACAGCTACACTCACTGATTTTGAAACATACTTACAAAACCCATATAGGTCAATAATAAGGTGGTTTAAAGCTTCCAGATTATTCTAGAAAAGGCAAGAAAGCACTAAGAATAAAGCCTCCTAGGAAGGGTATTAAAAGGCAAAAACGAACCAATGAACCTTCTAAAGGTGACTTTGCAGTCTCCTCAATTAGGGCTGAAGGGTCCTGAGGCCACTTGTTTATAGTTCTGACCAGTTAAAGCCAGAGTTCAGACAGAACCACCCAAGTTACGACAAACCCTGCACTTCCATTAGCATTGGAAACAGCAAGAACCTTTTAGATAACTAATTCTGTTGGCTACAAATAATTACAGTAAAACCCCAAATCCTAAGTCACTTCAGCATATTAAAATAAGAGTTTGGTGACTGGAGAACGTCGGTCACGTATAGAAAATCTACATAAAATAAAGAACACAGGGCTGACTAAGTGTTTCTGAGAGGAGACATTTTAATGAATTCTATTTAGTTTTCAGCCAAGCTCTTAAATGAGCTAAGGAATGCAAATTTAAATGCAAGGAATACATAAAATATCTTTGTGATACCAAAAAAAAAAAAGAAGGAAACAAAAAAAAGAATTCAGAGATAAATCAAGGGAAGCCATATCTAAAGCCATATAAAGAATTCTAGGCCTGGAGAGGTGGCTCATGCCTGTAAAACCCCGTGTCTACTAGAAATAGAAAAAGTTAGTTGGATGTGGTGGCAGACACCTGTAATCCCAGCTACTCAGGAGGTTGAGGCAGGAGAATTTCTTGAACCTGGGAGGCAGAGGTTGCAGTGAGCTGAGATCATGCCACTGCACTCCAGCCTGGGTGACACAGTGAAATTCTGTCTCAAAAAAAAAAAAAAAGAATTCTAGAAAATAGGTCGGGTATAGTGGCTCATGCCTGTAATCCTAGCATTTTGAAAGGCCTAGGTGTGAGGACTGCTTGAGGCCAGGAGTTCAAGACCAGCCTGAGCAACACAGCAAGACCTCGTCTCTACTAAAAATTTTGAAAATTGGCTGGGCATGGTGGTGCATGCCTGTAGTCCCAGCTGCTTGGGAGGCTGTGGCAGGAGGATGGCTTGAGCCCAAAAGGTTGAAGCTGCAGTGAGCTGTAACTGCACCACTGTGCTCCAGCCTGGGCGACAGAGTGAGACCCTGTCTCAGGAAAAAAAAAAAAAAAAAAAAAAAGAATTCTAGAAAGTAAAAAGATAAAAATCAGGAATTTAAAAATTGTACCCTATATTTTCTGCCAAGGTCCCTTTTAATCAAAAGACTTGTCGAGGGAAGGGGATAGATAGAAGGAGGAAGAAATGAGATTAACAGATCTATCCTCTACATAGACAGTTAGCTGAATCTGGTATCTTCATTTTCAGTTTGGGACAGAAGAAAAGGTTTCAATCCCTCTCAAAGACCTCAAGAATAAAGCTTGTGTTTAGAAAAACATACATAAGCAGGCATATGCAGAATTTTCCATACAGCGTCAGGGGATGAGAAACCACCTGAAGCCACCCCACCTGTGCTCTACTGCTTTATTGTCATTGTGTCTCATGATTTCTAACTCTCTCTCTTCCCAATTCTCAACTACATTTGAATCTGTGTGCCAATCTACTGTTCAGAGACTCCCAGAAATATCAAGCATGAATCATCAAACCATGTTTAGGTTATCATGACTGCTGAGAAAACAAATCTAAACAAGAATTTCATGTCCTCTGTTAGTTGAGGACACTGGGGCTTAGAATGGCTGTGACCACCTAACACGCTATTGGTGATGGAGGATGGATAGAGCTATCTGTGTCTCCTTTTCCACAAAAATATGCCATTGCCTCCTGAGTATAAATTGAAGATATATGAATAGGTCTGTGTGGAGTTGATGTCCACTCCATTTTGAAACAGAAAATAATGACTGCTCTACCTGATTATTTTATAGGATGTTGAGAAATAAATAGTGTGTGAACAGCAGTTCAACTGTTGCATCTGTGAATGTACTTAAGGAGACTCAGTCTGCCCCAAGCTAGATTCAGAGCTGAGAAGAAATCAACTTGTTGGAATAGAATCCTAAAGGCTTAAGGATTTTAGTTTACTTTTGCACAAAATATACACCATACAAACTATGGATAAACAACAGGTTACACTGTGCCATTCCAATACTATATGTTGAAGCAGGGACTTTCTGTAAAAGAAAAACTAACTTGGCCAAGATTAAATTTGCTTTCAGTCTTTTTAAGTCATCTGGTCTTTAAAAGGAAAGTGTTCTGATAGCAACAAATTGTTTTAGAACAACTTGCAAGGAACATAATAAGGTTTTGGGTAAATTTAGAAGAGAGAAAAAGATCATCCAGCAAAGCTTTGAAAAGTGTTAGTATTCATAATTGTGCTTAATTGTGTGCATAATTGGGTTAAGTGTAGTAAGAAATACCCATGTATTCTGAGGCCTGCCCCTGACTAATTGTGACTTGATTCAGATCTCTGGATCCACTGTGACTCAGTCTTTCCTAGGTACAGAAGAAGGAAATTAGTTCCCATTGCCTTTGTCACTGGTATTGCTTTAAAGTTGTATCTATAAAGAAATTTTAGGGTCTTTAAAAGTGACTTTGAACCAAAACAATAACTTTAAAAGAGCATATTTTAAAAACTAACACTACTGCTTGCATCAGAATTTTTAAAAATTACAAATAAGACTTTTGGAAATATTCTTCCCTCCTCAAAAAAGACAAAATAGTAAATCAATACTTAAAGTTTAGTAGTAAATAATCTTTTCTAAAACATATGACAACAGTGTCCACTGGCTCTCAAGATGTGGGAGGTCATTCTGGATTAAGTCTTTTTTTTTTCTTTTTGAGACGGAGTTTAGCTCCTGTCACCCAGGCTGGTCTCCAATGGCACGATCTTGGCTCACTGCAACCTCTGCCTCCCAAGTTCAAGTGATTCTCCTGCCTCAGCCTCTCAAGTGGCTAGAATTACAGGCATGTGCCACCATGCCTGGCTAGTTTTGTATTTTTTTTTTTTTTTTTTTAGTAGAGATGGGATTTCACCATGTTGGCCAGGCTGGTCTCAAACTCCTAACCCCAGGTGATCCGCCTGCCTTGGCCTCCTAAAGTGCTGGGATTACAGACGTGAGCTGCTGGCCTGGATTAAGTCTTTACTTTGTCCTTGACACAGTTTGTTTAGAAGGGAATTAGGGAAGCTGATTATATCTCACTAACAATGGTGCCCCCCTGTCAAGGGGCTTGAGCTTCAGAGCTTCTCCAGCAGTGTCTTCAGGTAGGAATTAATTCAACACCATCTAGTAAGTACTTTCTAGCTAGCGCCAAGAAAGTAAAGATGAACAAGATAGAGTCCCTGCCCTAAAAAGGATCCTACCTGGAGAATAAAAATATTAGAAAAATGAGAACCCCTTAAGGATGGCAATTGGGTAGTACCTACTGAAATTCCAAATGCTTATACACTTTGTCCAGGAATTCCAAGTCTCATAGACAAACTTACACACATGTGAGATGACAGCTATACAAGGCTCTTTATGTGGCATAGTTTTTTGTTGTTGTTTTTGAGACAGAGTCTCACTCTGTCACCCTGGCTGGCATGTAATGGCACAATCTCGGCTCACTGCAACCTCTGCCTCCTGGGTTCAAGTGATTCTTGTGCCTCTGTCTCCCGAGTAGCTGGGACTACAGGCGTGCACCACCATGCCTGGCTAATTTTTTGTATTTTTAGTAGAGATGGGGTCTCACCATGTTGGCCATGACAGGTCTCAAACTCCTAACCTCAAGTGATCCACCCACCTCAGCCTCCCAAAGTGCTGGGATTACAGGCATGACCCACCGCGGCTGGCCTTTTATGTGGCATAGTTTGGAATAGCAAAAGATGGAAACAAATCAAGTGTCCCTCTGCAGGAAATAAGTTTTCATTTTTTAAAATTTATTTTTTTAATAGAGACAGGGTCTTATGTTGCCCAGGCTACTCTCAAACTCCTGGGCTCAAGCAATCCTCCCACCTTGGCCTTCTAACATGCTGGGATTATAGGCCTGAGCCACCACAACCAGCCAGGAATAAGTTAAATAAGTTATGGAACATTCACATAATGGAATATTCTGCATTTAAAAGGAAAAACGCATGAGGAAGCACTCTAAAAGGAGAAATATGGAAAGATTACCAAGATACATTAAGTCAGAAAAGCAAGGGGAAGAACCAGGTGTGGCATGGCACTCTTTAGTAAAAAGTGGGATAAATTTTAAAAATATACTTCCTATATGATTACCTAGCTACAAAGAAACTGTGAAAGGATTAAAAAGAAACTAAAAATAGAGGTTACGTGAAGCTAGGAACGAGTGGCAGGGGGTGGTGGGTAGGTGAGTGACAAGCATAGGGACCTGTCACTGTTTACCCATATATACACCTATTACTTATTTTTAATTTCAAAATAACATATGGGAGGATGACTGATTTCAAAGAGCTTTCTCTTTGCTTCCTTAGACATTATTTGTACCTCTAATTATAGCACTTTTTCTGCCTTATATTAAAAAGACATATCCAATTCTCTCCTGTTTAAAACACATACACACACACACACACACACACACACACATCAAGAGCTTCCATCAGGCAAGATAAATGATAAATGACAGCTTAAAAGGCTGATCCACCTTGTAAGCCCTTCGTCAGAATGTTTTGCCTTTTCTAGAGCTGCACCTTCAATCACAAATTCCATCCCTTATCCCATGTTCCTGGAAAGCGACCATCTCCCTTTAAAGTCTTCATTTAAGTCACTTCCTCTGTAAGCCCCTTCCTACAGAATCTATCATGGGATGGAATTGACAAGCTTCAACTTTAGCTCCACGGTACCTTGTAATGAACCTAATCCTGTATAACATCTGTGACATTTGCATAGATGTGTCATCCTGAGGCAGAACATTTGCCTCGTTTGTCTATCTAGCTCCAGAGGCTGCTGCAGTTACAGGCTTAACTGATAAATAAATATATAGCTCTATCTGCCTTATTGCAAGCTTTTTTATTTTTATTTTTTAAGACGGTCTGGCTCTGACACCCAGGCTGGAGTGCAGTGGCATGATCTCAGTTACTGCAACCTCTACCTCTCCCGGACTTAAGCGACCCTCCCACCTCAGCCTCCTGAGTAGCTGGAACTACAGGCACAGGCCACTGTTCCTGACTAATTTTTGTATTTTTGTAGAGACAGGGTTTATTCATGTTGCGCAGGCTGGTCTTGAACTCCTGAGCTCAAGTGATCTGCCCACCTCAGCCTCCCAAAGTACTGAGATTACCGGTGTAAGCCAGCGAGTGCCTAGCCTGTAAACTTCTTTTTTCTTTTCTTTTTTTTTTTTTTTGAGATGGATTCTCTGTCGCCTAGGCTGGAGTGCAGTGGCGCGATCTCGGCTCACTGCAAGCTCCGCCTCCCAGGTTCATGCCATTCTCCTGCCTCAGTCTCCCGAGTAGCTGGGACTACAGGCACCCACCACCACGCCCGGCTAATTTTTTATATTTTTAGTAGAGATGGGGTTTCACCGTGTTAGCTTGGATAGTCTCGATCTCCTGACCTCGTGATCTGCCCATCTCGGCCTCCCAAAGTGCTGGGATTATAGACGTGAGCCACTGTGCCTGGCTGCCTGTAAACTTCTTAAAGGCAGAAAGTACACCTTAAACTTTTCTCTCTCCTACCTCCCTAAGCCTAAGAGTGTATTTTGCATGTAGTAAGAATCTGAAAATACACACTGGAAATATCTACATATTGGGTTCAAGTCCTGGATCTTCTGCTTTATGGTTCTGGGATTCTAAGCAAGTGCTTAACCTTTAACATGGTGCTTTTTTTTTTTATTTTTATTTTTTTATTTTGAGACAGGGTCTCATTCTGTTGCCCAAGCCAGGGAATGCAGTAGTGGGTAGCGTGATCATGGCTCAATGCAGCCTCAATCTCCTAGGCTCAAGTGATCCTCCCACCTTAGCCTTTCAAGTACCTGGGACCACAGGTGCATGTCACCAAGCCTGGCTAACTTTTTTGTCATTTGCAAAGACAAGGTCTCACTTTGTTGCCCAGGCTGGTCTTGAACTCCTGGCCTCAAACAATCCTCCTGCTTCAGCCTCCCAAAATGCTGGGATTACAAGCGTGAGCACTGATAAGTGCTTTCTTATCTCATCTTTAGATGGTATCTCCGTGGCCTAACTCCCAGTTCACTGGGAGGATCCAAAATATCTGAAGATGTTTTGTAAATTGTAAATCTTAACAATACACCCCTGCACTGTAGTTTACATACAACAAGAATTTGTTTTCCCTCTTCTGCTAGACTTTGGAATTCCTGAAATAGTTCTTTCCATTTTATGGTTTTGGATAGTGGCATTTGGATATGAATCCATTTAGTTTATTCTGTTCTTCAGAGAGCACCAGTTTTGAAAATATTTATTTTGGTAAGTAAAAATTAAAATGAAGATTTTCAACCCTAGTAAGATTTACTGGACTGTATAATGAAGTTCTGTGGGGCCACTGCTACATGGATCTTAAGTTTTAATCACAAATTAATATTTGAGGCTCATTTATGTGGCAAAAAAATGCATTTGGAGCTGTGGAGAGTACAAAAAAGAACAGGCTGGATGCAGTGGCTCATGTTTGTAATCCTAGCACTTTGGGAGGCCGAGGCAAGAGGATTGCTAGAGGCCAGGAGTTCAAGGTTGCAGTGAGCTATGATTATGCCACCGTACTTTAGCCTGGGTGACACAGCAAGAATCTGTCTAAAAAAAAAATGACACCATTTACTACCTAGACAACTGTGTAGTTGATAGGATGTCACAAATAAGTAAAATGAGATAAAAATTCAGAATCCAAAAATGGTTCAAACCTATTGATAGCAGATATACTTGAAGGTGAACCAAATCTTGAATAATAGATTGATAAAAGGCCATGAAATGGGGTTTCAGGAGGAGAAGAATTGAGATGTCAGGACATTCAGCAAGCAGATAAAACAAATGAATTTAAAAAGGGAAAAAATAAAAGCCTGTGGATGGGGAGTATATCAGTTAGGCTGCAATACTAGAATACTTGGAGAGAAGGCTGGAATTCAGGCTGGGAAAACTCTGAAAAACCTTGAAGGTTTGATTTGAAGTTTCAAGATCCTGACGCTAACACTGAATGAGGACAAGAGTCAGGTATGATTCTCAGTTAACTACTTGCCAGCGTGGAAAACAGGAACAAGTTACTTCTCTGAGCCTCAGTTTCTTCATCTATGAAATAGGATTATTGTTAAAGTTAAGAGATTATGTATACTAAAACCATTCTGGCAATGGTAAAACGCTCTACAAATTTTATAAAAGTTGTTTTTAATCTGCCTAAAACTTTTCAGTGGCTGCAAGCTATTTTTAGGATCATTACAGTACCAAAACAATTCTTAGGAAAGATTAAACTTGAGGCGGGGAGCACATGAGGAGAAATGAGCCTGGGAAAATCGATTCAAAGATTGCTGCAGTAATCGAAGTGCCAGATGTTATTCAAAACGGGAGTGAGCAGCAGAAATCAGGGAAGAAATGCAGGGCATTTGGAGTAATAAAGCACCAAAGAGGACTTTGAAGTTTCAACACCCTGAGAACGGCAATATATTAGCAAAAATGGAGAAAGAAGTGTCTGGTTGTACATCTTCCGGTGTATTTATTAAAAGTCTGAGTAATTACCAGATTTGATGGTTGATTCCAATATGTTAGTTGGAAAAATTCTGGTTTAGAGGATAAAAGCTGAATTCCTTAGCAATTTATTTTGGAGATAGGTGGGTACAATTGAAAAAACAATATTTTGTGGTGGATTCTCTATGCTGGCTCTTTACCTACCTGAATCATCTTTTTTTGTTTGTTTGTTTCTTTTCTTTTTTGAGACAGGATCTCACTCTATTTCCTGAGCCAGAGTGCAGTAGCTTGAACACAGCTCACTCCAGCCTCCACCTCCCAGGCTCAAGCAATTCTCCCACCTCAGCTTCCTGAGTATGGGGACCACAGGCATGTGCCACCACACCCAGCTAACTTTTTTTTTCTTTTGTAGAGTTGGGGTTTTGCCATGTTGCCCAGTCTAGTCTGAAACTCCTGGCCTCAAGCAATCCTCCCACCTTGGCCTCCCAAACCCCTTGGATTAGAGGCGTGAGCCACTGTACCAGACAACCTTGTTTAATCCCCAAAACAACCTGAAAGCGTAGACTATATCCATTTTGTAGATGAGGAAACTGAGTTCGGAAAATTCAGATAATTTCCCTAAGTTCAGCAGCAGCAGAGTGTGGGGAAAGGCAGGGGGCTGCTTGGATAGAACAGTAGATAGTCACTTCTCTTTATTTTTAGTAGAGACGGGGTCTCCCTATGTTACCCAGACTGGTCTCAAACTCCTGGGCTCAGCAACCCTCCTGCCTCGGCCTCCAGAGTAGCTGGG
Source organism: Homo sapiens (assembly GCF_000001405.40). NCBI lineage: Eukaryota > Metazoa > Chordata > Mammalia > Primates > Hominidae > Homo > Homo sapiens. The sequence goes on from NC_000008.11 coordinate 86,108,705, forward strand.
GTTACAAGCATCAGCCACCACGCCCAGCCAAAAAGGAATTTTCTAAAAATAGTCTGCCAACAAATTAGTAGACAATAACCATGAAGTCTAACTTCCCTATAGCCAAGTGATCTCAGATAATTCCCTTCATGCAGTGACCACAACCCACAGAAAACGCATGTTTATATTATGACTCAGTGCATACATTCAGGCACACATTCACACTATGTGATAGACTCTATTTGTTAAAATGGTGTAATCTATTTTTTTTATTCTATTGCTGTGTGGCACCTATTAAAGTGATTTAGTTGGTAGTGATCCTACAGTTTGGAATATATTCTATTTTCCTTATTTTAATAAAAAGGAAAAAACACCATTTGCCACTCTACCTTTCTAGATAAAAAGTAGTGTAATTTTCCCAAGTGTGCTCTGTGGGCGGCCCATTGTTTTTTAGTGGCTTGGGAGGTTCTGTCCCTTACTGTTTTCAAAGAAATCACTTTCATGTAGTAAAGGCTTTTAATTCCTACAGTAAAGAAGCTTGTGCCTTCCAAATTTATTTTACCATAAAGTCTTATTACTCACACACCTATTTAGATAAGCATTTAGGGAAATGTAGGAAAAAAAATTCAGTGAACTCATTTTGAAAAGTATAAAACTATGAGTACTGTTGTTATTATTGACAGTCTATCATCATCCCAGAGTGCATTTCAGACCCTCAGATTCTCTTGGAATCTGAAAGCAAGCATCCCTTGGATCATTTTAGTGCTGGGGAAGAGAGGTTCCTTCTATTCCACTTTTCACTGATTACAGTATTATAAGATTCCTACAGGGTATGAAACACTGAGACATTTAATTTCAGGATGTCCCTGGCAGCTGAAAGGTTTGAAAGTTATTTAGCTTGAAAGAAACATATGTCACATGAGCAAAATATCATGGTTTTGAAAGAAATACCATTTGTGTCACTTCTGTTGGCAAATATTCCTTGGTGCTGAGAATTCAAACTGTCAAGTTGCATAAAAATCTGAAATGCCAAAATGAAAGCTAAATAAGGCATGGCAACAAAGTAGAATTGTTTTAAGTTAATTAAATAGGTAATTGAGCAAATAAATTCTGCTGTCAGATGAACAGCATTTACGATGCAAAATCTACTCCAGACACTGAGGAAGACTGCAAGAACCACATTGTCCCTAATTGCAGGTGCACCCTCCCCCAGCTACCAGAGCAATCCATTCATAGCTCGCAGTGGCTTCCTGTTATCTCAGGATAAACATGGCATACCAAACCCTCCCTAGGACAGTTCTGCTTATTTCTTTGGCTTCAATTCTCACCTCCCCTTCTCTACCACTCCTTTAAAATTGACACATAAAAATTGCATATATTTATCATATGCAACATGATGTTTTATTTTATTTTATATTTTATTTTTTGAGACAGAGTCTGTCATTCCTTTGCCCAGGCTGGGGTGCAGTGGCGCATTCTCAGCTCACTGCAACTTCAGCCTCCCAGCTTCAAGTAATTCTCATGCCTCAGCCTTCTGAGTAGCTGGGATTACAGGCGCACACCACCACACCCAACTAATTTTTGTCTTTTTAGTAGAGACGGGGTTTCACCATGTTGGCCAGGTTGGTCTTGAACTCCTTACCTCAAGTGATCCACCCGCCTCAGCCTCCCAAAGTGCTGGGATTACAGGCGTGGGCCACCACGCCCAGCCTATGGTGTTTTAATATATGTATTAATTGTGGTATCAACCAAAATTAAGTTTGTTGAGGCAGAAATAGTTCAGTAAAGGTTTATTGGAAGCCAAATGTAAGGACTGATCAAGGAAGACACAGCAACAAAGCTGTGTGTGTCCCAGAGTCTGCTGCGAGTTGGAAGGCTTTTAAGGGAAAGTTTAGAAGAACAGAGGAGGACTCTTCATACTAGAGTTGTCCTTTTCATTGCAGGTCACAATACAGAGGTTACAATCACTGGCTACAGATGATATACAGGCTAAAATGTCTACGTGCAAGACAATCAGTAAACTTCATGATGCAGAAACCAATCACCAAAACTTGATGATTTGGAAACAAATCAGTGTCCTTTTCAGTGCCAGTAGGTTATGTATTAATCAGTACATTAAAAATTTGAGGGACTCACGGTAAGATTCTTTACTCTGGGATAGGACAGGACAGGACAGGACAGGACTGGCATCATAAGACCTCCGCCAGGCAGGTAAATTTGGAAGCCTGCCCAATGTGACCTACATGTTATCAATCAAGTGAATTAACAAGTATGTGAATTCACATACTTATTTTTTGTGGGGAGAACACAAAATCTACTCTTTACATGATTTTAAAAATACAATAAATTGTTATTTACTATAGTCACCATTTTGTACCATAGGTCTCTTGAAGTTATTCCTCCTAACTGAATCTAACTGAGTTTTGTATCCTTTGACATCTTTCCAACCCCTCACCCTCTCACTTGTCCCCCACTAAGTCGTTTTTTTCTTTTTTTTTCTTTCTTTTTTTTTTTAAATGTAGAGACAAGGTCTTGCTTTGTCACCCAGGCTAGAGTACAGTGGCGAGATCATAGCTCACTGAAGCCTCGAGCCCCTGGGTTCAAGAGATCTTCCCACCTCTGCCTCCCAAAGTGTTGGGATTACAGGCATGAGCCACCACTGCTGGCCCACTCCTTGCCCTTTGATGACCACTACTTTACTCTCTACTTCTGAGTTATCAAAATGAAAGATTTCTTTCTTTTTGAAGGCCGAGCAGTATCCTATGGTATATTTATACCACCTTTCCTTTGTCCATTCATCCATCAATGGGCACTTAGCTTGATTCTATGTCTTAGCTATTGTGAGCAATGTTATAATGAATGTAGGAGTACAGATATCTCTTCACCATACTGATTTCATTTCCTTTGGATATATACCCAGTAGTGAGATTGCTAGATCATAGGGGGTTCTATTTTTAATTTATTTCTCTCCCACTTAATACTTCAGCAACACTGAACTGCTTTGAGCTCCTTGCACACAGCATACCTGTACTAAGTCATCGAATGCCTGCCTCTGTTCTTAATCTTTCTCCCCTCTTCCTCCACTCTTACATAATATTCTAAGGCTCATCTCCTTCAAGACACTTTCCTAGGCTTCTTGCTCCTATCTTTATGGATCTGGGTCTCATTTTCTATGTTCCCATAAATCAAGGACCTTATCTTTATCACTAAATTAACACATTGTTTGAATCATTTGTGACTGCCTCTTTCTTTACCAAACAGTGGGTTTCCTTGGGAATGAGGAATATTTCTGGTCTATCTTTGGGTCTCCTGTAGTTGGCAGCACATAATAGATGCTTAATAAATGTTTGAGTGGAAGATCCAATAAGCTCCATATGTGTGCTGGATGTTGCCAAGGACATTTTAGATACTCAGATATGCAATAACACTTACATGTTGGGTTCTGCATAAGGAGTCACAGGTAAAAGATATAACTAAGATAGTGTAACTGCCTTCTGGGTTAACATGCTTAAGACTATATAATATCCTATAATAGGTGTTATGCTAGAGGTTTTATCAGAGTACTTTCAAATTCAGATGCATGAGAGTGAATAATTCTGCCTGAGATAATTAAATCTTTACAGAACAAGTGATAATCTAATTGAATTAGTTGGCAATAAAATAAAGTTTTAAGTGACTTTGAAGTCAGGAATACCTGGCTTGGAATCACAGTTTATCTACGTGAGATTTTTAAATTTTTTAATCTATGTGATCTTGAACAAGTTACTAACCTCTCTGAGCTTCAGTGTTCTTATCTGTACAAAGGCATAGAAATCATTTTTACCTCATAAAATTGCCATGAGTATTAAATGAGATAATACAAGTTCAGTACAATACCTGGTACCTAATAAGCACTCAATCACTGGTAACTATTATTTTAATGTTACCAGTAGGGTAACATTGAAGTGTAGATTATAATAAGCCAATCTGAAAAGGGGTGGGGGAAGAAATTCTAGAGTGGGGTTGGGTCAGCATTTACTGAAGTATGGATGCTAGAAAATACATGGTTTGTTCAGGAGGAAGTGACAATCAACAAAGCTGAAATTCAGTTCAATCCAATTACCTGGCAACCAAAATGGATGACATTTAAAGGATGCATGGCATGGTCTGGTGGAAACGATGCTGGGTTATAAGAATAAGGGGACTAATCGCCTACTTCAGTCTCATTAGATAACTCCACCATTTAGTCCCACTGAACTTCAATTTCTTCGTCTGTAATAAAAGGATACTGAAACAGAGCACCGATGGCTGCCCGTGCCACCTGCCCCCACACCCATGGTAGCTACTACTAATACATTTATCTTTTCCATCAAGTTGGGATGGAGCATTTGTATCCTCAACAGTTTCCCAGGTAGCTATCTCCAAAAGACTAAAACCTGTTTGCCATCTGTGGATTAGGTGTTTGTTAGGTTTTTTTTTTTTTCAGATCTGCTAAATAATACCAGATTTCTTAGTAATTGAAATATTTTGTGAGGGCCAGGCACAGTGGCTCCTGCCTGTAATCCCAGCACTTTGGGAGCCTGAGGTGGACAGATCACTTGAGGTCAGGAGTTCGAGACCAGCCTGGCCAACATGGTGAAACCCTGTCTCTACTTAAAAAAATACAAAAATTAGCCAGGTATAGTGGCACACGCCTGTGGCCCCAGTTACTTGGGAGGCTGAAGCAGGAAAATTGCGCGAACCCAAGAGGCAGAGGTTGCCGTGAGCTGAGATCGCACCACGGCACTCCTGCCTGGGCTACAGAGGGAGACTCCCTCTCAAAACAAAAGAAAAACACATTTTCTGGTGTGCTGGATTATCCATATTCACATAACATTTTTGTTGCTTTACAGATCAAGTCTAAATCATATTTAGACCTTATATTAAAATCTAATAAGATAATACATATGTATGTAACACAAAATTAGCATGAATTCAACTAATGTTGAAAAAGCTATTTGTGTATGTTCAAAATTTAACCTGAATTGGGGTTTCATTTAATTTCAGACCTGAAAATTCATCTCCAGACTACTGATTATGGTAACTTTTTGGCTAATCACACAAATCCTCTTACTGTTTCCAAAATTGACACTGAGATGAGGAAAAGACTATGTGGAGAATTTGAGTATTTCCGGAATCATTCCCTGGAGCCCCTCAGCACATTTCTCACCTATATGACGTAAGTGATGACAGAAAGCCCTAATAAGCCCCAATGTACTCGTGCGGATGACCCCTAACAATTACAGGGTGGGTATCAAGCCAGAGTGAGACTTAAGACCTTTTCCATTGTTTGTAAGTTTAAATTCATTCACATTTTAGCAACTGATAAGCTCATAGAGCCACATTTTTGCATTAGAAAATGGATTTCATTGATTTATAAACATGATTATATCAGCGGTGGTGGCCTCCATCTAAAGGAATCTTTTCAGTTTTCATTTAAAAAAAAAAAGTGTTGCCAGTGTTTAAGGTGTTAGTACTGAAGGTAAATGTTATGTGACATTCTTGGATCACTTTTCAGGGTGGGGTTGACAATATCTCAAAGTATTCATAAGGTCACATAAACCACTCCTAATTCCCTTTGTAACAGTATAAGTAGCAGTTGTGAAAGTTATATATGTTTTATTTTTATCCATCATCTGTGGTTCCAATTGTGCAACACATGAGCTCCTCATTCTACAAAATATTTGGGGCCGGGAGCTGCGGCTCATGCCTGTAATCCCAGCACTTTGGGAGGCCAAGGTGGGTGGATCACGAGGTCAGGAATTCGAGACCAGCCTGACCAATATGGCGAAACCCCATCTCTACTAAAAATACAAAAATTAGCCAGGCGTGGTGGCACTCCCCTGTAGTCCCAGCTACTCGGGAGGTTGAGGCAGAAGAATCGCTTAAAGCCGGGAGGCGGAGGTTGCAGTGAGGTGAGATTGTGCCACTGCACTCCAGCGAGGGCGACAGAATGAGACTCTATCTCAAAAATAAAATAAATTAAAAAAATTGAACTCCCACATAATAGTGAACTGCACTTTTATGACACCAATTAATAAATTTTACTTAGTGCTCAAATGGACCATTTGAAATAAGCTTATGCCCTTTCAGCTCTCCTAGCTGAAAAACTGGGAACAAAGACACACAAATAAATGAGCTGTGTGTTATGTAGATAAAATGTAGATGTAAAGCACAAAGTTCTGAAGACTAGGTCCAAGCCCAGGTCTGGTGCCTGGCACTCAGGCGTCAATATATTTGTGGAAAGAAAATATCAATGAAAAAATGCTGCATAGTATAAGCCAAAGATTAGTCAAAGGGGAACAAAAGAACAGGACTTCATGTCAAACACTGTGCTCAGTACTAGAAGTAGGAAATTAGAGACATGTTATACGAATACAGGAAACTGGGCGTTGGCTGTATGAAAGCATGGCTTTGGGAGACAATCTAAGATTTTTAGAGGCAGATTCCAAGAAAATATAATAAGAGAAAGCCTGGAAAAATAGAGGGCAGAGACTCCTTCTGAAAGAGCAGAGCAGTTTCAGCCTCTGTCTGGTTGAACGATAAAATGATGGCGCTGCCTCAAGGAGCAGGGAATGAAAAGAATCCGCTTATCTGACCAGGAAGATGATACTCCCTCTATCCTTCTATTCTTTCTTTGTCCTTCCGTATCATCCATTTTTTTTTTTTTTTTTTTTTTTTTTTTGAGACTGAGTCTCATTCTGTCGCTCAGGCTGGAGTACAATGGCGTGATCTCGGCTCACTGCAACCTTCGCCTCCGTGGTTCAAGAGATTTTCCTGCCTCAGCCTCCTAAGTAGCTGGGATTGCAGGCATGTGCTGCCATGCCCGGCTAATTTTTGTATTTTTAGTAGAGATGGGGGTTTCACCGTGTTGTCTGGGCTGGTCTCGAGCTTCCAACCGCAGGTAATCCTCCCGCCTCAGCCTCCCAAAGTGCTGGGATTACAGGTGTGAGCCACCATGCCCGGCCTCCATCATATATTCTTCCACTTTACAAATGACAGTATCTCTGCCCTTCAGTCCAGTGAACAAGAAAATGGAACTAAGAATATCCAAATATACTTGCTGAGCTGAACAAAGTTAAGTGGACCTTAACTTCTACACATGCCTTTAATTTCAGGGGAAAATAATATGTCAGTCAGAAAGATTTCTCACACTATAGCAGATATTCCTTGGCATCTAAATACGGCAAACAGAAAATATTCCATGAAAACAGACCTGCATTCCTAGGCCTTTGGCACAAAGGAAAACCAATGCAAATTTCCTATTATTGACAGTGGGCAAGAGCAGAAGTAAAGGAAGGCTCTTCTGTTTGGAATTTCACATCGCATCATACAATCTGAGGATCAATTTTACTTAATGAATAATATCTTTAAGAAAAAAAGAAAAGTAATTAAGGGACATGATTACAATCTTTCAAGAGTTCAGAAAAGCATAAAATAAAAATATCACTCTGTGTCTACATTTCCTCTTCTTCCCCACTCAGTTTCTCTTCCAAAAGTAACCACTTCTCAGTTTCTTATGTGTTATTCCAGAAAAATACTTACATGTACGTGTGTCTATTGCTACACACTCTCCCACCCACACATTTCAAATTTATACAAATGGAATCATATTCCTTCTGTACTTTTTTCCCACTTAATATTTCTTAGAAATATGCTTGTGACTGTCATTCTTTTTATTTTATTATTTATTTCTGTTTTTACAGACAGAGTCTCACTTATTGCCCCGGCTGGTCTCAAACCATCCTCTCACCTTGGCCTCCCAAAGTGCTGGGATTATAGACGTGCACCATCATGCCTGGAAAACATCATACTTTTTAAATAACTGCATAGAATTGGCTATATGTGTCATGACTCCATTTACCAATCATTTATTGACAAGTAGCTAAATTATTTTTATTTTTTCCGCTTACAAAAAAATTTGCAATTAGCTTATTTCCTACGAGATTAGACGAGATCAGGCACGTTCAGGGTGGTATGGCCGTAGATCAATTAGCTTATTTCTATGCAGGTCTTGAACTTATTTCTAAGCTCAGTTTTTAGCAGTGGAAGTAGTGAGTCAAAGGAATGTGCATCTTTATATTTTAGTAAATATTTCTAAGTTCTCAACAAAGGTAGCACCAATTTTAACCCCCTACAACAACCTGTGGAAAGACCTGTGTCCTTTTACCATTACCAACATTGGATATTTTCTTTTTAATTTTTGCCAGTCCAATAGGTTAAAAAAATAGTATCTCTTTGCTTCAATTTATATTTCTTCAGGAGTGAAATTGATCATTTCATATTTATTATTTATGTGGATTTGATACAGGACCTAATTGTCTATTTTTGTTAGAGTTTTCAGCAGTTTTTAATGACATATAACAGCTATTTGTAAATTAAGAAAGTTTAGCCCTTCATAATATATGTTGCAAAACTATTTTCTTTGTGTTATATATTTTAATTTTTATAATGTTTGTGGTTTTTTGCTGTGGAAACATTGAACACTTTTAATTAGCTATACTCATCAATGTTTTCATTCATTGCCTTCTGGGTATTTTATTGTACCCTGTTTAGAAAGGCCTTCACTCCAAATTCATAAATAAACCCACTTGTCTTTTCTTCTATTTATTTGTTGTTACACATGTTGCTTCATTTTTTACATTTAAAACTTTGGTCCATTTTAGAATTTATTTTCGTGTAAAGAATTAGACTACAGATCTAGCTCAAATTGTTTTCCCAAATAGCTCTCCCTTTCTACTCCATTTCTGTAAGTAAGCAAGTAGAAGAAAAGACCATAGGTCAAGGAAGGAAGGAATTGTGGATATACCTGAGGCATGACTTTAGTGCGGATGTTTCTTGTTTGCCATACTCAGTCCTCCTATCAGCGCTATGGGTTAGGATAATTCCTTCCATGTTACTTACAGGCAAGACACAGATGCTGATGTTTTCTAAGAATTCACAAATATACATACAGCTAGTCAGGAGTAGAGATTAGATATGGACTTACATAGGACTCAGTTCAGGGATTCTGGAAAACCTTCCCAGAAGGGCTGATGTTACTGAGCCTGGAAATACGGTAGAATTTGGCAATACGGGAGAAGCCTTAGCATCCGGGTCTGAAACATGTAGATGGGAAGGTTGTTCCATGCGTGAGGAACAGTTCAGTTTTGGCTGGAGTGGGTGTGCCATATAGGAAGGAGGAAGTGGGGAAACGAGGCTGGAGACGCAAACTCCAGTCAGATTATGGAAAGTCTTTGATGCCAGGCTAAGGAAGTTGAGCCTTATCACATCAGAGTGTTTTTCTTTTCTTTCTCTTTGTTTTCTTTCTTTCTTTCTTTCTTTCTTTTTTTTTCTTTCTTTCTTCTTTCTTTTTCTTTCCTTCCTTCCTTCTTTCTTTCTTTCTTTTTTTTTTTTTTTTTTGACGGAGTTTCACCCTTGTTGTGTTGCCCAGACGTGAACCTCCGCCTCCCGGGTTCAAGTGATTCTCATGCCTCAGCCTCAGGAGTAGTTGGAATTACAGGCGCACGCCACCACGCCCAGCTAATTTTTGTATTTTTTTTTATTTTTTTTAGTAGAGATAGGGTTTCCCCATGTTGGTCAGGCTGGTCTTGAACTCCTGACCTCAAGTGATCCACCCGCCTCAGACTTTCAAAGTGCTGGGATTACAGGCGTGAGCCACCGCGCCTGTCCGCAGAGTATTTTTCAAGGTTGTGTGTATATGTGGTGTATTTTGTTGGTATCTGCAAGGCCCTTCCTAAAAAGTAAAAACCTTAAGGAGAAACCCAAAATGTAAAAGAGATGAAAGAAGATGCCAGGATTACTCACAGAACGTATTCCTCCTCCCAGTGATGGTTGGGAGGAAGTAGAAAGTGCTTAGGCTTTGGGCTGAGTCAGATCCAAATTCATACCTAATCTTCAATAGCTGGCATGAGAGAGGCTCTGCAAGCAGTGGTGCCTCCTGCAAAAATACCTGGCATGGATAATTATGGAAACAGTAAAGATTCCTGAGCTGAAGGACAAAATGGCCCTAGTTGTGTGGAAGGAAAAATAACAATCAATATACTAGACAACATTTACAGAATATTACAATATGCCGGGGACTTTATTAGGTTGGAAAGCTAAGTGCTTTACAAATATTACCTCATTTAACCCTCCTGACAAGTCTTACTCAATTCTTACCATCACCATTCTAAGGATGAGGAACCTAGAACTTAAGTGCAATAATCTGCCCTGATCACAGATCTAACGAGCGGTGGAGTCATGATTTGAAATAGTTGTTAGCAGTAGGCTTCATAAAATTATTTTGCTCAGATTTTAGTTGAGTTCAGAAAATCTGACCATGACAGTGACAGAGGGCAGCCCAATTTTATCTGAATCAGAAAGCTGCCAGGGTTTGTACTTTGGGATTGGGAAACAAATCTCATATAAAGGCAATGTGCCCAGAATACACTGGGAAATGCTCTAGTTCTAAAAACAGCTGTGAGTCCTTTGGTCAAAGGTTCCGCTCACTGATGATCCCACAGATTTCTTGTTTCCTAATCATAGGATCTTTTTTTTTTTTTTTTTTGAGATGGAGTCACTCTCACCCAGGCTATAGTGCAGTGGCGCAATCTCGGCTTACTGCAAGCTCCACCCCCCAGGTTCAAGTAATTCTCCTGCTTCAGCCTTCCAAGTAGCTGGGTCTACAGGTGCACACCACCGTACCCAGCTAATTTTTGTGTTTTTAGTAGAGATGAGGTTTCGCCATGTTAGCCTGGCTGGTCTCAAACTCCTGACCTCAAGTGATCTACCCACCTCGGTCTCCCAAAGTGCTGGGATTACAGGCAGGAGCCACTGCCCCTGGCCCTAATCATAGAATCTTAGACATGGAAGGAAACTTAGCATTCATTAATTAAGCAAGCATCCTTATTTCACAACAAACTACTGTGTTACAAATATACTGTTTCTAAAACAAAAATAATTACTTAAAATTTTAAATATTTCTAGTTATAAGCAGTATTTTTAAAAATTATGTACAAAAATACAGATAATCACAAAGCCCAGGGTGGAATGCTAACACAAAATTAGAATTGGAAAGGTGGTTTTGGTAGTATCAGTATTGTTACTAAAGGATATATTTTAATTTATCTACTCTTCCTATTGGCTATACATGCTTTGAATTAGTGCTTTTAGTATCTCTGTCTGGACTCCCTATTACCTAATGGGCATTGAATATTTGTTGAATCAATATAGAATCCTGCATTCAGCAGTACTTTACACGGAGCTAGAAAAATATATCCAGATAACTCAGCAGTTTATATTTTATATAGCACTTGAAAATTAGTTTTTTATTGACCATTATGTTAGGGGTAAAACTGGATGTCATGCCTGCAGATACATTTTGTGAGGCCAGCTCAGTGTTTTAAAAAATAACTTTTAAAAAATACACTTTGAGCCAGGCACAGTAGCTCATGTCTGTAATCCCAGCACTTTGGGAGGCCAAGGTGGAAGGATCACTTGAGGCCAGGAGTTTGAAAAGCCTGGTGAACATAGTGACACCCTGTCTCTACAAGAGAAAAAATTTAAAAATTAGCCCAGTGTGGTGGTACATACCTGTAGTCCCAGTTACTGGGGAGTCTGAGGCAGGAGGATTGCTTGAGTCTAGGAGATTGAGGCTGCAGAGCCATGGTCATACAACTGTACCTCAGCTTGAGTGACAGAGTGAGACCCTGTCTCAAAAAAAACCAAAAACAAACATACAAAAAACACTTTGAAGTCAGGTGTGGTGGCTTGCACCTGTAGTCCCAGTTTCTCAGGAGGCTGAGGCAGGAGGATCATTTAAGTGCAGGAGTTTGATTCACCAGCCTGGGCAACACAGCAAGACCCTGTCTCTTTAAATAAATAAATTAAAAAAATTTTTTGTCAAGGCTGCATTCTTCCATTAGCCACAGTCTCCAACACTCTTGTATTTAAGCTACTTATCAGACCCCTGAACATATTTACTCTGACTTAAATGTTTTACCTTCACCTCTACACAAGAACCCTGCAAAACAGGTGTTTATATCTCCAATTTTAAAATTACGGAAATGGAGTGTCAATGAATTAATGCATTTTCCAAAGTTACAAAGGTAAGAGACATGGAAGGGATTCCATTCCAGGTCTATCAGTCTAGCAAGATAATGATCTCACCACTGTCCTCCTAGTTTATAATAAGGCAAACAAATCAGAAATATCTGTCGGTCTTCAAAAACCACTCATATTCTTGACCCCTACTTCAGTAGATTCTGATCTAGTTGGCCTTGGAATGGAGCCCATGTGTATTTTTGAAGGCACCCAGGTTATACTGAGGTGCACATCTGATTTAAAATGTTTAATCAGGGGGCCTCAGATTGATTACTTGAAGGTGACTTTCACAAATACTTCCATGAGTTTCTGTTGACAGTTACCTATACAGATAGCATTATCTCCCTGTCAGAGACTAGATAGCACCAAAGCCTAGGTCTTCTGAATCTCCATCCATGATCTGTCCCATCATGTCATGTGATGTCTTGTGACTAGCAACCCTGGCAGCATTCAGTTGCTGTCTGTAGACCTTAGAGGTTTATTACAATAAGAAATGATATATGGCCAGACACAGTGGCTCATGCCTGTAATCCCAGTACTTTGGGAGGCCGAGGTGGGCAGATCACTTGAGGTCAGGAGTTTGAGACCAGCCTAGCCAAAATGGTGAAACTCTGTCTTTGCTAAAAATACAAAAATTAGCCAGGTGTGGGGGCGCATGCCTGTAGTCCTAGCTACTTAGGAGGCTGAGGCGTGAGAATTGCTTGAACCTGGGAAGTGGAGGTTGCAGTGAGCTGAGATCGTGCCACTGCACTCCAGCCTGGGTGACAGAGCAAGACTCCACCATTTCAAAAGAAGGAGGAGGAGGAGGAGGAGGAGGAGGAGGAGGAGGAGGAGAAGGAGAAAGAAGGAAAAGGAGAAGGAGAAGGAGAAGGAGGAAAGAAAAAAGAATATACAAATGGTGGAAAGGTATCCCACAGTTCTGAAACCATTTCTCTTATCTCTCTTCCAGTATATCTTGCAAATTCGAGGGTCTCTCTAGCACCCATGAAATTCCATCAAATGAAGTAACTTCCTGTCCTATTAGAAAATGCCCGAGACAACGTTATACAAATGATTAAATCTGTTTTATTAGAGACAGTCTAAATTTAAGTTGGTATAATAAATACAATCTTAAGCATTGCACATTTTATGAGATATAATTACTGTACATGTGAAACTTATTTTGAAAATCTGGAATGGATATTTTTAAATACTTAATAGCAGGAAGATCTGCTGGAGGGTTTGTATACTATAATTATACACAGTTGTGTGAAACAAAGGAATGAATGCAATAACATTTTAACGAAGAGATCATTTAATATAAGCCTTGGTTGTTTTATTTTTCCTCCTTCCTATTGAACATTTTCCATCAGCATTTCAACTTCTCATCTCTTTTGAAACCAGGCATCTTTTTAAAAATAATCTCTCAAGCATTCAAAGTATCCCACCTCAGAGGCTGTAAAATTTCTGAGTAGAGGATGACCAAGGAAATGTCATCTTCGGTACTTAAACAGTAATGAGTAATCCTAGGTTAAAGTCCTAATTCTCAGTTTACTAAGAATCTGACGTTAAGGACCACACACTGAAGAAATCTTTAAAGATTCATTCCTAAAGGCTAATTAAAGTTTTAAAATATCCCAATGACACATAATAAACCATTTACAGCCTTTGTGGTGTGCTGTACATTAGGGTACTGAACACCTTAGTTTACCCAAAGTGTTTCCCAGGACTCAGAACTTGTAGTGTTGATACCAGGAAAGTCCTTGGAAAACCAGATCATTTGATCACCCTATCACCATATAGTCAAAAAATGAACAACATAACTCTGGCTCACTAAGGGCTTACATTCTAATGCAGCAAGCAAGTCCACAAATGGTGTAAAAGTAAGACAGAATTAAGCCACAGCTATAAGAGAAGGCTGAACATTCAATGAGAGGAACCTAGAGGACTGAAACAATGAATTTTGACTTTAAATGATTCTGTAGAGAAAGTAGAATTTTGGCCATTGTTTAAAATTGGCATAGATTGAAAGAATAAGTGAGGCATGAAAGGATTTTGTGTTTGGAGATGACATGGCATCTCTGATATTGCTGGAACCTAGACATGAGTAGGGAGAACAGAGACTTGGGCAAGAGAGTAAAGAGGTTGACCAGGTGAAGGGCTTTGTCACTAAGTCTCTAAATAAAAGTCACTACAGGAAGGCTTTCAGAAAATACTATCAATTCCATGCTTCTTGTGTGCTGCAGACGATACCCCCTCACTTAATGGTCACCACGCTGTAAGGGGAGAAGTATTTTCCCCCTGGGTGGCCATGTGATAGAGTGGTTGAACACTTCCGCTACCTCTGACTGTGTGGCCAAAGGCAGTTTGACATCTAAGCATTAGTTTCTCATCTAGCCAATGGGAGAGTACCTGTTCTTAGGATTATTGTGCATGTAGTACTTATTCAATAACTGGTGATTGCTATTATTATGCTGCTTTCCTGGGGCATACTTAAAAATAAAGTGTCCAAGTCCTTGTAGCTGCTAAGTAAAAAGCCTAAGATGTGATATCAAGTCACTCCAAATAGCATTCCAAAAGTGATCATTTTTTTCTTTTTTGCTTATTTGTATGTTTTTACTTTTTAACTCCTGCTTCGCAAAGTGAGGGAGCTGATCGGATGTATATCTTAGGAAGATGATTTTGTTAGTATTATAAAAGATGCATGGAGGGGATGGAACTTAAAGCAGAGAAACAATAGAGGAAGCTATTTTAAAAGCTTAGACTGGAACTTTGAATGGTAGAGACAGGAAGGCGGGGAATATGATTAGATTCATTTGAGAGAGAGATTTAACAGGATTTAGTATCTTGATTTATGAGGCATGAGGGAAAGCAGACAATAATTCCTGGGAATTCTAAGTTAAGGAAAGAAAGGATTTGCAAGTAAGATAAGTGGATTTTATTTTTAGTTCTTATCAAAGAGACTAGGAAGACCATGGTAAATTAGAGGAAATTATAGAAGTAAATAAATCACCCTAAATCTCACCATCAATTGACATATGCCTATACTCTTTTTCTATACATTTTTAAAGAACTAACATTATCATCACTTTAATTTTGAATCTTGGTTTTTCTCTGTATATTATCAGCATTTTCCCCACATCTTTAAATGAGTAAATAGCCTTCCATCTGGTCATGAACATAGATATGTTGAGTTTTGTGTCTTTCTTTCCCCAAACTTTGCATAATATTTAATTTGTTGAATTCCAGTTTCAACAATCAAATTTCTAATAATATGAAATTGGCTTTTTGACACCACCATGCCCTTGTGATCCTGAGTCTCTGGTCGGAAAAGTTCTTCTGTGGTCTTATAGATTGCACTGTCTTAAAGGCTTTGCACTCAGAGATTCAATGGGAATAGTCAAAGGGGAGCAAGTGCAGGGCAAACACATCCCTACTGTAGTTGCTGATAAGACCTTCAGTGCTTAAAACTCTCAAGCATTTTGTGAATTGAAAAACACTGGCGCTATTCTGCCAAAGCTATACTTGGTCTCCCTGTAACTGAATGATATTCATTTAATCAGCATAACAGTAAGTGACTACTATGAGTAAAGGCTTATGCGAGACTCCAAGATTAGAAACGAATTGAATATAGACTTTGTTCATTAACCAATGGAAGAGTTACTTAAGATGCAGATTCTAAGATCATGCTTTTAAAAATCATGATTTACTAGGTTCTGGAATGCAGTCAATGAATTTGCTCTTCTAAAAGCCCTCCAGGCGACCCTGATACAGGTGAGAAATTCTTATAACCAGTAGGTAGACTCTAAACTGGGTCTACAATATACCAACTGTAGGACCCCAAAAATGTCCCTTAGTCACTCAAAGCCTTGGTTTCCTCATCTGTAGTACAGGGATCGTAATTATATACAATATAGAGTTGTGAGTTTAATTTAAAAACAGAACCAGATACATAGTTTGTGAGGCCCGGTGCAAAATATAAAGCTCCTTGTTTAAAATATGTTCAGTGATTTCAAGAGAACAGCAGCAGAGAATTAAACCAAGCATTGAGTCCTCTGTGACTACATAGATCACACTCCCCTGAAACTGGCTGATTGAAAAAAATGTATACTTATACAATATATAAATATACCCACACATCCATACACATGCTCAAAAAATGTAGCTAATTTTATTTGTGTATTTGAGTATAATGTTCACCTGTGTGAGTGAGAAAAGGTGGCATGAAGGAGGTGATGCCCAAGCTAAGGCTTGAAAGGCTAAGCGTTTGTAGGTGGACATGGCTGGAGAGAGGCAAACAGCAGAGAGAACAGAAAACACAGGCCCCACCACTACTGTTGTTGGGTTGCTGATGCCACATGTCAGCAAAATCAGCGTCTGAGGTTGAGGATGTTAAGGTAATGGATGTGAAAGAGCTTAGGATGCCATCGCTACAACAACAGTTTTGAGTGGGATACAAATCAGTACCAAGGTGGGCTTGGGCAACTGTATGGCAAGGCATCAATCAACCACCAGGAGGCGATATTGATCCCAATAACCTGTTTTCCAAAACACTACTCCTTCCCCAGTTGTTTAGTTTAAGAGATTTGAGACTGTCCCATAACCTTCATTTTCAGGATGGAGACTGAAATCCACACTTATCCATTGTCCTAGTTTTATTTTAACTTGTTTATTTTTTAACTGAAAATAAGCACGTGTGTTTAAAAAATGAAAGAGGTTTTTTACTAAAATGTATTTTGTGCTCACTACACAAGTTAGTACCTTTATAATCACTTTCCTGTATTAAATTTAATAGATTTTCACAGCAACCCTATGGAGTGGTACTAGTATTGTTGGCTTTTTAGAAATAAGACGATGGATTGAGTAAAGACTATACTTCAGAATTCATGTCACAGAGCCCAGAGGTAACCACTCAAAACTTTCATGCATATCTTTCTAAACTTTTTCCTTGTGAAAAATGTTTTTTTATATGTGCATGTGTTTATATTTAAACACAAATATAAATATGCATAGTTGGGCTTATTGTTTGTTTTAGAACAGTGAGATCATACATGTATTGTCCACAATTTGTCCTTTTAAAATGTAATCTATTATAATTTTTGCATAAATATATAAAGATATATTTTATTTAATATATTTTTAATTTATGTATTATTTACTTAATTTAATTCATTAACTTATTTGTTTTTCTGAGACAGAGTCTCACTCTGTCACCCAGGCTAGAGTGCAGGTGTGTGATCTTGGCTCACTGCAACCTCCACCTCCTGAGTTTTAGTGATTCTCCTGCCTCAGCCTCCTGAGTAGCTGGGATTACAGGCATGCACCATCATGACCAGCTAATTTCTGTATTTTTATAGAGACTGGGTTTTGCCATGTTGGCAAGGCTGGTCTCGAACTCCTGACCTCAAGTGAGCCACCTGCCTCAGCCTCCCAAAGTGCTGGGATTATAGGCGTGAACTACCGTGCTCAGCCTATATATATATATATATATATATATATCTTTTTGTATATAGTATAAAGTTCAGGTGTACATGTGCAGGATGTGCAGGTTTGTTACTTAAGTAAACGTGTGCCTTGGTGGTTTGCTGCACAGATCATCCCATCACCTAGGTATTAAGCCCAGCATCCGTTGGCTACTCTTCCTGATGCTCTCCCTCTCCCACTCCCCTATAGTTATTTATTATCTGTAAATAACTATGTTTGAAATGAACATGTAAAACGACTTACTCAAAAGCACACAGCTCTACAGTGGCAGAATTAGTACTGGAATCCAAGCCTTATGTCACACTAAATATGTATTAAATATTTGTGAATGAATGAGCTAACTAGTCCTTATGTTCATCACTGCTACTGCCAATGTATATAGAAAATTTATTTCACCCCAGGATAAATATAAATACAGAAATTTAGAAAGAAAAAAGATATCACCTCTAGCTGGAGACAATTGAAAAGCTTCATGAAAAATATGATACTAGAATATGGCCTTAAAGGATTGGTAAGGAAGGGAAATTTTATACCTCTGGAGAAGGGTAGGAACCAAGACATTAATGTAGAAAAGGACAAGTTAAGTTTGAAGAATTTTTAATCTAAACAGTTGGGTTAGACCAAGATTGTAGAGAATCTTAAATACTGAAGAGGTTTCTTAAAATTCCAGAGCAACCAAGGGCTTGGGAAATGCAAAGTTATCAGCATTCTTGTTCTAAAATATGCTATTATGGCAATGCTGACTTGTAAGTAACTTTTCAGTATTTTATTTTGCTTCAAGGAAAAACAAGTGTGACAGCAAAATTGTTTGCTTTTTCAAATTATTTTAATTTTCACTTCCTCTATTTAAAAAAGGGAAGCTTCAGAGAAGGAAGAAATGTTACCAAAAATGTGAAATTTTAAGAGAGAGAAGAATGTTTATGGGGATATTCTAAATTCAGCTGACTAGGAAATCACGCGATATGACAGGGTTTCCCCATGTAAGCATATGTGGTTAGTGCTGGATTGAACAAATCCACAGTATAACAAAAAATGTTTACCAATGTAATCAAGGAAAACTTTCATTTGAAAATTCATACATTGAAAAAGTGTGAAATATATTTGGTGTACTTTTATAAATTATTTAATTCCTCAATGAAACTCGTAAATGAAAGGTGCCTTTCACACACACACACCGATCCTTTCCATGAACAATGACCCCTGAAATGCTTTTTTTTTTTTAATTGAGACAGGGTCTTATTCTGTCACCCAGGCTGCAGTGCAGTGGTGTGATCATGGCTCACTGCAACCTCAGCCTCCTGAGTAGCTGGAACTACAAGCAGTCACCACCACACCCAGCTAATTTCTGTCTTTTTTGTAGAGAGGCACCTTTGCCATGTTGCCCAGGCTGGTCTCAAACTCCTGAGCTCAAGCGATCCGCCTGCCTTGGCTTCCCAAAGTGCTAAGATTACAGGAATGAGCCACAGCTCCCAGCCTGAACATGCATTATATGTCCCTATCCTTGTACATTCTGTATGTATAATTGTTACCTAGCCAACATCTCACATAGTTCTCTGGTCACCTAAAACAAAATGGTTGTCATTAAGAATTAGATTACATGTTGCAGATGAAGGATGTGGATCTGGCCTCCTAGGTAGAAAGGAAACCTGTAGCAATCAAGGCCTGATAAAAGGATGTGGCTTTCTGGGCCAGGCACAGTGGCTCATGCCTGTAATCTCAGCACTTTGGAAGGCCATGGTGGAAAGATCACTTGAGCCCAGCAATTAGAGGTTGTGGTGAGCTATGATTGCGCCACTTGGGTTTGGATGACAAAGACCCTGTCTCTAAAAAAATAAAATAAAGCTGGGCAGTGGCTCATGCCTGTAATCCCAGCTCTTTGGGAGGCTGAGGCGGGCAGAGACCAGCCTGGCCAACATGGTGAAACCCTCATCTCTACGAAAAATACAAAAAATTAGCCGGGCATGGTGGTGGGTGCCTGTAATCCCAGCTACTCAGGAGGCTGAGGCAGGAGAATCACTTGAACCTGGGAGGTGGAGGTTGCAGTGAGCCAAGATCACATCATTGCACTCCGGCCTGGGCAACAAGAGTGAAACTCCATCTCAAAATAAATAAATAAACAAACAAACAAACAATAAAAGGGATGTAGCTCCTGTGATCAAGCCAAATATTAGTCACAATGTGTGTACACAGTGAAGCTGTTGTCATCACCAAGTTAAATGTTCTCTCAGGCCCAAAGGACAAAGTTCAGACTGAGTATTGAGGTACCTCCATCTAGCAAAGGGGCTCAGGTCTCTTTACAGGAAAGCTGTTATCAGTTTTGACAAACAGTTGGCAAGCAATGTTTTGAGATTACTGATTACATTTCCAAAGAAGTAATATTGAACTTTTTGAAGTTCGGATAACTTAAAGGAAACATCATATAAAATAATGACCACACAAAGACAACTCTGGGGTTACAAGATACAAAACAAGATGGTAATAGGTTTTATGAAATAGGTGTAAATCAGACTTGAGGGCTAGTATCTTAACACTATTGAGTAATACGATTTATGGTCTTCTTTTTTGGTGTCCCAGCCTTCCAAATGACTGTATCACTCAGCTTCTTGTCTTCACACCACAACTGACATGATAATCTCCTATTATCTAAGAGCAATAGGTAAATTTAGAAAGAACTCTCTTAGCTAAAACTAAATCCAAAACTACAGAGATGAAGAAAGCTCAGGCTTACCTCAACTAAACTTTTCAAATGTTTTACATTAAAGATGATGTGGCTTATAATTTCCTGCAAAGTCCAGTTTACAGGAAAATATCTTCTTCTAACAGTGTATGTCCTCCTTTATCCAAGGCACTCTACGAGTGCTTTCATATGTGTTACTAAGCCTGATGCCAACCATTCAAAGTTGAATGAATATTTTCATTTCAAAACTGAAGAAACTGAACTCTTAGGGTTTTTAAGTTGCAGAGCTGGGCTTAAATCAGGTTTATCTGTTTCAAAGCCTGGGCTCCTACTGTGACAACTTCTTTATGATTTACAAACTGCTTTCCTATGTGTAATTTGATTTAGTGTGCACAGCGACCCTGTGAAGACAGTAATTGTCTACTTCTTCTCACCCTGTGATGCCAAGTTTGTTGAAAAGAATAATCTGGCCAGGCATGGTGGCTCATGCCTGTAATCCCAGCACTTTGGGAGGCTGAGGTGGGAGGACTGCCTGAGCCCAGGAGTTTGAGACCAGCCTAGGCAACACAGGGAGACCCTGTCTCTATAAAAAAGGAAAAAAATTGGCCGGGCACAGTGTTTCATGCCTGTAATCCCTGCACTTTGGGAGGCCGAGGCCTGCAGATCATCTGAGGTCAGGAATTCAAGACCAGTCTGGTCAACATGGTGAAACCCCATCTCTACCAAAATTAGCTGGATGTGGTGGTACGTGCCTATAATCCCAGCTACTCAGGAGGCTGAGGCAGGAGAATTGCTTGAACCCAGGAGGCAGAGGTTGCAGTGAGCCGAGATCGTGCCACTGCACTCCAGCCTGGGCAACAGAGTCAGCCTCTGTCTCAGGAAAAAAAAAAAAGGGAAAAAAATTGACCAGGCATGATGGTGCATGCCTGTAGCCGCAGTTACTCTGGAGGCTGAGGTGGGAGGATTGCTTGAGCCCAGGAGGTCGAGGCTGCAGTGGTCTGTGATTGTACCACAGCACTCCAGCCTGGGTCACAGAGAGAGACCCTGTCTCGAAAAGAAAAAAAAAAAAAAAAGAAAAGAAAAGAAAAAAGAAAATAATAATCTATACTTCTCTATTTTCTCACTTATTTCCTCATCCCACTTCGGTCTTATTTCCTTCCCCATCAGGTCACCAAAAGCTATTCTAATAGCTAAGTCCAATGGATATTTTTTCAGCTGTTTCCTAATTCGCCATGGCATTTACTGTTGTTACCTTGTCCCATTCACTTTGTGACAATTCTTTGTGCTCTTTTTTACCATTTTCACTCTTTCTCCTTCTTCCTTGCAAAAATCTCCTTTCTATCCCTTAAGAACCAAGGAAATAACACAGTATGGACTTTAATTAATAACAATATGTTAATATCGATTCATTAATTATAACAAATGTGCCATACTATTTTAAGATGTTAATGAGAAGAAACTGGGTATGGGGTATATGGAAACTCTCTGTACCATCATCTCAATTTTTTCTATGAATCTAAAATTATTCTAAAAATTAAATTATGTTAAAAATAATTTTACAAAACAGAGTTTTTCTAATCTCAGTGTGTGCAATGCTTAAGAGACAGACAGGAAAAACAAAATAAAGAATGAGCTAAATAGAAAAAGAAAACGACAGGCCTGGGAGATAGGGCAACCATAAGACAAATTATCACAGAATTCAAGTTCCAGGAAGGAGGAGGAAGGTGTCCTGGAGGGGTGTTTACACTCATCAAATACCATTGCAAATCCTGGCAGACGCACCCTGAGAAGCACTCCCTCCCCAGAGTGAAGCCCTCCTTCCTGCTGCTACTTGAAAGGAAGAATAATATGCCCAGCTGCCTGCCTCTGTCCTCTTCCCCATGTGCCCTATGGGGAAGCCTCGGAGCATGTCTGCTGGCCATAACGACCCCCCACCCCAGTTCTTCCCCTTTCAATTCTGTTCTCAAGGTCTGGGTTTATCTCCGTCTCTGCTCACTCTGACTCAGTACTTGTAAGCACATCAGAAATCTTAACTCTCCCCTTCTCTACCTCAGAGACCCTTTTGGATTTTATCTTAGAGATAAATAACAGTGTGGCCAGCGGTTCTTTGTCATATAGTGTCCAATGTCCCTTCTGTCCCCTTAGATCAGTGATCACCATCCTTTAATCATACACCTATCATTAACACACAAGCCCAAAATAATATAACATATTTAATTATATATTATATGCATTTTTCTAATATATTATGTCAATTTTATATTTATTTATTTATTTTGTGTGGGAGGTGGGGGGAACGAAGTCTCACTCTGTCTCCAGGCTGGAGTTCAGTGGTGCAATCTCGGCTCACTGCAACCTCTGCCTCCTGATTTCAAGCGATTCTCCTGCCTCAGCCTCCCCAGTAGCTGGGCCTACAGGCGCACACCAACACGCTCAGCTAATTTTTGTATTTTTTAGTAGAGACAGGGTTTCACCATGTTGGCCAGGATGGTCTCGATCTCTTGACCTCAAGATCTGCCCGCCTTAGCCTCCCAAAATGCTGGGATTACAGATGTGAGCCACTACATCCAGCCATTTTTATTTATTTATTTTTGAGATGGAGTTTCACTTTGTTGCCCAGGCTGGAGTGCAGTGATGCGATCTCAGCTCACTGCAACTTCTGCCTCCCGGGTTCAAGTGATTCTCTTGCCTCAGCCTCCCGAGTAGCTGGGATTACAGGCACCTGTCACCACGCCCAGCTAATTCTTGTATTTTTAGTACAGATGGGGTTTTACCATGTTGGCCAGGCTGGTCTCGAACTCCTGACCTCCGGTGATTTGCCCACCTCAGCCTCCCAAAGTGCTGGGATTACAGCTGGGAGCCACTGCACCCAGCCTTATGTCCATTTAAAAACATATGCAAAAATTGAAATTTAAAAAAGAAAGAAATTAAAACCTATCTTAGTGAATAATTTTGAACATTCTATAAGACAGCAACCTTTCCACTGTTATACATGTCCCCCTAGGTCTACAGGATGCTTTCCAAGGGTTATGGAGACAGGAGTGATTATAAGATGACCACTTTCCAGATCCTGAGTGCCTATATGTATATATACTAAAACTACCTAAGAGTACTTGAAGTCAGAACACTGTGCTGGGTTCCCCTTATCACCTCCTTATCACAACTGTTCTTTTTCCACCATCCTTTTACACCATACTATGATGTATAGCCCTGAGGTATAAAAAGCTTTAGGGCACTAAACAAACCACAGGACCATTTGAAGTGTTAGTGTGTTGTTTTTTTAATTGATAAATAACATTTTCCATATTTATGGGGTCCATGCAATTTTTTTTTTACAGTTATAGAATGTGTAATGATCAGGTCAGGGTATCTGAGGAGTCTATGACTTTGAGTATTTGTCATTCTGTGTTGGGAACCATCAGTCTATTTTGTAATATGTCATACATTGTTGTTAACTATAGTCACTCTGCTCTTATGTCTAACTATAGAACTTATACCTTTTATCTAACTGTATATTTATACCTCTTAATCTACTTCTCCTCCTCTCCCCCTCCCTACCACCCACCATTCCTAGCCTCTATTATCTGTCATTCTACTCATTACCTTTATGAGATCAACTTTTTTTAGTTCCCACATATGAGTGAGTGCATATGATATTTGGCTTTCTGTGCCTGGTTTATTTTACTTAACATATTGACCTGCAATTCCATCCATGTTGCTGCAAATGACATATTATTCTTTTTATGGCAGAATAGTATTCTATTGTGTATCTGTACCATACTTTCTTTACCCATTCATCTGTTGATGGATGCTTAGGTTAATTCCATATCTTTGTTATCGTGAATAGTGCTGCAATAAACATGTGAGTGCAGGTATCCCTTTGACATACTGATTTATTTTCTTTAGTATAGATACCCAGTAGTGGCATTGCTGGATTGTATGGTGTTTCTGTTTTTAGTTTTTTGAGGTATCTTCCTACTGTTTTCCACAGTACTTGTACCAATTGAAATTTCTACCAATGGTGTATAAGAATCTCCTTTTTTCCACATCCTCTCTCCAGCATATTTTATTGTTTGTCTTTTTAATACTGTCCATTCTAAATGGGGTAAGATGCTATCTTATTGTGGTTGAAGTATTGGCGTCTTGGAGGACACTAATGACTAAAAGATAGAGAGAAGAAGACTGATTGGCTAAGAAACTTGAGACCCAGGGAATGACCTGGTTTTGAGTTTCTCGGATTTTCCTTCGGGTTGCCTCATACACTCCTAACTGGATGCTAGAAAATCTTACAGCCCAGAAAGCCAATGGGCACATACAAAAATGCCCCCAAGGAAAGGCTGTTCTCTCTAGCCAAAGGACCAGGAAAGGGGCAGCTTCACAAACAGAAAGTCTTTTTTTTTTTTTTTTTTTTTTTTTGAGATGGAGTCTCGCTCTGTCACCAGGCTGGAGTGCAGTGGCACCATCTCGGCTCACTGCAACCTCCGCCTCCTGGGTTCAAGTTATTCTCCTGCCTCAGCCTCCCGAGTAGCTAGGACTACAGGCGCCCACCACCACACCCTGCTAATTTTTGTATTTTTAGTAGAGACGAGGTTTCACCATATTGGCCAAGCTGGTCTTGAACTCCTGACCTTGTGATACACCCACCTCAGCCTCCCAAAGTGCTGGGATTACAGGCGTGATTCACCGCGCCTGGCCACAAGCAGAAAATCTTCAGATAATAATGGCTCTACTCTAACCAAGTGCCATGGGAAAAACTGCAACCCCACCCCTGTCAGCAAATGCTCGATGGGGACCCAGATGTCTACCCTTACCCGGCTGTAAGTGGGGTCAGAGAGGGCTGAGCGGGAAGCTGGGCCTTTGACCACCTCCCAGCAGTAATGAGCCCTCTTTTTAGCCTTGGTGTCAATAGAGGCCACACACAGAGTAGTAATAAATCCCAGAAGGAGAGGAGAAAAAAAGAAAGGTTGAAAAAGTATTCAAAGAAATAATGGCTGAAAATTCCCCCCATTTGGCAAAAGACACACACCGACTGATTCAAGAAGCTAAGTGAAACCCCAAACAGGAAAAATCCAATGAAATCCAGGCCAAGACATGTCATAATCAAACTTCTGAAAGAAAAAAAGACAAAACAAATCTTGAAAGCTATGGGAAATGACACCTTACCAATAAGAGAGAAGCAATTTGAACCATAGCAGATTTCTCATTAGGCACCTCATGGAGCCAGAAGCAAGCGGTGTAGTATTTTTCAAGCACTAAAGACAAGAAAAAAAAATAGCATTTTGTATTCAGTGAAAATCCTTCAGGAATGAAGGGGAAATCAAGGCATTCTAAGATGAAGGAAAGCTAGGAGATTTTGTCACCAGCAGACCTACTCTAAAAGAATGGCTAAACGAAGCTTTTGAAACACAAAGGAAATGATAAAAAGAGTAATCTTGAAACAATGGGAAAAAAGAAAGGACAACAGAAAGGAGAAAAATATGGGTAAATACAATATACCCTTTCTCCTCTTGAGTTTTCTTAATTGTATTTCACAGTTGAAGCAAAAATCATTACTCTGTCTGATGTGGTTCTCGATATACATAGAGGAAATATAAGTTATAAACAGGGAAGGAAAAGACACTTAAAAAGAAGTAAAGTTTTTAAAACTGCACTAAAATTAGGACAGCTACTCTGAAAAATAGTCTTGCAGTTTCTTAAAAAACTAAACATATTCTTACTATGCCACTCAGCAACTGCACTTCAGGGCATTTATCCAAGAATAATAAAACTTATTTTAATATAAAAATCAGCACACAGATGTTCTTAGCAGTTGTTATTCATAATAGCCAAAAACTAGAAAAAAACCACAAATGTCCATCAATAGGTGAATGGTTAAATACACTGTGGTATATCAATACCATGGAATACTACTCACCAATAAAAAGGAACAAACTGTTTACATGCAACAGCTTGAATGTATTACATGTATCTCAAGAACACTGAGCAGAGTTAAAATAGCCAGTCTCAAAATGTCACATATTATCTGCTGCCAGTTATATATTATTCAGAAAATGGCAAAATTATAGAGTGGGAGAACTGATTCGCATTTTCTAGACACTGGGGGTGGTGGGTGGGAAAGGGTGGGTGTGACAATGAAGAGGTAATACCCTGGAGAGCTTCTTCACTGAACTGTGTTTTTCTTAGAAGGTGTTTCTCTTTTTCTATCTCATGCCAGAGTGCTTAGTGAATGACAGTCATTTCTCAGCTATTGCTAATGACACTGAAGTACTAAAATTTTTATTCAGAGAAGAGCAATTCCTCTAACTTACCAAATTATGGCTCTATAATATTTGACCTCTTAGCAACTGTTATAGCAGCAGAATGTGGTAGTTATCATACAGAAAATATATTATAGTTTTCTTTGAGATCCTTAAATAAGCTAGGGAGCAGGAGGAGAAAGAATAGCTCTAAGATCAAATGGAAATGTTAAAATATCATCTGGCTTGAGCTCTTTTATCTGAACCTACTAGGGAGCCAGCACTTTGATTTTAGGGACCCAACTCTGCTGCTTGCCAGCACTGTGATCTTGGGTAAGGTATTTAGTACTGCTAAGCCTCAGTTTTCCTTAATAATGGTTCTTACAGCATTGAGTTGTTGTGAAGCTTGAGTGAGAGTGTGCATATAATTACTGCCACATAGTAAAAACTTCAAAAAGAATCAGCATTTAAAGATTTTTTAATATCCTAAAATTTTTGAAATTGAGTAATTTGCTCATCACAGTTTTAGGTGACTATGATTTTTACAGGTGTCAAAGGACATTTGTCTAGACCATGAGTAGGAGAAAAATTAACCTAACTGAATGGGTGGCTCTGTCACTACTTATGAGGATAATTATCTAAAACAGAGGTTTGAACTAGGTAAACATCCTGGTGTCTTTTTGTTCAAAAATTACTCAGGCAATGTCAGCAATTATTTGCTTCCCAACCACTGCATGCATGACCCCCTGGAGATCTACAAAGATTATAGTCTGGAGAAAGTAAACTGTCTTCTGGTTACATTATGTCCCTGTCACCCCAACAGCCAATGATAATTATATACCTGGTACCTATGTGTGATGGAGATGAGAGAGGGGACAGGAAAGAGACACCCCTGCCCCTCATTGTGGGCCAAGCCCTGGGTTCTCCATGTTTCTGAGGAACACTGCAAGAACTGGTATTATTGTTCCATTTTAGAAACAAGGCCACTCAGTAAGAGTTGAAATAAAATTGAACCCCATCTATAAAGCCCTTGCTCATTGCAATATGGAGCTTAGCCTGTCTATTAGTAAAAAAGTAAAAATAAAAATCCTGAATACACACACATGCACACACTGTAGAGGCAGGTCTGGGTGTTATATGCAGGCTGCATCCTGCTCACACCATTGACGCTGGTCGCCCGTCAACGTTGCTCTAATAGTCCTCTGCTAATTAGGAATGTTCGCAGCTCAGATGCTTTTACATTGCAGGGGAGGTTGTGGGGAACAATTAAATGTCTGGAGTCTGCTAAGCATTATTAAGTACTAGCAATTGCCCTCTGAGGTAATTGCTTTTGAGCCATAAAGGGACAGTTAAATAAGCACTTCCATTTTAATATCTTTTTGAAGAGATAAAAAGGATTCTAAAATTCCATAATGTCTAAATTTGGTACTGCTGTTCAGGAGGTGAAGAAACTTTATAGTCATGTGCTTTTTATAAAGGGATAATTGCCTGCTTCAAAATCTTCTCTAGTTAGAATTTTTGGGGTTAAGCTCTAGAAGTTCCACAATGAAGGAGACCCCCTTTTCCAACCAGAAACGAATTCCCTGCCCAGGAAGTCTGTACCCCATGCAGCCAGACTCTGGTGACAATGTTTCTACGTGTTCAAGTAAATTTTCATCCAGTAAAAAGGTATCATTTTTCAAGTGTATCTCACAAAGGTGGCTAAGCTTCCCATCACTGTGAAACCTCGAGGACTAGGTTTGCATTGTCCCTTCCTCCTTCTGATCTGCGACCTTGCCTTGTCAACTGCCTCCTCCCCCTCAGCACTTAAATATCTTTACTTCTCTTCCTCCCACCCTAAAAGGACACATATTAAAACTAAAAATCGAAAGCGTCCTTGGCCCCTGTATCTCCATATATCTGGTTTTCTCTTCCTTCAAGGTCAGCTTGCAGCATGAACTCCATTCTTTAAGCCTCCATGTCCCATTAATTTCAGACACACAATGGCCAGTCTTCCGCCATCCTCTTCTCCCTTTCCCTTGCACAGACACACTCCACTGAAGGCGTTTTCATTGCATTCTCTGATGACCCCTTAGTTGCTGTACCCTACAGATGCCTACTTCCAGGTCTCAACTTACATGTGGACTTTGACTCTCCAATCACTTCTTAGAACTCTCTAGAACTTCCTAAAATTCTCTCCCCTGATTCTCCTTCCCCCATCTAGTCATCCCTCTGAATTTCCTTCAAGGTCCTTAAAAGCTGGGGTTCCCCAGAGTTCCCAAGAAAGAACTCTCTACATGCACTCTACGATGTGATCCTACTTACTCCCAAGACTTCAGCTTCCACCTTTAAACTAACCCCTCCTGACCCGCTCGCCCAAATGTCTCGAATCGGCAGCTGTCTTCAGGGCACACACTTCTTAGGCTTACTTGACATCTCCTCTTGGTTACCTCCTGGTTACCTTGAACTCATTCCATCTAAAACATCTGCACCCATTGCAACCTCCTCTTCCCCTAATGCTCTCATCTCAATAAATGGCTCTATAACCTAACTGTCAAGCCCAGAAACCTACACATCACCCCAAAAACTAAAAGCACATAATGTGAGGGTTCAGAGGAAGATTTCAGAAGCAGACTGCCTGAGTCTGAGTCTCAGCTCTCCTACTTGTCAGCTTTGTGTGTCATCATGGGTTGTATTTTCACCTCTCTGGGCCTCTGGTTTCTCGTCTATAAAATGGAGATAATAATACGACATACCTCACAGTGTTGCAGCTATGGTTTGAAAAGATAACTTTTTGTAAAGCACCTCATTGTATAGGTGTTTGTTTACCTTTTCTCCTGTTTTAACATTTACATAGGTCATAATATTCCCTTCAGTGTAAGGGCAGTCAGTATCCTCCGTTGCCCTTAACATTCAAGTTCCTCATCTTGTCTTTCGGGGCCCAACATGCTCAGCCCCAGCCCCAGCTCCAGTGCTCGGCCCAGGCAAAGGAAACACCCTGAGTATCCTTGTGTTCCCATCTCTGGGGCTTTTCAAATGTTCTCCCTTCTGCCTTGAAATGTGCTTTTCCCCAGTTCCCAGCCCCTTTTGGCTGGCCAGCTTCTACTAATTCTTCAAGTTTCTACTTGACTGTCATTTCTCTAGCAAGTCTAATTCCAGGACTGGTTTAGCGTCCAGCTATGATTCTCCACACCACCCTATAATTTATTTTGCATAGCATGTATGCCCTATTGTGATTTGTTGTAAATGATTCTTTGTCCATTTCCTCACTTAAGCTGTATTCTTTGTAAAGGAAGGCCCTAGGTCTCATTTACTTCTCAACCTCATTGCTTGTAATATCTTAGGTGCTGACTACATGAGTGAACCAGGACATGCACCCAGGGTATCCCGAGCAGAGCTTATACCAAATAAAGAAATCACATAAAAATGATTAAAATATGAATTAATATGAATTAATAAACTCGGGGATGTGAGGAAGGTGGCCTAGAAAATTCACAATGTGATCTCATGCGAGGACAGAATTACACAGTATTTTTTAGAATTAAATTTTGAATCCTCAGTGATAGGCTTCATTGCAGTTTCAAATATAGTAGTCAGTTTTTAAAGTAGAGTAAGATGCTCCAGCTCTGTGTTTTTCAACTTTTCAAGCCCTTTGTCCATTCTGATAAACCAAACAAGTTCACACCCTCACCCCCCACCATCACATTTGAGAATGACTGTGGAGGGGCTTCTTCCGCATATTCCCACCAGCCAAGGTTTTATTTAGTTAGTTGTTAGAATATTGAATATGCTTTTTCATGGCCAGGTGCAGGCACCATGGCTCATGCCTATAATTCCAGAATTTTGGGAGGCCAAGGCGGGCAGATCACTTGACGTCAAGAGTTTGAGACCAGCCTGGCCAACACAGTGAAACCCTGTATCTACTAAAAATACAAAAATTAGCTGGGTATGGTGGTGAGAGCTTGTAATCCCAGCTACTCAGGAAGCTGAGGCAGGAGAATCACTTGAACCCAGGAGGCGGAGGTTGCAGTAAGCCAAGATTGGGCCACTGCACTCCAGTCAGGGTGACAGAGAGAGACTTGGTCTCAAAAAAAAAAAAAAAAAGAATATTGAATATGCTTTTTCAATTTATGACAGTCTCAGAGGTCATATATTTTTCTCCACATCTCCTAAACCCCAGTGTTTAAAATAAAAAGAGACTCATGTATTTTCTGAATGAAACAGTGTGTACCTAAAGAGTGTGTGTTTTTTACTTGTGGGATGCTTCTTATCCTTTTGCAGCTGTCCTCTAATGATTGAGTTGTCTTCTGAACCAGGTGCAGTTATATGATAGACAATGTGATTCTGCTGATGAATGGTGCATTGCAGAAAAAATCTGTGAAAGAAATTCTGGGGAAGTGCCACCCCTTGGGCCGTTTCACAGAAATGGAAGCTGTCAACATTGCAGAGACACCTTCAGATCTCTTTAATGCCATTCTGATCGAAACGCCATTAGGTAGGAACACTTAGGTAATTTTGTAGCTGCTTGTGTATGTTATCACAGTCATTAGAAAATGTACTATTTTTTTCTTCCCTGTGGTCCAAAAGAAAATGTACTTTGATTTCACAATTTTTTTCCATGAATACAGTAGCATACCATGCAGATTCCTGGAAGTGGCAGAGACATTAAGGAATTATCTAGTTCAGCTCCCTCATTTTTCAGATCAGGACAAATGAAGCAACCTGCTCAGATCACATGTGAACCATTTGTAGTAGAGAAGGAACTGGAGCTCATCTCTCAACCTTCAAACTTTTCACTTTATACCAGGTCATAGCAAATAAATAATAGCACTTGTCATTCTTCAAAAAAAATGTAATTTTCTAGCTTGGTTTTACAGAATTAGTTTCTTGTCCTTCCATTTAAATTTTTGTCTAGATAAGGCTGCATATAGGAAGCATTTTCTTTCAGGAAGTTTAAAAATGTCATTTTTCTGAGATGCTCAAGAGTATCTGTCAAGTCATCAGAAGCAATGATGAAATGATTGTTAATTTCATTATAATTTGGCACTAACAAGAGTTGTGTTCAAAATGCTAAAGAGATAATTGTATAAGCATCATTATCTAATATTGTCAGGAAATCTGGATAGTAGCAATTCACTATTGATCGTTTGTCAAAATAGTTGCTGTTTAAGATAGATATTTTAAAAAGCAAAAAAAAAATATTTGTGTCATCATTAAGCACCCGATACTGAGATAGCATAGGCTGATCGAGAGAGGTTGAGACTGCAATCAGACAACCATGAGCATGAAACCAGGCTCTGCCCGGTCCCAGCAAGGTGACTAGGAGCAATTCAATTCACCCCAGTTTCCTCATTTTGGAAATAATCGTATCTTTTTATAACAGAGTTTTAAAAATAAAACACACTTTTAAGTACAACTCAATGCTTGGCACATACTAAAGTTGCAAATAATAAATATTATTATTAGATAGTGAAGGAGGAGGGACTTCAAAAAAAAGCCTTAAGTGAATAGCTCCAAGGTGTTGTGAAGATTAAATGAAAGTATATTCAGTGTATAGTGTAGTGAGTGAGGTTTAGGGCAGCAGTCCCCAACCTTTAGGGCAACAGGGACTGGTTTCGTGGAAGACAACTTTTCCATGACAGGAGAGAGGGGATGGTTTCGGGATGATTCAAACACATTACATTTATTGCGCACATTATTTCTGTAATTATTACACTGTAATATATAATGAAATAATGATACAACTCACCATAATGTAAAACCAGTGAGAGCCCTGAGCTTGTTTTCCTGCAACTAGACAGTCCCATCTGTGGGTGATGGGAGACAGTGACAGATCATCAGGCATTAGACTCTCATAAGTAGCACACAACCTAGATCCCTCAGATGCACAGTTCATAATAGGGTTTGCTCTCCTATGAGAACCTAATGCTGCCGTTGATCTGACAGGAGGGGGAGCTCAGGTGGTAATGCAAACAGTGGGGAGCAGTTGTAATTACAGTTGAAGCCACTCTCTGGCCCACTGTTCACCTCAGCTGTGTGGCTCAGTTACTAACAGGCCACGGACTGGTGTTGGTCTGTGGCCTGGGGGTTGGGGACCCCTGGTTTAGGGCTTACACATGATAAATGCTTAAAAAGTAATAACTGCTTTCACCCTCATTACTATTAGCCCTATTTAGTGGAGTGTATGGATTGCAACTCTGCAGTGTTCTTGTCAGGAGTGAGCAGAGGGTGGTGTGTTCAGGATACGTTTTCTACAGCTTATAATCTTGCTTAAGATTCATTTTTTGGTATGGCAATTTCTGCTTTCAGCTCCATTCTTCCAAGACTGCATGTCTGAAAATGCTCTAGATGAACTGAATATTGAATTGCTACGCAATAAACTATACAAGGTAATGGTTTTCCCAAATATTGTCTTTTTCTTGATTACACAATGTATTGTGACTAGAGTTCTCTATTAAAACTTACTTTACTCATTAACCAACTTCTGCAATTATGAAACTGTGCATATTTGGAATATAGCTTTTATAGTTCTGGCCTGTCCTCTAGTTAAATGCATGCATGTCAGCTTCCCCTAGCCAGCAAGATATTTGAAAGGAAATAACATGCCCTATTCTTCCATATTCCTAGCTCCTTGCATGGTACCTGGAACATAAAAGGTGTTTGGATGATGGTAGGTGAAGAAATGGGGTGAACAATATCAATCCATTTAAAGCAACCAGCATACATAGCAAACCTTCTGCTATGTAGTGTTCATCTCTGTCCTCAATCCTGTTAGTATCCCTGAATCTCACAGCTAATCTGCCCACACAATTTTAATCTACAGTGTGCAGCATACCAGAATGAACAATTTGTGTACACTGCATCATAGGTACCACTTTGCATAATGTGACTGTCTGGACTGTGCTGCCACCATTTGAGTAGCTGTATATACTTTAGGCTGAGCAAAATCTGTCCATTTTTAGTCAAATAACCATAGCCTCTTTGGACACTCACACACAGTAACTGAACATATATGGCATGCTGTGTTCAAACATGTGGTCCTTTCAAAAGCATTGTATTGCAGGCAGTGTTCCTTTTGGTAAAGTGACTTATGGGCCTAGAGGAGGCATCCTTGAGATATAACTAACAGAAGGCACCGTTCTAAGCAATTTATAGGCCTTAACTCACTAATCCACCTGGCAAAAATATGATGTTTATGCTATCTCCATTCCTCAGAGGTGAAAACTGAGGCTTGGAGAGCCAAGGTTTCTTTGGAAGAAGTCAGTTAGCTAAAACGTATTAGAGTTGGGATCCAAACTCAGGCAGTCTGACCCTACAGCCTTTCCCATATAGCTCC
Source organism: Homo sapiens (assembly GCF_000001405.40). Lineage (NCBI taxonomy): Eukaryota > Metazoa > Chordata > Mammalia > Primates > Hominidae > Homo > Homo sapiens. The sequence goes on from NC_000008.11 coordinate 86,142,477, forward strand.
ATGCTCAAAGCCATCCCAAATGTGCCTCTACAAGAGACTAAATGTCAGCATAGGGCTAAATCTAAAATTATTCACTGATCTCAGAAAAGAACTTGGCACTCTTGTTAAAATAGCAAGAATTAACCATATGAAATAATCCAAAACCATGCAAAAAAAGTGCTTGTTAAGTAATTATAAGTTATGATAAATGCAGTTTTGTCCTTTTCTGGAATTCTTTTTTAGACTGTGCAACATGCTGCAATGTGAAAGCTTCTACCAAATTTATTATAAAATATCTTCCTATGGGAGATGTAATTCAGATTCCATTAAAGCATTTAATAAACCATGAAAAGCTGATCTAGACATTTTCAAAAGGAATATATATTCATTATATCACTTTATGATCTTTTTTCTTTTTAAGTCTTACCTTGAGGCATTCTATAAATTCTGTAAGAATCATGGTGATGTCACAGCAGAAGTTATGTGTCCCATTCTTGAGGTAAGAAAGAGTCCTTGAATTTTGTTATGCTAAATAAGGTGCTTACATATTTTTATTGTTTTAACCTTACTTATATTTCCTTATCTTTGAATTTTTTTTTAATCTAGAAGTAAGACAAGCAGTACATTTTATTATACATATGATTTGATATATTTGATTAAGAGTTGTATTTTCCAACTCTTAAGTTGGAATATGGAAGTTTTCTACATGGAAAAGTTAGCTTGGAATTAGAAAATAATAATGTTTACACAGATTTGGTTATGATTCATTTTAATGTAGTATGTAAAAAATAGATTGTAAACAATAACAAATTTAGTATACTGTTGTTACTGGAAAAGGGTCCCAATCCAGACCCCAAGAGAGGGTTCTTGGATCTCAGCAAGAAAGAATTTGGGTCCATAGAGTAAAGTGAAAGCAAGTTTATTAAGAAAGTAAAGGAGTAAAAGCATGGCTACTCCATAGGCAGAGCAGCCCCAAGGGCTGCTGGTTACCTATTTGTATGGTTATTTCTTGATTATATGCTGAACAAGGGGTGGATTATTCATGTCTCCCCTTTTTAGACCACATAGGGTAACTTCCTGACATTGCCATGGCATTTGTAAACTGTCATGGTGCTGGTGGGAGTGTAGCAGTGAGGACGACCATGGTCACTCTCAGTGCCATCTTGGTTTTGGTGGGGTTTAGCCAGCTTCTTTACTGCAACCTGTTTTATCAGCAAAGTGTTTATGACCTGTATCTTGTGCTAACCTCCTATCTCATCCTGTGACTTAGAATGCCTAACCGTCTAGGAATGCAGCCCAGTAGGTCTCAGCCTTATTTTACCCAGCCCCTATTCAAGATGGAGTTGCTCTGGTTCAAATGCCTCTGACACTATGAGCAATGGATGGACTATAGACACTCCATAATCACCCAAATTCCCTCTGGTGAGGGAACATTGGGCAGCTGGGAACCCCCACAACTTGGCATCAAAAGTCCACTATAGCTTCATCCACAGGGACATTGTGCCTTACAAATCCTAAAATAAAGGCTGCCCCAAGCAACCCATGAACATTCCAGCTTTTGGCAGGAAGACTCATTTGTTATGTGATTCACAGTTGGTAAGCTCATTTAATTATGTGTCAAACACCACCATTGGTATCTACCTCTCTAGCTGATGTTATAACTTAATTCCTCTTAAGGACCACAGATTTCATCTATGCTTAGGAGTCCTCTTGCATAAGAATGTTGACCTGCATATGCATGGGAGATTCAGGGCAGAGATCAGAAGGATTTGTGGGGCATCCTGCACATAATTTGCACTGAGTATTTTACCTCCATTCCTCTTGCTAGTAAATAATTTCCTAATTCACTTAAAAAGAAAAAATATCACTTTGGGCTTTTGTAAGCCCTTACTTTGCCCTGTGAAACTAAATTTTATCTAAAGAATATTTTTCATCATTACATTATCTGGTACAGTGACTTCACTGGTGGGTGGAATTCTGATTTCAAGAAAAGCCTAATAAGCATTACCCTTCAGGTAAAAAGAAAAAAATTAACTTCATTTGCAAGTATTTCAACCTAATGCTCTGAAACTGCATATGATAAAACTAGCTCCCCTCAAAACATCTAATCATTAAAATTTTACTTGGTTGATGACTTCTGATATAGAAAAAGGAAACAAAAAAGTTTTATAGTTGAAGATATTTTGCTATTCCTTATTGAGATTTTGTTTGTTTGTTTTGATTTTTGAGACAGGGTCTCACTCTGTTGCCCAAACTGGAGGAGTGCAGTGGCATGATCATGGCTCACTGCAGCCTCGACCTCTTGGGCTCAAATGATCCTCCCACCTCAGCCTCCTGAGTAGCTGGAACCACATGCACATGCCACCATGCCCAGCTAAGTGTTTTATTTTTTAAAAAAGTTTGAAAAGACCAGGTCTTGGCTGGGCATGGTGGCTCACACCTATAATCCCAGCACTTTGGGAAGCCAAGCTGGGTGAGCACCTGAGGTTGGGAGTTCGAGACCAGCCTGGCCAACATGGTGAAACCCTGTCTCTACTAACAATACAAAAAAAAAAAAATTAGCTGAATGTGGTGGTGCACATCTGTAATCCCAGCTTCTTGTGAGGCTGAGGCACAGGAGGTGTGAAGGTTGAACCTGGGAGGTGGAGGTTGCAGTGAGCCGAGATCGTGCCACTGCTCTCCAGCTGGGCAACAGAGTGAGACTCAGAAAGAAAGAGAGAAAGAGAGAAAGAAAGAAAGAAAAGAAAGAAAGAAAGAAAGAAAGAAAGAAAGAAAGAAAGAGAGAGAGAGAGAGAGAGAGAGAAAGAAAGAAAGAAAGAAAGAAAGAAAGAAAGAAAGAAAGAAAGAAAGAAAGAAAAGAAAGAAGGAAAGAAGGAAAGAAGGAAAGAAGGAAAGAAGGAAGGAAGGAAGGAAGGAAGGAAAGAAAAGAAAAGAAAAGAAAAGAAAAGAAAAGAAAAGAAAAGACGAGGTATCTCTATGTTGTCCAAGCCTGAAATTCTTAAAATAAAGCCTAAATAGTTGTGAAGTGAAAATCTTATCACTAAAGATCTCCAAAAAATATTCTTGTTCTTATCTATATTATACAGAAAGTGGATATCGAATAAATAAATAACATTTTGAGGCATAGTAAATGACAGAATGAAAAATAGTCTCTCTCAGTCATGCTAATCATGCAACATCATTAACTGGTGACCCTATGAAGCCCTATCCTTTCTTTTCATAAATTCAACTACTAGCCATACTATAAGAATCCATATTATCTATGGCTCAAAAGTAGAATTTCTACTCAGCATAATTCTTGTGGTTTGGAAATGGTTTGCTTACTTTATACCCATGAAATATGTGAAATAAAAGTTATATCAAGACTCATAACCTTATCAAAGGTATACAATAGCACTATTAATAGCTAACACTTACTACGTGCTAGATGCTATCTTGAGTGCTTTACATACATGAATTCACTTAGACTTCAAAACCACACAGAATAGGTAGTCTAGTATCTATTTTTCAGGAGGAGCAACTGAGGCACAGAGAAGGCTAATAACTTACCCGACGTCTCACAGCTAGTAAGTCACGATTGGAATGCAAGCAGTTGGCTCACGTACTTATGTGCTTATCCACTCTGCCATAGTGCCTCTGCATTAAATTCACCATTCACAATTCTTTTATATAAACGTGAGTGCTAATTCATAAGCAAGATCATATTGTGTACTATAAAAATTGGTAAATAGGTAAGGTAAGAATTACATCTTTGAATAGGTAAGAAATAGGTAAGAATTATGGCTTTGTAATCCTTGGTAATGTAAAAAAAGGATAGTATCATAAAAATGCTTATCACTGGGATGATGTGATCAAACTACGATATGCCCAGTGTTCTCATGGTACTTTTCCAATCTTCATGGTATCAGATGAGATTAGTGTTTGTTTGTTTGTTTCAAACAGCATTAAAAAAAAATCCAGCTAGGCATGGTAGTTTATGCCTGTAATCCCAGCACTTTGGGAGACCTATGCAGAAGAATCGCTTGAAGCCAGGAGTTTGAGACCAGCCTGGGCAACATAGCAAAATCCTACCTCTACAAAAAATACAGAAATTAACCGGGCATGGTGGAACACACCTATAGTCCTGGCTACTCAGGAGGCTGAGGTGGGAAGATCGCCTCAGCCCAGAAATTCCAGGTTACAGTGAGCCATAAGCCACCTCATTCCAGGCTGGGTGACGGAGTGAGATCCTGTCTCTAAGAAATAAAAATAAAAATCCATTGAACAGTTTTTATTTATACAGAAATATCAGCTACACAGGGCATGAGGTTATAACATTTATAATTATATGATCAAAGGGTGTTTGTCAGCTTTACATAAATACTTTCGATCATGTAATTACCTCCCTTTTACTTTTGTAACTATAAAGCACTTACTGTTTATAGGTTCCATGTATATTCTCAATTACTCTCATTTGGCCAGAGACTTCAAGAGACTTAATATGGTAGAAGAGACCATTAACCTCAGCTTACATGTGAAAATTTGACCTAATTACAAGATTATAACTTCATATGAAAAAAAAAGAAATTGACTTATGTTCAAGGCAAATGCACTGTAGTATAATATTTGCCTTTTACTCCTACTCTTCAATCTTATGGTTAATAGGGCAGTGAAAAACAATCATAAAATATGTTTGTTTGATCTCTACTGGTCAGTGCATGTGCTGATAAGGCTGGGCTCCATTCCAGTTCACTTCACTCTTTTCCATTGCCACTGACATCTCCGCCCACTGCCTCCTGCCAGGTGCACCCTTCTTCCCATGAGGAACTGGAGAGAATGTGTGACCCCATCGGTCTGAGTTTATGATGTGCAACCGATAGTGATTTTGAGCAAGTAAACAGTTCATTGCTATCTCTTGAAATAACAAAAAAAATAAGGTCTAGTTTTAACATGAGTAAGTTTTTATAGGGAAAAGTAAAAGGAAAGTCATGGGACTGCCAACATACACCATACCACACAGCGTGCCAACTCTCTGCAAGAAACAGGAACTAAGTCACACTAACACCAGCCCATTCAGTCTCCTCTAATCAAATGCGTGTCAAACTCTGCTTAGGGATGGTCAAAGAACAGTCCTTTTCCAATTCTAAAACGATGGGTGTTTTCACCATAGGATAATACACACACTTACCCAAAAGAGCCTCTAGACTAGAAGAGTAAGGTAGATATATAGTCAGTTATGATAAAAGGAAAATGGAATGTAATCAGGGTTCAAAGGGAATCATATCCAATTAGAGAAGAAATGGAAGGGCTTGTTATGAAAAAGATGACATTTGATGGGACAGGAGCGCAGGGAGGATTTCAGCATGCAGAGTTATGGAACAGAGCACATGCACGGTAGGCTAAGGGAAGAAGTGGTTACAAGGACAAGGAGGTAGCGAGAAGATGGAGGGCTCAGATAACCTACTGTATCAGCCAAAGCCCTTTCTTCTTATATTCATATTCTCTCCCCAGCCAGCTGTCCTTCCCACTTCTCCAATTGCTTTCCCAATGATTGAGCCATGACAATTCCTCCAAATCATCCTGCTTTGTCTCCTGCAGCTCCCTCTTCTGGCCTGGACTCTGCTGTTTGCCAGTCTGCAATGCTGCCTACGTTGCCCTAATTCTCTTCGTAAGATCATGACATTTTAGAATCTGAGAGCACATTAAAGAACATCTATGACAATTACCTCCATTGTTGCTCTAGTTGCCCTAATTTTTGTTTTAAGTTTTCTTATTGCCACGAAATCTTCTTCTTCCATTTCTTCTCTTATCCCTAGAAGGTCTAAAATTACTGACAGGACTGGTTATATTCAGTAGCCAGAGACAGCTGCCCTTGCTTCCACATAAAGCCACTCCCTACTTTTCAGCTCACACATAATCTCCATGAGAGCAATCAACAGGGTCAGATGGAACTAACTCTCACTCTCCTGATAGAAAACACCTGTTCTTACATAGGATTTCCAGTGAAATCTGTTGCAAGTTGGGTTTTGTTATAGGTTAACCAGTCAAAAGCTGATTAGAGGATAGCATACAGCAATTCTTTTCAGCTTTCACGTGCATATAGATAGCCTGGGAATCCTATGAAAATGCAGATTCTGGTTGAGTAGGGTTGGACTGCGGCCTGAGACTCTGCACTTCTAATGAGTTTCCAGGTGACGTCAAATCTACTGAGCCATAAAATATTGCTTTGAATAGCAACATTATGGAGAATGTTGGAGAATTTCAAAGTAGTAGGATCACACATCACTCTGTTGGATACAGTAAATACTTAAGACTTTCTTATGTGTCAGGCACTGGCTATTCAAAAATGAACAAAAGGCTGGGCGTGGTGGCTCATGCCTATAATCCTAACCCTTAGAAGGCCCAGGACAGAGGCTTTCTTGAGCCTAGGAGTTCAAGACCAACCTGGGCATTATGGCAAAATCCCGTCTCTACAAGAAAAATTACCTGGGCATGGTGTCACATGCCTGTAGTCCCTGCCACTTGGGAGGCTGAGGTGGGAGGTTGAGGCTGCAGTGAGTCCTGACCCCACCACTGCACTCCAGCCTGGATGACAGAGTGAGACCCAATCTCCAAAGGAAGAAAAAAAAAAAAAAAAAAAACCAATGAACAAGAAAGACATGGTTCTTCAAAGATTTTAGAGTGTAGTGGGGAGAAATGCAGGCACAGATTTCAAAATGAAGTGGTAATTACTGGGCATTTGGAGTACCTAGAGAAGAGCTGCGTAGCCCAAGAAAACCATGGCAAGCCCCCACAATAGGCAGAGGAGCCCCTAAAGGAGAGACTGAGATGGAATGGCCAGAGGAGGAGAACCAAGAGACTGTAGAAACATGGAGCTCAAAGGAATAGAAACGAAATTTCAAGAAAGACTTCAGTGGTCAGATGAAACAGGAATGATGAAGGGATACGAGCCCAGGTGCCTAGTGGTGTTCAGCACAGAGAAGACAGGCCGTGAGTATGTGTTGACCTACCTGGAAGATCATGTAGCCACATTCCAGCATCTTACAAAGAAGAAAACTTCTTGCGAGAAAGATGATTTGCCCTAACCCACATAGTTCTTAGCTACAGTCTTAGATTTATTGATACCTCACCTAGGACACTAACAAAGAAAACCAAAGCCATAAAAGTGTAAACAAATGGTAGGTAGCACAACATTTCATTATGTAAAAAGTTATGCTGACATTGACAACTAGGAAGGGATATTAACATGTATGGCATACACTTTTTGTTCCAAACATCATGCTAAGCACTTCCACTTATGTTACCTGGTTCTGCCCCTGAATGAACCCTAAGAAATAGGTATTCTCCTTTTTATAGAAGAGACACTTGTGACACTAGCGGCCTAATGTGACAGAGACACATGAGGAATTCATTGCAGGGTGCCCGGGAAATAAATCTTACTGGGGTTTCAGGAGTCATAGGTTATCATTGCTGCTGTGTGATCCTTCTCTGGCAAGCAGAGTTACTCCATTACAAGAAAAGACTAAGGGAACACTAATAACACATGTCTGGAGTATAATTAGACATAGATCCAGAAAGGAAAGCGAATCATTTCAGAAATGAATGTGTGCACTTAAGAGTCTGTTTATAGCATTTAGCAGTTTATTAGATTTTACTGGTTTTGTCTTGCAAATTCAGTTTGAGGCCGACAGACGTGCTTTTATCATCACTCTTAACTCCTTTGGCACTGAATTGAGCAAAGAAGACCGAGAGACCCTCTATCCAACCTTCGGCAAACTCTATCCTGAGGGGTTGCGGCTGTTGGCTCAAGCAGAAGACTTTGACCAGATGAAGAACGTAGCGGATCATTACGGAGTATGTGATGACACTGGCTTCCCTAAGTCCTTTGTGTTCATTCATTTCCATGTGCTTTAGAAGCTCACACATCAAATTTCCGCTTATACTCAAAAGAAGTAATAATATTTGTAAGGTAGCAATCAGTGTTTCTTGCTGAAGCAATCTCTCCCTAAGAAACACGTTAAGTTTCTAGCCCAAGCTGCTAATTTTTAAAGTTCCTGCCAAGCAAGTACTTGTTTAAATCTCCAAGGAATGGTCATCTGAGCACTCCTTTTGAAGTGTTTGATAAAGCAAGTTCCCCCAGGAGACTGGTTCAGTGTTCTGGAAATGTGAGCTCATATCAACGTTATGTAAAATAGTCTAACCCAGCAGCCCTTTCAGGTACCCACTAGGGAAACAAGGTTAGCCACAGAACGTCTAGGTGGACGGCAAGGAACAATATGGATGTATTAGTTTTTCCACTCACCTTGCTGAGTGGCCAGAAATCAGGAGAGGAAACATAGCTGCTTGTGTCCTTCCCCCACTCCAGCATCCATTTGCTCTTGGAGCGCCTGAAGCTCCTCAGCTTAAGGTTGTACACTTTGGCTCAGCTTCCATTCCCTCTCACTTGCACACATTTACATAACCTCCAGGTAACTTTTCCAGGGCTAGAATGACACTCATCTTTTCCTCCAGATTTCTGAAGCACTCCAGGAAAGATGAAAGTCAGCAAATGCGTAACCCTTGTGACATCTCATATGTAATTGCGTGAGACTCTTTAGCGTAATATTAAAATTTGAATTTCTCCCAAATTCCACCCCTTCCACACTGGAAACTACATGTGAATTTTATCAATTTTCATCTCAAAGAACCATGAACCCTTACTGACCAAATCATGAACATTCACTGAGCTTCTATAATGTACCTAGCTAGCCCTAAGAACCTGAGTGAGAAAATGAGCTCAAACACTGTATACTGAGAGTTGAATTGCCTTGTAGCCCTGAACAAGCCAATAGGCTAGAATTTCATCCACACTCTTGTTATTTGGATTTTTTTATTGTTTCTTCGGGAGGCCAAAATCCTATAAAAAAACATTCAGTCCTCCTGGTATTTTTTTTTAAATAGGTACACAATTTCTATAATGCTAGGAAAAATATATTTATATACATTTATAAGAAATGAAAATGTCTTTAAAATTAATGTCTTTGTTTTTAAGGTATACAAACCTTTATTTGAAGCTGTAGGTGGCAGTGGGGGAAAGACATTGGAGGACGTGTTTTACGAGCGTGAGGTATGATATAAGTGGAAATACTATTAGCTTATTTTTCTCTTACTGTGGATTTTATATATTTTCTTACTTTGGGTTTTCTTTTTACAGCTGATCATGCCAATTGATTAGGCACATTCATAGCTTGATAGTCAGTGATGTATTATTGCTACAAAGTTACACACAGACCTAGGAATCTTTGTGCTAGCAGTGCTGCTAAAGTTTGTAGCTTTTCTTTCTTTTTTTTTTTTTTTTTTATACCCTCCTAAAAGAGTTTACTTAAAAACTGCGAGAAGTAATGGAAGTACATTCAATTCCTCATGGAATTTGCTGAAGAACATTATTACAAATGCTACAAATTTTAGTGTAAAATTTTGGTTAATCATATGAGATAATGTTTCTTTTTTAAAAAAAAAATTGTGTTATACTTTAAGTTCTGAGATACATGTGCAGAATGTGCAGGTTTTGTTATGTAGGTATACGTGTGCCATGGTGGGTTGCTGCACCCGTCAACCCATCATCTACTTTAGGTATTTCTCCTAATGCTATCCCTCCCCTATTCCCCCCACCGACAGGCCCCAGTGTGTGATGTTCCCCTCCCTGTGCTCATATGTTTTCATTGTTCAACTCCCCCTTATGAGTGAAAACATGTGGTGTTTGGTTTTTCTGTTCCTGTGTTAGTTTGCTGAGAATGATGGTCTCCAGCTTTATCCATGTCCCTGCAAAGGACATGAACTCATCCTTTTTTATGGCTGCATAGTATTCCATGGTATATATGTGCCACATTTTCTTTATCCAGGCTATCACTGATGGGCATTTGGGTTGGTTCCAAGTCTTTGCTATTGGGAAAAGTGCTGCAATAAACATATGTGTGCAGGTGTCTTTATAGTAGGATGATTTATAATCTTTTAGGTATATACCCAGTAATGGGATCGCTGGGTCAAATGATATTTCTGGTTCTAGATCCTTGAAGAATTGCCACACTATCTTCCACAATGGTTGAACTAATTTACACTCCCACTAACAGTGTGAAAGCGTTCCTATTTCAATTTGGAGCTTTTCTTGTGATTCTACAAACTTACTTTAATAACTTCCGTTGTCTACATTTATCTGCAGAGTGACACTCTCTCTTTAGAACTTTCTGAGTTGTCACCATACTCCTCTATTTGGCCCAATTTAGAGATTGCCTGTTTAAACACAAATAAGCACTGCACAAGTTCAAGCCAGTCAGTAGCTTAATATTATTCCATAATGTTCCAAATAAGTTGATGATCTGTGTTACTTTTTTTCTTTCCTCAGGTACAAATGAATGTGCTGGCATTCAACAGACAGTTCCACTACGGTGTGTTTTATGCATATGTAAAGCTGAAGGAACAGGAAATTAGAAATATTGTGTGGATAGCAGAATGTATTTCACAGAGGCATCGAACTAAAATCAACAGTTACATTCCAATTTTATAACCCAAGTAAGGTTCTCAAATGTAGAAAATTATAAATGTTAAAAGGAAGTTATTGAAGAAAATAAAAGAAATTATGTTATATTATCTAGACTACACAAAAGTAAGCCACACTATATCTTCATGAGTTGCAAATCCATGGAAACACAGTAAACCAGCCCTGAAACAAAGCATTTCCTTGTTTTCAGTGGTATTAGATCTTGTTTCCACATGTCTGTCTCATTCTTCACTGGGCCTTACAGGTTAGTTTTAATTAACTCTATGGTATTTTTCTTATTCTTGTTTGATCATGTTAAAAATTGGACCTAATAAAAGTATTTTATTCTTGCTTTTCCATGCTTCTCTACAGGTCCAAATACTGAATGTCTCCTTTACTTTTTCTCTTTTAAATTTTTTTCTAGACAGGGTCTCACTCTGTCACCTAGGCTACAGTGCAGTGGTGTGATCACAGCTCACTGCAGCCTCGACTTCCCAGGCTCAAGTGATCCTCCCAGCTCTCAGCCTCCAAAGTAGCTGGCACTACAAGTGTACACCCCCACACAAGGCTAAGTTTTGTATTTTTTGTAGAGACAGGGTTTCAACATATTATCCAGGCTGGTGTCGAATTCCTGGGCTCCAGGGATCCACAGTCCCCCTTGGCCTCCCAAAGTGTTGGGATTACATGCATGAGCCACTGTGCTGGGCTTCATTTACATTTTAACTGTCTGTTCCTTGCCTAGATTCACAGAAATCCAAAGCTGTATGTAGTCAACATGGTTCACAAGTGTTGGAAAATGTGTTTTTTGTTTTGTTTTGTTTTGTTTCGTTTTGTTTTGAGACAGAGTTTCCCTCTGTCGCCCAGGCTAGAGTGCAATGGCGTGATCTCGGCTCACTGCAACCTCCACCTCCCAGATTCAAGCAACTCTCTGCCTCAGCCTCCCGAGTAGCTGGGATTACAAGCACCCACCACTACACTCAGCTAATTTTTTGTATTTTTAGTAGAGCCGGGGTTTCACCATCTTGGCCAGGCTGATCTTGAACTCCTGAGCTCATGATCCACCCGCCTCAGCCTCCCAAAGTGCTGGGATTACAGGCCCCTTGTTCAGCCACTGCACCTGGCCCCTTATTTTGTTTTTGTTTTCTAATATACTTTGATGTAATCAGCTTGAGAAAGCAACACAATTTCAAATCCTATCTTCTAGATGCAAGCAGTGTTAAATTTGTTAATAAATTTGCTTTTCACACCTTTCTTTAAATAAAAGGTATATCTCTCTTTCTTGTGGTTTCTTCCTTCTTTACATGAGAAGAAAATGACCTCCTTAATTGTAGTTTACTCATTCAAAAATCGCAGGTTCAGTTTTCAGGGTATGAATTATCTATTAAAATCTCAGTAGAAATGGTGCATAGAGCTACCAGGAAAAAAAAGACAACAAAGCACTGCTCAAGTCCTTCCTTTAAATATAAAACATATTAACATATTCCTAAATGTAAAATCTATATTTGCCATGTTTTAAAAAATAAACCCATATATATTTGAAAATTCTTCAAATCAGAATATGTACAGAGAGTATACAAATACTGATATCTAGAATTAGATGCATAGACCAAGGAGTAAATCAAATTTTCTTCAAAAATCTAGCTTTTTTAGTTAAATATTTTAATAATTTTAGTGATAGGAACTTTTTTGTTGTTGTTGAAACAGGGTCTTGCTCCATCACCCAGGCTGGAATGCAGTGGTGGGATCACAGGTTACTGGAGCCTCCACCTCCCAGGCTCAAGTGATCCTCCTGCCTCTCAGCCTCCCAAGTAGCTGGAACCAGAGGTGTGTGCCACCACAACTGCCTAATTTTTTTTTTCTTTTTTAAGGTAGAGACAGTGTCTCTACATGTTGCCCAGGCTGATCTCAAACTCAGGCAATCCTCCCACCTCGACTTCCCTAAGTGCTAGGATTACAGCCACAACGCCCGGCCAAAAGGAACTTTTAAGCATACAGTAAAATAGTAGCTCATAGAACCAGGAAGAAAGCCAAGTGCCTAGCCTCACATCTATGCAGGAGGCCCAGCCCACACCAGGGTCCTGTTAGTACTTGAAGTGCCCCCTGGAGGGCTCCAGTGCAGACCCATCAGCTGGAGCCAAAGCAGCCACTGACCAAGTGTGGCCCCTGGTCTGGAAAGCATCTTCCCTGCCTTGCTCAGGATGCTGTCCTTCACGGGGGGGTGGGGGGTTGGACCCAGAGACACCTCTATTGTACATTTTAACTTGTGGTTTCTGGTGATGGGTTTAAGGCTTAGGGCTCCCTTAAAGGTCGGGAGGAAAAGACACTGATGGGAAAGGGATAGCTTAAAGAAAGGCACCAAGGTGATTCTCAGACTATCCCCTTCCCACCCCACCTCTACATGATATGGGTAGGGCCCTTAATGTGCCACAAGGCTGCAGGCTGAAGTTAAATTCCCTTTCTCTGGATATAAACAGACGATTCCAATCCTTCCAACCCCTTCCTCAGCCACCCAAGAGTCCAACCATTATGTGAATACAGAAGAGAGGAACTTCCCTAATCCCTTGAGGCAAGTAGAAAGTGCACCTAGCATGGATAAGGATATATACATTGTGATTTGAAGAATTTGCCTTGAAGTTTCATAGCTTTTCAGTGGCTGAGCTGGGATCTGACTGCTTCATCATGCCTCAGGGAACTGGGCTGCAATGGAAAACATGAACCTTTGAAAAACATCTTACAAAATGAGGCCCAAAAGTTCAGATACTATACATGGAACACAGAAAACAGTGAGGCAAAGACTAATTTCTTGGGCAGGGTGCAGTGGCTCACACCTGTACTCCCAGCATTTTGGGAGGCCAAGGCAGGTGAATCACTTGAGGTCAGGCATTTGAGACCAGCCTGACCAACATGGTAAAACCCCGTCTCCACTAAAAACACAAAAATTAGCCAGGTGTGGTGACACAGGCCTGTAGTCCCAGCTACTCGGGAGGCTGAGGTGGGAGGATTGCTTGAGCCTGAGAGGCGGAGGTTGCAGTAAGTCAAGATTGGACCACTACAGTCCAGCCCGGGCCACACAGCAAGACTCCGTCTCAAAAAATAAAAAAAATTAATTTCTTGTTCTAAGTAACTGAAGCTGAGGCTCCTCACCATCCCTTCTCCACCCTCCTCCTGAACATTTCATCAGTCCCTCAAATTCCCTCCTCTATCTGCTGCAGTTGGTGTCAGAACATTATATTCCAATTAAACTCTAGACAGAATTCTTGGTGGTCTGCAGCCAGTCCTGCCTGTACTCAGGGTCTCTAGCCTTCTGCTCCCATCCATTGCTCTCAAGGGTTCGCAGGTCCTCTATCAGCCTATCTGTGGGCAGAATTTGTTAGTCCTCTAATGAGATTTTGCAGTTGCAGAATTGTGTTTCTCTATGGGATACAAATGCAGCAGCTGCAATTCTCAGGACATTTGGAGAACATTTCAGAAGAAAGGCAGTCGTTTCGGTTGTTCAGATGCTTTAGGAAAGAGGAACACTGACTAAGGGCTGGCGGAGATACTGAATTTGAGTTTGGCCCAAAAGCTAAGTATTATTGAACATTGACAGAATTCCGTTAAGTACCTGGAGAGCCCTCCACCCCCTCCACAGCATGGTAACAGTGTAATAGGTCATTGGGAGGCTAAAAGAAATATTTGTAGGCCTGGCTCACGCCTGTACTACCAGCACTTTGGGACGCTGAGGCGGGAAGATCACTTGAGGTCAGGAATTTGAGACCAGCCTGGCCAACATGGCAAAACCCCGTTTCTACTAAAAATACAAAAATTAGCCAGGCCTGGTGGCACATGCCTGTAGTCCAAGCTACTCAGGAGGTTAAGTCAGGAGAACCGCTTGAACCCGGCGGGGGTGGAGGTTGCAGTGAGCCGAGATCACAGCATTGCACTCCAGCCTGGGCGACAGAGCAAGACTCCAACTCAAAAACAACAACAACAACAAAACTGTAGAGTGAAGAAAGTCTTGGTGATAATCAGATCTGAGGGGCTTCATTAATAGTAATTTTTGAGTCTACCACTTAAAAATGCATTAATAATGTCTTAGATCTCACAAACAAGACACAGGAAAGATGCAATTACAGTTTCACTCTGTTTTGTCTTAGTTACTCTCAGGAGCGGACAAAATTCTCCCTGTTGTATGATTCATTTTATTCATTTTGAGTCATTTTGTCTTCACCTCAGCAAATGGAAACACTAGTACTTATATATACTGAATAAGAATTGCTGGGCAATATATGTGGCATTATCAGAGGGCATCATTTTCAGTGATTTCATCCCTTATGTCTCACAATAGCTGAGCCCAAGAGTTTTGATGTCATCTTGGATGACTGCATAATCATAAGATGTGTAAGTTTTATATATACACAAACATAGGATATGGAAATTATAATAATGCCCAAACTACTTTCCCTAAGTAATCCCTCTCTCTGGCATCTTCATTATTCCATCTGGCCTTCCATAGTGGCTTTTCCACTGACTCCCCCTTTCTCCTCAGTCATTCGTGCTGCAGTTTTCAGCTTCCACCACTTGCTGAACGTTTGGTCAGTAATTGAAATCCAACTCATCACAGCCCTACTCAACATCAATGACATCTGGCTCCTTATGTAAGGGAGGCCAGGTTAGAGTTATCTTTGGAATGAAAGCAGAATAAGGAAAGAAGATGCACATACAGACCATTGTGAATATCAATATATTAGAAAGGAATTGTCCCCAGAGAATTACCATTCTAACTAGATCTACAAACGCCATTCCAAAGCTAGGCTTACTGACAAAATATAAACGTACATCAGTAGCTCTATTGCAGTAGCAGACTGCTGTACTCCCAGCACTTTGGGAGGCTAAGGCAGGCAGATCACTTGAGGTCAGGAATTTGAGACCAGCCTGGCCAACATGACGAAACCCCGTTTTTACTAAAAATACAAAAATTAGCCAGGCATGGTGGCACATGCCTGTAATCCCTGAGACTGGCGGTACTTGCTAGTGGGACAGATTTCTTATTGATGGTCAGACAGCAGCACCAGATTCGCTGACACTGAGTCAAGCTCTTCAGTGGTGAATGTCATTATTACCGTTATCTTTTAAACAAATCGAAATTCTAGATTTTAAATAATTTATACATTTTCTGATTCTACTTTTGGAGGTTTTAAAAAATTAAAGCATCTATTTAGCTGCTCAGTTGTTAATGCTGAGATGTACATTTCATTGTGTAAGATGCTCACTGTTTCACATTTTGGATTTATTTCAACTTGGGTTTTAAACAATTTTGTTTTTCATATAGATGTAAGAGTGGATACCAATATATTTCAGGTTATTTCTACAACACCAGGAATTTTTAAAAATTAAAAGATTATTCTGAAAATAAAAAACTTAGAACTCAGATTTAATATCTTCATGATTCAATTTTTAAAAATTCAGTAATATATTTATTAAGATCAGCTTGGATGGGTGGGTGACCAGGAATCCCAGCTCCCAGTGTCCAGATCATTTATTTGTACACAAGGATTCACCATGGTTGTACAATGACAGTTGTATATGCTGATTAAATTCTTCAGAGCCTCAAATGCTTTTCAGAAAGTAGATCATAAGAAAGTTCTGCAGGATTCAGATATGCAAATAAATAAGCAAACATAAATTATGTCATAGGGAATTAACACTTCACAGTTTAACTGTGTCTTATACTGGATGTAACTCCATGAAACACGAGGATTATTTTAGCTATAGAATTTAATATGAGTCCTTAACAGTGACTTTAATCCATGGATATCTTTCTTCAGAATAATAGACATTTGCACATCCTCCCAAAATTTTGCATAACGCATGAAAGGACTATGGATGCTCTAAAATCCACTGAGCAACCTAGAGGTCTATAGACTCCAGGTTAGACACCTCCATTGCATAAGCTGAGGAAGAAATGACAGGTTAGACAGCAATAAATGGAAAAGAATTTTAATTTGAAAAATGAAATATATGTACACACGTACCTTTCCCATATCTTAAAAGGACATCCTGTTGTGCTGAGCAAGTAGCTTCAGGATGGAGGCAACATTTTAGGTGGAGAAGGGCTCCCTACCTGCCCAATCAATCATGTCAATCACAGAGATGGTGAAGAGACCAAGGTCACAAGTAGTTTGCTTACATAACAAATTGAAATTATAATCCAAAGCATCCATATTCTACTTCTTAAAAATATTAATGTTCCTATCCATTAAATGCATTACTCAATGCTATTGGTTTTTGCAAGAACAGTAGGTGAAAATTTGTGGGTTGTTTTTAAAAAAAATAATTGTGCGGAGATTATGTTGTAGGAAAATAAAAAATAAAATAAAAGCAAATGCTGACCAGCTGATGTTTCTTGAAGCACACTCCAGGATTGAATGATCAAATGGAAAAAAATTACTTTTAAGCCTTTACCTTTGGTGAAATAGAAGGAAATTGCACTCTCACATTTCCTCGTGTCACCTAGAAATGAATCATTTCTATCTTTTTAGTCAACTGTTATTGCTTAAAGTCAAATAAAAGTAAGCCAAGTGGAAGAGTAAAGAGTGAGCAGGACAGACGCATAACCTCCTCAGTAAATACTATAAATCCCAGAAGAGCAGGTGGAAATTTAAATCAATATATTTCCCAGGGGGAAGCATATATATTTATGTTGAGGAAGCAGCCTCTGCTATCCTGCATTGATGAGGCCATTTTCAGGGAAGACTATGGAGAGAATGAGTGTGTATAAATCAAAAACAGCCAGGGACACTGCTCACCCCTCCAAAGCCACATGGAAAACATAAATTGACTTAAGACAGGAGTAATTTTAAAATATGGGAAGGCAGCAGCAAGGAGAAATGGAATGCCTCTGTAAAAATAATAATAATAATAATAATAATAATAATAATAAAGCCTAAATCAGCAGTCAATGCAGAAGAAACCTCAACAGGGAGTAGAACTTTTTTCAAAATTCACTCTGGGCTGGAGCCGTGAGAGTAACCTGCTTTGAGGGATAACTAATCTGAGGAAAACGAAGTAAAAGCATATGAATGAGAAGCATATTCTTTCTAGGTCAAGCTAATGCTTTAACATTTTTCCACCTAAGTTCTTTAGGTTTTCCCTATGTATTTGACCAACTTTAACTATTGTAAACACTAAATTTATAAAGAATAGACTCAGAACAAGAAAACAAATGCTAGCTTTAAACTCATAGACACTGTGGAAGCAAAGCGCTTAACTTCTCACAGACCAAGAGAAGGCAGCAGGGCAGCTTTTGCTGGACAGCAAAAGGACCCACCTGCACAGCTACCAAAGTGCTCTATGTATATTTTAAGAAGGCTCGTCTCAAATTCAACAAATGCTTAATAGAGAGTGATCCCTCATCTCAGACATTTTATAAATGTGGTTGTTGCAGATACAAAGGAAAAGCTCCCTTTTTATTAAACAGGAATTATAAAGTAGTCTTTATACTTTATAAAGTATAGGAATTATAAAGAAAGATCAGTAGTCTTTCTTTTCAAGCTTATGAAAGGGCTAGCACCCCTGTTATAGTAAGTTTTAGGGACTAAATGACACGGCCAACTGACGTAAATCCAAGGCCAGAATTTAAGGAAGGGATGTTTTGTTCGTTTGTTTGTTTGTTTTTTGAGATGGAGTCTCACTCTGTTGCCTAGGCTGGAGTGCAGTGGCACAATCTCGGCTCATTGCAACCTCCACCTCCCGGGTTCAAACGATTCTCCTGCCTCAGCCTTCCGAGTAGCCGGGATTATAGGCATCCACCACCAAGTCCAGCTAATTTTTGTATTTTTAGTGGCGACGGGGTTTCACTATGTTGGCCAGGCTGGTCTCAAACTCCTGACCTCGTGATCCGCCCGCCTGAACCTCCCAAAGTGTTGGGATTACAAACGTGAGCCACCGCGCTTGGCCAGGAAGGGAGTTTTTGAGCATTCATCTGGAGAAAAAAAAAAAAAATTAATGGGAACATCTATGTCACCTTTACTTTTTTAAGCCAGAGTTTCTCAGCCAGTATGTCAAAGCACACATGCACCTCGTGTGAATTACAAGGCTGTACAAACGTTCATTCCCACAGTCTCAGAATGTCTGTGGCTTCCAGTATTCTTGGACCAACATCAGTTTTCTCTTCCAAAGGGAGGCATACAACTGTTTCCTTTTTTTTTTTTTTTTTTGAGACGGCGTCTCACTCTGTTGCCCAGGCTAGAGTGCAGTGGCGCGATCTATCTTGGCTCACTGCAAGCTCTGCCTCCAGGGTTCACGCCATTCTCCTGCCTCAGCCCCCCAAGTAGCTGGAACTACAGGCGCCCGCCACCACGCCCGGCTAATTTTTGTATTTTTAGTAGAGACTGTGTTTCACCGTGTTAGCCAGGATGGTCTCGATCTCCTGACCTCGTGATCCACCCACCTCGGCCTCCCAAAGTGCTGGGATTACAGGCATGAGCCACCACGCCTGGCCTTTCATTTATTTTTTTAATTTTTATCTAATATCTATCTATCTATCTATCTATCTATCTATCTATCTATCTATCTATCTATTTTAGAGATAGAGTCTCACTCTGTCCCCCAGGCTGGGGTGTAGCGGTGTGATCATAGCTCACTGCAGCCTTGAACTCCTGGGCTCAAATAATCCTCTCACCGCAGCCTCCTCAGTAGCTAGGACTACAGGTGCACCATGCCTGGTTAATTTTATATATATATATATATTTATTTATTTATATAAATACATATATTTATAAATATATATAATTATAATTATATATATATTTATAATTATATATATTTATAAATATATTTATTTATAAATATATATTTATAATTATATATATTTAATTATAAATATATATTTATAATTATATATATTTATTTATAAATATATATTTATAATTATATATATTTATTTATAAATATATATTTATAATTATATATATTTATTTATAAATATATATTTATAATTATATATATTTATTTATAAATATATATTTATAATTATATAATTTATTTATATGTATTATATATAAATAATATATATATTATATATATATAAATTATATAATTATATATAATTTATATATATTTATATATAAATTATATATAATTATATATTTATATATATAAACATATATAAATTATATATTTATATATATAATTTATATATTTATATATATAAATTATATATTTATATATATAATTTATATATTTATATATATATTTATATATATATTTTATATATATATTTATATATAAAATATATATATAAATATATATATAAATATATTATACATTGATATATATTTATATATATAAATTATATATAAATTATATATTTATATATATTAAATATATTTATATATTTATATATAAATATATTTATATATAAATTATATCTATTTATATATCTATATATAAATTATATATATTTATATATTTATATATATTTATATATAATTTTATATATTTATATACTTATATATAATTATATATAAATATATATATTTATATATATATTTATATATAATTATATATATTTATATATATAAATTATATAGATATTTATTTATTTATATATAAATTATATAGATATTTATTTATTTATACATATTTATATATAAATTTATATATATTATATATTATATATCTTTATATATAATATATATAAATTTATATATATAATATATATTTATATATAAATTTATATATATTATATATATAAATTTATATATTATATATATTTTATGTATAATATATATTTAAAATTTATATATAGAATATATATTTTATATACATTTTTATATATATTTTATAATTTTTATATATATTTTATATATATATTTTTATATATATTTTATATATATTTTTATATATATATATAAAATTTCTGGTAGAGAAAGGGTCTTGCTTTGTTTGTCTTGAGATCCTGGCCTCAAACAATCCTCCTGCCTTGGCCTCCCAAAGTGCTGGGATTACAGGTTTGGGCCACCGTACCAAGTCTCTGTTATAATTTTGTAGGCACTCAGCGATGTGGAAAATAAAGGAAACAGTTTTAACCAAGCCAGAGAACATATGAATAACACATGATTTCTCCAAAGAGATACAAGCCAATACTAGGAGAGCCCATTTTTATATTTTTATGATACCTTTTATGGACCTCAAAACACCTGCTCAGCACAATTTGTTTTGTATGTTGCTAAGAGATTAGCATTCTCTACATTATCTATAGCTAGGTCTTTATCTTACAAAATAAATTCAAGCTAAATGTCAACATAATATCTCCATTAATAAATTTACGTACATGTATGACCCATTAATTTTTCTACAGTAAATCAATATACTTTTATGGTCATATCTTGATCCGACAACTTTAGTACATTAAGCTGAATACTCTTTGGTTTTCGTATTCGATTTAGCCTTCTAAGAAACACGTCTTTATTTCCTTACAGCTCTATCTTTCCTAAACAGACAAAAAAAATAAAAAGATGTATGATTTAAGTAAGATACTAAAATATAGACATAAAATAGATCCTTAGAAATATAGAATTTCAGGGCTAGAACGAATACTAGTTTTCCAAATAAGAAAACTAAAGTCAGAAAACCTAAGAGTAGAAGAGTCAAAATTAGATGTCAAGTGTCCTGATTCTTCCACATACACATATATCCTTCTTATTGTTGGCTTCATTTTTTCCCTTCTCCTTAAGTTATAGCCTCTAGTTTAAGACAAAGATCCTTGCTTGCTCAGAATACATTCTGTAAAGAAATGACAGAAATCCCATCACACTAGTTTAAAATACAAAAAGTAAATTTATTACATCACATCATTGGAAAGTTGAAGAGCTCACGGAACTGTACCCAGGGCTTCAAAAATGTCATGAAGAACTGTCTATCTGTCTTTCCCCATGCAGTGTCACAAGGAGCTCAGGCTCCCATCTCACCAACTACCCAGTCCAGCAGAAAGAGTCCCTCTTGTCCAATAGCAACAAAAATGTTCTGGGTTTGCCAGTGACTGGTCTGCCAAGGCACTTCAGGTAAACCTTTTCAGTCATAATATTTATTATTTCACTAATATTTGAGAAATCAGGAAAAATGATAAAAATAATATATTGTTAATTTACTTTCATAAGTTGTTAGAATAGGCAAAATGTTACCTACTTTACCAAGTTATTTGTTAAATATATATTTGCTCATTTACTGAGTACCAGAGTATGTCATGCTCAGTGTAATTTGAGACTTATATTTGGAAGTAATGTTGTCATTGTTCAACCTTAAAATTATTTAAAATGCTAGTTATCAAAGTTTTGGTTAATTAAGATTTTAAATTTGAAATTTCAATAATGAAGTCATATTATGAGATCTTAATCTTTTTCACCTATTATATGCAACCCATCAGTAAATTCTCCCAATTATATTCCTTTAACCCATCTCCTAAATCCAATCCTTATCATCTTTTGTCAAGATTAGGGCTATAAACCTCTAACTTGTCTCAATTCTGTCTCTTTCAACCTATCACTCCCTCTACAACTGAGAGAGCTTTTGAAAATCTAAGACCATGTCACTCTTTTATTTAAGACTCTCCATTGTGTCTCATTAGATTTGAAGCAAACTCAAAAACTTTACCATGACTTACAGGGCCCATAATGGTCAGGTCTTTGCCTACCTTTCCATTATCTTCTCTTATTGGCTTCTTGCTGTCTGCTACCCTATTCTCACTGGCCTTTTTTGAGGTTGCCAATACACCTAGTTTTGATACTCATTTTGGGGCCATCATACATGTTCTCTCTACATAGAGACTTTTCCCTCTGGATTGTCACATGGCTGGCTCTTTCTTCCCTTCAGGTTTCAATGTCACCACATTGCCAGGTTGCCCAACTCCAGTGACCACCTCCCATAACTTTGGAATTGTGCAAACCACCAGTACATGACAAAATCTCATATCACCTCCTAAAAGAGATCATCCAATCATAAGGAGGTTCCTTGCATTATTCACTCACAAAGCACCCTGTTTGATTGCTTGTTTTTAGAGGCAGAGTCTCACTCTGTCACCCAGGTTGGAGTCCAGGAGCATGACCATAGCTCACTGCAGCCCCAAACTCCTGGGCTCAAGTGACTCTCCTGCCTCAGCCTCCCTATCGGGTATGTACCTGTAGTATCACTTGCTGTCTCACTACAGGTGCATACCTGTAGCACACTTAGCTGTTTTTTTTTCTTTTTGGAGATGGGGTCTCACTGTGTTGCCTGGGGTGTCTAAAACTCCTGTGCTCAAGCAATCCTCCTGCTTCAGCTTCTTAGTGTTGGGATTACAAGCATGAGCCACCCCTCCCAGCAAAGCACCCTGTTTTTTAAGCTCATAATTCTTATCACAATTTTTAATCATAAATGTGTTTGTTTCTTTGTTTTGTAATGTTAGTCTTCCCATCCAAATATACTCTGTGAAAGTAAGAAACTTCTCTTTTTGATCACTGCTGTTTACTCAATGCTTGGCATAGAGTCTGGCATGTGGCAGTACTAAATATATAATTGTTTAGTGAATAAATGAACAAATTCTTCTACCTGCAAATTCTGATTCAAATTACAGAAAGAAATGTCAAAACATAAGTAGGCCAATGGATTCATAGATTTTCACTGATGGCAGACATTTTGGTGCCCAGAAATGGAAAAGGCCAAGATTCTGAATTTGAAAAGGTGTCACTGCCTCACTCAGAAAGCATAGAGCAACACTTTAGAAAGGACCCCTGCTGTCCCTTCACTGATGAATCACTGGAGCATACTGCAATGTTCAGCACATAGTAGGCATCCAACATATTTGTTGGATGAATAAATCTATAGCTGGGGCAAGTACTGCATCAGCACCCCCACCTGATCCCTGCAACAAACAAGGATCTGCACCAAGCACAGCATCCACTGAGAGTGGGAGCAGCCACAGAGCCATTCTTTGCCTGCAGTAACATTGGGCACAGCATCACCAGGCAGCAGGCAAGCCAGTTCACAGAAATATACCCCTTAACTAAATAGAGTCTACTTCCCATAGTCTACAAATACAGATGTCTATGAGGGACAAACCTTAGGAACAGGTAAATTCACAGATTGCTCCATGCTGTCCCCTAAACACTAACACAAACCTGGGCAATGATTCTCAATCCAATTTGCCTTTCTGTTCAAATACTTAATATCTATCTTGAAATTCACAGAAACCTAGAATACATAAAGAACTGGTTAATTTCCTCAAGTATGGAGTGCATTAAAGGAGGAAAAATCAGACTGAATTGTCAAGGGAGATTTACTCTGCCATGTACTGTCTGTTTATTCAACTAATTATCTTACCTCTCCTTCAAAGTGTTGAAGGCAAGATAAAAGCAGAAGCATAGAATATTCCATCTCAGTGATAAAAATTAATGGGTGTTTTAAGGGAAAGAAGATAAATAAAATAAGAAAAAGAAGAAGAATAGAAATGATTTCAAACAACTGCAAATGGCATTTAAGGTTAATTCCAAAGTCCTCGACATTTTACTGAACCTAGTGTCTGTATATCAGGCACCATGCCACAAACCATTCATCCTATTAAGAGCAGAAAGTTTCTCAGATGGGCTACTATTAAGCTAGAACAATAAGATTTTCTGAAAAAACTTTGTTTTAGGGATTTCACATTTTAGCATACTCATAATATGCTCTTCCAATTATTAGGTAGCATTTAGGCATCTGTTCAAACAATTTCCAACATCTGTTCAAACAATGATTTTTTTACTTAAATGTGGAACTTTTGGGGATGTGGGGAGGAACATTTCATAATGGGCTTCTTCAGGGATAGGTTAAGAATAAGAAACAAACCATGTCCAAACACAGACCAAAAGCCACGTGAATGCGCAGAGTTTTATGAAACGTCTGTAGTTGTGCAATTTTCTTTTGAGGTGAAGAATGGTGAAAATGCATTCACTGTGGACTAGCATTGTTTCCTCAGTGACATTTGCTCCTCCTAGACATGTAAACAATAAATCTAATCTTGTTAAATGTTTCTCAAATGCATCTTTCCAAAATAGAAGCACTTCAAGGAGACACTGCCTTGTTAAACCAGTTCAATAGTCCTAATACTGTAATATGTATAAAGTTAGGAAGACCTATGAAATACGGGCCTAGGTTAAAGAAAGTCAGAAAAGATAAAGATATTTTGCACATACTGGTGATTATTTGTAGCTCTTCTGATCTGTGCTTAAGTCCTTTGACTAGAACCAACTTCACAGTCATGGAGAAATATTTTAAAACAGGGCTACCTCAAAGACTATTAGTTGCTTTGGTAATACATGGGCATGAGAGTTTAAAAGGTCAAAATGCTAAATTCAGAAGTGAGCTCCATTCTACATATTCATTCTCTGGGATAATGAAAAGGTTTCCAACCTCCAAGTAGATCTTCCCCTCTTAATCTATTCTTGCTCCACCCTCCAATCTCCTTTACTCTGCTAGGCTGTGCCCAGTTTATGAGGGTCTTAGAAATAAATGCTTTGACTCTTGTTGAGCATGAAACAAATAAAATCGACTTTCAGAAATCAACTGGGGACCGGGCTGCAGTGGCTCATGCCTGTAATCCCAGCACTTTGGGAGGCCCAGGTGGGCGATCACTTGGGGTCAGGAGTTCGAGACCAGCCTGGCCAATGTGGTGAAATCTCGTCTCTACTAAAAATATGTGGTGGCTCATGCCTGTAATCCCAGCTACCCAGGAGGCTGAGGCGGGAGAATTACTTAAACCTAGGAGACAGAGGTTGCAGTGAGTCGAGATCACGCCACTGCACTCCAGCCTGGGCGACAGAGTGAGACTTTGTCTAAAAATGATAATAATTAGCCAGACGAAGTGTAGCGTGCCTGTAATCCCAGTTACTCAGGAAGCTGAGTCATGAGAATCTCTTGAACCTGGGTGTCAATGGTTGCAATGAGCCGAGATCATGACACTGCACTCCAGCCTGGGCAACAGAGGGAGACTATGAAAAAGAAAGGGGAGGGGAGGGGAGGGGAGGGGAAGGGGAAGGGGAAGGGGAAGGGGGAGGGGAAAGGAAGAGGAATGAGAAGGAAGGGAAGGAAGGGAAGGAAAGGAAGGAAAGGAAGAAACTGGATGGAGCAGAAAAGGAAACAAGTCTAAGAGAAGAGTCAGAGGAATCTGAATCTATCTTCTTTAATATCCAGAACTTTGTGGCCTGAGGCAAGTTACTGAACTTTTAAGATTCAGTTTCCCCACCTGTGAAAGCGAGATACTTGCATCTATTCCTTGAAATTTCTATAGGATTGAAATTATATAGTATGTTTAATATGTTAACTATATTTACTATGTTTAATACATTAATATGTTTAAATGCACAGGCAGTACACAGCCTAGCACAAAGTGCTCAGTAAATGTTCTATTCATACCCTCTTCAGACAGACTTGCATTAGAATGACTTGCATGTATGACTATCCCAGCCACTGGATTGAATGCATCTGGAAATTGGACACCATCTTTTCATTGTCTTTTTTTTTAAATTTGTACTTTTTTTATTATTATTATACTTTAAGTTATAGGGTACATGTGCACAACATGCAGTTTTGTTACATAGGTATACGTATGCCATGTTGGTTTGCTGCATCCATTAACTCATCACTTACATTAGGTATTTCTCCTAATGCCATCCCTCCCTCTGTCTCCCACCCCACGACAGGTCCCAGGGTGTGATGTTCCCCACCCTGTGTTCAAGCGTTCTCATTGTTCAATTCCCACCTATGAGTGAGAACATGCAGTGTTTGGTATTCTGTCCTTGTGACAGTTTGCTCAGAATGGTGGTTTCCAGCTGCATCCATGTCCTTGCAAAGGACGTGAACGCATCCTTTTTTATGGCTGCATAGTATTCCATGGTGTATATGTGCCACATTTTCTTAATCCAGTCTATCATTGACGGACATTTGGGTTGGTTCCAAGTCTTTGCTATTGTGAATAGTACCACAATAAACATACATGTGCATGTGACTTTATAGTAGCATGATTTATAATCCTTTGGGTATATACTCAGTAATGGGATTGCTGAGTCAAACAGTATTTCTAGTTCTAGATCCTTGAGGAATCGCCACACTGCCTTCCACAATGGTTGAACTAGTTTAAACTCCCACCAACGGTGTAAAAGCTTTCCTATTTCTCCACATCCTCTCCAGCATCTGTTGTCTCCTGACTTTTTAATGATCCCCATTCTAACTGGTGTGAAATGGTATCTCATTGTGGTTTTGATTTGCATTTCTCTGATGACCAGTGATGATGAGCATTTTTTCATGCATCTGTTGGCTGCATAAATATCTTCTTTTGAGAAGTGTCTGTTCATATCCTTTGCCCATTTTTTGATGGGGTTGCTTGTTTTTTTCTTGTAAATTTGTTTAAGTTCTTTGTAGATTCTGGATATTAGCCCTTTGTCAGATGGGTAGATTGCAAAAATTTTCTCCCATTCTATAGGTTGCCTGTTCACTCTGATGGTCATTTCTTTTGCTGTGTAGAAGTTCTTTACTTTAATTAGATCCCATTTGTCTCTTTTGGCTTTTGTTGCCATTGCTTTTGGTGTTTTAGACATGAAGTACTTGCTCATGCCTATGTCCTGAATGGTATTGCCTAGGTTTTCTTCTAGGGTTTTTATGGTTTTAGGTCTAACATGTAAGTCTTTCATCCATCTTGAATTAATTTTTGTATGAGGTGTAAGGAAGGGATCCAGTTTCCGCTTTCTGCATATGGCTAGCCAGTTTTCCCAGCACCATTTATTAAATAAGAAATCCTTTCCCCATTTCTTGTTTTTGTCAGGTTTGTCAAAGATCAGATGGTTGTAGATGTGCGCTATTATTTCTGAGGCCTCTGTTCTGTTCCATTGGCCTAGATCTCTGTTTTGGTACCAGTACCATGCTGTTTTGGTTACTATAGCCTTGTAGTATATTTTGAAGTCAGGTAGCATGATGCCTCCAGCTTTGTTCTTTTTGCTTAGGATTGTCTTGGCAATGTGGGCTATTTTCTAATTTGGTTCCATATGAACTTTAAAGCAGTTTTTTCCAATTCTGTGAAGAAACTCATGGTAGCTTGATGGGGATGGCATCGAATCTATAAATTACCTTGGGCAGTATGGCCATTTTCACAATATTGATTTTTCCTATCCATGAGCATGGAATGTTCTTCAATTTGTTTGTGTCCTCTTTTACTGTATTGAGCAGTGTCTGTAGTTCACCTTGAAGAGGTCCTTCACATCCCTTGTAAGTTGGATTCCTAGGTATTTTATTCTCTTTGAAGCAATTGTGAATGGGAGTTCACTCATGATTTGGCTCCCTGATTGTCTGTTATTGGTGTATAGGAATGCTTGTGATTTTTCCACATTGATTTTGTATCTAGAGACTTTGCTGAGCTTGCTTATCAGCTTAAGGAGATTTTGGGCTGAGACGATGGGGTTTTCTAAATATACAATAATGTCATCTGCAAACAGGGACACTTTGACTTCCTCTCTTCCTAATTGAATACCCTTTATTTCTTTCTCTTGCCTGATTGCACTGGCCAGAACTTCCAACACTATGTTGAATAGGAGTGGTGAGAGAGGGCATTCCTCTCTTGTGCAGTTTTCAAAGGGAATGCTTCCAGTTTTTGCCTATTCAGTATTATATTGGCTATGGGTTTGTCATAAATAGCTCTTATAGTTTTGAGATATGTTCCATCAATACCTAGTTTATTGAGAGTTTTTAGCAAGAAGGGCCATTGAATTTTGTTGAAGGACTTTTCTGCATCTACTGAGATAATCATGTGGTTTTTGTCAGTTCTGTTTATGTGGTGGATTATGTTTATTGATTTGTGTATGTTGAACCAGGCTTGCATCTCAGGGAGGAAGCCAACTCGATCATGGTGGATAACCTTTTTGATGTGCTGCAGGATTCAGTTTGCCAGTATTTTATTGAGGATTTTCGCATCGATGTTCATCACGGATATTGGTCTAAAATTCTCTTTTTTTGTTGTGTCTTTGCCAGGCTTTGGTATCAGGATGATGCTGACCTCATAAAATGAGTTGGGGAAGATTGCCTCTTTTTCTATTGATTGGAATAGTTTCAGAAGGAATGGTACCAGCTCCTCTTTATACCTCTGGTAGAATTCGGCTGTGAATCCATCTGGTCCTGGACTTTTTTTGGTTGGTAGGCTATTAATTATTGCCTCAGTTTCAGAGCCTATTATTGGTCTATTCACAGATTCAACTTTTTCCTGGTTTAGTCTTGGGAGGGTGTATGTGTTGAGGAATTTATCCATTTCTTCTGGATTTTCTAGTTTATTTGTGTAGAGGTGTTTATAATATTCTCTGATTGTAGTTTTTGTATTTATGTGGGATCAGTGGTAATATCCCTTTTATCATTTTTATTGCATCTATTTTGATTCTTCTCTCTTTTATTCTTTATTAGTCTTGCTAGCAGTCTATCAATTTTGTTGATCTTTTCAAAAAACCAGCTCCTGGATTCATTGATTTTTTTGAAGGGGTTTGTGTCTCTGTCTCCTTCAGTTCTGCTCTAATCTTGGTTATTTCTTGCCTTCTGCTAGCTTTTGAATGTGTTTGCTCTTGCTTCTCTAGTTCTTTTAATTGTGATGTGAGGGTGTCAATCTTAGATCTTTCCTGCTTTCTCTTGTGGGCATTTACTGCTATAAATTTCCCCGTACACACTACTTTAAATGTGTCCCAGAGCTTGTGGTACATTGTGTCTTTGTTCTCATTGGTTTCAAAGAACATCTTTATTTCTGCCTTCATTTCATTATGTACCCAGTAGTCATTCAGGAGCAGGTTGGTCAGTTTCCATGTAGTTGTGTGGTTTTAAATGAGTTTCTTAATCCTGAGTTCTAATTTGGTTGCACTGTGGTCTGAGAGACAGTTTGTTATAATTTCTGTTATTTTACATTTGCTGAGGAGTGCTTTACTTCCAATTATGTGGTCAGTTTTGGAATAAGTGCTATGTGGTGCTGAGAAGAATATATATTCTGTTGATTTGGGGTGGAGAGTTCTGTAGATGTCTATTAGGTCTGCTTGGTGCACAGCTGAGTTCAATTCCTGGATATCCTTGTCAACCTTCTGTCTTGATCTGTCTAATGTTGACAGTGGGGTGTTCAAGTCTTCCATTATTATTGTGTGGGAGTCTAAGTCTCTTTGTCGGTTTCTAAGGACTTGCTTTATGAATCTGGGTGCTCCTGTATTGGGTGCATATATATTTAGGATAGTTAACACTTCTTGTTGAATTGATCCCTTTACCATTATGTAGTGGCCTTCTTTATCTCTTTTGATCTTTGTTGGTTTAAAGTCTGTTTTATCAGAGACTAGGATTGCAACCCCTGCTTTTTTTTGCTTTCCATTTGCTTGGTAGATCTTCCTCCATCCCTTTATTTTGAGCCTATATATGTCTCTGCATGTGAGATGGGTCTCCTGAATACAGCACACTGATGGGTCTTGACTCTTTATCCAATTTGCCAGTCTGTGTCTTTTAATTGGGGCATTTAGCCCATTTACATTTAAGGTTAATATTGTTATGTGTGAATTTGATCCTCTCATTATGACGTTAGCTGGTTATTTTGGCCATTAATTGATGCAGTTTCTTCCTAGCATCGATGGTCTTTACAATTTGGCATGTTTTTGCAGTGGCTGGTACCGGTTGTTCCTTTCCATGTTTAGTGCTTCCTTCAGGAGCTCTTGTAAGGCAGGCCTGGTGGTGACAAAATCTCTCAGCATTTCCTTGTCTGTAAGGGATTTTATTTCTCCTTCACTTATCAAGCTTAGTTTGGCTGGATATGTAATTCTGGGTTGAAAATTCTTTTCTTTAAGAATGTTGACTATTGGCCCCCACTGTCTTCTGGCTTGTAGAGTTTCTGCTGAGAGATCTGCTGTTAGTCTGATGGGCTTCTGTTTGTGGGTAACTCGACCTTTCTCTTTGGCTGCCCTTAACATTTTCTCCTTCATTTCAACCTTGGTGAATCTGAAAATTATGTGTCTTGGAGTTGCTCTTCTCAAGGAGTATCTTTGTGGTGTTCTCTGTATTTCCTGAATTTGAATGTTGGCCTGCCTTGCTAGGTTAGGGAAGTTCTCCTGGATAATATCCTGCAGAGTGTTTTTCCAACTTGGTTCCTTTCTCCCCGTCACTTTCAGGTATGCCAATCAAATACAAATTTGGTCTTTTCACATAGTCACATATTTCTTGGAGGCTTTGTTCATTTCTTTTTTAACTTTTTCTGTAAACTTCTCTTGCTTTATTTCATTGATTTGATCTTCAGTCACTGATAACTCTTCTTCCACTTGATCGAATTGGCTTTTGAAGCTTATGCATGCGCTGCGTAGTTCTCATGCCATAGTTTTCAGCTCCATCAGGTCATTTAAGGTCTTCTCTATACCGTTTATTCTAGTTAGCCATTCATCTAATCTTTTTTCATGTTTTTTAGCTTCCTTGCAATGGGTTCGAACATCCCCCTTTAGCTCAGAGAAGTTTGTTATTTCTGACCTTCTGAAGCCTACTTCTATCAGCTAGTCAAAGTCATTCTGCATCCAGCTTTGTTCTGTTGCTGGCGAGGGGCTGTGATCCTTCAGAGGAGAAGAGGTGCTCTGATTTTTAGAATTTTCAGCTTTTCTGCTCTGGTTTCTCCCCATCTTTGTGGTTTTATCTACCTTTGGTCAGATGGGGTTTTGGTGTGGATGTCCTTTTTGTTGATGTTGATGGTATTCTTTTCTGTTTGTTAGTTTTCCTTCTAACAGTCAGGTCCCTCAGCAGATATTGCTGCCTGATCCTTCCTCTGGAAGCTTGTTACCAGAGGGGCACCTCCCTGTATGAGGTGTCAGTCAGCCCCTACTGGGAAGTGTCTCCCAGTTAGGCTACACGGGGGTCAGGGACCCACTTGAGGAGGCAGTCTGTCCATTCTCTGAGCTCAAACACCATGCTGAAAGAACCACTGTTCTCTTCAGAGCTGTCAGGCAAGGACGTTTACGTCTGCAGAAGTTTCTGCTGCCTTTTGTTCAGCTATGCCCTGTTCCCAGAGGTGGAGTCTACAGAGGCAGCAGGCCTGGCTGAGCTGCAGTGGGCTCCACCCAGTTCGAGGTTCCCCAGCTGCTTTGTTTACCTACTCAAGCCTCAGCAATGGCGAATGCCCCTCCCCCTGCCAGGCTGCTGCCTCACAGGTTGATCTCAGACTACTGCACTAGCAGTGAGCAAGGCTCTGTGGGCGTGGGACCCACTGAGCCAGGCATGGGATATAATCTCCTGGTATGCCATTTGCTAAGACAGTTGGAAAAGTGCAGTACTTGGGCAGGAGAGTCCCGTTTTTCCAGGTACCATCTGTCACAGCATCCCTTGGCTAGGAAAGGGAAATCCCCCCACCCCTTCTGCTTCCCAGGTGAGGCGACGCACCGCCCTGCTTCGGCTTGCCCTTCATGGGCTGCACCAACTGTCCAACTAGTCCCAATGAAATGAACCAGGTACCTCAGTTGGAAATGCAGAAATCACCTGTCTTCTAGTGTCGATCACACTGGGAGCTGCAGACTAGAGCTGTTCCTATTTGGCCATCTTGGAAGAATCTCTTCATTATCTTTTATGCCTTCACTAATTCACAGCATGATGCTTGCTCAAAATAAAGCAAACATGCTTTTCAAATAAAATAAAACATTTGGTATTAGATATCAAAGTACCTGTTTATAGATGCATGACTAAAATAATTTTACTTTATTCCCAAATTACACCTGGCTGCAGATGAATTCTAAGCCATGAGGCCTGTCACCTTCCACAGCAACCTGCACTACACTGTATGGGTCTCTTTTGTACAGTGATTTCTTCTGTTACCATCTCAAGGCCTCTCTTCCCCAAGACCCTAGAGCAGTTTATGTGCTTGTCTTGCAATTCTAGTTACTCCTCCTAGCCCTCCTTTCTGTTTCCCCTTCCAAGTCTTTCATGGTAAGGTCTGCTGCAACAACTGAGCCCTTAGTCGCATCTATTTTGTTCTTGGTTCCTGGGACTCATTGCTGTTCCTCTTCCTTCAGTATCCTCCCCTTGCCCCTGCCTCAATTCAGTCTTATAATAAAGTCTTCTTGAAATTTAAATACGTTTCTGCTTTCTTTTTTTTTTTTTTCCTTAAACAGCTCCATCGCCCAGGCACCCAGGCTGGAGTACAGTGGCATGATCTCGGCTCACTGCAACCTCGGCCTCCCGCATTCAAGCAATTCCTCTCCTGCCTCAGCCTCCTGAGTAGCTGGGATTACAGGCATGCACCACCATGCCTGGCTAGTTTTTGTATATATATATTTTTTTAGTAGAGACAAGGTTTCACCATGTTGACCAGGATGGCCTTGAACTCCTGGCTTCAAGTGATCAGCCTGCCTCAGCCCCACAAAGCGCTGGGATTACAGGCATAAGCCACCCCACCCAGCTGCTTTCTTCATAACTAGAGGCCACTACACAGAATTTACCAAACTCTTCTTGATAGTTCAGGATGCCCATCCTTCCAATAATAATACAGAGTTGCCGCTGGGGCTACTAAGCTAAATTGGGCTATTTGTGCTTTTTCTTTCTTTCTTTTATTTCTTCACCAAGACTCTTCCTTACACCAATATTTGTCCTTCTTTGAAGTGACTCCAGACAAGTACACATTTTGTAGTTTTATTCTTGCTTTTTCTATGATGTTCTTTCCCCTCTTTCACTGTCAGTGTAATAGAAGTCACTTGTCTCTATCTTCTGATTTGCTGCTTATTTTTTGGGAGCCATAAAACTAAATTTTTATGTTAGAATTAAGTCTAACATAAGAGAAAATACAGATCAGATCAGCTTTAGCACCTGGACTTTGAGATGCTGCTTTGAATTCTTGGTAAGTTTTTTAGCTTGATGGATTATTTTCTATTTCCTGAGAGCTGAGACTACTTTGTTAAATAACCACTGGGTACAAGAGAGTTTTTATAATATTATCACTATTGTTGACAGGAAGTAGTGGAGCTGAATCAGCAGGCTGATGTGTCCTCTAAATCAGTATTAAATAATGTGTTGTGATGATATGTACAGACCTCGGGTACTGGAGATGCCAGTTGCCAAACTGCATTACAGAACCAAGCCTTAAATTCCTTCTGATTATTAAGTATTCCACTGAGTGTGTGTGTGATAACAAAACAGTAGAGGATATTTTCTTCCCAGTGTTCTGCCAAATCTCAGCTTGAATTTAACACTTTGGCTGAGCACATTTCCCCTTTCTGTTTCATCTGGATAAATTTTGCTTTTTTGGCTTCCTGTCATAGAAGGTTATATTTACACAAAGGCCATATCTTATAACATCTCATCTTTGGATCGAAGGAATTTCACAGTGTACCGTCAAGCTAATTAGGAAGTAAAGCTGCTTAGTGTTAGCTGCTATGGAAACATCAGATACACATACATCAGACTATGTCATTTTAATTGGCATTGAGGAGAAGTGGACCTAACATCTAGGAACAATTGAAGCCAAAATTCTATGCTAACTTAACATGGCATTTTAAATTTGAAGTGAAAAGACTGTTTCTAGAAGGTGAAACATGTTCTTTTATGAAAAAACATGAAAAAAGGACACCTGAAATGAAAACAATATTTAAATTGAGTTCATGTGGTTTTATGGAAAAGTACCATGAATTTGCCTACCTTTGTTTCTGCTAAATCTAACCTCTTAGAAAGCTATAAAATCTGTATGCTCAAAGAGCTTCGCTGTGTGCATTTATGAGAACCTAGTCATTAACCCGCAGAATAGTGAATCAGCCAATAGTGTTTGCAGTCCTTCAGTATTTTTATAATTGGTGTTTTGGTTAAGATTCTTTCATTTATAAGAAAAGAAACTGACTTTAGCTCATCTCAGTGAAATAAGGGAGTGTGTGAAAAGGGCTGCTCACAAAATCAAAGGAAGAGCAGTGTACATAGTCTTTGGAGAGGACAGAAATGGGAGCAGATCCAGGGAAATCATCAGGGCTGGCTGCTCACAAATCCTCTCTGTAAGACACTCACATTGGATGACTCAGCTCTCAGAAACTTGCATTTCTGACAAACCTCAAGTCATTTTCAAATGCCTGTGGGGGGAATATCCTGTTGGCCCAGGTGGACTTAGAATTTCTGCTTTTGGATTAATAGCCAATGCAAAGGATACGGGGGAAGCATAAAAGGAAGAGTGATACTGACAGGGCCACTCAGAGAATCATGTACTGAGTAGCAGCCTGATTTGGGAATGCTATTTTTGATGAGCTCATAATCAGTTTCAAGATGAATTTAGTAATAAACAGAACTTTAGTTTTTCCCATATTTTTATCTTTATAAATTAATAATTTTAACACTTTATTAAATACCTACAGTGTACCAGGAAGAAGACGACACTCCAGATATAAAAAAATAAGCTCTAGCTCAAGTCAAAAATGCAGATGTGTAACTAAAGTGATTCGCAACGTAGCAGATGTAATGCAGGCTTGCACCTATTTAGGTAGTTATTAGAAGCATTGAAGAAAAGCATCAATCTACATAGACCTGATGATATCAGGGAAAACTTTATAGAGGAAAGAATCTTTGGGTTGAGTTTCAAAGGATAAGTGGGAATTTGCTATGAAACGAGAGGAGAGAAAAACTGTAGAAAAACTGTATTTCAAAGCATCCCGCATCTACAAAGAGCATGGCTCAGGTGGGAGCTGCAAATGGTTCAGTGTTTTTGGAAGTTTGGAATCTGAAGACGTTACTGAAAATGAGTCTGGAGAGAGAAGCAGTACCTGAAATTTCTGTTATGCACATTAAGACATTGGACAATGGAGAGTCATTAAAAGATTTTTTATTTGGAAAAGTATCATGATTGGAGTTGGTTTTAGGAAGGCAACTTTGGCCAGGCATAGTGGTTCATGTCTATAATCCAGCACTTTAGGAGGCTGAAGCATGTGGATCTCTTGAGCCTAGGAGTTTGAGACCAGCCTGGGCAAGGTGGCAAAATCTTGTCTACAAAGCATAAAAATTATCCATGCATTGTGGTGCATGCCTGTAATCCCAGCTACTCTGGCAGCTGAAGTGGGAAGATCACCTGAACCCAGGGGATTGAATCTGAAGTGAGCCATGATCTCACTATTGCACTCCAGTCTGGGCAACAGAATGAGACCCTGACAAAAGAAAAAAAAATATAGACAACTTTGGCAGCAATGTGGAAAAGAATTTAAATAAGAGAAGACCAGTATAAGACTGCTGCAATAGACCATTTAGGGAGGTCGAGAGAAATTCAGTCTTCTTTCTCAGGCAGCAGTTAAGATAGGGGGGTCACTAACTGATGTAAGCAACTTAAGGAATGTTAAAAAGTTAAAATCATTCAGAGGCTAAGGCATACTTGGGTCTGCAGTCGGAAGAGGAGGGAAAGACTAGAAACTTGTATTTCTGAGTCAACAACATAATATAGCAATTTTAAGTGTGAGTATTGATGAGGTTTCACATATAAAATATTAGAATATTCAGAGATCACCAGACAGAACCCTGGAGACAAGGGATGGATCAAGGAAAATAAGTCTGAGTTAGAAAATCTAAAATAGTAGGAAGAAGGCCAGTAGGGAGCAGAGTTACAGAGAGTAAACAGAGGAAAGGGAAGGGAGTTTCAAGAAAAAAGTATGTATCTGTTAGGATTATACTTAGTTGCAGGTTACAGTCCTTTCTCACATAGACTAGATGTATAGTTAGGCAGCCTACACTAGTGTGGGGCCTCTATTATCATCCAGTTCTTTCTACATTCTACTCTGCATCTTAATCGTCCAAGATGGTTGCTCAAGATTCATCCCAGAAGGAAAAAGGACAGGCCGAAGAAGAGTGCATCACTACCTTGAAAGACACTTACTCTACATTTTATACAACATTTCTAATTCCAATCCATTGGCAGAATTTAGCCACATGGCCATATCTGACTTCAAAGGAGGCTGGGAAAAATAAATCTTATTCTAGACAGCCATAATTCCAGGTGAGCAATGGGTTCCATTTAATAAGAAAAAAGGGGAAAAAGGATCCTGGGAAGCAATTGGAAGCCTTTGTCACATAGGAGTTAGTGAACAATGACATAAATTGAAGAGAGTTGTTGTAAGAAAAAGACTGAAGAGTGTTTATTGCACTAACTAGTGACAATCTTGGCAAAAGTAGTTTCTTGGAGTAGTGAGAATGTAGGTCAAACTGCAGTAGATGAAGAATTGACTT
Organism: Homo sapiens; assembly: GCF_000001405.40. Taxonomy (NCBI): domain Eukaryota; kingdom Metazoa; phylum Chordata; class Mammalia; order Primates; family Hominidae; genus Homo; species Homo sapiens. The sequence goes on from NC_000008.11 coordinate 86,179,153, forward strand.
TAAGATAAAGAAAATGAATATGAGTTGAAAATAAGCTGGGCTGCGAAAAGGAAGGTGAGAAGGAAGACTGTAGTTAGCTCAGCACCTTCATGAGAATAGAGCTCATGGATAAGACTTTGATGGGCCATGTGCAAACTGAAGCAGAGGAAACCAGTCATCATGAAGTTGAGAATGGAGCAACCTGCTTCTCCTGGAAACTTCTTCCAATGTCCTCCCAAAGCAGTTCCACCAACATGGGATAGAAGAATGAGAGATATCATATTTCTTGTTTTTGTTTTTGTTTTGAGATGGAGTCTTGCTCTGTTGCCCAGGCTGAAGTGAAGTGGCACAATCTCAGCTCACTGCAACCTCTGCCTCCCAGGTTCAAGCAATTCTCCTATCTCAGCCTCCTGAGTAGCTGGGACTACAGGTGCCTGCCATCACGCTGGGATAATGTTTGTATTTTTTAGTAGAGAGAGACGGGGTTTTACCATGTTGGCCAGGCTGGTCTCGAGCTCCTGATCTCAAGTGATCCACCTGCCTCACCCTCCCAAAGGGCTGGGATTACAGGCGTGAGCCACTGCGCCCAGTCAAGATATATCATGTTTCTTATATGATCCATTTCCTTGTCAGAATTAATTGGTAGTTAATCTAATCCAAATTGGTCTAAAGAATCCATACCAGTGAACCACCTGAATGAATGAGGAGTGGCTAATGTACTCAAATGAGCCAGTTTCCCCACCATGGGATTTTTAGATTTTATACTGGAGAAATACCAAATCAATTTCATTTCAGTGATTGAAACTATAAACTGTAAAATTCGTTGGCAATCATGTTTTCCATCATGTTTTGAAAAGCAACCTGCAATGAGGAAGACAAATAAAAATATAGAGAAATGCGAAGATGAAAGACTAACAGAAAGAAAAATGAGTGCTAGCACCATTTCGATCCTTACTTACTTCCGATTGTTCCTGAGACCCAGAAACATTATTTCTCTCAAGATCTGAGATAATCAGTATTTCTATAAGAAAATTTCTCTTTCTGCTTAAATAAATTGTAGCTGAGTTTCTGTCATTTACCATTAAAAATGTCTGATTAAAACTGAGAGGAACATGTTTATATGTTTAGAAAAAAGTCAGAAGAAAGGTTGAAGATACAAAAAGACTGAGAATTTGAGAGTATGTATATCCAAGATAGCAATCTTGTTTCTGCTTCCCTCTGAGGTAACAGTCCCTGCCCCAAATCACTATTCTCTTTATGACCTCAATCCCTAGACATAGCTGTTTGAATCATGAGAGGGCACCTGCCTTCCTTCTACATCCTAGATGAACTGGTCTGAGCACGTTCTTCTGTGAGGTTTATAATTGAGATGTGTGGACACTAAGCTCATAAAGAATCAGGGCTAAGACTATGATGGGTCATATGCAAGCTGATGCTGAGGAAGCCCACCATAAGAACGGAGAATGGAGCATTCTGCAGAGAGCAGAGGTGACTGGGCCTCTAAAGGGGTGGGGGTGATCGAGGGAGTAGACACTTTTTGTTTTTTTAATAGAGACAGGGTCTCACTCTGTCACCTAGGCTGGAGTACAGTGGTATGGTATCATAGCTCACTGCAGCCTTGAGCTCCTAGGATCAAGTGATCCTCCCATCTGAGCCTCCTAAGTAGCTAGGACCACAGGCATGTACCATCATGCCCAGATAACTTATTTTATTTTATTTTTGTTTTAGAGACACGGTTTTGCTATGTTGCCCAGGCTAGTCTTGAACTCCTGGCCTTAAATGATCCTCCTGCCTTGGCCTCCCAAAACACTAGGATTACAGGTGTGAGGCCATCATGCCTGGCTCCTGGGAATAGATGCCTTGATTCATGCCAATCTGTACATTGTTCAAGGGTAGGAGCTTTGGAATCACTTAAATCTATCTCTGAGCCCTGGCTCCCCTATCAACTTGTGTGACCTTGAACAAGTTACTTAACCTCTTTAAAACTCATTTTTCTCATCTGTAAAATGAAGCTAATAGTAGTATCGTTCTCACAGGATTGTTAGAATCAAAAGAAAGATGCATGTGAAGTGCAGAGCAGTGTCTCACAGTAAACTCACAGTTAATGCTAATAACATAGCATAATCATATCCAATGCTACATGTAATAATTATAATCAAATACAATGACATAAAAGGTAAGCTCTTTCCAGTTCCAATTCTCATTAATCTCAGATACTGTCTTCATTTCTCAATGAAATCTGCGTATCCTTGAAATATCTTTTCTTTCTATTTGCTCTGGTTAGACTAAGAATTTGTTCTTGACAAACGCAGTGAGAATGTTTGCATCCCAATCCCCAGGGTGAGCTTGGACAAGTTACTTCCTTACCCGACATTCAGCAACATTGCCCCCTCCATCCGTCCTGAGCGCTCTCTTCTCTTGGCTTCTGTGACCAAGAGAAGCCAAGGAGTCTCCTGGCTTTCCTCCTACCCACTGGCCATGGTGTCCCTCTTATCCTGGCTCAGCCTCTTCTGCTTGTCTTTAAATGCTGCATATTCTCAATAATCATTCCTAAGTGTCCTCATTTTTCTCACTTTGTATTTTCTCCCTAGGCTATAATATCGGTGCATGGTATCAATTATCATGTAATTTAAACTTTGACTCCCAAAAGGTTATCTTCAGCCCAAACCTCTCCTAATCTCCAAATCTGCATATCTCACTACCCACTCAACATTTTACCTGGAGATCTGAACGAAAGATTCATCAAAATCTACAAATTCAAAACTGATCTCATGATCTTTTCCTCTAAAACTATTTCTCCCGACCCAAGGGTTTTCTATCTTGATACCACCACCCATCCACTCTTCCAGTTTTGCAAGCCAGAGACCTGTAGACATCATCCTCTGCCTTGCGTCTTAGTCCATCAAGACTTGTTGATTTTACCATCAAATTGTTTCTTGACTTTGTCAACTGCTTATTCTCTATTGCCATCACTCTTATTCTAGCCATCATCATCTTTCTCTTGGACTCTCACACTGTACTCAGAAATTGTCTCATTGCATCCCATTTTAATCCATGCTATAGTCAAAGTTTTATTTTAAAAATAAAAATATGTTCAATGCAATAGCTTTCCATTGCTCTTTAAGATAATAATCAAACTCCTTATGGCATACAAGGATCCTCTGTGATCTAGCCTCTCGGGAAGAAAAGGAGTGCGTTGGATCTGGCTCATACTGGCTGGCACCTGCATGCAGATGGTTAAATATTTTGGAAATTTGCAAGCTGATTGCTGAATCATTGGATGTGGGGAGAGTATGTATCCTGTGGAAACTGGCAAATGCTACAAAGGGTTTTCCCCACACCTCCCCTCTCTCCTCCATGCAGGAGAACCAGTTTAACAGCACTCGGTTCTCTCTCCAGGCTTAACCGTTCTTTCATTCCGTACTTTAACCACATTGACCAACTTTAAGTTTCTCTAACATGTCATAGTTCCTTATATTTAAGAACTATCAAATATATTGGCTGCCTTTCCCAGGAAACTATAAACTCCAAGAAGTCAGTGACTCTCTGTTTGCCCAACATTAAATCCTCAGTGCTTTTCAGTGCCTGGCGCATAGTTGGTGCTAGGTAAGTACCTATTGAATAAGTGCCTGCTCTCACATGGATTTTACAGATCTCAAAACAATGTGATGTCTGTGATAATGCCCTAAAAATGATGAAATAATACATAGATATGATTATGGATATTAAAATGTTTCCTGAACAAATAGATTTTTTCTATTTTTATTAGTTTTTTCTATTTTCCACTTAAGATGGTATCACAATTTATTTTCTAAATGATGAAATGTTTGTTTCTCTAAAGCAGTCATAATTGAATCATGATATTAACATATATTTAACTTGAATTAGATATGACTTTTGTTATAATAAAATTATGTTCCCTAGCAAGAAGACTCAGGCAAAAAAAAATGTTTTTAATTATGTCAGAGTAAATGAGGGTGATATTTTCAATGGAGCCTTTAAAAATTCTTCTTTCCTATTTTAAAATTAGCTTTCCAGAAATGCACACTCTATTCTTTATATGCTGATACAGCTAAAACATAATAGTAAACTATTTTCTCACGAAGAGATTTGTTTAAATTATCAGAACTCTCTTGGAAAACACTTTCAGTAACTTATTTAACTTGAATTCTAATGAAGTGAAAATTGCATCATCATCATAATTATTAAGATTATATCCACTGGCAAAATTTTCCATTTATATGGAAAAAATATGTTCATTGTTATATTGGTATTTTTAACCATTCATACATTTTTCATTCTTCTCTCTTCTCCTCCAGTGAATATTTTTTTGGTCTCTACGGTACTCAAGGCAAATTATATTTAGTTTAACATGTGAACTAATTAGTAAAGGCAATACTTTTTGCAAATATCATATTTTACTTGGTATATCTATTTCTCCCACATTATTGCATCTTAATTTGGGGATACTAAAATTCTCCACCATGGGATAATATAGGCTAAGAGTTGCTACTATTTTCCATAATTAGTGGTTGTTGTTTTTTAATTTTTATACAAGGTGTGATTTAGTAGATATGTTTTAGATTGACTTTGAGGATCTAGTCAATCTCCCATGGTTTCAAGTCCAAATTATCTCCATATTAGGCATAACAGAAACAAAGATGCTACATAGAATAATCAGACTAAGTGGTCAACTCTCAGTTCATGAGTTGGCCTCTCCCACTGGTTTTCTTATTCTTGTATCTGGATGTCTTCCAGTGATGCAATGTTCCTTGCTTGTAAAATTGCACATTTATGCATCACCTTATTAAATTTGCTTGTGTGTCTATCATTCTGAAAGTGCTTCTTGTTCTTTAGTGAAGCATTGTTCTAGTTATGTGTTGTCTTTTCCTGTCAGTACACACTATTTGTTGTAATTAGTCTCTGGCTTCAAGTCTATACAAAATGAGCAGACATTTGCACAGTCTTTCAGTTGCATCTGATCATTGTGGACAATAAGCCAATGATTTAGACAAAAAATAACCTCATTCTTTTCCTTTATAAAAGAAATAGTTTGTACTTTTTGCTTGGATCTTATTTGTACTTCATCTGTCCTCATGTTTGTCTAGATAGATTTACCTTATATAAACATTTTTCTCTTTTATTTATTTATTTATTTTGAGACAGGGTCTCACTCTGTCACCCAGGCTGGAGTGCAGTGGCACAATCTCGGCTCACTGAAACCTCTGCCTCCTGGGTTCAAGCAATCCTCCTGCCTTAGCCTCCCGAGTAGCTGGGATTACAGGCATGCACCACCATGCCCAGCTAATTTTTGTGTTTTCAGTAGAGACGGGGTTTCACCATGTTGTCCAGGCTGGTCTCGAACTCCTGATCTCAGGTGATTCACTTGCCTCAGCCTCCCAAACTTCTGGGATTACAGGTGTGAGCCACTGTGCCTGGCCTCCACCTTTTATTTTTAAACCAAGCATTATAATATAAATACCAGTAACGTTGTTCTGTTCAAAATTTAGTATTTTTCCTTTTTATGTGACTTACAATTTGTACATCTTATTAGACTTTCTCCCTCAAGCTCATGCACTACACCAGGCAGAGAAATTCATGAAGATATGCATTTAGGTAATGGCCCTCAAAAAACAAAACTGGCTTAATGTAAAATCGTTGTTGTTGTTTTTTTTTTCTTTAATCTTCCCCAACTTAAATCTTTTAATTTAAAAGTAAACTTTACTGTCGAAAACGCAAACTTGGGGATGGCAGAAAGATCACACACAAGGCTGCCACTTCACACCTGGAGGGTTGCACGGCAGCCAGGCAGAGGCGCTCCTCACTTCCCAGTTGGTGCAGCAGCTGGGCAGAGGTGCTCCTCACAATGATTTTTTTTTTTTAATTATCATTAGGTACATGGTTCATGTTTGTAATCCCAGCACTTTGGGAAACTGAGGCAGGAGTATCACTTGAGCCAAGGATTTCAAGAACAGCCTGGGAAACACGACAAGACCTTGTCTTCACAAAAATTAAAAAATTAGCCAGGCATGATGACATGCACCTGTAGTCCTAGATGCTCAGGAGGCTGAGGGGAGAGGATTGCTTGAACCTAGGAGGTTGAGGCTTCAGAGAGCCATGATTGCACCACTGTACTCCAGCCTGGGTGATAGAGTGAGACCCTCATCTCTAAAAAAATTTAAAAATTAATAAATAAATAATACATTTTCAAATACTATGTCCAACACACCTCTGGCATTTACTCCACTCTTGCTTTCTCCAATATTCCCTAAGCCCCTCAGATTAGGCCAAATCTCTTCATTAAATGCTCTTATAATACAATTTTCTTTTCTTCTTTTTTGAGACGGAGTCTCACCCTGTCACACAGGTTAGAGTGCAGTGGCGCGATCTTGACTCACTGCAACCTCCACCTCCCAGGTTCATGTGATTCTCCTGCCTCAGCCTCCTGAGTAGCTGAGATTACAGGTGTGCACCACCATACCCGGCTACATTTTGTATCTTTAGTAGAGATGGGATTTCATCATGTTGGCCAGGCTGGTCTTGAACTCCTGGCCTCAAGCAGTCCACCCGCCTCAGCCTCCTAAAGTGTGGGCTCATGTCAGCATGAGCCACCGAACCTGGCCCTTACATATGTAACTTTTAACTCAGTTTGTAATTATATATTTATTTTGAGATCAGTTGATTACTAAGTTTCCCTGTAGACTGTAAGCTCAAGGAAGGCAAAGCTTGCATTAATTAAGGTACAGGCTAAAGTGCTTTAACAAATAGAACTCCAAATAATGTCACTTATACAAGCTGCACATATATAATTTTTTCATATAACCTTCTAGCTGATGGGATTGCTCTGCTGCCCTCAATATGTAGCTTCCATCTCTCAGTCAAGCTGCCAAGTTCTTGCTACCTCTTTGTCAATAAGAAGAGGAAAAGGATGAGAGGTGCATAAGTTGAATACTTTAAAAGCTGAGCTCTCTAAAGTAGCAAACACTGCTTCCACTCATTACATTAGCCACAACTTGGTCACATGAGTACACCTAATAGCAAAAGAACCTGCACACTGTAGGCTTTAGCTGGCAATTATCAATACTAGGGAAGGAGAGGAAATTAAATATAGGGAGACAGGCCAAACACGGTGGTTCATGCTTGTAATACCAGCATTTTGGGAGGCTGAGCCAGGCAAATCACCTGAGGTCAGGAGTTCGAGACCAGCCTGGCCAACATGGTGGAGGTTGCAGTGAGCCGAGATTGCACCACTGCACTCCAGCCTGGGTGACAGGGTGAGACCCTGTCTCAAAAAATAAATACATAATATAAATACAGGGAGACAACTAGCTGTCTGCCACAGATCTGTGTCTTATTCATGAACACAGTGTCTCTGGAGCCTACCACAGTGCCTGCTCCAGAGCACCTGCTCAACAAATACTCATAAGATGGATTGATGAATGGACCTCACATCTTCACGCCATCACTGACATCACCCATACCTTATTCTCACCCCTTCCCTCTCCTCTACCCAAGGCAGCTGTGGATCCAGGAGACCAGGAGACCCAGGAGATTTCCAGAAGCATGAGAGTAACTGTATGTACAGGTTACAAAGTGGCTTTCTTGCAAGGGTGAAGCTGGTGAGGTTGACTGGTATCTGTGCTATGAGAATCTTTATGGGTTTTTTTTGTTTTTGTTTCTGTTTTTTATTTTTTTTTCTTTTTTTGAGATGGAATTTTGCACTTATTGCCCAGGCTGGAGTGCAATGGTGCGATCTCGGCTCACTGCAACCTCCACCTCCAGGGTTCAAGCGATTCTCCTGCCTCAGCCACCCAAGTAGCTGGGATTACAGGCATGTACCACCATGCCCGGCTAATTTTGTATTTTTAGTAGAGACGGGGTTTCTCCATGTTGGTCAGGCTGGTCTCGAACTCCCAACCTCAGGTAATCCACCTGCCTCAGCCTCCCAAAGTGCTGGGATTACAGGCGTGAGCCACCGTGTCCGGCTGAGAATCTTTAATTCCTGAAATGAAGTGAAGACTTTTCAGAAGATATCCAGGTGGGTGGGTTTTCCAGGTCCAGTCATCTTTGCCACATCATCCACCACTCTAAGTTGAAAGTGTGGCAGTTTCCTCTTCTAGTTGAACAGAGAGGTTGTTGAAATGGAAACACACACATACCACACACATCTCCAAAAACCCAACATTAATTCTGAGTGATGGTCCTGTGCAAATTCAGAAAAAGAGAAAAAAATTTCGTTTTTCACAACTGAGCTACACTTCTCATTATCGATGAAAACAGATGGGAAATAGGACAATGACTCTTCAAGGAAAATGTAATTGCGACTGTCTCTATGCCCACCTAGCACTTTCCATAGCACTTTTCATGTGGTATTATAGTTAATGACATTGTGAGATATTTGTGAACTGAAAGCATATCTTGTTTTTATTTATATTTTCCCAAGCACTGAGTAGCACATATTAGTACTCAACAAAAGTCTGTTGAATGAATCAGTGAATGAATGGAGAATTAATGAATAAGTTAATGAATCTCCTGGGTTATTGTGTTAAAAATGTAACTGCAGGAATAAAAGGTGACTAGAAGAATAAAACTTCCGCCTCCCTCCTCTTGAAAGAAACTGATCTCAGCAACTTGGCAGGGCCTTTGGGAAGAAAAGGTGTTGGCCATTGTAAGAAATATTTGGAAACAAGGGAAGAAGACAAAACTATTTTTTTGCTTAGCCTAAAAAATGTGAAATAGTAATTCAGTTATGGAAGAAAAAGACATTTCCCAACTTCCTTTTAGAACTGGAATTCACTGTCTCTCAGGATTAACATATAGCTTTGGAAGGTGGTGTGTGTGTGTTTTGTGTGTGTGTGTGTGTGTATGTGTGTGTGTATGTGTATGTTTTGTCTGTGTGTATTGTGTGTGTTTTGTTTGTATGTGTGTGTGTTTTGTGTGGTGTGTGTGTGTGTGTTTTGTGTGTTCCTTACTGCACAGTTGGAGGAATAAAGTGCCCTTCCTTCCACTTACAGTGTTCCCACAGGTTTAATTCTCCTGGGGAACTCATGCCCACCCTGGATATTGCCAAGCTATCTGGGGAGTGTCAGCACAGGTTATGGACTGCCCTGTTGACAGGGTCTTTGGCTCTGTCACTGCCCCCCACCACAAGAACATTACTTCAAAAGCAAGGACTCTTGAGTTAGGAAAATATACTTCTGTGGAAGAGAATAGCATGGAAACAGATCTCAATCTCTCTGGCTAAGAGGCATCATCTCTGTCTTAGCCCACGTGGGCTGCTTGTAACAAAATACCATAGACTGGGTGGCTTATAAACAACAGAAATGCATTTCTCACAGTTCTGGAGGCTGGGAAATCTGAGATCAAAGCACCAGCAATTCAGTGCCTTGTGAGGGCCTGTTTCTCATTGTATCCTCACATGGTGGAAGTGCCAAGGGGTCTCTCTTGGGCCTCTTTTATAAGGGCACTAATCCTATTTACGAGGGCTCTGTCCTCATGATGTAATCACCCCTCAAAGTCCTTGCCCCCCAGTGCCATCACCTTGTGTGCATAGACATCAACATATGAATTTGGGAATGGGGAACATAAACATGCAGAACATAATGTTTCCCAAAACAGTTTCCCAAAAGGAGGGTAGAAATCTGCAGAGCAGAAGTCAGAAACATGACACATGGGGTGGAAGAAGCCAGGTTAGGAACAAGAATGAGCTCAAGAGGAGTTCCTTTATGAATGTTGTAGCTTCTTGGGTGCTGTCCCTATGGCAGAGTTCCCCCATCTTTTGGGCACCAGGGATTGGTTTTGTGGAAGACAATTTTTTCAGGGACTAGGGTCGGGGTTGATAGTTTCAGGATGATTCAAGTGCATTATGTTTATTGTGCACTTTATTTCTATTATTATTACATTGTAATATATAATGAAATAATTATACAACTCACCATAATGTGGAATCAATGGGAGCCTTGAGCTTGTTTTCCTGCAACTAGATGGTCCCATATGTGGGTGAGGGTAGACAGTGACTGTGCTAGTCCATTCTCATGCTGCTAAGAAGAAATACCCAAGACTGGGCAATTTATTAAGAAAAGAGTTTAATTAACTCACAGTTCCACAGGGCTGGGGAGGCATCAGGAAACTTACAATCATGGTGGAAGGGGAAGCAAACACATCCTTCTTCACATGGGCAGGAAGGAAAAGTGCCAGGCAGAGGGGAAAAAGCCCCTTATAAAACCATCAGATCTCATGAGAACTCACTCACTGTTACGAGAACAGCATGGGGGTAACCACTGCCATGATTCAATTGCCTTCCACTTGATCCCTCCCACAACACGTGGGGATTACGGGAACTACAGTTCAAGATGAGATTTGGGTGGGGACATAGCCAAATCATATCATTCTGCCCGTGGCCTCTCCCAAATCACATGTTCTCACATTTCAAAACAGAATCATGCCTTTCCAACAGTCCCCCAAAGTCTTAGCTCATTCAAGCATTAACCCAAAAGTCCAAGTCCAAAGTCTCATCTAAAACAAGGCAAGTCCCTTCTGCCTATGAGCCTGTAAAATCAAAAGCAAGTTAGTTACTTTCTAGATAGAATGGGGTTACAGGCATTGGGTAAATACATTTCAGATGGGAGAAATTGGCCAAACAAAGGGTCTACAGGCCCCATGCAAGTCTGAAATCCAATAGGGCAGCCATTAAACCTTTCAAAATGCTCCTTTGACTCTATATCTTACATGCAAGTCACACTGATGGAATAGGAAGGCTCTGAAAGCCTTGGGCAGCTCTGCTCCTGTGGGTTTGCAGGGTACAGCCCTGCTCCTGGCTGCTTTCACAGGCTGGTATTGCATGTCTGCAGCTTTTCCAGTGCAAGCTTGCACAGTGCAAGCTGCTGGTGGATCTATCATTCTGGGGTCTGGAGGATGGTGGCCCTCTTGTCACAGCTCCACTAGGCAGTGCCCCAGTGGGGACTCTGTGTGGGGGCTCCAACTCCACATTTCCTTTCTACATTGCTCTAGCGGAGGTTCTCCATGAGGGCTCTGCTCCTTTGGCAAACTTCTGCCTGGACATCCAGGCATTTCCATACATCCTCTGAAATCTAGGTGGCGGTTCCACAACCTCAATTCTTGACTTCTGTGCACCTACAGTCCCAACACCAGGTGTAAGTCACCAAGGACTGGGGCTTGCATCCTCTGAAGCAACAGCCTGAACTGTACCTTGGCCCCTTTTAGCCACAGCTGGAGTTGAAGTAGCTGGGATGCAGGACACTATGTTCCAAGGCTGCATAGATTGGGGGTGCCTTGGGCTCAGCCCATGAAACAACTTTTTTCTCCTAGGCCTCCAGGCATGTAATGGAAGGGGCTGCCGTGAAGGTCTCTGACATTTTCCCTGTCATCTTGGTGATTAACATCCCACTCCTTACTACTTATGCAAATTTCTGCAGCAGGCTTGAATTTCTTCCCAGAAAATTGGTTTTTCTTTTCTATCACATCGTCAGGCTGCAAATTTTCAAAACTTTTATGCTTTGCTTCCTCTTGAATGATTTGCCACTTAGAAATTTAGGGTATCTCCACCAGATACCCTAAATCATCTCCCTCAAGTTCAAAGTTCCACAGATGTCTGGTGCAGGGGCAAAATGCCACCAGTCTCTTTGCTAAAGCATAGCAAGAATCACTTTTGCTCCAATTCCCAACAGGTTCCTCATCTCCATCTGAGACCACCTCAGCCTGGACTTTATTGTCCATATCACCATCAGTATTTTGGTCAAACAAAGTCAACAAGTCTCTAGGAAGTTCCAAACTTTCCCACATCTTGTCTTCTGAGCCCTCCAAGTCTCTAGCAAGTTCCAAACTTTCCTACATTTTTTATCTTCTTCTGAGCCCTCCAAACTGTTGCAACCTTTTCCTGTTACACAACTTCAAAGTCGTTTCCACATTTTTGGGTATCTTTATAGCAGCACCCCATTCTCTGAGGTACCAATTTACTGTATTACTCTGTTCTCACATTGCTATGAAGAAATACCTGAGACTGGATAATTTATAAAGAAAAGAGGTTTAATTGACTCACGGTTCCTCATGGCTGGGGAGGTCTTAGGAAACTTACAATCATGGCAGAAGGGCAAGCAAACACGTCCTTCTTCATACGGTGGAATGAAGGAGAAGTGCCAAGCAAAAGGGAAAACGTCTTTTATAAAACTATCAGATCTCATGAGAACTCACTCACTATCATGAGAACAGCAAGGAGGTAGTCACCCCCATCATTCAGTTACCTCCTACAGGATCCCTGTAGGATCCTGGGGATTATGGGAACTACAATTCAAGATGATATTTGGGTGGGGACACAGGCAAACCATATCAGTGACAGATCATCAAGCATTAGATTCTCATAAGGAGCACACAACCTAGATCCCTTGTGTGCAAAATTTACAACAGGGTTCACGCTCCTATGAGAATCTAATGCTGCCATTGATCTGACAGGAGGTGAAACTCAGGCAGTAATGCAAGCCACAGGGAGCAACCATAAACACAGATGAAGCTTCACTCTCTTACCTGCTGCTTACCTCCTGCTGTGTGGCCCAGTTCCTAACAGGCCACAAATCTGTACCTGTGGACCCCTGCCCTATGAACTTGGGAACAGTCACATTTGAAGTATATTTGATATCACTCTTGAATTACACTGAACAATGTAATAAAGTTTGAGGAAACTGTTCTGTATACTGCAATGGCGGGTGGCGGTACAGGAGAGTGGGCCTTTACTTCATTAACCTTGTCTACCTTGGTGCCCCTGGATAGGAGCTTATAGCTTTTTACCAGGCTTGCAATTGAGCCAGAGTAGGGCAGGTGTGCTCTGAGGGGACCACTCTCACACAGAGGGGAGTCAAGATTTCAAATGGAAAATAGCAGCTCCCTTCCCCAAAAGACAGATAATTTTTTTCTGACCTACTCCTTAGTTGAATCTCTTTGGGTTAACTTGACAAAGAGTTAATAGACACCAGAATCCTTAAAAGAATCATATCTGTAGTTAATCTTGTCTTTCATATTCCCATTTATAAAGAGTTTGCCTATAAGTAAGAGGCCAGAAAGCCTACAGATATTATGTAACTTAAGTCTGTCATTGTTATCTGAGTGGTTCCAGTGATTCATGGGACCATTGGTGGGAATGAAGGTGGCATAATAAGACTGTATTTAAAGAACATAGTACCTTAAGTACATGAAATAGTTTTATAACTGAGTCCTTATTAAATAGGATTTATCTCATAAGCTTAATGTTAGTTAGGTAACTATTGAAAAAGTGTATACAATGCTTTTATAACATATTGTTTCCAATATAAACAGATTATAACCTGTTCTCAATTTGAATGTATCATCTCCAATCTGAACACAATAACTCAAAGCTAAAATAGCCGTTCAGCTGTTTATATGGACATGCTTTTATATATAATTTTTATGTTTAATATGTGACTGCTGATTTCTCTGTTAAATCTTCCAGAAATTATCCACCCTTTTCCATGGTTTACAATAATTCCAGATTTCCTATTTAAATAGCATCCACCCAGCAAGCACTCAAGAATTACATATTAATGACGGCCATGTTAGCAGTAATGTAGAATGTAAGGTGGACTAAATTAAACATTTTTTAAAACCATCCATCATGCATTAGATTTTTTTCCCATGACAGAATTTCAGTGGCAATGATGAAATCTCAGGGTTTTCGCAGGGAAATTTGCCCCTGATTTTGTCTGCATCTCCCTTCCTTTTGCACCACATCTCCTCCCAGGGATTCCTCCAGTAAGCATCAATATTTGGCCCTAGCACCCTGCCTGCCACTCCTCAGCTGCTGTTGGGAGTGGAACAGCCACCTACAGCAGTCACCTCAGGACTCCTCTTCCTCCCAACAGACCCTGTGCGGGAGTGCCTCTCCAATCTCCTCCAACATCCATGAGAAACAGCTTCCAAGACTCTTGCTGTAGAGGTGACATGTGGCCCTAGTTCTTTGGAATGTTCTCTGGCCCTTGAAGTGATTAGGAAGATAAATTAATGCAGTGCCAACACTGATTACAATGAGAGGAATGCAAACCAAGTTGCCCACGGAAATTGCCATTTTACTACCTGACCTGGTCTGCACGTCCGTCAATCATTTGGCAAAAAGTCAGTTGCGAGAAGTTTCCTGGACCAGAAACCAGTTAATCTGAATTTTCCTCTGAAAGCCTAAAGTCAGTAACCTTGGACTGTCTTTTAATGAATTAATTAAGAATATTCATTAATTAAGTAATTTTAGCTGGACTAATTATAGAGATTAGTTTGGTCCTACATAGGCACAAAACTGACCTGGTTTCTTTAGTGTCTTTAAGCTCAACTGAAACTGCATCATGTACATTCTACGTTGATTCATAGCCTTTCCTTCAGGTACCAGGAAAGCATCTCTGTGTAGATATGATTTATCACGGTAAATGGGCCATGATGCTGCAGCTTCCTACTTATTAGATTATTTTCCATTTCCACTCTCAGAATACATTTCAAGTCCTGAAAAGTTCTTCCTGGCAAATAGTAGGCATATAAATATTCCTTGAATGAAAAAATAATCTTAGTTTCCTTTTCAATTTATAAGACAAAAATTTTCAATAAACTTCTCATGTATTATTTTATGTGTCCGTTTTCCAAAACGTGTACTATTTGTTAATGAAATCCCTATAATAGTACTACCTGTCAAAACAAATAATACACAATTTGGAAAACCTACACATAGTACTACCTATCAATATGTATACACATACATATATACATATTACATATATATATATATATAAAACATGTTATATATATATATATATATATAACAATTTTTACTAAAGAGACAGGTCTCATTACATTGCCCAGGCTACTCTCAAATTCCTGGGCTCAAGTGATCCTCCCACAATGGCTTCCCAAATTGCTGGGACACAGGTGTGAGCCACCACACCCAGCCTATTAAAGGATTTCTATTGTCAAATGCTTTTTAGAAGGTTTAGATAAAATATAGTTAAGATTAGTTTACTCCCATTCTGTAGGTTGCCTGTTCACTCTGATGGTAGTTTCTTCTGCTAGGCAGGAGCTTTTTAGTTTAATTAGATCCCATTTGTCTATTTTGGCTTTTGTTGCCATTGCTTTTGGTGTTTTAGTCATGAAGTCCTTGCCCATGCCTATGTCCTGAATGGTATTGCCTAGGTTTTCTTCTAGGGTTTTTATGGTTTCAAGTCTAACATTTAAGTCTTTAATCCATCTTGAATTAATTTTTGTATAAGGTGTAGGGAAGGGATCCAGTTTCAGCTTTCTACATATGGCTAGCCAGTTTTCCCAGCACCATTTATTAAATAGGGAATCCTTTCACCATTTCTTGTTTTTGTCGGGTTTGTCAAAGATCAGATGGTTGTAGATGTGTGGTATTATTTCCGAGGGCTCTATCTGTTCCATTGGTCTATATCTGTTTTGGTACCAGTACCATGCTGTTTTGGTTACTGTAGCTTTGTAGTATAGTTTGAAGTCAGGTAGGGTGATGCCTCCAGCTTTGTTCTTTTGGCTTAGGATTGTCTTGGCAATGTGGGCTCTTTTTTGGTTCCATATGAACTTTAAAATAGTTTTTTCCAACACACCAGGGCTTGTCGTGGGGTGGGGGGAGCAGGGAGGGATAGCATTAAGAGAAGATATACCTATTGTAAATGACGAGTTAACAGGTGCAGCACACCAACATGGCACATGTATACATATGTAACAAGCCTGCACGTTGTGCACATGTACCCTAGAATTTAAAGTATAATAAAAAAAAGATTAGTTTACTTACTGAATCATTTGGGAGAACTAAGTTGTTTGAGGTACTAACAATCAAAATAACATATTTTGGGAATGCCCAGAGCATAATTTATTTCATTCCCTAAAAATTTGTGTTATGTTTTATTAATCATTAAAATTAAATATGTCTTGGGTAAGCTAATTAAAATTAGGTGAGTTGGGTTTGCCTACTCCCCGGAACTAGAAGAGTTCCTAAATAGTAATACTAAAATTGCTCTTAAGTTAAAGACCTGACAAGCTTAGAATTCATTAAATGGCCTAAAATTTAGTAGAAAATGTAACAAATGTACTTGTAGGAGTTACCTAATTGTGACTTTTTTTCATATTTCTAGTTTGTTTTATATTTTCTAAATAACAGTAATAATACTTATTCAGTGGTATATTGTTTTTCCAGTATAAGATTCACATTCTTGGCATTTTATGATAAATGAAGATGGGTAATATAAGGAAAATTTGTCACTGACTTGGAGATGGCCAGCAGAGACTACTTGGCATCCTTTCAGTGGAATCCTGGGAGTTAGCAGAAAGATCCTCTGGAATTATGTAATTCTATAGGGATGTGACCTTTGATACTTTCAGGTTGTCTATGCTTTTGGCAAATCTGTGAGGATAGAAGTTAAGTTGTAGAAAACTGATAACAATGTAAATCATTCCTGTTCATGATGATGTAAATTAATTTTGTCCCATAAGGAAAATAAATCTCTATAAGTCACATTTGAACCTGTTTTAGCATCATACTAGTTCTCTCACTAATTAATGACATAATCTTTGATACAAGTTTATTTTACATTTGTATAAGAGTCATGATTTTACCATTTTGAAACTTACACTTTAACAATAAAATATGTTCCTGCCTCTTAGAAGTCTGTAATCTGAAATGAGGAAATACATATGCATCATATCTATAATACATATCAAAATTTGTTAAATTCTCTGTAGGAACTTGAGAGTTCATTAGAGAGAAGACTCCTACTGTTTAGAGAACAGAGATTTCAAGGAAGGATTAAGGCTGGCATCCTGATAGCAAAGGTGGAGACAAAGGAAAGCATTCCAGGTGATAATATTATACACAAATAGACTGAAATGAAGAAGTGAATTGAATGTTGAAGGAACAATTAATCAGTTTAGTTAGTTTAGTCAGAACGTATACCGGGAAGTTGTAAAATTTAAGGCCAGAAATGAGGAGATGGCTGTTTATCAGAAGAAGAGATAGGAAAAGGAGGAGCAATTATTTCTCTTGGGCACTTCCTCTAAAACCGTTATTTTAGTTTTGAAGTTAACATGGCCACATGATGATTTTTAAGGCTATAATAAAAATATATTAGAGAAAGAAATATGAAGCAGCAGCTTGAGACACTTAAAAGTCAATGATCAGTGCCGTTTTTATACACAACATGCCCCTACCACCACTCTTGATTCCTCCCCACGGACAGTGCATCTCTCCCTCCATCTGGCCCAGGCAGTCTCTACCTGATGGGAGACTTTGACTATCTCTAGGTGAAAGGTAATGGGATGGTGGAAATAGTATGAGTGTTGATCCAGACAGATTTGGGCTCAACTCTTGGCGCTGCCACTTACTAACTCAGACTTACCTAGGTGACATCCCACACAGTCAGAATAGGCATGTCTCAGCCATGACTTACATGAAAGACTTAGGAAATTTAAGTGCATAGTGGTGCCAAAACAGTAAACAAAACTAGATTATTTAGAACAAGGGAAGTGATAGTTCTGCTCTGCCCTGCCATAGTCTGGAAAGACTGCATTGTTTATAACATTAAAAATTAAGAAACTTTTGCATTAAAATGGGCCTGGCCAAGGGTGGAGGGTCTTCTTATGGAAAGTAGTTGTATCTAGGTCATATGGCCCTGACATTGGCTTTGGGGGTGGGAAGGTTTGGGTATAAGGTGGCTGGGGAAGGAGAAGATGGGTAGGGAATTCAGTGTTCTTACAGAAAAAAAGAAAAAAAAAGAGTCTCAGGTACCTAGTATTGCATTGGCCCCTGGAGATGGTGAGGAGTTTCTGTGACTTCACACAGGAAATTTCAAGCAATGTTCGAGACTCCCTATCAAGATCTCAGTGATAATCCAAATAACACAGACTTAGGGAGGAGGGGAGCATTTTAACCTCTATTCTAGTTATATGAGAATATGGAGTTGGCCAAGTATTTGTCACAGAAGAATGGATAAACAAAATGTGATATATACACACAATAGAATATTATTCAGTCTTAAAAAGGAAGGAAATGTAGATACAAGCTACAACATGGATGAACCTTGAAGACATTATGCTAAATAAAATAAGCCAGTCACAAAAGAACAGATGTTATGATCCCACTTATTTGAGGTACCTGGAGTAGTCAAATTCATAGAGACACAAATTAGAATGGTGGTTGCCAGGAAACAGCAGCAAGGGGGGATGGGAATTAAGTGTTTAAAGAGTACGGAGTTTCACTGGGGGAAAATGAATAAATTCTGGAGATGGATGGAGGTGATGGTTGCACAACAATGTGAAATATACTTAATGCAGCCGGGCACGGTGGCTTATGCCTGTAATCCCAGCACTTTGGGAGGCCAAGGCGGGCAGATCACTTGAGGTCAGGAGTTCAAGACTGGCCTGGCCAATATGGTGAAACTCCGTCTCTACTAAAAATACAAAAATTAGCCAGGCGAGATGGAGTCTCGCTCTGTTGCCCAGGTTGGTGTGCAGTGGTGCAATCACAGCTCCCTGCAACCTTGACTGCCTGGACTCAAGAAATCCTCCCACTTCAACCTCCTGAGTACCTGGGATCACAGGTGTACACCATTACCCGTCGCTAAAAATGATGGACATTTTAAAGATTAGAATGATATGTGAATATTGTGGAAGAACTTTAAATGCTGCTCTAATCTTAGTGAGATAACACATTGTAGTATTTTGAACAGGAGAATGACATGTTCGTAGCTCTTAGCCAGGAGCATGTAATCCCAGCTACTCGGGAGGCTGAGGCAGGAGAATCTCTTGAACCCGGAAGGTGGCAGTTGCAGTGAGCCAAGATTGCACCACTGCACTCCAGCCTGGGTGACAGAGTAAGACTCTGTCTCAAAAAAAAAAAAAAAGAAAAAAAGAAAAAAATGAAATATATTCAATGCTACAGAACTGTATACTTAAAAATTGTTAAAATGTTAAATTTTATGTTATGTGTATTTCATCACAATTAAAATTATATACATGCAATTTAACTACCCAGGTCTTCCGGGTGTCTTCAAATGAATATTTCCTATGTCAACAGATTGTCCTGCATTGACCCTCTCTTATGTTCCTTATCCTCTTATCACCTCTCCGGAAAGTTTCAACTTTCCCCATCATGTTTTCCTCATCCCTTCCCCAATCTGGACACTTCCATTCCCCCAGCAGCTAGAATTCTTAAGCTTTCTTTAGTATCTGAAATATTGCTTGCTCCTAGCATAAGGTTTGGTGTTTTGCTCCCAGCATAAGGTTTGGTGGGTTTTTTTTGTTGTTGTTGCTTATTTGTATTGTTTTGTTTTGTTGGTTTTTTTGATGGAGTCTCACTCTCACCCAGGCTGGAGTGCAGTAGCACGATCTTGGCTCACTGCAACCTCCACCTCCCGGGTTCAAGTGATTCTCAGCCTCAGCCTCCTGAGTAGCTGGGATTACACACATGTGCAACCACGCCCAGCTAGTTTTTGTAGTTTTAGTAGAGACGGGGTTTCACCATGTTGGCCAAGCTGGTCTCGAACTCCTGACCTCAAGGATCCACCCACCTCAGCCTCCCAAAGTGCTGGGATTACAGGCATGAGCCACCACGCCCCACCTCCTAGCATAAGTTTTGAATCATAGTCTTTCTCCCCTTTCCCTGTGTTCACTGAAGGGTGAGAAAGAAGAAGAAGATTCAAGTCTCAGGGAGGAGAAGAGGAAGATCATTTTCCAATGTGGGTTGGAGTTTGGGTGTTTAGTTTGTTTTTCTTTGGTTATCCTTAAGAATATAAAACCAGTCAGATAGCCTCCCTCCATGAATCTACATAAGAGATTCATATCTCCACTAGTAGCATAACTTCGGGTACTTAAGTAAAATAATAGCTATCTTCTTCTCTCCTTGGTTGTATTTCAAAACCCTCTTCCACTGAGTTAGCATGGGAGGGCTCCATGACCACCAGCACCTTCTCAATAGCTAGAATGCACCCACCGTCCACCCCTGTCCCACCCTGTCTCAAGGTGTGAGAAACAGCTGATAGAGTCTTACCACATTGGCCTAGTAATGAGAAATAAAGCTAATACAGGTGAAGCCTCTAACAGTTCCTAACACAGATGCTTAAAAAATGATGGACATTTTAATTTTTTTTTAATAGAGATGGAGTCTGGCTCTGTTGCCCAGGTTGGTGTGCAGTGGTGCTATCACAGCTCCCTGCAACCTTGACTTCCTGGACTCAAGAAATCCTCCCACTTCAACCTCCTGAGTAGCTGGGATCACAGGTGTACACCATTATCCGTGGCTAAAAATGATGGACATTTTAAAAATCAGAATGATATGTGAATATTGTGGAAGAACTTTAAATGCTGCTCTAATCTTAGTGAGATAACACATTGTAAGATTTTGAACAGAAGAATGACATGTTCATAGCTATGGTTCAGGAAGATGAAACTAGCACCAATGAGAAAGATGGATTGGAAAAGAATGCAATTAAATGCAGGATGAATAATTAGGAAGATATTGCAGTAACTGCTAGAAAAAGATATTAAGGACTTTTCTAGAAAAGCAAATGTGGCAATAGAAAGGAGAGGATCAGTGCAAGAAACCTGTCAAGGTAGAACAAATGGAATTTAGATCACCAACTGACTGAGGGAGAGGGAAGAAGAGAAAGCTCAAACGTGACTGTCACCTATGAGTCTACACTGCTAGGAATATATTGGCCACTAGCTGAGAGGTGAAAGTCTACACTGCTAGGAATATATTGGCCACCAGCTGAGAGGTGAAAGTAGAGGAGATTTGGTAGAAAAGATGTTCAATTTTGTACATGCTGAGTTTGAAATTCCAGTGAAACACTTCAGTGCACCAGCTCAAGCAGGCAGGTGAAAATGTCAGGGTTCAGTTCGGTAACAACTGTATTTATACTGTATTGAAAGAATCACTTCATGGAGATTAGATCAACCAACATAAAACTTAGGGACATGTTGACATTTTATTCTCTCCATCAGATAACTTTCAAAAGAAACTCAAACATTCGGAAATCATTTTCACTACCAAGAAAGGAAGTTAAGAAAAATAGTTATTTCCAAGGTAAGAGGAAAATATAAATTATAAATAAATCCCTGAAGGTCTTGCCTTTAGAAACTGTATAGAAAATATGCTTTTACTGACCTCTAAGCCAGAAAATGCTTTTATCTGTGTAGTATGCTAATTATATTTCTGTGTCTGAAGATTGGTTTCTATTTCCTTTGCTTCTTCATGTAGTTTTAAAAGGCTTTCTTTTCTTTCTGATTTTTCTATATTCTAAAATGTACCCTTTCAAAATACGACAATAATACGCAGCTTAGCAATTTCCTTTAATATGTACAATCAACTTTTTCACATGTAGCTGACTGTATCTTATCCTTGTTTGAAATATTGAAAAGATGTGATAGAAAATTGGCAAGAGACAGTGAGAGAGGGAAGAGGTTGTGAGGCAGGCGAGGCAGGCAGGTTATTTCTGCACTGTCTCAGACACATAATTTGGCAAAAAGCTCTGATTCTAATAATCAGCATTATCATTTTCATTCAGTTTTACTGAAAATTTTCCAGTAATTTTTTGAGGAGCCTTGATACTTGTAGGATAAAAGATAATTCTCTCCTAAAACATCAGAAATTATTTCATCCATTCTATCTTGTTATAAAAATAAGAATCAGTAAGGCATGGATGTCTGAGATTGAATGGCTGACTTGCTCATTTTATAGTCACCTGATTTGGAGTAGCATCTGAGATAATCTATAGAGATATTGTCTCTGTGCAATAGCTATTTTGTACAGCACATATAATAATGATACCCACTAACATTTCCTGAGCCCTTACAATAGGCTAACAATTGCTACATATAATTTTATTTGAGCCTCACAGCAATCCTAGGAGGATGAAGGATTGTCACAGACAACTCCATCGTCACTGGGACCCTGCAAACGAAAGCTCCATCTCCAGTGCAGAGAGTGATAATTGTCATTCTCAAACTTTTCATATACCCAAATTTAGAAACACTTTGACTGGATATCCTCTCCGACTGGAGTTTGAGCCTTCATTTTACTACTTTCATCAGAACTGGAAATTTCTTCAATGCAGTCAGGTTCTACCCAAACCAGCCACCCTTTCTCTTCCATCATGACTGATTCATGAATTTGTGAATGAACGTGTGCCTTCATCAAACCACAAGCTGAGTCTTCCACTGAACTTGAAGCCTATTCATCCCTTGGGACTCAACAAGAGCCATTTTTTCAGCTCAGATCCAAGGTAAAGAAAGCATATGGCACTGTCTCATTAGTGGCTTTTTTCTCTCAACCACATATGTGCCCATAATCTTTCAATAGCTTTCCAGAAGAACAACCAAAGAAAATAGAGCATTAATTCTTCGATGGCATTGGCTTTTTAAAACCATAGCTTTAAGATTCAGCCTTTGGGCTCATAAACTATTTAGAAATAAATCATTTACTTCTTTCCAGAAAACTTTACACAAATTTAATAAATGGTTTAAGTCACTTTCTTTATATTGACCTGAGGTAACTTGGATTCTGTTGAATCAGCATCAAAAACATCACGAAATTTTAGCTCTTGCCTTTTAAATGCTGATTTCTACAGAACTTGGAATCAGGCTTTTAAAAAATTCCAAAACAAGAATGGGCTTTGAGTTCAGATGTGACGTCAAGAGGTATGTGAGCCAGAAGTTTTCAATAAAAAGCACAATGCATGTTTCCTGTGAACAACAGAAAATCGTATTATTTTTCAATGTTATGTATTTCTTTTAAAAATACAAACTGTTGTGATAAGATTGGGACCAACAGATGATGAAATTCTAGTTAGAATTCTGCTTGGTGCCCAGAATGAGCCCATCAGTTCAGAAAAGAAAGAGAATTAATTATAGAGGCCACAGGCTTCTATGAGGAACACCTTGTTCTGTAGAAACCTTTCCAGCACATTTCATTTGTTTTACTGAGTCTTGTTTATGGCAAAATGCTATACATGTATTATATAAATTGAAACGTGATGCTACACAAGCATGTGAGATTCCCAGATAAAATCCTAGAGAGAGTGAGAGACAAGGTCTGCCTTTAATACAACTCAGAGAGATTTCCCATGAGGGGCTCCAGGATAATTTTCCACAGTACAATGCGCTACTTTATCAGTAGTAAGTGACACTACACAATGCCCTATGCAGGGTTTATATTTTGCTACTTTTCATGCTATCCTGTTTTCCAGAGGAACTGTATCTATTATGTTTTCCACAGAATTTATTTGGATACCATGCTACTGTTTCTTCAAGCTATTTAAAGTAATCAAGTTACTTGAAACTGTTGACACTTATTAGTTCATTCACTTACCCATCTATTCTTTTATGTATTCATTTAGTAAAAATGTATTGCATAGCTACTATGTTTACTTGTTTTTAAAATTTTATGGAGTACTTACTATGTGCCAGATTGGGCATGAAAAATAAGCTGTGTATGTATCTAATTTGCATATACTCATTAGGCCAAATCATGGGTGTTATGAAGACAGTTATTAAAATCTTAAAAATAGAAGTCTTAATTTAAAATAATTGTTAACTACCATTTCTTTAGCGTGCCAGACACTGAGAAAAACACTTTTTCTCTCCTTTTTAAATTTTTCCTTTTTTAAGACAGAGTCTTGCTTTGTCACCCAGGCTGCGGTCACAGCTTACTGCAGCCTTGACCTCCCAGGCTCAAGTGATCCTCCTGCCTCAGCCTCCTGAGTAGCTAGGTCTACCAGCATGTGCAACCATACCTAGTTTTTTTTTTTTTTTTTTTTTTTTTTTTTTTAGAGACGGGGTTTCCCAAGTTGCCCAGGCTGGTCGTGAGCTCAAACAATCCGCCCACCTCAGCCAAAGTGCTGGGGTTACAGGTGTGAGCCACTGCACCCCACCCTTTTTTTCATTTTTAACATGCTATCTCATTTAGTTTTCATTTTAAAAAAACCCTAAGTGCTAGATATTAACTCTAATTCGTAGAGGATAAAACAGGTTTAAAGACATTGACTAGCTGGGTGTGGTAGTGCTTGCCTATAGTCCCAGTCACTCAGTAGGCTGAGGCCATCAGAGTTCGAGTCCGGCCTGGGCAACATAGCAAGATCCCATTGCAAAAACAAACAAATAAACAAACACAAAACTATTTTTGGCTTGAAATAGAAAAGTTGAGCAACGGTGTCTTAAACCATAGCCATATTTAATTAAGTTACGTAATAAAAAGTCTGTAAGCAGGCAGTTTCAGAATTAGTTAAGTTTGCAGCAAAACAATATGTTGGCCCTGTCTGTTTGTCCCTGGTTCTCCTAACTTTCACCTCAGGGTCACGAGGTGACCAGCATGGCTTCAAGTATCACATCTTTACATGACAAAATCCAAGAAAGGAAAGAATAGAGAACTTTTTTGGATTTTTGTCTTTTAATAGGGGAGGACAGTCTTTCTTATAAACTCACATTAGACTCCTCTTTACATTTTACTGGCAAAAACTGGGTCCCATGCCTACACCAATCACAGGCAAGGAGCCTAGGGTTACAGTGATTGGCTAAGATCATTTATGATACATCTCCTTAAGATAGGAGTGATTTTGCCTTTTATTTGTATAAAATCAATTTTCTCTTATCAAAGGAGAAAGAGGCAAACAATAGGGTCTCCCTCATCCACTAAAGTGCTCGTAGCTGCCATGTGATAAAGAATTTTCTTGCTTGCTATGGACAGCCTTCTTCCATAATACTTTAACTCAGAAATTATTATATTTTTGTTTTAGAACAATTTGGATCACTGAGACAGAGATTTATAAATCAAGTCTCTTTCAACATTTTTCCTTTAAACTTTATTGAGAGTAGTTAGTATTGTCAATCCAGATTTCTTGACTGGCATTTTATTTGTTAAAAAAAATTTGCAACATTTTAAACATTCTTAAATTATTCAAACTTTTTAAACATCCACATTAAGACAGTAGATTGAAGAAACATCTATTTTAGCCACCCTTCTGGAATCCCACAAAAATGGTAATAAAGGAACTTTTAAAATAAATAACCTCACAAAGAAGAGAGCAACAAAATATTGGAAACTAGAAAGTGAATGGATAAAAGGTAACTGATTAAGCAGTCTCAAGACAGTGGATCCTTAAACTAAAAATAAGACAAACTGAGAAACAGCTGATTTATACCACACAATGCTCAAATGCATTATACACCTCGATATTAGGCATACCTGGGGAAGGCAGAGAGGTTGCAATATTTAAGAAGGATTGGGGGCCAGGTACAGTGGCTAACGCGCCTGTAATCCCACAACTTTGGGAGGCCAAGGCAGGCAGATCACTTTGAGCTCAGGCTCAAGACCAGCCTGGGCAACATAGCAAACCCCGTCTCTACAGTGGTGGTTTGTGCCTGTAGCCCCAGCTACATGGGGGCCTATGTGTACTGATTGCTAAATGCCAAGACTGCCCTCTCTAGCCGCATTCCTCAGCCCAGCTCCCAGCAGCCAGCAGTCAGAGCCTTGTCCTTCAGGGAGAAGATTAGAAAGCTTCTCTGGGCTGCATGACCAGCCAAGATAAAAGATTTACAGATACTGACTTTGGGGGTTCCTTAGCAATCGGCCCACCCAGATCGCCATAGAGTCCGTTTTAAAGTCCATAAGCCTAATGCATACATTCAGAGTTTCTCATCAACTTTTTAGTCCCTTACTAGTACTCATGAGAGGATCACTAAGGATTACAAAACAGCTGAGGAAAGCCTCTAATCCAACATGGAAAACAGAAGCACAGCAGTTTAAAAGCACATTGGCAGAAACAGAGACCAGGCATTTTTAAACACTGAAAAAAAAATTTTTCTCCTCAAAGAAAAGGGAAGATATTGTATCCAAGAGCCAAAAATAACATGCTGTTACAAAGTAATACAAACAAGACCTTGGAAATTAAAAGTATAATTAAAATGGGAGAGAAGGGAGCCATGAGGAAATCTCCAGACAGTAAGAGAAAAAGGAAAGAAGGAAGGAAGGAAGGAAGGGAGGGAAGGAGGGAGGGAGGGAGATGGTTTGGATGTTTTGTCCCCTTCAAATCTCAGGTTAAAATGTGATTCCCAATGTGGAGGTGGGTGCCTGGTGGGAGGTGTTAGGGTCGGGGGGCAAATACCTCATGAATGCTTGATAGTGTCCTCGCAGTAATGAGTTCTCTCTCTGTGAGTTCACACGAGATCTGGTTGTTTAAAAGAGCCTGACGTTTCCTCCTCGAGCTCTTGCCATGTGATGCTCTTATTTCCCTTTCACCTTCTACCATGATTGGAAGCTTCCTGAAGCCCTCACCAGAAGCAGATGCTGACATCACACTTTCTATACAGCCTGCTGCACCATAAGCCAAAATACAACTCTTTTCTTATAAATTATTCAGCCTCAGGTATTCCTGTATAGCAATGCAAATTGACTAATACAGGAAGGAAGGAAGGAGGGGAGGGAAGGGAAAGGAGAAGGGAGGAGAGGGGAGTGGGGAGGGGAGGGGAGTGGGGGAGGAAGGAAGGGAGGGAAATTAAAAAGAAGAGAAGAAAGATAAGAAAATCAGAAGACCAGTCCAGGAGGTCCAACATAAAAGTAATACAAATTTTAGAAAAAGAGAGCAACACAAATAAAGAGCAGGAATTTATCAAGGAAATTACTCAAGAAAATTTTCCCAAACCAAAAGAGAATATTTTCCATTTTGAAAGAGCCCACTGAAGGTCCAACACAATAGGTGAAAGTAGAGTCACAGAAAGTTGCAGTATTATTAAATTTCAAAATACTGAAGACAATAAAGTTTTAACTCTGAAATTTTAAGACTAGATGGAAAAAAGAAATTACAGGCCATCTACAAAAGATTAGGAATCAGAATGTGCTAAAAGGTCTAACTAGAGCAATTAGACAAGAAAAGTAAACTTAAAAATTAGAATAATTTTGATTTTCTCAAAAAAAGTTAGATGTCAGTGGAGAAATTCCTTTAAAATTTTGAAGAAAAAATATTTCCAAAGAATTGTATACGTTGCTCAAGTAGCAAGATAAAATAGATACTTTTTTATATATGGACTATCTCATAAAATTTGCCTCTCATTTCCTTTTTTATGACATCACAAAAGAATAAGCTTTTTCAAAACAAAAGAGTAAAGCAAAAAGAGAAATACTTGGGACAAAGGAAACAGGAGAAGGAAAGGGAATTCAGAGAATCCTGGCCAAGGAAGAACACAGGATAACTGCTGTGCTTGAAGCATAGAGAGTAATCAATTCAGATTGGATTATGTTAGAAAAAAAAAATTTTTTTTTGAGACAAGGTCTCACTCTATCACCCAGGCTGGAATGCAGTGGCGTGATCACAGCTTACTGCAGCCTTAACCTCCCAGGTTCAGGTGATCCTCCAGCCTCAGCCTCCCAAGTAGCAGGATTATGGGTGCATGCCATCACACCAGGCTAGTTTTTCTATTTTCTGTAGAGATGGGGTTTTGCCATGTTGTCCAGGCTGGTCTTGAACTTCTGACCTCAAGTGATCCACCTGCCTCAGCCTCCCAAAGTGCTAGGATTACAGGCATGAGCACTGTAATCCTGGCCTACCTTATTTTTTAAAAAGATAACAATAAGTTTGAGTGGTTCACCTTGGACCTATTAAATTATATTTTCCAGGGGCCTCAAATCTATGGTCTTCAAAGTCTTCCTTCATGATTCTAACAATAGGTTGGGTTCTGGAGTCACAGAGTTTGGAGACTGTTTCAGCAATACAGATGAGAAATGATGGTTGTCCAATCAATACTATGTCAGTAAAAGTGGAAATAAATGGGGAGATTAAAAAGGTATTTATTTTACAGAAGTGGAAAGAAGTGCTCATTAACACATCCATTAAGTAAACACTAACTTATTATCTGGTATCAATAATGAAGAGTATGAATGAGCATAATATCTGGCTCTTACATGGCCTATATGAACTACGCTCTTTTAATGTCACACTTAGCAATCCAGGTTCAAGAACACAGAATGCTTGTCATTTGTTACACCTGCAATTCAGGATCGAGAATGCTTGTCTTCAAACTATACATAGGGCTATAATAACCAAAACAGCATGGTACTGGTACAAAAACAGACACGTAGACCGATGGAACAGAACAGAGAACCCAGAGATAAGTCTACATATGCACAACTATCTGATGGTCTTCAACAATGTTGACAAAAACAAGCAATAGGGAAAGAACTCCCTATTCAATAAATGGTGCTGGGATAACTGTCTAGCCATATGCAGAAGAATGAACCGGACCCCTACTTCTCATCATATATAAAAATTAACGTGAGGTGAATTGAAGATTTAAATGTAAGTCCTCAAAGTTTAAAAATCCTAGTAGAAAACCTAGGAAATACCCTTCACGACATCAGCTTTGGGAAAAAAACTTACAGCGAAATTCCCCAAAACGACTGAAACCCAAACAAAAATTGACAAATGGGACTTAATTACACTAAAGAGCTTCTGCACAGCAAAAGAAACTATCAATATAGTAAACAGACAATCTACAGTATGGGAGAAAATATTGGCAAACTATGTATCTGACAAATGTCTAATATGCAGAATCCATAAATAAACAAATGAACCAGAAAAAAAAAATCCAATTAAAAAATGGGCAGAGGACATGAGCAGACGCTTCTCAAAAGAAGATGTATGGTCGGGCACAGTGGCTTACACCTGTAATCCCAGCACTTTGGGGGGCCCAGGCGAGTGGATCATCCAAGGTCAGGAGTTCGAGACCAGCTTGACCAACATGGCGAAAACCCGTCTCTACTAAAAATACAAAAATCAGCCGGGTGCGGTGGAGTATGCCTCTATTCCCAGCTATTTGGGAGTCTGAGGCAGGAGAATCGCTTGAACCCAGGAGGCGGAGGTTGCAGTGAGCCGAAATCATGCCATTGCGCTCCAGCCTGGACAACAAAAGTGAAACTCCGTCTCAAAAAAAAAGAAGAAGAAGAAAATGTACACTCAGCCAAGGAACATGGAAAAAAATGCTTAACAACACTAATTATCAGAGAAATGCAAATCAAACCACAAGTACCATCTCACATTAAGCAGAATGGTGGTTATTAAAAAGTCAAAAAATAACAGATGCTGACAGGGCTGTGGAGAAAAGGGAACGCTTATACACTGTTGTTGGAAATGCAAACTAAGCCACTGGGGAAAGTAGTTTGGAGATTTCTCAAAGAACTTAAAAGAGAACTGCCATTCAACTCAGCAATTCCACTATTTGGTATATACCCAAAGTAAAATAATTCATTCTATCAAAAAGACACAGGCATTCATATGCTCTTCACAGCACTATTCACAATAGCAAAGACATGGAATCAACCTAAATGCCCATCCATGATGGACTGGATAAAGAAAATGTGGTACATATACACCATGAAATACTATACAGTCCTTAAAAAGAATAAAATCATGTTCTTTTCAGCAACATAGATGAAGCTACAGGCCATTATCCTAAGCAAATTTATTCAGGAACAGAAAACCAAATGCTGCATGTTCTTACTTATAAGTGGGAACTAAACAATGAGTACACATAGACATAAAGATAGGAACAAGAGACAATGAGAACTACTAGATGGGGAGGGACAGAGGGGAGCATGGGCTGAAAAACCACCTATTGGATACTATGCTCACTACCAGCATGATGGGATCATTTGCACCCCAAACCCCAGCATTATGCAATATACCCATGTAACAAACCTGCACATGTACCTCTTAATCTAAAATACAATTTGAAATTTTTTAAAACAAGAAGAATGCTTGTCATTTGTTACACCTGGGAAGGATCTGAGAAATTACCCACTTTTGCTTTACAGCTAAATAAAGGGACACTTATTTTTTTCTTCACCTTAAAGTAATAGAAGTCCGTTACTTAGAAATATAATTCTGAAACTTTGCTCCCTATAAAGTTACTGTGACTTCTCTACATTCAGGTAGTTTGTTTCTCATGTTTGAAAATAAGCATATATGCTGTATTCTGGGAAATACTCCAGTATTCCCAACCCTCTGGCACAGAGCTGACACTTAAGCAAAGTGACTTTTTTTCTTCCTACCAGCTTCTTATACGAGATACTGAAGAAGCAGCAACTCAGAGAAGTCATCTGAGAGAGGCCTAGGCCTAATGGAAAGATGTGAACCGATTCATTGCAGAACAGTTATTTCCTTCGCAACCATATCATTAGTCAAGATAAGAAAACATGATGTAAACAGCAACATCCAGGTTCTTGCTTGTCAAGAATTCCCAATACTCTCTCTTTGTTTGCTGGGATGCCCTGGCATCAGGATCAGAATAATCCAGCTCTGGAGATTACCTGGCTGTTTCTCAAGTCTAGTTTAAGGTTTCTTTTGAAATACTGATCCCATCTTTTTGGCAGACATTGCTAATAATGGAGGCTCATAGTACTACATCTTGGGATGAAGTTTGAGACTTTTCCAGATTTCATATTTTAGTTCCAACTCCAACATGCAGATGAGTTACTACCTACAGAGATAAGCAAAATCAGGGTGGCCTTCTTGAACCAGCCTCTATAGCTGGAAGAGGTCACCACACAAACTGGGAATGGAATTGGATAATGAGGAGGACCTAGCTTCATGGGTTGAATAATGGCCTTCTTAAAAACAGATCTACAGGGAACATCAGAATGTGACCTTACTTGGAATAAGGGTCTTTGCAGATGTAAGAAGTTCGGGATCTTGAGACAGGAACATCCCGGATTTGGAGTGGGCCCTAAATCCAATGACTGGTATCCTTATGAGAGAAAGGAAAGGGAGATTTTTTTTATTTTAATTTTATCTTTTTCTTTTTCAACTTTTATTTTAGATTCAGGGGGTACATGTGCAGACTGGTTACCTGGGTACATTGCATGATGCTGAGGTTTAGGGTACAAATGATACCATCGGCCAGTTATTGAGCATAGGACCCAGTAGTTAGTTTTTTGACCCTTGCCCTTCTCCCCACTCCCTTATCTGATAGTCCCCAGTGTCAATTGTTGCCATCTTTCTGTCCACAAGTACCCTAAGTTCAGCTCCCATTTATAAGTGAGAACATATGGTATTTGGTTTTCTGTTCTTGTGTTAATTTGCTTAGGATGATTTTGGACTTCTGACCTCCTGCAAGAGAACAAATTTCTGTTATTTTAAGCCAATTGAATTTGTGATAATTTGTCATGGCAGCTCTGGGAAATGAATACAACCTCACAAAGCTATTTAAACATGTTCCGGGCTGGGTTCAATGGCTCATGCCTGTAATCCTAGCTCTTTGAGAGGTGAAGGCAGACTGATGGCTTGAACTCAGGAGTTCAAGATCAGCCTGGGCAACATTGCGGAACTCCGTCTCTAACAAAAATACAAAAAAATTAGGCAAGCTTGGTGGCATGCATCTGTAGTCCCAGCTACTTGAGAGGCTGAAGTGGGAAGATCACCTGAGCCTGGGAGGCCAAGGTTGCAGTGAGCAAAGATCGTGCCAATGGACTCCAGCCTGGATGACTGAGGCTCCATCTCAATAAAAAAAAATAGAATAATAAAAATTAAACTGTTCTGAATAGAGAGGAGGTAGAAGCTTCTCAGCTAGTGTCTGCTTTGCAAATTTCATGATACAAACAAGAGATAACCCTTGTTTATCTTGTTCCAAGATAACCTTGGAAGCCCTATATGTACAATAACAAAGCGATTACTTCTCAACTTCAAAGTATGTCACACACAACTCATTAATCTTCACAGCACACCTGTGTCAAATAGTTAAGTACCATTGGCCTCAATTCAGAGAGTATAGCAAATAAGTCCTTGCCTGAAGTCATCAAAGGAATTTTTTTTTTTTTTAGACAGAATCTCGCTCTGTTGTCAGGCTGGAGTGCAGTGGTGTGATCTTGGCTCATTGCAACCTCCACCTCTCGGGTTCAAGTGATTCTCCTGCCTCAGCCTCCCGAGTAGCTGGGACTACAGGTGCCTGCCACCACACCCAGCTAATTTTTGTATTTTTTGTAGAGACGAGGTTTCACCATGTTGGCCAAGATGGTCTCGATCTCTTGACCTCGTGATCCACCCACCTCGGCCTCCCAAAGTGCTGGGATTACAGGTGTGAGCCACCACACCCAGCCAGGAATTATTGATAAATGGCTTCAAAATAGACTCTTCTTAAAGGAAACATATCAGGAAGATGAATTACTGGTGGTCCCGAGTAGAACAAAAGGAATTGCCAAGCAGAAAATTTACTACACAAATATTTTGTAAGGGCTCATTTCCAAAATAATATAAAATATAAAAACTATAATGAAATTCATGTTGCAACTTTCCTTGAAGTCTTGAAATTTTATAACCCCTCTCTTGCTACCAGCAGCCAATTTCTTGTTATCTTGCTGTGGAACAAAAGTTTCCCTGAGAAACTGTATTGACCTATTAGACTTGCCGACGTACTGTCCCACACAGTCTTAGAATAGGCATGTCTCAGCCATGACTTACATGAAAGATGTAGGAAGTTTAAGTGTGTAGTGGTCCCAAAACAGTGAACAAAACTACAATATTTTAAAAAAGGGAAACGATAGATCCGCCCTGCTCTGCCATAGTCAGACCACATTCAGAAAGACTACATTGTTTACAGCATAAAAATTTAAGACATCTTTACATTAAAAAGGTCCTGGCAAGGTGTAGAGGGATCAAGGTTTTCAAAAGCGGCAACTTTGGACTACTAGGGGGTTTTAATCTGGAGAAGGCACAGAGCCACAAAATGGTTATCATCAAGTATCTAAAAGGATATCATGTGAAAGACGATTAGACTTACCAATAGACAGAAATTACATTGCAGCTTCATATCATTAGGAAAAGCTTTTGGAAAGCAAAGCTGTCTAAAGATAGGACCAGCATCTTTAGCAAGTAGTGATTCCCCCATCCCTGGGAGTATACAAACATAGATGAGCAAGTTACTTTGTGGGGCTGCTGTAAACATTTAAGATTTCTTCTAAATCTAATGTCAGTCAAATTGTTGGTTCTTCTCACTTGTAATTTAAATATCTTCCAGGTCTCCAGAATCTGAAGCTCTGCTCCTGAGTTTATAAAATGTGGATGACGTCTATGAAACTAAGCTCGGGAAGTATTTTGTCACATATTGTGTTGAAAGCTCATAGGAAGAGGAAAGTTGGGCAGTTGTCTAAGTATAGCGGAGGTTTATGTGAAGGGAATGTTGAACCATGAGGCTCACATAAGGCAACTGTCTTAAGAATAAATAAGTAGTATGCTATAAATAGATTATCTACCATGCTAAATTAAATATGTTATTGGCTTCTCCAAATAAACAGACCCATGGATGTGTATATGGAGAAAGAGAGAGAGGGACAGAGAGAGAGAGAGTGTGAGAGAATTTATTTTTAAGAAATTGGCTTGGCTCACGGAATCATGGAGGCTGGAGGCTGGCAAGTCCAAAATCTGTAGTGTGGCCTGGTGGCCTGACAGGCTAGAGACCCATGGAAGAGCTGATGTCGCAATTCAAGTCTGAAGACCATCTGCTGACAGAATTGCCTCTTGGGGAAGTCAGTCTTTGTTCTAGCAAGCACTTCAACTTATTGGATGAGGCCCACTCACAATAGGAAGGCAACGTGCTTTACTCGAAATCCAACTATTTAAATGTTAATCTCATCCAAAAAACACCCTTGCAGAAACATCCAGAATAATGTGTGATCAAATGTCTGGGCCCCACGACCCAGCCAAGTTGACACATAAGATTAACCATCATACCAGGGGATAGTTCCTCAAACTTGACAAGTCCTTCAACATCTGTGGATGCCACCTCTGAGGGATAAAGGGAGGCAGAGAACAGAGCTGGCTAACAAAGGTCACTGGACATCTTCCCACATTCCCACTTTCTGAAGACATCTCTAAACCAGATCTTTTAAAATTCTAAGCTATGCAGATGAATTTTTAAAATTGAATAATACTGGATGAGTGTGACTCCTGGGATGCTATCCACTCAACCATCTACTACACAAAGTTTATACACAACTACATCATTCCCAGTAGGTCACACTTATTAATAAATCAAGTGAAGACACAGTAATGCTGTTCTTCTAAGACATGTCCACATTTTTCTTAATGGCACTCAAAGAAAATTAACCTAAAGATTCACGCTTCTTATTTTTTTGAGACAGAGTCTCACTCTGTCAACCAGGCTGGAGTGCAGTGGCACGATCTCAGTTCACTGCAACCTCCACCTCCCGAGTTCAAACGATTATCCTGCCTCAGCCTCCCAAGTAGCTGTGATTACAGGTGCACACCACCACACCCAGCTCATTTTGTATTTTTGGTAGAGACGGGTTTTCATCATGTTGGCCAGGCTGGCCTCGAACTCCTAACCTCAAGTAATCCACCTGTCTCAGCCTTCTAAAGTGCTGGGATTACAGGCATGAGCTACCTCACCCAGCCCCATGCTTCTAAAATAGTTATTAGCTTGAAAAAAAATGGGGCCAGGCACAGCGGCCCATGCCTGTAATCCCAACACTTTGGGAGCCCGAGGTGGGCGAATCACAAGTTCAGGAGTTTGAGACCAGCCTAGCCAATATGGTGAAACTCAGTCTCTGCCAAAAATACAAAAATCAGCTGGGTATAGTGGCAGGTGCCTATAATCCCAGCTACTCGGGAGGCTGAGGCAGGAGAATCTCTTGAACCCAGGAGGTGGAGGTTGCAGTGAGCAGAGATCACACCACTGCACTCCAGCCTGGGCGACAGAGTGAGACTCCATCTCAAAAAGAAAAAAAAAAGTGCTACATTCTGGAAGGGAAAAGCCAACTGAAAAATGGAATTATTCTTTTCATTTTCAAATCAGCATCTTCCCCGGCCCCGCCCACCTCACACAAAAAGGACTCAGTAAGATGAAGAGAAGGAATGCTTTTAAAATTTTTAGTCATTCACTTTTATTATAGGATCCCCACAAATTCAGTAGAAAAGGGGTGGGATACAGAAAAAAAAAGTGAGAGAATGGAAGTTGTATAATCACTCTATCAAGCTACGCAAACCAGGACTTAAGTTTTTTACCATGCGAAGCAGAGCTTTTAGCAATTTCTTAGTGACTCTGAAGCCAGGTACTGTCTTAGGCACTTTTGTATACATTACTTATTTCATTTGAGAAAAAAATATTTACCATAGGAATTTCACCATGAATGTTCTATCATATGTTTAACCTTGATTTGGAATCTGATATATGTTTTTTAGAAGGCCAATTTTTTAAGAGTTTGCACTTCCGACATCTATTCCTCAGACACATCAGGGAGGCAAATATTAAATAGTAATTGTAAATAGCAAGTCATCTTCTCAAACCAAGCCAATCTTATTTTAAAATGTATTAAAGGTATGTAAAATAGTAATCCGCTGAGAACTAACAGAAGCACGTAGACATAATGCACATTTGGAGACTTTACCAATGGTATCACAACCAAGCCCACGTCGATGACTATTGTTGCTAATGGAAATGACAAAAACACCTGAAAAGAGCAAAGTTTGAAAAAATATTGGATATGAACATCCATGAATGATACCTGCATATTCATATAAATAAAAATGCAAAGATACAAGCTAATTAAAGAAAACAGGCTAAATTAGCTGTAAAGTTGAATAAATCTGGCTTAGAAGTCAGATAAATGCCTGAGTGAAAGGAGATGTTGAAGACTGTCATTGTCAGGTTGGAGGGAATGGGCATCTAGCATTTGACTGCTCATGAATGGAAATAACTAGAACCATTTGCTGGTAAGATCACTATCTACTGATCTGGGTACCATGAATCTGTTAAGAGGGAGTTTCTAAGGCCCAATGGAAGTAACAACAATCTTCTCTGGAAAATATCTCAAGGCAGTAAGAAATTCATGACAAAACAGAAAGACTATCCTCAGACTGTCTGTTACACAGGTAAATACTGACAGGTAAATGTTGTAACTTTATAGGCTCAGCATATTAAAAAAAAAATCAAGACAAAAATTTTAGCTAAAACAATTTTCCCTGTTTTATGTTTTGTTTTTGCTTTGCCAAAAGCCTTAAAGACCAGTCCCTGGTACCTGCTTTGTGTTAGAATTGTAAGAGTTCTCTACAACATTACCCAATCTAGGGAGAAAATCGATATAAGATATAACTGATATGAATCTATATTCCCCAAAGATATATATTACACAGCTAGTCATAATTTATGAAACAAAACCCTTTAATTAGAGGATCATTTGTTGGGATTTAATCATTAAGAATATCTTCTTGGCCGGGCACAGTTGCTTACGCCTATAATCCCAACACTTTGTGAGGTCAAGGTGGATGGATCACGAGATCAGGAGATCGAGATCAGCCTGGGCAACATGGTGAAACACCGTCTCTACTAAAATTACAAAAGTTAGCTGGGTGTGGTGGCAGGCACCTGTAATCCCAGCTACTTGGGAGGCTGAGGCAGGAGAATCTCTTGAACCCAGGAAGCAGAGGTTGCAGCAAGCCAAGATCATGCCACTGCACTCCAGCTTCTCCAGCCTGGACGACAAGAATGAGACTCTGTCTCAAAAAAAAGAAAAAACAAAGAATCTCTTCTTAGCTTATAAAGCGTCCCAGAAAAAGATACTTTATCATCTCATGGCTCAGTATCAGTTATCAAATAACTGAGAGAAAAGAAAAGAGCACTCCTGGGGGCATACAAGACAAATTTCAGCCACTTGTACTTAAGGCTGCCCTTGCCTTCCTTTCTGATGCAAATGTAAGTTGAATAATAATATAAGCAATAATAGCCATCAATGTCAGACCCTGGATTGTTTGCATGCCTTAGCTTACTTAATACCTCCAACGTTAATATGAGGTAGGTATTATTTTTTCCCATTTTAGATCGGAAGAAACTGAGGTTCAGAGGTTCAATAACAAGACTAAACTCAGCTACTAGCCAAGCAACTGGACTTGAGCCCAAAACTCTTAATGATTATCTTATACTGTTATTTGTATATAACAAATTTATCCTCCAGTTCATAACTTCTTTATAATTGTATCTATTAGGGTCAGTGATCTAACAAAATGTGGATCAGAAAACAGCAAAAGACATGTTAAAAAGATGCAGCATGTGAAACTATACAGAAAGCAGACGTTAGGCAGGCACCTCCAAGGGGGACTGTGGCCATCAGCCCTGCTCTAGATTAGATCTCTCTCCCTATGTGCTCTCTGAGCATCCTCTGCAGACCACTAGGTAGCAATCGTCACACCGTGATTTTTGGTTTACATGACTGTCCAGATAGATTATAACCTGCCTAAAAGCAGGAGCCAAGTCTTAATTCTTTTTCTACTGAAAGTACCTAGCAAGGTGCTTAAAATATAGTTGCTTCTTGACAACTAATACTCAAACACACAACAATTAAGAGATGACTGGTTGGAAGAAGTTGGAAAGAAGACTGGAAAGGAAGGACATAAATCAACCATAGTTGGTGATGAGAACATTGCTTTCTTTCTCTCAGCAGTTCTTTCTTATATTTTGTATTTAGCAAGATTTAAACACTCCAAAGAGACTGCCTAGATTTGAATCTTGGCTCTAATCCATGCTGTGTGAGCTTGAGCAAGTGACCTAACTTTTCTAAATCTGTTTTCTTATCTGTAAAATGGAAATAACAATTGAATCCACCTTTTTATTACTAAGAGGATTAAAGGTGATCATCCAAGCAAAGCTTTGAACATCCTACCTAGGCAACTAAGATTATTTTATTATTCTGATAATCAGACCGTCAGGGCCATCTTTCTCCAATAACGTTCTTATGCTACCAAGTTTTGCTGCTTATTTCCTTTTCTACAATTAAGTGGTTGTCTCCTCTCCTGTGAAAAGTTTTTTCATCCAGACTGAAAGTCAGTTTAAAATAAGTAAAGTTGAAAAGATGTAATTTGCCAACAAAGTAAGCTGATGTTTCAGAACAGTAGATGTTATCACTTGTGACCTCACCTTGCCTCTTCTGTTTCCCATCTGCTAAATCTGGCCCTGACTGTGGAAGACATTCATATGCATGACTAGTTACATAAGTAGACAAAATAATATCTGGTCAAAAGACTCATAATGATCTGTCCAACCACCCAGAGAACTATTTTTCTCTCTAATAAACCGTTAAATGGAATCTAAGAGATTTTTATATTGAATAACCTAGCCAATAAAAACGAAAATTAAAACCAAGACTAGATTATTCTCATGTGTTTCACAGTAACTGAGTATTCAGAAGATCTACTTATAGATGCTCTGATTATAATCTTAAATACAGTTATACTCAATATCTGTTATTTCACACAGAAAAGAATTAGAAATCCAATTTTACCTTATAAGGTATAGATAGATTGGGTTCCTGGTATCTCCGCCTTAGTATTCCTATCATTAATAATATAGACCATAATGAACCCGTGAAAAAAATATAGTTTATCAAATCAATTAGACTTGTTAAGATAATTGCAAGGGATCCCAAAGTGACAAGTAGTAGCACAGCTGTAAATGGAGAAGAGTGACTATTAAGTGTATTAAATAGCAAAGGCAGCTGGCCCTCTTGGCTTGCAAGATATATTGGTCTCGATGATTTAAATATAGAAATCAGAAGGTTGCTAAATAATGAGGTAGAAATAGCAAAAGGCATAATCCATGCTAATGAGGGAAAAGCTCGATCAGCCCATGTGATAGCTACAGCATCTGCAGAAAAACAAAAATACACAAAAGAAAATGTGTTAAAAGAGAAATACTAATGATAAACCTTTTAATATTATTTCAAAATGAAAACAGAAACTTAAGTAATTAATAACATTTAGTTTGCTTAATTTTATCATTTATTTCCTTAGTTACACCTACATAACACCTTATAAAGGTGTCTATTTGACTCCATCACACTGTATTGTAAATGGTTATCATTTTATATGTCTTCCCCAATAGACCAAGAATGTTTTTGAGGGCAAGGATAATCCATTTATTTTCTATAAAACTAGTGGATCACTCTGTGACAGACATCCAGTAGGCTTTCAATAAACACTTGTGAAATAAATTGATTTTGTTGAATGGATGATTGAATCCAAGCTTATTTTCTAAAACTAGTTTATAGAGTCCTGATAGTTACATTCAGAGTCCAAAAAGCACAGTGCAACACTACTGACACCAGAATGAGACTTTCCCACATCATGGTGCAATTTGAAATACTTAACAGAAAAAGGAACCATGTAGATGAAGAAAATAAGTTACACACCATTAAAAATATGTATGACATTCGGGACTTTTCTATAGACCAGTAATTCTCAATTGGAGTTAAATTTACTCCTCAGGGTCACTTGGCAATATCTGGAGACTTTTTTGGCTGTTACAACCGGGGAGGTAGGAGGTTGCTGCTGGTGTCTAGTGAGTAGAGGCCAAGGATGTTGCTAAACATCCTATAATGTACAGGACAATTCTCTACAACAAAAAATTATATAGTATAAAATGTTCATGGTACTAAGATTAAGAAACTAACCATTAGAGAATATTCTACTTTTTTTTTTTTTTGCTTAAAGATAAAAGATCTTATGAGTACTAATTTAATAAAAGTCCACAGGAACAAAACACAACTGTGAAGAAAAGCATCCATTGTTTGTGAGAACCCACTTGATTCAGTTCATATTATGTGGATATATGCTAGGACAGATCACTCAGTCAGAGAGAAACAAATTATCAGTTTTTCAATGGAATGAGCACAATGGGGCCTGAAGTCCCTGGGGGTAGATGTCCTTGGAGCCTATGTTCTTGTGCCAAGGTTTGTTTCCAGGGGTACTTTTGGGACATCAACATACTGGCTTATAACACAAGGTAGGACTTCCCAAATGCGACAAAATTAAAATATCATTAATAGCTCTTGTTCTTAAAGATATTTATTTTTT
Organism: Homo sapiens; assembly: GCF_000001405.40. Taxonomy (NCBI): domain Eukaryota; kingdom Metazoa; phylum Chordata; class Mammalia; order Primates; family Hominidae; genus Homo; species Homo sapiens. The sequence goes on from NC_000008.11 coordinate 86,219,040, forward strand.
GTAACCCTTTTTAAATAGCCTCAACTGCCATTTTACTTTTTTCCTTAGCCTTAGTGCTATTCTACAACTTTGGATCTTTCTTAAAAATATCTTGTCTCATTTATTGTTCTTCTCAGGAAGATATTGTTGGTTGTTTCTCCTGGACACCCATACCTCCACAAATTTCACATCTTCAGTCACATTTCCAAAATATTTCTTTCCAGTAAGGCAAAGGAAATTCCCCTTCAATTTCCCAGTGTGCATTCTACAAATGTGGTTAGTTATAACTTGAGGAGGATCAGGTGCAGCTCCGTCAGTGCTGGCTGGCAAAAACTATACATCTTTCTACATCATCTTTAGCTCTATGCCACAAGGGATGTTTTTTCTTTGTGACTCTGTCCACATGTTGTTTCTTTTCTTTTAAAAATGATTTCATATATGTTTTAGGTGAAAAGTAAAATAAATGGCACTGAAGAACATGAAGTGAAAAGTAAATGTCCCTCTCCTCACCAGCCTCCCATTCATGCGGAGCAATGTAACTACCATTAACAGCTGTTTGGATCCTCTTCTAGAAATTTTGTATGAATGTATAAACATCTATTAGGGTTGTATATGAGTCTGCATGTATTTGTATGCTCACTTAGGCTTGCTTTTTCATGTTCATCTTGCTCTTATTGGTACATTTGCATGCATCTAATTCTTCTAGCAAGTTCTCAGTATTCCATTATATAACTGTCATTGCGTTTATCTACCCATTTCATACTGTTTTATTTGTAGCTTATTTTCAATTTCTTGCTAATATAAAAGGGGCTTTAATGAAAACACTCATTCCTCCCATTCTTGATAGTTGTTCAAGTCTCCTTAGAGTAAATTCTTAGAAGTGGGCCTTGTGAGTCCAAAAGTATATACATTTTAAAATAAGGATGATATTACAAAATTGCCCTCCAAAAATAATTGCATCAATTTACCAATAAGCGATTCTAAAATTCTCACTTTCTCTTCAAAATTCTTTTATTATTAATTAATTTATTTATTTATTGTCTATCATTGGCTATCTTATCAAAATTTTTAACAACATCTGGGTACTTGGGACCAGCTACTTTTAGGCTGCATCTGGACAGGGAAACCTCAGCTTCTGCTTCCATAAAATGTATTTACGGTTTTAGATTATCTGATCCTATGCCAATTTTCTCTAGTTTTAAATATGGCATGGAACTCTCAAGAAAATCAAATGTGAGCACCCCTGTCAGCAGTGTGTGGCAGACCTTTAGGAACAATGAAATCCTCAGTTTTCAAAGCTGGGACAGGGCTCCTCACTAAGGCATTTCCATACACCTTTTTCTAGAAGAACACCCTTCCCTTCTCAGTTGTGAAACTTATTCATAATAAAGGCTATTTTATTTCCTAAGAGAAAAATAGGTGAAGAAACAAGTCAGAGCTCTGACACGGACACAGACAAAAACATTACATGATTAATACCATTCTTTCTTTTTCTATCTAAACCACAAATATTAGAATCTAATATTTATCGCAGCCTGGTGTAATTCTTTCAATGTTCCTTAAATAAAATGTAGTATCCAATTCCTGCCACATCATGGATGCTCTATATTCATATGGAAACTTTTCATATTTTTTACATATACTTGTTTGATTGAAAAAAATGCATCCCTTAATCGTTAAAATTTCTTAATTTAAGAAACTATATTTGGGCCTAGTGGCTCACGTCTGTAACCCCAGCACTTTGAGAGGCCAAGAGGGAGAATCAGTTGAGGTCAGACCAGCCTGGCCAACATGACAAAACCCTATCTCTACTAAAAATACAAAAATTAGCCAGGTGTGGTGACCCATGCCTGTAATCCCAGCTACTCAAAAGGCTGAGGCACAAGAAGCGCTTGAACCTGGGAAGTGGAGGTTGCAGTGAGCAAGATTGTGCCACTGCACTCCAGCCTAGGCAACAGAGCAAGACTCTGTTTCAAAAAAAAAAAAAAAAACTATTTCTTTTGCTTATAACTTTCCCCCTTATTACACAAATTTTGCACTTTAAAGAAAATTTGGAATATTCAGTGCAAACAATAAAGTAAAAATCACATACAATATCATTCCCATTGATCACCATTGTTAACTACTTATTTACTGTTTTATATCATTATATACATCCTGACTTTTTCCTCATTATTGATTTAACATTGCCCCTTTTCTTCAAGTATCCATCAACAATATCATCTTTTACAAATCACAGAATGTTCTATTATATAGATTTCCCATAAATTTTTTATTTGTTTCAAGCTTATTGGATATTTTTATGGTTTTTAATTTTTTGCTATCATACATAAAGCTATGATTACTATACCTATACATACATTTTTCATGTATGACTGATTATTTTCTTAATTTAAATTTCTTGTACAATAAACACGCAGATATTTGGACTTAAAAAGATTAATTTAGAATTTTTTTTTATTATACTTTAAGTTTTAGGGTACATGTGCACATTGTGCAGGTTAGTTACATATGTATACGTGTGCCATGCTGGTGCGCTGCACCCACTAACTCGTCATCTAGCATTAGGTATATCTCCCAGTGCTATCCCTCCCCACTCCCCCCACCCCACCACAGTCCCCAGAATTTAAACAAAAAGTCTAAAGATGATATGCCTAAAAAAGTAAGCATTGTAGCCAAATTAAAAGTGATGATGGTCAAAACACTTCACGAGTCTTCCACACATGCCAAAATCATTGTGCCATCTACAAAATTGCTATAATCATTATTACACCGAAGGAGATATTCATGATTTTTTAACAACCCGTATGGACGGAGCACTGGTAGTCATAACAGACGCCAGCTTCAATGAACCGTAACAATGGTGCTAGCTGACCAGCAGCCCCAACCACACCCACAATTAACTTTGTAAATTTATTCTTTACATAATCAAGGTAGTTAATAAATCACTGCTTGTTCTGATCTGAATTTGCATTTGGTTTTTTCCCACAGACACTCAGAAGCTTGAATCCATCTAGTTTATAGGTCCCTAAGATAGCTAGACCATTATGAATCAGCACTGATACCATATGGCATCACCCTGCAGGGCAGTAACATAAGAATTGAGGCAAAGTTTACCAGAATTTTATATCAAAATCTCCCTTAGGTTTGCGTCCATGCCTCAAAGATTCACCAAACCAATAATAGCTGCTCAAAAGACATTAGTCCTAAAGGTACTGGGTGATAGGTTTATCTTGTGAGGTCGTTTAATGCTGGCTTGAGGAAATTACTAGTCTTCCACTTTCCCTGTTTCTCATTTCTTTCCAAATTTCTTTTTATTCGTTGATCTGTTACTCATTTTTCAATGTATATTTATTTAAAATTTTCTCATTCTTTTATTCTTTATTCTACAATTTGGTCTCTAAGATAGCTATTTTTTGGTCAGATTTCCAATATGTTCAGGACACTTTGCCACCATAAATTTTAGAGTTGTTCATGGTAAACCGTATTATTTTAACATCAATATTAATTATATGCATCAATTGAACATTAGCATCTACTCTTTTAACTGCCAATATTCTACACTTCGAATTGATCATTTTTTGTGACACCTAGAAAAACATTGAGACTCAAACATTTTGAAAGTTTTAAAATCGATGTAAACAGTGATTACTCAGTGTCACTCTAGTGAGATGAGATCATGAAAGGAATACTAATATTTTGAATCTGATCTACACCATACATCAACATTATATACATCTTTCCATATTATTAGAAAAGGCATAACCATGCTTAAAGATGAATCTCCTTTCTAAGACAAATCATTCCCTTTGGCCCTCTGTTATTTTAGAAAATTATAAGTTGATTCCATATATAGAATAATGAACAGTAAACAGTGGTTCTGACTGGTGAAATGATAGTTACGTTGAAAGGACCAGCACTTTATTTATTGCTTTAGCCATTTGCATACAAACCTGAAGAGAGAATTTCCCTGGGTGTCAGAACAGTCAGATAGGAAATGTTAACCAGTAAATAAACTACAGTCACCAGAGGTAACGCAGTAAATATGCATTTGGGAATTGTTGTTCTGGGCTTCTTCAGCTCCCCTATAACACAAAAGAGGACACAACCATAATTGGTAAACATTATTTCTAAAATTCATTATTTTTAGATTATTATTTTTGTATTTGTATAAATTAATGGGGTACAAGCATGATTTTATTATGTGGATAGGTTGTGTGGTGGTCAAATCAGAGTTTTAGTGTATCCATCACCTGAATAACATACATTGTACCTATTAAGTAATTTTTCATCATCCACCTGTCTACTCCCTCTCCCTTCCAAGTCTCTGTGGTTCATCATTTTACTCTCTACATCCATAAGTACACATTTTGTAGTTAATTATGAGTGAGAAGGTATAATATTTCTTTCTATTTTTGAGTTATTTCACTTAGGATGATGGTCTCCAGCTGCATTCATGTTGCTGAAAAAGACATGATTTCATTCTTTTTTATGGCTCTGTAATATTCTGTGGTATATTATACACACACACACTAGTGTTGTGATAAACATGAGTGCAGATGTCCTATTCATTTATTTTCTTTTGGGGAGATACCCAGTAGTGGGATTGTTGGATCAAATTGTAGTTCTATTTTTAATTCTTTGAGAAATCTCCATACTGTTTTCCATAGATATTATACTAATTTACATTCCCACCAACATTGCTCCATGTGTCAACAATTGGGCTAGGCTCTTCTTATTCATTCAGCCACCACCACTACACATACACTAAAATGCACACACACACACACACACACACACACTGGTGGACTGCTACACACCCACCTGCCTAATATAGCTAAATGAAGAAAAATATGAAATATGCTTCATTTTCTCCATAGATGGCAAAATTTCTGAAGATAGACTTAAGAATGAAAAATGAAATCGGAGCCCATAAGTCCTGTACCATTTGAAGCCCACTTATGTGTTTAGCCTCATCTATTAAGTCCTAGGCATTGAGTTTGGATAGTGGGAATACAATGGTGAGCAGAAACTACATGAAATTTGACCTCAAGAAGAAGAGCTACACATGAGTTAAATAATTGCATAAATAAAAGGTTAAAATACTAGTGACTATGGTAAGTGTCTATATGAAAAGAAACAAGGTGCTATGGAGATATATTATGTGACAATGTGACAGTTTCTCTTGCTATCTGTGTTTTATATATAGACTGACTGGCCTTTGCAGTTCCTCAACAATGTCCTATCCCTTCTTGCCATAGGGTCTACTCTCTTATGTGGAATGTTCTTTCCTAGTTGCCTAGTTGACCCTACCCTTCCTTCAGATCTCAGGAAAATAATTACTTCTGGGAAACTAGGAGAGGAAACTCTCTCCCTGGCTAGCAAAATTTTCCTATTATACATTTCTCATACTGTATATTGAAAGGAGTTAAAGAGCCCATCATAAATTATCTCTTCCTGTATGCTCTTGACCATTCCTTTATGCCAATATTAAGTGCAAAAAAAGGCCAAAAAAGTTGATATTTAGCATCATATAGAGTGGATTCTCTAGGACAGTTTTATTTTTAAATATTGTTCCATTCATCACACCATTTCCCCAAATTTTGTCCTACCCTGAGAATTGCTCTGTGGCATGAAGAAATGATCATCTATAACCTTAATATACAATGGCACCCTGTGCCCTGCCCAGTGGAAAGGAACAAAGAACAGACATCCGATCCACTGGAAGCCAATGATTTTCGGTATACAGGAAAATTTATCTCAAGAATTTGAAACAAAGTTCAAGAGAAAAGCAACGTAATGGTGTTAAAAAAGAAAGGAAGATGAGAAAATTTGTTTTTTTTTAATTTCTAGAACTTCCCTATTTTTTTCATATTTATTTATTTATTTTATAGAGACGGGGGTCTCGCTATGTTGCCTGGACTGGTCTTGAACTCCTGGCCTCAAGCAATCCTCCAGTCTAGGCCTCCCAAAGTGCAGATTAAAAACGTGAGTCACCATGTCCAGTCTGCTTCCCTATTTTTTGTTGCTTCCTAAGATGTGTTGCACAAATCTTCCTTAAAATATAGCATTATCCTTCCAGTAAGTTCCCCTTTTATTGTTTAAGTTAATGTATGTGGGTTTCTGCTACTTAAAACCAAATCCCCTTTACTAATAAATATCTATCATTTGACTATATCAAATTTCTTCCATCTGTGTCTGCCCAGGGGTTGGATCTAATGCCCATGGGGAACACTAATCTGAGCTGATTAAGAACTTGATTAGTAAAAAATTAGAAGGTTTTAATTTTAACCCTGCCCGCACCACTTTGGCTGTCAAGGTTTCAATCTCCTTATAGTGAAAACTGTAGGGACAACAAAATTCCAATCCTAGTGTTTAGCATATAATAAGTGCTGAATAAATGGTTGTTGTTAATTACTATAGTTATTAAAGCTTTGGGACAAACAAAAGGGCAATTTTTTGGATTATCTGTTCTTTCTTCTGAGCCTTTTACTTGTTCTCATTATGTACTTGATATGTAAAGAGGAGATGGAGATTACAATTTAATTTATAATAAAAAGTTATAATAGCCAGACAAGCGACAAATATCCTTGACTCTTGAACTTAAAAGATGGGTATTCCGGCCGGGTGTGGTGATTCACGTCTGTAAACCCAGCACTTTGGGAGGTCAAGGCAGGTGGATCACTGGAACCCAGAAGTTCAAGGCCAGTCTGAGCAACATGCCAAAACCTCGTCTCTACTAAAAATCCACACACAAAAAAACTTAGCTGGGCATGATGGTGAGTGCCTGTAGTCGCAGCTACTCAGGAGGCTGAGGTGAGAGAATCAATCAAGCCCAGAAGGTCAAGGCTGCAGTGAACTATGATTGCACAGCTGCACTCCAGCCTGGGTGATAAAAAATAGAATTTTTTTTTTAAAAAGATGGGTATTCCTACACCTTGCAAAGTCGCCTGTCTACAAGTCACTATTTTGCAGGTAAAAGGGTTACTTAAAACTTAGATGTACTTAAGACTTATTTTGTAAATTAACTCCAGCACACACTGAAATTCCTCCAACTTTTGTTCACCACTAGCGGCTTGTGAGGAACTCCATAATAGTTTATAGGTCAGTAAGAATAAATTCTGTAAGTATATTTTCAGCTGACAATAATTATCTAACAATGAAACATCTCTGCAATGGGATACAATGAAACTGGCTCAAATAAAAATCCAGAAATATTGCTTCTAGCCTTGAAAGCAAGAAACAATGAGATTTGCTCGTTATGCCAGCTGCTGAAATTGGCCCATTTAATCACAAGCCATGTAAAACAGTAATCTCCTCATAGCTTTCTTTTCTCAATACCTTATTTTTAACTCAATGCAAACTGACTTCCTCTCATGTTCAAAATTCACCAATGACTTCTTACATTATCAATGATGGCGCTCCAACCAGTCCTCATGATCCTTGACTTCTGAAGCATTTAACCAGATAGATTATTCCCCACTTTTTGAAACATATTGTGATTTTCCTCTATACCACTCTGAGCCTCCTCTGGCTTCCTCACTGAATCTTCTTTCTCTACCTCCTGCTTAAAAGTTGGCATTGTCCAGTCATCTGTCCCCCTCCAACCCTATGCCGTTTCATCCTTCGTCTCTATGTACTTGCCTTAGTAATCAATCCTATGTATTTTGTCCTTCGTCTCTCTATGTACTTGCCTTAATAATCGTATCTAATACCAAGACTCTCAGATGGAAACCATTTTGTAGTCACCTGAGGTTGCATGCCTTGTCTTATATCTACACTGCATGCTTCTATTCTCCACGGCTTCACTCATATTTTTCTGGAATTTTGTGGATTCAATTCAAATTGCCACTTTTCCACTCAGTGACAGCAAAAAGTGACCTTTCTATTGATTTCCAAGGTAATTATATTGTTCCGTTATGGCTATCTATTAAATACTGTATCAAATTATTTGTTTATAAGGCACAGAATTATAGTCATTTTAAACCATGATGTACATTTTGCAGATAATAAAAAAGAGGCTAGAAAGGAGAAAACACTTGCTATAGTTGGTAATGGCAGACCCAAATCTAGGTATTGCCTCTTCTACTAGACTGTAAGCCTTTTTGATAAAGACTATATCTTACTCATCTTGAGGCACCAGTACAGGGTTTTAAAAATAGTCTTTGAAAAGATAGTGGCTACTCAAATGATTTCACAAATGATAGATAAATTAGTGGTGGGGGACCTGAGATTAGAAAAAGTTTTGTTCAGTAGTTAAGAGTCTGATACATATATAAATAACAAGGAAAAGAACTGATTTTTTAGAAAAGATTGAAAGTGAGAAAAAATGAAATAAAAGAATGTGAAAAGTCCTTAAGGGGATGGGAGGGAAAAGATAAAGAATTCAAGGGAAAAGACCAACTTTGAAAATGAAAAGATGAAAACTTCTGTCTAACATTGAAGGGAAGTGTATACAGCCTCAGAGCAATCTAGAATATCTATGCTTCTCTGCTCTTTAAAGATACTTAAGAACCTACAAAGAACAAAAAACAGAACTACCATTTGACACAGCAATTCCACTACTGCGTCTCTACCCACAGGAATAGAAATTGTTATATCAAAAAGACTTCCGCACTTGCATGTTTATTGCAGCACTGTTCACAATAGCAGTCATGGAATCAACCTAAGTGTCCATCAATGCATGACTGGATTTTTAAAAAATGTGGTATATACACACCATGGAATACTACACAGCCCTAAAAAGAATGAGATCATGTCTTTTCCAGCAATGTGGATGCAACTAGAGACCATCATCCTAAGAGAAACAATTCAAAAACAGAAAATCAAATACTGCATATTCTCACTTATATATGGGAGCTAAACAGTAAGTACACATGGATATACAGAGGAAATTGTGACACTGAGGATTCCAAAAGTGGGGAGAGTGGGTGGGGGGTAAGGGTTGAAAAATTACCTATTGGGTACAGTGTTCATTGTTAGGGTGATGGCTACACTAGAAGCCCAGACCTCACTATTATACAAATAAATCCATGTAACAAACCTGTACATGATCCCTGAATATATAAAAATAACAATGCTCAAGAGCACAGTAAAAGTGCAAGGCAAAATCCAGCACTTGTTGCTCTGCTCTGATGTTCTGAGTGAACCAAGAAGATGCTGTTCCACTTTGGCACCCACTTCAGTCAGCTGCCCAGTGCTGTCATTGCAGACAAGGGGTCTGAACTGCTGGAGAATTTCCTGTTTCGGGTGTCCAGGGAGTACTTGTCTGGAGGGTAGGGAAAGGAAGTGAGCCTCTTTCGGGCTCCTATAATCCTGGTTACAGTATCTTCGCATTGTTGGCTAATTTATTAGTTATTTATTTTTCTTGTTTTGAGACAGGGTCTCACTCTGTAGCCCAAACTGGAGTGCAGTGGTGCAATCATAGCTTACTGCAGCCTCAAACTCCTGGGCTCAAGCGATCCTCCCACCTCAGCCTCTTAGTAGCTAGGACTAAAAGTGTGCACTTCCACACTCAGATAATTTTTTAAGAAATCTGAGGAGGTGGGCAGGTGCAGTGGCTCACGCTTGTAATCCCAGCACTTTCGGAGGCAGAGGCGGGTGGCTCACATGAGGCCAAGTGTTCGAGACCAACCTGGCCAACATGGTGAAAGCCTGTCTCTACCAAAAATGCAAAAATAAGCCAGGCATCGTGGTGCACACGTGTAGTCCCAGCTACTCTGGAGGCTGAGGCAGGAGAATTGCTTGAACCCAGGAGGAGGAGGCTGCAGTGAGCTGAAATCATGCCATTGTACTCTGGCCTGGGCAACAAGAGGAAAACTCTGTCTCAAAAAAAAAAAAAATCTGAGGAGAGGGATCTCACTATTTTGCCCAGGTGGTCTCAAACTCCTAGCCTCAAGTAATCCTCCCATTTCAGCCTCTCAAAGCATTGGGATTATAGGCATGAGACATCACACCCAGCCCTATTTTAACTTTTAAATGCATCCAAGGTTGCTGTAGGGTGACTGCTTTTATAATGCACAGATGAAAATTATAGCTTTATCATTAATCAGAATGCTTGACGTGAAAATGGTCAAGTGCAAGTAAAATCAATTTGTATTATTACATTCATCAATGAAAGGAAAAAATTATAATAAAATATAAAACATAACTCCAAAAGTAAGTAAATAAAAATACTTAGAGCCTCAATGCGTCATACCTACCTACAACACAAACATAGTCTGGCATTGGATCATTCCTGGATTTACAGTTTCATGGGTGAGGAATATTTTCACAACCCCAGCATTCATCCATTAACAGAAAGGAAACAGATTAACACAGAAGTCCCATACCTGTGGTCCCAGAAAGGAAAGTTGAAAAAGAGAAGTTGTTCAATCAAATAAGTACCTTAGCCTAAATAGGAAAATAATTAAGAGTAGGTAACAAGTGCCAGGCTGGCATGATCTGATTCAGAAAGTCACAAAGAAGAAAGAAACATTAAATCATTTAAGACTCAAAATACAACAAATGATATGCATTTCATATTGTATGCAATAAGTCATGATTTTAGATTTTTTTCCTCAATGGATTGTTACCTGCTATAAGTGTAAAGCATGCCCCGCCTGAATATGCAAAATATCCTTGGAAGATGGCTTGTATAAGGTGAGAGATATCTGGAAGTTCAGCATCAAAAGCATTCTGAAATCGTTCTACATTCTCCTTTTTCCCTCTTATCAGGAACACTACTCCAGTTAGGGAAATGAAGCTAAGTATGGACACTTTCAGCACTGAGCTAGCTATCTGAAGCCAAGTCACTTCTTTCACACCACGAGAAGTCAGAATTCCTACAATCCACAACATGGCCAATGCCAGACATTTCTTAGGCAGCTTTGGGACAGAGCAGCTGGGAAAAAAAGGCTGGATGCTGTACTCAGCAAGGAGCAGAGCTTGGCCAGCAACTACCCCTGACCCCAGAAACAAGGATGTCCAGAGATTCAAAAAAGCAACCGTGGAGCCAAAGTATCTCTTGAGAAAATAGTATTGAGCTCCACTGCATGGGAAGCTTATACTTATCTCTGCAGAGCAAAGAGTTGATGTCATGGCCAGTATGGCACAGCCAGCCCAAACGCACAGGGAGACTCCCACGTTCATGCAAGAGTATGCCAACACACCTTTGGGGGACACAAAAATTCCTGCACCAATGATATTAATAAGCAAAAAACTTGTGCCCCACCAATATCCAAACACTCTCTTGAGCTGTATTTTCTCCCCTCTATCCATTGTAATTGAAGAGTTTTAAAATTCTATATAAATTACAATTTCTAGATTTTCCTGCCTATGTAGCTGCAAAGGATGTTGATGGATTCCTGAAATAAAATAATTCTGTCCTTCCTGTTCCATTTTCGTTAAGTATAGCCTGGTTTTAATAATTAACAAAATAGAGGTGGAAGGTGGGGACAAAAAATAATAAGTAACAAAATATATGTGACACATTCAATAAAATAGACCAAGATGTAGAAGGGTTTGGTCTGACTTGTCTTTCAATTATCATCAAAAGAATGCATTCAGATTTTTTTTTTTTTTAAAAAAAAGGAATTTCCAAGAAGACATGGATTACAGTGCAAAGTTGGGGCTTCCTACTCTACTTCACTGCTTCCCAAATGCCTTCCCAGTTCCCTGCTCTGGAAACAATCATTTTATTTTACTTTATTTTATTTTTTGAGACAGAGTCTCACTCTGTCACCTGGGCTGGAGTGCAGCCTTGACCTCCTGGGCTCAAGTAATTCTTCCACCTTAGCCTCCCAAGTAGCTGGGACTACGGGCATGAGCCATCACACATGGCTAAGGTTTTTGGTGGTTATTGGTTTGTTCTTGGTGGCTGTTGTTTTGTTTTTGGTAGAGATGGGGGGTCTCACTTTGTTGCCCAGGCTGGTTTTGAACTCCTGTGCTCAAGTGATCCTCCCACCTTGTCTCCCAAAGTCCTGGGATTAGAAGCCAACCATTTTAAAGTATGTATGGTTTTAGATCTTTTTGGTGCTTGTCTTCATAGCTCTAAATAATATAAAAAGACTTTTATTTCTAAATATCTCAACTTTAGAAAGCAAATACTGACCTCTTCCCATGAACACTGAGGAATTAGTTCACTGTCCTTTTACTGCCTTGACTCTCTCTTCTTCACATTTTTTTAAATCACTAAGCTTTCAGGAAACAATTTTATCAGGCTTATATTACCAGAAGCTAATTAGCAAGGCAAGGGAGGGAAATGCTCTGAAACATAAGCCTGTCTTTTAACCAGTCACCTATCATTCTGGTAGCCTTAGTCACATACAGAAAATTGTGAACAGAAAGTACAAGAGAAAGAAGACCTGGCCCCAGGGGCAGAGGGAAGGAGGGTCCTAACCATCTTGTCCTAACCTACAAGTCTAGGGCTTTAGTAGCTCCCACATTTGTCGACTTTATAATGCAAAGCCCTGTCCTGAGAATTTCCAAAGTCTCATAAACCTGGAGCACATATAAGCCTAGGAAATAAGTATTTCTGTCTCTCTGTCTCTCTCTCTCTCTGTCTGTCTGTCTCTTTTTTAAGCTGGGACTAGAGGGGTGTGCCATGACACCCAGCTAACTTTTGTGGGTTTTTTTTTTTCAGTAGAGATAGGGCTTCCCCATGTTGGCCAGGCTGGTCTCAAACTTCTGACCTCAGGTGATCCACCTGCCTCTGCTTCCCAAAGTGCTGGGATTACAGGCATGAGCCACTGCGCCCGGCCTAGTAAAGTATTTCTCAATTGTCCCCTCAGAGTAAGTGAAAGTGAAATTGCTTGGTTTTGCTTTGGTTTGGGAAAACTGGCTATTTTCTGGCAGATTGCATCCAAGAAAATTCACTGATAATACTACATAGTGATATAGGGCTGAGTGCAGTGGGTGGCTCATGCCTGTAATTCCAGCACTTTAGGAGGCCAAGGTGGGCGGATCACCTGAGGTCAGGAGTTTGAGACCAGCCTGGCCAACATGGCAAAACCCCATCTCTACTAAAAATACAAAAATTAGCCGGGCATGGTGGTGCCCACCTGTAATCACAGCTACTAGGGAGGCTGAGGCAGGAGAACTGCTTGAACCTGGGAGGTGGAGGTTGCAGTGAGCTGAGAGTGGGCCACTGCACTCCAGCCTGGGAGACAGAACCAGACTCTGTCTCAAACAAACAAACAAACAGAAAACTACATGGATTTCGGTAAACACAACTAGATCCATGTCCCAAATAAAACCATGCCTTGTTTCTTCTCTCGGAGAGCAAGGACCTGGGAGTGTGAAAAGAATACCAGAAAGTTCTCCATAAGATAGTGTTACTGAACCAGGCCTATTTTGTTCACAGCACAGTATGCCAATGACCAAGATGATGAGTTTTCCGAAAAAGAAAGGATTTATTCCTTTCTTTTTAAGCCAAGTGAAGAGATGGGAGTTCAGGTCTCAAATCTGCCCTCCTAAAGATGGGGTTTAAGAATATTTATGGGACAGAGGAGCAGGGTGGTCTGAGGCATGGAGAAAGGTGGCTGGGGATAAGGAAAAGTGAGATAATTGATGTTCTGCACAAGCACAGTCAAGCTTCATGGCTCCTCATAGGATGGATGTTCAGAAAATGATAATGTTATCATGATATGAGGGTGGAGCTTATAAATGGCACTCTGATGTCAAAAGATCACACGTCGGACATTCGTGGAGGCTCACCCAGGTGGAGGGGTGGTGGTCTCACCTGGTTTAAATTGGACAAGAGTTGACTCTAGTTTCCTGAAAAACAATGTAGGCAACTGCTACCATTGTGACCCATACGTACATCAAAGATGGTATCTACAGGGAAGCTCAAGGGAGTCTTGTGATGTATTGCTTAGCTATGTGACATCCATTTAGAGTTAGTAATCTTTTAAAACAGTGAAACTAGCTAAAAGCAAGCAAAGTGGGTTAAAGTTTGACAAACCTAGTCAGTTCTGCCCTTGGCTGCAATAGAGACAAAATAGAAGCATGGGACAAAGGTGGTCATTGTCCCACCAATAAATTCCCCACCTAACAATCTACTTTTAAGGAAGATAGTGAGGCAATCCACTACCCAAGCCTTGGATCTCATGACAGGAAAATAAATAAGTCTGGAAGAACCAGGGCCACCAAATGGGAGTGTGGTCATTTTGTAGTTGTTACCTTGGCTAGACTGAACCACATTTTCCCAAATTCTCAATTAGAATGTACCATCAGGAAGATGTTTGTGTGAGATTTGGAGTACAAAAGTGAAACAGCAGTTGTATTGGTAGTTCACGCTGATAAGAAATTTCCCCATGACCAAACTTCAGTCAGGCTCCTTTGAGCTCTCTTCCTGACCAGGCCTCATCCTTGGCCAGCTGAGCTCAGCTTAGCAACTATCTCCGCACTCTTCATATGTAATCAAGCTCCTCTTGGTAACTGTCTATCCATTAACCCCCTCATTCTGTTCATTGGCTACAAATCCCCAGCTGTCTTTGCTGTATTTGGAGTTGAGCTCAGTTCTATACTGAAGTCTCTCTCCCTTATTTCAGCAGCTCAAATGAAATCTATCTTACCATTTTAAACAAATAGTGCAGGTTTTCTTTTACAACATTCATTGTTTAATATGTGATGGCCCACAGCTATGCAAAAAAATGTTTAAGGGTTTTAGGGAACTTGTCTATTTCATCTCTCTTAGAAGTAGAAGAGCCAGGATTTACATCTAGTCCTGGGTTATCCAAAGCTCATGATCTTTATAGGTATACCTCAAAAATTTTGCAGGTTCAGCTCCAGACCACCACAACAAAGTGAATATTGTAATAAAACAAATCACAAAACATGGCCCACATAATTGCTATCATTGTCGTGTATCTGCTAGCTTCCCTCATTAATGTGGGGTTGTGACTGAGCATACAATTCCTCCACCTTCTGTGAGATTCTCCTTCAGCTTTTCCAGCTCCTGGGTCAAGCGTGTATATTTAGTTCCATGATAATGGACCTCAACTTCTGCAAGATATCCACATCACTGAGGCCAGAGATAATGAGAACTGGCACAGATTTTAGTCCATCTTCCTGGTCTTCAACTCATGCCTATGAGTTCCAATTTGTTTTTGCTCTTCCTCACTTTTGCATACATTGCCCTTTCTGAATTACTTGAACTTCAAGTTCCCAGCATCAGACTTGAGGACAACAGCCTTGTAGAGACTGCCCAACTACCTCCCATAGTTGCTTATGGTCAAATCTCTGTAACAGAGTAAATCCTGTTAACTTTTATAAATACCTAAAAAGACGATAAAGATAGAGATGATTCAGATATAGGTATAGACATAGACATAGAAAGACATAGATATAGATTTAGAGGCTCTGCTTCTAAATCTCCTTGATTCCTGACTAATATATGGAGCAAAAGGCTATGGCATGTTCTGCATCCCTGGTGCACTACTGTATTCAGGTAAGTCCATGACTCTGAAAATGAAGAATGTAAGTAAAGAGATAGGCTGGGAGATCAATCCCCATTTCTGTTCACTTTCAAGAATATCGGAGATTCTCCAAACTCAGGAGATATATTCCTTGAAGCAGTGCCCTATAGTCTAAGGAGGATATTCTTGGACATTCTGTGTGGGGCTACTACTATACATCAAAGAGGAAGATGTGTAAGTTATCCAATATTAGACTCAGCTGCATAGCTCCTTCAGTGCCCAGATGAATATCTTTCACACAGCATGTAGGTATGTTCAGCTTTTGGAAGGGAACTTTAGAAAGCTAACTGAAAAACTGTCATGTTCGTATCATCTTGTAAATGACTTGTGAAACAGGAGACTGCAAACAAAAGAGAGGAGACATATTGAAGGGCATTAAGTGTGCCACCTGAAGGTTTACAATTATATTTCTTTTTATCTTTATTTTTCCTCTTTCTATAATTACAGTACTAAGAGAAGAACTGTCATGATGACAGGCCCGAAAGTGTCAATCTTAGAGAGTACACATTACTAACTCAATTGTACAGCTATGCAAAAAAATGTTTAAGGGTTTTAGGGAACTTGTCTATTTCATCTCTCTTGGAAGTAGAAGAGCCAGGATTTACATCTAGTCCTGGGTTATCCAAAGCTCGTGATCTTTATAGGTATACCTCAAAAATTTTGCAGGTTCAGCTCCAGACCACCACAACAAAGTGAATATTGTAATAAGACAAATCACAGAAATATTTTGATTTCCCAATGCATATAAAAGTTATGTTTATTCTATATTGTAGTCCTTTAAGTGTGTAATAGAATTATGTCCTTAAAATATACATTCCTTATTTTTAAAATGCTTTATTGCTAAAAAAATATGCTTATGATTATCTGAGGCTTCAAGAAGTTGTAATGTTTCACTGGTGGATGGTCTTACCTCAATGTTGATGGCTGCTGACTGATCAGGGTGGCAGTTGCCGGAGGCAGAGGTGGCTGTGGAAATTTCTTTTTTGGGTTTTTGTGTGGTTTTTCTTTGTTTGTTTGTTTTATGTGTTTTGTGCTTTTGGTTTTTATTTTTATTTTTATTTTTTTTTTAGACAGAGTCTTGCTCTGTCACCCAGGCTGGAGTGCAGCGGCGTGATCTCGGCTCACTGCAACTTGCCTCCTGAGTTCAAGCAATTCTCCTGCCTCAGCCTCCCAAGTAGCTGGGATTACAGCCACGCTCCACCACACCCAGCTAATTTATGCATTTTTAGTAAAGACAGGGTTTCATCATGTTGTCCAGGCTGGTCTCAAGCATCTAACCTGAGGTCATCCGCCCGCCTCAGCCTCCCAAAGTGCTGGGATTACAGGAGTGCACCACTTCACCTGGCCAGTTATGGCAATTTCTTAAAATAAGACAACTATCAAGTTTGCCTCATTAATTGACTCTTCCCTTCATGAAAGGTTTCTCTGTAGCATGCTATGCTGTTTGATAGCATTTTACCCACAGTAAAACTTCTTTCAAAATTGGAGTTGATCCTTTCAAACATTGCTGCTGTTTTATCAGCTAAGTTTATGTAATATTCTAAGCCCTTTTTCATCATTTCAACAATGTTCACAGCATCTTCACCAGTTATAGATCTCAAGAAACCATTTTCTTTGCTCATTCACAAGAAGCAACTCCTCATCTGTACAAATTTTATCATGAGCTTGTAGCTCCACTTCTAGTTCTCCTGCTATTTCCACCACATCTTCAATTTCTCCACTGAAGTCTTGAACCCATCAAAGTCATCCATGAGGGTTAAAATCATCTTCTTCCAAATTCCTGTTAATGCTGATATTTTAATCTTCTACCATGAATCACAATGTTCTTAATGCCATTTAGAGTGATGAATTCTTTCCTGAAGGCTTTCAATTTACTTTGCCCAGATCCATTAGAGGAATCACTATCTATGGCAACTATAGCCTTATGAAATATATTTCTTAAATAAGAAGACTTGAAAGTCAAAATTCTCTTTGATCCATAGGCTGCAGAATGAATATTGTGTTAGCAAGTATGAAAACAACATTAATCTCCTTGTACATCTCCATCAAATTTATTGTGTGACCAGGTGTATGATCAATGATCAGTAATCTTTAGAAAGGAATCTTTTTTTTCTGAGCAGTAGGTCTCAAGAGTGAGTTTAAAATATTGAGTAAAACCATGCTGTAAACAGACATGCTGTCATCCAAGGTGTGTTGTTTCATTTGAAAAGCACGGGTAGAGTAGAGTTAGCGTAATTCTTGAGGGTCCTAGATTTTGGAATGGTACATGAACATTGGCTTCAATTTAAAGTCACCAGCTAAACTAGCCCCTAACAAGAGTCAGCTGTTCTTTGAAACTTTGAAGGCAGGCCTTGACTTCTCTTCTCTAGCTATGAAAGTCCTATATGACATCTTCCAATAGAAGGCTGTTTCATCTCCATTGAAAATGTGCTACTTAGTGTAACTGCTTTCATCAATGATCTCAGCTAGATATTCCTGAAAACTTACTGCAGGTTCTATATCAGAATTTGCTGCTTTACCTTGCAATGTTTATGTTATGGAGATGGCTTCTTTCCTTAAACCTCATGAACCAACTTTTGCTAGTTTCAAATTTTTCTTCTGAAGCTTCTTCACATCTCTCACCCTTCACAGAATCAAGGAGATTTAGGTTCTTGCTCTGGATTAGGCTTTGGCTTAAGGGAATGTTGTAACTGGCTTGATTTTCTATCCAGACACTTAAACTTGTTCTATATCAGTAATAAGGCAGTTTTGCTTTCTTTTCATTCATGTGTTCACTGGAATAGCACTTTTAATTTCCTTCAAGAACTTTATTTTTGCATGCATAACATAGCTAATCATTTGGCTCAAGAGGCCTAGCTTTCAACCTATCTCAGCTTTCAACCTATCTCAGCTTTCAACATGCTTTTGTCACTAAGCTTCATCACATTTAGCTTTTGATTTAAAGTGAAAGGCATGTGACTCTGCCATTCACTTGAACACTTAGAGCCATTGTAGGGTTATTAATTGGCCTAATTTTAATATTGTTGTGTCTCAGGGAACACAGAGACCTGAGGAAAAGGAAAGAGACAGGGAAATAGCCAGTTGGTGGAGCAATTGGATCACACACATTTATCAATTAAATTCACTGTCTTATATGGGCACAGATCATGGTGTAAAATGTAGGTGTAGTTAAACTATAACCAGCCATTGTTCTGAAGATCACAAGATTCATAACTTCTCCAATTACTCCTGTAAATAACATCACTACTAGAACCTAAGATTGTCCTTTTGAGGTGTCTCTTCAGACTTTTGCATTTCTGATGACTGAATGACTCTACCTGGAGCTGGGATTCATGATTCAACTGGTCCTGTGGCCCTGAGCCAGAAGTGGATTTGGCACACTAGGACCATTTTCCACACTCTGAGGTCTGTCCCATAGACCCTGGCCAACGAATGAAATGAGTACTCAGACACAGGTAGGTATGCAATGTAAGAGCAGCTAGGTGACTGCCTGGCTCTAGTGGCCAGAGAGCAGCCCCAAGAACCTGGAGCTGCTTGCTTTTATTCAGTGCAGGCACAATGCCAAAAACCTGGAGCAAACACAACCTGCAGGTAATTAACATTCATTGTTCCCCTTTCAGGGAACGTCACACACACAGATGATCAAAGGTCAGTTCCTGATCAATATAAATAAACAAGCCTGTTTAAGATAAATTCCCCTATACTCCCTCGTACCTACACTTTGCCCTCTGCCTCAGGGTTATAGAACAGCTGCCTTCAGCTATTCTCCCCCAGGGCTCTGCAAAACCTTCCAATCTTTCAGAAGGTTTGCGTCCTTTCCCTGTAGTTTTTCCCACCACGCCAACCGATCCCCTACACCACACCCCTATGATTGCATTCCCAACCAATCAGCAGCACTTATTCCTTAACCCCTTGCCTGCCAAACTATCTTTTTGATACCCTAGCCTCCAAATTTTCAGGGAGGCTGATTTGAGTAATAATAAAACTTCGGTCTTCTGTTTAGTTGGCTCTACAGGTACTAAATTCTCTATCACAATTCCCCTGTCTTGATAAATTGGTTCTATCCGGGCAGCAGGCAAGATGAACTAATTGGGCTGTTAGAAAACCAGCAGTCTCTCAGCCACTAGAAAGTGGCAAACCAGGAACTTCTCAAAAGATCCCATTTCCAGAGCATTTTTTTTTTCAAGGCAGATCTCACTCTGACACCCAAGCTGAAGTATAGTAGTGCAATCTTGGCTCACTGCAGCCTAGACCTCCAGGGCTCAGGCTACCCTCTCATCTCATCTTCCTAAGTAGCTGGGACTACAGGCATACGCTACCACATCTGGCTAGTTTTTTGTAGAGACAGGGCTTTGCCATGTTGCCAGGCTGGTCTTGAACTCTTGGGCTCAAGTGATCTTCGCACCTCAGCCTCCCAAAGTGCTAGGATTACAGGTGTGAGCCACTGCGCATAGCCAATAGCATTGTTTTTATTTAATGTATCTCTTAGTTCTTTGAAGAAGTCCCATTTGCAGGGCACTGTTGTCATTTGACATGACTCAGATATTGCTCTGTGGGAAAAATTCCTATATGCAGAGCATTTGTCTAAAACAGTCAGTTGTGATTATCTAACACAGCAATTGCCTAAGGCAACAATACTAGTATACGAAAATAAAATCCCAGCCTGGAATATCTGAAGGAAAGGATCTTTACAGGGCCTTTGAAAGGCCCTGGCATATCCCTGAAGACCTAGAAGGCCATGTGCATGTTCAGCACTGTGCAAATGCTCAGGAAAGAACTGAAAGGACCCCAGTATCTCACCTCTGGCTTACTTGAGACCCTGCGAAAACAGGAAGTGAAGCTTAAGGGTGACTGGAAAATTGCCTGAGCATCAGAGTGGCTCAACACAAACACAGAGAGCTCTTTGGTAAACAATGGAAGATTTATTGATTCAAGGTATTTGTGGAAATCTCTAATCAGTCAATAGCTGAATACTAGCCCTTCTTAGTAGAGAATTCAGAGGCTGCACACTACAGAAAATATAGATTGTATTGGTTCAAAGTGCCAAAAACTAGGTGGCTTTAAACAAAAGAAATTTATTGTCTCACAGTTCTGGAGTCTAGAAGTTCAAAATCAAGATGTTGTCAGCGCCATGCTCTCACTGGCAACTCTAGGTGAGAACTTTTCTGGCCTCTTCTAGCTTCTAATGATTTCCAGCAATCCTTGGGCCTCTTTGGTTTATAAATATACTACTATGGTCACATTCCATTTTTTCTCTGTGGGTCTTCATATTTTCTTCCCACTGTGCCTATATGACTCTGTGTGCAAATGTCCTTTTTATAAGAACAACACTCATATTGAATTAGGGTCGACCCTAATGATCACGTTTTAACCCAATAACCTCTGTGAAGATCCTATTTCCAAATAAGGACACATTCTGAGGCACTGAGGATTAGAACTAAACATATCTTTTTGAAGGGACGCAATTCAACCCATAATATAGACTTTACAAATTAGTCCAGGAAAGTGATTGAATGAACACAGACACACACACACACACACACACACACACACACCCCAGCAGCAGCAATAAAACAGTAACAACAAACTCTGGGGAGAAGGAACCTGATTTTGAGAGTCACCATATTATATTACCCAAAATGTCCAGTTTTCAATAAAAATATATGTGGCTCATTTAAAAAAACAAAAAAATATGGCCCATACACAGGAAAAAGGTAGTCAATAGAAACTCTCCCTAGGGAAGCCAAGATGTTGAACATAGCAGACAAACATTTTAAATCAGGTCAAAGAATTAAAGGAAACAGAGTGTAAAAAATTAAAGTATGACAGTGACATCTCACCAAATAGAGAATATTAAAGATAAATCATTATAAAAAAGAACCAAATATAATTTGTGGAGTTGAAAAGAACAATAACTAAAATGAAAAACTCACTAGAGGAGCTCAATAACAGATTAGAGCCGGCAGGAATAAAAGAATCAGTGAACTTGAAAATAGATCAAATAAGATTACCCACTTTGAGAAACAGAAAGAAAAAAGAATGAAGAAAAATGAAAAGCCCCACAGAGACCAGTGTGATACCTTCAAGCAGATCTAAATAAAAAGACGTTTCATGTTTGCTCATTAGAAGAATCAATATTGTGAAGATAGCAATTATCTCCCAAATTCATTTACAGATTCAACACAATCCCTATCAAAAATTTCAGTAGGCTTTTTTTGTGTGTGTGGAAATTGATAAATCCTGAAAATTATGTGAAAATGAAAAACACCCAAAGTAGTCAAAATAATTTAGAAAAATAAGAACAAATTTGGAGGACATTCACTGCTCAGTTTCAAAACTTATTATAAAAGCTATAATCTGATACTTGTACATAGACATATAGGCATATGGATTTTTTATTTTTTTTCATTTTTAATTTTTGTGGGTACATAGTAGGTGTATATATGGGTACATCAGATGTCTTGGTACAGACATGCAATGTGAAACAAGTGCATTATGAAGAATGGAGTATCCATCCCCTCAAGCATTTATCCACTGATTTGCAAACAATCCAATTACATTTTGTAAATTATTTTTAAATGTACAGTTGTTATTGTTGACTATAGTCATCCTGTTTTGCTATCAAATAGTAAGCCTTATCCATTCTTCTTATCCATCTTAAGTAAGCCTTATCCATATTTGTATGCAAGGATACAAATCAGCTAGAAGTAAAAAGATGAATAAAAGATATATAATGCAAATAGTTCCCAAAATAGAGCTGGAGAAGTTATACTAATAAAAGACAAAACACATACACATAGTAAGAGTACCAGAAAGAATGGAGAGGAATGGATAGAAAGAATATTTGAGGAGACAATGGCTGAAATCTTCCCAACATTGATAGAAAAAACAAATGAACCACAAGTAGAAAAGCTCAAAGAAAGTCACACATAAATACATCATAGTCAAACTGTAGAAAGACACAAAGAGGGAATCTTGAAAGCAATAAGAGAAAATCAACTCATTATGTACAAGAAAGTCTCAATAAAATTAATGCTGACATTTCATCAGAAACTATGGAGATCAGAAAGTATCAGGATAACATAATTGAAGTGTTAGGGGAAGGGCAACCACTGACCAAAAGTTCTATATCTAACACAACAATTTTCAAAACTGCGGAAGAAATATAGTCCAAGGTAAACAAAAGCTTACAGAATTTACAACCAGCAAATCTGCCCTAAAGGGCTTCCTTCAGCGTAAAATGAAAGACAAATAAAATTATAATTTTTGTACTGCTTTCTTCTCTGAATTAGAAGACAAGTGCATAAAGGAATAAATATAAATCTGTGTTGATGATCTAATGTATAAAGATGTAATTTGTATAATAATATTACATAAGAGGAGGGAGGGAATGGAGTGATACTGGAGCAAAATTTCTGTATTTCTGTGTACTATTGAAATTAAGTTAGTATTTATCCAAACTAGTTTGCTTTAAGATGGCAGTTGTAATCCTGAGGATAACCACTAAGAAATAACATTTTTAAAAAGAGTAGAAGAAACAACACGGGAATTTAAATGACAAAATTGAAAACATCTATTTAACACAAGAGAAGTCAGTAATGAGGAAAGAGACGAACAAAAAAGACAAAAGACACACAGGAAACAAATAGCAAAATGGCAGACATATATCCTACCTTATCAGTAATTAAATTAAATGTAAATAATTAAATGCTCCAACCCAAAAGGCAGAGGCACGTTGAAAGGATAAAACTATATGATCCAATTATATGCTGCCTACAAGAGAGAACTTAGATTCAAAGACACAAATCAGCTAGAAGTAAAAAGATGAATAAAAGATATATAATGCAAACAGTAACCAAAATGGAGTTGGAGAGGTTATACTAATAAAAGACAAAATAAACTTTAAAAAATTGCTACTAGATGGGAGACATTTTATAATGATAAAAGCATCAACTCAGAAGGACTACATAAAAATTATAAACACCTAATAACTGATCCCTAAATATACAAAACTAAAACTGGTAGAATTCAAGGTAGAAATAGAAAATTCAACAATAGTAGTTATAGACTTTAATATTCCACTCTCGAAAACTGATAGATAAGTCTCAAGCCTAAGCAACAAAGAAAAAAACTGATAGAACAACTAGAAAAAAAATTCAACAAAACTACATAAAACTTTAAAAACATTATCAACCAACTTGACCAAAAGCCCATCAACACCAAGAATATACATTCTTTTCAAGCACATATGGGATATTCTCCAGGATAAATCATATGTTAAGTCATGAAATAAGTATTAATAAATTTAGGAGGAGGAAAATTATACAAATAAAGTTAAATTAGAAATTTTTTAGAAAAGAAGGAAACTACAATAACTGAGAAAGTATGGTATTGGCAAAAGGTTAAAAAAATAAATCAAGGGAACAGAATAGACAGCCCAGAAATAGATCGATACAGATATAATCAATTAAACTTTGACAAAAGAGCAAAGGCAGTTCAATGGAGAAAAGAGAGTCTTTTCAATAAATGGTGCTAGAACAACTGGAAATTCATATGCCAAAAAAAAAAAAGTGAATCCAGTCACAGACCACACACTTTTCACAAAAGTTAACCCCAAGTGGATTAGAGACCTAAATTTAGAACAAGAAACCACAAAGCTCTAGAATGTAACATAAGATAAAAGCTAGGTGACCTTTGGTTTGTTGATGACTTCTTAGATACAACACCAAAAGCACAACATATGACAGCAAAAATTGATGTCATACTTCATTACAATTAAAAATTTCTGCTCGCAAAAGATCACTCTTATGAGAATAAAAATATAAGCCACAGACTGGAAGTAAATATTTGCAAAATACAAATCTGATGAATCATTATACCTAAAATATAGATACAACTATTGAAACAAAACTCAGCAATAAGAAAGTAAACAACCCAATTAATTAATAAGTGAGCAAAAAAAACTGAACAGACAGTTCACCAAAGAAAACATATAGATAGCAAATAAGCATATGAAAAGCTGTCCTACATCATATGTCGTCAGGGTATTGCCAACTAAAACAACAGTGAGATCCCTGCCTTCTCAGGGATCTTGTGTTAGTGATCATCATCCAGCGAATGACTACAGCTTCTGCTTGCCTGTAAATAATACTCTCTTTCATCATTAAAAACAATCCTCGGCCGGGCGCGGTGGCTCACACCTGTAATCCCAGCACTTTGGGAGGCCGAGGCAGGCAGATCACGAAGTCAGGAGATCAAGACCATCCTGGCTAACACAGTGAAACCCCGTCTCTACTAACAATATAAAAAATTAGCCAGACATGGTGACAGGTGCCTGTAGTCCCAGCTACTCGGGAGGCCGAGGCAGGAGAATGACGTGAACCCAGGAGGCGGAGCTTGCAGTGAGCCGAGATTGCGCCACTGCACTCCAAAGCCTGGGCGACAGAGCAAGACTCCGTAAGAAAAAAAAAAAAAAAATCCAGAACATTTACAGCACCAAAGGCTGACAAGGATGTGGAGCAATGGAGTTTCTCATTCATTACTGGTGGGAATGCAAAACTGGTACAGTAAAATTGAAAGAGACAGTTTGGAAGTTTCTGACAAAAATAAACATAGGCTTACCACATGATCCAGCAATTGTGTTCCTTGGTATTTACTCAAATGAGCTGAAATATATACACAAAAACCTGCACATGAAGAATTATAGCAGCTTTATTCACAATTTGCTAAAACTTGGAAGCAATCAAAATATCCTTCAGTAAGTAAATAGATAAACAAACGGTGGTACATCCTAGCTGTGGTATATTCCAATATACAATGGAATATTATTCAGCAATTACATGAGCTATCAAGCTACAGTAAAACATGAGAAAAACCTTAAATGCATATTGTTAAGTGAAAAAAGTTAAACTAAAAAGATTACATATTGCATGATTTCAATCTTATGATATTCTGCAAAAGGCACAACTCTAGAGGGAGAAAAAAGATATGTTTTCTGGAGACTTGAGGGAAGGAGGAAACAAATGAAGTGCAGGAGATTTTTTCTTTTTTTCTTTTTTTTTTTTTTTTTGAGACGGAGTCTTGCTCTGTCGCCCAGGCTGGAGCGCAGTGGCGCAATCTCGGCTCACTGCAAGCTCCGCCTCCCGGGTTCACGCCATTCTCCTGCCTCAGCCTCCCGAGTAGCTGGGACTACAGGCACGCGCCACCATGCCCGGCTAATTTTTTGTATTGTTAGTAGGGACGGGATTTCACCATGTTAGTCAGGATGGTCTCGATCTCCTGACCTCGTGATCTGCCGGCCTCGGCCTCCCAAACTGCTGGGATTATGGGTGTGAGCCACCGCGCCTGGCCGGGGATTTTTAGGATAGTGAAAGTGTTCATATACGATACTGTAATGGTGTACACACATCATTACACATTTGTAACAACCCACAGAATATACACTATGGAGAAACTCTAATGTAAATTATGAATTTTAGTTAATGACAATGTATCAGTTTTGACTCATCAAGGGTAACAAATGTACCATGCTAATGCAAGATGTTAATAATAGGGGAATCTGGGTAGGAAGCATGAAAGGGGAGTGGTAGTGGGTAGAGGGAAAATGTGGACATTCTCAGTAGTTTCTGCTCAATTTTTCTGTAAACCTGAAACTGCTTTTAAGATAAAATCTATTGCTTTATTGCAAGATACAAGATAAGTATATAAAAATCAATTGTATTTCTAAATAAGAGTGAAATTGAGAATAAAATGCCATTCATAATAGCAACAAAAAGAATATAATAGGAATAAATTTAGCAGAAAAAAATATAAAACATACACTGAAAATAACAAAACTTTGCTGAAGTCAATTAAATAAGATCTAAATAAATAAAAAGACATTTCATGTTTGTTCATTAGAAGAATCAATATTGTGAAGATAGCAATTATCTCCCAAATTCATTTATAGATTCAACACAATCCCTATCAAAAATTCCAGTAGACTTTTGTGCGTGTGGAAATTGATAAATCCTGAAAATTATGAGAAAATGAAAAACACTCAAAGTAGTTAAAATAATTTAGAAAAATAAGAACAAACTTGGAGGACATTCACTTCTCAATTTCAAAACGTATTATAAAAGCTATAATTTGGTACTGATACACAGACATATAGGCATATGGATTTATTTATTTGTTTTCTTTTTCATTTTTAATTTTTGTGAGTACATAGTAGGTGTATATATGGGTATATGAGATGTTTTGGTACAGACAGGCAATGTAAAACAAGCACATTATGAAGAATGGGGTATCGATCCCCTCGAACATTTATCCATTGAGTTGCAAACAATCAAATTACATTCTTTAAGTTATTTTTAAATGTTCAGTTGTTATTATTGACTATTGACTATAGTCACCCTGTTGTGCTATCAAATAGGAAGCCTTATCCATTATTTTTAACTATTTTGTTTTGTACGCTTTATTGTCACCTTTGCACCAATACCCCACCACCCTTCCCAGCCTCTGGTAATCAGCCTTCTACTCTCTATGTCCATGAGTTCAATTGTTTTCATTTTTAGATCTCACAAATAACGGAGAACATGTATTGTTTGTCTCTCTGTGCCTGGCTTATTTCAGTAAACATAATGATCTCCGGTTCCATCCATGCTGATGCAAATGACTGGATCTCATTCTTTATCATGGCTGAATAGTGCTCCCTTGTGTATATGTACATTTTCTTTCTTTATTCATCTGTTGATGAATGCTTATGTTGCTTCCAAATCTTAGCTACTGTAAACAGTGCTGCAACAAACATAGGAATGCAGATATCTCTTCAATTTATGGATTTATTTTCTTTTGGGTTTATACCCAGCAGTGGGATTGCTGGATCATATGGTAGCACAATTTTTAGTTTTTTAAGTAAACTCCAAACTGTTCTCCTTAGTGGTTGTACTAATTGACATTCCCACCAATGGTGTACAAGGGTTCGCTTTTTTTGCACATCCTTACCGGCATTTGTTATTTGGATAAAAGTCATTTGTCTTTTGTATATAAGCCGTTTTGATTGGGGTGAAATGATATCTTGTTGTAGTTTTGATTTGCATTTCTCTGATGATCAGTGATGTCAAGCACCTTTTTATATGTCTGTTTGTCATTTGTATGTCTTCTTTTTAAAAATGTCAACTTAAATTTTTTGCCCATTTTTGACTGAATTATATTTTTTCCTATAGATTTGTTGGAACTCCTTATATATTCTGACTATTAATCCCTTGTCAAGTGGGTAGTTTGCAAATATTTTATCCCATTCTGTGGGTTGTCTCTTCACTTTGTTGATTGCATCCTTTGCTGTGCAGAAGCTTTTTAACTTGATGTGATCCTATTTGTCCATGTTTGCTTTGGTTGCCTGTGCTTGTGGGGTATTGCTCAATAAATTGTTCTCCTGACCAACGTCCTGGAGATTTCCCCCAATGTTTTCTTGTAGGAGTTTCATAGTTTCAGGTCTTAGATTTAAGTCATTAATCCATTTTGATTTGATTTTTGTATATGGCAAGAGATGGGGATCTAGTTTCATTCTTCTGCATATGCATATAGTTTTCCCATCACCGTTTATTAAAGAGATTTTCTTTCCCCAGTGTGTTCTTGGCACCTTTGTCAAAAATGAATTCATTGTAGGTGTGTGGATTTGTTTCTGCATTCTCTATTCTATTCTATTGGTCTATGTGTCTGCTTTTATGCCAGTACCATGCTGTTTTGGTTACTATGGCTCTGTAGTAGAATTTGAAGTCTGGTAATGTGATTTCTCCAGTTTAGTTCTTTTTGCTTAGGATAGCTTTAGTTATTCTGGGTCTTTGGTGGTTCCATATAAATTTTGGGATTTTTTTTCTATTTCTGTGAGGAATGTCATTGGTATTTTGATAGGAATTGCATTAAATCTGTAGATTTCTTTGGGCAATAATATGGACATTTTAACAACGTTGATTCTTCCAATTCAGGAATGTGGAACATTTTTCCCATTTCTGGTGTCCTCTTCAATTTTTTTAATCAGCATTTTATAGTTTTCATTATAGAGCTCTTTCACTTCTTTGGTTAATTCCTAGGTATTTAATTTTATGTGTGGCTACTGTAAATAGAATTACTTTTTTATTTCTTTTTCACATTGTCCACTGTTGGCACTGTTGTGTTTCCACTTTTCTGAATTTGTGTATCAGTTCTAATAGTCTTTTGATGGCATCTTTATGTTTTTCAAAGTATAAGATTCTATCATCTGCAAATGAAGATAATTTGACTTCTTCCTTTCCAATTTATGTCCTTTATATCTTTCTCTGGTCTGATTTCTCTATCTAGCTGGGACTTCCTATACTGTGTTGAACAACAGTGGTGACATCCTTGTTGTATTTCAGATTTTAGAGGAAAGGCTTTCAGTTTTTTTCCCATTTCGTATCATAATAGTTGTGGTTCTGTGGTATATGACTTTTATTGTGTTGAGGAATGTCCCTCGTATTTCCAGATTTTTTAGGGTTTTTATCATGAAGAGATGCTGAATTATATCAAATGCTTTTTTAGCATCAATTGAAATGATCATAAGGTTTTTATCTTTCATTCTGTTAATATGGTGTATCACATTGATTGATTTGCATATGTTGCATCCAACTTTGCATCCCAGGGATAAATCCCACTTGTTCAAGATGAATGATCTCTCTAATGTATTGCTGAATTCAGTTTATAGTATTTTACTGAGTATTTTTGCATCAATATTCATCAGCGGTGTTGGCCTGTAGTTTTCTTTTTTTGGATGTGTCTTTGTCTGGTTTCAGTATCAGGGTAATACTGGCCTCATAGAGTGAGTTTAGAAGTACCTCCTCCTCCTCTATTTATTGGAATAATTTGAGTATGATTGGTATTAATTCTTCTTTAAATGTTTGGCAGAATTCAACAGTGACTCCATCAGGTCCTGGAATTTTCTTTACTGGGAGACTTTTTATAACCGCTTCGATCTCATTACTTGTTATTGGTCTGTTCAAGTTTTGGATTTCCTCCTGACTCAATCTTGGTAGGTTGTATCTAGGAATTTGTCCAATTCATCTAGATTTTCTGATTTATTGGCATATAGTTGCTCATAGTAGCCACTAATAATCATTTGAATTTCTTCAGTATCAATTATAATGGCTACTTTTTCATTTCTGGTTTTATTTACTTGGATCTTTTATCTTTTTTCTTAATTAACCTAGCTAAAGGTTTGTCAGTTCTGTTTAACTTTTCAAAGAAACGACTTTTGATGTCATCAATTTTGGGTTTTTTTTTTTCACTTCAATTTTTTTTTTAGTGGAGTCTTGCTCTGTTGCCCAGGCTGGAGTGTAGTGGCACAATCATGACTTGACTCACTGCAACCTCCACCTCCGAGGCTGAAATGATTCTGGTGCCTCAGCCTCCCAAGTAGCTGGGACTACAGGCCCCCACCACCAAACCTGGCTAATTTTTGGTATTTTTAGTAGAGATTTAGTAGATTTAGTAGAGATTTAATAGAGATTTTAGTAGAGATATTTAGTAGAGATTTCAGAGAGGTTTCACCATGTTGGTCAGGCTGGTCTCTAACTCCTCACCTCAAGTGATCCACCCACTTCAGCCTCCCAAAGTCCTGGGATTACAAGTGTGGGCCACTGCTCCTGGCCTAATTCCAATTTCATTTATTTCTGCTCTGATCTTTATTATTTATTTTCTTCTGCTAATTTTGATTTTGGTTTGCTCTTGCTTTTCTAGTTCTTTAAGGTGCATCATTAGGTTGTTTATTTGAAGTTTTTCCTCTTTGTTGATGTAGGTACTTAAAACCATAACTTTTTCTCTTAGTATTATTTTTGCTCTATCCCATAGGTTTTGGTATGTTGTGTTTCCATTATCATTTGTGTCAAGAAATTTTTCAGTTTCCTTCTTAATTTCTTCATTGACCCACTGGTCATTCAGGAGCATGATGTTTAATTTGCATGTATTTCTGTAGTTTCCAAAATTCCTTTTGTTATTAATTTGTAGTTTCATTCCATTGCGGCCAGAGGAGATGCTTGATGTTATTTCAAACTTTTTTGAATATTGTAAGACTTGTTTTGTGACCTAACATATGGTCTATCCTTGAGAATGATCCATGTGCTCTGGAAAAGAGTATATTCTGCAGCTCTTGGATAAAATGTTCTGTAAATATCTATTAGATCAATTTGGTCTATAGTGCAGATTAAGTCTGATTTTTCTGTGTGAAAGATCTGTGCAATGGTGAAAGTGGGATGTTGAAGTCTCCAGCTATTATTGTGCTGGGGGATGTCTCTTTCTTTAGGTCTAATAGTATTTTCTTTATATATCTTAATGTTCCAGTGCTGAGTGCTTATATATTTATAATTGTTATATCCTCTTGCTGAATTGACCTCTTTATCATTGTATAGTGACCTTCTTTGTCTCTTCTTACAGTTATTTTACATGACTCAAGTAAGCATCAGAACTTATTACAGTTTTTGTCTTGAAATCTATTTTATCTGATATCAGTCTAGTGACATCTGTTCTTGTTTGTTTGTTTGTTTTATTTTGCTTCCATTAGCATGAAAACCAATAGAAATCTTCCCTTTATTTTTCAGTTTGTGTGTGTCTTTATAGGTGAAGTGTGGTTCTTGTAGGCAACAGATCTGTGGGTCTTGCTTTTTTTTCCATCCCTTTATTTTGAGTTTGTGTGTGTCTTTATAGGTGAACTGTGTTTCTTGTAGACAACAGATCAGTGAGTCTTGCTTTTTCATCCATTCAGCCAGACATGTCTTTTTATTGGAAAGTTTAGTCCATTTACATTCACTGTTATTATTGATAAGTAAGGTTTTACTCCTGCCATTTTGTTATTTGTTTTCTGGTTGTTTTGTGCTTTTCCCTTCCTTCCTTCTTCCTTTCATTCCTGTCTTCCTCTAGTGAAGATGATTTTCTCTTGTGACGTGATTTAGTTTTTTGCTTTTTTATTTTTTGTGTATACATTTGTATGTTTTTTGGTTTGAGGTTATCACGAGGCTTGCAAATACTGTCTTATAACCCATTATTTTAGCCTGATAACAACGTAACACTATTTGCATACACAAACAAGCAAAAAAGAAAACTAATAAAAACTTGCCTTAACTGCATCCCCCCACTTAACTTTTTGTTGTTTCTATTTATATCTTATTGTACTGACTATGTCTTGAAAATTATTGTACTTATTATTTTTTATTAGTCCATCATTTATTCCTTCTACTTAGGATAAGAGTAGTTTGCACACCATAGTTACAAATGTTATAATATTCTGTGGTTTTCTGTGTGCTTAATATTACCAGTGAGTTTTGTACCTTCAAGTGATTATTTATTGCTCATTAATGTCTTTTTCTTTCTGATTGAAGTACTCCCTTTAGCATTTCATGTAAGACAGGTCTGGTATTGATGATATCCGTCAGCTTTTGTTTGTCTGGGGAAGTCTATTTCTTCTTGATGTTTGAAGGATCTTTTCACCAGATAGACTATTCTAGGGTAAAAGTTTTTTCCTTCAGCACTTTAAATATATCAGGCACTCTTTCCTGGCCTGTAAGGTTTCCACTGAAAAGTCTGCTCCCAGACCTACTGGAGTTTCGTTGTACATTGTTTCTTTTCTCTTGCTGATTTTAGGATTCTTTCTTTATCCTTGATATATGGGAGTTTGATTATTAAACGCCTTGAGGTAGTCTTCTTTAGGTTAAATCTGTTTGGTGTTCTATAACGTTCTTGTGCTTGGATATTGATATCTTTCTCTAGGTTTGGGAAGTTCTCTGTTATTTTCCCTTTGAATAAGCTTTCTATCCCTATCTCTTTTTCTACCTCCTATTTAAGGCCAATAACTCTTAGATTTGCTCTTTTGAGACTATTTAGCATGCCTAAATCCTATAGGCTTGCTTCATTCTTTTTTATTCTTTTTTCTTTTGTCTCTTCTGATTGTGTATTTTTTTATTTTTAAATCTTTTTTAATCTTATTTTTAAAAATAAGCACTATTTTATTTTTATTTTATTTTTTAAGACAGAGTCTCACTCTGTCACCCAGACTGGAGTGCAGTGGCATGATCTTGGCTCACTGCAACCTCTGCCTCCCAGATTCAAGAGATTCTCATGCCTCTGCCTCCTGAGTAGCTGGGATTACAGGCATGTGCCATCATGCCCAGCTAATTTTTGTATTTTTAGTAGAGATGGGGTTTTGCCATATTGGCCAGGCTGGTCTCAAACTCCTAGCCTCAAGTGATACACATGCCTCAGCTTCCCAACGTGCTGGGATTACAAGTGTGAGCCACCACAACTGACCCATATTTGAAACTGTGTATTTTCAAATAGACCATCTTTAAGCTCACTGATTTTTTCTTCTGCTTGATCCATTCTGCTGTTAAAGGACTCTGATGCATTCTTCAGTATGCCAATTGCACTTTTCAGCTCCAGAATTTCTGCTTCATTCTTATTAATTATTTCAATCTCTTTGTTAGATTTATCTGATAGAATTCTGAATTCCTTCTCAGTGTTGTCTTGAATTTCTTTGAGTTTCCTCTGCACAGCTAATTTGAATTTTCTATATGAAATATCACACATCATTGTTGTTCCAGGGTTGGTCCCTGGTGTCTTATTTAGTTCATTTGGTGAGGTCACATTTTCCTGAATGGTGTTGATGCTAGTAGATATTCTTCTGTATCTGGGCATTGAAGACTTAGGTATTTATTTTAGTCTTTACTGTCTGGGCTTATTTGTAGCCATCCTTCTTGGGAAGGCTTTCCAAATATTTGAAAGTACTTGGGTATTGTGATCTAAGCTTTATCTGCTTTAAAGGGCATGCCAAACCCAGCAATGCTGTGATTCTTGCAGACTTGTAGAAGTACTGCCTTGATGGTCTTGGACAAAATCTTGGAGAAATTGCTGGATTACTAGGCAGAGACTCTTTCTCTTCCTTTGCTTTCTCCCAAACATACAGACCCTCTCACACCCCTTTAGCCACCACCACTGTGACTGTGCTGGGTCAGACCTGAAACCAGCCCACCACTGAGTTTCACCCAAGGCCTGCTGTAACCATGCCCTGGCTACTGCCTATGTTCACTCAAGCCCCAGGGCTCTACAATCAGCAAGTGGCAAAGCCATCCAGGCCTGTGTCTTTTTTTGAATGCTGGTGAGGTCCCCCAGGCCCTAGGTGGGTCCAAAAGGGCCATCTGGAAGTCAGAGACTAAAGTCAAAAACCTTAGAAGTCTACCTGGTATTCTGCTGTATTGCAGCTCAGCTGGCATTCAAACCACAAGATGTGGTCCTTCCTATTCTACTCTCCCCTTTCCAAAGGCAGAGGAGCTTCACCCTGTAGCCACCACCCCTGACCATACGAGTACTTAGGCATATAGATTAATGGAGCATAATTGAGAGCTCCAAAATAAAGCATATATTTCATTAAACTGATTTTTTACAAAGTTACCAAAGCAATTCACTGAGGAAAGTATAGTCTGTTTAACAAATGGTACTAGGACCATTAGATGTCCACATGCAAAAAGATGAACTTAGACTTTTGCCTCAGACCATATCAAAAATTAACTAAAAATAAATCATAAACTTAAAGGTAGGAGCCAAAATAATAAAACTTCTTTTAAAAGTTTCATTGCTTTGGCTCCTACATTTAAGTTTATGATTTATTTCGAGTTCATTTTCTTCACTAGTGGAAGAAAATCTTTGAGATATTGGGTTAGGCAAAGACCAAAAAGCATGGTTTGTAAAAGAACAGTATTAATAAATTGGACCTCAGCAATGTTTAAAACTTTTGCACTTCCAAAGGCACCATTAAAAAAAGTGAAAAGATGAGCAATAGACAGAAAGCAAGTATTTTCAAACACATACTCATGTGGACACTGCCAAGGTTTATGGTTTTACCTTCCAGAGCAGTGGGTTGGGACATACTTGGGCCCACTTGAGCCACAGCTGAGGCAACTGAGGGGCACTGCACCAGAAATCAGGGAACAGAGTCCCAAGGTGGTGTAGGGCAGTGAACACTGAGGTCCCACAGGTACCTCTTTAGCTATCTTGCCTTCAAAGTTCTAGCTTGACTCAAAGATCTCTAAAATGCCCTTGGGTCCGTCTTCCATTGTCTTGATGAATAGAAACTCCCTTCCTTTTATCCTTATTAATCTTTTTAGCAACTGCTCACTTGACCACACCCTTAATATACTCTTCCAAACATGCTTTTTGACTTTTTGCATGGCCAGGCTCAGAGTTTTCTAAATCTTTCCATTCTGCTTCACATTTAATTATAAATTTTGATTTAAATCGTTTTTCTCCTCTCTAATTTTACTGTAAGCAGCCAAAAGAAACCATATAGCACCTTGAATACTTTGTTGCTTATATACTTCTTCTTCCAGATATCCCGGTACATCATGCTTAAGTTTGTCTTCAACAAATTTTAGGACGTGGACATAATTCTGCCAAGTTCTTTGTAACTGTATAACAAGATGGGCCTTTATTCCAGATTTCAGTGCTTTTTTTCCTCGTATCCGTCTGAGCTCTCATCAGAAAGGTCTTTGCCATTTATATTTTTACCAACATTCTGATCACAACCACTAACATAATCCCTAAGATTTTGGCTTTCCCTACAGCTCTTGTCTTCTGGGAGCCCTTGTCAGAATTATCCTTAGTGCTTCACTTATAGCAATCTAGGCTTCTTCTAGTGTTAAATAAAAATCATAGGAGGCCATTGTTTTAGATTAAGGTCCTGAACTAGGCCTCAACAGACCAGACTAAAAATCAAAATGGTGTCACCCATGCTAAAGTTTTAGATCAGCAAAACAAAATTAAGTTTTTACCTGACCTTCCAAGAAATCAGGAAAGAGATAGCCAATTTCCCAAACAGGCCAGTTTCAATCTTCAATCAGTATGATAATGAAGTTCCCGCTGTTTTAATCTTTACAACAAAAAGTAACCTGATGTTAACCAATCAGTTATTTTTCTATTGTTTGGTCTCACTGTCCTGTTCTTATAAGGAAAGTATTTTTGAAATGACCATCTGTTTTTATTCTTTGTTTCTACTTTCTTCAGCCCTTTTCCATCTAGAAAACCAATCCCTTCTGCTCAATTCGTTGGAATACTTATTCTATTTTATAAAATGAAGTGTTGTCTAACTCTGGAATTGCAATAGAAGCCAATTAAGATCTTCAAGCTAAACTTGTAATTTTGTCTTTTGACATTAGCCTGCTCATCCAAATTCTTCCAGCCTTTACCCATTACCCAGTTGCAAAGCTGCTTCCACATTTTTAGGTATTTGTTACAGCAACAGTCACACTTCTCAGACAAATGTTCTGTCTTGGTTCATTTTCTGCTGCTATAACAGAATACCTGAGACTTGGTAATATATAAAAAATAAGGATTTATTTCTTACAGTTCTAATAGCTAGGAAGTCCATGATTGAGGGTCTGCAGCTAGTGAGAGTCTTCCTGCTATGTCATAACATGGTAGAAATCATTATATGGAGAGAGAGCACATGTGAGAGAAGGAGAAAAAGGGAGAGGGAGAAAGAGAGTGATTGAACTCACAGCCATAAGCTCTTTTATCCTTGACATTGTAAACCAAACATAAAATTCTAAGTCTCCCCAGCTGACTTAATGGACAAGGACCTTGCTTTGGGCAAAGGTATCCCAAAGAATCCTGAAAAACTAATTTAGGACAAGATAGGAAGGCTGCAGTGAGGAAGCAGGGTCAGGCATGCCTCATTATACCCTTCTCTTTTTGGAGTTTAGGAATGGCTAGGAAGTCCAAGCCATTTAGTGTTATTAAAATAGAGATCATGGACTGACAAAATAGACTCTTTGTAACAATAAAATACCCAGCTCCAATCTGACTCTGGTACAACCTTACCACAGTGGCAGTTACATCTGCCCCTAAAACTTAAAACTCCAACCCAGGATAAAAGAGAGCAACAAAAGACTGAAAGGAGGAACATCCTGAATATGATTAAATCTCAAAATTAAATGACTGAAAAATAACTCAATTGACCTTTACTTAAAAATGACTAAGTTTTCTGCCACATGACAAAGAAGGGCCTAGAGACAAAAATCAAAGTGAACTATACAGACAATGAAGGAATGGACACTAGAGAAACTTCTAGATGAAGAACTCTACCCTTCACTGAGGTTCTCAAACTTTAACTCGAGAATGTGGCAGGAATAGCTAACCTGAAATTTGCATGAGGACATGCTGGTGGGCACTTAATCCCCATGTATCATTGGCAAATCTAAAAATGCCAGGACTGTCACTAGTAATGAACTACCAAAGAGTGAGTGAGACATCTAAACAAAACATTGCATGTGGAAGACCTAAAGAGGAAACCTGGGAACTCATTATTTACTTATTTTAATAATTTACAGATTGGGCACAAAGGTTTACTTATACAAACATTGATTTTAAAATCAGAGATCTTTCAACTATGTTGTCCTTGAACTTTGGAATCTGGTTAAATAATGTCTATTTAGATTCTCAGACTAATACAGGCATAGATACATTGTTCCAATAGATTCTTTTACATTTCCTTGAATCTAGTAAAAACTGAAAAGCATGTTCTGTTTTTTTCCTCTTATTTAGATATCTTCTAAGTGGCCATTTCGTGCAAGGAAATGATATAGGTTTGCTTTAAATATGTTTTACTCAACATTAAGCATTTTGGTTTTGATCCTGTTCCGTTGAAAACGTTTATAATATACCAACTTGTGTTCTTTAGCCTTGCCTTATTTGTCGCACACTGATGCACTTATGTCATTTAGCTGATGGGTGTACCATTAAAATATGCCGTATTTCTCTACATGGAAATAGAAAAACATGGGTGAGTAATCAAATGTTAACAATCACTTGTGACCTCATATTTTAACTTGGATCAAAAATTCACAATTATGACATAATCCATGTACCTCAGAAGTTGATATTTCTACAGAAAAAGTGGGGAAATTACTTGAAACTGAAAATTTGGATAACTTTTTCATTACTAGTTCTGTTGCATAACATGTTATATAACATGCTGGCAAAGAAAAAAAAAACCTTACAAAATTATAAGAAAAAAGTGTCTGTCATGCTTTTACTTATAACTTAATACTTAGTTATAAATACTAAGAAAAGATCTCTAGAACCTTCATGAAAAACTTATCTCATTGCACTGTGCAATGTGATAAAGAACCAGCTATGGGAAAGAAAAAAGAAGGAGAATGGGAAGACTAAAGAGAGATGTTGAAAGAAGAAAGAGTTGGAGAAAGAGAGATGAAGAAAGGGAGCAAAGAGATCTAATTTATCCTTTTGCTATTAATTTAATTATATGCTTCAAATC
Source organism: Homo sapiens (assembly GCF_000001405.40). Lineage (NCBI taxonomy): Eukaryota > Metazoa > Chordata > Mammalia > Primates > Hominidae > Homo > Homo sapiens. The sequence continues at coordinate 86,256,789 of NC_000008.11, forward strand.
CTTAGTTCTTCCAAAGCAGAAATTTTTATATTGGCATATAATGTTTTGAGGGAAATGACCAATTTGTAAAAGCCTCTGCTTGCAAAGCAATACAGTTTGCCCAGCATATGAGGTGACACTTAAAGGCTTATAAATAGAGAAAACTGGTAAATGGAAAGGGGGAGAAAGCAAACTAGTAAGTGCACTTTTCAATGTTGAAATTAATCTTGAAATTCTTCATCGCATTAAAAAATGGGGCAATGTACATTTTGGCTTCATTATTGTCAGTTCTCTAAGTATTTGGAATAATCATACTTTGGTATAACCATATTTGATATAACCATATTTCACTGTATTAGTTAGGACTATGTGTAAATCAAGATATCGGAAATCTGAGTGAATTTTTAAAAATAGAGTCATTTTTCTTTTCTTGCGTAAGAGGAAGCCTAGGGTCAACATCAGTTCAATGGCTCCCTTTTGTCAAAGGGACTCCCTGACAGCCATAGATGGCTGCTAGAGCTTCAGACACAGAATCTAAGCCAAAGCAAGAGGAATGGGAGGGCGGTCAGGCTGCCGCACATATCAAGAAAATTCACAAAAATTCTTTAGCTTGAGAGGTAACTGTTGGGTCAGCTAACCAAACATGTCAGCAAGTTTTCAAAAGCTGTTTTTAATTATTTGTCCTAAGATCCTTATTATGAAATAAATCAAGTTCAAGAGCTCCATAATAAACAGTAAGGAATTTATCTCAAAAGAATATTCAAGGTACTAGGATATTCAATATTCAAGGAACTAGGATAACCTTTAGGTTATTACTTTGTATTATACGCAATAATAATATGCCAGTAGTGCCCAGCATTGCACATCTTTTTCCTTGAGAACTTGCTTACCTTCAGCCTGTGTGTCTACCAGGAATAGGCACTCAGCCCAAAGGCATACATAGATCAGTGACTTACAGATACCTTCTGTGACCTGATCAAAAAGATTAGCTGGGCTAGTAGATTTCTGTAGCAAAATTAAATTTTTTTTTTAAAGAGACAGAAATGGTCACAAACATGAATGTAAAAGAGCTCCACACAGTTGAAATAGACCCATGGTAAGTAATATTAATGTGCAAGAAAAGTTATGATGAAGCAGAAGTTTATAGCATACATTATGCATGCCTAGAATGCATCATTTAAAAATTTCTTTCTGGGTGGGTTCAAGAACCAGTAAGCTAAAGTTAAACAAAAGGCCTAGCGAGCCTAAATTGAAGTAGTAGGAAAAGAGTAATACAAAAGTTTCAGAAAGAGCTATTTATTTTGTAACTAAGGAAAATAAAATGCTATTTATTCCATTCTTTGAATAAATGTTAACTGACCATCTTGAATCAGCAAAATAAACAGTGTTAAACTGCAACTAACTCACCTAGAAAATTAAAACAAATTCTTTGCCAATTAGCAATGGTAAAAGAAGTTTATGACTTTGTATTTCATATAAATATAATAAGTTCTGCTAGCTAGGAACTCAGAAGTCACTTTACAGAGAAGAACACTGAAACATTTTTTTCTGGACTATAGTAGCATATTTTTTAAAAGTGGAAAATAGTGCCAAAATTTGGCTCCCTAAGTACTTTGGATGTTTATTCTCTAGTTTTGCTTAGTTTACTTTTCATGTTTCATAATATTTCCACATGATCAGCATTCTAGACAATCTCTCCACATGGACATAATTTTTCTTCTTCCCCCACTGACTTCACATAATGAGTGTTTATCAGAACTCTTCTCAAGGAAAAAGTTCATGAAAAAGATTTAGAAATGTTTGAACCTACCTTCTAGGCCAACAAAAAGTAGTGAGCAGAGCCATTAGATCATAGTAATGCTTCTTCCTATAAATTATTAGGCGAGTCAGGTAAAACAAGTTAATCAACAATGTTAAAGAGTCTCAAGTTATCTACAGAAGAATCTCCAGGCTTCTCTTTACTTATGGCTGTTTTGGTTTCTGGCTGAACATTCTGAAGAAAGTAGGACACAGCTACCAAGGCTCCATTTCCCATCCCCTGTCTTAAAGGTGTTTGATAGAGAGAGTGATTCCATCGAACTCAGAGAAATTCATGGACCTCACAGGACTCTATGCAGGCACCATGATTGAGATTATTTAGGTTTTTAAATTATAGTTCATATTTGAGAATTCCTTGAGTTTTCTCTTGCCTCCAGACAAGAGACAAGCAAAGGCAGAATGGCCTTCATGGCTCAGCATCCGTAGCCAGAAAAGGTCACACATACAAATTAGGAAACTATTTTTGATAACTTGGACATGGAAAGACCAGCTTAGCTCTCAGTGAGCTATTTAAAACTTGCTCTGGATTCTCAGGCAGCACCAGCTCTTCTGATTACATATTTACAAGCCAACCCTTGAAGATCTGTGCAGCCCTCCACACCACAGCCAGGACACCCAATGCTATTCACCTTTAAAGTGAAGTCCAGATATAACAGGATTATATCCACAAATAACTATGCATGTAGGTGAATATAGTTAACTCCATTTAAGACACAAGCCAATAAGCTCCTTGTCTAGTATCTTCATAAGAATACACATTAAATCTGCTTCTGTATCTTATACTCTTCCAACTTCGTCACAGCTCCCAGGACAAACCTGATATACTGGAGAAAAAAAAATTGAAGAACTATCCGATACAACTTGAGGAGTATGAGAAGGTAGTGGTTAAGTTCATAGATCTCAGAGCCTGACTAGCTATGACCTTTCGCACTTTGCTTAACCTTTCTTTGTCTCAGTTTCATCATTTTAAAGTGAGGGCTAATGGTAATAGTATACCATAAATTTGTTGTGAGAATGGAATGACTTTAATATTTGTAAAATAGTGAGAATCATTTTATGGAACATCATGAGTGCATCAGGAGTATTAGCCATTATTAGTGCAATTCCAGAGATACTGTACTCCATAAAAATGTATTACCCAATACCAAAAATAATTCAAAGTCACATATTCCTGCTAAATAAAGACAACACTGATTTTTTATGACATCATTCATCTATTTCTTTTATCTTGGTCTGGAATAAAAAGGTCACTATCAATCATGAAATAGTGGGTGTGAAGATTTTTAACTACAAACATTGAGTGAACAAAAGGCCATAAATAACTTATTTTCTCTGTACCTGAAATTAATTTTACTCTGAAACCCAATTTTCATCTGAGGAAGAAAATTCATTCTCACCAATTCAAAGTAGCTTAGTTACTTTCAGTTTAAAACTCAGTCTCTTATGACTATCCCACCTCTCCCTTCTCCTTTGCCTCTTTTTTCCTGAGTAAAGTTCCTAGGATTGTATGAGTTCCTGGGTGACTTGCATTATGCCGGCGAGAGAGGAAGAGACAGAGGTCTTAAGCATTGACCTCTGTCTCCACTGCCTCCCATATATGTCCTCAGCTGGTGTAACACTGAGTCTGTTGCCTTGGTATGGATGGTCCACTTTGCAGACCCCGCTACAGGGTTCTATAACCCTATCCCTGGACTTCCATGGTAGACCTTAATTCTTAGTCAAAAAGCCTTTAAGGGGAAGGTGGTCTAGCTCATGCTTTCTTTGTTCAAACATGCCACACCACCATTTCTTTTGAGGCTGTCTTTTGTTTATGCTAGACTATGTGTTGCTATGCTGCCTGTCACCCCAACATTTAGTGGCTTAAAACAACAAACATGTGTTTCCGTTGATTGAGAATTAAACAGCTACTTAGCTGGGTGGTTCTGGCTCAGGTCTTTTATGAGGCTGCAATCACGGTATCAGTTAGTGCTACAGTTTGTCGTGCTGGACCCCTATTAACTTCAGTAGGGATGGCACTATGTTCAAAAGGACGAAGAAGACATGTGGAGCCAGCAAGTGAGACATGGGGTTTATTGAGGGGACTTATATAGAGGGAAGTCCAAGGGCAGTGGGCTGCACGGAATTGAAACCACTTGTAAAAACCATACAATTTATACAGCATTTTCACTTAGCACCCTCCCCCATCAACCTCCACCTGGCAATCTTCATTTAACCCAAACAAAGGGCCTCACTCCCCTGTACAGCTTGCATTCTGTGGAATGAACAGGGGTTCAGATGTTTCTCACAGATAAGGAATGGATCTCTAGGTTGGCTACCCCCAGATTCCTTTGTTTGGAATTCTAAACGCACATTGTCCTTAAACCATAGGGTCATTCTCAGGGCATGCCTAAGTTAAGTTATTGCTGTCAGGTGCATCTGCCATACACAGTGACCTGAAACTTTGCCTGGGGCTGGCCAGTCCACGTCTAAACTCATTCACGTGGCTGTTGGTGGGAGGCTTCAGTCCTCACTGGCTATTGACCACAGGTTCCAGTTCCTCCTGTTAAATCAAACTGAAATCTGGCCTGAGAAAGCCTCTGTAGGTCACATACTTGAGCCCTTATGGACAAACCATAACCTAACCTAGTAGGGGAGCAAATTGAAAATCCTAATTTAGGAATATGCTTCTGTAACAAGAGCTGAGTCTCAGACAATCCTAGTAGCCATACTTCAACCACTCACGGCATCCAACTGTTCAAACCATGTTCAAATAAGGCAAATGCCGAGCTGTAACCAATCCAAGTGTTTCTATACCTCATTTCCTTTTTCTGTACATCCCATGTGCCATCCCTGGAGTCTCTCAGAATCTCCTGTGATTCTGTGAGCTCCCTGATTCATGAATTGTTTTTTTTTTCCTTGCTCAATTAAACTTTGCTAAATTTAATTTGTCTAAAGTTTTCCTTTTAACACTCACCACGTGGGCGTTTTTGTGGAGGTTCTGAATGCTCCCCAGGACGTGCCAGCTAGCTTCCCTCAGAGCAAGTGATGTGAGAGAGAGAACAAGGCAGAAGCCATGCTGTCTTTTTTGCCCTGGCCTCAGAAGTCATATACCATCACTGCTGCCATATTCTACTGGTTACACTGATGCAGTGTGGAAGGGGACTACACAATGATCAGTGCCAGGAGGTGGATATCAAGGTGGCATCATGGGGGCCACTCTCACTTGAATATTCTATCAAGTTTCTCTCCTCCTCAAATTCCACATGGAATGCAAGCACAAGTCACTCTTCTTTATAATCCCCAAACCCACTGGAGATGGTACAGGCCCTGGCATTTGTCTGGGTTCTAATTCTGTTTCAACACTTGTTAACTGTCTGACTCGGCAATTTACTTGCCATTTCTGCCTCTTAAGTTCTCATGTACCAATAGTGATAATAATTCCTACCACAAAGTTTTGTTGGGAGAATTGTATTACATCATCCACATAAAGCTCCTAGAACAGTCTGGCATATAGTTACTGCTCAGTAAATATCATCATCATCATCATCATCATTGATATAAAGATTTCAACCTGGAAAAGTAAGAATAGAGAGGCAGAGATCAAAGCCTCACATTTTATCTAAGCTCTCTGGCTCTTTTTTCCAAATTCTCCCCAAATACCTTATTCCAGCCAAGGAAAAATATTTTTGGTGGTTGGGTTTCTGCCTTGGGTTTTGTTTTTTAATTTCCTTACCTTGTAACTTAAAACTACCCTTTTATCTATATCCTACACCCTCACATTCCAAAATGGTTATAGTATACTTTTTGCTTTAAGCCCACCAACTTTGGTTCTTGGTGATTAAAGCCAAGAATTTGGAATTCTGAGAGCACTTTCCCCTCCCAAAGCACCTGGCTGTTGACTCTTGGAAACTACTTTTTTTTTTTTTTTTGAAACAGAGTCTCAGTCTGTCACCCAAGCTAGAGTACAATGATGCAATCTCAGTTCACTACAATCTCTGCCTCCCAGGCTCAAGTGATCTTCCTGCCTCAGCATCCTGAGTAGCTCAGACTACAGGCACAAGCCACCAGGACTGGCTAATTTTTTTTTTTTTTTTTTTGGTAGAGACAGGGTCTTGCCATGTTACCCAAGCTGGTTTTGGAAACTTCAATACCCTGTTTTGGAACTCAAAGCCAGTAACAGCAGTAATAGCTAATGCTCACTAAGGGCCAGTCACTAACACAAGTGCTTTATATATTAACTCATTCAATCATCACAACTGCATGACATAATGTGACACTATAAGAAACATATATTTGGTCTCTGTACCAGTTCCTGGCATAAAGCTACTAAAACCTTTGTAATTTCCTAAGTGAGAGGGTGATAGGAGTGTCTTTTGTTTGACATTTGGTCTTAGTTCCTGATTCCTGACCAAACAGCTTCTAAAACTTTTGAAATTTTCTCAGTGACAGATGTGAGGAGAGCATCTTTTGTTATTCATAATAAACCCCTTTCTGTATACCTGAGCTTATGCTGATGAGGTGACTCTTGGACAATGGGGGCTGGTTGCCAGTGGAAGCACCCAGGTGACTAGAGTGTTGGAACTTTTAACACTACCCCCAAACCTCTAGGAAGGGGAGAGGGACTGGGGATCAAGTTAATCGCCAGTGGCCAATGATTTAATCAATCATGCCTATGTAATGGGACCTCCATAAAAACTCTAAACAACGGGGTTTGAAGAGCTTCCTGGCTGGTAATCAGATCTGTAGACAGTGGCGTATCCTGACACTAAAGGAGAGAATCTCTTGGGCTCAGGACCTTCCAGACCTCACCCTATGTACCTCTTCATCTGGCTGTTCATTTGTATCCTTCATAATCTCCTTAATAATAAATTGCTAATAGTAAACAAAGTGTTTCCCTGAGTTCTGTGAGCCATTATGGCAAACTATCAAACCTGAGCAGGAAGTTGTCAGAAGCCAGGATTTGTAGCCACATCAGATAGAAGTGTGGGTAACATGAGGACCCACTACTTGTCATGGGCATCTGAAATGGGAAGCAGTCTTGTGGAACTGAAACCTTAACCTATGGGGTCTGAACTAGCCCTGGGTAGTTAGTATCAAAAGTGAATTAAATTATAGGACACCCATGTCTGCAGAAAATTAGAGATTCACTTGGTGTGGAAAACTCATACATTTACTGTCAGAAGTGTTTTCAGTAGAGAAACAGTTTTCCTTTATATAGATATTATTATTATTCCATTTTACAGATGAAAGAGGCACAAAGAGGTTTAGTGGGACAAGACCACAGAAAATAACACAGAGCTGACTTTGGACCCAGGCAGCCTAGCTCCAGAGTCTGTACTCCTAAACACTACTTTATGTCACCTTTCAAGAATGTGCTCTTGGTTTTTTCTGTTCTTTTTCATTCTTTGTTTCCTGTAGCACTATATCCTAGCCTCAAAGACACTTCTTTTTAACCTTTTGTTTTGAAATAATTTCACAGTTACAGAAAAATTACAAAAATAATACAAAGAATTCCTTATAACCATTACCCAAATTTCACAAATGTTAACATTTTACCACATTTGCTTCATCATTCTCTCCCTCTCTGTCTCTTCCTATCATAACTCTCTTATGTCTAAATACTATACACATACACAAACACACACACAAACATGCATATATATATATGTATATATAGTCATGCATCATGTAACAACAAGGATATGTTCTGAGAAATGCCTCATAAAATGATTTCATCATTTTGTGAACATTAGAGTGTACTTACACAAATCTAGGTAGTATAGCCTGCTATATACCTAGGCTATATGGTATAGCCTACTGCTCCTGCAATCACCTAATGTGGGTTCTTCCTGCCCACTGCACAGACAAAACCAATTGACTGAGACTGCAGTATTGCAGTAGAGAAAAAGTTTAATTAACGCAGAGCTAGCCAAGTGGAAAGGCTGGAGTTATCACTCAAATCAGTCTTTCCAAGAACTCAGAGGCTAGGGTTCTTATAAATAATTTGGTGGGCAGGGGGCTAGGGAATGGGTGCTGCTGATTGGTTGTGGATGAAATCAGAGGGGTGTAGAAATTGTCCTCATGCACTGAGTCCACCTTTGGATGGAGGCCATATGACTGGTTGAGTCATGAGTCACAGTTCCAGGTGGGGTCAGTCAGCTGCCAGGATGCAGAAGTCTGAAAAACATCTCAAAAGTCCAATCTTAGGTACTACAACAGTGATGTTATCTATTGGAGAGCAATCGGGGAAGTCATAAATCTTGTGACCTCTGGCCACATGACTCCTGATCAATAAGGGATTATAGAAACTGTACCTACATTTTAGCAAAACTCAGGCCCCTCCCATAATCCTAATTCCATGGCTTTTTATTACTTTTACAAAGGCAGCTTCAGTCTCTGAGCAAGGAAGGGGTTTGTTTTAGGGAAGGAGTATTATTTTCCTTACTTCCATGTTAAACTGTAAATTGCCCCCCATGGTTAGCTTGGCCTACACCCAGGAATGAGTGAGAACAGCCAGCCTGTGAAGCTAGAAGCAAGATGGAGTCAGCCATGCTAGACTTCTTTCACTGTCATAATCTTTGCAAAGGTGGTTTCACTCCTAGGCTACAAACCTGTACAGCATGTTACTGTACAGAATACCGTAGGCAATTGTAACAGAATGGTAAGTATTTGTATATCTAAATGTATTTAAATACAGAAAGGTTTCAGTAAAAATACAGTATTATAACCTTATGGGACTACTATTGTATATGCAGTCAATCATTGACCAAAACATCGTTACGTGGTGCATGACTGTAATCTCTTGAAAGTAAGCTGTAGATATAAAACGTCTTTGTCCTTAAATATTTCAGGGTGTGTTTACTAAAAACAATGGTACTTCCTTATATAACTTTAGTATAATGATCAAAATCAGGAAATTAACATTGATACAATACTAAAGGTGATATGCTGGTAAATGTTTAACAACCAGCTCTCCAGGTCTAAAGAGACAAGAGCCCTGGTTTGTCCCATTTGCTACTTCCTATAACCCAAATACTTCCACTAAGGCCAGTTTCAAGCTATCAACCTGATGTCACTAGACTTGGAAACGGGAAGAGGTGCACAACCATGAGCTCTTGTGAACCAGTACAAGCCCACTCCAACACATCACTGAAAAAGTACATTTGTATTAGTATAATGGCTGTAAAACTTACAAAGCATAAAGGAAAAAGAAAAGAAAATTGTAATAATAAAAACATTTTTCTACTACTTTATTTGTCCATATTCAGTTAGTACACAGTTTCATCTAAGTATTATTGTCATTAATAACCAAAAAGAGAAAGTGCAGCTTACCAGTCATAATTTTATGTAAAAGACTAATATGTATTAGTTGTAAAACAATGTTACACCTGACTCAGTGGTATGATGTGTCTTCCAAAGCAGCCAAGAGAAGTTTATATATAGAATCAAAGAAATGATAATTCTGCTCTCTGATTATTACCATTTATAATTTAAATTACTGCCAGATACTGTGAATTTGAAGCTGTGACACTGAATCTGCAAAAATGGGAATAATAACAAACCTTAAGGCACAAGAATAAAATATTGCCATATAATTGTAGTATTTGAGCAGGAAATTGATATGTCTTATTTTTAATTGAATATGTACACACACACATAATACATTGTTTCTCTAAGTCACTTGAGAATTTTTTTAAATGTACATGTGGAAAAAATAGAGATGAATATCCCAATATGTCAGCTTTCACACAGGGAAAAAATGTTGATTAGACAAATGGTATTACCCTTCTCTTCAAAATAGTATAAGTAGAGGCTGGGTATGGTGGCATATGCCTATAATCCCAGCATTTTGGGAGGCTGAAGCAAGAGAATTGTTTGAGCCCAGGAGTTCACGACCAGTTTGGGCAATATAGTAAGACCCCATCTCTATAAAAATAAAATAAAATAATTTAAAAAATCAGTATCAGTAGAAATGTTTAGGAAAACTGAAGAGAATATTTTATTTTAAAATAACTATTTCCTTTTGAACATAACTTACAAATTTCACAGAGAAAATACAGAAAGAAAGAATTTAATAAGATAAATACTAAAAATTCTTTTGGTTTTTAATGAAATAAGCATGCAGATCAATGCAAAGAGATAGAAATTGTTTAAAACAATATGAACTTATAATAGACTAGGTATGAATTTGGATGCATTCATATAACAGCTCATTTCAGAAATAAAATTATTATAGTATTTTATCATTATTGATTTACTGCATATTTAATCTTTATTTGAAGTTGGTATCATCTTCAAAGAGTTATGCTTTTTTTTTTTTTCACAGCTTTCTACCCTGCTGGCTATTTACAAAATATGTCAGGGAAAGAAGCACTTGACGGTCCTCCCAAATCAGTGGTGTTCAGCAAACAAGATGAACTATAAGATAAAGAATACTAAAAGTCAAGAAAAACAAGTATCCCATAGAGAAAATATTACAGATAGGTGAAATGAAGATGTGATAATTGGGATCAAAACCATGCTAGGTTTCTCAGCATTTGGTTATCACAAAGTCTTTATTACACCCATTTTTAAATAATATTCTCACTTTATAAGAAATTGTTTAAAGTTATAATGGTAGTTTCAGGTTTTTTGAAATTTATTTTACTGTCTACTCTGACCTCCATCGTTCCTAATCAAGAATCAGCCATCTCTTGTATTATATCCTTCTAAGTAATTTGTCTTTCTCTGGTTGGGTCTAAGATTTTACTTTTCATATTTGGTTTTTACCAGTTTGCCACTGCAGTTTCTAGATATGGTGTTATACTTACATAAATTCTGAAATTTTCTGATCTACATGAATTTATATGTTGATGATCTAAACTTTTCACTAAGTTTTTGAAACCTTAATTATTTATATATCTCTTTCAGAGACTCCAATTTTACAAACAATATACCTGTTAATTTTTATCCAAAAAAAAAAAAGTCAGGCTAGATTGACAGTTTAGATTTGAAACTTCATGACAGGTCCCTGCGTATTTCTCTGATGATACAGAAAATGACATCTAGGTTAATGACTTAAAACAACGGAGCCACCTCAGAAATTTTAAAGTAAAACTAAATAAGAGAAGATGATTTAATAAGGATATCTTTGTCAGGATTTTGATTAAAAGGAAGGCACACTCCTGAGTCATCAAACTCCACATGTGTGTCAGGATTACAGCCATTTCCTGCCCTAGCCAGGAGGAGGTGGTTAAGAAGATTTTCTTCAGGGCAACACAAGCAATCATATCTCAAAGTAGAAAATGTTCATGTTATAAACACACAAATGTCATCCGGCTGTGTGATAGTCAGAATGTAGCAGGTTAATGGTATGATTTAAAAGGTGCAGAGAGGGAAAAAAGAATTAAAAGCATTGACAAACAATATCCTCAGCCATTCCTGGGTTTTGTTACTTCCCTTCTCCAAAAATACCTCCACTGCTGATGCCAATATTTCAACCATTCGTTCCAAACCACACACTGAAGGATTCATCCTTCTTTTCTTAATTTGTTCTGTGTTCAGGCATTTAATTCTTAAATACTAGTGTTAAAGGTAAACCAATCACTTAACACATTTTAGGGTATTCATTAGTGAAATAACAGAATGATGGAGAAGAAACAGAAATGGGCAGAAGATAACTAAACAGGACACACAAGACAAATGTTAGTGAATTTTCCCTTGTAAAGCTTTACCACTTTTGAAATGCAAATATATATATGTATGTTTGTATATATATATACATATAGATATATAGATATCAGGCAATAATCATAATCAGATGCAGCTTGTAATCCCAGCTACTTAGGAGGCTGAGGCAGGAGGACAGCTTGAGCCCAGGAATTTAAGGCCAGCCTGGGCAATATAGCAAGACCTTGAGACCCTGTCTCTAAAATAATAATAATGATGATGATAAAAAGTCATCTTTGTTGAATGTTTACTATGAGCCAGACTCTGCTAAATGCTTTACTGACATTTATTCACTTATTTGTTCAAATACTAATTGCCAAATGCTATTCTTGGTATACAGGTTATATTAATAAAGAAAGCAGATAATATTCCTACTTCCTTTCTTTTTCTTTTCTTTCCTTTTTTTTTTTTTTTGTTGTTGTTGTTGTTTGAGACAGGGTCTTGCTCTGTTGCCAGGCACATCTCAGCTCACCACAGCCACTGTCTCCTGGGCTCAAATGATCCTCCTGCCTCAGCATCCTGAGTAGCTGGGACTACAGGCATGTGCCACCATGCCCATCAAATTTTGTTTTATTTGTAGAGACGAGTTCTCACTATGTTGCCCAAGCTGGTCTCGAACTCTTGGGCTCAAGCGATTCTCCCACCTCAGCCTCCCAAAGTGCTGGGATTACAGGTGTGAGACACCATGCCCAGCATATCCTGGCTTTCATGGAGCACACATAGTAGTAGGCTAAGCCAAGCAAACTTATCAACAATATATCAGTGGGTGGTAGGGGCTATTCTGAAAAGTAAAGCAGGGAAGGATAGTTAGAATGTGATGACATTATTTCTAATTTAATATTCACCAATATCCAACAAACCTAAGAAGTACAAATGAGAAGCCATGAGGCTCTGAGAGGTTCAGTAACCAGAGATTGAACTTGTAACCACTGTATGGTTCCCGTGGTTATTTTTAATCTAATTACGTTAACTATTTGATGAAAGAATGAGGTAAAGAACAGCAAAGAAAAGAGGAAGGGAAAAGACTGCACCTCTTGGAACTTCTTTTTTATTTATTTTTGAGACAGAGTCTCACTCTATTGCCCAGGCTGGAATGCAATGGCGTAATCTTGGCTCACTGCACCCTCTCCCTCCCACGTTTGAGCAATTCTCCTGCCTCAGCCTCCCAAGTTGCTGAAATTACAGGCACCCACCATCATGCCCAGCTAATTTTTGTATTTTTAGTAGAGACAGGGTTTCACCATATTGGCCAGGCTGGTCTCGAACTCCTGGCCTCAAGTGATCCCCCTGCCTCAGCCTCCCAAAGTACTGAGATTACGAGCATGAGCCACTGAACCTGGCCACCTCTTCGAACTTCTAAATGAAGGCAAACCATAGTGTAGTGTCTCCCCAGTGCCCGCTGTACTTGCCCAGTGCTCCTTGCTTGTTCCTGCATGGTTCTCACCACGCTGTTTCTACAATTCTTTGTTATTTTCTAGATGTCCCATTGAGCTATGAGCTGCCTGGAGGGAACTACCTTACAATTATTTTTATATTCACAGTATCAAGCATAGTCCCAAGATCTTCGTTGGTGGCCACTAAATGGCTGCTGGATGAATAAATTAGCAATTAAAGTAGAATTTGAGAGAAGCCATTTGGAAGAAAGCTAAAATGGGAAGAGAGATGTAAAACAGCCCCATTAGTCCTTATTCCAGCTGTTCTTTCCTGCAGCCCAGGACACTCACAGAACATTGGTTAAGAGCTTTGACAGTATAGTCAGAAATCCAAAGTTAGATTCTCAACCCGTATGCACCCGTGGCTCTTTATTCAACTTTGTTTAAGCCTCAGTTTCTTTATCCACAAAGCACAGATAATGAAAGTATCTAACTTTCTGTTGATGTGAGTATTAGATATGATAATCCATGTTAAACTCTTAGCAACATGCTTAGTGTACTGTAATTGCATCATACTTGTTAGTTGCCATAATAATCATCATCACCATCATCATCATCATCTTAGGTATTTTGCACAAGCTTATTAATTAGAGCATCTTTTCCTAAATAGTTTTTTAAGCCAAGAAGGTTTTGACCAACAACCCTATAATAGGAATGTTGTTACCCATTTATTCTTGCTGTCAAAATTCTCCTTATCTTTTTGAGGCACTGAAGACCAAATAGTTTCTCCAACCCAAAGAAATAAGGTTAACAAGGTTAACATAGAAATTGTAGGTGGTGGATTGACATCATAGTGTGGGAATTTTCAGACCACCAATTAGGCAGTTGACCACTTTTACCCTCTGATTAAGAAGAAATGCAGAGTGATAGTTTATGAATGATCCATCAATGGTTATTAAACCTGCATGCATGACTAACTGCATAATTGTTCAAACAGATCATCCTTCCTAGAGAGCAGTAAGGGTCTTTGTTCAACTACAGCAAGAGCTATCTGCCCTCTCTCTAGTGAGGAATTGTTTTGACATATCACACTTGAGAGTTCTTATTAAGTAGGGCCTACAAGGTAAGACGCAAAACAACAAACTGGAAAAATTGGAACTTAAACAACGTTATTGTAGAATAGTTTCACAGTCGACTGAGTGGACAAAGAGTAGTACACACAGGTGTTCTGAGTGTCTATCAGATCGTTAGAGTAGCATCTTCTTTTTAAGGAGAAAGAGTTATATGAAGACATTCTTTCCTTATAAGACCGAGTTTACTTGAGCTCTTGGTATAGCCATTTAAGTTACATTTTCAGTAATAAGGAAGTTTAAATCTGCAAAAGATATTTCGTTTATTGAGAAGATTATTTAATTCAATGATTAAAATCAATATATAGTAAACATTAACTGGCCAGGCGTGGTGGCTCACACCTGTAATCCCAGCACTTTGGGAGGCTGAGGCAGGCAGATCACTTGAGGTCAGGAGTTCGAGACCAGCCTGCGCAACATGGTGAAACCCCATCTCTACTAAAAATACAAAAAAATTATCCAGGCGTGGTGCTGCACACCTGTAATCCCAGCTACTCGAGAGGTCGAGGCAGCAGAATCACTTGAACCCGGGAGGCGGAGGTTACAGTGAGCCGAGATCATGCCACTGCACTCTAGCCTGGGTGACAGAGCAAGACTTCATCTAAAAATAAAATAAAATAAATAAACAAATAAACGTTATAATCACAACCCTAACTGGAAATGTGGGAACATCATGTATTGGGAATGGCAAAGGTATCTGGCCCTCTTGGCTTGCAATGCAGTTCAGCATCACAAAAATAAATGCTACATTGGTCCAAAAGGTGCTAAAAATAAAAGGTTATTTAACATATATCTCTATCAAGTCATGATACAGGAGTCACATACTGCAGAAGGCACATTTGGAAAGCCTCTCTAGAGATGGGATAATTTTATTAATTCAAAATGGATAAAGCTCTCCTGTGAATAACTAAGGATATTAAATTCCACTTTTCAGTGAATTTTAATGTAATAGATGCCCCTCGTCTGTACTCCATAAAATCCTTAAATATATTCATTATGACACTCATTGTACTTTTGATATTCTTTTGTCTCCCTACTATATTTTGAAGATTTTTAAGGTTGATTCTGTTGCTTTCATCTCTATAAACTTAGTCCCTGATTTGATTTCTGATACAGAAGGTAATCAAAAACTATTCTTCATTGAATGAATGAATAAATGAATATTCTCTGAGGTTTATTGGCCACGTGGTATAGTTAAAATTATAGGGGAAAAGCACAAAACAAGCTGCTGAAATGGAGAAAGCAAGAAAAAGAAAGGAGTTGGGAGAAGCAGAGCAAGACAAAAGAACAGAAGAGGAGGAGAAGGAGAGAGAGAAGAATCGTATCAGTGTTCTTTTAAAAATGGTCAGCAGTGGCCGGGCACAGTGGCTCACACCTGTAATCCCAGCACTTTGGGAGGCTGAGGCGGGTGGATCACTTGAAGTCAGGAGTTTGAGGCCAGCCTGGGAAATATGGTGAAACCCCATCTCTACTAAAAATACAAAAATTAGCCGGGTATGGTAGCGCACTCTTGTAATCCCAGCTACGCAGGAGGGTGAGGCATGAGAATTGCTTGAACCCAGGAGGTGGAGTTTGCAGTGAGCCTAGATTCTGCCACTGCATTCCAGCCTGGGAGACAGAGTGAGACTCCATCTAAAAAGAAAAGGAAGAAGGTCAGCAGTAAAAGTAGGTCATGTCATGTAGATGAAGGCAGCTAATTCAGGACAGCACAGAAGCAGATGTGTATGTCACTTTACAAATTTGTCAGACTCAAGATCAAATATATGGACTAGCATATTATTTTTTACTTACAGGTAAAAAGATAGCAGTTTGTAATTGCCAAATTTAGAGATAAAATGCATTGATAATAAAAATCATTGTATATTACATAGACGCATAGAGTATTCTAGAAGTAGAAAACAAGACATTCTAAAGGATTTTTTTTTTTTTTTTGAGACAGGGTCTTGTTCTGTTCCCCAGGCTGGAGGTCAATAGTGCTATCACAGCTCACTGCAACCTCGATCTCCTGGGCTGAAGCAATCCTCCCACCTCAGCATCCCAAGTTGCTGACACCACACGCACATGCCACCACACCTGGCTAATTTTTTTTTATTTTTTTGTAGAAATAGGGTTTTGGTATAATGCCCAGGCTGGTCTCAAACTCCTGGCCTCAAGAAATCCTCCTACCTCAGCCTCTCAAAGTGCTGGATTTACAAGCATGAGCCACCATGCCCTGCCTAAAGCAATTTTTTAATCTTCAGAAGTAGAGTTGGTCTCTAAATACATGCCCTTTGGGGTGCATTTGTTCTGGAACTCAGTAGCTCCAGTTTGTCCTTGATGGCACTAACACTAGCCTATCATAAGCGAATAAGACTTTATCATAAACTAATAAGACATAGCCATCATATGGTATAGTGGTACTGAGTTCATTTTTTTAAGTCTATAAGTTATTTTTGGTCTTTTTTAAATGCCTATACACAAATGGCCTTTTTTTTTTTTTTTTTTTTTTTTTTGGATACGAGGTCTCACTGTGTTGCCCAGGCTGGAGTGTAGTGGAATGATCTCAGCTCACTGCTACCTCTGTCTCAAGCAAATTACAGGCATGCACCACCAGGCCCGGCTAATTTTTTGTATTTTTAGTAGAGACAAGGTTTCACCATGTTGCCCAGGCTGGTCATTCTTATTTAAAGTTTCCTGTATTATTTATCATTCATGTCCAATAATGATATCGATGCTAACTGCTCCTCAACACCCCTGTATATTGTCCTTCTACACTCTTCTACAAGATGATTGTCTATAATTTTGAAACAAAAAGTTACACCTCAAAACTGTCTCTCCACAACATTTAAGTAATGGAACCATCAATCAAACAAACACACTAAACCAAATAATGAAACAGGTGCCCCTTAAGGTCATACTCTTAACAAAAATGGTCAAAAGAAAAAAATACAAAATTCTGTTGCAAAGCTGGGCAATGTTGTGTGGCAAGTCTCCTAACCATCCTGTTCTGATCATCTTCTATTCACCCTGTTGGCAAAGGAGGGGTCCTTCACCCCGAGTAGTATGAGATAGCCAAACATGTGGCAACCAACACTGGACAGATGAGAATGAAAGCAGTTTGTTAGTCATATACATTCACAGCTCAGAGGAGGATGCTGCTTGCCATGCAGGGGCACACAAGGGTTGCACTTGAGAGTAGACTGAACCAGCAAGGGCTGCCAAAGGAAGTCAGGCTTTGTAGTAACAAGTGGATGAGCTGCCTTCTGGTTCCCATTAGGTTGAGGCCTAGGTAGAGTGCGGCTGCTCCAGTGAAGAAGCGAACTGGCCAGGTGGTGGGCTTCTCCCGATGGGTCTGGAGAATATCTGGCAAAGGCAGAGGAACTCACAGTTAGGCCATTAGGACCCTGTGAGGCTCAAAGATGTCACAGCAGCATTTGAAATATTAGGACTTTTTTTTGACACAGGATCTGGCTGTCACTTAGGCTGGAGTGCAGTAGTCCAATCACAGCTCCCTGCAGCCTTGACCTCCCAGGATCAAGCGATCCTCCCACCTCAGCCTCCTGAGCAGCTGGGACTACAGAAGCACCACGCCTGACAAATTTTTGTATTTTTTGTAAAGTTGGGGTTTCTCCATGTCTCTCAGACTGGTCTCAAACTCCTGAGCTCGAGCAATTCAACTGTCTCACCCTTCCAAAGTGCTGGGATTGCAGGTATGAGCCAACACACCAAGCCAGGACTTTTCAAGAGTACAAATTTTGGTACTATCAAGTCAAACAAATGCCTGCAATTAGTCTTCACGTCCAGTACTTTGCTTTTGTAGTAAAACTAACTGAGTCATCCTATTTTGTAGGAATGAGTGATGGGAGAAACTGGTTCAATAGAGGAAGCTAACTATGAGATGGACTCACTCTCAGGGAGACACACTGATTTGGAGAACTGATCTGAAGCCAGAAGTGACTCACTTTTATTGAAGAAAACAGTCAAACTCTGTAAACTATTTGAAGAAATTTATTCTGAGCCAAATATGAGTGACTGACCAATGGCCAGTGGCACAGCCCACAGGAGATCCTGAGAACATGTGCCTGAGGTGGTCTGGGCATAGCCTAGTTGTATACATTTTAGGGAGACATGGGACATCAATCAAATACATGAAATATATACATTGGTTTAATCCAGAAAGGCAGGACAACTTAAAGGTAGGGGGAGGGGGCTTCCACATTATAGGCAGATTTAAAATTTTTGTAATTGGCAATTGGTCAAAAGAGTTATTATCAATAGAAAAGAATGTCTGGGTTACAATAAAAGGTTGTGGAGAACAAAGTTTTATCATGCAGATGAAGCCTCCAGGTAGCAGGCTTCAGAGAGAATAGATTGTAAATGTTTCTTATCAAACTTAAGGTCTGTGTTGATGTTAAATGCTGGTCAGCTTTTCCTGAATTCCAAAAGGGAGGAGGACATGAGGCATGTCTGACCCTCCCTTCCTGTCTGGGTCTGAACCAGTTTTTCAGGTTAACTTTGGAATGTCCTGGCCAAGAGGAGGGATCCTTTCAGTTGGCTAGAGGGGCCCTAGAATTTTGGTTTTGGTTTACATTCTCCCACTTCTGGCCAAGATTTTTTCCAGAGGCAACATCAATGGCCACCAAATTTTTATATTGTCCCATGATGTTACCGGGGTGACACGGCTGCCTGCCTGGGGCCCATCCTGTCCCTCGGTGGGACTCCTATGGCTGAGGGATTTACATTCAAAAGATGTACAGTCAATTAAATGTTCTAAGCCAGACAAGAATGGATGTGGACAGGTAGTCACTGCCCCTTAAACAAAATTTTTAAAGTAAAAAGCCAATGAACAAAAAGCCAAAGGTGAGATTACAAAACTGAGCTATCTTTAACTTCTATTAATTAAGCTACTGTAATCTTGGTTTTAATTACAGACTTATAGCAATTAGCTATATGAAACATGAGCATTGCTCTGAAAAAAAATTTTAATGTGTATCAATTTTCACAACTCTTAACTGGGTGTATTATACCCAGGAGGTTTTGCCATGAGGTATCTTTATCCTCCCCATAATTTTTTTTTTTAATTCTACAGGAAGCAAGAAATTCTTTATGGTTGGGGTGGATGCAAAGATGCCAATAATAGGCTAAGTCCCTTGTTTTACCAGTGTTTAGGCATCTCTGTACCCATCTTGATTTGGAGGGTCTGACCTAATTCTGTCCCTCAAAACAGCCTTTACAATCTCACCAGCCCACCTCTTCCACAACAGTCCCTGGGCCAGAAGGGAAGATGCTTGTTCAGGCTTAGCAGCAGTGCATTTCCAGTGAAAAACAGATCAAGCCCAGTGTGATGCCAAATGTGGGAGATTCATATCTCTAGTCTTCAAAATACAATGATTTTTGTTTCCTTGGAAGTAAAACAAGGAAAGAGAAATAACATTAACATTGTGACAATCAAAAGAGTATTTTGTGTGTCAGAACAGAGAAATGAAGCTATTCCATTAGGGCACCAACTAAAAATACGAAGAAAAATTATAATCTCATACTCCCTAGAGAATTATTGCAGCCAAGAAATAATACATGATTCAATCTGCACTCTAAAAAAAAAATGTCAGGCTAGGTGCGGTGGCTCATGCCTGTAATCCCAGCACTTTTGGAGGCTGAGGCAGGCAGATCACTTGAGGTCAGGAGTTCAATACCAGCTGAGCCAACATGGTGAAACCCATCTCTTCTAGAAATACAAAAATTAACTGGGCCTGGTGACACACACCTGTAGTCCCAGCTACTTGGGAGGCTGAGATGGGAGAATCGCTTGAACCTGGGAGGCAGAGGTTGCAGTGAGCCAAGATCATGCCACCACACTCTAGCCTGGGCAACAGAGCGAGACTCTGCCTCAAAAAAGAGTCAGGGCTGAAATCTAGTATCAAGTGTTACTCGTTTCCTTTGAAACAATTTCTCTTTCTCTAGCCCTCCTTTTCTATTAAAAGAAATTATAGTAAGGCCAATTTGTGTGCAAAATAAGTTTTAGGCTTGTTATACTTGGCCTTATTATTTGCATAAAGTGCAGCAAGAATTTATTGTCCATATAGGCACTTTTTAAGTTGGATTTCCTGGAACTTTACCTAAAAATGTGTTATTCTAGTCTAAGTCTTGGTAAAATAACCGGTGTATCTAATTGTCCTCTTTGGAAAGACTTTCACTAAACTTACGCAAATCACTATATTGTCAAAATCACAAACAGTTTCCAAATTTCAGAGAACTCAGAGAGAAAGGTGAATTTATTTACAAAAATATACTTCACCCAAATGCTCTAAACTATAAATAACTCAAAAGAAGATTTTCCTGACTATTCTTTAACCAGAGCAGCAGCCTTTTAAACAGCATGTCATTTGTTCATTCTCAACTGCCATTCACATGCTAAGTAGCTTTTGTTAGATGAGAGCTGTTTATCAGGCACAGTAGACTCTAGCAGCTCCTCACATAGTTAGAGTCAGTCCTATGGAGAAAAAAAAGGAGGGTCCCAGCTCAGGAGTATCTCCTCCTTGTAGTGTCAGGTAGCAAGATCTTATGTAAACCATTTTTATTTTATCATGTATGATGATTAATATTGAGTGCCAACTTGATTGAATTGAAGGATGTAAAGTATTGATCTTGGGTGTGTCTGTGAGGGTGTTGCCAGAGGAGATTAACATTTGAGTTAGGGGACTGAAAAAGGCAGACTCTCACCCTTAATCTTGGTGGGCACCATCTAATCAGCTGCCAGTGCAGCCAGGATATAAAAGCAGGCAGAAAAACATGAAAAGCTTAGACTGGATTAGCCTCCAAGCCTACATCTTTCTTCCATACTGGATGCTTCCTGCCCTCAAACATCAGACTCCAAGTTCTTCAGCTTTGGGACTCAGACTGGCTTCCTTGCTCCACAGCTTGCAGACAGCCTATTGTGGGACCTTGTGATCGTGTGACTTAATACTCCTTAATAAACTCCAATTTATATATATCCTATCAGTCCTGTCCCTCCAGAGAACCTTGACTAATACATTATGGAACTCTTTTGGACACGATTATTTCCATTAGCATAGGGATAGCTTCAGTTAACATTCCATAGCAAGGCAGTAAATGCCCCTTCAGTGGAAATTATCTAGTCCAGTAGTTGTCACTGGGAAGTATTCACAGTCTTTTGCCATAAACCCCAATAAATGTTCCACGAAGGTCTATAAAGTGAAGGATTTGCCCTGACTAGCATTCTAGCTTTTACCCAATATTCTGTGGGCTCAGGCAATCTTATTAGTTCCCATTTAAAGTGCACAATTATCATTTCTCAAAGGGCAGATTTACATGCCTTCAGTTGTGTAGTATTACATAGGGGAAGCATCTCCTAGTCAGATACAGTACCTATTTTCATAAGACATTTAGGTAAAGGAGTCACAACTACTTTACATAAAGCCTGTTTAAACATTTCAAATTTCATCATCCTATCAACCTGTGTATTTTTATGTTCTGGTCCCAGGTGCTTTTCTTTTCTATCCCCAGATCATTGTACCTTTTATGGTGTAAAAGGGTTGGGTTCCCAGCAGGGAGTAAGTTGAGCCAAGGAACTCAGGCTCTTCCGTCAATTTTTAACTTTATTTGCCTCATCATTGCCCTAGGCAATGTTACCTTCCTCACTATAACTTTTGCCTTTTTGATTTTTCTTAGATTTCCCCAATTTGGGGCAAATGCAGAAAACTGATGTGGAACCCTTTAGTGTTGGGGAACCAGCAGGGGTTCCCTTTGGCCCACTCAACCCTCAATAGAATTGTAAGGACCTTTGTTTTAACTCCACCAATTTTCATTTTATTTATTTCATTTCTTAATAACCATTTAAAGATTTCTATCACCCTTCTGGAGCAAGTCCTTTGACTCCCTTTTGACTTTCCCATTTTTTTCCCTTTTTAAAAATTTTAATTATCCTAATGTTTTATTAAGCATCTATAAGACCCATGAAGGAAAGCAAATTTGGTAAGGCTTCTCAGACAGTTGTATAATTCTGTGGAAGTAGTGTCATCTGGGGTGCCCATGTTAAAAGGGTTTCCTTAACCCCAACATTTACCACAACCTGGGAAACAGGCATATTTAGTGGAGAATATCCTGGTCATTATAAAGCCAGTCCCACATGGCTTGCACATGAAGCGTATCAGCTGCTTCATCTGGAGTACTCCACTTGGCATTTTATAGGGAGAGTTGGGAAGTCTCCTTCAGGTAAAAAGAACTTACAGTGGTGTTTATCCAGCTCATTAGACTGGACATTCTCTCAGGAATAACCTCCTGTGCATTTGGATTACATATACTCATCAATGGTTTAGCAGTGAGCTCTGGGTCCTGCATCAACCCAAACAAGCTTTTTCATTCTGTAGCATTTAAAATTAAGGATATTAACCTTAAAGTAGTTATTTTTACAATCCATCATAGTAAAGGATTTTCCAGAGGCCAATGATACCAGTATACAAAATGGAATAATCCTTTTATATTATACACTCTGGTTTTAATAGTTACTTGGTTTTGTCCTTCTCCCACATTGAATATCTTTTTGGTAACCACAGGTCTCAGAGGTAACTTTTACCTTTAGTAAGCAAATGCAGCCCAGCTGCAGCTCCTTAAGATGGGAAACCACATGGCCACACAAGAGTCAAAGTTTCTCATTCCCCATCTTTTTGTTTTTCTTTTTATACATTTAGTTTTCTCTATATATTTTTTTCCTTCATTTTAAAGTGACTCTTAAATAGTCTCTAAACTAGAAACAAATACACTTTTTAAGCAAAAACCATAATCTTGTGATTTAATGAACTTCACCAAAAACACCTTTTACTCTGCTACTATTTTAACTGTTAGTAATCTAATTCCCAGTGAAAACACTGAGGTTACTTAATTTAACATAACATGACTTTAAAATTTTAAACTTCTGGAGAGAATTAATCTTACCAAAGATTAACAAGATCATGTGAATTAAAAGGCGTCTGAGCTAGCTTCTTTCAGTTTGATAAGTGCTTACTCGCCTTCAAGTCAATTAATTAGAACCCTTTCATATAGTTTGGTAGTGAAATATCACTTCCACATGATACATATAAACATATAGATATAACAGATATACAGACTAAGGCAGTTCCAAAAGATTTTTCATTTGCTTGCTTTCAATAAGTGTTCTCCCTTACTTTAGATTATTAATGGAAAACAATAAAGGAACCAACAAAAGGTGAAGGAGAGAGTTATTATCCTAGGCCTTTTCAAAAAAGAGAAAGAGCTGAATTTCTGAGATATCAATCTGAAGAATTTCAAAAAGAAACAGATTCTAGAGTTTGAAAAATTAAAAACTTCTTGCATTAAGAGTAAATCAATATTTTACTTTTCTTTTCTTATTTTTTTACTTTTTTTTGAGACAGACTCTTGCCCTATCACTTAGGCTGGAGTTCAGTGGCACCATCTTGGCTCACTGCAACCTCCACCTCCTGCATTCAAGCGATTCTCATGCCTCAGCCTGCTGAGTAGCTGGGATTACAGATAGGCACCACCACACCCAGCTAATTTTTGTATTTTTAGTAGAGACGGGGTTTTGCCATGTTGGCCAGGCTGATTTCCAACTTCTGACCTCAACTGATCTGCCCACCTAGGCCCCCCAAAGTGCTGGAATTATGGGCATGAGCCACAGTGCCTGGCCTAGACTAAGTCAATATTTTAAATAAAATCTTGTTCTAACCAATTCTTTACTTTTGTATGTGTATTTTTAATATCAAAACCCATTTTTAGAAAAACTATTATAATTTTCTTTAATTATAGCCAACTTGATCACATGACATTTTTATAAATTTCTTTTTACCAACTTTATTGCAACTTACATAGACCATTCATGACATGCTTGGACTTTCTGGTTTGTCCTAAATATCCCTTTCTTGAACAACCAATTATCTTATTTCAGAACAAAAAATTCACTATACAAGATTCTTTCTCATGTAAAATTACTTTTAACCCTTATTACCAAAAAATATCCCTTTATATCTATAACTTTCTTTACATCTCTCTTATTTCCTGGTTCCTTTTGCCTTGTTTTATATATAACCTCTAAATTACCTTTGAATTAGACAACAAATAATTACCTTTTATAATAACACATTATTAAAGCGTTTTTTATAATTTTCAAATTGGAAATTACCCAGACATTAATTAATATAAACTTGGTTCTAAATTATACGTCTGTTTACAAGCATTTATTTCTAAATTATATAGTATTCTGCAGAAATAAGTATGAAACTGCTTGATCAATAAATGCAAACAAAAATGCTGACAATTCCTAAGACATTTTTAGAATTATTTTACCAATAATTTTAAAGCTAGCCTATTTATTTAAGATTTCATTTAAGTCACATGAACTTGAAAAGTATTTGGGCTTATTATTTAATTTATGAGTACTCCTTAACTTTAAGCCAATTCAGTACCTTGTGGCCAAGACACATTAACAAAATATGTGTAAGTACACAGAAACACACACATACACACTTACACAAACAAAGATGCTATAGCTTTTACTTCAGAACTCTAGCCATGTGATATTAATACAAACTCACCAGTTTGCAAAGAAAAAAAAGTGGATGGATCTAAACAGTGGTTTATATCTCCATAGTTTTAAAGCAGGCCTAAACGAAAATATAGAAATAGAGAACGGAAGAGCTTGAGAGTTTGCAGGTCAACCTTTGGGCTCTGAATTCTTCCTTGATGTAAATGTGTACAAAAAGACCATAATATGTCCATTTTACACAAACGCTTCCTAGTAGAGGCACCATAAAACCAATGGCATGCCCAAAAGTGGGTCATTCTCCTCGTTTTTCCTCATTCTTGGATTATTCGTTTCCCACTTAAAAAAAAAAAAAGAGAAACTGAGCTATAGCGTAGAGTTTATTGTAGTGAGTTGATGTGTACTGACTGTGGGCAGGACTCCAGAGTATGTCACCACTGAGTCATTTCCACCCTCTTACATGTCTTGGTTTTGCTCTCCAGAGGTCTAGCACCTCTGAGAGGACTCAAAATACAGAGTGACCAGCTCCTATATGCATTTCCTTGCCTTTTAAAATTAATTTTGTTGAGGGTTCCCTGTAGGGCTGCTGTATGTTGCAGGGGGTCAACCCCTCAGATACTCCAACTTTGCCCCTGGTCACCCAGGGGCACCTTTCAGCTGGCAATAGCAAAATGCCCTTTTGCTCTGGAGCTGATGAAACTTGGTCTTTCATTTATCTATGAAAACAACAGTTCAGTTCCTCATGCAAAGGTGCATATAAGCCAATCAAAATTAATTTTTGGAGAAAAAGCAATGGAGAAGACCATTTAGAATGCACTTCCAAACTAGAAACCAAATGGGGTGCCCAAAAGAGGGTCGTTCTTCTTGTCTTCAGAAAAAGACAATAAAGAATACCCTTTAGAATGCTAGAATAAGGATCCTAAACAACAACTTTCTAGCAGGGGGAAAATGCAGCTCGGAATAAATCGAGGAAAATCAATAAAAGGGAAGTTCAGGGCTCAGAAGGACTTACCAATTCTACCAGAGGAGAAACTCAAAGTCAAGGAGGCTTTCAATGAGCTCCTGCTGATCCTTAGCTCGAGGTTCAGACAACTCCTTCAGGGTTCTTAGTCTTCTCTGAGGCCCCATGTTGCTTGTCAAATTATGATCAACAAAAACAATCAAACTCTGTAAAATATTTTAAGAGATTTATTCTGAGCCAAATATGAATGACCAGTGGCCCATGGCACACCCCTCAGAAGATCCTGAGAACATGTGTCCAATGTGGTCTGGGCACTACATTTTAGGGAGACATGAGACATCAATCAAACACATATAAGATATTCATTGGTTCTGTCCAGAAAAGTGGAACAACTCAAAGCAAGGGGTATGGGAGTTGCTTTCAGGTCACAGGTAGATTTCAAATTTTTCTGATTAGCAATTGGTTGAAAGATTTATCGATAGAAAGAAATGTTTGGATTATGATAAGGGGTTGTGGAGACCAAAGTTTTATCATGCAGATGAAGCCTCCAGGTAGGAGGCTTCAGAGAGAGTAGATTATAAATGTTTCTTGTCAAACTTAAGGTCTGCATTGATGTTAATGCTAGTCGGCTTCTCCTGAATTCCAAAAGGGAGGAAGATATAAAGAGGCATGTCCAACCCTTCCCACCATGGCCTGAACCAGTTTTTCAGGTTAACTTTGGAATGCCCTAGTAAAGAGGACGAATCCGTTCAGATGGTTGGTGGGGGCACAGGAGGGCTTCGAATTTTATTTTGGGTTAACACACTTTACAATTATTTTGTGAGCACCAAAATAGGGACTGAACTTATGGCAGAAAGAATGTTATGAGTTTACCAAACCCATTCAACTTTCCTCCTAAGTATACATTTACTCTGCATCTTTAAGGTACTTTGCAACTACACAGCATTCATGAGACAGAGTTTCAGCCCATGCAATGTGGAATAAAGTTACAAATGCCACATCCAGATGCATGTGAGAGCCTCCATTTTTCTCTTCCCTGTCTGTAGTGACACTGGAGGCCACATATTGAAGATGGTGGCCTCAAAAAATAGAAGTAATTTAGTCTCTGGATGACTTTGGCTACCTTCCTTCATGATATCCTCATTGGACTATAGCATAAGTAAACTATAATAAACTTTTGTTGTGTTAAATCTCTAAGGTCTGAGAATTACTTGTTATGGTAGATTGCTTGCCCTAATAGATTACCCGAGTACAGAACATTAGGAAAACTTCCGATATGATAGCAGAGGCTAGGTATTGTTACAAATACTAGACACCATTTCCTCTGAGTAATCTCTTCCTCCTATTCATGCCTTGTGTGCTAGAAGATATCTTAAATTTTGTCACAAAAATGAAAGTCATCTCCTCTTAGGGGCAGTGGAAAGAGAATCAGGAAGTAAATATATTAGAGCAAAGGTAAGTTCTGGACAACACTAACCAAGCAAGAATAAGGTGAAAAGAAATGAGAAGATAATCTACTATGTTAATAAATAAAACAAAGGCTAAAAACTGTATGATAAGAAAAGAAGAGAAAGAGAAGAAATGGGAAGTTGCCATAATTCACAGAGAGCCAAAACTACATGATTATAGATATAACAAATAGATTAAAAACATAATGGATGGAAATGTAAATTGAGTTACTAAGATAGAAAAAGGGTTTGAGATAATCACCAATATAGTTAATCACCAGATAAAAATATTGGAGAAGAAGGTGGGGATTGAAATACTGGAAACAATGAAGAATATGGAACAGAGATACCCAAAATCCAACAGGAGCATCCTGACACTAGTGAATGTAGTTCCTGCAACAATAAAAGCTCCCAAAGAATTACTACCAAAAAAAAAAACCTCAAATAGAGGATGATTTCAGCAAACTAAACATTCATACAAACTTGAGAGAACATTTCATACAGAATAATCAACAACAATAAAGCCACACCTTAGTAAAATGATATTTTAAAAATAAAGAATTTTTTTTTTAAAAAAGAAAATGAACAGAAGAAAGTGGGAGGAGAAAGGGGGAGAGAGAAAAAGATGGAAGAGAAGGAAATAAATCGGAAGGGAAGAGAAGGTATTCTTTAGGTGTTGGGTAGAAAAAGAAAATCCTCTGTAAAGGAGAAAAAAATGAGTCTGTCTTTCTTTTCTTTTTCTTTTCTCTTTTTTTTTTTTTTTTGAGGCAGAGTGTCGCTCTGTCACCCAGGCTGGAGTGCAGTGGCATAATCTTGGCTGATTGCAACCTCTTCCTCCCAGTTCAAGTGATTCTCCTGCCTCAGCCTCCTGAGTAGTTGGGATTACAGGTGCCCACCATCACACCCAGCTAATTTTTGTATTTTTAGTAGAGACAGGATTTTGCTATGTTGGCCAGGATGGTCTCGAACTCCTGACCTCAAGTGATATGCCTGCCTTAGCCTCCCAAAGTGCTGGGATTACAGGTGTGAGCCACCATACCTAGCCTGTCTACTTTTTCACAGCATGATTCAGTCTAAAACAGTGGAGAAATATACAAGGAAAATTTCTTTTAAAAACCAAAGCATATAGCTGAAGATTATATCCAAGCAAGATGACCAAAATTCAAACAATCCTTTTCAAATCTGAAAGAACTCCAGGAATAGAGGATTCATAGGTTCTTATTGGGAGAAAAAAAAAAAGACAAAAACAAGTTACTAAACTCACAAATGGAACATCCATGTGAAAGGACTGGGGGTGGCATGAAATCCACATAAACATAGAATAAATACTAAACTAATGTGGTCAAAAGACAATGGCACATAAAACAATATAAATAATCCAAATTTGACAGCACACACAAAAAAGTTTAATCAATGGGAATGCAAGCACCAGTGAGAAGGGAGGCAGTGGAAGTTAGGAGCCTAGGGGCTCTGGGCCCAGGTCTGAATTCTAGTTTTGCTGCTACCTTAGTGACATGGCCCTATGCAATCATGTAAACTTTCTGAACCTTAGGTTTTTTTTATTTAAAAAATGGGAATGAGGATAAGTGCGGAGTCTCACGCTTGTAATCCCAGCACTTTGGGAGGCTGAGGTGGGCAGATCGCTTGAGCCCAGGAATTCGAGATCAGCCTGGCAACATGTCAAAACCCCATCTCTACCAAAAAAAAAAAAAATAGCCAAGCATAGTGGCATGTGCCTATAGTTCCAGCCACTTGGGAGGCTGAGATGGGAGGATCACTTGAGCCCAGGAAGTTGAGGTTACAGTGAGCTGAGATACCACCACTGTACCCTAGCCTGGGCAACTAAGTAAGACTGTGTCACAGAATAAAAACAAACAAAAACAGCAACAACAAAAACGGGAATGATGTCTCTATCTTACGGTGTTTATTTAAGGATTACATGACTTAGTACACATAAGGCATTTAGATTCATGCTTGGAACATTGTAATCACTCAATAAGTGTTAGCTTTTGCTAGTAATGTCCTCATTTTCCATAGCATGGACTCCAATCAATACTGTTTGAAATGGAGGGAAGTAATTTTTAACAACTTCAACTTCTTAATGCTTTTCATAAACTTTTTTCTTAAGTGTAGAGAAATCGTTTAGAACATTATATCCCTGCAAATTTTATTTCTCTTAAACTCAAATACACTTAAATTTAATATTCTTTATTTAGAATATGATCTCATTAAGAATTGCTTCCACCAGTTTATAGATCTATGCTTCCATCTGTGTATATGTACAGAAAGATTTCTGGAGTAAAGTTATTTCTATATAGCGGAATTGGCAGTCTTTTTTTTAAACTTTTTTTTAAATCTTTTTTGCATCGCTTAACTTCATTATATTGATCTCATATTAGTAAAATAAAATAATAGCTGGGCATGATGGCTCACGCCTGTAATCTCAGCACTTTGAGAGGCTGAGGAGGGAGGACAACTTGAGCCCAGGAGTTTGAGGCTGTAGTGATCTATGATCACACCACTGCACTCTAACCCGGACAAGAAAGCAAGATCCTATCTAACATAATAATAATACTTTGGAACTAGAAAGCTGTTTTCTTGCACTACTTAGATTTTGTATCTTTATAGTTAGATGCTTAGGCATATTTACTGCTAAAATATTATGGGATTTTGTACAACTGAACACCATGTCCTTGGCAAAACTAGTTGGCTTATAGTCGGCAGATCTTTTGGTTCAGCTCTCTAGCCTCACACAGCCTACTGGAGCTTTTCATCATACTTGTTTTTGTCTTTTAAATTATTGAAAAAGTGATACAAATTCTTAGAAAATTTCAAAGAAAACAGGTATCAAGAGAAGAGTAAATCCTCTCATTGACAATCTCTCCTTCCTTTTCCATTGTAACAACTTACTGTATCTTTCTAGACAGTTACAAGTGTGCGTCTCTGTGTGTGTGTGCGTGTGTAGAGAAAACACTTATCCAGTCACTATTTTTTTAACATATTGTGCCTATTCATTTTCATTGCTACAGAAAAATACCTGAGGGCGCCAAGCCGTTCATGATGGGTCCATCCCCATGACCCAAATATCCCCCACTAGGTCCACCTCCAACAGTGGAGGACACATCTCAACATGAGATTTGGAAGGGATGAAACATCTAAACTATATTACATATATAAGGTAAAAATACTCCGCATATTGTTTTCTGCCTTCATTCAGGTTCTCTGAGAAACAGAGTTGATGTTGGGATGACAGGCAGTAATCTCAAGAACTCACATGGAAGAACAATGGAAGCAGGATTGAGCAGAGGCAGAACTTGAATGAGAATATCAAGAGCCCTGGTAGCCAGGTTACCCTTGGCAACCACATGATTTGGAATGATTTTTCCTAATCTAACCTAACCCACTCTTGCGACCAGAATTTACTTGCAAATCTGATCAATAGCTACTTTTTCCAAGGGAGCAATGTGTGAGCAAACAGGTCAGGGTTCAGATCCTGGGCCATGCATTAAAATCCATGTGGGCCAGGTGTGGTGGTTCGTGCCTGTAATCCCAACACTTTGGCAGGCTGAGGCAGGAGGATTGCATGAGCCCAGGAGTTCAAGACCAGACTTGACAACATAGCAAGACCACATCTCTACCAAAAAAAAAAAAAAAGTTAGCCAGGCATGATGGATGGGCCTGCAGTCCCAGGTACTCAGGAGGTTGGGGCAGGGGGATCCCTTCAGCCCAGGAGTTTTAGCTTGCAGTGAGCTGTGATCATGCCACTGCACTCCAACCTGGGCAACAGAGTGAGATCCCATCTCAAAAAAAATCCACATGAATAATGACTATATATACGTATATATATGTGTCTGTGTATATATACACAGACACATATATATACATACATACATATATACACATATATACACATATATACACATATATATACGTATATATGTGTATATACGTATATACACATATATACGTATATATGTGTGTATATATACGTATATACACATATATACGTATATATGTGTGTATATACGTATATATACACACATATATACGTATATATATGTGTATATACATATATACATATATACGTATGTATGTGTATATATGTGTATATACGTATATATACATATATATATATTCAATACCCTGTTAATTTTTTATAACTTTGGCTAATTTTTTCAATATTATTCAATAAAAATACATTGTTCATATATTAGCTACTGCTGCAATAATGCTGCGTAGAAAACCAGATCAAACTCAGTTGCTTACAGAAATAAGCATTCATTCTCATGCTCAAGAATCTGCAGGTCAACTGTAGTACAGGTGACTTAAACTGGGCTTAGCTGAGTGGCTCTGCGTCTGGCTTGGATTCAGCCTACAGCTAGGTCAGGTTACTTTGGTATGTATTTGTTCTTTCTGAGGCATGCTCTCCTCATAGCATGCCACTAAGAATGCCAAATTAAGAACCAAGCACATCTAAGGCTTCTGCTCGCATCATGACTGCTAACATTACATTGGGTAAAACAAGTCACAGGGTCACATCCAACATAATGAGGCTGGTGAAGCAGATCCCACCTACAGTGTGAGGGGAAGAGGAGTGAATACTTGCTGAACAATTACCCAAATTATCACAGTTTATTTAACGTTATAGACACCATCTCACAAATCCATGGTGCAATTAGTTGATTGAAAACATTCCCCCGTTATTTTTAATGTAAGGAAAAATTTCCAGATTAGAAATGCATAATTGCATAAATGTAATTTTCCTAAATTATAGCCACAATTGCATAAGTAAAATATAGGACAGGAAAAACAAGTAATATTTCTCCATAATTCAGTGACACAAAATACCTGATGAAGGAACTCAAACAACCCAACAAAAAAACCCACAAATAACCCAATTAAAATTGATAAAATTCAATTTAAATATGAGCATAAGGATGTGAATAGACATTTTTCTTTTTTTTGACAAAATGTTAACATCTTTAATCATAAATGAACTCTTCAGAAATCAGTACAAAGAGACTAACATTACAAGGGGAGTGAAAATAAAAGGAACAGAGGAAAATGGAATAGCACACATGAATTATAAGGCTATATGAAGACGATATAGTTAACATTAATAGCTGAGAAAGCAATTTCATTATAAATTACATTATCAATACTTACAAATATTGATAACTGACGTTTTTCAAAAGAAGACATACAAATGGCCAATAAGATCATGAAAACAGATTCAACATCACTAATCATCAGAAAAATGCAAATTAAAGCCGCAATGATACATCATCTTAATAGTCAGAATGACTATTATTAAAAAGTCAAGGCCAGGCACGGTGGCTCAAGCCTGTAATCCCAACACTTTGGGAGGCTGAGGCAGGCAGATCACCTGGGCTCAGGAGTTCGAAACCACCCTGGCCAACATGGTGGAACCCCGTTTCCACTAAGAAAATACAAAAATTAGCCAGGTGTGGTGGCAGGTGCCTGTAATTTCAGCTATTCAGGAGGCTGAGGCAAGAGAATCACTTGAACCCCGGAAGTGGAGGTTGCAGTGAGCCGAGATCACAACACTGTACTCCATCCTGGGTGATAGAGTGAGACTCTGTCTCAAAAAAAAAAAAAACAAAAAAAACAAAAAAACACATGGTGGAGAGGATGTGGAGAAAAGGGAACTCTTAAACACCGTTGGTGGGAATGTAAATTAGTACAATCTCTACAGAAAACAGTATAGCGATTTCTCAAAAAACTAAAAACAGAACTACCATCCAATCCAGTAATTCCGGTGTTGGGTATCTATCCAAAGGAAAAGAAATCATTACATAAAAAAGATACCTGCACTTGTATGTTTATTGCAACAATATTCACAATAACAAAGATATGGGATCAACCCTGTGTCCATCAACGGATGATTGGATAAAGAAAATATGGTGGATATATACACAATAAAATACTATTCAGCCATAAGAAATGATGAAATCATGTCTTTTTCAACAACATGGGTGGAACTGGACGTCATTATCTTCAGTGAAACAATTGAGAAACAAAAAGTCATATACCACATATTCTCATTTATAAGTGGGAGCTAAATAATGTGTATACATGGACATAAAGTGTGAAACGATAGACTTTGGAGGATCAGAAGGGTGGATGGGGGTGAGGGATGAGAAATTACTTAACAGGTATAATACACATTATTTGAGTAATGGATACACTAAAAGCCTAGACTTCACCACTATACAATATATTCATGTAACAAAACTACACTTGTACCCCTTAAATTTATACCAAAAAAAAAAGTAGGCAGTCCCTATTCTTATGTCAACTTTCGTTTTGTCTCCTCCATAGCGCACTTCCTTTGGTGACTCAAGTCATGTTTATGGCTTTATAGATACCCTACATTATAGTCACCTTGGGACTCCATGCCAATTTCACTACACAGTCTGTTCTTTTCTGTCTCCATAGCTTTATCACTGTTGTTTACTCTGCCTAAAATGTTTTCTTAGGGATCATTTTTCAAGGTTGAGCTCAGATTGCCACCTTCTCCATGAAGCCTTCTAATGGAAATGAACATTAGTTTCTATGAATGTCCATTTTATTTATTTGCACAGCCTTGATAGCACTCTGCAGACATTGCCTCATTGTTTGTTCTGGAGCCTCAGTCCATGCCAAAGGAAGACAAAGGTATGACGAAGCAGCAAATTCATGTAGTAGAGGGCGAGGAAGCCATCAGCAGTAAGAGAATGAAACTGATGTGCAGAAAGATGGTCAAGGTGGGCTGGTTCCCAGAACTTTCTGTTTTTTGTGTCTCTCCGTCGGCACCTTTACAAGAAACCCCAGAGGCACATCTTTTAAAACAAACTTGAGTGGGCTTGTGCTCCAGGCAATAAATTTAAGTAGAAAAATTGTGTGAAATACCAATGAGGGAGGAGAATAGGGTCTGGAGGCAGGGAACGTTCCTAAGGCCAATTCACACTGACTTCCTAGAACTAAATTAAAAGGAAAACCCCGACTTTCCACACAACTAACAAAAGGACCAGAAGCTACTCCCTTTGCCACCCCCCTGCCTTTCTGCACGGCAGATGGAAAATTGAAAGTACCTCTGATTGGTACTCCTATGCAAACCAACCAGACTTTTGCACAGGAGTGTAACGTTGTAGCTTCACTTCAGCCTCTGATTGGTTGCTTTTCACAACCAATGAGACAGATTGTGGGCCGCCACTTCATTTGCAGGAGGCGAACACCAAGTGGCCAATGGAAAACCTCTTGCAGGTATTTGGACCCCAGGAAAATCTGCAACCGGGCTTTTGGGCCCCTATGCTTGGGCCCGCTCCCACCCTGTGGAGTGTACTTTCATTTTCAATAAATCTGCTTTTGTTGCTTCATTCTTTCCTTGCTTTGTGAGTTTTGTTCAATTCTTTGTTCAAGACACCAAAAATCTGCACTCCCTCCACTGGCAACATGTAGTATACTATGTGAGGTATGCTCTTTGCTGGTTTTAAAAACATTTTTATCATGCCAAGGGGAAATGAATGAGAAAGCAGGTGAACAACTTTTCAGGTTTCTTTTCAAAGCAGCATTCATGGCCGGGTACAGTGGATTACAACTGCAATCCCCACACTTTGCCTGCCAAGGTGGGCAGATTGCTTGAGTCCAGGAGTTTGAGACCAGCCTGGGCAACATGGCAAAACCCCATCTCTACTAAAAAAAAAAAAAAATACAAAAAAAAAAAAATTAACCAGGCATGGTGGCAGGTGCCTGTAATCCCAGCTACTCGGGAGGCTGAGGAGGGAGAACTGCTTGAACCAAGGAGGCAGAAGTTGCAGTGAGCCAATATTGTGCCACTGCACTCCAGCCTGGGTGACAGAGGGAGAAAAAAAGTCGCTTTCGTCCTTCCTTCCAGTATTCCATCTCATCATACGTAGAATCTGGAAGCACCAAAAATGAAAGAAATGAGGAAAACTGTAGTAGTACTCCTGAAACAAAACTGACCAAACCCTTGTCAGAGGGAAATTTGGTATATGTAGTAGCAAGCAATGACTCCTTTACAACAGTGTCTTATAAAGCAAAGGTGGGGATGGGGAAGGGTGGCTGACTAACCCTAATTTAAATCCAGGCGTGTTTAGTCATAGTACCTGAGGACTGACCAAAGTATAGCTCCATGAGGCCGAGATTATTAAGCCCATTTTATAACAGAAGAAACTGAGTCTCGGAGAAATTAATTTGCTCAAAAGTCAACACGAGTAAGTGACAAAGACAGAGTCTACACAATTTGGTATGTTTCCAATGACTGTGCCCTTCCTGGACACCTATCCACAGCCATGGCCACTATCAAACTTTAACCAAGAGTGAAAGCTGAATGAACCACAAACTTTGAAACATAAGGAATGAGAAAGAACTGAGGAATGGGCCGGGCGCAGTGGCTCATGCCTGTAATTCCAACACTTTGGGAGGCAGAAGTGGGCAGATCACCTGAGGTCAGGAGTTTGAGACTGGCCCCAACAACATGGCAAAACCCCATTTCTACTAAAAATACAAAAATTAGCCAGTCATGGTGGTGGATGCCTATAATCCCAGCTACTTGGGAGGATGAGGCAGGAGAATCGCCTAAACCCGGAGGCGGAGTTTGCAGTGAGCAGAGATTGTGCCACTGCACTCCAGCTTGGGCAACAGAATGAGATTCCATCCCCCCTCCCCCAAAAAGGAAATGAAGAATCATCAGGAAAAACTTTAATCTCTCCATCACCTTTGCAAATATTAAAGTTTTGCTACCAACCTCAGTTAGTGACACAAATTGGTCACTATAAAAATAAACAATAAACAATGAAATAAAATTATAAATTCATAAGGAGTTTCAAATAATACAGAGGTCCCAGTATCTTTCGCCTAGTTTCCCCTGGTGGTTACATTTTACGTAAATATAGTATAATATTAAAACCAAGAATGTGACATTGGTACAATGTGTGTGTGCAGTTCTACATCATTTTATCATAAATGTAAATTCACATAGCTATCACCTCAATCAAAATATAGAACTACTCCATCACTACGAAGTTCTTCCCTCAGACTACCCCTTTATGGTCATGTCCACCCCCTCACCCCCTCACTATTCCTAGCCCTTGCAACCATCAATCAGATTTCCATCTCTTAATTTTTTTATTTTAGAGAATTTTATATAAATATATACAGTTGGCCCTTGAACATTGTGGGAGTTAGGGTGCCAATCTCCCAAGAAGTAAAAAATGTAATTATAACTTTTGACTCCCCAAAAATGTACCTACTAATAGCATAGTGTTGACCAGAAGCCTTACTGATAACATAAACAGTTGATTAACACACATTTTGTATGTTCTATGTATTACCTAGTGTATTCTTACAATAAAGTGGGCTAGAGAAAGAAAATGTATTAAGAAAATCAGAAGGAAGAGAAAATATATTTACTATTCATTAAGTAGAAGTGGATCATCATAAAGGTCTTCATTCTCATCCTCTTCACATTGAGTAGGCTGAGGAGGAAGAGGAAAAGGAGAACTTGGTCTTGCTGTTTCAGGATTGGCAGAGGCAGAAGAAAATCTGCATATAAGTAGACCAACGTAGTTCAAACATGTGTTGCTCAA
This sequence comes from Homo sapiens, assembly GCF_000001405.40. Taxonomy (NCBI): domain Eukaryota; kingdom Metazoa; phylum Chordata; class Mammalia; order Primates; family Hominidae; genus Homo; species Homo sapiens. Next base: position 86,293,312 of record NC_000008.11, read on the forward strand.
GGTCAACTGTAAAGAATCATATAGTATATGACTTATTAAGATTGCTTTTTCACTTACTATAATGCCCTTGAAATCTATCCAAGTTGTATGTGCATCAATAGTTCCTTGTTTCTTGCTGAGTAGTACTTCCTGGTGTTGGTGGTAACCTGTGATACTATTCCATTGAAACTATTTAACCACTAACCTATTGAGAGACATTTTGGTTGTTTCCAGGTTTTGGCTATTGCAAATACTGCTGCTCTGAACAATTGTGTGCAGGTTTTTATGTAAATATAAGTTTTTATTTCTCTTGGATAAATGTATACAAGTTTTCAGCATACAAGTTCTGTACATCCTTTGTTAGATTTACACATTGGCATTTCTTTCTTATGAGTGCTTGTAAATGGTACTGTATTTTTAATTTTGTTCTCCATGTATTTATTGCCAGCATATAGAAATACAAATTAATTTTTGTGTGCTTATCTTGTACCTTGCAAATTGGCTGAATTTGCTATAGTTGTAAGAGAGTTTTTAAAATGTAGATTCCTTAATATTTTCATAGGATTTTCCTAGGTAGAACAGTTTCATTTCTTTCTCATCTTTGTGCCTTTTATTTCTTTATTTTCCCTTATTGCACTGGCTACATCATCCAGGACAGGTTGAGTATCCCTTATACAAAATGCTTGAGGCCAGAAATATTTCAGATTTTAGATTTATTTTTTATTTTGCAATATTTGCATAATACTTTTCAATTAAACATCCTAAATCTGAAAATTGGGATCCAAAATGCTCAAATGAGCGTTTCCTTTAAGTATCATGTTGGCACTCAAAACATTTCAAATTTTGGAGCATTTTGCATTTTGAATTCTCAGATGTAGGATGTACTAGGTTTAATAGCAGTGGTGTGAGAGGACATCCTTGCCTTGTTTCCAACCTTAGAAGGAAGAAGTGTTTTAAAATTAAGTAAGATATTAGCTGCAGGTGCTCTTTATCAAGTTCAGAAAGTTCCCCTCTATTCTCATTTGCTTAATGTTTTCATAATAAATTGGTATTGACATATTTTAAATGCTTTTTCTGCATTAAGTAATACAAACATGTACTTTGTTTTCGGCCTGTAAGTATAGTGGACCACACTGATTGATTTCCAAATATTGAACCAGTCTTGTATTCCTGGAAAAGACTCATTTGGTCATGATGTGTAATTACTTTCATATACTGCTAAATCGTATTTCATATATTGCTAAATTATATTGACTAATACAGTTTTGTTAAAAAGTTTTTCATCTGTATTCATTAGGGATATTAGTCTGTAGGGTTTTTTGCACTGTCTCTGTCTGGTTTTGGAATCAGGGTAATAACGGCTTCATAGAATAAGTTAGGAAGTGTTCGCTCCTCTCAAACGAGCAAAAGATTCTCTCCTTTCAATTGAGCAAAAGATTCTGCTTTCAATTGGAAACGATTACATGGAATAGGTGTTAACTTCTCTTTAAGCATTTGGTAGAATTCTCCAGTGAAATCATCTGGGCATGGAAATTTCACTTTGGGGAGGATTTTCATGATGATTTCAATTTTCTTAATAATAATCAAGTTATTCAAAAATTCTGTTCCATATCAGGTGAGTTGTAGTAGTTTGGTTTTTGTTTTGTTTTTGAAGAATTGGTTCATTTCATCAAAGGGGTCAATTTTGTGTGTGTAGAGTCATTTGTAGAATTTTCTTATTATCCTTTTGATGTTTGTAGGATAGGCAGTGACATATTTTTAATTCCTAATAATGGTAATTTGTGTCTTCTCTCTTTTTTATTTTGTCAGTCTTACTAGTAGTTTACCAATTTTATCTTTTCAAGAAGCAGCACTTTCTTTTTTTTTGAGACCAAGTCTGGCTCTGTCGCCCAGGCTGAAGTGCAGTGGCGAAATCTCAGCTCGCCGCAACCTCCGCCTCCTGAGTTCAAGCGATTCTCGTGCCTCAGGCTCCCGCGTAGCTGGGATTACAGGCACGCATGATTATGCCTGGCTAATTTTTGTATTTTTAGTAGAGATGGGGTTTCATCAGGTTGGTCAGGCTGGTCTTGAACTCCTAACCTCAAGTGATCTGCCCCGCCTCGGCCTCCCAAAGTGCTGGGACTACAGGAGCACGCCACCTTGCACGGCCAAGAACCAGCACTTTTTTAAAAATTGTTTTTGTGTTTTCAATGGTATTGATTTCTGCTTTTATCTTTTTTTTCTTCCTCTGTTTGCTTGGGGCTTATATATCTTTTTCTTTTTGATATTTTATGAGATAGGAACTTAAATTATTGAGATTTTTCCTTTCTAATGTAAACATTTAGTGCTATACATGTTCCTCTCAGCACTACTTCAACTGTGTCTCACACATATCGATATGTTGACTCATCATTTTCATTTAGTTAAAAGTATTTTTAAATTACTCTTGAAACTTGCTCTTTGACCCATGGATTAGTTAGAAACATACTGTTTATTTTCTAAGCATTCTGGAATATTCCCATAATCTTTCTGCTATTGATTTTTAGTTTGATTCCATTGTGGTCATAAAACGTATTCCGTTAAATGTGTTGACATTTGGTCTATGGCTCAGGATATGGTCTATTTTGGTACATGTTCTGTGGGCACTTGAAAAGAATGTGTATTCTGCTGTTACTAGATGAAGTGTTCCATAAGTATTGATTAGATTCTTTGGGCTGATGGTGTTGCTGTGCTTATCTATATCCTCATTGATTTTTTATAAATTGTTATATCAGTTGTTGAGAAAGGAGTGTTGAAGTCTGTAAGTATAATTGTGGATTTGTCTATCTCTCCTTTCATTTCTCAGTTTTAATTATACATATTTTGCAGCTTTTTTGTTTGGTATATATACATTTGGGATTGCCATATCTTCTTGGTGGATTGATCCTTTCATCATTATGTAATGTCTCTCTCTGTCTCTGGTAATTTTTTTTGCTCTTAAGTTTACTTTATCTGATATTTACATAACCACTCTTGCCTTTTAAAATTAATGTTTGAATAATAAATATTTTTATCCTTTTTCTTTCAACCTATGTATATCATATTTGAAGTCAGTTTCTTATATACAGCAGATTTTTGGATTATGTTTTAAAATCTGCTTTGCCAATCTATTTCTTTTACATAGTGTATTTAGACAATTTACATTTGGTGTGATTACTGATGTTTAGACTTAAGTCCAGCATTTTATTTTTATTTTCTGTTTGTTCTCTCTACTTTTTGTTTTCTTTTTCCTGCTTTCCTGTTAGTAACTTGAACATCTTTTAGAATTCAATTTTGTTTCATCTGTAGTATTTTTGAGTTTGAGTATATCTCTTTGTATAGATTTTCTAGTTGTTTATAATGTTTAATTTTAGGTTCAACCTTGCTGGGCCATGATGATGCTCGGATACTTAGGCAAACATTATTTGGATGTTTCCATCAAGGTGTTTTGGGATGAGATTTACATTTAAATAGGTAGATTTTCAGTAAGGCAGATTGCTCTCACTAATGTGGACGGGCCCCATCCAGCTGATTGAAAACCTGAATAGAACAAGAGACTGACCTCTACAAAGAAAGAGAGAATCCTGCAACAGACAGCCTTTGGACTTGAACTGCAAAATTTACTCTTTCCTGGATCTCTTAGATTGATGGCACACCCTGCAAATTTTGGATTTGCTAGCCTCCATAATTTTGTGAGACGATTCCTAAAAATAGATCACTATTTATTTATTTCTATGTCTGCCTATCATCTATCCATCTATCTGTTGATTCTGTTCATCTGGAAAACCTTGACTAATACAGATATTATATTAACTTATAAGTTTTACGTAAGCTACCTAAGTCTACTGGTGTCAACATTTTACCAGTTTGAATGAAGCAGTGAAACCCTACCTCCCTTTATATCCCTTTGCCCTCTGCCATTGACAACACAATTGTCTTAAATGTATCCTCTAGATATGTAGAGACCCTGTATTGTATTTACCCATATTTTAGCTGCTTCCCGTATTCTTTCTTTCTTCCTGGTTTCCAAGATATTCATCATTTACTTTCTGTGTCAGGAACTTCCTTCAGTCCTTCTTTTAGGGTAGGTCTGCTGGTGACAAACTCTCTTGATTTTCCTTCATCTAAGAATTTCTTGATTTCCCCATTACCTCTGGAGGATATTTTATAATATTTCTCCCTTAGGTAATGTGTCATTTCTCTCTGGCTGCTTTCAAGAATTCTCTTTGTTTTCAGTTTTCAGAGGTTTAAGTATGATGAGTCTTGGTGTAGATTTATTTGGGTTTATCCTGCTTGGAGATCACTTAGTTTCTTAAATCTCTAGGCTTTTTTTTCTTTTTCTTTTTCTTTTTCTTTTTTTGCCAAATTTGACAGATCTATAGCCATTATTTCTTTGAATATGTTTTCTGTCCCATCCTTTCTCTTCTTTTCCCCTAACAGCAATGACACAAAATTTAGATCTTTTATTGCAGTCCCACATGTCCCAGTAGCTCTGCTTTTTATTTTTATTTATTTATTTATTTATTTTGCCTATGTTTGTCTATTTTTCAGATTATGTAAATCTATTGCTCTGGCTTCAAGTTCAATGATCCTTTTCTTTGACCTCTGCTGTTCAGCCTGTCCACTGAGGTGTTTTTTATTTTGGTGTTTATCATTTTTAGTTTTAAAATTTCCATGTGGTTCTTCTTTACAACTTTTATTTTTGCTGTGAATTCTACTCTTTTCTGAGATTTTCTATTCTTCATTTGTTTCAAGTGTGTTTGTGTTGCTTTTCTGAAGTATTTCCATAATGGCTGCTTTAAAATTCTCATGAGAGGATTCTGACATGTGTGTCATCTCAGTTTTGGCATGTGAGGTTTTTCTTTTTGCATTCAGTATGAAATCTTCCTGGTTCTTGGTATAACAATTGGTTTTTGACTGAAATGGACATTTTGGGTATCATCCTATAACCCCGTCACTACTAAAAATACAAAAATTAGCCAGGCGCCGTGGCAGGTGCCTGTAATCCCAGCTACTGGGGAGGCTAAGGCAGGAGAATCACTTAAACCCGGAGGCGGAGGTTGCGGTGAGCCGAGATCACACCACTGCACTCTAGCCTGGGCAACAGAGCAAGACTCTGTCTCAAAAAATAAAAAAGACTGTGTCTTATTTAAATTTGTGTTTTAGCAGGCCTACTCTGAAATTACTCCAATGGGTGATGGGGCTCCTTCTTGTCATTGTCATGTGAGGGATGGAAGTCCAGATTTTCCACTCAACCTCCATCATCACCCAGAAGGCGAGGGGCTTCTCATTACTGCTGTGTGCAAATGAGAGCTCAGGCTCCCCACTAGGCCTCTCCTGATACCTCCTTGCTAGGAGGAGCAAGGTGCTTCATTAGTGCTTCCCAGGTGGCTTCCACTGACACCATGAGGGGAGTGGCCTTCTTACTGTTGAGTTGTGGCTAAACTCCTAATTGTCCACTAGACTTCCTCCCATACCACCTCAGTGGGGAGGGTAAGAAGTGCCTCATTACCACAGGAACATAGTGGAAGTCCTGTGTCCCTGCTGGTCTCTGTTGACAGGAAGGGAGAAGGGAAATTCTTTACCACCCAGAGGGCATGAAAGTCCCAGCTTTCAAGCAAAGTATGAAGAATTAGGGAGCCTTGTTACAGCCTGACAAGGGTGGAAGTCTATGCCATCCACTTGGCCCTTATTGGTGGAATGGGGGTGGAGCACAGTTGTTTTTGTGATGCTCGGCTGAAGTCGAATGATTATTTTCTAAAAGTTTTCTACTTTGTTTGGCTTCCCCTTTCCTGATCCTTTTGCTAAAGAGCACAAGGTTTAGTTGGGCTTTAAAAAAATAATTTCAAATTTTATTTTAAATTCAGAGGGTATGTGTGCAGGTTTGTTACATGGGTATATTTCATGATGCTGAGGATTGGAGTAAGGATGATCCCATCACCCAGGTAGTGAGCATAACACCCAATAGTTAGTTTTTCAGCCCATGACTGACTCCTTCCCTCCTTCCCTGCTGTAGTAGTCCCCAGTGTTTTTTGTTCCCATCTTTACATCAGTGCTTAGCTCCCACTTATAAGTGAGAACATGCAGTATTTGATTTTCTGTTCCTGCAGTAATTCACTTAGGATAAAGGCCTCCAGCTGTATGTGTGTTGCTGCAAAGAACATAATTTTGTTCTTTTTGTGACTGCATAGTATTCCACAGTGTGTATTACCACATTTTCTTTATTTGATCCGCTGTTGATGGGCACCCAGTAATCAACCTAGGTGCCCATCAATGGTGATTGCCCATGAGCAGTTGATTATTTTGTTATTGTGAATAGCACTACAATGAACATATGAGTACATGTGTCCTTTTTGTAGAACTACGTATGAGACCAGTGACTTCTGGGTTGCCAGTTTCTCCAGCACCTCGTCTAGGAGATAAAAAAGAAAGAAAACCTAGAGAATTTAACTTCATGTCATCTCTTGGGTGTCAACATCCCTAGCTGGGCTGCCTTCTTCTCTCTGCCTTTGAGTTTTCTTGTTTGTTTTGTATATGATGTCAAGGGTTTTTCATTACATTTATTGGGAGGAATAGGAAAAAGTATATTTACTTAATCTTCCTTGAAGCAGAAGTCCTCTACTGAGCAATTTTAAAACATTGTTACATAACAAATGATAACATTTAAATCTTGTCATTCATCAGAATCTGAGGAATTCTTAAATAGTAGTTAAATATCTGTTAAGGGTTGAATTGTGTCCTTTCAAAATTCATATTAAAGTTTTAACCCCCAGTACCTCAAAATGTGACCATATTTGGAGTTGGGGTCTTTAAAGTGGTAATTAAGTTAAAATGACATCTTTAGGGTAGGTCGTAATCCAATATGACTGGTGTCTTTATAAGAAGAGACAATTAGAACATAGACTCACCCAGAGGGAAGACCCTGTGAAGACACCGGGAGAAGGTGGTCATCTACAAGTCAAAGGGAGAAGCCCCAGAAGAAACCAACCCTACTGATGCCATGACTTTGGACTTCTAGCAATTGTCAAATAATACATTTCTGTCGTTTAAGCCACCCAGTCTGTGATACTTAGTTATGGCAGCCCTAGCAAACTGATACAGTATCATAGCATTAAAACACAAGGTATTGATTTTATTTAATAATGGGGAAAAAAATCTACATGATAAAAGTTAGATACCTCATTTTTTTCTTATCCTTCCTTTTGACTTAAACTAAAAATTCACAATTGTAACATCCAGCATATGCTCCATAAATGATTTACTTTTCTCCAGGAGATATATTCTGAGAAAGTATTTAAAAATTGAAAATCTGGAAAGTCTTCTGCTCTTGAATCTGTTCCATAGCATGCTGACTAGAACTCCTAAATTCATGAGAGAAATACCTGTCTGATGCAAAGACAGATGGTGCCAAAAAAGAAAAAAATTCTGGAAAATACATATATGTGAAAAATAGCCACATTGCACCATACAATGAACCAAGTAAAGACAGAAAATTAGATATAGGGACAGAAGAATGAAGGAAAGAAAGAAAAAAGAGAAGGAAGAAGAGACTGTAGGAAAGAAATAAAAAGGAAAGGGAGGAGGAAGAAGGGAAAGACATACTCTGGAAAAAATGAGAGAGAAAAAGAATATTAAATCATTTTTCTTCACTAAACATTACTAATAAAAGTTCATGGAGTTCTTCCAGAATGGAAGTGTTTGTAAAGGTTGATAATAACGTTTTGGAGAAAATGGCCAATGTGCAAAAAGAAAAATGCTGTGAATGTTTATAAAATGACACATTTGGTTTGCTCAGTTTATTTGCAGAAGTTCTCATAACAGCATTGCAGAGTAGAAAAAAACAGTAAACAGAGAAGTAGAAGGAGATTTCAGATATGATGACCTTTCAAAAAACTGTAATGCATAGAACATCAGAGACTTTTCCTTTCAATATTTGGTTTCAGCAATGTTGAGCCTTCCAAAGATTTGTACATATTGTTACCAATAACTGTTTAATTCTTTTTACTGACTGATAACAACACATGGCCATCCTGTTCTCCAGAGAACTTCCTCAAGCAAGCGGGAACCACCTTGGGTGTTCAAGGTTCTCAAGTGCATCAACCCAGCAGAGAGTGAGAAAGTGAGTGTATCTGGAGAGCGTTGCATTAAGAGAGATGGAACATAAAACTGAATAAGGGTGAGTTTGCTAATATGGGGACAATTTCCTCTATCACAGGGATTAATATCTTGGTTAGGGCCTTGGGTGAGGGATAGCTCCAGGAAGCTCAGAAAAAGCAGTGGCCCACATGAAACAAAGATGCCAGATCTGCCATGGCAAATTAGTGGAGGAAGGGATCAAAAGGCTCAGAGTAGTGGGCATGCTGGAATAGGTTTACATATAAACCTGGAAAATCCTGTAGGTGACCATGTTCAACTCCAGATACTTCTGAGTTTAAGGGAAATAAATTCAGAATTGAATCTCAGTCAGTACAACATTATCAAGTTCCCTCTTGACAGCATCTTTCTCCCAGGAATGACACAAGATGAAGATGAGTTGGGGTGATGGGAATAGATGCACCCTCCTAGTGCCTTCTTCTTGTCCTCAGAGGTTTCCACTGAGATATATTGCTTACTAGCCTAGGCTTCAAGTTTCAGATTATTGTCTCTATCATATAGTTTAGCACAATGTATCCACATTTTACTGGAAAAGGCCATCAAAATGGTGCTTTGTTTTCTAATGATATATCTGTTTGATAGCTAATTTTCTTCATATATTTAAACTGAAATGAAATATTACACAAGAGTGAGTACAGAAGTAGATATGAGAATTCAGCTATCTACTGCCTAGCCAAACATTACAGAGATTTGTACAAATGTAATGCAATACCACTCTTTGCACTTTGGGGGTGGAGGGGTGGGAAAATTAGTTATTTTTTATAAACCTATGTTATCTAGGCTAACATGCAACATGTTTATTTTTTTTTTTTAAATGAAATCTCGCTCTGCTGTCACCAGGCTGAAGTGCAGTGGCATGATCTCTACTCACTGCAACCTCCGCCTCCCGGGTTCAAGCGATTCTCCTGCCTCAGACTCCCGAGTAGCTGGAACTACAGGTGCCTGCCACCACGCCCGGCAAATTTTTGTATTTTTAGTACAGACAGGGTTTCAACATGTTGGCCAGGATGGTCTCTATCTCCTGACCTCACGATCCGCCCATCTCGGCCTCCCAAAGTACTGGGATTACAGGCATGAGCCACTATGCCGGGCCTATTATTGCTATTTTAAAATTCATTCAAATAATAAATAAAAGGTTAAAGTAAAAAGTGCCTCACTTTTAACTTATAACACAGTAAATAATATAGGTAGCTACAACCAACATTGGTGAATGAGGACCCACTTTGGGGTCCTCAATAATCTTTAAGAGTGTAAAGATTTCTTAAGACCAAAAAGCTTGAGAACCACCTATCTAGAGGATATTTATCAGGGTCCTATTCCTACCACAGACAAGCTGAAACAAAGAGAATCTTGAGCAAGGAAACGTAGACTCTGAAAATGAATGGAATGACATCACTTTGAGTCAGTAGCATCCTGACAAGGCAGCTCAATGCCATGAGCCCATGGTTGTGTGTCCTCTGAGCTTCTCCAGTTCTTGTCCATTCTCAGGCCCAGCTTTCCTGAATAAATTTCCTATCTTTCCAATAAATTGACTTTGCTTAAGTTCAATGGGGTTAATTTCTGTTGACTGCAATCAAATCATGCTAATGAACACAATGTTTAGTAATATCCTTTTTAAAGTTGTGTCTGAAATCTTTCATTTATAGTTCAAACTCTTTTTTGAGTTATTTCCTCAAACTCAAGGAGGAAAGTTGTTGTGGGGGGGCCACAGCAACAAATGGGAAATTTAATTGGAAAATCCAATTCTGCTCTCCCTGGGCTACTTTAAACCACTAATGAACTGTAAGTTCACTAGGTACCACCTCCTTTTTTTATTCCATGCTGACTGACAAACCAGTCATTAAAGATCTACTTAGCCCTCTACCCCAGAGTCAGGGTGTCTGTTGCATTTTATCTTCAAAGTGTGTTGCATATGTAAGTGGAATAATCTACACAACAAGTATGGGTATTGCTGGAAATGTTATTAGCCCCATTTTAGAAAGTACAGCAATTAAATCTCTGCCCTTAGGTTCTCAAGGGAATACATGTTAAAAGATCCTGGCTACAATCCTTATATCACTCAACATAATCATGGCTCCCAGAATAAACACGGACATTCAGTATCCACAGAGAAGGAATTTGAAAACAAACTTACTGAATAAATTTTATATAGGACCTTATTTTAAAATATAATAGACAATTTGTGTTACAAATTTATTTCACTTCCCTGAAAGATAAATTTTATATTTCTCCTTTCTAACACTGTTATCGAATTTCTTTTTATCTTTTTCTGGGAGAATACATTCCCTGGGAAGTTGTATTTACTATCTTTGGTAAATGCAATTGTCAGGCCTTAGTTTTGATAAAAAGATTTATGAAATCTGTGAATCAAAACACTTAATATCTAGAATGAGCAAGAATACAATCCTGCTACACACACCCTTTGTAAGCATATATCTGAAGGAGTTGCATTCACTCGTGGTTATGACATATTTAGAACGTATATGAAATAGAGAAAATTGACCAGGCTGATAAATCAGATCAAAATCAGATATTTTATAGAGAAATTTGGGATGTTTAGCCTACAGAAATGTGAACCAGGTGGCATGATGGTAGTTTTCTTCAAGTATTTAAATAAAAGAGATATTAGACCTTACCAATTTATCACCAGTTTGGGAAACCTACTGGCATAGGTCAGTTTTCTGAAGGTAGAGAATTCCCCACTACTAAGACTGTGCAAGCTAGGCATGCCCTAGGCACACAGGCATTTTTTTTTCATTCTGAGATGCTTTGACTCCATAACTCTTTTTGTTTTTTACTTAAATAGCTTCCACATCTGAATCTGAAACTCTGACTCTAAGTTAATGGGAGTCTAACTCTAAGTTTTATGGAATCTACATCATACAAAATAATTTGGGGCTAAAAGTTAATAATCTACAAAGATAAAAAAGCTCTAAGTATGTATCCTATTTGTAATGGTATTAAAAACCATAGTAATGCTGTCCTCAGATATTTAAGAGTATTGGGAAATGTATGCAGAATGAAATAAATTAAGTTTTAAGTTTAAAATAGTGGTACTAGAAATTTAAAAAGCCAACGGAGCAAACAAGTCCTCTTAACTTGAAATGAGGGCCCAAAATAGGCTTCAGGAAAAAGAAAAATATTTTATTTTCATTAACTTTAATTAAAAGCATGTTATAGATTTAATAGAGAAGGGAAAGAGAACAGAAAGAATGGATGAGTAGGAGGGGCAGTTTTTAATTAATCTATCCATGAAAACGGAGTGTCTTTACCATTGTAAGAAGCCCCTGTCTAAACAGATGCTGCCTTCACTTTCGGACATTAGAATAAGCCGCGCCAGTGGCTAGACTACAGCTTCCGCGAGCCTGCACATCTTTAAGAGGCAGCCCCAGGGATAAAGGCATTTGATTTTATTTTTAACAAATGAAAGTTCTTTTTAAGACAAATTATATGCAATTTTTTTAATGTGTCTGTTGCCATATGCTAGAGGCTATATATCTAGGAATATGTATTTGCATATCTATATGATCCCACTTTTTTTGAAAAAGTGTATAGAGATTTCACATTGATGGTTACCAAAGATTTATTTTTCTATAGAATTTGGAGAATTCATTCCCAGACATTTCTTGGAGGGATGTATTCAAAGGTAATTTTAAATATTAAGTGATTTTTTTTCAAACTAAATATGATAAAATTGAAAGTACATTCAAATTAATTATAATAAAAATTCCCTCTAGCAAAAGAAGAAAAACATAGATTAAAATGTATCTATGGAGGCTTGATCATTAGGATTAAAGCCAAGCCAAAATTAAGGCTATCTGGACAATAACACTAAAAAAGTTTTTTTAATGCATCTATAAAAATCCAGATGAGTTTTAAGTATCTTCCTATAAAGATATAAGAAACAGCAGATGAATTAATGGGGGGAAAAGGAACTAAGACTGATTTTTCAAAGAGATATACATTATTTTTAAAAGGATATTGTCCAAAACTTAATATTTAAGAATTACAGTAGATTGATTAAGCTCTGTTCCACTTTTGGAGCTATAGTGGCATGACTAAGCTTGCTATTGACCAAAGTAGAATGACTCATTTATGAGGGTTTCCATGGAGCCAGCCTAAGTATCAACATGTTTCATTTAACAAATCTCAAGGCAGAAAAACACCAATGATTAAAAAAACACAAATAGTTCTTCAAGTCTATTGTTATTCACAGTTGGAAAAGATCAACACTAAATGGTGTAATTTGGGGCCTGTGAAAGGGGTAGGGAGTGCAGGGGGAATTTGGAAACTTGGCAGAAATAATTCTCCTTAAATTCTGCCAGGAGAAACATAAATCTCCACTGTTACTCTCTTTTTTGATTTAGCACTTCGAGGATCCTGCACAAAACTGTGCAGCTTAGGAAAAATATAAAGTAGGCAGACGCTTCTGACATATAATTTGAGAAAAGTAAGCCCTCTCGTCTACCCCAAAAATATCTCTATAGCTAGTCTCAGATTTTGCACCCCATAATTAGATGCACATTCTTTCTTCGTTGTGAAGAGCTTTTGTGTTTGGTTGTCTTCTACAACTGAAAAATAATCCTGGGAAGAGTAAATCCACCAGTTAACATGTTAGAGAGAAGGAGTGACTAAATAAGGGAGTGAGAGGTCTGAAATCACAGAAAAGAGGAAAAGCACTAAGCAAGGTACACCCAAGAAAAATGTCAAACACTTCTCAGTTGTTCCTAGGGCTTTGTAAATTTATGTGCATGATATTGTCAGTAATAATAAGTCATACTATTTTAATACAGTCTATGTGACAATGTGTCAATCCCCTTACTTGGGAAGCAGATTTGAAGGGAATAGTCAAAATGCTCTCAAATGCTCCAAAAAACTTATCTTCCCTCATTTCTATAGACTTGAACACAAATTAGTTCACAAGTACCTATGTCTGCTAATTGAGGAAGAACATCAATTTGCCCAAAGTAATTCCAGACACTTGATTTTAAAAGAAGTACATTCAGAATTTAATCTCAGTCAGTGCAAACGCTCCTCTTCCTCTTTGACCTCATCTTTTTTTTTTCTTTTGAGACGGAGTCTCACCCTGTTGCCCAGGCTGGAGTGCAGTACAAACCCGACTCACTGCAACCTCCACCTCCACCTCCCGTTCCTCAATCACCCAAGTATTGGGATTACAGGCATGCGCCACCATGCCTGGCTAATTTTATTTCCTTTCTTTCTTTCTTTCTTTCTTTCTTTCTTTCTTTCTTTCTTTCTTTCTTTCTTTCTTTCTTTCTTTCTTTCTTTCTCTCTCTCTCTCTCTCTCTCTCTCTCTCTCTCTCTCTCTCTCTCTCTCTCTCTCTTTCTTTCTTTCTTTCTTTCTTTCTTTCTTTCTTTCTTTCTTTTTTTTGAGACGGAGTCTCACTCTGTCGCCCAGGCTGGAGTGCATTGGTGTGATCTCGGCTCACCGCAAGCTCCGTCTCCCGGGTTCATGCCATTCTCCTGAATCAGCCTCCTGAGTAGCTGGGACTACAGGCACCCGCCACCACGCCAGGCTAATTTTTTGTATATTTACTAGAGACCGGGTTTCATCATGTTGGCCAGGACGGTCTCAATCTCTTGACCTCGTGATCCACCCACCTCGGCCTCCCAAAGTGCTGGGATTACACGCGTGAACCACTGTGCCCAGCCTAACCTTATCTTTGCTCGGTAGCAATGTGAGATGAGGCTGGTGAGGTCACAGAAGGGACGATGCTTTACATAGCTTCTTGATATGGGCAAAGGATGCTCTATCCCAATGCCCCCTCTGGTGCTCAAAGGCTTCCACCGCTAAAGTAGAGTTTCTCTATCTCAGTCTTCAGGCTCTCAGATTATTGTCTGTATCATAGACTTTAATTGTCCATTTGGAAACTTAAAGATAAGCAATACCTCTTTAATTCCCAGCTGAATTCTCCATCACTATATTGATTCTGAGGGTGAAAGCCCAGGGCAAGTATTAGTAGATTATCTCTGTTAATACTGCACAAGGATTCTTCCACTACACATGCATTATCTTTCTTAAATTTATCCAAGGTTAAATGGTTAGTGAGTGAAAAGTCTGGGATTTTACCCAGGTGGGACCTACTGCAGAGCCTGGGCTCTTACTTATCCCTCTGTTATAGTGTCACTCAGAGGAAAAGCAGGCCTGATGCAGTGTTTCACACTTGTAATCCCCAGCACTTTGGAAGGCCAAGGTGGGAGAATCACTTGAAGCAAAGAGTTCATGACCAGCCTGGGCAACATAGCAAGAGCTTGTCTCTACAGAAAAAAAAAAAAAAAAAAAAGCTGGGCACGGTGGCTCACGCCTGTAATCCCAGCACTTTGGGAGGCTGAGGCGGGCAGATCATGAGGTCAGGAGATTGAGACCATCCTGGCTAACAAGGTGAAACCCTGTCTCTACTAAAAATACAAAAAATTAGCCAGGCGTAGTGGCAGGCACCTGTAATTCCAGCTACTTGGGAGGCTGAGGCAGCAGAATGGCATGAACCCGGGAGGCGGAGCTTGCAGTGAGCTGAGATCGCACCACTGAACTCCAGCCTGGGTGACAGAGCAAGACTCCATCTCAAAAAAAAAAAAAAATCACCCAAGCATGATGGTGTACCTATAGTCCCAGCTAGTCATGAGCCTGAGAGGTGAGGATTGCTTGAGCCCAAGAGTTCAAGGTTATAGTGAGCTATGATTGTGCCACTGCACTCCACCTGGGTGACAGAGCAAGACCCTAAAAATAAATAAATACAAGAACAACAAAACATCATCCACTATTAACACTTCAAGTTTTTCTCTGATTACATTCAGTGATTGATTAATTTCCATGATTTAACAAAAGTCTAGGACACAGAAAAGCAAAGAAAAGAAGGAGAGAGGAAAAAATCTATCTCCAAAAATTACTCTTAAGGGGATACTCTAGGGAAATGCTAAAATGGGGGACATGGAAACCTTCCTGTCACTATTCAGGGATGGTATGCAGTTAGGAAGACAATTCTCTATGTGTCTCTTACATTTCTGTGCTTGTAAGAACAGCCACTGATGGCCCTTGCTCTGGACTCTGTTTCACAAATGTTTGTATAGCAAACATCCTTGGGTGATAGAGATAGTGCCTCCCTCTAAAGAGAAGGTAGATTTGTTTACTGTCAAATATAATTTGGATAATGTCTTCTTCCAGGGCAAAAGTTGGGCAGGTTTGCTTATAGTGCATTAGGAATTATTTAGATTTTCTAAGCTTAAGTTTCCTTAGTGGAGACACAAACCTATTATATATGCAGCATCTACCTGGGCCATTCTACTCCCCTGACCTGGGGAACAGACATGAACATTATGCTCATGATGCTTTTTGTCCTGTGAGTAATAAAGTCCCTTGTCTCTGATCCAGGAGTCTCATGTCCTCTGCCAGTATTTATGAAACTGTGGCAGGCTATCTTGTGAGTTTGCAAGTAGATTAAAATCTCAGACCCTTCACAGTTCTTGACACCCATAATATCCTGTTCTTGGCTTAATGTAGTACTTAAGATAATATAATTCTGTTTTAGCCTAATAATATCTACCACGGGTTTATAAACTGAAAATAGTGTATCAGTCAGCTTAGACTAAATTATGGTATGGTAACAAACAAACTCAAAATAGTAGTGACTTTAAACTTTGGAATATTGATAAATATTTAACAGTAAGCTTTCCAGGAATAAAAGCCCTGACTGACTGTATTTGCCAATTTCCATAGTGTACATATTCCCACCTTTCCCAATGTTAAGCTACTAATATGACATCATCTAATGCAGAGTTGAGAGGAGATGAGCACAATTACATACAAGCCAGCTCCAGCACACCCATGGCTTTATAAGAACAGAGGTTTGGCCAGGTGCAGTGGCTCACGCCTATAATCCCAGAACTTTGGGAGGCTGAGGCTAGCAGATCATGAGGTTAGGAGTTCAAGAACAGCCTGACCAATATGGTGAAACCCCGTTTCTACTAAAAATACAAATATTAGCCAGGCGTGGTGGCACCTGCCTGTAGTCCCAGCTGCTCAGGAGGCTGAGGCAGAAGAATTGCTTGAACCTGGGAGGTGGAGGTTGCAGTGAGCCAAAATCAAGCCACTGCACTCCAGCCTAGGCGACAGAGTGAGACTCTGTCTCAAAATAATAATAATAAAAAAAGAACAGAGGTTTATTTCTTGCCAATGATACATGCTCTTTGCAGTTCAGCTTCAACCCTGCACCAGGTCATCTTTATTCCAGGATATAGGCTGAAAAAGCAGCTCTTCTCTGTGTCATGCCATTTGTGTGGCAGAGAGAAAAGGGTAAGACCAGAGCCATAGAATGACTCTTAATGGTTCTATTCGGAAATGGCATAAATGACTGTTATTCACATTTTATTGGTTAAAGCAGATCACCTGGCCAAGATTGAGGTCAATGGGTTGAGAAGTATACTCTGGTCAAGACAGACCCAGTTAAGAGGGATAGCAAAATTATGACATTAATACTATTGTGATGGTTAATTTTAGGCATCCACTTGATTGGATTGAGGGATGCCTAGATGACTGATATTGTATCTGGGTGTGTTTGTGAGGGTGTTGCCAGAGGAGACTGACATTTGACTTGGTGGAGTGGGAGAGGAAGACCCACGCTCAGTGTGGGTGAACACCATCCAATCAGCTGCCAGTGGTGCTAGAACAAAGCAGGTGGAAGAAAGTAGAATAAATTTCCTTGCTAAGCTTTCCGGCTTACTTTTCTTCTTCCTTTGCCAGACACTTGTTTCTGCTCCTCCTGCCATTATACTCGGACTCCAGGTTCTTCAACCTTTGGACTCTGAGGCTTGCACCAGTGGCTTCCCAGGGGCTTTTAGGCCTTTGGCTGCAGACTGTAGGCTGCACTGTTGGCCTCTCTGGTTTTGAGTTTTTGGACTTGGACTGAGCGACTGCTGGCTTCTCTCTTTCACCAGCTTCAGATGGCCTATCATGGGACTTCACCTTGTAATAGTGTGAGCCAATTCTCTGTAACAAACTCCCTTTTATATATACATATATCCCATTGGTTCTATTCCTCTGGAGAACCCTAACACAATTATCTATAACAATGTGCAACACATCTTATTTCTTCTTGAACCCATGCTATCCAACACAATGCTTTATGCAGTTACTCCTCAGTTAATGAAAGACTAAACAATGAATTAGTTACAGTCTTTGTCTTTATCTTTATCTTTTTTTATTTTTTGTTTTGTTAGTTACAGTCTTTAATAATAATGTTAGAAAAGTAGGCTAAGATGTTTGTTGTAAGACTAGCAAACATCATAATTTGAACTTTGTTATTTTTTCCCCAGTATCTTCCCAGAGGTTGCACAGCCCTCTCAGTGGAATGCTGCATATCTAGAGGTTAAGACCGTTAACATGTTAGTATTGTCAATTCAACGAAAATTTTTTGAACCCATATTCTGAGACAGACATTGTTTTAGACTTGGGGATTAACAGCAATGAAAAAAAACACCAAACTTATTGCTCTCATTGAACTTAAAATCTATCAGAAGATATATCATATGCAAATAAGCAAATTACAGGTAATACGTCATTCTATAAGTTCTATGAAGAAAAAACAAGCATTTAACAAATATTTATAAACATTTATGAACCCACAAACAAGAGCATGAAGGGAGACTCCTCTATATTATTGTTTTTATTAGCAATTAAATCTTCACATAGCAGGCCAGACGTGGTGGCTCATGCCTGTAATCCCAGCACTCTGGAAGACTGAGGCGGGTGGATTGCTTGCACTCATGAATTTGAGACCATTGTGGGCAACATGGTGAAACCCTGTCTCTACAAGAAATACAAAAATTAGCTGGGCGTGGTGGTGCACACCTGTAGTCTCAGCTATTTGGGAGGCTGAGATGAGAGTGACAGAGGCAGGAGGCAGATGGGGCAGGTCCCTGGAAAAACCCCACCTTCAAGCAAAAAAGCCTGGAACTCACAGCCCAAAGTGAGAACTTCTATTCCTGTTTGCCCACTCTCCCCTGATTGGGTCTTTCTGAATAGTGCCCTTTTACCAATTGAATGTTGCCTTTTCCAAAACTACCTATAGCCCACCATGCCCCCCATACCATCCTGTGCCTATAAAGACCCCAGACTCAGTCAATAGAGGGGAATGATGGCTGGATGTAGAGGAGAGGCAACTTAACTTCAGACAGGAGGTTGGACTTTGCAGGACGAGCCAGCTGGACTTTGGGGAGAAGACTAACTGCCCTTCCTCTCCCTTTCCAACTCCCCTGTCCACTGAGAGCCACTTTCATCACTCAATAAAATTCTCCACATTCACTGTCCTTCAATTGGCCTGTGTGACCTCATTTTTCTTGGGCACCAGACAAGAGTTCAGGACCCACTGAGTGCAGGTACTCAAAAATGCTGTCACACTGGCCCTTGACCTCAGCGGCAGTGGGCAGCTGCCCCACGTGACAAGGAAAGGGGCCAACTGAGCTGATAACACACCACTGTCCATGGATAGCGGAACTAAGAGAGCATTGTAACATGTCTTCTGGGCTTCAGGGTCTCAGGCACCCCCACCTGGGCACCGCCATGGGCCCCACACAGAACTTGCTCTTGCTAATGACTGGAACAGCCCATACTCATTCACTCACGTGTTCCTTCCCACAAGGGGTTGAGCACAGCTGGCCAAGTAAATGGGGCACCCCATCTCAAGTGTGACAAAGAGGTCACAAAAAATCTTGCATCAAGAGGATAGCTTGAGCCCAAGAGGCAAAGGTTACAGTGAGCCAAGATCTTGGCATTGTAGTCCAACCTGGGTGACAGAGTCAGACTCTATCTCAAAAAAAAAAAAAAAATATATATATATATACATATATATATGTATATATATATATGTATATATATATATATATATATAAAATCTTCATGTAGTAAAGAGTATGAAGTTACACAGATTTCTTAATGTGTATAAACTGTGACTTTGATAGGAATAATTTCCTGCTTGTTTTTATTGTTTGGAAGTAATTAAATCTGCATTAAATACAGAATTTGCAGTGTGGTTTCACAAATAATATGTGGATTCTGCCTAACTCTCTTTATTTCTAGTTTTAAAAGTTTAAGCAGGTGCTTTTTTTAAGATTTCTATTTCATTTTTCTTTTCAAGTTTTTTTCTTTTGAGGTTCTATTTCACATTTTTACCATCTAATCAACTTGCTCTCATTTCCAATGATCTAAAGAATAAAAAATAATGTGTTCAATATGTTCATCATTTGAATATATATTTTATCAGAAAAATACAATAAATATAAAAGTTAAAATAATTTTCACTCATGTTTTCAAAAATGTTCTATTTCTTCTAAAATGTCTAGAGTTATATTATATGCCTAATTGCCAATGTAAATAATTGATATTATGCTTCATATTTCATTTTTAGATCTATTTATACTCAAATGTAAGAGTAAATATAAATTGTTTAACATTGTAGAATCTTTCTCAGACCCAGCTGCGACTATTGCAGATTTCAGCTAATTCTTGTGTCCCTCCAGAACTATGAACAGGAACAGAAAAAAGGCAAGCAAATAGATGCAGAGCACCCCTGGAAATCATACTTCATTATGCAAGAATTTATTGTATTCATGCTATCTGAGAGGGAGTATTTGAGAAGTTAATTACTTTGTCTTTTCTCTTACTTAAGTGCTTCCACTGCTCTAATTCTGCTGTCCTTTGAAGTCATGTCAATCTCTGATGTTGGCAGCAATGCAATCCACAAATATTCACAGCATTTATATATAATTGCTTTTTATTTTGAAGACATAAATGAAACATATAACAAGACATTTCCCAGGGGACTAACAATGTTAGTTACAAGAGCATATGTTTAGAGTGGGGATGTGTTGTGCCAGTAGGGAGAAATGGCTTCTGAGTGACAAAGGTACCTGTGTGTCCTTTAATACATCTATTTTTTTATGTCTTTGTAATACATGGGAACCTGTAAGGAATGAAACATACCATATAATATTGCCTTGTAGACTATGGTAAAGAGTTTAGATGTTATTTTAGATGAAAAACCTTTGGAGAATTCTGATCTTGAATTTATTTTAAAATTATTTTTCTGAATGCAACATACAAAATGCATTGTAGGAAAGCAAAAAATAGAAACAGGGAGACCAGTTGGAAGGCTATTGCAATGGTCAGGCAGAAAATGAGGATGGTTCATCAGAAGTGGCCTAATTCTGGGTATATTTTGAAGGTAAAGTTCAAATGATTTGTTTAATTGGACATGGGGTATAAAAGAGACAAGTCATTGAAGAATCCAATTTTGACTCTCACTTTCCTTCTGTAAGATTAACTTTCTTCATTTTAAAATAGGGTCATCTTCAAAATTGGGTTTTTATGTAGATTAAATGTGATAATATATGTAAAGTTATTCTCATAATGCCTGGCGTATACTGATCATGTAATGAATATTCGCTATTAAGTAACGTTTATTTTAGCTTCAGGGGTACATGTGCAGGTTTGTTATATGGGTAAACTTGTGTCACAGGGGTTTGTTGTATAGTCATATAGATTATTTCATCACCCAGTCACTAAGCCTACCACTCGGTAGTTATTTTTTCTGATCCTCTCCCTCCACCTATCCACCACACTCAAGTAGGCCCCTGTGTCTGTTGTTCCCCTCTACGTGCCCATGTATTCTCATCATTTAGCTCCCACTTATAAGTGAAAACATATAGTTTTTGGTTTTCTGTTCTTGTGTTAGTTTGCTAAGGACAATGGCCTCCAGTTCCATCCAGTACCATGCATGGCTGCATAGCATTCTGTGGTGTATAGGTACCACATTTTCTTTATCCAGTCTGCCATTGATGGGCATTTAGGTTGATTCCATGCCTTTACTATTGCAAATAGTACTGCAGTGAACATACATGTGCATGTGTCTTTATGGTAGAATGATTTATATTCCTTTGGGCATATACCCACAATAATGGGATTGCTGGGTTGAATGGTGGTTCTGATTTTAGCTCTTTGATGAATCACCCCACTGCTTTCCACAATGGCTGAACTAATTTACACCTCCATCAAAAATGTATAAGCATTCTCTTTTCTCTGCAACTTTTCCAGCATCTGTTATTTTTTGGCTTTCTAATAATAGCTATTCTGACTGGTGTGAGATGGTATCTCATTGTGGTTTTGATTTTCATTTTTCTAATGATCAGTGATATTAAGGGTTTTTTAATATGCTTGTTGGATGTATGTATGTCTTCTTTTGAAAAGTGTCTGTTCATTGCCCACTTTTTAATGGGGTTGTTTTCTCTTGTAAATTTGTTTAAGTTCCTTATAGGTGCTGATATGAAACCTTTGTCAGATGCATAGTTTGCAAATATTTTCTCCCATTCTGTAGGTTGTCTGTTTATTTTGTTGATAGTTTCTTTTGCTGTGCAGAAGCTCTTAAGTTTAATTAGATCCAGTTTGTTAATTTTTGCTTTTGTTGCAATTGCTTTTGGCATCTTCATCATGAAATCTTTGCCAGTTCCTATGTCCCAAATGGTATTGCCTAGGTTGTCTTCCAGGGTGTTTATAGTTTGGGGTTTTACATTTAAGTCTCTAACCAATCTTGACTTGATTTTGGTATATGGTATAAGGAAGGAGCCCAGTTTCAATCTTCTGCATATGGCTAGACAGTTATCCTAGCACCATTTACTGAATAGAAAGTCCTTTCCCCGTTGTTTGTTTTTTCAGCTTTGTTGAAGATCGGATGGTCATAGGTGTGAAGCCTTATTTGCAGGCTTTCTATTCTATTCCATTGGTGAATGTGTCTATTTTTGTACCAATACCATGCTATTTTGTTTACTGCAGCCCTGTAGTATAGTTAGAAGTTGGTAAGGTGATGCCTCCAGCTTTGTTCTTTTAAATGCAAAAGAACCACAATCATGCCAAACACACTGTCAGACCTTAGTGCAATAAAAATTGAAATCAAAACTAAAAAAAATCACTCAAAACTATGTAATTACATGGAAAGTAAACAACCTACTCTTGAATGACTTTTGGGTAAATAATGAAATTAAGGCAGAAATCAAGTTCTTTGAAACTAATGAGAACAAGGACACAGCATACCAGAATCTTTGGAACACAGCTAAGGCAGTGTTAAGAGAGGAATTCATAGCACTAAATGCCCACATCGAAAAGTTAGAATGATCTGAAATTAACAACTTAACATCACAACTAAAAGAACTAGAGAAGCAACAGGAACCCACCTGGTTTCCTGTTGCTTCTCCAAACCTAGCACAAGACAGGAAATAACCAAAATCAGAGCTGAACTGAAGGAGATCAAGACATGAAAAACCATTCAAAGATCAATGAATCTAGAAGTTGGTTTTTTGAAAAACTTAATAAGGTATATAGACCACTAGCTAGACTAATAAAGAAGAAAAGAGAGAAGATGCAAAAAAGCACAATTAGAAATGACAAAGGGGATGTTACCACTGACCCCACCAAATACAAATGACCACCAAAGACTACTGCGAACACTTGTATGCACACAAGCTAGAAAACCTAGAAGAGATGGATAAATTCCTGGACACATACACCCTCCCAAGACTGAACCAGGAAAAAATGGATTCCCTGAACAGACCAAAAACAAGCTCTGAAATTGAATTCGTGGTGAATGGGCCTGCCAACCAAGAAAAGCCCAGGACCAGATGGATTCACAGCTCATTTCTATTAAATTCAAGAAGAAGAGCTGGTACCATTCCTACTGAAACTATTCCAAAAACAAATTTTTTTTTTTTTTTTTTTTAGGCAAGGTATTTCTCTGTTGTCCAAGCTGGAGGGCAATGGTGCAATCACAGCTCACTGCAACCTCAACTTCCTGGGCTGAAGCGATCCTCCTGCCTTAGTCTCCTGAGTAGCTGGGACCACAGGGCCACGTGCTGCCGAGACCAGCTTGGTTGTGGACACCCTAACCCAGTGGCACTAGACAAATTAAAGACACACACAAAAATACAGCGTGTGGAGTAGGAAATTGGGGGTCTCACAGCCTTCAGAGCTAAGAGCCTCGAACAGAGATTTACCCATGTATTTATTGACAGCAAGCCAGTGATAAACATTGTTTCTATTGATAATATATTAACTAAAATTATTCCTTACAGGAAACAAAGGGATGGGCTGAATTAAAGGGATGGGTCTGGCTAGTTATCTGCAGCAGGAACATGTCCTTAAGGCACAGATTGCTCATGCTACTGTTTGTGGCTTAGGAACGCCTTTAAGCAGTTTTCCGCCCTGGATATGCCAGGTGTTCCTTGCCCTCATTCTGGTAAACCCACAACCTTTAGTGTGGGCATCATGGCCATCATGAACATGTCACAGTGCTGCAGAGATTTTGTTTATGGCTAGTTTATGGCCAGATTTGGGGGCCTGTTCCCAACAACGTGCCACTATGCCCAGCTAATTTTTTTATTTTTTGTTGAGACAAAGGTCTTGCTGTGTTGCCCAGGCTGGTCTCAAACCCCTGTTCTCAAGCAGTTCTCTGGCCTTGGATTACAGGCATGAGCCACCACACTTGGCTAAATTACTTTTTTTTTAAGCCAGTCTAATTAAGTAGTGGCGGGGTTGTGTATCAACTTTCTAAATTACTTTTAAGGCACCACCTGATAAAACCACCTTTCCCAAATATCCTCTTTCACGTGTCTAAATTTGTGCACATTTATATTACTATAAACAGAACCCACTGTGCCTATGATTTTCCCATCAACAACTTCCTCTCTATCAGATCTTTGAAGACTAAAACGTTTTCCAGTCTCACAGGAAAAAAAATCAAATATTGAAAACGATAGGAGATGGGTTGATGTTTGACACACAGGAGATAACCTTCACTAGCAGTTGCCTGTTCTACTCATTAAATCTAAATTAGCCAAATCTGAAACTGACTGTTGAGTACTACAGAATACTGTTTCATTAGCAATTCATTAATTGTTTTTAAATCTCACCTTTATGCATGAATAGATGCATAAAAATAAAAATGAATCATCTTGACAAGAGACTAGTAATGACTTTTGCCTAACTGCTTCAGGAACCATCTTCTCTCTCTAATGAGAAAATATTTTTACACTGAACTAAAGAAACCTCATATTGGGCAGGGCTTATATATGATACACACCAATACACTGGAAAATTGGACCTAGACCACATTATCATGGTATGTTTTACAATTAGTTGAGTCATAAATAATTCTTCATAATGGAGTTCTGAATATCTTCTTCCAATACCATAGAACTAATGTTGTTTTTTCAAAGAGATGGAAAATTATAAAGCCCACTAAAACTTAAAACTGCTTTCTTAGTTTTAGCAGTCCTTTTATGAATTTTTCATTTCAAAGAGGATTTGCAAGGTGACAATAGTTTATCAAAGTAATTAAACTGATGTGGTCATCAAAATGGTTGCCACAGCAGTCATTAGTGATATAGTTCTAGCTGGAGAAGGAAAAACTTTAAACTTTGAGAGTTTAAACTTTGAGAGAAGGTAGAGGTTCCTGGAGGACTTATACAGATATCAAATTGGCTTTTGGAAATATGAATCTGAAACCCAGGAGCACACAGGGTTCAACATACAGTTTGTAAGTGGAGACTACCAGTGATCAAGGTGGTTGTGGAAATAAATATATGGAACTAATTTATCAGGAAAGGGGTTATAGGAAAGAAAGAATTAAAGCTCTAAAGAGTTTATAAGATGAAGAGAATTTAAAATGGAGCCCCAAGGAGGCCAAGGCAGGAGGATGACTTGAGCCCAGGAGTTCAAGACCAGCCTGGGCAACATAGGGGAACCTCATCTCTATAAATAATAAAAAAAAAATTATCCAGGAGTAGTGTGTGCCTGTGGTCTCAACTACTTGGGAGACTGAGGTGAGATGGGAAGATCACTTGAGCCAGTCGAAGCTGCAGTGAGCTGTGATTGCACCATTGCACTACAACCTGGGTGATGGAGTGAGCCCCTGTCTTCAGAAAAAAAAAATGAAGCCCCAAGGAACATCCACCCAGAAGTGGTGGTTGAAAAAAGAAGGGAGCGTGATCATAAATGAGACCAAACAGGAGACAATAGAGAGTAACATGAAGAAAACCAAAATAAAATGATACAGAAACCAAGGAAAAAGGAAGACACCAGGAGAGCTTGTTAAGAATGTAAAATATAGCTTATGTAAATTAAAAACTAGTAAGTGCCTAAGACGTCATCACTATGAAGGACAAAGTTCACCTGAATTAAGGTGAGGACAGTAAAGTGTTATGAGGAGGGGCCTGGTTGTAGGACTTGTGATTCTCTTATAACAACACTGTAGAAGTGACGCAGCTTGACTTTTGAGACTAGGAGGGAAAAGGCAGTATAGCTTCTGCCTTAGTTGCTGGGATGCTTATCTTTGGAGTCCGGTGAGCTTCTGTGGAAGAAGCCTAACTACCTGAGGCTGTCACAATAAGAGGAAGCCCAAGCCAAGTGGAGAAGCTATGTGTAAATGCTTTGGTAAGTGATTCCGGAGGGATTAAGGTCCCACCGAAAAGCCAGCATCAATTTGTCTCCAGGTGATTCCAGACTCCAGCGATCAGGTCACCCTCAGCTTTCAAGTCTCCTTTGTTGAAGTTCCAGATATTGGGAAGCAGAGACAAGTCACTCCCCTGAGCCCTGGTCTTGTTTCTGACCCACAGAATCCATGGCCATAAGGAATGGTGTTGTAAGCTACTAAATGTTGGTGCAATCACACAGCAATAGTAACTGAAACATCACTGAAAGAAATTACATCTCCAGAGGGAAAATATGTAATTTTTATGATACAACAATTTTTAAAGGATGTTAAATTGCAAAATATCTTCCCAACTCAAGCTCTAATCTTTCCAAATTTGGGGCATAGATAAAACTCAAATCTGCTGTATCTTTTCACAAGTTTCCCAGGGTTTACAAGAAGTAGCTCTTACTATAATTTCCTGTTACCTAATCTCCAAAGCCTATCCTAAATCCTATCTTCTCTCTGAAATCTTCAGTGACCACTTTTGACAGAAGTCATCATTCATTCCTATAAACTCTATTGTTGTTAACTTTTTTTTTTTTTGGTAACAAACATATAGCCTATCCTATCAAATAGATCTAATAAATCTGGGGACACATTTATGTTTCTTTGTATCATACAGATTAACGATTACAGTACACTGTCTATAACAGGTGGTCAATAAATATCTGTTTGTTTATTGATGATTATTAACCATTAATGCAAATATTATTACTGGATTTTAAAGCGGATTATTTTATCCTGCAACTTAATAAAATTTACTCTTCTTGCTTTCAAAGAAAGAGATTGTGTGCATAGTCATCATATAAAGCATACATCCTCTTAGTGTCTTCAAAAGTTACTTTTGTTAATAGAATATTATTTTCACTTTGATTATGCAACCTAAAGAGACATGTATTTGAAGGATGGTGGTGTCCATGATAATAAATGTAGTCACATAACATGTTCAGAAACACTGGGCCAAGTTTTTGTTTTGTTTCGTTTTTCCTTTTTAGAGACAGGGTCTCACTCTGTTGCCCAGGCTGGAGTGCAGTGGTGCAATCACGACTCACTGCAATTTGGACTTCCAGGCTAGAGTATTCCTCCCACCTCAGCCTCCAGGGCTGGGTAGCTGGGACTACAGACCACTAAGCCTGGCTAATTTTTTGTAGAGACGGGGTTACATCATGCTGCCCTGGCTGGTCTGGAACTCCTGGGCTAAGTGATCCTGCCACCTCGGCCTCCCGCAACGTTGGGATTAGAGGCTTGAGCTGCCACGCCTGGCCTGGACCAAGTTTTTATTCACTCAAACAATTTTCTAAGAATGGAAAAGGAAATTGGGAGAGGAAGGAAGACTGACTCAGCGGGAGGCTGTTTGTTAATTAGTAAACAAGTGCTGTATACATATTGAGCCAAGTGGCTGCTTTTCAAAAAAGCAAAGTACATGAGGAATCTCAGCTGTTTCCTGAAAATAGGCTCACTTACACTTCCCTGATGGAGACATGTTTTATTATCTGTGAGAACTGAGGAGTTTGTTTATCAAGAAGAAAGAGACAAAATGGGGGTGGGGGTGGGGTGAGGAAGTTGAAGTGTCATCTCGGCAGATGGCTGGAGAGAGAACGTGGTTGTGGCTGAGGCTTGTTCAATAGAAGCAAGCATATTCTTCTTACCAAAAGAACGGTTATTTTTCATTCTCGGAAAATTTACAATATCAGAATTGAGGGCAGAATTTGGGTGGGGACAGGGTGGGAAGTCAGGGACAGTTGTTTTCCAGATATGTTTAAAATGTAGGCATTCTAATCAAGGACTGTCTGGATCTCCAGGACTCTTATACCGTTCAAAGTACATGGCTGTATCACCAAGTTCATGGACTTTTGTTTATTTATTCAATAAATATTTACTGAGAACATATGAAAAGCCAGACATTGTTCCAGATGCTGAGAACACAGCACTGGGGGAGAAAAACCAGATTAAAGTCTCTGCTCTAAAGGAATTTATTTACATTTTACTGGAAGGGGCAGGAGACAGACAATAAGCAAATAAATACAATTTTCAGATGACGATAAGTATCATGAAGAAATTAAACCAGAGTAATATAACAGAGACTGACCTTGACATTTAGTAAAATGAAATCCTCTTCAAGGTACCAGACTGGCTCCACTGAGGTCTGACCCATCAGACCCCCTATAAGAATTAGAAGACAATGCATTCATCCTTATTGGACGATAGCTCTGAAGTCTTCTAACTGGTCCTAGACCTCCTTGGCTACAAAAGGCTCTTTAGGAGCCAGAAGTAGGAATGTTGTCCAGTAGCTCTGAGCTGCTATGAAATTATAGGCCTCTTTCAGCAGACACTCCTTGATTGAAATAATGGCTCCCTCCAAGCATGCACTGATTTATGGTCTGCTGGATTGTTTTTCTTGATTGTCTCAATGTTGTTGATATCAGATTCCATTTAACTTTGAGCCTCCTCTTCTTTCTCTACTGCCATCCCCACACTATACTGGTTGCTTTCTGTTGCAAGTCAAGCTTGCCTAATCCTACACAGGGCCTAACTCTGCCTAGCTATTGTGAGTTGGATGGAACATGCTGCTGACATGCCCCACAATGATGACATCCATGATAAACCTGGTTTTTTGATTTCCTTGTGTCAGCACAACGATTTTGGCCAACATGTCTGTTCTTACAAATGTTCCAGCAATGCCTTCTAAATCTGTACTATGCAGAATATTTTGCCAACTGAAGTTAAGATGTTATTATTTGAACACTTGGTGGTAGGGCATCCTGAGTAAGATATCTAAACACTGGGCCTGCTAACTGGCAGAGAAAAACTCAGTGCATTACAAAAAATGTCAACAGTCTGAGAGGCATTCATGTGGGCATGAGTAGAGGAAGCACAGGCAGCCATGGGAATACCTAGTTAAGACCTGTTATGTCAAGGGTGTGGTCATTCTACCAAAGAGTATAGGGTTCCCTGAAATAGCTAAGCAGCTTCTCATTCCAAAACCATTTGCCTGGGGTGTTGAGAAAGACATTCCAATAGACAAGATGAAAAGGGAATTTATTTGAAGGATACATGGAAATCTCACATAATCCAACTGTAAATGCTGCCACTAGGCCTCATAAATGTTGAAAACAATCTTCAAACAAGCTACTTTCTCTGCTTTTTTCTTTCAGGAAACATGATTTCTTTTCTGCATCCCTCTGTACTTGAATTTCATTCTGCTTCATGTAGCCAGGCTTCTTTTACCAGGGTCGTCATTTCAGTTCCTGGGTAAACTTCAGCTTTACGTGAGCCCCTGCCCTGCTGTGAAGCAATTTGGTTCAGACTCGACCAGATGTTACAGCTCCAGCCCACCACTGATTACTAAGTCAAACTCTATGGCTTTTAGTTTGAATTCTTGTGAAAGAGAATTTAATTGGGTCAAGTGAGCTTTGGGTTGTTTTTCCACTTACCTGTGACTAGCCATTGGGGCTGGAGAATTTGTAATCCTGTGCTACAAACACAATAGCCACGTGTGTGGTTGGGGGAACATTTTCTTAGATGGTGAACACGAAGCAAATGATCAGCATTCAGGTCCAGTGAAGCTGTAAAGTCTAGCCACCACCCACAACTACCAAAGAGGCCACTCTTTTCAGGCCAACTGCGTGATAGGTGGTAGTTACCATAAAGATTCTGATGCCTCTAACTTTTTCTTTTTTTTCCTTTTTCTTTTTTTTTTTTTTTTTTTTGAGACAGTCTTGCTCTGTCACTCAGGCTGGAGTGCAATGGAGCAATCATGGTTTGCTGAAGCCTTGACCTCCTGGGCTCAAGCAATCCTCCTGCCTCAGTCTCCCAAGTAGTTGGGACCACAGTCATGGGCTACCATGCCTGGCTTTTTTTTTTTTTTTTTTGGTAGACAGGTTTTGCCATTTTGCCCAGGCTGGTCTTGAACTCCTGGACTCCAGCAATCCATCCACCTTGGCCCCCTAAAGTGCTGAGATTACAGGTGTGAACTACCGCACCCAGGCACCTCTGACTTATATGAATGTTGGAATTGCTCATTTTTGGGACAGAATGTAGTTCTAATTTGTCCACTTTCCAAAGGAAATTAAATTGAAGACATGCTAAAGATAGACATTTTGTAAATCTTGATCTAACAGAATTAGCATAACAAAGCAAGAACTTGTGAAGCGATAGTGAACAAGAATGTAAATAAAAAATAGTTGATGGTTTCCAGCTTCATCCATGTCCCTGCAAAAAACATGAATTTATCCTTTTTTATGGCTGCATAGTATTCCATGGTGTATATGTGCCACATTTTCTTTATCCAGTCTATCATTGACGGGCATTTGGATTGGTTCCAAGTCTTTGCTATTGTGAACAGTGCTGCAATAAACATACGTGTGCATGTGTCTTTATAGTAAAAAGATTTATAATCCTTTGGGTATATACTCAGTAATGGGATTGCTGGGTCAGATGGTATTTCTGCTCAGCAAACTAACACAGGAACAGAAAACCAAGCACCACATGTTCTCACTCATAAGTAAGAGTTGAACAATGAGAACACATGGACACAGGGAGGGGAGCATCATACACCGGGGCCTGTTGGGGGGTGGGAGGCTAGGGGAAGGATAGGATTATGAGAAATACCTAAATACCTAATGTAGATGACAGGTTGATGGGCGCAGCAAACCACCATGGCATGTGTATACCTATGTAACAAACCTGCACGTTCTGCACACGTATCCAGAACTTAAAGTATAAAAAGAAAAAATAGTTGATAGGCTAGAAAGGGGAGTCAGGCTTCCTTGCACTTGCACATGCTCCCTAGCATGAAGAACTGAAGTCTTCTCTCTAGCATGCCTTTCCCTTTACCATCTATTTGGCAAAGTCTTATTCATTCTTCAAGAACTGTTATAGATTAACCATCACTTCTTGTAGAATGTCTTTTCTTACAGGGCTTACTTTCCTCCCTAATAGGCAAAAAGTATTTCTCTTCTTTTGTCACAGGCATTTAGATTGAATTTCTGTAGGGCAGAAGCCTTGTTTTATTCTTCTTTGAATGCCCCTCAGCATATGCTACAAAACTTACATAGATTTTTAATGAATACTTATTGATTAAAATCATATAACCAAATAGATGTGGTTAATAACCTCACTTTACACAGAAATTAAGCCAATAGACTATAGATCTAGGCTCTACTGAAGTGCTGTACACCTAATTTTAGACAACACACATCACCTACACTATTCCCATTATTTCATCCAGTTGACAGATATATCAAGGGAATAATTCTTATATTTGTCTTACCACAAAGAGTGCAGGTGTTTGTACTCAACAGGATCAAAATAATACAGGATAAAATGCAAATTGTATGAGAAAGTAATTATTCTTTCATTCAAGTAATATTTATAGTGTACTTACTTTGTGCCCCACATTAGCTATAAATGTTGTATACTAAGGCAGAAAGTGGAGAATGTAAGCTAAGAACTTGATAAAGTAAACATGTTATATAATGATCAGATAATAATTCATACTGAATAAAGGCTAAAAGAAATTATTACAAACTCTCATAGAACTATTCACTTCTGTTTTGCAACAACAATGTGCTTGTAAATTATTTGTTGAATATCTGCCTGCTTTTTTCCCTGGGCTATAAGCTCCAGTGGAGCCTAGTCCAGGTCTAACTCATCAGTATTCTACTCCTGGTGTGTAGCACAATGCCAGCACATAATCAAGTATTTAATAAGCATATGCTGAATAAATAGCGAATAGATGGATGTATAGGGAGAAAAACAACACCAAAACTTGCATTTTAAAAAGAGTCCCCAAATAGGAAGAATTATAAAAGGGAGTATCAAGCTATCCTTTATTGAAGACAGTTTGAGAAAGGCAAGTTGTTCAAGAACATGAGTCTTTAAAAGTAAATTTAAAGAATAATTTAAAGGCTAAATTTATATTCGACTTTGGCAAAGACTAACAAGCTCAATAATTTAGTAATTTGCTTAACAACTAGATGTTGAATCCCTACAAAGGGCCAGACATTGTACTGGGTGCTAAAATGCAGGAGAGAATAAGATAAATTTGATCTCTGTTCACATGGAGCTTACAGGAATTCAGAAGATACTAGAAGGTTCGTAGATTATTTTCCTAACATGTAAAATAAAGCAAAACTCTATTATAAAAAGTAATGCATATCTGATCAAAAAATACCTATTAGATCTTTGATAATATTTGGGCAAGTATACTTACTAGTGACACACTAGGTTCTATGGTTTCCTGTGTAGTCTGTGACTGTTCATGCTATTACTCCTTGCTGGAATCTTTTCCCACCTAAGCCCCTCTTTTACTTGTCTAAATCACTCATCTTTCGGCCAGGTTCGGTGGCTCATGGCTGTAATCCCAGCACTTTGGGAGGCTGAGAGGGACAGATCACTTGAGGCCAGGAGTTCAAGACCAGCCTGGCCAACATGGCAAAACCCTGTCTCTACCAAAAATACAAAAATTAGCCGGGCATGGTTGTGGACACCTGTAGTCCCAGCTACTTGCGAAGCTGAGGCACAAGAGTCACTCAAACCCAGGAGGCGGAGGTTGCAGTGATCTGAGATTGTGCCACTGCACTCCAGCCTGGGTGACAGAGTGAGACTCTGTCTCAAAAATAAATAAATAAATAAATAAATAAATAAATAAATAAATAAATAAAATTAATCACTCATCTTTCAAATTTGTGAGTCATAGACATAGTCTCCCACCAGCCCCTCCACATCCCCTCAGCTACCATAAGCTTCATGTGCATACCCCATTCTGAGTTTACCATAGTATATTGAAATCATGATTTCTTTGCCTGTCTCTTTTCTGAACTCTAAGCTCCTTGAGGGCAGAGGCTAATTTTCATTGATTTTGCATGTATAATGTCTGGTACATAACAGGAGATCAATAAATGTATATGAAGTTGAACTGAAGTCTCTATGTTTTCTCTTTAGAAACTTATATCTGCCTAATATAATAAGAGCAAGGGCTTCACTTGTATCCTATATTTCTAAAATTTCTTTAAAAGACATTCTACAATCTGAGTCATCAAGAAAGTTCATCACTGAAAGCATTCACAAGCCCGAATATGTCCTCTCCTCTCCTCTCCTCTCCTCTCCTCCCCCCTCCCCTCCCCTCCTCTTCTTCCTTTCTTCCTTTCCTTTCCTTTCCTTTCCTTTCCTTTCCTTTCCTTTCCTTTCCTTTCCTTTCCTTTCCTTTCCTTTCCCTTTCTCTTTCTCTCTTTCTTTTTTTATTTTCACGGTCTTGCCCAGGCTGGAGTACAATGGCACAATAATCATGGCTCACTGCTCACTGCAGCCTTGACCCGGGTTCAAGCAATCCTCCTGCCTCAGCCTC
This sequence comes from Homo sapiens, assembly GCF_000001405.40. Taxonomy (NCBI): domain Eukaryota; kingdom Metazoa; phylum Chordata; class Mammalia; order Primates; family Hominidae; genus Homo; species Homo sapiens. The sequence continues at coordinate 86,326,321 of NC_000008.11, forward strand.
CTGAGTAGCTGGGAGCACAGATATGGGCCACCACACCTGGCTAAGTTTTTGTAGAGATAGGACCTCTCTATGTTGCCCAGGCTAGTCTTGAACTCCTGGGGCTCAAGCCATCCTCCCACCTCTGCCTCCCAAAGTGCTGGAGTTACAGGTGTAAGCCACCACACTCAGCCCATTATTTTTTCTTTTTACCCATAGCTCAAATCCACATGAAAATTTGAGGCAGAGAACACCACTGTCTTTACAGTCCTGATCATATAAAACCTATTTACATTTTTACTACCTTAAATTCCTAAATAATCATATATGAGAAAGTCAGACCTCTTTCTTGGCAAGCCCAGTGTTAGAAGGAAACATTCTCTGGTACCACTATTGCTCTTGGAATAGTAAAACAAGTTTTCCTGAGATGAAAGTAAACAAAAGGAGATGTAAATACATGAGAATAGGCCAGGTGCAGTGGTTCATACCTGTAATTCCAGCACTTTGGGAGGTCAGGGCTGGCGGATCAACTGAGGTCAGGAGTTCGAGACCAGCCTGGCCAACATGGTGAAACTCCAACTCTATTAAAAATACAAAAATTAGCCAGGTGTGGTGGCGGATGCCTGTAGGAGAATCACTTGAACCCGGGAAACGGAGGTTGTAGCGAGCAGAGGTCTCACCACTGCACTCCAGCCTGGGCAACAGAGTGACATTCTGTCAAAAAAAAAAAAAAAAAAAAAAAAAAGGTGTTAGCAGAGGCTTGAAAAGGGCATGCGCTTTTTCATTACACTCTTATGTGACTGGGCCTGCCCACTATTCTCCTCTGCTATGCTATGAGAACATCTTCTGGGCTAGCCTGCAGAAAGGATGCAAGAGGCATGTGGAAGAGAGCAGAGTTACCCCTGACATCCCAGCCAGGGCCATCCTAGATCAATCAATGGCCAGCCAGCCCCAGATACGTGAGGACATCCAGCTTAGGTCAGAAAAACTTTCCAGCTAACCCCGTTTAAAATCTAGTGAACTAAATAACTTTATTATTTTAAGAAACTGAGTTTGGGATGGTTTGTTATCAAGCATTATTGTGGCAATAGACATAGATAACACAGAGATGCTCAAATAGTAATTAATCAATGAGGTGAACTCACTGCCTTTTTGAGGTGCCCAGTCACAGACAACATTTATATATGGCAGATATTCTTTTTTTTTTTTTTTCTTTTTTTTTGAGACAGAGTTCTGCTGTGTTGCACCTGGCCTGGTAACATCCTATTGACCAAAGCAAATCACATGCCCAAGGCCAGAGTGGGGACTGTTTGGTGGGGGATGGGCACTTTAAAGTTATAAGACAAACACTGTGATTTCATGGAGGACATAAGTGCGGTCATTAACACAACCAATCTGTGAGACACCTGGATTCCTAAACCTATTATGATACTAAACCTTAAAAGCTTGTTCACGAGAAATAGCATAACATTTCCATATTATAAATTCCAGATACTTCAGAAAGTAGAGTAGTCTAAAAAAATGTAACACGGTGTTTATAAGTTTTGAATTTTTATTTGGAATTTGGCACCCAGTTTTACAAAACTATAGATTTTTTTAAAATATGGATTCAGCAACTGAGGTACGCTCATCAAGTATAAGAGTGAAGATAAGCTATGCAATAATAGAAATTATAAATTGCAACTAATTTTCTTGAACCCTTCAAAGTGAACTGATAAGATAGATAATATAGAGGATTCACTAGAGAAGGAAACAGGAGGTAACATAGCAAAATTCAGCCTACAAAGATAGCGCGTACATGTGCATGCACACACACAAGAAGGCTGTAGCCAAATCCTCCAAACAAATCTTTTAAAAAGTTACTGGAAAAATTGAATCTAGCAGCATTTTAGGAGAATAATTCTACTGGTTGGTATTTTTCCGGCAGCAAAAAAGCCATATGTAAGTAATTTCAGCTGATACAGGGGATATCTCTCCCTAGTCTCTCCACAGTCTCTCCACAGTCATATGGCCAGGTCTCCTGAAAGACTGGAATGACATTCAGGATGCACTGATGCTCCAGAGCTTCACAACTACAGTAATCAACATGGAAATCCCATTTGTCCTATGATCCCTCACAGCAAGTACCTTTTGCTCTCTATTTTTGCTACTCTTCCATATTTGTGGCTAAATGTATCTCTGCTTCTACAGTGTCTGTTTCTGTTTTACCACTACTTCGATCTAACTGTTTTTACTCTTACTCCATGGCTTCTGATTATTGCTTCTCTCTCTTTGTTTCCATGCCAGTCTGTTTTCCGTATCTCATTCTGAGTGTCTGATACTGCCAGACTGTCATCTTCCAGGAGAGGGTTGGCAAGCTCTTCTCTCAGGCCCTGTCTTAGGCAACAGGCTGGTTTTATAAATGAACATCTTTGGGTCACGAACTCATCACTGCTCTGCTCAGCTGTTGTCAGTGTTGGTGTTATTGGGCAAAAATGAATCCCAGAGATGGAGGACTACAGGTACTTGGAGGTCTCTCAGATGAGGATGACCTAACTGTCAAGTGCTTTCCATAGACTGTTTAATATAAAAACCACTATAAACAAGAAAAGACTAATCTAGGAATGCAAGGATAAATCATTATGAGGAAACCTATTAATATAACACAACCTGTCAATGAACAAAAAGGGAAAAATTACACATCATCCTGAAAGAGGTTGGAAAAAAGCAATTGATGTGCTAGTATAGATTTAATATTAGTTAATGTAGTTTTTCTAGCCAAATTTTTAATCTGGTGGATCTATACAAAGAAAAATATAACATTTTGCTGGGGGAAATACAAGTGGATGTAAATAAATGCCAAGAATACTATGTTCTCTAATGAAGAGACTGTTAGAAGTGATAGTGAAGCCAGGCATGGTGGCTCACATCTGTAATCCCAGCATTTTGACAGGCTAAGTCAGGAGGATCACTTGAGTCCAAGAGTTCAAGACAAGCCTGGGCAACATAATGAGACCTCACCTCTACAAAGAAATCAAAAAATTAGCTAAGCATGCTGGTGCATGACTGTGGTACCAGCTACTCAGGTGGCTGAGGTGGGAGGATTCCTTGAGAGCCCAGGAGGCTGAGGCTGCAATGAGCTATGATCATGCCACTGCACCACTGCACTCCAGCCCTGTCTCTAAAAACAAAAAGAAGTAACAGTGGAATAATTAAGATGGTATTACAGGACACAGGCATACTTAAATCTAGCTGTGGTCCAGACACTTCTTCTTCCTGAAAGGTCCCTGAGGAATATAAATAGGTGACAATGACAAAGACAAAGATGAGCAAAGTAATACTTTATTATTAGGGGCCTTCATGGTGATACTAATCCCCAAATATTTTCTGTTTCCCACAGCTTGGACTATCACTAATGTTGTATTAAAGGAAAAAGTAAAGAGAGCTATGAGGAGGCGAAAAATAGAGAGAGAAAAAAGAACAGTAATGGTATCTAGGCCTGCTCAAAGGAAGCTGTGTACACCGACCTTTGAACACATTGTCGCTATTTCTGCTCATGAATATGGCCCACTCAGTGTCATGAAACCCCACCAAAAACATTAACTGCTTTATTCAGGATCACGAGGAAGGAAGGCAGAGGAAAATAGAATGGAGAGAATCAAATATTGTAAAATATCAGTTCTTCCCAAATTAGGTTCAGTGCAATCCCAAACACCATCTTGATGAGGTTTTTTTTTTAAAAAAATAGACAAAATAACTAATATAACCAATAAGAATAATCATGTGAGAATAAGCAAGAAAATTTTGAAAAGAGAGGGTAATGAGAGCCTGAACACACACTTATGCTCATACACTGTGGTGTGTGCCCAGTGCCCTGTTGTGATTGGTCAGTTCATTTGCTCTGATTGGTTTATGGTTGTGCTTTACTAGCTGTTAAACATTTGGTATATCAACCTTGCTTATAGGTATTAAATTATATAATATAGTTACAGTAATTAATAGTGTGATACAAACAGGTAAAAAAACAAAAAAGAGCTGGGTGTGGTGGCTCATGCCTATAATCCCAGCACTTTGTAAGGCCAAGGCAGGAGGATTACTTGAGGCCAGAAGTTTGAGACCAGCCCACATGACAAAGCAAGACCCTGTCTCTACAAAACTAAAAAAGAAATTAGCTGGATGTGGTGGCACGTGCCTGTGATCCCAGTTACACGGGAGGCTGAGGCAGGAGTTTTGCTTGAGCCCAGGAAGTCAAGGCTGCAGTGAACTATGTTTTCACCACTGCACTCCAGACTGGTCAACAGACCAAGACCCTATCTCAAAAACCAACCAAACAACAACAACAACAACAACAACAACAACAACAAAAAAAAAAAGAAGAACAAGAAAAGGAACAGAACAGATGACCTAGAAATAAATCCTTGTTTCGTGAGGTGAAAAAAAGTGATTTTGACATTTTCTGTGAGAATTTCTCTTGGGAAATAAATCATTTTCTTGAGAAAGATTTCTTAATATATTGCATGAACGTAAGAGGCAAGATCCTAGGGGCATAGTTTGGAAGAACATAATGAAACAAAGAGACAAGCAAACCACTCTGCTTAAGAAATAAAAAATAATTTATATGAAAAGAGAGTGAAGAGAAGAAGCAGCACCATGTGTGTGGAGTGAAGCAGCTGGTAGGAAATTCCTGGCCATGGGTTGGCTGAAGGGCTTCTGAAAGCAGGGAGCTCCTAAAGACCAATTTTAAATTGGATGCATTGCTGTATGCAAATCCCTTTTGTCTCCCCTGTCAGTGGGGAGGATGCTACAAACAAAGAACAACTTTTATAAGTGAGGTTTTCTTTTTGGGGGGATAGGGTGGTGAGAAGAAATTAAAAAGAGTCTCCAGATTTGTGTCTAGTGTAGAACAGAGAAGAGACCAGCCATGTGGGATGTGTATGTGTGAAAGGAAAAGTTAATTAGGAGCTTATTCACACAGCCAGAAGAGACCATGTGAACATATGTTTTTGGGAATTCAGAGAGGCTGTAGGAGGGAGAGAGACTAGACTTCCAATGGGCTGTTGGCTAAGGGGTTGGAGCCAATTTTATTTAAATCTCGAGGGGTGGGCCTGTGTGTGTAAATACATAGCAAATCACACAAAGACACACAATAATCAAACAGTTCAAAACCAATGATATAGACAAATATTTTGAAAGAAACAACAGCAAAATGGTGCGTGTCTTTGTCCATTTTGTGCTGCTATAACAGAATACTTGAGACTGAGTAATTTATAATGAACAGAAATTTATTGGTTTGTGAATCTGGAAGCTGGGAAGTCTAAGATCAAGGTGCTGGCATCTTGGAAGGGCCTTCTTGCTGTGTCATATCATGGCAGAATATGGAAGGGTAAAGAGAGAGTAAGAGGGGTGTGAATTCACCATTTTATAAGAGCACCAATCCCACCCATGAGGATAGAGCTCTCATAGCATAATCAGCAACTAAAATTCCCACCTCTTAGAACTGTTACAATGGCAATTAAATTTCTTTTCTTTCTTTCTTTCTTTCTTTTTTTTTTTTTTTTTTTTTTTTTACTTTTTGAGACAGGGTCTTGCTCGTCACCCAGGCACAGTGTAGTGTTGTGGTCATGGCTCACTGCAGGTTAAACCTCCTGGGCTCAAGCAATCCTCGCACCTCAGCTTCCCCAGTAGCTGGGTTTATTTGCAAAACAAGAGCAAATACACCCAACGTAAGTAGAAATGTAGCAATAATAAAAATGAAAGCTGAAATAAATGAAAGAGAAAATAATCAAACAATAACATTAATGAAATCAAAGCTCTTCTTTGAAAAGATCGAATTGAAATACCTTTAACCAAACTGATCATGTAAAAGGCAGAGAGTATACAAATTACAAATATTAGGAATAAAAGATGGGACATCACTACAATCCTATAAATATTAAAGAATAACAAAGAAATATGATTAACAACTCTGGGTCAATAAACCTGAAAACTTAAATGAAATGGACAAATATCTTAAAAGACAAAATTACCCAAACTGGCATAAAAAAATAGAAAATGTGAACTGTCTTTAATTTATAAAAGAAATTAAATTCACACTTTAAACTTTCTCAAAAAGAAAACTCTAGTGTAGGTAATAGATAAGGAGCATACACTTCCAAGCTCATTTTATCAGGTCAGTCTCACCGTGATAATATAGACAAAGATATTACAAGAAAACTACAGATCAATATCCCTAATGAATTTGGATTCATTAACATCCTTTAAAACATCAGCAAATAAAAACCCAGCAATATATAAAAGGGAGAATGCATCATGACCAAGTGTGGTTTATCCCAGAAATGTAAGTTAGTTTGACATTTGAAAATCAAAAAACTTAATTAATCATATTAATAGTCTACACACAAAAACAAAAATCATCTCAATAGACGCCGCCCCCCGCCCCGCCACTGCCAAGCACTGATACAAATGTAACATTTATTCATGATTAAAAAGCTCTTGACAGGCCAAGCACAGTGGCTCATGTCTGTGATCCCAGCACTTTGGGAGGCTGTGGTGAGAGGATCATTTGAGTCCAGGAGTTCGAGACCAGCCAGGGCAACATAGTGAAACCCTGTCTCTACAAAAAAATGAGCCGAATGTGGTGGTATGCATCTGTAGTCCCAGGTACTCAGAAGGCTGAGGTGGAAGGATCACATGAGCCCAGGAGGCTGAGGCTCAGTGAGCCATGATCGTGACAGCACTCCAGGCTAGGTGACTGAGACCCTATCTCAAAAATATAAAAAAGCTCTCAGCAAACTAAGAAAAGAAGAGAACTTCCTCAACCTCATAAATTACGTATACAAAAAGCCTAAAGATAGTATACTTGATGGTAAAACACTGAATGCTTTGTCTGAAAATCAGGAACAAGGTAAGGATGTATTTCTCATCACTTCTGCTCAACATTGTACTGGATGTTCTAGTCCATGCAATAGGGCAAGAAAAGGAAATAAAAGCATACAGAATGGAAGGAAAAAAATAAAACTCTTTATTTGGAGAAACATGATTGTATACATAGAAAATCAAAAGAAATCTATAAAATACTACTAGAACTAATAGGTTTTTAAACATGATCTCAGTGTACAGGACTAATATTAAAAAAGAATTGTATTTAAATACCCTATTAATGAACCACTAACAATGAAATATCATTTATAATATGAGGCACTTCAAAATGTTCATGGAAAAATTGAATTAAAAGATAAAGAATATAAACTTTATTTCTCAACATAAGCTCCATCGAGGTCAACCATGGTTGTAAGTGATGACACCAGTCATTTAATCCATCCCTAAAAAAATTGAGATTCATGGAAATTTAACCATGTCTTTTTTACATGATTAAATGACGAAAAATGGGAGCCCTTTGCAGATTTTTTAAGATTAGGAAACAAAAAGAAGTTAGAAAGAGCCAAATTAGGACTGTAAGGTCGATGCCTAATGATTTCTCATTGAAAGTCTTGTAAAATTGCCCTTGTTTGATGAGAAGAATGAGTGGGAGCATTGTTGCGGTAGAAAAAGACTGGTGAAGCTTTTCCAGGAATTTTTCTGCTAAAGCTTTAGCAAACTTTCTCAAAACACTCTTGAAACAAGCAGATATTATTGTTCTTTGGCTCTTCAGAAAGTCAACAAGCAAAATAAGTATCCCAAAAAACTATTCCCACGACCTTTGCTCTTGGCAGGTCTGCTTTTGCTTTGACTGGACCACTTCCACCTCTTGGTAGCCATTGCTCTGATTGTACTTTGTCTTCGGGATTATACTGGTAAAGCCATGTTTCATCTCCTGTTACAATTCTTGAAAGAAATGCTTCAGGATTTTCATCTTACTTGTTTAAAATTTCCATTAAAACTCTGTTCTTGTTTGCAGTTGATCTGGGTACAATGGTTTTGGCACCTGTTGAGTGAAAAGTTTGCTCCACTTTAGTTTTTCAGTCAGATTGTGTAAGCTATGAGATTTGAGTTTTCTATGGTGTTGGCTATTGTTTCTCCTACTAATTGTTAGGCCTCTTGAATGAGGTTATGAACAAGGTGAGTTTTTTCCTTGCAAACTGATGTGAAGGTCTGTCATTGCAGGCTTCATCTTTTACATAATCTCCTCCCTTCTTAAAATGAATTACCCATTTGTAAACTGCTGATTGCTTTGGTGCATTGTCCCAATAAATTTTTCATAAAGCATCAGTGATTTTACCATTGTTCTACCCAAGCTTCCCCATAAATTTGATGTTTGTTCTTGCTTCAACTCTAGCAGAATTCATGCTACTCTGATAGGGGCTTTTTTTCAAACTGATGTCTTATCCTTCTTAGTGACTCAAAATACATCCTGCTCATACATGTTATAGCAAGTTAGTATGAGTTCATCTGGGGGCGAAAAATTTTAAAATCCATGCATAGTTTTTTCAAAATATGCATATTTCTATGAACTTGTTGAAGATCTCTTGCAGCATCAAAAAGCATAACATATGCAAAGAACCTGGAAGAGTCAAAATCATTTTGAAAAAGAACAAATTTGGAAAATTTACACTTCCCAATTTTAAGACTTTCTAAAGTTATAGTAATCAAGACAGTGTGATATTTGTGTAAGGATAGACATATGGTTCAATGGAAGGAATAGAGAGCCCAGAAATAGACAGAGTTTTCACAAAAGTTCCAAAGTAATTCAATGGGGAAAGGATTGTCTTTTCAACAAATGGTATTGAAACAACCATATATCTATTTAGAAAAAAAAAATGAACATTGACTCTTTCATCTCAGCATATGCAAAAATTATTTTGAAATAGATTATAGACCCAAATGTAAAAGCTAAAGCTATAAACTTTAAGAAAAAAAGTATTAACAAATCTTCACTGTCTTAAAGTAAAATTTCTTAAATATGTCACAAAATGATGTGAACTTCATCAAAATAAAAACATTGACTTTTCAAAACACATTGTTAAGAAAATGAAAATGCAAGTATATTTGTTGTATAAAAATTTCTCCAAAACCTAGTGACCGAAAACAATAATACAGATTTATTATTTCTCACAGTTTTTGCAGTTCTGGAATATATGTATTTCTTGGCTGGCTACTTCTGGCATAGAGTGTTACGTGAGATTGCAGTCATCTGAAGACTTGAGAGGGATTGGAAGATCCATTTCCAAGGTGCCACATATGGCTAGCAAATTGCTGCTGTCCATTTATCAACAGGCCTCAGTTCCTGTCTGAGGCAAGACAGCAAGACAAAATCCTTGCTAAAGCACTGTCTTTCTCTAGAGCAAGAGTACCCCAAGGCAGCAAGGTGGGAGCTGCAATATCTTTTATGATGTTGTCTCAGAAGACAGGTACTATCACTTCTACAATTTTCTCTTGGTCACATAGGTCAGTCAATAGGGGAAAGTACTGTATAAGAGTGTATACATACCAGGAGTCCAGAATCAATGGGGTCCATCTTGGGGGCTGACTGCCATAGCAAGCCATAATCTGGGAGAAAATATTCACAACACCAATATCTGACAAAGGATAGTATAAAAGACAGAATATACACACCCCAGTAATAAGAGGAAAAAACCAATTTGAAGTAGACAAAAGGTTTGAACAGATACTTCTGTTCAAATACACACATGCCCCTTAAGGACAGGAAAAGATACTCAACATGATTAGTTATTAGGAAAATGCAAATTTAAATACAATAATTGAAAATTAGAAGGATTACCAAACATTGGAGAAGAAATGAAGCAACTGGAACTCTCATATATTACTGGTGGAAATGGAAATGGTACAACCACTTTGGAAAACAGTTTGGCAATTTATCATAAAGTTAGATATATGACAATATGACCTAGCTGTTTTACTCTTAGGCATTATTTATCCAAGAAAAATACTTTTAACCAAATGTTCATAGAATCTTTAGTCATAGTAGCCAAAAACTGGAAACAAACCAATTATCTATGAATAGGACAAAAATAAACAAATTGTAGCAAATCCATACAAGGGATCACTACTCCACTAGAAAAGAAGAAATAACTACTGCACAGAATATTACAAATGCATCTCTGAAACATGCTGAGCTGAAACCACATACAACAGAGTATATACTGGATGATACCACTTATATCAAATTCTTGAAAAAGTGGGCCGAGATGCAGTGGCTCCCACCTGTACTCCCAGCACTTTGGGAGGCTGAGGCAGAAGGATTGCCTGAGGCCAGGAATTTGAGACAAACCTGGGCAACACGGCAAGACCCCATCTCAACAAAAAGTTAAAGAATTAGCTGGGCCCTGTGGTACATGCCTGTAGTCCCAGTTTCTCAAGGGGCTGAAGCGGGAGAATCCCTTGAGCCCAGGAGATTGAAGCTGCTGTGAGCTGTGTCAATGCCATGGCACTCCAGTCTGGGTGACAGAGTGAGACCCTGTCTCAAAAATAAAAAATGAAATTATGTAAAAAGTAGAATTATTCTACAGTGACAGAATGCAAACAAGTAGTTACCTAGGACCAGAAGTAGTTGGGGGGAGGAAGGGCTTGAGAATACTTTTTGCCGTGTTGGAAATGTTCTGTATCATGATTGTGGTAATAGTTACACTGGTGTATTCATTTGTTAAAATTTATTGAACTGTACCATTAAAATGAGGTTAGTTTAGTGTATATAAACAATACCTCATTCAGGTCAATTAAAAAAGAGTATTGCAAAAATAAAAATAAAAAGTCTAGGCATGGTGGCTCATACCTGTAAATGCCAGTGTTTTGGGAGGCCAAGGCAGGAAGGCCTGAAGTTCAAGACCAGCCTGGGCAAAATAGTGAGACCCTGTGTCTATAAAAATATTTTAAAAATAAAAACAAAGAGTATCAGTAAAGGCCAGGTGCGGTGGCTCACTCCTGTAATCCCAGCACTTTGGGAGGCCAAGGTGGGCAGATCACCTGAGGTCAGGAGTTCAAGAGCAGCCTGGTCAACTTGGTGAAACCCTGTCTTTACTAAAAATAGTTTTTAAAAAAGACCATCACAAGAAATAATTTCCTTCATAAGATATAACTGCTTTAAGTTATATCTTATGGCATGGGAAGCCCTTAAGACTGATATACCTACTTACTTTGTTCGGTACTTATAGGAAGGTAAACAGGAGAGGGGAACATCAGAAGAGGAGAGGACTGCCTCATGTTGGTATTTCACTCCTTCAAAGGAATTCTTAAGGAAGTGCAGATTGTCCTAAGGGGCACTGCTCTCTATGCTATCTGAGTTTTGGGCTTTGACCAGAAGGGGAGCATGAGAATGAGGAGAATACTAAAGAGGGCTAAGTAACAAGCACTTGGGTGATAGGATCATTTGTACACCAAGCCTCAGTGACACGCAATTTACACATGCAACAAACCTGCACAGGTATTCCCTGAACCTAAAATAAAAGTAGAAAAAGAGAAAAAAAAAAAAGAAACAAGTGAAGCAGCATTCAAATGAGTAATGGAAGTGAAGCAAACCCCACCTCTTTCACAAGTACAGGTGAAATAGGAAACTTTTAAAGTGCAAGGGAAAATAGGTTGGGGCAGTTTCTCAGCTTCAGCATTAATGCCATTTGGACCTGATCATTCCTTGTTTTTTGAGTGGAGTGATGGGGCTGTCTTGTGCACTGTAGGATGTTTAGCACCCTCTGTCACATCTACCCACTAGATGCCAATGGAACATCCAACCTACCCCCATGAAAAATGTCGTAAGCCATTGCCAAAATCCCCTGGGATATGAAATGGTCCCAAGTTGAGAACAACAGGATTAGTGTATTTGTTATCTATTTCTGGATAGATATAAATTATCTCCCAAATTTAGTGACTTAAAACAATAAGCACTTATTTTACCGCTATAGTTTCTATGGGTTAAGCATTTGAGAGTAACTGAGTTGGGTGGTTCTGGTTCAAGGTCTTTGATGAGGCTGCAGTCAAGACGCAATCATCTGAAGGCTTGACTTAGGCTGAAGGATCCACTTCTAAGATGTCTCACTCACGTGGTGATGGCAGCAGGCCTCAGACTCTGGTGGTTGTTGGCAGGATGTCTCAGTTCCTTGCCATGTGGGTCTCTACACAGGGCAGCTTCCTGTGTCTTTGCCATATGGCAACTGAGAATGATCTGAAAGAGAGTGGGAGGGGCTCCATGATGCCTTTTTATGGCCTGGTCTTGGAAGTGACACACTGTCACTTTTGCTATATCTGTTAACAACAAGTCACTAATTACAGCCTACATTCCTTTTGGAAGAGAATTAGGCCTCACTGGTTTATTTTTTTTTAATTTTATTTATTTATTTTTTTTTGAGAGGGAGTCTTGCTCTGTTGCCTAGGATGGAGTGAAGTGGTGCCATCTTGGCTCACTGCAACCTCTGCCTCCTGGTTTTTTGTTTTTATTATTTTTGAGACAGAGTCTTGCTCTCACTCTGTTACCCAGGCTGGAGTGCAATCATGATGCACTCATGACTCACTGCAGCCTTGACTTCCTGGGCTCAAGTGACCCTCCCACCTCAGCCTCCAGAGTAGCTGGGATTACAGGTGCACACCACCATGCCCAGATAAGTTTTTGATTTTTAGTAGAGATGAGGTCTCACTACGTTGTCCATGCTGGTCTCGAACCCCTGGGCTCAAGCAATCTTCTCACATTGGCCTCCCAAAGTCCTGGGATTACAGGCATGAACCACTGTGCCTGGCTAGGCTTCACTTTCTGAGGGCAGAAGTATCAAAATATTTGTAGACATATTTTATTAAGAAATTTAAAAAAATTATTCTTGGAAATATAATACAGACAGGGTGTATTAGTCTGTTCTCATGCTGCTAATAGAGACATACTTGAGACTGGGTAATTTATAAAGGAAAGAGGTTTAATTGACTCATAGTTCAGCATGGCTGGGGAGGCCTCAGGAAACTTACAATCATGGCAGAAGGGGAGGCAAGCACAACCTTCTTCACATGGTGGCAGCAAGGAGAAGTGCTGAGCAAAAGGGGGAAAAGCCCCTTATAAAACCATCAGATCTTGTGAGAACTCACTCACTATCACCAGAACAGCATGAGAGTAACCGCCCCCATGATTAAATTACCTGACACTGGGTCCCTCCCACAACACGTGGATATTATGGGAACTACAATTCAAGACGAGATTAGGGTTAGGGATGGTGGCTCATGCCTGTAATCACAGCACTTTGGGAGGTCGAGGCAGGAGGGTCACTTGAGATCAGGAGTTCAAGATCAGCCTGGCCAACATGGTGAAACCCCGTCTCTACTAAAAATTAAAAAAAAAATTAGCTAGGTGTGGTAGCATGTGCCTGTAATCCCAACTACTCGGGAGGCTGAGGCAAGAGAATCACTTGAACCCAGGAGTGGAGGTTGCAGTGAGCCAAGATCACACCACTGCACTCCAGCCTGGATGACAGAGCAATACTCCATCTCAAAAAAAAAAAAAAAAAGATGAGATTTGCGTGGGGACACAGCCAAACCATATCACAGGGTTTGTCATGTTGGTCAGGCCGGTATCAAACACCTGGCCTTAAGTGATCCACCTGCTTTGGGCTCTCAAAGTGTTGGGATTACAGGTGTGAGCCACAGTGCCCGGCCTGTAGACCTATTTTAAAACCACTACAGTTAGAGAACAATTTTTTAAACAAATGGTTTGGGGGAATACCATGAGCTATTTTTAAAGGAATAAAAGTTAGATTATCATTGCAAAATAAATCCAAGAAAATTAAATTATTTAATGAAAAAAGTAAAATAGTCAAACAAGTAGAAAAAAGTAAAGACAGATGAATTATATGATCTCAGGATGGGAAAGATGTATGAAGTAAAAAACAATGGAAGAATACAAAAATGGAAAAGATCAATAGTTTTACAAAGGACTAATATCTACATTGTGTGAAGCACCCTTTTGTGAAATACCTCAGTAAGAAAATGGACAAAGGACAAACAATAAGCTACCATACATACACATATGAAAACATACCATGATGATTTGGGCACATGGAAGAAGGACAATCACATACTGTCATGTAGTGTTGTGGGAAAATTGATAACCATTATGACAATCATTTCTTGATTATGTGCCATGCTCATGTGTTAAGTAGCTCTATGCGTGTTATTTATAGCAATTTATATATATTTTTTAATACAACATGTGGAAGCACTATATTAATTTTCTAGTTGAGACACAATTAGATTAAGCAATTGGCCAAATCTCTCAGCTCATAGGCAGCAGGAGGGTCAGGTTATCCATTAGGCACAGTAGACACAGTGCCTCAGGCTTATAACACTTTCGGGGGCCCATAAAAATGTTTTAATTTCTTTTAAAATCAGAAGGCAAAAAATTGAATATTTAGGTCAAAGAAAATATTTTAATGTATAATGTTAATATCTTTTTCTTCATACCAATGCAGTAATAAAATATATTTTGTAGTATTATTTTATGGAAGATGAGGCCCACACAGGTATAAGCACCTAGGGCCTGTGAAAGTCAGAATGTGGCACTGGGTGGCAGAGCTGTGTTTTGATGCTGGGCGATGTGATACCTGAGCCTATGCTCTTTCTGGAAGGTAGTTGCCAATATGTTTCAAAAGGGCTAAACTTGTTCATACTTTTTTATTACTTTTAATAATTTATCTAAGACAGTTAATAAGGACATGAACAATGGTTATGGAATACTATTTATAATATTGTTCATTTGAAACCAAACAGTCAATAACAAAAGGCTGGTTCAATATTGGGTGTCAGCTTGAGGACTAGGTGAGTACTAAGAGCTTCTGAACGGGGAGGAAATTGAGCAATGAGGGGAGCTGAAAGTGAGACACAGAGCAGGAAGAGGAGGCCTGCATGCATTCTGGAGAAGGAGTCCAGATCCCTGCTGGGGAATACCTACGGAATTTCTGAGGACGTGTTTGTAAGCACATTATTGCATCTATTTAAAGGGACCAGACAGCAAAAGCAAAAAGATGAAGAAAATCTTAGTACATGTTTAAAGCAGAGATGAGTGGGCACATATGGGGCACTGTGAAGAGTTTTTCATAACAGGAGAGATAGAGCATGTGAGCATCAAAGGAACCTTGAATATCACGTTAATCTTTGTCAGGAGAGCTCCGAAAAGCCAAAGAATGATTTTAAGCAGTGGAATGACACAGATGTATATTTTCGAATGATCTTTGTGGATATAATGTGCACCAATTTCAACTATGAAGCCAGAGGACAAGAACTAATGCATGGAGGTAGGCGGGAATGTGCATTGTTCAGTCAAGAGATACTTGTTGAATTCTGTACACACTCATGAAGTGTTGGGGTTGTTTTTGGTACACAGTTCTTTCAAAAAGCTCAGTTAAAATGGAAGGGGAGAGAGAACCAGAGGTTTTAAAATCAAGGGAAAATTTAGGACCTAATCTTAAAACGTGATTATGCTGAGGAGTTGTAGGCAGTGGAGAGGGTGAAGTTAAAGATGTGCCAAGGACCGCCCACAGTGGGGAGCAGGCAGTGGAGAGGAGCAGGGACATCTAGCCTCCGAGATAGAAGGAAAACTAGTAAGTCTGGGTGTGGACGTAGATATAATCTATGGGGGTTGGTCAGGTGGTTGGGCAAAAGCTGTAGAAATCCATGCCTGAAGGCTTCTGCTTCTCTGAAGTAGAAACCGGGTCACCTGGTAAGCAATGTGGTCCCACTGACTTCTATTTGCACATTGGCCTTTCTTCTAAAAGCAATACACATAACCAACAGTACTTTTCTAAACTAGTTGACTTTTCTGTAAAATGCAGACAGTAGACACTACTTTGTCAGATTGTTGTGTGCGTTAATTGTGCGGACACGTATACTCGGTCAATAAGTATCTGCTTTATCACCGGGCTGATGTGAGTGAGGACTAGGTGGTGGGGCTTCCACAGATGAACGTTTTGATTAATAAAAAATGGACTGAAAGTCTTCGGGTATGACCAATGGCTAAATGCAATTATTTACTCTTGCAATGTGTTCGAGGTCACCCAGCTAGGTCAAGGAGTATTTATGGACAGCCTACTTTTGCCCCCGGACCTTAAGAAGTCCTGCTCCGGGATCAGCCGCCGACCGGAAAGTCAAATTAGCAGTGCCCAGCGCGAGCTTAGAGCAGCCTCTTCCCAAATCTCAGCGGCGGCCCCGCCCCTTCCACACGTTCAGGCCCCGCCCCTCCCTACTATTGGCTGTCCGTCCCCCTCCGCTAGACTGCTCGGAAGACCCGGAGGAGCGGAGTTTTCCTAAGGCAGCATCCGAGCGCCCTCGCTGCGCATGCTCGGGGGAGGCGGATTCCGGGTCCGGAGTTGGAGGCTTTGGGCGGCCGCGGCGTAGCGCGCGGTGCCGGGGCCGGCGGGGAGGCGCGCGCTTAGGGCGCGGCGCCGGCGACGCGGCCACGCGGCGCGCTCCCGAGGAAGGGAGGTGTGGGGTCGGCTGGGGGTGGCGCGTGGACGGGGTGGGGGTGGGGGGAGGGTCGGGTGTCGGCGAGCTCCGCGTGCGGGTTCCGAGTGGCTGCTGGCGGCCTGGGCTGCCGGGGCCGACGCCTGGGTGGCTGCTGCCGCCGCGCCTGCTGCGAGATGGCGATCTTGGGCGCGGAAGGGTGAGGGCGCCCGCCGCAGGAGGAGGTGCCGCTGCCGTGGCCGCCCGGCTGCCGGGAGCCGACAGCTTCGCGCCGGGTAAGGACGGCGCGGCGCGGGGCTGGGGGTGCGAATGGGCAGGGCGGGAGGGGGCACGGGCCCTGAGCCTTGGCCGCGGTGCTGGGCGCCCGGCGCCGTCCGCCCCCGGGCTGGACCCTCCTAGGACCCGTCGGGGGACGGTCCGCCCTACCTTGGCTACCTTCTCCAGCCCGGGAGTCGGGAGTTTTCTGGGGTGGGGTCACGGGTCTTGCCCGGAGTTCGCCCTGGCAAAGGCCTGTGCCAGTGATCCTGGAGCGGAGCGAAGTGTTTCCGTGACTCTGCAGCCGCAGTTCTTAGGCTTCCTTAGCCTTCTCTTCGCCTTCCTCCACCTTTCCCTAACACCTCCCTGAAAACACAAATACATGGACTCATTGCCCGTTCCCTGACTTTCACCCCAATTTCAGCGTTGCAAACCAAGGACTCCAGCTTTGGAACGTCTTTTTCTGACATGTTTTTATCACTCTCCGTTCTTCACCGACTCTGCAGCTCCCCATCCCCCGCCCCCCCAGCGCAACCCCCACCTCCACCTTTTGTGACCTGGTAGGTTCCAGTGACCTTGCAGATTTTACCAGTCCTTATCTTGTCTGTGACTTACAGACTCTCCTTTCATCTTCGTGTTCTTTTTTTAAAAAAATTTAATTTTGTAGTTTGCTCCTTACCTTTACGACCTTTAAATGATCAGTCTTGTTCACAGTCCTTTCTTTGCTCTGCCGATTTGGAGTTTTCTCTGCTGTGGTAAATATATGAAACCTTCATTACCAAAGAAGAGTAGTGTCTGTTATAATTTTGACATTTTTACTCTTTCAGAATAAAATATTTTCCAGGGGCTTGATTTTGCCTTCTTTTTCTATTTGATAAGTTTAACAAATTTTTTTCTGTGTGTGTGTAGGTTAATGTGGAACAAGATTTTGTGTTTCTGCTTTAAAATGTTACTGGTAATAGTAGTGGGAAAAAAAATCATGTCCAAAATTATCTTTGTTTTCCCCGTTTGGTGTTTTTACCTGAAATAGTTGGTTTACAGTTACCTGCATTTTTTTTTTTTAACAAGAGTTCATGTTTATGTGTAAATCCACTTTACCTGCCTCACCAAATCTGTGTGTATTATACAAGCAAAATGCACCTTTTAAAGAAGAAAGTCGTTCTTTTATTGTGTGACTTGTTTTTAGCCATCAAGTAGTAAATTAGCTGCAACTAGAAATGATCATTTTTCATAAATGGTTAGTATTTTAAAAAATGGAAAGTGTAGTGGCCAAGTATTGGGAGCTACTCAGATTGAGAATTGTAAAGTATGTGGAATAGTTCTTTGGGACATAGCTTATCAACATTTTCAGATAGTTCTTACCTTAAAATGTGAAACTGCTGGTAAGATCTACATCAGGGTTTTGAAAAGCAATAATTATGAGCTACCGGCATAATACAGGATGTCGCAGATAAAGTTTCTGCCTTCAAAGAGATGGTAATCTTTGCTGTTTACCCCACGGTGGCTGAAATTTCCTTTACTTCCTTGTACAGTTGTTAAGCATTTACTGCATAATTGTGGGAGGTATTTTGGGAAATACAAAGATGAACCGATTAGCAATTTCTGCCTTCACACTAATTAGGTAGATAGTGCTATACACAAATGCCTTATTTGTCTTTTAATATATAAGTTTCATAAATGGTACCAAAATCCTCTCAGAAGTCAACTTCAAAGAGAGTAGAGCTCAGATCTTACTTGGCAAGGTAGGGATAAGAGGGTTAGTTTGTAGAGCTCCTGGCTTCTGAAATCGTGGTTTTGAAGGACGATTATGACTTTGGATAGGCAGGAAAGGTAATCCTAGCAGAGAGGTATCTCTAAGAGAGCACAGAGTTCCTGTTTGGGGAAAGGCAGGTAATTATGTTTGGGTGGAACATAAACTTATTTGTACCAGGATAAAGGGTGATAAAACTTGAAGTAAAAATTTGGACCAGTTTATGGGTTGTTTTTAATGCCAGACTTATGACCTTGGATTTACCCGGTGGTGGGGCTTCCACAGATGATTTTGAATTGGGAGTGAAACAATTTGAACACTTTGTTTCAGAAGGATTAGTGGGATAGAGGTCTGTAGTGTGAACTGAGGTAGGGAGACCCTGGAGGTAGAAAGACCTCCCAGTTGTTGTAGTCATGGATAGTGAGGATCTGAGCTGTGGTGCACGCGAATGGAAAGGAAGAAAGGAAGTCGAATAGCCAAAATTTGATGAGAGGGCAAATGAAAGTAAAAATAACTGATTCTGATCCAGGTTGGTTGGGAGAACAGTGGTACCATTTTGAGCAAGATCATGAAGCTTTACCCTCAGCATATGTGTGCTACTTTACAACTTTTTGGAGATTACTAATTCTTGGTAAAATGCTGGCCTGGAAAATTTCCATATGCGCCTATGCTTTGTGGATATAATTTTAGGGGAGTCCATGGAACACCTGAAAGTCATCCATGACACTCATCTCAGAATTTCTTGGAGCTTTTTTTATTTTCGAGGCAGGATTTCTTTCACTCCTGTCCCTGTGGCTGGAGTGCAGTGGCGCCTTCTGGGCTCATTGCAACCTCCGCCTCCCAGGCTCAAGAGATTCTCCTGCCTCAGTCTCCCGAATAGCTTGAACTACAGGCGCTTGCCACCACACCCGGCTAATTTTTGTATTTTTTTTTTAGAGATGGGGTCTCACTATTTTGCCCAGGCTCGTGTTGAACTCCTGAGCTCAAGTGATCAGCTTGCCTTGGCCTTCCTAAGTGCTGGGATTACAGCGTAAGCCACCCTGCCGGGCCTACTGGGAGCTTTTTAAAACAGTAGAACCTTCAGGTTCTTCTGTGTACTGATAAGAACTCTTACTGTAGAGATATGCTGTATATATACAGAAACACAATATTACATTTGTGTTGTGGTTTACAGTTTACAGAGAATTTTGACTAATGTTATTTGCTATTATATTACACAATAAACTATTCCTGGAGTTTAAATGATTTGCCTGAAGCATCATTCAGCTGGTGGGTAAAGTGGAATCAGGAGATTGTTGACAATGATGGTGTTCTTTCATGTATGAAGATAATGCAGTGGCTTTACCATCAATTAAATATAGTTACTGCCTTTAAATGACCTTGTCAGTAAGACTAGATGATCCCACAAGATTCCTTCTAGTTTTTAACATTTTGTGATTCTCGAGTCCTAGACTTTCATCAGAGTATCTACTCTCCTTGTTTAATATGTGCATGAGAGCTGGTGAGTCTGAGGGATGAATTGGGTAGAGAAGAGCAGTTAGCAATATCAGATCATTCATTTGGATTGTTACTTTCTTTGTATGTCTCACTTTGGGCTGGGGAGTAGGGAGGAGAGAGGTGATGTAAGTGAAATAAGAAACTTTAAGAACTTTATTGGGAGGCTGAGGCAGGAGGATGGTGTGAACCCGGGAGGCGGAGCTTGTAGTGAGCCGAGATTGCGCCACTACACTCCAGCCTGGGCAACAGAGCGAGACTCTGTCTCAAAAAAAAAGAACTTTATCTTCTCTGTTCATTTATACCTTCAGAATATTCTTTTCTTTCAGGAAGCCTTTATCAAATAAAAATGGAGACTTCACAATGTAAATGAAGATTCCTACTCAATTTTTTTTGGGTGGATTAAGTAGCTAGCTAGTACGGTTAAAGTGTAGTGCGATTGGTAAACAGTTGACTTTTCTGCACCTGTAAGATTATCTCCCTGGTAATAGGTAATCATAGCATGTTATTACATGTTAATAAACTTTGATTTCATAATTATTAGAAAGACTGTTGTTTTTTACTCTTTGTATAAAAATATGATACAATTATAATGAGCATTGGAAAATCCAATAAATTGCCCTTTATAGTGGTATCCAAGGAACTAGTTACTAATACTTAATGGAGGAAAAATGATAAAAACATACACAGATGAATTTTATTGTTTTTGCTGGCATTAAGAATTGTACTATACCTTATGTTAGTATAGCATTTCACATTTGTAAATAATAACTATATTTATCATTTGGTTCTCATGACAACTGATAAGTTGGTGTGTTAGGAAGTAATAACTGCTTTATATTTTATTTTATTTTATTTTATTTATTTATTTTTGAGACAGGGTCTTGCTCTGTTGCCCAGGCTGGAGTTCAGTGGCACAGTCATGGCTAAACTGAAGCCTAGACCTCAGCCTCCCAAGTACTTGGGACTACAGGTGTATGTCATGACACCCAGCTAAATTTTTAAAATTTTTTATAGAGATGGGGTCTTGCTGTGTTTCCTCAGGCTGGCCTCGAACTCCTGGACTCGTGGCCCTCCCACCATGGCCTTCCAAAGTGCTGGAATTACAGGCGTGAGCCATCGCTTCCAGCCAATCATTGCTTTTTGGATGAATATGCTGAGGCTAAAAAAAAAGTTTAAAAAGTTAAATTTCCAAAGTATGTGGCTAGTTAGTGGCCACAATTAGAACTACAACTAAAACCCTTATTTTTGTTCCTATGTCAGTATTCTTTTCCCACCAGACTTCTTACTCTTCATGTACAATGGAACATCATTAGTTAAGAGCTGTATGTGAAGGATTTGAATTTACCTGTTTGGAATGTGTTAAACTTTTGTACCGTGTAGAGGTAAACTTGTCAGTTTTTTCCTTTGTGTTAAAATGGTAATCTCACTGCAGTGGCTATTGGTAGGTGATATTTAAATTTGTAAGCATTGTACCACAGAATAGTTATTCTCCTGTCAAGGATAAAGCAAAAGTTGATTTCTTATCTGGAAAAGTACATTGGTGAAATGTAGATATTTATTTTTTTGAAAATTTTGAATTTAATTCTGTTGCTTTTACAGATGAAGTTTGTGTTTCCCTTTTATAAAAGCTTAGTCTTCAAAAATTTACATTTTTTGAGGATATAAATGAGGATCTAATTTCCAAAATATATATAGATTGGGTATCCCTAATTCAAAGTTTGAAATGCTCCAAAATGGGAAACTTTGAGCCACCTACATTACTCAACAGAAACATTCACTGGAGTATTTCAGATTTTGGATATTTGGATTAGGGATACTCAACCTGTATCATGATATTTTATTATTTTTGTATTAGATCATAAGCTCTACCATTGAAAAAAACCCAAAGATATTAAAAAGCCCTCCTTAGTGGATGCTTCAATTCATACATTTAAACAACTTTTTTAGGGAATGTATAATGTAAAACCATACGTCAGATGGTTTTTAAGTTATAAGGAAGACTAGCATGGTTTTTAAGTTATAAGGAAGAGTAGCATTTGTTGATTTAGTCTTGACATTTCTTTTTTCTTTTTTTTTTTGAGACGGAGTTTCCCTCTTGCTGCCCAGGCTGGAGTGCAATGGCGCAATCTTGGCTCACTGCAGCTTCCGCCTCCTGGGTTCAAGAGATTCTCCTGCCTCAGCCTCCCAAGTAGTTGGGATTGCAGGCATGCACCACCACACCTGGCTAATTTTGTATTTTTAGTAGAGACGGGGTTTCTCCATGTTGGTCAGGCTGGTCTTGAACTCCAGACCACAGGTGATCTGCCCGCCTCAGCCTCCCAAAGTATTGGGATTACAGGCATGAGCCACCACGCCTGGCCGTCTTGACATTTCTTAAATCTACAGTTCACTCACAGCACATACTGGCGTACCTACTATGTGCCAGACATATTTCTAGGTGCTGGGAGTACAGTGTTGAGATGACAGATATGAAGCCTTTCCTCTTGGAACCTGGAGTTTAGTGGAATCACTAACATTAACAAGGGCATAGAACTTTATCTTCTCAGGTTGTAATTTTGCGGAGTGTAATTAATTATACCTCTCCTTTTTCTGGGGTTTGAACAAATTATGCAGAACACACAAGGAACCAGGTGAGTGTTGTTTCAGTTATGTACTGCTGTGTAGCAAACAGCCCTAAACCAAGTGACTTAAAACAACCATTTTCTTTGTTACAGTTTTGCTTTCCTGGGTTGGGCTCAGTTGGGCAGGTTTTGCTGGTGATCACTCTAATGGCTGCTTTTCTCTCCAAGTAGCCTTTCCAGCAGAGTTGCTGGCCTTACCTGGTAGCTGATGGCTTAGGGCTCACAAGAGTACAAAACAGAAGCAACCAGATCTTTTTTTTTGAGAGGGAGTCTCACTCTGTCACCCAGGCTGGAGTGCAGTGGCTCAGTCTTGGCTCACTGCAACCTCCACCTCCCAGGTTCAAGCAATTCTCCTGCCTCAGCTTCCCGAGTAGCTGGGATTACAGGCGTGCACCACCATGCCCAGCTAATTTTTGTATTAGTAGAGATGGGGTTTCACCATGTTGGACAGGCTAGTCTGGAACTCCTGAGCTCAGGTGATCTGTCCGCCTCGGCCTCCCAGAGTGCTGGGATTACAGGCGTGAGCCACCGTGCCTGGTCTGCAACCAGATCTTCTTAAGGTTTAGACTTGTAAGGGATACAGTATCATTTCTGCCTTATTATACTGGTTAAAGCAAGTCACAAATCTAGCCCAGGTTCAAGGGTACAAATGTGTGAATCCATTTGGGGCCACCCATGTAACAGATTACCATAAATTTTATTTAAGTATAACATCAGCTTTACTATACCAAAACAGGACTTACGGAAAACTGTTTTGGAAGCTGAAGCTTAGGCAGCTTACTACTTTCCGCAAATCTGGATTTTGAGTCTGAGCATGCCACAGGGAAAGCTGAGTCTAAAAAGTGCAAATGACAGCACATCTGGCTTACTACGCAAATGGGAATACCTAGCACTCTCCTTGGTTAGAAAAGAGGAGAACATTTGTGGCCTCTGAGGTTTTTCCTAGTGTGCCACCATAATAGGGTAGGATTGACTTGCCTTCTGCTTGAGGGCAGTGGGATCTAACAAAGTACAGGACCCAAGAGTCCATGCTGCTTGGAAGTAGTGATTTACCCGATCTCGTGAATTGGAACAGACAGCATCCCATGCAGAAAATGGGCCACAGATGGGCAGAGATCGATTCCCTCTGCCCTTGTGATTGGATTTGAGACCTAGGGGAGAAGGGTTTCTTGACTATCACTCTGGCCTTGACCAGAGTGAGCAACCTGTCCCCCACGCGCTCCAAGCCCCAATGGCATTTTCTGTTTGCAGTGTCTTGAAAAAGCTTGGGATAAGCTACTCTTCCTTGGAGAGGTGTCATTATAGTGGAGAGAATTCTCTTTCCTTCTAGAGACTGGAATGGTAATCCTCTCTTATGGAAATACAATGAATAAGGTGCTGCTTCTCCTTTCCAAGAACAGGTAGATTCATTGATTGCTATCTGGGTTTTTCTCGCATTATCACTTAACCTTATCCACTATCGCTTTATTTTAGTCTTAGCAGTATTTTTTGTTTGTTTGTTTTTAGTTCAAGTTGGCTGCTAAGTAATGCCATGGTTAAAGGTGAAATGAAGAAAATGAGTGTTTAGTTTTTATTACATTATAGCTTCTGAGTGGAGTAGTGAATGCATTTCATTTTAAGAATTTAGGTTATTAGTGCATAGCTGCGAAGCATTTTTGAAGCATTTCATGTACACTAAAAAACGGGCCCCTGCATCCTAATGCAAATCTCTTTGCAAATTTCTGAAAATAGTACATTGGCTGTTGCGGGGAGGAGTTTGGTAATTGGATGTACTGAGAAACATGATTTATAGAAATAGGAAAGGCCAGGGCACAAAGAAGGGCACGGATAGAGTTACATGAAGGTGCTTCTTGATGGCTGTCCTCCCTACCCTAAATTATTTGGGTAGTTAAAAAATATCCTAGCATTAACAGAATGTAGGTATGATAGCCTTTTAGGAAACAAGGAAAACAAGTTCTTTTGATAGCTGTTCAGTATACTCATAAATCTGATTGACTGGGCTGGGTGGAAGCTGACTGTTGAGTCCTGACTTGAAATTAGGATACTGTGGTTACACATTAGCCCCAACTTGCCAAGATGTCCTACTTTTTGTCTGTGTTTAGTTAGACTGGGGAGGAGAATTAGTTAAATGAACCTGTTTTGTATAAAGTAGGATATTCTTTACCTTAGAAGTAAACAAACTAGATTGTTCTTCTCTTTTTAAGTTTTTAACGGTAGAGGCACTTTTGGCATACAGGTTAAGAGTCACAGTTTAAAGTCAGGCAGACCTGACTTCTGGTAGTATTGCTTAATGGCAGGATTGCCTCAGTTTCTTCTTTTGTAAAATGTAAAGAATACCATCCTTAATGGATTTTTGTAAGGATTAATTGAAATAATGTTTATAAAGCAGAAAGCATGGTGGCTAGAACGTAAGCCCTTAAATCATGTTTATTGCTCGTAATTCAGTATTATGAAGTTGAAAATTCAAACAAGTATTCACTTTGCTGTGAGCTACTCATTTCTCAAAGACAGTTCTAGCTTCGTTTTGGCATGGGCAGAGCTCCTTATCAAATTTCCACCCCCAGCTTTTTTTTGAGACAGGGTCTCCGACAGCTCTGTCTCCCAGGCTAGAGAGCAATAGTGTGATCATGGTTCATAGCAGGCTTGACCTCGGGGGCTCAAGCAATCCTCCCACCTCAGCCCCACAAGTAGCTGGGACTACAGTTACGCACTAACATGCTCAGCTAGTTTTTTTTTTTTTTTAGTAGAGATGTTGCCCAGGCTGGTCTTGAATTCCTGGGCTCAAGTGATCCCCCCTACCTCGACCTCCCATAGTGCTGGGATTTACAGGCATGAGCCACCAGGCCTGGCCAAATAAACAAAAAAAAAGTTGCTAAAAGGGTAAGCACGAAATCTGGGATACTGACTTAACATGGCTGGCAATATATCAGCTAGTGATGGTTTTGCTGTGCAGCCTGGGAACAAGAAATCATTAACACCATCATTAGATGAAATATTGTATTGACCAGTGTTTGTCAAAGCGCAATCCTTATATAACAGTCGTCTGGGATGCTTATTAAACATGTTGATTCTTGAGTATCCTTTGAGATCTCTGATATGGTCCTTGAGAGTGGAGCTTAGGGATCTTCATTTTTTGCAAATATCTCAAGAGATTTTATGCACATTAGTTTGAGAACTGTTGGTAGAAACTGAATTGGTTATTTGGGGTCCTAGTGTGCTCTGTCAGAGTTCATTTTTCTAGCTAGCTAGCTAAAATATTCCTTTTTTTTTTTTTTTTTTGAGAAAAGGTCTTGTTCTGTCACCCAAGGCTAGAGTGCAGTGGCAAGATCATGGCTCACTGCAACCTTAACCAACCTCCTGGGCTCAAACGATCCTCCCACCTTAGCCTCCCTAGTAGTTGGGAGTACAGGTGTGTGCCGCGACACCTAGCTAATTTTTTATTTTTATTTATTTATTTATTTATTTTAAGACAGAGTCTTACTGTCACCCAGGTTGGAGTGCAGTGGCGCTATCTCGGCTCACTGCAACCTCTCCCTCCCAGTTTCAAATGATTCTTGTGCCTCATCCTACCGAGTAGCTGGGATTACAGGTGCATGCCACCAGGCCCAGCCAATTTTTGTATTTTTAGTAGAGACGGGATTTTACCATGTTGGCCAGGCTGGTCTCGAACTCCTGGCCTCAAGTGATTCACCCGTCTTGGCCTCCCAAAGTTCTGGGATGGATTATAGCCATGAGCCACCGTGCCCTGCCTAATTTTTTATTTTTCTTAGAGATGGGGGTCTTACCTTATTTCCCAGGCTGGTCTTGAACTCCTGGACTCAAGTGATCCTCTCACCTTGCCCTCTCTCCCAATGTGCTGGGATTAAAGTTATGAGCCACCATGCCCAGCCCTCAAGTATTCTTTAAGTACACATGTGTAATGTAAATACAAAGAGAGCTTAACATCTGAACCTTCCAGATGTTTAAAACAGCCTAAGATAATTGCCAAGGACTTGATCCAAACAAACTCTAGAAACTTGATACAGGGTGATTACAGTGAGGAGTAGGCAAGAGAAATGATACTGCAAAGAGATGTCCATTAGGCTTCCTTGTTCAAAACATTTCCTCCGTACTTCTTTCTACAAAAGCAGAAATTATTTTGAGTGAAGCTAATTCTTTTTAAAAAATGCCTACTAAAAGTTAAGCTAGAAGTTATGATTCATTATTAAATAGTCTGATTGCTTTTCACTTAGCTAAGGTAAGCCACTTAAAAATAGAGATTTTTGACTGAAATGTGTCAAATTTGGAATTTGGTCTTTTGACTAGAAAGTAGGTTGGTTGGGGGCATGATGTGTCTCTTATAGGGAAAAGCTTTTGCTTAGGGTAAGGGCGTTGACTTGGAAAGTCATGAGAAAAGGTTTGAATTTTAAATTAATGAAAGAAACAAAACAAATTTCAAGCTAATCTCTAACTGTTATTTAGGGCCAAAGTGATGACACCTACGGGCTACTTCACTTAAACCCTCCTCAGTCCTGTGACCAGCAGGATCCAAAATCTGATCCTGTCATCAGAAGAGTAGATCTTTTTTCCTGGAAAAACCTAAAAATATGGTTGAAATAAACATAGGTTGCTATGTTAGTAATTTTGTGGTCAAAAATATGCCAAACCCATGATTTATTTTTTCTCAATTTGAGTAGAAAGGATTAGTTTGCATTTCTTTTTGAGGAGCCTATTGTTTTTTTTTTCTTCTTCTGAGACGGAGTCTCACTCTGTTGCCCAGGCTGGAGTGCAGTGGTGCAGTCTCAGCTCACTGCAACCTCCATCTCCTGGGTTCACGCAATTCTCCTGCCTCAGCCTCCCAAGTAGCTGGGATTATAGGTACGTGACACCTGCTGGCTAATTTTTGTAGAGATGGGGGTTTCACCATGTTGGCCAGGCTGGTCTCGAACTCCTGACCTCAAGTGATCCGCCTGCCTTGGCCTTCCAGAGTGCTGGGATTACAGGCTTGAGCCAAGGCACCTGGCCATGAGAAGCCTATTGTATCTGTTTGTTTTCACTGTCTCTTTGAGCCCTTTCTTTTGAGGAAAAACAACAGCCATCTCTTTTTGTCTATGCCCTGTGAAATATTGTGTCGATGTTTACAAGTGAATACCGAACAGAACGTATATATTATACTTGGGAATACCATTTTTCTAGGTTAAAAATTTTGGTAATTGTAACTTGTTTTAAAACTTTCTTTGTGATTTAATTTTTCCATTAACGTATTGGCTATTTAGAGCTCGGGCCTTAAATAAAGTAAGACAAACCTAGAATTGGGTGTTGGCACCCATGGGCTGAGTGCTACTGTTTAAGTTAACTTCAGATTAAGCCCTAGTTTTATCATATGTAAACTGAGAATAATATACCCAATTCATGGGTTTCTTGTGTGACTTAAACCTGGCACTTAGTTTTCAGTACATATTCACTAGGCTGGGTCTATAATACCTTCTCATTGATGTCAGATCTATTTCAGAATTTTCTTGAATTTTGGAAAGGTAATCCATTCCATATGCTGTTAAATAAAACTGCAGTAAAGTCTAGGGCAGTGCCTGTAGTTTGTTTGGCAAATGCTTGTGTGTGGATAAGTAAGGTTAATAAATAGCCACACATCAGGTCAGATTTTGTTGCTAAATGAACTTTCAGTTTTTTTTTTAGCTTTTTGCATTTTGGGTCAGTGGATAAAGGATTGTGTCCCTGTATTTTGGATTCTAATACTTTCCTCTAAGAATGAGGAATATCTGATGAAAGTTTATCCTTTATGGCATGCTTTAAAATGCTTAGGAAGAGTATTTGTAAATAGTGAATTAACATTGTGTATCTATTACATGAATAACTTGAAAATATCTTGAAATTTTGTATTTATAACAAAATGTGGCAGTACTGTATTCCTTTCAAGTTCTTAAATGTAATTTCTAATCCTTACTGCAGGTGTGTGAGGGGCTTTCTTTACCTACTTTTCTCTATATTGTTGTGGAAGTATGGAAGAAAAATATTGAGAGTTTTTGTGCCTTAGAGTAGTTGAGAGTGTGGTTAGAGTGGTGGTGATCAGGGTGGGATGGGGTTAGGAAATTAACTATTATTGGGCACCTTCTTATTCCTGATTCTAGAAAGAGTTCCACTTTCCCACAGTTAATATTAACACCTTTTTTTAAAAAAACCCTCACAATACTATATTAATTTGGTGTTATTATCCTCATTTGACAGACAGGAAAACTGAGACTCAGGTTAAATATGCACAAATAGAGTTGAAGTTTGCATGTAGGTCTGTCCGACTTGAAAACTGTTCTCTGCATTACATTACCAAAATGTGCTCTTCTCAAACTTAAAATTGGCACTTTGGAATTGAAGAGTTAGGACATCTCCATGGCTGCTTAAATGCTGATAAATTAGAATTCTTAATGTATTAAGAAACAATCAGGAGATGTTTTGAGGTGAACATAACTTTGAGTAATGATATCCTGATGATGAGCACAGTGTAGAAGAGTGCTAGTCTCATCAGCAGTTCTGGGTTTGGCCTGCCATTAAGAAGCTCTGTGTTTCTGAGTAATTCTCTTAATCACCTCTCATCCTCAGCTCAGCTCCATGACTCTGCTTTGTGCTGCTTCATAAATGCAGCAAGTATGTGTATTTCAAGAATGCCAAAATATTAAAAATTTTTGAATTTTAAGGAAAAAAGTCGTTAAGCAAATATACTATTAAAATATCAGTTTGAATAAAGTGACCAATTACTTATGGAAATGTTTGTGTCATTTTGAAATAAGAGATTATACTGAAGTTTGATCTTCATAGAGTGAGAATGTCATGTTGTCCTGAATGCTTTCCCAGAATACGTGGAAATTATGTGTTAAACATGATCTCTAACAGCTTACCTACTCCATTGTTTATGTGCTTATACTTTTACACACTTATCTTTTTACGATTAATTGTTCTTTCTCTTTTAACCTTAAGGAAAGGTATTTTCAAAGGCTAGCTTAACAGCCCACAAAACCACCTGACGTAAGCTTTAGTTGATAAGAGAATAGTAACTTCAGATTGATACAGCAAACTTCTCATTTTAAGGCATGGGTTAGCTCAGCACTTCTTATTTTATATTTTGTTTCTGCAGTGCGTATGTAGTGAAAAGAGCATTAGCTTTGAGCCCAAGGAAATCTGGCTTCAAATTCAGACTTACTAGTTTCATGGCCCTGGGCAATTTACTTCAACCTAATTTTTCTTATCTGTTAATGGGACTAATAATGATGACTCTAATGGATAATTGATAATGTTAGAGATAATTTTTTTGTAAAGTGACTGACATATAATAGGAGCCCAGTAAATGTTTGCTGCTGTTGTTATATTTTGGAGTCAGAGGCCTGGTTCAGGTTCCGTGTTTTAAGACTGGCTGTGTTTTCTGCATCACTCAGGTGCCCCACCTAAGTGTATGAAGTCTTGGGCTTTATCATCTTACCTTTCTGCCTAGCAAGTATATACACATCTCTTTTTATATGTTAACTTATGTTGATTCTGTAAGTTTGGAACCCAAGTTTTAATGTTCTTAGAATCATATTTTCTTCAGAAACATGCAGTATAGGAGTGGGAAACCTGTTTTCTGATGTTCACTAGGGTAAGGGGAAAAACTTATCAAATGCACGCATATATATATTTATATATATATTTTTTTTTACTGTAAAATCTTTGGTATTTGGTATAATATGCAAACATAATATTGTATAACAAACTGAGAAATTATAGCAAATTAAAAGAAAAAAACTACCTCATTCTCAGTACTGTACTGATACCATTTAGGTTTATCTTTTGTTGACATAATAGAGTAACGATGCCAAAGAAAGCCCTATGTTTTTGTCTGTCTTTTAAAGGTCCATAGCTGCTTAGGTTAAAAATTGGAATAGTTGCTGCTAAGTTTGATGAATACATTGTCTTTTCTTTCTAATGTTTTCTAGTAAACATAGTAACTGATATCCTTTCCTGCAATGGAGGAAAGCTGTCAATTTCATTTTGGGGAAGTTGGTGTAATCTATTTTAATATTTTTTAAAGGTTCTTTTTATGGTGCAACATCACCACCTTGTGGCCTTCTAGAATATTGTTGCAAGGTTGTTTCCACAACTGTAAGCATAAATTAAATTGTTCTCTGATGTTGGCCAACGACTTCGTCTAGTTTGTAATGGATAGCTTTTTACTGTAAATAGGGGTGGAGAACAGAAAATAAAATGGTTTGTATACAAGGATTGCAACTTTATAAAAGTCTATTTGAGGAAAATAATTGTATAAATCATTCTGAGGTTGGTATAATAATTATGGATGGTTTCTGTGTATTTCATATTTTCATGAAATATGCACTATTTTCAGTGAAGTAATTCTAAGCTAAAAATTATCAATATGTTCTATGTTCCAATTCTCATTTAATAAGAAAACTGAGGCCGAGTGAGGTTTAGATGCCCCATCTCACTCAGCCATTTAATATAGAACTGTTTGTTGTCTAAAACAGTGTTTTCTAAACTGATGACTCTTGGAGGGATATTTTCTACATGAGTCTTTACACTTTTTTCTTTTTTTATATGACTGCTAACAGCCAAATACTCTTTTCATTTTGATGATAACTTTAAGGGGAAAAAAATCAGTATGAAAAGTATGATGGTTCATTTAAAAGAGCATCTAGAATAAATAGGCCATTTGGTTTTACTGCTCGTATTTACTTAGTTGTTTGGGCATTTGGTTGACACTAAGTATTCTTCAGTAGCAAATATGTATTAAACACTTCCAGTATGCCAAGCTTTGAGGGAGGCAAGCTGGATACAGTGGCGAGGACTTGCCCTGGCATTCTTGGAATTTAGTATTCAGTGAGATAAATAAAGCTGTTTTGATGACAAAAGTTTAATATCAGGGATTCTGGATAAAAGTAGCTATAATTTGTTTTGTGTTAGGCATCATGCAAAGGGATTTAGGTACTGTTTTTTAGTCTCAGCAATTTATTTCAGAATTTTGCTTTGATTTTGCAGGAACAGTGTATATGCACACAAATAAGTATTGGTGGAAGCCCTGACATACCTCCATGGAACGATAGTTTTCCTTGTAAAGTATTAACAATTTGGCTGTTACAGTACCAGTGGGCTTTCACGGCTTGGTGTTGGTATCCTACCACCATTTGTCACAATGTTTCTGTGGGAAAATTTGTGTTGTATTCCAAGAAGCCATCTTGTCCTTAAACTTTTGGGGTCTAATGTTTGATAGTTTGGGGGTTAGCATATGACTTCTAAAGTGTTTGGAATGTTTAATTAAGGTCGGGGAGTATCCAAGTGTAATAAGCTTCTCTCTTATATTCTTTTGTTTCTTTGAGTATTTAATAAGTCAAACTAGCATTTTAGATCCTTTACTTTTGTATTGGACGTTTTTCTATTGAGCATTTGTTTTGGGCTGTGGAGATGAAATATTGGTGAGGTGAGCATGGACTTGAATCTTAGATTAGGGCAGAGATGGGAGAGGATGTAGGTGGGTATTGTCCCACTTGCATAGTATTTTCTTAATGATATTTTAATGTAAAATTTCAGTTCTATGCTATATAGGTATTTTCTTAACCTAACCACTCTAGCCATCTTTTATTGTTGTCTTAGCAGTTAACATAATAATATGTTGTTTTATTAATTGTGTATCTGTGTATCTTCATTTAATACACATTTATTGAGGAGTTTTTTTTTTTTTCCTTTGGAGACAAGGTCTAGCTCTGTCTCCCAGGCTAGAGTGCAGTGGTGCCGTCACAACTCACCACTGCCTCAAGTTCCCCAGGCTCAAGTGATTGTCCTACCTCAGCCTCTTGACTACAAGAATGCACCACCACACCCAGCTATTGTTTTTTTTTAATTTCCTTTATTTTGGGTATATATAATTCTATTTTTTTGTAGAGACAAGGTTTTACCGTGTTGCCTAGGCTGGTCTCGAACTCCTGGGCTCAATTAATCCACCCACCTTGGCCTCCCAAGGTGCTAGGATTATGGGTATGAGCCACCATGACTGGCCCATTTATTATTTAGTAGGGGCCAGACATTGGGCTAGAGGCTGGAATTACAATGAAGCTTGATAATAAAGACTTTAACAGTGTAACGGGAGAGATAGAGAAAAAAACATGGTTAGAGTGCTCTGAAGACAAATAGCAACTAGTTCAAAACTGGAGAGATGACACCTGAGCGGACAGATGATTAGAAATGAAGGAGAAGAGTAGTGGGAGAAACATGTGGGAAGTCGTTGGTATCCAAATCTGTATGAGAATCACCTAGAATGCCCAACACAGTCCCCAGGTGATTCTGCCATGCAGCCAGATTGGGGACAATTGGCAATGAATTAGAAATATGTGTGAATAGTGAACTTTTCTTCTGGAGAATCATCTTTTTTTCTCTACCTAAATTTTAATGAATGGAGGTAAGAGAGGGAGTGTGTATAAATAATCGATTTGAATGACCAGGACCAGTTTGATAATAGTTGGAGTGTACCCCTTTCTCTTCTGGAACCTATGCTATAAACAACTCTAACAGTTTCATTGTTTCTAACCATGAACTATTAAAATGAGCTGGAAGAAAAGTCTTGCCTATGGGGATTGGTGCCATTACTCAGCTGGGCCCAAGTTTCTCCTCTGTCTGCCTCAAATTCCTTACCTTAGTCACATACCTGGTAAAACAGGGAATTTTGTCTATTCTCATTGACCATTGTATTCCCAGTGCCCCAAAGAGTGTCTCCTACTTCACCGAGAAAATTGGAGACATTAGGTAACATTTCCTTAACTTTCTTTCCAGACATTTTCAAAGATAAGCATTCTTTTCTCTTCCAAATCTCAGAGTAAGAGCGGTTTTGTCTATACCTGTGTTTAATCTCAGCCAGTTCTGCCTTCTCAGGGATCTTGTGTTAGTGATCATCATCAGTGAATGACTACAGCTTCTGCTTGCCTGTAAATAATACTCTCTTTCATCATTAAAAACAGTCCTCGGCGGGCGCAGTGGCTCACGCCTGTAATCCCAGCACTTTGGGAGGCGGAGGCGGGCGGATCACGAGGTCAGGAGATCGAGACCATCCTGGCTAACAAAGTGAAACCCCGTCTCTACTAAAAATACAAAAAATTAGCCGGGCGTGGTGGCGGGCGCCTGTAGTCCCAGCTACTCAGGAGGCTGAGGCAGGAGAATGGCGTGAACCCGGGAGGTGGAGCTTGCAGTGAGCTGAGATTGCGCCACTGCACTCCAGCCTGGGCAACAGAGTGAGACTCCCTCTCAAAAACAAAAAACAAAAAACAAAAAAAAAACACAATCCTCTAAATATCTTTTACGCTTCTGTTTCTCTTGGGCAACAGACTGAGACTCCGTCTCAAAAAAAAAACAAAAAACCAAACCAAACCAATCCTCTAAACATCTTTTACGCTTATGTTTCTCTTTGATAGTCAAAATCATCTGAAAATAAGTTTCTGGTGGTTTTTTTTGCTTGGTAAGCCACAGGCTTCAGGTCCTACCTTTCCATGAAAATTGCTCTTGCTAAGGGCCTCGTAACTTTCACATTGTTCAGTAAACAATTTGCTCTTTTTACTGATCTTACCTTGGTGGAGTTGGTCACTGTTTCCTCCTCCTTGAAATTCTTCCTTGAAGTTTTCTTTTGGTTTTCCTCACCCCTTTTCATAGTTCCTGCCTGCTGTCCAGACTGTTAGTCCTGGGGTTACCTAGGTTCTGCCCCCTATGCAGTAGGCCTTTCCTGAGTGGGTACCTGTCACAGCATGGCTGGCTTTCAGTTTACTCTCAAGCTTTGCTCATAGGATGCCATGCACACCTTTGCCTCCAGAATATATCTCTTTGCTGTGCTGTGTCTCAGTCAGTAACTATTAATTGGGGGCCTTTCCCCAGCCAGACTCTGGCGTAGGTTCTAGGAATAGAATGGTAAATAAGATAGTCTCTGTCCTCAGGGATCTTACCTTGCAGAGTTGGGGGTATGGATAGAAGTGAGAGGACAAAATATATGAACGTCTGTAATTGAGAATTACTAGGACAGATAAAATAGGGCAAGGTGCTAGAGTTGGCCTATGGTGATCAGGAATTCTTTCTGAAGAGATCATATATAAGTTGAGTTCTAAGACTGAGAAGGCAGCCAAAGGACTATTGATTGGATGGAGCAGTGAATGCAAAGGCTCCTTTGCAGCATTCAGGGTAATTAGGTTGAGGAATGTCAGGAATAGATAAAGAGGAGAAGGAAGAGGTGGGGCAACAGATCACATAGGCATTTATGAGTTTGGATTTATTGTAGTTAAAATGAGAGAACGTTGGAAACAGAGTTACCTTCATGTATCCTGCTTTAGAAGGATCACTGTGCTGGGTAGAGGATGGATCTAGGTTGGGAGTGAAGAGTGGGGCAGGAAGACCATTTAGCAAGCTGTGCTTAGTTTGGATGAGAAATTATGGGCTTGGAGATAAGAGTTGTAGTGGTAGTGATGGTAAGAAGTAATTGGCCTAGGCAGAAATCTGGGACATATTAACATATCCCCTTCTTTTACCCCTGCATCTCAGTAGTCCACCACTTATAGATTCTGCTCCTCAATACCTCTGCTGCTTCTTCTCTTTCCCCTAATTTCAGGCCATTTTCTGCCTAGACTACTTTCAGGCTACCCTTACAACACTGTCAAAGGGGTTTTTCTAAAATACACATATATTCCTTCTCTGCTGAAAATGTAGTGGTTCTGTATGGCTTTCCTGGTATTCTTCATGCTATAGCTTCTTTCTGCCTTAATAGTTTTGTCTCTTAGATTTCTCTCCCCATACCCTTCCTAACAGAACTACTTTTTAACCTGCTTATGTTAGTCATCTCACCTCTCTGGGCACAGAATGCCTTGAAAGCATGTCTTTCCTTTCCACTTCTTTCCTTTTGTATGTGCAGCTGCTGCATTGGAGTCCTCCACAACTCATCTCAACTGTTACCATTTCTCAGAATTCTTTCCTGACAACTCTTTACCTCTTACCTCCAAATAATATTAAGGTGCTTTTGTTCTTCTGTAGTTACTGTCTGCACACCCCTTTCTGTCAATGAACTTAAAATTGAGTCACGTGTCTGTTTCTGCTACTAAATTTTAAACTCACTGAGAGCAAAGAGCATATTTTATATGGCTTTTATATTTCTAGTGTTTAATATATTACCTGAAAATATGCCTAGTGTGTGTGTGTATATATATATATATATACATATATATACACACATATATATATACACATATATATACACACACATATATATACACACATATATACACACATATATATACACATATATACACACATATATATATACACTAGGCATATATATATACACTAGGCATATGTATATATATACTAGGCATATATATATACAAGGCATATATATATATATATATATATATATATATATATATATACTGGAAAACTTCATTCAAAAAATTGTTAAAATGCCTAATGCCTAGTTTCTTTGATTATTGATCACCTTTTTTTTTTTCACATGGTAAATTGATATACTAGAAAGATTAAATTAGAGGCTTATGTCAGTATTTTTCAGGGAGAGAATGGAGGCCACATCAGTGTTTATTGAGTGATTGAATTGTAGTCTTATGGTGCAGACAGGTCCAGGAGAAAGTAGGTGTAAGGTGGCCACTGTTTGGCCTTGGAAGGGGAACAGAAATATTTCAGTAGAGTGGTGAGGGCAGCAACCAAATTGCAAGGGTAGAAGAATCGGTGACAAGCTTAGACATCATTATTTTAGGAAGTGAGTTCATCAAAGGAATTTTTTTCTCCCTTTTTCTTGTTGCTCTTGTTTATTTTAAGTAGTACATGAGCCCCAAATCTGTTTGATGACCAAAAAAGGAGGGTTTAAATGAGGGAGGAGAAGGGAGGGAAGGCATTATCCTAGAAGATGACAGTGTGTAGGTATACCACTTCAGAAAGTAGGAGGGTATATTTAATTTCAAGGACTCAATGCTAGACAAGATCGAGTGTAGTGTCTTTTTACAGAAATTTACATCAGAAATTATTTAAAATAAAAGCTGGGATTAGTATCTCAAAAGCACCTCAGTGTTTAGAATTAACAGATACAAATCAGATAAATATAGCAGGACTATCTGCATTTTTCTATAAATGCATTATTTAACTTTCATTATTGAAAATTGTTTCTCGTATTTAATATTATTTAATATTTTTCTCATGCTTAATAATTTAGCATTTATATAGTACTCGATAATTCATAAAGTGCTTATATAATCTTACCTTGAAGGTATCAAAAAACAAAATTATCACAAATTTAGTTACAGATCAAATTGGCTTTTATTCATGATCCATGAATGGGGCAGTCTCCATTCTACAATATGGAATGAGAACTTCTGCTGGGTAGTGGCAGAACACTGGGTTTTGTGAGATGGGGACGAGGAAACAACAACAAAAAAAGCTGACTGGTTAATGTCAGGTTACTTTTTTGTAAGGATTAAAGCAGAGGGGAATTCCTTATTATGTTGACTCAGTCAGACTGTTACCTGTTTTTAGGGAAAGCTGGTCTGCTGGTCTGCTTTAACTGTCTGCTTCCTTGAACTTTTAGTTTGATTATGTGGCATTTAGCATGGGTGGCTTCATTTTGTCTTGGTCTGGTCTTTTGGGGCCTAGTGCAGGAGCTTAGTCCAAAAACAATGGCTTCCCATAAGTTTTTTTTTAACAAAGGCTACTGAAAGAGGTTAAATTATATGTCTATGGGCCGAGCATGGTGGCTCACTCCTGTAATCCCAGCACTTTGGGAGGCCGAGGTGGGCCGATCACTTGAGGTCAGGAGTTCAAGACCAGCCTGGCCAACATGGTGAAACCCCGTCTCTACGAAAAATAAACAAATTAGCCGGGTGTGGGCACCTGTGGCCCCAGCTACTCAGGAGGCTGAGGCAGGAGAATCACTTGAACCTGGGAGGCAGAGGTTGCAGTGAGCCGAGATCGCACCACTGTACTCAGCCTGGGTGACAGAGTGAGACTCCATCTCAAAAAAAAAAAAAAAAAAAAGAAATTTGTCTGTGGTCTTGCTGATTTTATTTATTAGGTATTTATTCTGTGCCAGGAAGTATTTTTAGTGCTTTGTCACTAAAATGACAAAAGTAGTGTACGTGAAACACATTTTCCTTGAAAGGGTGGTTAGTTAGTTTTGCTTTGGGTATGTAATTGTAACTTTTCTCATTAATTGGGACAAGAACCCTGATAAGAAGAGCACATTAAATTGCTCTGATCATATTTTCTGGTGTGACTGAAGCCTTGCTGTGATGCAGGGCTATTTAGAAGGCAAGGACATAGATGGAATTTAAAGTACTCAAAAATGTACTTGATTAGAATTAATGAGAATGAAAAGAGAATTGAGTTAAATAGCTTCACTAGCTATTGGACTTGAATTTCTGTAAATAAAGTGAATTTTATGTGTTGGTTGCTTTGAGGGAGAGAAATAAATTTGTATTCATTATGTAACTAATAGTTTAGAGTAGGTGGGTCATAGAATAATTTTGAGAACAAGGCTTTCATATAGCTTAGAAATGGTTAAAATTGGCATTAAAAAGGGAATCTACAGAAAAATCAAGATTTGGTGCTTCATACTCAAAACTGTGATATGTATGGTGCATTTTAATGTAAGAATATGTTTTGCTTACATTATACATGTTAATGAGAGGTAAATTTTGAGGTAATGTACTGTAAAGCAGAAGAGTTTTCTGTGTAATTGTTTGAGAGGAATAAATCTTTAAAAATAAAAAATATTTCAGTGCTTTGGGAGTCTGGGGTGGGAGGCTCACTTGAGCTAAGGAGTTCTGGACCAGCCTGGGTAACATAGACCCCATCTCTACAAAAAACAAACAAAGAAATTAACCAGGCATGGTGGTGCGTGCCTGTAGTGTCAACTACTTGAGAGTCTCAGGCAGGAGGATAGCAGGAGTCCAATAGTTAGACCCTACAGTGAGCCATGATTATGCCACTGCACTCTATCCTGGGCGACAAAAGTGAGACCCTGCCTCGAAAGAAAGAAAGAAAGAAAGAAAGAAAGAGAGAGAGAGAGAGAGAGAGAGAAAGAAGAAAGAGAGAAAGAAAGAAAGAGAGAAAATAAAGTAAAATTAAAAATTAAAAATACAATTGAGTAGAAACTCACTTTCTATAAGAAAATGAAGTGGCTGAAAAATAGGAAGAGAGTGCATTTATGATAGGGGAGATGTGAGATATATCTGAAAAAGAAAAGTCAAGAAACAAGGACTAGATTTATGTTACTGGAAAAGAAGATGTAAAAATTAGAGAGTAAGAGAAAACAGAACCAAAAGGCTCAGAAAAAAATCTATGTATTAACGTTAATTAAAAATTAATGTATTAACTCCCTCTGGTTGAAAATCTGAAATTGGGTGATAACGAATAGTAAGAATTGGGTATTCATACTAACTTAGGAAATTGGGCCTTTTGAAGAAAAATACATTTTTCTCATAGAAATACTTCCTAAAGGGCCATATATTGTGCACTGAAAGGAACTTTGAAATTGACTAAAAATACAGAAAGATGGAGGGAAGATAGTCGAAGTTATTAGATTCTGTGGTTAGATAGGCATTTTTAGGCTTCAATACCTTTTAGGTTCCACATTTATTGGGTGTTTAAAATAAACACCCAAATTAAAGTCAGAGGCTAAAAGGTACCTGTAGATTCCATGTTTATTTGTTATTTGTCTGGTAGATATTGCAAGTACTCTTCAAATCACTGGAATGGTACAGCTCAGAAGTGCTATTCTGTTTTACTCTGCAGCACACTTGTAAGTTATCAGGAGAGGGGCATTCTTGTGTTTTGAATATGAATGGATCAATCAGTGATATAGGGAGAGGTCAAGTGTGGACAAGAAAGCTTTAATTTTTTGGCGGGTCACAGTGGTTGATGCCTGTAATCCCAGCACTTTGGGAGGCCCAGGTGGGAGGATCACTTGAGGCCAGAGGTTAAAGACTAGCCTGGGCAAATAGTGAGACCCTGTCTCTATTTATATATAAAAAGCTTTAAAAGAAATCACATAGCTTCTTTCCCAAATAGTTAGATGTATACATTGAGAACACCAAGTTTATTTGAAGGGAGAGAGAAAGGCACAATAAAGACAGAACCTGGGAAGAAAAGCCCAATGGGAGATAGAAGTGAAAAGTGATATTAACGTGGCACTGGTAAAATTGGAAACAATTGTACTTAGCCTGTTTTCTTGACATAACGTATGTGAAAATTTGAAACTATGAAGTGCTTCGCAAATGTAAAGTATTAATGACATTGCCAGTAGGTCCCCTACAGTGAAGGGATGCCGGAGAGTGCTGGAGAGACTGTAGTTCCTGAGTTAAGCAGACCAATTCTAAGGGAAGAGTGCAGTGGTAGAGATTCCTAGTGGGAGATTGTGGGAAGAATAGGACCCATCAAGTTCAGGATGGGGCCATATGAGCTAGTGAATGGAATGGAGATCAGCAAGATACAGGAAGGGTGAGTTGTTGGCATAGATGCAGAGGCTGTGATGGCTTGGGGTATGATGGCATGGGGATGATGGGTGATGGCATGGGCCAGGGAAGAACAGTAGCACTAGTTGGAAATGTCTTTGATTAGGGAGATCAGTGGTGATGATATGGACAGAGAGTCTGTTAAAAGTAAATGATTCGGAGGGCTAAAAGACCCTGGGTATTGAGAAAGCCTCTTACTCTTCCCTCTTCCCTTCTCCTGACATGTAGTTCCAGTGATATGATTTTGAGCCTTAGTGATGAGTAGTTCCTATCAAATTGGTTTTTCCTTTCTGAATTTGCAGGTCACATGGAAATGAAAAATCTAACAGAATTATATTTTTATAACAGGATTCCACTAGAAAAGTTTCTTTGAGATACATCAAGAGAGCTGTCTAGGCAGTTAGAGCCATTACACTGTTCACTAGGATTATCAAAAATCCCAGTTTGGCCAGAACTGAGAGGTTTCCCAGGATGCAAGTTTAAAACCTGATGCTCCTGAGCAAACTGGGACGAGTTGGTCACCCTCCTGTTTACTCTTTCATTTTATAAATTCATTGAAATGACCAGTATTTCTATGTAGAAGTAATATTACTATATTCGTATATATAATTTAATTTAAAATTAAGTCCTCTATTTTGTAGTTTACATTTTAATGAAATATTTATTTTATGCTTTGGAGTTGCTCTATTGAGGGGGGAGACTGCATGGTTCATCCATTTTTATCTTTGCCACATTCATTGAGTTTTAAATTTGGTGCTTGATAAAATAGCTTTGCCTAAGTGCAGGCTTTCTAACCTTTTAGGTTCCACATTTATTGAACTAAACTGCTCTGTTACATATCATCCTATCTTGTTACTGAGTTTTTTTCTTGTGTATTAGTGTTGTCTTCAAAATTAGACTCAGTATTGAAGCCAGGACTTTGTCTTCTACCATTTCTGTATCCTTGCCATACCCACTTTATAAACTAGGCAGCCAATAAGTATGTTTGTTAATTGATCCAGGCACATAGATATGTGACAGCATTTATTTGACTTTTCAAAGTCTTAACACTGCAGAGTGTGCAGAATGAATCAGATCTATTCTAATTGGATTTCTTTCTTTCTTTCTCTTTCTTTCTTTCACAATTTTGCTTCTGACTTGAGAAAGACATTTTGAAGTAAGCAGGCAATTAAGATATGCCTTCTAAATGAGGATTTGATAGATCTATAACCTAAGAGTACTGGAAATGTCGTTTATTATCTACATTCAGGACTTTTTTCTGTTCTTTGCAGTTGAATAATAGTGAACCTT
The DNA here is from genome assembly GCF_000001405.40 of Homo sapiens. Taxonomy (NCBI): domain Eukaryota; kingdom Metazoa; phylum Chordata; class Mammalia; order Primates; family Hominidae; genus Homo; species Homo sapiens. The sequence goes on from NC_000008.11 coordinate 86,367,582, forward strand.
TATACAATTCTGTGGGATTTTCAAAGGGTTGGACTAACATAATCAGCTTAGATATTACTGACCATACCCTCTGAGCATAGATTATGACCTAAAACTCAGACTTTGTTTTTTCTTTTGCCAACCCTGCTTTCTAAATTGCTGAACCTAAATTGATCATATAGTTTTTCTGTCTTCTCATATCCTGGGGACCAAGGACAACTTGATAAAAGTCATACCACTATGCAGATTGTTGTCCCTGAGGGCTTGTGATAAGCACAGTATTAATACGGCTCAGCAGAATTTGATCAGCACTCTCTCATTCTGTTCAACATTTATTCCAAAATATCTCCACTGTGAACAAGCCCATTGTCTTCCATGGAAGTTAATACCACTTACATAAACCGTGACTCCCAAATGTTTCTTCTCCATGGACCTGTTTCCTCAACTGCATGCTTCTCTAACTAGCTGTCTATTACACCTGGTTGTTAGCAATTTTCTTTTGAACTGCATATCCAAATGAAACTTGTATATTTAACCTCCTTCTCCCACAATAAAAACAATAAGTCATCTTTATTGAGTCTTTACTTCGTGTCATATACTCTAAGTGCTAAGTGTTTTACATGTATTATCTCATTTAATTCACATTGTAACATGAGATAGATGACTTTGTTTTTCCTATTCTACTGCTACAGGAAATGAGCCATGGAAAAGTTAACTTGGTCATACAGCTCTTAAGTGGCAGAACTGGAAATGAAATTCAAATAATCTTACTCTTCTCTCTATCCTGGTTAGGGAACCATCATCCACTCAGACAATGAAGTGGGAAATTTTAGTTTTTCAGATTCTTGTTTTTTTGTAACCCTCAGCCATCCTATAGTCATCTGGTCAAAGACCTTATATGTATCCTGAGTTTTTCTTTCATGGTGCCAATGCTCTAGTTCAGATAAGCTCACTATCTTAAATCTAACCCCCAGAGCTTCCAAAGTTATTTTTCCAAAATGCAATTCTCATCACTGAAACCATCAGGATAAACTTTAAAGTACTATGCATGGTATATTTTAAATACAATATAAACTATTCCATAGGATCCTATGCAGTTTAGACCCTCTCTGTTTGCCTGATCACGTTACACTGTCCTTATGTTCCATTGTCCACTATGCAAGCAGTTCTCTGGATGTGCCGTTCTTTCTGTAATTCTCTCTTGAAGAATTACACACTTCAAGACGCAGTTCTCTCAGAGGTTATCTTCTCTGTGATCCCTTTCTTGATCCCTGAAGGCTGGATTATCTACTTTCTCTTGTGTGCCCCAGATGTAGTACTTTACCTTTTGCATCTATTTTAGGAATTATCACACTGAAAGCTATTTATTTGTTTACAGGGTTGTCTCCTCACAGACTATGAGCTCCTTGAAAGAGGGAATCGTGTCTTACTCATCTTTGTATCCCCAGTGTCTAGCAGTTCCTGATACATAGTAAGTGGTTAACAATTTTTTTAAAACTAAGACTATAATTAATAGTCAGACTTCATACATTTTGATAGTTAATTATGTAGACCTAGTAATACGTTGTCATAAAAAATATGGCTATAGACTTCTAATACTCCTGAGGCTCAGTTTTCTCATCTCTAAGATAGACAGAGTGCCTCCCTCCTCACACAGTGTTACTGTAATGCTCAGATGGGAGAATATATGACAGTACCTTATCTTTTAAGTGTCATACAACTTTATTAAATGAAGTGCGGAGAATAATTGTTGAAATTGATAATTTTATTTGCTGTATCTCTTCACTTTTAAGGCAAGATGGTATCATTTTTTAACTATCTCTCATGGTTTTAGTTTAAATTTGCAGTTACTGCTTACCAGAACATGTGCTCTTGAGTCTGGGGATTGGGTGATATGAAAGGGTTTATATAGAATAAAGAGAAAAATAGATTGGGGGTGGGGATCAGGGTACAGAGAAAGTTTCATGTAGTAAAGTGAATAGTTTTTTACCTGATTGGCACTGTTCCCCAGTTTGCACAGTATTGTAAACTTTTAAGATTCTTCTCAAATAAGTAATCTATGCCTCTTGCCTTTATTCTCAGTAGTTATCTTTCTGTTTAATTCCCTAATAAGGTTCTTTGATTTTTGTTTAATCTACCTCCATATGAATCAATATCTTCACCTATCCTTAAATCCCTCATTTACTGCCTAGAGGAAGAAGTGTCTTTTTCTTGGAAGACTAAATGCTGTCTGAAAGCTGTATCTGTCCTTCTTTTGCATCACAGGCCCCAGTAATTACACTTGATGAGTTAGTGATTTATACTTTACTGTATCTACTTCCGTGCCTTCCATACATTCTTTAAATTAAAAAAAAAACCCATGTAATTTGAGTGTACCAGATAATATGTAACATATGCAAGTCAATAATAAAAAACATTTGGGAACCAACTGCTCAGCTGAAGAACTAGATCAATCCCAATATGGTTAAAGAGCTGTGAAAACCTCTCTGATTCCATATTCTTACCTTTTCCCAGCCCCTAAAGTAAGTGCTATCCTGAACTTGTTTCCATCTTTTCTTTTTAAAATACCACAAATATGATTGTTTGATTTGAATTTCATAATCATGTTTGTAGGCTTTTTAAAGCTTGCACATATGGTATTTTATTATAGAAGAAAATCTGATTTACAAATCTTTATACATTTCAAGGAAAACATTTAAACATCATAAAAGATGTTTGAGCAGACATAAAAATAGACAGAAATATCTCAGTAGGCAAATTCAAATTTATAACCAGAAAATAATTGTGGAGACTTATTTTTGGACTCTGTAGTTATTGCTGTATCATAGACAAGTAAACATTTCTGTACACTAGTTTCTTTATTGTGTGCAGAAATGTTTCCATAAGATTCATAGAGTACTCCTTGGAAGACTGACAGCTTGTTATTTGTTGGCTGTTTGGACCTTAGCAGTTCTTTACTGGGCTTCTGTAATTGTTCGTTGGACAAACTCTTGAGGCTCAGGATCCACAGTACCCCACATTTCTGGATTTCTTTTTCAATCATGGAATCATGGTGTTTTCAAAGGAAATGAATAACAAAAGATGAGGTCATGATAACCATCAAAATAATTCATTTCTTCTTTGTCATAAGGAGTTGGAAGAATTTCTTCATGACTTCAGTGTAGAATGTTAAATCTTGGAGACAGAACTGAGAAGAAGGTGTTAATGCTCAGAACTCATCTGTCTTTTTTCTTTTCTACTTACTTGTTCTTTTTCTTAGATATATTCATGGTATTGCTTATAGCTATATTCATTCTTTTTTTTTTTTTTTTTTTTTTTTTTTTGAGACAGAGTCTTTCTCTGTTGCCCAGGCTGGAGTGCAGTGGCAAGATCTTAGCTCACTGCAACCTCTGCCTCCCGGGTTTAAGTAATTCTCCTGCCTCAGCCTCCTGAGTAGCTGGGATTACAGGCACCTGCCACCTCGCCTGGCTAATTTTTGTATTTTTTTTTTTTTTTTTGGTAGAGGCGAGGCTTCACCATGTTGGCCAGGCTGTTCTTGAACTTGACCTCAAGTGATCCACCTTGGGATCCACCTTTGGGAGGCATCTCAGCCTCCCAAAGCACTGGAATTACAGGCATGAGCCACCGCCCCTACCTGTAGTTCATTCGTTCTCACTACTATATAATGCTCCATTGTATGAGTTAGGCTAATTTATGTAACCATTTTTCTACCAATGGACATCTGAGTATTTTTCAATTTTTTTGTTATTATGAAGAATGCTTATACTTGGTACACAGGTACAAAAAATTTTATAAAATTCAAAATTACTCATTGAAGGGCATACAAATGTTTAGCTTTAAATGATAATGCCAAATTATTTTCCAACAGGATTTTGCCATCTGAAAACGCCTACCAGCGGTGTATAAGAGCCACCACTGTTGCATGTTTTTTGCCATTATTTGGCACTATCAACATTCCTAGTTTTTACCATTCTAATGAATTTAAAAATGACATCTGTGTGGTTTGTATTTCTCTGATGGGCAGTGAGATTCAACATTGTTTCATGTTTGTTGGCCTTAGAAATCTCCTTTTCTGTATAATTACAGTTAAGCCTTTTGCCTATTTGCCTAATGTGTTATCTTTTTCTTATTTGTAAGTATTCTTATATATGTAGTTTAAATACTAATCTTTAATTAGTTTTTTGTTTCGCAAATTTATTCCAGTTTCTGGCATATCTTTTCATTTTCTTTATGATGTCCTGATGAACAGAAGTCTCAGTTTCCGTGTAGTCAAAATATTCACCCTTTTTTTCTTTTTTTGAATCAGGGTCTTGCTCTGTTGCCCAGGCTGGAGTGTAGTGACGTGACCTCAGCTCACTGCAGCCTCCACCTCCCAGATTCAAGCAATTCTCCCTCCCTCAGCGTCCTGAGTAGCTGAGACTGCAGGCGCCCACCACCACGCCTGGCTAATTTTTGTATTTTTTTTTTTTTTTTTTTTTTTTGAGACGGAGTTTCGCTCTGTCGCCCAGGCTGGAGTGCAGTGGCGCGATCTCGACTCACTGCAAGCTCCGCCTCCCGGGTTCACGCCATTCTCCTGCCTCAGCCTCCCGTGTAGCTGGGACTACAGGCGCGCGCCACCATGCCCGGCTAATTTTTGTATTTTTAGTAGAGACGGGGTTTCACCGTGTTACCCAGGATGGTCTCGATCTCCTGACCTCGTGATCCGCCCGTCTCGGCCTCCCAAAGTGCTGGGATTACAGGCGTGAGCCACCGCGCCCGGCCTAATTTTTGTATTTTTTTAGTAGAGACAGGTTTTCGCCGTGTTGGCCAGGCGGGTCTTGAACTCCTGACCTCAGGTGATCCACCCGCCTTGGCCTGCCAAAGTGCTGGGATTACAGGAGTGAATATTCACACTTTTCTTATTTGGTTAGTATGCCCCTGTCTCTTAAGAAATCCTTCCATCCTGAGAGGACACAAAACAATAGTTTTCTGCTGTAATTTATTCTAAAAGTTCTACTGTTTCCCTTTCATATTTATGTCATTGGTCCATCTTGAATTGGTTTTATATATGATGTGCAGTAGGGGTCCAGTTTCATTTTTTTTCCATATGGATAATTCCAGGTTTCTTTAAGTGTCCCTCTTTTCTCATGGATCTGCATTGCTACATCTTTTATGTGGGTTTGTCCTTATATGCATTGGTCTGTTTTAGGGCTTCCTATTTTGTTTCATTTTTTTCCCCTTCGTTAGTCTTATCAGACATTTATTTATCTTAGTGTTTTCTAAGAAGTAGCTCTGACTTTGTTGATCCTTTCTGTTACCTTCTTTCTACTTCATTAGTTTCTGCTCTTTATTAACTCCTTTCTTTGGGTTTGTTCTATTTTTCTCTTTCAGACTTACCAGATGACCTACTAACACATCAGTTTTCAACCTTTCCTTTCCTAGTATGTCTTTAAGGCTATAAATTTGCCTCTAAGTATAACTTTTCCCACACATTTTTATATGTGGTATTTTTGTTTTTCAGTTCTTAGTTTGTTTTTTTTTTTTTTGTAATTTCCAACATGGTTTCTTTTGATTCACTAAATATTTAGAAGTGTTTTTAAATTCTATTTATAGTTTTCAAATTTATCTTTTGTTACTGATTTTTAACTTAATTGTATTACGGACAGAAACTTAGAACATTTTTTGAAATTTAGTGAGATTTTCATTATATTTCAGTGTATTTTTTTTGTTTGTCACTCATGTTTCATGAATACCTGAGAAAAATTTTTATTTTCTGATAGTTGGTTATGAGGTTCTGTTGATGTTATTAAATCCTGCTTGTTCATTATTATTTTTTTTGTCTGCTTGACTTATGATTAATTGGGATGTGTTGAAATCACCCACAACAATGGCCAATTTGTCAATTTCTTCCTGTAGTTTTTACTGTATTTTGAGGCTTCCCACCCCATGTAGACTGTGAATTTTATTTTGTCTTGTCTGGATAGAGATTTTTGTTGTTGTTGAGACAGAGTCTCGCTCTGTTGCCCAGACTGGTGGCTTGTTTTCATATAAATTTGATTTTTAAGATTATAGACTCAGACTTGGTTGCTCTTCGTCTTAGGTACTCCCAATGGCTTAAATTGGGGTACTTTCCTAAAACATACGTATATGCTTCTGCCATATGTTAGGAGTTTCTACTGACTTGGGCCCTTTGCTTGGTATGGGAATCTCACTCCTTCCCCTTGTAGCAGGCCCAGTGCTTTGTCTGTTCCTGTAGCAGGCATATCCAGGGCAACATTCTAATGTTTATTTTTATTTTTGCTTACTACTCACCATTTTTTCTGTTATTTCAACTAACTTTAGGGTTTTCTTTTAATGGGATGGTAATAGGCTTGATAATTTTCATGTACTTTTTGAGAACTTCTTAGTTGATTTAAACAAGTAGTTTTAATATCTTGAAAATTACAAACTCTTATCTAACACATGAATAAATTCCCCTTTTTTAAAATAGGTTTTAGCTGAATTTTGGGACATGGCCACTGCTTCACCAAGGTCTGATACTAGTAATAACCACAGTGGAAGGTTGCAGTTACAGGTAACTGGTAAGTTATTTTTATATTTAATATGGTGATTCCCTGATGAACTTTTCTTTTGAATACCTAATTCAGCAGACTTATTCCAGAAATAGAATTTCTTTTAGATTCATACTATGGCATATTTGTTGCAACAAGCCTCAAAGGTAGATGCCCTCCAAAACTATATTATTTATTCAGTAAATATTTATTGAACCTATGCTGGATGAAGAGAAGATATAGCCTCTGTAATGGTGGGAGAATTTGGGCTTTTGAATAAGTATCATTGCATTGGCCCTTAAATGATTAATAGGATGGAGCAGGATGCCAAAGGCCTTCTTACATACATTTAGCCATTTGTTCAATCATTGGGCAAATATTTAAGTGGGATTACACAGTACTGTAATTCCCATGGTACTCATTATATGAATTTAGTTATTTCTAGGAGGTTTCAGTTAACAGAGCTAGGAAATGTTTCTTGTAGAAAGCAAAAAATAAAAAATATTTTAACATCCTGAGTTCATGCTGATATTTCCAATTCATAATAATAACTGTAGTCTATAAGTACCATTTTCTACTAAAAGGAAACAAAATTTAAATTAATTTGACTTTATATTCATATCTTTTTTTTTCTTTTGAGATAGGGTCTCACTTTCTCTCCCTGGCTGGAGTACGGTGGCGCAAACATACCTCCTTGTAGCCTCAAACTACTGGGCTGAAGTGATCCTCGTGCTTCAGCCTCCCAAGTAGTTGGGACTGCAGATGTTCAACACCTTGCCTGGCTAATTTAAAAAAAAATTTTTTTAGAGACAGGGTCTCACTATGTTGCCCACGCTGGTCTTGAACTCTTTGTTTCAAGCAATCCTTTTGCACCACCCTCCCAAATTGAGCCACTGTGCCTGGCCTGTAACTCTCTCCTCTTAATCAAAAAATCTCCATTCAAAATGACATTATCATAATATCTGTTTTTATCCTACTACACCAGTTCAAAATAACATGAAAATTACCAAAAACAGAGGGAGAAGGAGGTGAAAAAAAGGTAATTTAAAAAATTACCAAAAACAATAGGTCTACTCATTGCAGTTTAAGATTTCTTTGTGTGTTTTCCCCCTTTAGGACGTATAATCAAAATACCATGTTTTAATGTACTTTAGTAATTCTCTATTTGGTTATATCACCAAATTGATAATTAGTTAAGTTCATCGTTTTCAGTTTTTTTTTTAATTTTGTTTTATAACCTTGTAAGACATTTACATAGTCCCAGAGTCAAAACCAAGGTACATTTAGAGAGGTCTGGCTACTTGGTCCCATTTTCCCACTTCTCTCCCTTGCCCTGTAGGTTCACATTTTTATTAGTTTTGCTTTATCCTTCTGTTGCTTCTTTTTGAAAATATAAGCAGATACATGTGCAGTATACGTATCTCATCTCTCCTCTTAATCTCCTAATTCTTGCATACTTCTCTGTGCTTTGCTTTTTTTAACTTTACAGTATTATTCTGGAGTTTGTTTCATAACAGAATATTCTTTTTCATCATTGCGCCATATCCTGTTGAATAGATGTAAAAAAGCTAACTAGTCTCCTTTTGCTGGACATTGGCGTTCCACTGTTTGCTATTACCAATAGTGCTGCAACAAATAACTTCATACAAAAGTCGTTTCTTATGTCTGCTCATGTATCAATAGGATAGGATCCTAGAATGAGATTGCTGGGTCAAAGGGTAGACACATGTAATTTTGCCAGGTATTGCCAAGTTCCTCTCCATGGGGTCTGCACCATTTTGTGTCTACACCAGCTATACATGACAGTGCCTGTTTTCCCAAAGCCTAACCAAAATCTGTTGTCAAGCTTTGGGATTGTTCATAATTAGACACTGAAGTGGTATCTTAGTGTTATTTAAAATAGCATTTCTCTCACTGTAAGGTTGAACTATAAGGGATATTTGGATTTTGGTTTCTGTGAATAATGGGCATCTATTTTTGAAACAGTTCTGATGAAGCTGATAGGTACTCCACTGAAGAACCACTTACATAATTCCTTCTACTTTTGCTCTGTATAAGAAGCTTAGAGCCCTATTTTCACTACATTTTCAGTTTATTGTAACTTGCGTAGGACCAATGGACAGTACACCTGAGGTGTAACTTTCAAATGATCTTGACCTATGTATAAGAGTTCTTAGGTAAAATAAGAAAAAACTAGGCCAGGCGCGGTGGCTCATGCCTGTAATCCCAGCACTTTGGGAGGCCGAGGCAGGTGGATCACGTGAGGCCAGGAGTTTGTGACTGGCCTGGCCAACATGGTGAAACCCCATCTCTACTAAAAATACAAAAATTAGCCGGGCATAGTGGCACATGCCTGTAATCCCAGCTACTTGGGAGGCTTAGGCATGAGAATCACTTGAACACTGGAGGTGGAGGTTGCAGTGAGCCGAGATGGCGTCACTGCATTCCAGCCTGGGGGATAAAGTGAGGCTCTGTCTCAAAAAAAAAAGAAAGAAAAAGAAAAGAAAAAGAAAAACCTGATCTGGCTAATTTGAGGTGAAAAAGAACATACTGAAAGACTATCAGGTGACTCAAATCTGGAGAACCAGTTGGAAAATAGATGTGGACCAAGGCAGTCTAAGTAGCCAAAACAATGCCATGACAGTATTTATCATTTTGAGCGTCAGTTGCTGCTCTCCTTTGAAATACAGTGATCCTTTTGGGAAAGAATGATCATGGACCTGTGCTAAATGGCACCAGGTTTTAGTGCCTTCTTTTCTTCTTGTCTTTGTCTTCCGTTTTGTTGATCTAATTTTTAAAATAAAAGTCACCTTAAAATTACCAGTCTTACTGATCTCACAATAACTTCTGCAATAAAGATTACTACTCCTGATTTGTCAGTGAGGACACTGAGAATCAGAGGGATTAAGTGCCTTGGGTTAATAATGAGAAACCAACTGAGGTCTTAGGACTCCAAGTTGTTGCTCCTTTTATTAGATTACAAAGACCTCTGTATTGATTTTTTCTTTTTTTTGAAATGGAGTCTTGCTCTGTTGCCCAGGCTGGAGTGCAGTGGCGTGATCTTGGCTCACTGCAACCTCCCCCTCCTGGGTTCAAGTGATTCTCCTGCATCAGCCTCCCAAATAGCTGAGATTACAGGTGCATGCCAGCATTCCTGTCTAATTTTTTTTTTTTTTTTTGTATTTTCAGTAGATACGGGGTTTCACCGTGTTGGCCAGGCTGGTCTCGAACTCCTGACCACAGGTGATCCGCCTGCCTCGGCCTCCCAGAGTGCTGGGATTACAGGCTGAGCCACCACGCCCAGGCTTTTCTTTTCTTTTTAAAAACAGTAAGTACTCAGATTAAGACCCCTCTAATATTGCAGTCTGGCTGTTTATTGTCTGTAAACCGAGGTTCTCTGCCCTAAGCCAATTTTTTTTTTTTATTTTTAGCATATTTACTCTTATCCTCATTTCTGTTCTTAACCCTTATCTGATTGGCAGCAACATGTAAGAATAAGAGCATTGATCATGGAACGCGGAAAAACTGATGGAAAAAATCAAACAGAAAACTACCTATTGTCATATAGTAATATACTGTAATGTACCAGCTACTCAAGGATAGTAGCATATAGAAGTGTATTATCTTCGATATTTTAGATTTTAGACTTTCAACAGGAAACTGTCAGAAGCATAGAGTATGCAAGATGTATAAAGGATGAGATTGAAGAAAAAATGGGCTGTTGTATTCATGTTTATAATTTTTTTTTAGCTATTGTGTCTTCTAAAGCATTTTCACTTTTTAAAGTAAAAGTGTCAAATCATATACCACTTATTTTTGTATGAGTGGTGTGAATTATAGACTTCATTCTTTTCAAATGTTTCAAAATTTATGGTCTCATCTATCTTCCCATTGATTTGAAATGCCACTGTTATGCATTAGTATCTTGCTTTTCTCTTTACTTCTCTTTTACATCACTGTCAAACCATTTTAATTATTTTCACTTTATGGTACTTTTTAAAAAAATATTTTGAGAAATTTCCTTTTATTACTTTGCATTTTAAAATACACGTTTACTGTTCTTGATTTTTCTTTGGCTTTTATTTGAATATTTAAGTCTCCCTTCCTTTTCCTCTGCCCCCACCAAAAACACTCAAAACCAATCAGTTGGTGTTTTTATTTTAAAATAATGTATTAAATTGGAGCTAATTGAAATATTTCAATGTTAAACTTTTCAAATCTAGGAATATATCATATCATTTTTTTTAAGCCTTTGTTTCCATTGGTAAAGTTTTATAGTTCTCTTCATGTGACTCTTACTTATTTCTTAAGTTTATTACTAGATTTTTTGAAGGGATGTTATTGTGAGTGGGATTTTTGAGTTAACTCTCCCTACCCTCTCACAGGTGACTCATTTTCTGATAGTTTAAAAATACTTATATAACCTTAGAGTGGAGGACATTCTGTGTATAACACCAAAGGAAACTCATTAAATGAGAAAAAAAATCTATATATTCTACTAACTAGAACAACTTTTTGAATTAATAAGGTTGTCTTCTAGTTATTTAAAATCACATTATTTATATGTACATTTTGCTAGCATATTTATAAATTCCTCATGAGATTAAAGATTATTATCTTTGAAAAATCTCTTTTCTTACCTTACCCTCTAGTATTGTTGAGTATTTTGCCAAGTAAGGGTATTCAGTGGACGTATTTTGGATGGATCTGTAATGAACTCAGAGAAGAGTTAATACTATATAGTCAGTAATAATAGAGTAACAGCTACCATTGTTGGATGCCAGACATTCATTGATGGTGATAGTGCCTTGCATGCCTTCACTCACCAATCCTAAGAATCAGGTACTGCTGTTCTTCTGATTTTTCAAGTAAGGGATGGAGAAATTAATTGACTTACTGTGGTCAGGCTTTTAGTAAGTGGCACATTTGAAAAATGAACCCAGATATGTCTATCCCTCTGCTTTTAACACCATCATATACTGACTTTTCCTTCTTCCAGTCTTCTGCTATATGGATAAGACTTACATATACTGAGGAAATATATGAGCACTTTTATTCAAAGAATCTTGGGAAGTTTCTTGGGAGAGAGCAAGTCTGGGCCTTCTATATTAGTCCAGTGGCGCTGAACTTAGAGCAGTTTGGAACGATGAAGGATGGAAATGAGTTTTGCTAAGACCCTGGTAGTAGCAGTTCAGACATAACATTGAACACTCTTTAATTGCTATGTTGCCGGTACTTAAATATAGTATTTGCTTGGAATCTTGCATTTATCACATTGTATTTCAGTGATTTATTTGTGTGACTATTTAGATTATTATTCTCTCACAATAGAATGGAAGCTTACATAGCTTTGGTTGTTTTTATATCCTTAACATCCGGTGTGTATGACATGAAAGAGGCTTTTCCCTTCCTCATCTCTGATCTAGGGTGTTCACAGGTAATTGATTATAGAGGTGATCTTGATAAGTTGTTCTTACTGCCTGTTCATCAGTATTTTGCCCAGAAAGTAGATAGTCCCTGATTTCTTCATATCTCAGGTATATTAGATTTTCACTTTCTGGAAGGGGTTATGATTAACTTTTATAATGACATTTTGATTTTTAAGCTTTTATTTGAAAATGCAAATACTACTTCTTTTCGAAGCTAACTTTCCAGATAAAACATTAAAGCATTTTTTTAAGTGCCACAGTTATGTAATTTCAGAAAGACAAGTTAATAGTACCTGGCAGGGATGTTAATGGGCATGTTGAATCTGAAGACACTTTTCCCTTGATCTTTAATGCAGTTGTTGGTGAGAATGTGGAGAAATCAGTGTATATTGTTGATAGGAATATAAAATGGTGCAGCCACTTTGGAAAATAGCCTGGCAGTTACTCAACAGAGGGTTATCACATGAGCCAGGAGTTCTACTCCAAAGTATATGCCCAAGAGAAATGAAAACATACGTCCACAAAAAAGCCTGTGCACAAATGTTCATAACAGCTTTATGCACAATAGCCACAAAGTGGAAGCAGTTCATATATTTATCAGTTAATAGATAAAATGTCATATACCCATATAATAGAATGGTATTTGGCAAGAAAAGGAGTGGAGTACTGGTGCATGTTACAATATGGATGAACCTCAAAAATGTAATGCTGAGTGAAAGAAGCCAGTCACAAAAAAAACCCACATTATATGATTCCATCTATATGAAATGTCCAGAATAGGCAAATTTAAAGAGACAGAGAGTAGGTTAGTGGCTGCCTAGGGATGGGGGTGGGGAGAGGGTTGATTGGGAGGAGAAAGAAGGGGGTGACTGCTTAATGGTATGGAGTTTATTTTTATGGTAACAAAACTGTTTTAAAATTGATTGTGGTGATGGTTGTGCCACTCTGAATATAGTGAAACCATTGAATTGTACAGTTTAAGTGGGTGAATTATATGATATGTGAATGATAGCTCACTAAAACTGTTACAGAAACATTCAAATGGCTCTCAAGCATTATCAGTAGCCCTTTTGTATTGTTTCTTCATTCTGCCAACGAGAAGAGTTCTAGTTGCACAAGAAGCACAATTCCATTCTTATTGATTGATTAGTGTGCAGTACTACTTTTTGGCAACACATACTCACTAGTGAATTATTTGTCTGTTAGTTTCTAGTGCCAAACTTAAAAGAAAAAAGAACTGGTTCGGAACAGCAATATATACAGAAGTAGTTGTAGATGGAGAAATTACGAAAACAGCAAAATCCAGTAGTTCTTCTAATCCAAAATGGGATGAACAGCTAACTGTGTAAGTACCTTGTGTAAAGGACGGAAAATCTTCACAAGAAAGTGTATTTTTTGGAATATGTTTTTTGTTTTGTAAAATGACTTCAAAGTAATGAGTGATTTTTTTAAAGTGTGGATCGACAATTTAAAGTATGGAGAAATTTTTGGTTAAATTTTTTTTTTAAGGGGAGGATGCATAATAATGCTTGCTTTTGCTTTATAAACCAAATTATTTCCATTTTCTCTGACTGTTTTGGTACAGAAATAAATAGGACTGCAAATTAGTCATTCTTAATTTTGGCATTTCAAAATAATAATGGCATAAATTTGTGTATAGTAAAAGTATCATGTAAGTCTTTAGACATTTGTTCAAATACAAACAGTGTTACTATGAAGTCTCAGTAAGACTCCTGTGTTGGTGTTTTGGCTTGCTGATTCCAAAAATCCTCATCTAGTTATTAAAGTCCTAATGTATTTGAAAGTAAAATATTTTTATTTATGATTCAAGTAGTTTCCTGTTTCATACAATATTTCTTCTCAAATAAATGAAATTCACGGTTTTTAAAACATTACTGAAATAAATGCTTTAATAGGAATTGTTACTTATTAATAGAATGACAACGTCTACTCCTGTATTTTTGTTAATAATTTTACCCTTCCAGAAATGTTACGCCACAGACTACATTGGAATTTCAAGTTTGGAGCCATCGCACTTTAAAAGCAGATGCTTTATTAGGAAAAGCAACGATAGATTTGAAACAAGCTCTGTTGATACACAATAGAAAATGTAAGTTTTTTGTTCTGACCTTTATTTCCTTATAAGTTTATTTTAGACACTTTGAACATATCCTGAATCCTAAAAGCAAAAACATAGTTTTGTATCCATAAAGAACTTCAGTTATTGCTTGTGATTGATTAACTTTGTGGCATTTTATGAAATAGGAAATATTTACCATGGCCTTTCTGCATTCTGCAGATTTACAAGGTAATCTCAGTCATCCACAAGTACCCTATTATCAGTGACTATCAGTCATTTATTATTTGCTTATTATTATATTCTTTAAAACTTGAGAAAATTATCATTACATGACCCTACTCTATTTTGTCACTTGACTACTAACAATTTTATTTGGGTAAAATAAATTGTAACTCTTAAGTTTTCTTTTATTATTATATAATTAGTTTATTGTAAAAAACATGAAGAAGATAGACAATTATAGAGTAATATAAAAATTTTCTATAATTTTACTATCCAAGGATAACCAATCTTAATAATTTGGTCACTGTCCTTTTGTTTTTCATAGACACAAACATATTTCTTTTTTGCTTTGCATCTACTAGTTTATCCTCTGCTTTCTAGAAATTTAACAATATACCATAAATATTAAGTTTCCATGATACTTTTTCTAGACTGGGATTTTAAGGTAGTTTAGAGTTTAATTATTTGTAAACCTCCTATCATATGCAAAAATATGGGGGTATGTACATATATGTGTAATTCTGGGGAGAGGGTTCATAGCTTTTATCAGATTCTCAAAATGTGTGATCCTCTGAATATTAAAAACCAGGGTTCTAGCTGGGGGTGGTGGCTCATGCCTGTAATCCCAGTACTTTGGGAGGCCAGGGTGGGCAGATCACTTGAGATCAGAAGTTCAAGACCAGTCTGACCAACATGGTGAAACCTCGCCTCTACTAAAAGTACAAAAATTAGCTGAATGTGGTGGCATGTGCCTGTTGTCCCAGCTACTTGGGAGGCTGAGGCAGGAGAATCGCTTGAACCCGGGAGGTGGAGGTTGCAGTGAGCCAAGATTGCACCACTGCACTCCCAGCCTGGGCGACAGGGTGAGACTCCATCTCAAACCCGCAAAAAACCAGGGTTCTAGTTTATGATTTTTAAATACCATGTAATGATTTCTCACACCACAATTTATTTAGTTTCCCGTTGTCTGACACTTAAGTAGCTTGTAACAGTTCACTAAAAATAGGCTCTTGCTCAAATCTGTAAATATTTTTGCTCTTCTTATTTCTGTAGAGATTCTCTTATTAATTCCTAAAAGTAGGTTTGCTGAATGAAGTAAGGGATGAAATGCTGATGATGAAAATAGCAAGTTATCTTTAAAAAGGTTCTTTCTGCAAATCCACATGTAACTTAAAGATCTGTTTTGATCTAGTTTTTGGAAATAAGTGAGTTATGAGTTAAGAAAATATAATTATGGATTATAATAATTAGAACTAGTAATTAGTAGTTAGTATAAACCATAATAATTTTTATATATTTGGCTTAAAACTTTTTCTTTTTCTTAAAGCATTGTAAGTTTGATTCTCTGCTATGCCATGGCATTTTTTTTTTTCTCAATGAGTCATGCAATTCATCTTGATACAGGAAGAAGTAATAGATTTTATAAGTATACAGTACCTTGCCTGGATTATTATTATTTAACCATATTCCCATTGTTGGACATCTAGATTGTTTTCAATTCTGTTATGTTAGACTCTACTGAACCTCCATATAAAGATAACTATCCACTTATCTGCCAAATGATCTTCTAGGAAGGTTGTAATGTCAATACACTTCGAAATGAAGCCCTCACGAATTGTATAAGCTAAAAATTACCTTGGCTGTGTGCAGTGGTTCATGCCTGTAATCCCACCACTTTGGGAGGCTGAGGCAGGCGGATCACCTGAGGTCAAGAGTTTGAGACCAGCCTGGCCAACATGGTGAGACCCTGTGTCTACCAAAAATACAAAAATTAGCTGAGTGTGGTGGCACGTGCCTGTAATCCCAGCTACTCAGGAGGCTGAGGCAGGAGAATTGCTTGAACTGGGAGACGGAGGTTGCAGTGAACTGAGATTGCGCCACTGCACTCCAAGCCTGGGCTACAGAGCGAGACTCCCTCTCAAAAAATAACTAAATAAATATATAAAAATTATCTCTGTGATTTAATTGAGTAGGATACGGATATGCTCAGGAAAAATAAAATTTAATAAACACTCATACAGTCAGTAGATGGCTTCAGAAATTTTAGTAGCATCCTGCACACCTAAGAAGTCGGTAAATTAGTTTGCAAGGGCTGCCATAACAAAATACCACAGACTGGGTGCCTTAATGGAAATTGATTTTCTCACATATCCAGAGGCTGGAAGTCGGTGATTAAGATATCAGTGGGGTTGGTTTATTGTGAGGCCTCTCTTCTTGGCTTGTAGATGGACATCTTTTCCCTGTATCTTCACATGGTCTTCCCTCTGTATATGTGTCTGCGTCCAAATTTCCCCTTATCAGGACACCAGTCATTGGATTAGGGCCTACCCCAATGACATTATTTTAACTTAATTACCTCTTCAAAAATCGAGTCTCTAAAAACGTCACATTTTGAGGTACTGGGGAGTAAAACTTCAACATACGAATTTGGTGGGGGACACAATTCAGCCCCAAACAAAAGGTAAATAAATTTATTTGAAGAATTAAATCTCATGATAGTATCATAATCCTTTTACAATAGAAGACATTTATGGGTATTAGTTTTAGTCGTTCATTTTATAGACAAATGAGTAAAATAATTTAAAGTAATTAAAATTAGATTTTAATTTAAGTAAGTTGGTCAAGAGTATACACGTAATTTCCGGGTTGTGATTAAAACATAAGTTTTCTGATTCTTAGCTGCCTAATTTTGATTAGAAGTAATATAAAATTAATAAGGTTCAAGACAGCCTTGAAGCAATTTAAAAATACTTTTATAAATGATAGCATTCTTGGTTGCCTTTGATTCAGTCTCTTGGTTTAGTACTTGGACTCTGAGTTTTAGTTGGCTATCAGTTGAATGAGCTCTACTTAAATTTTGGGGTTATTGTATATTTACCTTTAAAAAGAAGTAAACAGGCTAGGGGTGGTGGCTCACACCTGTAATCCTGGCACTGTGGGAGGCTGAGGCAGGTGGATCACCTGAGCTCAGGAGTTTGATACCAGCCTGGGCAACATGGTGAAACCCCATCTCTACCAGAGATACAAAAAATTAGCCAGGCTTTATCAAAGATACAAAAAATTAGCCAGGCATGTGCCTGTAGTCCCAACTACTTGGGAGGCTGAGGTGGGAGGATCGCTTGAGCCTGGGAGGTGGTGGTTGCAGTGAGCCAAGATTATACCACTGCATTCAAGTCTGGGTGACAGAGTAAGACACTGTCTCAAAAAAAAAAAAAAGTAAACAACTGCCAAGAACAAAATAAGTAACCCAAGAAAAACATGACATCCTAGTGTTGAAGAAAAATATTCAGTACTAAAAACATTTTTTGTTCCTATCCTTAAATTCTGATTTGAGGGGCAAGGTTATTGATAGAGATATTATGTTTCTGAGGTGTGCTCTATATAGAAAATGTTTGATAGTCAGCACCTTGAATAGAATTGTGTATATTTGTGTATAAGGCTCCAGTGGAGGGATGTTCTGCAGTGTGTCTGTGTTCCTCATCTATTTGCAGAGGATAGATTTTTAAGGGATGTAGTGAAAGAGGAATCTCCTGAGAGGAAAGAAAGTAGGCTGAGTTTTTAGGTGTTGAGGCAGTGAAAGAAGAGAACAGCGAAAGACAATCTAGCTCTTCAGGAAGAACCCGGGATCTAGCATGCATGAAAACTTCCAGTATGATTTCTGGCAAGACATTTTTTTAAAAAAAGTTTATGGTGTGAATGAATGGCAGAAAGGATAAAAGTCCTTGAAGGCAGATTACAATATGGAGCAGGTGACTGTTACCAGAAGTATATGTGGGGGCTCTCAAGGGTAATTTTAAAGGATGAAAGGACATGGTTTAGTGATAGTGGGAAAGTTATTGTAGGAATCTGAGGTAACATTTATAACAATTATAGACCACAAACAAAGTGGAATTAATGACCAACTTGAAAGTAGACACTGTCTTATTCACTTGTGTTTTTTTCAGTGCTTCCCACAGTCCACAGCCAAAGATTTTTTAAAAATGTTAACAGAGAAACTTGCTTATTCAAGTGAAATCTTACCATGGAATCTTATTCTATATAAAAATTTTACTGTATATAAAACATAAAGCAGTATTGAACAACACAGCCATGCACATGCTCACATGTCCTTACTCTTGTTATCCACAGCAGTTCCTGAGTTAATTTCTGGTGGTACCCTGCTCCTGAAACCAGTTTGAAAATCACTTTTCTATAAGATCAAGTTCAACTCCTGGTTTCAGTGCCTTACCGAGTCTTAGTTCAGTTTGTCTAATTTCCTGCTTACATCTTCATACCCTGACTGCTGTGTTCAGCTAGTCTTCTCATTATCTTCTGAGTATGCTTTGCTGGGTCTCCTGTACTGAAAGCAACTTATCACTAATCATGTCCTTGGTATTTTCAATAATTATACATTTGTTTAGTGTGTTTTTATATTTCATTCTTTAACATAGGTGGAATTATTATGGAGAGTGTGTAAAAATTATATCTAAGGTAGCTACTAAGAAGGCTGAGGCAAGAGGATCTCTTGAGGCCCAGAGTTCAAGGCTGCAGTGAACTATCATTGTGTCTGTGTACAGTTGCTGTACCCTAGCCTGAGTACACATTTTATCATTTTATGTTCCACTCATATAGCAGGCTGTTCTCTCCCTTCCTTTCCTCCTCGTTCTTCTTTTGTGTGTGTGTTTGGGTGGGGGGGCGGGGTGTCTTGACAATGATGCAGGCCCTGTGGTATACTCAATTATTTTTGTCTAAGTGCTATTAGAATGTAACTTTTACTTAACTATCCTTACCTTTCAACATAAATGTACTGAAACTTGCCCAAAATTCTTTTTGGAATGGAGTGGAGGTATAATTAATAATTCCACAAATGAAAATATAAACTAGTTGTAATGACTGTAACTGAAGAAACTTTGAGTATCATTCAGTTACAGGGATTCAATTTTTTCCGTAGATACTGTCTTACTGCATTTGTTCTGCTGTAACAAAATACCTGAGACTAGGTAACTTATGGAGAACATAAATACATTCATCACAGTTCTAGGATCTGGAAGTCCAAGATCAAGATGCCAGCAGGTTCGAGTTTGGAGAGGATCCAGTTCCTGTTTCCAAGATGGCACCTTGTTGCTGCATCCTCTGAAGGGGATGAACACTGTCCTCACATGGCAAAAGGGACAGAAAAGGGCACACCCACTCACTCAAGTCCTTTTATAAAGGCCCTAATTCCATCCGTGAGGACTGCGCCCTCTTGATTTAATCCCTTCCTAAAGACCCTAATTTTTAATACTATCATAGTAGTGATTAAGTTTCAACATACAAATTTTGTGGGATGCCATCAGACTGAAGCAGAGGTGGTCCAACTTTTTCTTAACCTAAATTATTTTTATTGGTTGCCATATATATATTAAATGACCCTTATTTTCACATTCTTCCATTAGCAGTGGTCCTGTGTATTAGGCATTTATCTTTTATTGGAAAGATATTTATATTAGAACCACTTAAAGGATAAAATACCAAGAATCTTGTGAAAAAGGTAGAAGGGAGTGCCAAAATAGCCTGTGAATAATAACACGGATTCTACTTTGTATTACCACTTGTCTTGACCATAATCTTGATTTCTAATCTTTTAAAATATATTCTTTTATAATCCCAGTGCCATTGAATTTTACTGACACATTCATATATGTATATTTATTTATTTATTTATTTATTTTATCATTATTATTTTTTTCCTTGAGACAGTCTCACTCTGTCACCCAGGCTGGAGTGCAGGGGTGCAGTCTCGGCTCACTGCAGCCTTTGCCTCCTAGGTTCAAGCAATTCTCCCACCTCAGCCTCCTGAGTAACTGGGGTTACAGACGTGTGCTACCATGCACCACCATGTGCGGCTCATTTTTGTATTTTTTGGTAGAGATGGGGTTTCACCATGTTAGCCAGACTGGTCTCGAACTCCTGACCTCAAGTGATCTGCCTGCCTCAGCCTCTGAAAGTGCCGGGATTATAGGCATGACCCACTGCAACCCAGCTGGTGTTTTATATTTTTATATAATTTTCTTCCATCTTCATAATGAAAAGTTAGCTTCATTTAAGCATCATTCAGTAAGGGCTGCTGTCCAACAGAACTTCTGCAGTGATGGTTATATTCTGTATCTCTGCTATCCAATATGGTAGCCTTTCATCATGTATGGCAGTTGAGCATTTGAAATGTGGTTTGTAGAACTAAAGTGTTTAATTTTAAACTTGGTTTTATTTTAATTAAATTTACATTTAAATAGCCATACATGGCCGCTGGCTACTGTATTGGTCAGTGCAGTATCAGACTCTTTTGTGTTTGAATTGCAAAATCAGAATTTATCTCTGCCTTTTTTTTTTTTTTAAACAACTTTCCTTTCCTTCCTACTTACTTTTATATTTCTCTTAGGTAGAGTTTTAGTTTCATCAGTAGGTACCAGGTTGTCTGTTTTTTTTTTCCTTTTTTCTTTTTTAAATGTTGCCCAGGCCAGTGGCTGTTCACAGGTGCTATCCTAGTGTACGGTAGCCTCCAACTCCTGGACTCAAGCGATCCTCCCACCACAGTCTTCTGAGGCCACTACGCTTGGCTAGGTTGTCTTTTTTGTAAGGATCAATTCTGGAAGCTCCTTGAGTATTTTCTTCATTGTTAGTTTGAAATCTGTGTTTGTTTTCTCCTTCATTATGATTTGCTGCCATTTGTCTTTTATGTTTCCCCTGGCACACTTTTTGATATAATCTAATCATATTGCCTTTTTTTCCCTCTAGGTAGTTCACTGTGTCATCTGTTTGGTCTGTGTTCTGGTTTTGATTGATACTGTTAGTCATTCATTTCTTTATTGCTTACAATGTTGCTTTGAAATTTTCATGTTTTCCATTGTATTTTTAGTTTTCACAAAATCATTTCTTTTATAATAGTTCTTAATTTATTTAAACATCTTGGTAGATTATATTAGCCAATAATTCTTATTTTATTTGCCTAAGATTTTAAAAGTTTTTCATAGAACATAAGCATTTATTATTTTGACTTCTGCAGTCTTTTAAATCAGACCTGAGTTGCTTTTTAATTTTATATTCCCATTTGCTAACAGCCAGTAGACTTCTCTTTTCTTATTTATGACTTTTTGAAATAAAGATGACTTTGTTGTTTTGATATGTTTGGTTCAAAGCTTCCCATCTTCCAAGAAGTTGCATATTTTACCTCTGATATGCTTTGATAACTTGCTTAAAGTTAGAAACCCTTAAAATTGTATTTCTTACTTTCTTAGATCTGGGACTTTTCTTCATTAAATAAACATTTATTGAGTTTTAGGAAGAGACATACAAAACATATAAAGAATATGTGGTTTCTTTTTTTTTTTTTAGTATTTATTGATCATTCTTGGGTGTTTCTCGGAGAGGGGGATTTGGCAGGGTCATAGGACAATAGTGGAGGGAAGGTCAGCAGATAAACATGTGAACAAGGGTCTGTGGTTTTCCTAGGCAGAGGACCCTGCGGCCTTCCGCAGTGTTTGTGTCCCTGGGTACTTGAGATTAGGGAGTGTGATGACTCTTAACGAGTATGCTGCCTTCAAGCATCTGTTTAACAAAGCACATCTTGCACCCCCCTTAATCCATTTAACCCTGAGTGGATACAGCACATGTTTCAGAGAGCACCAGGTTGGGGGTAAGGTTATAGATTAACAGCATCCCAAGGCAGAAGAATTTTTCTTAGTACAGAACAAAATGGAGTCTCTTATGTCTACTTCTTTCTACACAGACACCGTAACAATCTGATCTCTCTTTCTTTTCCCCACATTTCCCCCTTTTCTATTCGACAAAACCCCCATCATCATCATGGCCCGTTCTCAATGAGCTGTTGGGTACACCTCCCAGACGGGGTGGCGGCCAGGCAGACGGGCTCCTCACTTCCCAGACGGGGCGGCCGGGCAGAGGCGCCCCCCCACCCACCTCCCGGATGGGGCGGCTGCCCGGCGGAGGCCGCCCCCCACCTCCCTCCCAGATGGGGCGGCTGGCGGGGTGGGGGCTGCCCCCCACCTCCTTCCCAGATGGGGCGGCTGGCCGGGCGGGGGCTGCCCCCCACCTCCTGGACGGGGCGGCTGCCGGGCGGAGACGCTCCTCACTTCCCGGACGGGGCGGCTGCCAGGCGGAGGGGCTCCTCACTTCTCAGACGGGGCAGCCCGGCAGAGACGCTCCTCACCTCCCAGAAGGGGTGGCGGTCTGGCAGAGACACTCCTCAGATCCCAGACGGGGTCGCAGCTGGGCAGAGGCACTCCTCACATCCCAGACGGAGCGGCGGGGCAGAGGCGCTCCCCACATCTCAGACGATGGGCAGCCGGGCAGACACGCTCCTCACTTCCTAGACGGGATGGCGGCCAGGAAGAGGCGCTCCTCACTTCCCAGACTGGGCGGCCGGGCAGAGGGGCTCCTCACATCCCAGACGACGGGCGGCCAGGCAGAGACGCTCCTCACTTCCCAGACGGGGTGGCGGCTGGGCACAGGCTGCAATCTCGGCACTTTGGGAGGCCAAGGCAGGCGGCTGGGAGGTGGAGGTTGTAGCAAGCCGAGATCACGCCACTGCACTCCAGCCTGGGCAAGATTGAGCACTGAGTGAGCGAGACTCCGTCTGCAATCCCGGCACTTCGGGAGGCCCAGGCTGGCAGATCACTCGCGGTCAGGAGCTGGAGACCAGCCCGTCCAACACGGCGAAACCCCGTCTCCACCAAAAAATACAAAAACCAGTCAGGCGTGGCAGCGGGCGCCTGCAATCCCAGGCACTAGGCAGGCTGAGGCAGGAGAATCAGGCAGGGAGGTTGCAGTGAACCGAGATGGCGGCAGCACAGTCCAGCCTCGGCTCAGCATCAGAGGGAGACCGTGGAAAGTGGGAGACGAGAGGGAGACGGGAGAGGGGGAGGGAGAGGGGGAGGGAGGAGGAGCGGGAGGGAGAGGGAGAAGAATATGTGGTTTCTGACCACTCCCCCATTCTACCATAGTAGGAACCCAATAGTCTACCATATCAGAATAGATTTTGCAGTTATTGAGGTCATTTGTTCCTTTTCAGATTTACAAGGCTAATTTCTTCCTTTGTTAAGGCTCCCTATTGTTTTCTCGTATATTTCATGGTTTTTCATCTATCTTTTCTGATATATTTGGGGTAATGGTGGGGGAGTGATTTATTTGAATAGGTATATTTTCTATTTTTGAAGTTTTTTTTAATTTCTTCATCCTTGATGGTATGTGTTATTACAGCCATAAATAAACCTTATTTACATATACATAAATAAACCCCCCAGACTCTCCTAACATAAATTATTTGTATTGTTTTCCCCAGAATCCAACTAACTGCGTCTTGTTAGGGAGATTGTTCCACTTCTTCACATTTAAGCCCTAGTGAGCTTTCACTCCTTAACCTTCATCTGTTTTGTATAAGCCCAGTTGGTTTATTCCCAAAGCTTTTGCTCCTTTAATCCTCTAATACATTGTCTCAGAATGTTTGTGGATTTAAGCCATCATTTGTGCCTCAGTTAAACTTCAGTTCTGTGTTCAGGTCAGTTGAACAACATTCCAAACTATGGAAATAATTTTTTGGCTCTGCGGAGATGTGTGGTATTTTTAGCTTTCTTTCCCTTATGTCACCAGTGTGAGATACTGATATCTGAGGTATGTTTCACTCAGTCAGCCTCACTATTTCTTAAACTACATAGGAAAAAAAAAATCCCTCTATTGTTACAGATAAACAAAGCTGGACACTGTTTAGAGTAGTCAGAACATACTTTAATCAATAATATGTTTTTGCAATAAGGAAGAGATTCCAGCATGAACTGAACTCAACTTTGATTTGTATAGAGGTTACTGGGTCTTTTAAAAGGAGAATGAAGGAGTGGGGGTGGGGGGTTCAATGGAGGCTCAGTAGAGTCAGGAAAATGAAAAATTACAAAAGCTTGGTCAGTGTAAATGCAATTAGGCCCTTGTGTTTGGTAGCTGGCAAGTAACGAAGTCAGGATTCTGTCCTCCCACAGAGACAGGGAAACAAAAGCCCTATCCTTCCCAATGATTGCATTTTAAAGGAATGTCTTTCAGGCCCTTGAGAAAGACACTCACATGTTATAGGAGACAGAGGAAGGATTTACCATTGTAAGCCGTTTTTAGTAAATGCTCTAAGAAAGAGTAGTCGGGGGCCTATCATCAGGTGTTGGTTACAACAGACAATAAATTCTTTTGGCAGCCTTAAGTTTTCTCAGGCAGGTGCTTTAAGGGGAGTTAGGGTTATCCCTAAGAGCCTTGAACTGTTAGGAACTATGGTGGTGCTTGCTCAAGTCTTTTAGTGTGTGTGCAATGGTGGTAGTGGTGCTGGGATTGTGGAGGAAATCATTTGTGCTGAGTTTGCAGTTTTTCTAGGCCAAGATTGAGGCCTAGTCAAGAAGGTCCTGAGGACCCTGACTAGAGTTTGATTAAAGAGAGAATCTTTGTCACTATACCCATAGGTGAAAACCATAGAAATAGTATAGCTAACATACACATTAGAGTATATTCAGAACTTCACTTTGTGTTTCAATTTTGAGGCGGAGAGAACCACTTTAAATATTCCAGAGAGGAGTGAGATGGCTGCCATTCAAATACTGATAATTAGACTGAGGTTTTTTATTTATTTTATTTTTTATGGTGTTAATAGAACCAAGAACTTAGTTTTTGTCAAGGAAAGCATTTTGAAATCCATTAAGTTCAATTCGAAGTAAATTATGTCCAAAATGATTTATAATGAATAAATCTCTCTTTATATTGAATGGTGGGGAAATACAGCAGAGAAATGTATCATTTGTGGTACTGGACAGAGCATAGTCAAATTTGGTTTTATTTTATAATTCTCTTTAGCCTTATTAACTGAGTGAATTTGCTTATTTAGTTATTTGTTTAGTTTACTAAGACAAATTTTGTTTTATAAATTCACTTACTATCAACACAAACTCAGATATTTTGAAGTCAAAGCTTTGAATAAACAGTATTTTCACATTCAATGATGTAAGTGCCTCTTTATTCTTTCGAAAATTTTTTTGTATTGAAATTACTGGGAGGTAAAAGGGAATGAAAAGTTTTCTGGAAGTTCAGCTGCCTTTCTGAAAAGTTCTACTAATTTATATACACAAACGTAGCGTATGACAGCACCCATTTGTAAATATTTGCCACATTATTAGATAAAAAAATGAGAAGTTTTATTATCAAAGCATTTCTTTGATTATTAATAAGGTCAGATGTTTATTAGTCATTCATACTTCATCATTTATGATTGTCTCATGCTCTTTGTACATTTTTTATTGGTTTGTTTAGTTTTTTTCTCACTAATTCCTAAGAGCTCTTATTTTTTTCTCTCAGTTAATCATTAGCCTTTTTATTTTTTAATTTGTATTTATTTATTTTTTTGAGACAGGGTCTCACTCTGTCTCTCAGGCTGGAGTGCACTGGCACGATCTCGGCTCACTGCAACCTCCATCTCCCGGGTTGAAGCGATTCTCCTTGCCTCAACCTCCCCTCAAGGCTCTTAGGAATAACCCTAGCTACTTAACTGTGTGAGTAGCTGGGACTGCAGGCACGTGCCACCATGCCTGGCTAATTTTTGTGTTCTTAGTAGAGGCAGGGTTTCTCTGTGTTGGCTAGGCTGATCTTGAACTCCTCAAGTGATCCACCCACCTCAGCCTCCCAAAGTGCTGGGATTACAGATTTATTATAAATAAATAAGTAAATAAATTCTGAAATTTTTTGTTACATGGTAGGAAGTAGGAGCTTAACTTTGTGAGTTGTTGAACATTGACTCATAGCATGATATAATGAAAAGACTTAGGAATTTTAGAAAACTTTGCTATTATTAAGACTGTCACTTACAAGCTATGTAACCTAATGTGTTCATTTTGTTTCTAAAAATTCTGTTTTTCTCATACTTTTGAGTATGTTGGCCAGCCTCTAAATGGCCTTCAAGCATTCATACCTTCTGGGTTCCAACACCCTTCTGTAGTCCCCTCCCACACTGCGTCAGAGATTATCTGTGTGACCAGTAGATTATGGCAGAAGTGATGGTGTACAAACTCTGAGACTTAGTCATATAGGCATTTCAGGTTTTGCCTTGTTCTCTTGGAGTACTCACCATGGGAAATCAGCAACCATTGAGAAGACTCTCACAAAGCCCTGTGGCGGGGCACTGAGGTCTCCTCTCAGCAGCCAGCACCCACCTGCCAGATGTGGATGTGCCCCTCTTGAGTTCTCGGCAATAATGAGTGATTATTGTTATTTTTAGCCAGTAAGTTTCAGAATAATTTGTTACTCAGCAATAGATAATACATTGTTTGAGCAGTTTTTAAAAACGGCTTCAGAATGTGGCTCTGAGCTAAATAGAAGTCTGTGAAACATGTTTTCAACAAATCCATGATTTATAGAACAGATTACCTAGTTATATACCTACCTCCTCAGAGACTCAAATTGTTCTGTCTCAAATTGCTGTATTAACACTAAGGAAGAAGGTCTAGGAGGTACAAAAAAATCAGCTTCTGCCTTACAAGAGTAAGTTCCCCTAGGACAGGACTACCTTAATCACTTAGTTTAAATGTTTTTTAAGCACCTACCTTCTCTCAGTTGCTGAGGATACATCACTGAATTAGTTGGACAAGATCTCTGCTCTGCTAGAGACTTCATTTCATTTGGGGAGGTCAACCAAAAAACAAAAACATTCTTTTAGTGGTAAGTGCATTGAAGGAAATGAGCAAAGCAGTGGTAAGGAGGTCTCCTTTAGGCTAGTCAAGGTTTGTCCTGCTTCTTCCCCATCTACAGTGCCTGGCACACCGTAGGCACTCAAATATTGAATGGATAAATACATCGGAGTTGGTTTGTTTATACTGTGACAGAATAATATCTTTTTCCCTCTGACACACACATATACAAACACATGTAGATGGGAATTATTTATGTGATTGTCCTTCCAGTTTTATGATCCAAAATGTTATAACTCAATCTTCCATGTTCAGAATTGTGAAATAATATATACTGTAAACACCCTCCCACTGCAGAATACCTAGGTCCTGGATTGAACAAATCTTTGTGGCGTTGATGATTTTGCAAAAAGGTAGAGGGCTGTTCTTCTTAAAAAAAAAAAAAAAAAAAAAAGCCAGGAGATGAGGGGGTTGGGGTAAAGAAAACCTCATGAAACAGAATTAGAATAGTCTGCCATACCAATAGCAGATTTAATGATGCTGAGCTTTTGGCTAATAGCCAGAGAAGGGAGCTGAGCTTGAACTCCTCTAGTCTACACTCTTGGGCGTACCATCAAACCACTGTAAAATTAGGACGTATCATCAAACCACTGGTAAAAATTAGCTTAAAATTAGTTTAAGCTAACGTCAGAGAATAAACATAAGGGAACAAGCCACCATAAGCAGAGGTTGTCCATAAAGAGACAGATTGTAAACATTTGAGCATAAAGGCCGCATATGGTTTCTGTTATTAACTCGCCATTGTAACGTGAAAGCAGCCATAGAGAATATGTAAATGAATGAGCATGACTGTGTTCAAATAAAACTTTATTTATGAAAAATAGGTAATGGACCAGATTTTTGAGGAGATATATTTTAAGAGAGAATGGCTGCAGGTTTTTGAACACTAATGAAAAACATGAGTCCACAGATTCATACTGTCCCAAACAAGAGAGCAAAGAGAAAAGTCATGCCTGGTGACCAGGTCACTAGGTGACTAGGTCAGGGTTAAACCCTGACTAGCCTAAAGAAGACCTCCTTACCACTGCTTTGCTCATTTCCTTCAATGCACTTACCACTAAAAGAATGTTTTTGTTTTTTAGTCTACCTCCCCATATCATAGTGAAATGCGTAATACCAAAGACAAATAAATTTAAAAAGCAGCTGTAGAGAAAAACAGAGTATTTGCAAAAATTTATGAATTAGAATTGCAGAATTAGTAATAAGAGAAGATAGTGGAAAAATATCTTCAAAGAGTTGAGATCATTACCAATACAAAATTATATGCCCAACTAGTCTGTCTTTTGAGGATGAGAATGCAGACATTTACAGATAAACAAAAATGAAAGAATTTACCAAGAAATACACACTAAAGAGATTTTAAAAGGCTCTTCTTTAGGAATCTATTCAAACAGCTATATATTTTAGGGAGAAGCCAAATCACCAAATTCCAGACACTTGAAATCATGAGAGATGACAAGAATGAAATTGAATGTCAGTCAATATAGTTTTCTTCAGATATTGATTTTTAGAGAAAGCTGAAATTCGTGCTTTTGTAGTTTTCTTTTTTTTTTTTGAGATGGAGTCTTGGTCTGTCACCCAGGCTGGAGTGCAGTGGCGCGATCTCAGCTCATTGCAACTTCCACCTCCCGAATTCAAGCAATTCTCCTGCGTCAGCCTCCTAAGTAGCTGGGACTACAGGCAACTGCCACCATGCCCAGCTAATTTTTTTGTATTTTTTGTAGAGACGGGGTTTCACCACGTTGGCCAGGATGGTCTTGATCTCCAGATCTTGTGATCCGCCCGCCTCGGCCTCCCAAAGTGCTGGGATTACAGGCGTGAGCCACTGCGCCTGGCTGCTTTTGTAGTTTTTGTGTGTGTGTGCTTTCGTATTTCCTTTAGTTTTTCTAGTTGTTTGTTTTTTGTTTGTTTGTTTGTTTTTGATGTAAAGTAGAAATGAGGTCTATGGTGCTACAAATGGTTGGGGTATTCTATAAGGTCTTCTTTTATCACATGGTTTAAACATTTTTTTTTTTTTTTGCAAAGAATTTCTTTTTCTTCTTTCTTTTTTCAGACAGGGTCTCGCTCTATTACTCCCACTCGAGTACAATAGTGCAATCATCACTTGCTGCAGCCTCGAACTCCTGGGCTTACAGGATCCTCTCATCTCAGCCTCCTGAATAGCTGGGAATACAGGCACATGCCACTGCACCTGGCTAATTTTTAATTTTTTTAAAAAAATAGAGACAGCGTCTTGCTATGTTGGCCAGGTTGGTCTTGAACTCCTGGGCTCAAGTGATGCGCCTGCCTCACCTCCCAAAATGCTGGGATTAGAGGCGTGAGCCACCGTGTCTGGCCTTAATTTTTAAATTTTTTAGAGACTAGATCTCACTGTGTTGCTGGTCTCAAACTCCTAAGCTCAAGTGATCCTCCTGTGTCGGCCTCCCAAAGTGCTGGGGTTACAGGTGTGAGCCACCAGGCCTGGCCACAAAGAAATTTCTGTCCGGTGATTAGTAGTTCTAGATTTTTGTCTTGTCTTTTCTGTACATAGATAACTTGTGAACATATTTATGCTGGACATTTGGTAAATGGAGAACCTCTCCTCCCTGCCCAAATTTGTTAAATATAGGAAAGATCAAAGTTAAGGACTTCATCAAAAACGTGAAATGTTCCATGATTGCAAAAACTGCAGAAAGCCACTGAAGATCAGATGGAAGTATTTGGCCTCAGTTTGAATAATAAAGTGATCACTGATAACTTTCTCTTTTAGTTTTTATTTTTAAATTATAAATTGACAAATTATAGTTGTATATATTTATGGGGTATGGAGTGATGTTATGATCAATTAATACAATGTGGAATAATTAAACCAAACTTATTAACATATCTCACCTCAAATACTTATTTTTTTTGTGATGAGAACATTTAGAATTTTAGCAATTTTGAAATGTACAACACATTATTTACTATGTACATTACATTGTGCAATATCTCCAAGAAACAAAAATTCCTTCTAACTGAAGCTGTGTATCCTTTTACCTTCATCTCTCCATTTCTCTAAGCCCTCACTAATGACTATTAATATATAGTCTAATATATAGAAGTCTAATATATCGTTTAATGCATAGTCTAAATATATAGTCTAACATAGAAGTTGAAGCAAAATGACCTTGAGTTTAAATAAGAACTAGATGTTCTAATAATGGGAAGGAAGTATTTGTCCTTATATAAAAATGATAAACGATTGTCACAATATGTAGCATTTATCGAGCACTTATAAACTGTGCCTCAGAAGTGGTGCTAGGGCTGTCTGTATGGTTTTGCATTTGGTCCTCAACACTGTCCCTTTAGTTTGAAGTCCATTGTCTCCATTTTGTAATTAAGAAACCAAGGCTTAAAGATGTTTGAATAAGTTACTCAATACACAGCCAATAAGTAGCAGAACTGGAATTTGAAACCAAACTTAATCTGACTCTTGTGCAGAAATTTTGCCTCAACCACAAGAGTCATCTGTGGTACCTTGAGCTGAAAAGCAAGTTTAGACAATTGCTACACTTATTATTTAAATGTATTTATATGTTCTCCAAAATTTATAATATGCACAGAAGCAATTAAAGGTGATATTGAAAGCGTGGGATTGAGGGGGAAAGAGGAATTACTTAACTAGTTGTCAAAGGCATGCAAAGAATTCCTTCCAAATGTCAAGTACTGAATTAGAGTGATTCTTGAAATGTAGGTTTGATTTCTGAAGCATTTTTATATGTGGCAAAAGCTTTTAAATTAGAATATTCTTCTTTCTAGTGGAAAGAGTGAAAGAACAATTAAAACTTTCCTTGGAAAACAAGAATGGCATAGCACAAACTGGTGAATTGACAGTTGTGCTTGATGGATTGGTGATTGAGCAAGAAAATATAACAAACTGCAGCTCATCTCCAACCAGTAAGCTAACTTTATATGTTTGTAAAATTTCAAGGAAAAAGAATAAGCAAGAAGTATATAAAAACCTAGTTTTTTTCTTTCTTGTTGTTCAGTAGAAATACAGGAAAATGGTGATGCCTTACATGAAAATGGAGAGCCTTCAGCAAGGACAACTGCCAGGTAGAATATTTTATTTGAATATGGGTGGCGACATGATGTGGAACATATTTCCTGAATAAGAAGTTTTATATTTTACCTTAGTTTAGAATTTGCCACACAGTTTAGAAGCTTATGTCTAAGCATGTCATTTGGTTAATTCTTGTGAAAGTAGCTTTTTAAAAAATTACAGCTTTATTGAGATATCATACATATATCATGAAATTCACTTTTTAAAAGTATACATTTTAGTCGTTTTTAATATATTAAGAGAGTTGTGTTACCTTCTCTACTGTCTGATTTCAGAATATTCTACCTTGAAGAGAAACCATGTATATACATGAGTAGTCACTCTCCATTTTTCCCTGCACCCATGAATCTACTTTTTCTGTGTCTGTGGATTGTCTATTCTGGCCATTTTCTATAAATGGATTCATATAATATGTGACCTTTTGTGACTGACTTCTTTTTCTTAGCATGTTTCAAGGTTCATTTATGTTGCAGCATATACAGTGCTTTATTTTTTTTATTGAAAATGGCTTTTTAAAATCTGTATTTAGACATATTTTATGAGTACAGTCAGATACTATGGATAAATAGGTATCATACCGCTCTCTGGATTGGCATTATCCTGTAAATCATGAGAAGATAAATGCTTCACAGATTGTGGCCTTCCTTCAGACATCATTGTGGCCTTCCCTCAGACATCATTCTACCATTTCAGAAACTCCCTGGCATTCACAGTTCATGACAATTAATAGAGGTTTTTTGTTTGAAGTAATTTAAATTGGAATAAAATAATAGAGCAAATAAAGTAGAATTAACACCTGAAAATATAAAAATATATTGTGGTAAAATGGACTCATTACCTTTGAAAAAGCATGCTAGTATATGACAAAGTGTGACTTTTATTAATCTATAGTTACTAGTATCGTTTCTTCTAAGTTGCCGTTAAGTGATTCTCATTAGACCACTTGAACAGATAAGTATGCCTTCTGAATGTATATTTGGCTTAAGTACATATATTTAATGTCCATATAATTTAAAAAAATTTAGATGGATAGAGGAGCTTGAATTACTACCAAATGTTGTCAATTGCATAGTAAGACGCTTTGAATTAAAGATTAGTTCTACAGTACGGGGAGAAATTCAAATGGGTTCTTTTACCTAGACTTCTGAATCACTGATTCTTGCTGGTTGGCTGGGGAGGGGTATACAAATCACAATCATTTCAGTCTTTACCTGCCCAAACTTCCTAAACACATCTTGTTCCAAATATATAGGCAACAAGGGAAAGGAGGGTGGGATTCATTAATGTTCATTCAACAGATAGTTACTTAATGCCTGTTTGATGCCAGACATTAGTCCAAGTATTAAGAATACCAGCCCTGATCCCATGAAATTTACATTCTGATGGGATAAAGGTAGATAGTAGACTGGGCATGGTGGCTCATTCCTGTAATCCCAGTACTTTGGGAGGCCGAAGCGGGCAGATCATGAGGTCAGGAGTTCGAGACCAGCCTGGCCAACATGGTGAAACCCCGTCTCTACTAAAAATACAAAAAAAATGAGCCAGGCATGGTGGTGCGCACCTGTAATCCCAGCTACTCAGGAGTCTGAAGCAGGAGAATTGCTTGAACCCGGGAGGCGGAGGTTGCAGTGAGCTGAGATCGCGCCATTGCACTCCAGCTCTGGGCGACAGAGCAAGACTTCGTCTCGGGGGGAAAAAAATAAATAAATAAAGATAGTAAACAACAGAAGACATAAATATGCTAATTAGACATAGCGATAAGCACTATGAAGTCATTTAAACAGGACAAGATGACAGGAATGGAAGGGAGCCTATTTTTAAAAGAGATGCCAAGGAATCATCTCTGAGGAGGTATGATTTGAGCTAAGATTAATAAGCCACAAATGAACCATCTGTGCAGAGTTCTGAGGGAAGAATGTTCCAGACAGAGGAAACAGCAACTTCAGAGACCCCAAGTTTGTTTACAGTTATGTTCTAGAAATTCTTCTAACTCTAGAGAATAATATTTAACCTTTTCTGATAATTTCATAGTTGTATAATTTTACCACCTGGCATATAATAATTTGTAATAAACATTTGAAGACTGTTCAGTATGTTTTTGATATTCAGTAAAATCGATTATCTGCTGCAAAGTGAGCAAGGATGAGCTTGGAGAGAAATAGGTTAGAGAGAAGATGGGATAAAGGTGTGGCTGATTTTCAAAAGATTTGTTGGCTAACCAGGAGAGTGACGTGATGACCTGGTTTATATTTTTAAAACAATGCTCAGGCTGCTCTGTGGAGAGCAGTTATGGGATGACCTGTGTATTTGGAAAAGCTCTCCTGGTCACTTACATGATAATTTCCAATTGCTTTGAACTTTTTTTGTTTTTTTTTTTTTTAAACACTGTGTCTCACCAAATCGCCCAGCTCCTTCCACTGCCAATAAGACTTAAAATGTTTGATTTTGTTGTTAGTTATTTATTTGCTGATGTATATACTATACATTTTTATAGTTCTGGGGTATAATATTTAGCTTTTTTTGATCATCCTGTAGTCATGATTTTAGTGCCTAGTATATGCTAATTTGTAACTAATATTTGAAGACTGTTTTTCACTTATTTTTCAAGATTTAATAAAGTTATAATAGTTTCAGGCCAGGTACAATGGCTCACACCTATAATCCCAGCACTTTGGGGGTCAAGATGGGAGGATCGCTTGAGGCCAGGAATTTGAGACCAGCCTGGGCAACAAAGGGAGATCCAGTCTCTACAAAAATTTAAAAAATTAGCTGGGCACTGTGATGCACGTCTGTGATCCTAGCTGATCAAGAGGCTGAGGCAGGAGGATTACTTGAGCCTAAGAGGTTGAAGCTGCAGTGAGCCACTGCACTCCAGCCTTGGTGACAGAGTGAGATCCTGTCTCTAAAAAAAAAAAAAAAAGTTTACAGTAGTTTATACTTGATTTTTATTTTTATGATTCATATAATTTCATGAACTTTTTGAAACTACTTTCAGAGCTTTTAAAATAGATTAATATTAGGCTTAAATATTTAAAATGTACAATTTGAATATTATTGTGGGAGACCGTATTTATTTTGACTTAGTATGTTTGTATATCTCAGTATTTTTTTATCTGCAGAATGAATACACTTAGAACTGAAAAGTAATTAAAACTTTAATATAAAACATGTCATATCTTTGTTCATTACTCTATTTACCTATCATTTTACTTGAAACATAAAAACTCAATTGTTTGGAAATAGAATCTAAAAAATTTTAAAAAAGAAATAACAAAAAAGAAACTTAAGAGAATTTAGTAAATCCTATGAAAATTCTCATGAAATGTTGTTGAATTATACTTAAATGATTGAAATAAGGCATTTTTTTTTCAAGGTTGGCTGTTGAAGGCACGAATGGAATAGATAATCATGTACCTACAAGCACTCTAGTCCAAAACTCATGCTGCTCGTATGTAGTTAATGGAGACAACACACCTTCATCTCCGTCTCAGGTTGCTGCCAGACCCAAAAATACACCAGCTCCAAAACCACTCGCATCTGAGCCTGCCGATGACACTGGTAAGCAAGGCTATTTATGACACCTTGTTTAAAGGAAAAGTAAATGAAGTTTATGTATCCATCCATGCCTACACTTCCCTTTTTGTGTAGTCTTTTTTTTGAGACGGAGTCTCGCTCTGTCACCCAGGCTGGAGTGCAGTGGTGCGATCTCGGCTCACTGCAACCTCTGCCTCTTGGGTTCAAGCGATTCCCCTGCCTCAGCCTCCCAAGTAGCTGGGATTACAGGCACCCACCACCACAACCAGCTAAAAAGTTTTTGTATTTTTAATAGAGACAGAGTTTCACTTTTTTGGCAACTGGCTGGTCTCGAACTCCTGACCTCAAGTGATCTGCCCACCTCAGCCTCCCTAAAGTGTTGGGATTACAGGCATGAGCCACTGCACCCAGCCTGTGCAGTCTTTCTTAATCTTCTAGTCTATGATAGGAATTTAAAAATTACAATGCCTGAAATTTTTCCTAATAATTTGTAACTTTCTGGATTATTTAGGAAGATATTTCAAAAATATTTTAGAGGTCAGAACTTTTACTGAGCAAGTGCTTATATGAGAGCTAGATTCTTAAGCTTTGCCACAAAAAATACTATGTAATTCATGATATAAAATATATTTCTGAAAGAACTTTAGTTAATTCATTGATTTCTAAGTAAAAGTGAGTAATGAATGGTTCTTTTATCCCATCTTTCAGTAT
The DNA here is from genome assembly GCF_000001405.40 of Homo sapiens. Lineage (NCBI taxonomy): Eukaryota > Metazoa > Chordata > Mammalia > Primates > Hominidae > Homo > Homo sapiens. The sequence goes on from NC_000008.11 coordinate 86,402,891, forward strand.
ACAAATTTATTATTCTTGGCATCTAACTTGGTGGAAAAATGTACTGCGAGTTGAATAGCTCTCAGAAAGTTTATTTTCCAAAAGTAAGCATTACTGTATTATAGAAGGAATGCCTAAGGAAGATGTCCTCTATAATCCTTAGTGGACTCATTTATAAGATTCATAAATTGTTTTGTTTGGTCATTGTATATTAACTCTTTCAGGTGAGTCTCCTGAAACTTAAACATCTTAGGACGTGTTTAAGATTATTAGCACACATGTTGGGAATTAAGTTGAAATCCTGGTCTTTTTATTCAAGAGCGTATGTTCCTCCCTGTGTTTGTCTATTTATGGAAGTATTCAGAATTAGAAACATGGAAAGAAGCAATTCAGTAATTACATTAAAATAGATGGATCTTTTTGATAATGAGTCTTTTATTTTTTGAGATGGAGTCTCACTCTGTTGCCCAGGCTAGAGGGCAGTGGCAGGATTTCGGCTCACTGCAACTTCTGCCTCCTGGGTTTAAGAGATTCTTGTGCCTCAGCCTCCTGAGTAGCTGGGATTACAGGTGTGTGCCACCATGCCCCCTAATGTTTGTATTTTTAGTAGAGATAGGGTTTCACCATGTTGGCCAGGCTGATCTCAAACTCCTGACTTCAAGTGATCCACCTGTCTCAGCCTCCCAAAGTGCTGGGATTACAGGCGTGAGCCACCGTGCCTGGACAGTAATAAGTCTTAATTGTGTATTTTTACCCAAGGTTGGTGTTTGGGGAGATGTTTACCAAGAGCTGTCTGAGAGTTTTTGTAAACATTGAGAACTGACACATGAATGATATTTTCAAAATTTAATTTCTTTAATAATGCTCCCCTTAAAAAAAAAAAAAGAAGTAGACTAAAATACGGTTTCCCAAGTACTCACAGTAGGTAGAATTTTTTAGTCTTAATTTAAGGTGGCTAGAAAACAAAGAGAAGAATAGATACAATTATGGTGAAATTAATGAGCAAAGTTCATGTATTTTCTGATTTTCACCTACTTTCTGGTAAGAACATTTGTCTCTGAGATTCCTATTAGCAAAGCAGAAAAGGAAATATTGTCTTGGATTATTCAGATTATTTCTAAATTAAGAACAGACTAGTTAAAACTGCTACTATTTCTAATACAGGTGGAGTGTCTCTAATCTGAAAAATCTCAAATCTGAAATGCTCCAAAATCTGAAACTGTTTGAGCATTGACATGATGCTGAAAGGAAATGCTCGTTGGAGCATTTCAGATTTTGAATTTTTGGATTAGGGATGCTAAACTGGCAAGTAAAATGCACATATTCCAAAATTTAAACAAATATCTAAAATCTGAAACATTTCTGGTTCCAGGCATTTTAGATAAGGGATATTCAACTTGAATATGGATTTGGAGGTTTTGATCTTATTCCTAAAATATTCAGCTGATGGAATACATTGGTGAAAGTATCCATTGACCACTAATTAGTTGTATGTTTTGGCATTTGGATGTATTCAGATGTTGATATAAAAAGGAGACGAAATTGAGGCTTTCCTCATCATAGAATCTTATTTATACCTCTACAGCTTGTCTGATACTTTATAGATTCTTTCCATTGGTAATAAGTTCAGTTCTCGCATTTCTTTCTTATTTATTCTTGCCTAAAATTTTAAGGTAAAAATAAAATGGATGTGAGGAACATGAAGGTTCCATCATAAATAATTCTCATGACATTCATAGTAACTGTAAGGAAATCTATGACAATCGGAAAAATAGTGATAATAGCTCATATTTGTGCCCTGCATGTTCTAAATAGTATATATCCATTAACTGATTTATCTCTCTCACAGTAACTCCTTGAAATAGGTGGTAGTATTTTTCCTTTTCTCTGATGAAGGAACTGAGGCACTGAGAGGGCACAGCTAGGAAGTAGAAGAACTGTAATTGACATTCCGCTATCTGGCTGTTGATTCTGTGCACTTTGCCTTCTTCCTATTCATTTTGATGTGTGTGGTTTTTATAGGATCTCAAAGCTATGCTGTTCATCTTTTATACTGCTAGGCTTCACACAGCATTCCCCTAGCCTTTTCACCACCTCTGATTATTGCTAGTGACATCTGACAAAACAATCTAACTGTCATCATTCTATTGGCCGGTTTACAGAGGCTTCCGGAACCTGCTCTGTTGGTAGCAGCCATTTAACTGATGTCTTTTTGTATGATTGTTCATCACTTAATAAAGGATGAATTCAGGTATCTTTTCAAGGAGTGGGTAATCCCTGTCCTTTTAAGGTGTTGGTATAAGATGGCATTACTTTTTCTAATTAAGGATTTCAAAAATTAGCTTTTGTTTTTGGAGATGGGATAGGGGTGTGCATATTCTATGTGTAACATAATTAAATGCTTTTAATCTCTTAATCTGCAGTTCCACAATCTTGAAATCTCTGAAACCAAAAGGATTTTTTTTTTTTTTTTTTTTTGGTAAACTCATTTGATGGCAAAATGACTAGAACTGATGAAAGGCTATTTATGGTTCTTATTTATCATGGCTACTGTGCATATCTCTACATTTCGCTGCAGAAATATTAATGTATTTAATCACGATGTGTGGCCCCTAAACCTCCTCCAGGCATAGTGTAATATACAATATATATGCCATTACCTTTGTTTGTTTGTTTTTTTGAGACAGGGTCTTGCCCTGACTTCCAGGCTGGAGTGCAGTAGCACCATCATGGCTCACTGTAGCTCTGACCTCCTGGGCTCAAGCGATCCTCCTGCCTTAGCCCCCTGAATAGTTGGGACTATAGGCATGTGCCACCATGCCTGTCTAATATTAAGATTTTTTGTAGAGATGAGGTTTTGCCATATTGCCCAGGCTAGTCTCAATCTCCTGGCCCCAAGCAATCATCCCACCTCAGCTTCCCAAATTGTTGGGATTACAGGGGTGAGCTACCATGTTGTCCACTGCTACCTTTCTAAATTCCAAAGAAAGTTATGAATTCTGGAACACACCTGGCACTTTGAGGTTTCAGATTAGGAATTGTGGGTCAATACTAAGGGGTTTAAGACAAACGATATATTTCTGTCAAAGACATTATTATATATGAGGGCTTCCACCTCCCCCACCTCCTGTTCTTTTGAAGCTTGAGTAAGGGGATCCATCTGACGGTTTAGTTGCTATGAAGATTGGCAGGTATTCCAGGTTAAAATGGGAGGCAGTCATGATGTAGTAAAAAGATTAGATTTAGCTTCTGACAGGAGGTAACGTGGTGTCTCAGCTCAACCACTTGCCATGTTAACTCTGTAACCTTGGACAAATTGAACATCCTCAAAATTTATGAAAAGAGGATAATATGCGACTACCTTATAGGACAGTTTTGGAGGTTAAATGAGATAATCTAAAACATTCATAATAGTCCTTGGAGAGTGGTATTTAAGAAAAATATATTCTGTTCCACTTTGTTCCTCTGGTCATAACTTCTAGTGTCAAATAACTTTTTCTAATATATAGTTGTTATTTTATTAATAAAGTAGATCAGAGCTCAGTATGGTGAGTTTCAGACAGAAGTACATGATATCACAAGTTTATTATATTTTTTTCTTAGCTCTTTATTCTGAAGTAATTATAAATAAACAGAAAGTTGCAAAGAAATGTATGGGAAGGTCCCATGCACCCTTCACCAGCCTCCTCCAGTGTTAACATCTTGTATAACTATTTTGTACAAAATCAGGAAATTGACATGAATACAACCCATACAGCTTGTTCACATTTCACCATTTCTACCTGTGTGTGTATGTGTGTGTGTGTGTTTCTATACAGTTTTGTCACACATATGGCTTCATGTACCACCAGTTCAATCCAGGTACAGAACTGTAGCATCACCAGAAGACTCCCTCATGATGTACCCTCTTTAAAGCTACATCCACTCTCAAGTGTGAACTGAATGTTAAAGAAACTTGCTGTGTATATGCAAGCAGTCATTTCTCATGTCATAGTTTTAAAATGGAGTAAAAATGGTATTCACTCTAGTATTTCTACTTTTTTCTTCTTTATTTGAATGTACTTTTAGGGTGAGGACAAATACGTGGTGCTTTGAGATGGATATACCATAAAGTTCATGTGAAACTTAACCTCTCAAAGATTAAACATGAAGTTAGGAAGCTATGTCTTGTAACCCAGAAGTCATAATGGCTGAAAGTAAGGCTTGGGAGATGTTCATTCAGAACCCAAGTCAGTGGGTGTGGTCTTATGTCTTGTGGAGATGAGATGGTTTGCATAAGCTTCTGCTATCATAACTATTACATAAGATTTTAATTTTTTGCCCCGTGTTTCTGCATGAGCAAGGAGCCTACCATCCTGTCCTTCCTCTTTCCTTTTCCTTTCCTTCTTTTTTCGGTTTTATCTGTTCAATCTTTCTTATATCCATTTGTCAACAGATGTTTATTTTGCAACTACCATAGGCTGCACACTGCCAGGTGGATGGGCACATAGGTATCAGAGTTTCTCAATTTCAGCACTGTTGACATATTGGCCCAGGTAATTCTTTGTTGTAGGGGGCTGTCCTGTGCATTATATTAATAGAATGTTTAGCAGTATTCCTGATCTGTATCCACTAGGTGCCAGTAATATCTTACCTTCTCCTAGTTGTGATGACCAAATGCATTTACAGACATTACTAAATGTCTTTGGCGGTGGGGAGAGCAGAATCTTCCCTAGTCAAGAACCATTGATATATATGAACAGTAATCTCTCCAGTCAAATATTATTGTGGCATCTTAATGCGGTTCTGAGCAGTATTGAAGAACCAACATTTGTTGAATTATTGAATAGAAATAATTTGTTTCTAAGAGTTTTTTTTAAATTAATAGACTTTATATTTTAGAACAGTTTCAGATTTACAGAAAAACTGGGGAGATTGTAGAGAGTTCCCATATGTCCTCCCATCCCACTCAGAGTTTTTGTATTACTAACATTTTGCATTACTGTGATGTTTGTTACAATTAATGAACCATTAATAATACATTGTTATTAACTAAAGTCCATAGTTTACATTACCTTATATTAACTAATGTTCCTTCTTTGTATTGTACTGGTTCTGTGGGTTTGAGAAATGCATATCGTCATGTACACACCATTACAGTATCATACAGAATAGTTTTACTACTCTAAAATTTGTTTCATTTGTTTATCCCTCAAACCCTTTGCAACAGCTGTTTTTAAATACTGGCTCTATAGTTTTGTCCTTTCCAGGATGCTACATAGTTGGAGTCCTACAGTGTGGGTAGCCTTTTCAGATTGGCTTCTTTCACTTAGCAAGGTGCATTTAAGGTTTCTCCATGTTTTTTGTGGCTTGACTTCTCATTTCTTTTTATCACTAAATACTCACTTATTATAAAGGCTCCTTGGTTACTTCAGTTTTTTACAATTGTGAAAAACATTGCTATATACATTTGTGTGCAGGCTCTTACGTGAATATAAGTCTTCAATTCAGTTGGATTGAGGAGTGAGACTGGTGGGTTGTATTTTTAAAGTATGTTTACTTTTGTAACAAACGGCCAAACTGTCTTCCAAAGTGGCTGTACTCCTGCATTCCCACTGCAGTGAATGAGAATTCCTAGTGCTTTGCATCTCACCAACATTTGCATTTCAAGGAGAGTTGTTTATTGTTTATTATTATTTTAACAATACTGAATCTTCCCATTGAGAGATATTTTATGTCTGTATTCATTCTTTTTAGTAATGTTTTTTAAAGTGTTTTCTTCACGCTGGTTGTGCAGTGGCTTACGCCTGTAATCCCAGCATTTTGGGAGGCCCAGGCTGGGGAATCACTTGAGGTCAGGAGTTCGAGTCCAGCCTGGGCAACATAATGAAATCCTAAAAATGCAAAAAAATTTAGCCGGGTGTGGTGACGCATGCCTATAATCCCTGCTACTTGGGAGGCTGGGGCAGGAGAATTGCTTGAACCTGGGGTGCTGAGGTTTCAGTGAGCTGAGATCGCGCTACTGCACTCCAACCTGGGTGACAGAGCAAGACTCTGTCTCAAAAAAAAAAAAATTTTTTTTCTTCGGATAGGTCTTGAAGTAATCTTGTTGTTGATCTTGTGTCTGTTCATTTTGCTGAAATGTTTTAGCTCCAATTAATTGGTTCTAATGGGGTTTTTAAAAAAATTTTCTTGTGTATTCTAAATAAATAATCTATTTGTCATTTTCACTACAAATGAGTTTTACCATATTCTTTCCAATGTTGTTATGACTTTTCTTAATGGATTGTCAAATATAATCAATACTGAATTGGCTTGGTAATTGTGATCTTCCTTGTTTTGTTGCTGATTTTAATTTATTCTTTTTCTTTTTCTTTCTTTTTTTTTTTTTTTTTTTTTTCTTCAGACGGAGTCTTGCTCTTTTGCCCAGGTTGGAGTACAGTGGCGTGATCCTGGCTCACTGCAACCTCTACCTCCCGGATTCAAGCAATACTTCTGCCTCAGCCTCCTGAGTAGCTGGGATTACAGGCACACAACCACCACACCCAGCTAATTTTCCTATTTTTTGGTAGAGACAGGGTTTCACCGTGTTGGTCAGGGTGGTCTCAAACTCCTGACCTCGTGATCCACCCGCCTCGGCCTCCCAAAGTGCTGGGATTACAGGCGTGAGCCACTGTGCCCAGCCCTGATTTTACTTTATTCTTGATCTTAATAGAAGTTCTTACAATAGGCTGGGCACAGTGGCTCATGCCTGTAATCCCAGAACTTTGGGAGGCCAAGTTGGGTGGATCATTTGAGGTCAGGAGTTCAAGACTGGCCTGGCCAACAAGGTGAAAGCCCATCTCTACCAAAAAATAGGAAAACTAACCAGGCGTGGTGGCGGGTGCCTGTAATCCCGGCTACTGGGGGGCTGAGGAAGGAGAACCGTTTGAACCCGGGAGGTGGAGGTTGCAGTGAGCTGTGATTGTGCCACTGCACTCCAGTCTGGGCCACAGAGCGAGACACCTTCTCAAAAAAAAAAGTTCTTAAAATGTTTTACAATTATTGTATATTAATGACTGTAGGTTTGTGATAGATAATCTAGATTACTTCTTAATTTTTCATGATTCTTCTTATCAGGCATTTTACCAAGATTTTCTTGAATGCTTTTGGTTTGTTTTGAAAATAATCATATGACGTTTATCCTTTAATCTGCTAACAGTAGATTTTCTAATGTAGTTTCCTAATATCAAATCATCCTTGAATTTATACATGATGTTAGTCTATAGTCTTCTTGTTCTGTTGTTGTTCAGTTTCAGCTTTGAAAGTTTACATTACCTTCCCAGAATAAGTTAGGACACTCCTTTTCACTTTTTCTCCCCTAATGTGTTATAACACCTTAAATAACATAAGAATGATCTATCCAATAAAGGCTTCATAGAATTTTCTCAAAAACCTTTCTGAGCCTGGAGCCTTTAGGAGGGATGATATTAGAACTTTCATCACCTTTTCCATTGCTGCTCTGATTTGTCTTTTTTTCTTTCCCTTGAGTTAGTTTAGCTAATTTCAAACTCATTGATATGAAATTGTACGTGGTATTTCTAATGTTATTTATATTAAACATGTTTTCTTTATAACACTTGGAAAGGTATATTTCATGGTTTCTCCAGCTTTCCTGAGTAAAAAAATCATATGCATTTGTTAAAAATGCAGATCCCCAGGTTCTTCCCTAGAGATTTCCCCTAGAGATTCAGTAAGTCTAGGATGAGGACTTAGATACTATATTTTCAGTAAGTTCTGGAGTCTTATCAGGTGCATTAGGAAATTCTGATCTTTTTTTTGGGTCTTTTGACCAAAATTCATTTTCTTCTACTTACTTTTTTTTTTTTTTTCTGTATCTGGAATGAATTCTAAGCTCTTTTGTTACCATTCTTTCTTACATCTTTAGGTACTTCTTTGGCCATGTCCAGTAGCATTTAATCTGAGTGTTTTCTTTTTGTCATTAATTCTCCTAAAATTTGTGATTATGTCTCCCTCTGCCATTTCCATTAGAACTTTGATATATGGTCTTCCAGTAGGTTTTGTTCTGTAATCTATTCACCCTTACAGTTTTAATTTGACTCATTTTTATAGTGACACGTAGTCGAACTAGATCAATCACACTTAAAATGAAAATTAGGAAAACTGTGTCACTGGATTGCAGTACTGGGTTATTTCTTGAAAAAGTGTAGAATGGGTTCTTGCAACCCCTATAGTACTATCTTAAGAACTGATGCCATCATACAGTTCCTACTATTGGCAAAACAGTTCGTTTGATGTTAGCTACCACTTACACAAGGGAAGGGCGATTGAAAGGGATCATTTTTCAGAGTTTAGATGGCCCATACAGACTTCCTCTCAGAATTGATGATTTGGAGGGAAAACACTGGTTATCTTAATGCTGGTTCCTCTCTCCTTAAGGTTGTTATTATTATACATACTTAAATTTTTATCATTTACATATTCATCCCTGAAATTTTGAGCAACAAAAATAAAATCTCCATTTTATTTTATGTTACATATTTTGAAAATATTACTTTGTCTGCTGTTTGGAGAATGGATTGTAGTTGCTTAGTCTGGATTAGGCTCTGAATAAGTGTAGTCAATTGATTAGGTAATTGATTGCTTTATCATTACTTGATAGATGATTTTATTAATTTTCCCTTCTCAGTTAATGGAGAATCATCCTCATTTGCACCAACTGATAATGCGTCTGTCACGGGTACTCCAGTAGTGTCTGAAGAAAATGCCTTGTCTCCAAATTGCACTAGTACTACTGTTGAAGATCCTCCAGTTCAAGAAATACTGACTTCCTCAGAAAACAATGAATGTATTCCTTCTACCAGTGCAGAATTGGAATCTGAAGCTAGAAGTATATTAGAGCCTGACACCTCTAATTCTAGAAGTAGTTCTGCTTTTGAAGCAGCCAAATCAAGACAGCCAGATGGGTGTATGGATCCTGTACGGCAGCAGTCTGGGAATGCCAACACAGAAACCTTGCCATCAGGGTATGTTAAGCTTTTTAATGTCTGACTTGCATTTAAGTAGCAACTCTGTTAACATACGATTATTGAATGTGTGCATAAAATGTTTTCATTGTTCAGAACTTTGAAATCTAAGTTGGGATCTGAATCATACTATTTATTTACTTGCTACAAAACAAGTACTTTTTGAAACTAAGAACAATTGCTCATCTGGTTGACATATATGTAGTACGAAGGGAAAAGAAAAAACCTGATGTTAATTAGCAAGACCCTCTTAATTTGATTCTTGGTTTATTTCTACTTTTCGTAAGAGTGACCATGATACTCCATATAATATCCTCAGTTCTCTGGCATCCTTGGTGATCTGTTTTCCAGACCTCATACTGGAGAGCAAATAGCTCTTCTTTTCCTCAGCTAATATTGAGTGCTGGGGAGTCACAAACCTTGCTGATTGGCTCTATTAAAAATGCAGTTTTTCATTGCTGGTTAGTAATTCTTAATCTCTTTTAAGTTTCTCATTATAATTACTCAACTTCCCATGATTTTCTTTAAAGAGTATTCTATATGTGTATTCCATTCGGTAATTTCTTTGACCTTTGGCACTGATAATACTAATATTAATTAATGATTAATTGTCTCTGCCTTCAAGAAGCTTATTTAGTGATTCACAGTTGTAAACGTGTACAGTATATACAGTACAGTCAGAAAGTATATATGGACACGTGCTTTCCAACACAGTTTACAGTGATCAGAATGTCAACTGTTGTAGCTATTGAAACTGCACTTCTAGATGTCTCTACACTATTGTCTTCATTTTGTTACCTCAGTCACTATGTTAGTGTACGTTGGTTTTTTTTTTGGAATTGTTTTTTTTTTTCTCAGTGCCCTTTACTGGCTCGTCTGATGTTGTCCACTGCTTAATTACGGTTTCAGCCTTTGGTCTTCCTTTGTGTGCTTACCCCAGTAGATCTAGCACTCTCCATTATTATTATTTTGGAGCAGAGTTTCATTCTTGTTGGCCAGGCTAGAGTGCAATGGCACGATCTTGGCTCACTGCAACTTCCGCCTCCCAGGTTCAAGTGAGTCTGCTGCCTTAGCCTCCCAAGTGGCTGGGATTAGAGGCACCCGCCACTATGCCCAGCTAATTTTTGTATTTTTAGTAGAGACGGGGTTTTTCCATGTTGGTCAGGCTGGTCTCGAACTCCTGACCTCATGATCCACCCGCCTTGCTTCCCAAAGTGCTGGGATTACAGGTGTGAGCCACCATGCCTGGCCAGCTCTCCATCATTTTAACTATTAAATCTATATGTTCAGGCCAGACTTTTCTTTGAGCTTATTTTCAACTACTTTTCCCTCTTCTGTTTCCTGGAAATGTTTCAGACCCTATATTAGCTTTCCTTTCCCTCTCAAAAATCTCTTGTCCTGTGTCCCATGTTTGGTAAATTAGTCAATTATCCTAGTCTCTCATGTGCCAGTCACTGTGGCAAAGACATATAAGAAGCTGTTCTTACTGTCAAGAACCTCATCGTCTAAGTGGTGGGGGAGGGGAAGAGAAGTAGACAATCAGCCAGCATACAGTACAATTAAAGCTATGCCAGAGGTAAGTTTAGGATGCCATGACAAGGAATACATGCAGAGAAGGAATGGGAGGAGTTACCTGCGCCGTTGACGTCAAAGAATACTTTCGAAAGCTATGACACGTCAGTGGATTCTGAAAGAAGAGGAGGAGTTAGCAAATAGTGGAGGCACGAGTGGTGAAAATTTCATTTTCAGTAGAGCCGACTGCACATTCAGATTCCTAGCACCCATGAAAATGAGTATGCTGAACCCAGGAATTATTATTTTGTTATAGTTTGAGTTCAGCATTTGAGGCAGCAAGATATATAATGCTGAAGAGAAAACAGCCCTGTGAAGAATTTTGTGTGATTTCGAAGGGTTTGGAAGTTTTTTCTGAAAACCACGAATAAGCATTAAAGAATGTAAAGCAGGGGAGTGGCATAATCCTCTTTGCTTTTATTAAGATCATTTTTGCAGTGGTATAGACAGCTGAGGAGTTAAGGAGTTGGGATAGCAGCCAGGCTGTTTTATAAATGAGGGAAGCCGGCATTCCAGTTCAAAACAGTAAGTACATAAACCTAATTCTGTTGAGACCAGATAAATGCTTCAGCAGACTTGTTGTCACCACTTATGATCTTTGTATTAGAATTTTGCAGTAATCTATATTAGTGTTTTTCAAATTGTAGAGTGCAACCCGTTAATAGGTTATGACCAGCATTTGAACACATAATGAAATAAAGAAATATAGGCGAGAATAGGAAATATTGGAAGATGTTAAATGTAGTAAGAATAAGCATTGTTTCCTGAAAGTTTGTTTTTCTGTGTGTGTGTGTGTGTGTGTATGTGTGTGTATGTAAGTAAAATCAGTAGATAAATAGCAATCTGGTATACACAGAGATATTTATATAAAACACACTTCTTACTGTGTAAACTGTGGTCAAAAAAAGTTTAAAAGCCACTAATCCAGGGGAGAAATTAAGAGAGCCTGAAGTGAGGTAAATGCTAATATTTTAGGTTGACATAAGATGGGTCTTGATAAGTTGTGGGGAGATAGAATAGAAAAAGAGTGGAACCAAGGTGGATTCTTCTGGCATACACAGCACCAGGCTGTGTAACCCTTTGAGTCAGCAGTTTTCAACTCCACATCATCTTCCCTCTTTGCTTAAAAATCTTACCTTAGTTCCTGTGTTTTCTTTTGTTTGGTAACTTACTGAGTCATTTAGCTAACAACAGGATAGGACTATGGGTGCCTCAATCCTGTTGATTGTAATGTACAGCCAAGTTGAGAACTGCTACTTCAAGTTCTTTTGTTAACCCTTTACTCTCCACATTTTTTAATTCACTTTATATAGAGATATGTAGATGAAATAAAAAAATTCTGTGTATCAAAATCTAAAGTATGCATCAGTGAAAAATTGGACAGTGTATTAATATTGAGTACTTTTCAGAGAGATTAAAAATACATTCTGAATCCCCCCCCCATCCCCCCACCCCCGCCCCTAAATAGCGATTAGGCAACTGGGTCATGGCATATTTGACTGAAATAATGATAGAATGTTGGACTTAGGGTAGGAGAGTGATGAGAAAGTGTTCTGTATTTTGTAGGGCATCCAGTTGATATATGTACCTCATGCCGTATACCAAGGAGGCAGTTATATGTACAGTTCCAGAACTGAAGAAGAATATTCTAGCCTGGAGATAACATTTGAGTGTTATGCCAAGCACGATTTTGCCTAAAGAACTTTGCATGTGCTCTTTTATGTATTCTCAAATATACTCAGGTTTTGTTAAAATGTTACCTCATTCCAGAGGTGTTTTTTGAGTCTCCTGTCCAAATCAAGCCAGTTTCCCCACATTTCCGTATCCTGCTTTATTTTCCCCAACATTTTATGTTGAAAATTTACAAATGTACAGAAAATTATAATTTTGCAGTGAAAACCCATACACTTCCCACTAGATTTTACAATTGACCCTTTATTGTGCTTGCCTTATCTCATCTCTTCATCTCTTCATCCATCTGATTTTTAGTGCATTTCAATGAGTTGCAGACATCAATATGTTTTGCCCCTCAACACTTCAGCTTGCAAATCATTAACTGGAATTCAATATGTTTTAAAATTTTTTTAGATAAAGATGACAAAGAAAGAAAAACACGAGTCTTGAATGTACCATTATGATGAATTTTGGCAAATGCGTATGTCTGTGTAACTCAAATCTTTATCGAGATACAGAACATTAATATCACCCTAGAAAGTTGTGATTCTGAGGCAATCAATATTCTAATTTTTTCTACTATAGATTAATTTTCCCTGCTGTAGAACTTACTATAGATGGAGTATGAACTCTTTTGAGTAGGCTTCTTCTAATCAGCATGATGTAACCTTTATTATTTTTCTAGCACTTAAATTATGTGACACACAGTGTTATTATCTGTTGTCTCTCCACTAGACTGAAGGGAGATTTTATTTTGTCTATTTCTATATTCTTCGTGCTCAAAACTATGCCTACCGTATAGCAGGCACTCAATAAATATTTGTTAAATAAGTGAATTTGTGCTACATTAAATGATTTAGAATGACTGAGCAATTGGGCAAAAGCTCTGGCTGGTAAATGCCTCTGGAAGAAATGGTTAACAAGGTCAAAAGCCACTGAAAAATTCTAGGAAGATAAGAACTGAAAGGCACTCATTGAACTTAATTACAAAGAGTTTATTTATTGTTGACCCATGACAGAGTGTGGTTTCAGGGAAATAATAAGAGCTGTATTCAAATTGCTGTGAGTTGGGAGTGAATGAGAGGGGAGGAAGTGTGATAGAGGACTCTTTGGAAGCATGTGAACTAATGTAGAAAACTCTTTCTGTGTGAAGACAAAGGGAAGGAGGAATGTTTGAAAGAAGTGAGCAAGAGGACATACAGAACTGAGGGGTAGATTGTTTTGTAAAATGGAAGAGACTGACAGGTTGATCTGCTGATGCAGTAGGTCAGTGGAGGGAGAGATTGGCCAATACTAGACAGAAAGAGGATTAACTCTGGGATTGTAGTTATGACAAGGCAGCAAGCAGTCTTACTGCCAACCCCTGTTATATAAGTTTGAAGCCAGAAGTTGCCCAGTCGTTCACCAAATTTTATTATTTTTATTGTAATGTATTTTTCAAAATTCTTCCACATTTCTTTTTTTTTTTTTAAGCAAAGTCTTTGTTCAGTACTAGGTTTTGAAAATTTGTATATAATGTTTTAGTGAGACAGAGAGACCATACCTAAACACTAGGTAGAAGAGGGTTATGGTTGAAGGTGAAGTGTGGCAGTTATAAATTAGAGTTCTATTGAGAATTCTCATTAATCAGTAATTTGGTAATTTGCACCTAGTTGAGGGGTGTTCATGAATTTTCACTACGGGATTATCTGGTCTCTGGCCAAATCCAGCCCACCACTTTTATAGGTACAGCTCTAGCAGGCTGTCACTGTGAGTCATGGAGACAAAGCCAGAGCAGCCCCCTTTACCCCTGTACCACTTCCCCCTGAAAGTACCTTCCTCCCTTGCTGCCCAAGGCCTGCTCTGGTCACCACCACATTCTGGGGACTCACTTTTGGTAGCTACCAGGTCCCAAGCCTTGGACACATACCCTGGGAGTGACATCTCAGCACGGTGATACCTCTTGGGCCAGCTGCCAGGGGAGGAGAGAAGGGCACACACAGGGATTCAGGAGTCCCTGGGGCAGACAGTGAAATTGGCCAGGCTGCTCCCTTGTGGACCAGGAACTCTGTGTTCTGAGAATGTTGTCAGCAGCGGGAACTGGGTACACAACATGCCCACAACCCGGGATGCCCCAGCACAAGCAGAGAGGGTGGAGCAGGTCAGGAGTCTCTTTTTATGTAAGTACCTACATAATCATCTTGATTATACCTTTGGTTCACAAAGCCTAAGATATTTACCGTCTGGCTCTTTGTAGAAATTTGCCTACTCCTTATCTAGTGCATTATAGATCTAATAAAGTGCATTCTAGAAAATGCACTTTAGAAAATTAGAAATAAGATAACCGAAAGCAGTTCTGAATATAATGTTCTGTGTAGCAAGAAATTTAGTTTGAGAAAGACAAATTCTATTTAGAACAAACACACTGAAATCTGGAAGTGATCTAAAAGATCAGTGACTAGCATTGTGCTTGGAACGTAAGTGCTTACTGAATATTTGTTAGATGGTAAGTTAGAAATACTTGAAGTTAACTCAGGATAAAACAGAAAAGGGCTTCATAGCCCATTGTATGGATGGAGGGCTTGGTTGTGTTTATTTTTTCCCCCAATTTTAAAACTGTTTCTGATTACAAAATTAAGACATGACCAAATACAATATTTAAGTCATATAGAAATATTAATAGTTCTTAAGCTCACCACTGAGAATGGTGTCTATATATATTATTCCAGTAGCAAATATTTGAGAGCCTTGTTCTAGGCATGTGCAGCAGGGCAGGAGAGCTCAAGGCTCTGTTGTGTAGCACCTGTTGTGTAAAGCTTGTATTTCAGTGGGAAGACAAACAGTGGCCTTATGTAAAAAAACTCGTTGAGTAATGTCCGATAGTGACAAGTTCTATGAGACAAGATAAAAGTGGATGAAGAGGCTAGAGAGCAGCTATATAAATTATTATTTTGCATAAAATATTTTCATAAATAGAATCATACTGTATATAGTTTTTCAGTTGCTTTTAAAAAAAAACTTAGTCATATTTCCACATCAGTACAAGTAAATTCACACATTGACCAAATATTTAATCGACAAATATTTATTAAACTCCTTGTCTGTGTGGCAGGCTCTGTGCTAGGTGCTGTTAGTATACTGATTTGCAAAACAGTTGAAGGCCCAAACTTTGTGGAGCGTATGGTCTAATATATAGGTCTCCCTTAATTCTTTTGAATGGTTTGTAGCGTTTCCTTGTGTATTATTTATTGCTATATAATAAATTACCCCAGAATTTATCTCACACAGTTTCTGAGCATCAAGAATCAGGAAGTGCATTAGCTGGGTGCTTCTACTTGGGGTTCTCATGAGGTTGCCATCAAGCTGTTGGTGGGGGCTGCAGTCATTTGGAGGATGGTTAAGTGCACCTCACTTAGCAAACCCAAGAGAGCTGGATTCTGGCCTGTCAGTGGGAAAAGCTCAGAATATGCATTGGCAGCATTGGATGCCTTTGGAAGTGGTAGTGAAGATGACACTGTAAATGGCAGGACTGAATGTTTGAGAAACCCTAATTCCCTTCCCTGCAGCCAGAACTTCTGCTCTGCCTAGGGGTTTTCTCACTGGAGATACTTGACGCTTGGGAACACCAGGCACATTGGAGGTCAGAGATACTGTCCTAAATCAGCAGACGTAAGTGAGCCTTTGAAAGGTTAGTAAGTGAAGAAGGTTGTAAAGTAAATTTTCAAATACACACCCAACACAGATCCCAGAATATTGACAACCAGGATTTTACCTCCTCAACCAGGAGACTAACAGTATCTTCTATTGAAGACCTCTCCAAAACACTGAAAATACTAATATAGATTGTTCTCTAACAAAACAGTCCCATTATTATCACTCTTTAATTAATCCACAATCCACAAGCCCCACCCAGGCACATAAAACTCCCAGTCAGTTTTCAGTGCCCTTCTCATTAGATATCTGAGGGAAACCTCTTAATTTGAAAGATAGAGATCAAAAAAACAACCTAGAAAATACTGTTTTAAGATATCAGACTAGGGCTGGGCGCGGTGGCTCCCGTCTGTAATCCCAGCACTTTGGGAGGCCTGGGCACGCAGATCACTTGGTCAGGAGTTCAAGACCAGCTTGGCCAATATGGTAAAACCCTGTCTCTACTAAAAATACAAAAATTAGCCAGGCATGGTGGCACGCGCCTGTAGTCCCAGCTACTCAGAAGGCTGAGGCAGAAGAATCGCTTGAACCTGGGAGACGGAGGTTGCAGTGAGCTGAGATCACACCACTGCAGTCCAGCTTGGGTGACAGAGCGAGATTCCATCTCAAAAAACAAAAGATAACAGACTATTTTAATATCCTCTGAGGGATAAAAGTAGATACAACATACATACAACAAGAACCCAATGCTATAAAAATGGAATACTCAAAGGACTAAAAAACTCTTGGAAATTTAATTCAGTGTGAAATTTGACTGATAAAGGTAAAGAAATTTGCCAGACAGTAACACATAAGGACCAGTTCAGACAGTCTGATAAGAAAAGTTCTAGAAAGAGAGAAAATGGGAGGAAGTCCTTAACAAAATAACAAACACAAATTTCTTTATTGAAGAATAAACACAAATTTCTTCATTGAAAAGACTCACTAAAAATCCAGGATGATAAATGAAAACAGATCTATTTTAAGACAATTTGTTGTGAAAATTTTAGTACATTGGGGCCAATTAAATTCTAAATATTTTCAGCGATTGAAAAAGCAGGTTTCATAATAATCAGAATGGCATCAGATTTCCTAGAATCAACACGAAAAGCTAGAAGACAGTGGAAGAGAGTGGGTCCATGCCTTAAATGCTGAAGGAAATTATGCCCAACATATAATTCTGTATCCAGCCACACTGTTTAGTGTTTGCATAGAATAAATACATTCTATGCATATCCTAGGTTTCCAAAAGTTCACTTCTTATGTCTTCTTTCTTAGAAAGCTACTAGGACTTGTGTTTTCCCAAAACTGGGTAGTGAAAGTAAAAGACGTTGGAGGCAGGAATTAGAGGGTCTGCTAGGAGAGGAGTGAAAGGAATGCCGCACAATGATAAAGGAAAGCCCAAACTGGCCTCAGACAGCACTCACTCTAGACTAGAAGCTAATCAGAAGGCAGGTGCAATCATAGAACAGCTAATGAGCTTGAACGTTTTAAGAGGAGATTTATGCAACTGGAAAAGTATTTGGGGTTTAACGATAAGAATGTAGACAATAAGCAAATGGAAGTGGAGATAATTTTTCTAGCTAATAGTATTTTTTAAAAAAAGAAATTGGGGTATGTTCCATGGCTCATCTGTGGGGAGAGTTTACATAGTCATAATGATAACTGTAAGGGAAGGTACAACATATGTGTATATTTGGAATGGTTGGGAGGAGGGTAAGTGTAGATGTGTATGTGTGCAGGAAAGAGACCTGCAGCTTCACCTTTCCTAATAAAAAGTCAATACATTATGTTTGAAATTAAACAAATCACAATAAGTCAAGGAAGTTAATAAGTAAAAGAAGTAAATACCAAAAAAATGGACTGAAACAGTTGAAAATGTTGCCTTGGGGAGTGGAAAATGAAGTGAAAGAGACAGTAGGTACTGTTGTTTTTTGCAATAAGTCTCACAGACTGTATGACTCTGTTTATGTGAAGGTATATATAATTATATAGCTATGAAGGTATATTTTAAACTATCTGAAAGTATATGTAATTTTGATAAAAAATTAAAGCTAAATTAAAAATAGTAAAGGATATTTGTGAAGAAACAGTTGAAACCAGGAAATTTTGCTGTAGGACAGCAATAAAAATTCAAGGACTGCTTATGGGAATTATTACCTAAAAATAGCAAAAGTGAAACTTGATCAGGTTTTTAGGTATTCATTTGGTTTTGGTAGTTAAGCTTTCATACAGAATAGCCCATTGTTACATGTTAGACATATTCCTGACAGGCCTTTAAAATGAAATTTTATATTTAACTCCTTCTTTCCCGTGAGCTTTTTATATAAACAAATAAAGTAAATCATAACTTTCAGATTGTCTGATTTTAGTGAAATGCTTTATAAGAAATATCTAAGTTTTTACAGTACTGAATATCATGAGTGTTCCAGTGTAGGATATAATAGGCAAGTTTAATAATTTTTGTGATCCCGAGTCAGTTCTGAACTTGGGAATCTTTATGGTTACTACTTAAGCATTTTGTGACTTAGGTTTGTTAGATGCAGGCTAAACAATTTTTTAAATTTTTTGTGTGCATTTGTCATTTTAAGTATGTATGTGTTTATGGGTGCAAACTAGGGAGTAGTTTCAGTATATATGGTTATCGTGTATAAAAATAATTTAAAGAAAATAAGCACTCTTAATAAAAAAATAAATTTAATTGGGTTCTTTTTTGGGGGGGTTCTCCCAGATTGATTTAATATTTGAAAATAGGCCGGGCATGGTGGCTCACGCCTGTAATCTCAGCACTTTGGGAGGCCGAGGCGGAAGGATCACGAGGTCAGCAGTTTGAGACCATTCTGGCTAACACGGTGAAACCCCGTCTCTACTAAAAATACAAAAAATTAGCTGGGCGTGGTGGCTGGCGCCTATAGTCCCAGCTACTTGGGAGGCTGAGACAGGAGAATGGTGTGAACCCGGGAGGCGGAGCTTACATGAGCCAAGATTGCGCCACTGCATTCCAGCCTGGGGGACAGAGCGAGACGCCATCTCAAAAAAAAAAAATTTTTTTTGAAAATATAAATTTACCATATTAACAAATAATCGGGAAAAGCTATTTGATCCTCTCTCAAAATTTTGCAGATGGGGAAGGGAGGTAGAAGGAAAGAGTGCTGGATTCTTTATGGGAGATCCTTGAGCCTCCCTCTTGGTGCAGGACAACTTATCAAAACTCACCATTCCAAGTTAGGGCTTCTTGATAAGCACTCACATTTAAAAACAGAATCTTTTATTGTGAAACATCACACATACACAGAAAAGTACTTTCCTTCAAAATATATAGATGAAACTGATTTATCACAAAATACACATTTGTAACCATCACACAAGTCAAGAAAGAGAACATTGTCAGCACCCCAGGAATACTCTCTCATGTCGCTTCCGAAACACTGCCTTCTCGAGTTCTTGTGTTTAAGAAAAAGGAAAATATTTTCTGGTTATTGTATTTTAAAATTGAAAACTAGTGTCTTAAACTCAGAAGTACCAGTTTGTATTTATTTATTTATTTATTTATTTATTTATTTATTTATTTATATTTTATTTTATATTTTTAAGACAGAGTCTTGCCCTGTCACCCAGGCTGGAGTGCGGTGCAATCTTGGCTCACTGCAACCTCTACCTCCTGGGTTCAAGCAGTTATCGTGCATCAGCATACCGAGTAGCTTGGATTACAGGAGTGTGTGCCACCATGGCTGGCTAATTTTTTTTTTTCTTTGGGATTTTTAGTAGAGATGGGGTTTCTCCATGTTGGTCAGGCTGGTCTTGAGCTCCTGACCTCAGGTGATTCACCCTCCTTAGCCTCCCAAAGTGCTGGGATTACAGGTGTGAGCCACCACGCCCGGCCCACCAGTTTTTATTTTTAAAAATTATTCTTCTTTACCATATTAAGAAGACTAAAGAGAAATTAACGGGAATCACAGAAGAAAAAATGAGAATGGGAGAAACAAGAGATTGAGAGTCTTCAAAATAGAATAGGAAAAAGATAAAAACGTCATTTCCATAAATTCAGAGACCTACCAAAACCAGAACCAAAATTAGGATAGATATGCACAATGAAAAGATACTGTGCACACAGATGAAAGAATTTTCATGGGGCAGTATCACCACATATTTCTTTAAGGCGATTTCTGCTAAAAATCTTTTAGATGGGTACTTTTGAAATTATAGCAAAATCAGTATATTATTTCATAGACACTTTGTGCCTTGGATTTAATATTAAGTTGAAGGTTTCTTCATTTTTTTTTTTTTTTTGGAAACTGAAAATTAGTGTTTATTGAATACCTAAAATGTATTCAGACAAAAATAGACTAGAACTAATTAGCATAATTATTGTAATCCTAGATAAATATCAAATGTCAGAAAAAGGGTAATTTTTATTTTTATTTATTTATTTATTTTATTTATTTATTTTTTTAATTGATCATTCTTGGGTGTTTCTCCCAGAGGGGGATTTGGCAGGGTCACAGGACAATAGTGGAGGGAAGGTCAGCAGATAAACAAGTGAACAAAGGTCTCTGGTTTTCCTAGGCAGAGGACCCTGCGGCCTTCCACAGTGTTTGTGTCCCTGGGTACTTGAGATTAGGGAGTGGTGATGACTCTTAAGGAGTATGCTGCCTTCAAGCATCTGTTTAACAAAGCACATCTTGCACTGCCCTTAATCCATTTAACCCTGAGTGGACACAGCACATGTTTCAGAGAGCACAGGGTTGGGGGCAAGGTCATAGATCAACAGCATCCCAAGGCAGAAGAGTCTTTCTTAGTACAGAACAAAATGGAGTCTCCTATGTCTACTTCTTTCTACACAGACACAGCAACAATCTGATTTCTCTATCTTTTCCCCACATTTCCCCCTTTTCTATTCCACAAAACCGCCATCATCATCATGGCCCGTTCTCAATGAGCTGTTTGGTACACTTCCCAGACGGGGTGGCGGCCGGGCAGAGGGGCTCCTCACTTCCCAGAAGGGGCGGCCGGGCAGAGGCGCCCCCCCCCCACCTCCCGGACGGGGCGGCGGCTGGGCAGAGGCGCCCCCCACCTCCCTCCCGGACGGGGCGGCTGGCCGGGCGGGGGCTGCCCCCCACCTCCCTCCCAGATGGGGCGGCTGGCCGGGCGGGGGCTGCCCCCATAAGCGCTAACTTAAGTTAGCGCTTATGGGGCTGCCCCCCACCTCCCTCCCGGACGGGGCAGCTGCCGGGCGGAGACGCTCCTCACTTCCCAGACGGGGCGGCTGCCGGGCGGAGGGGCTCCTCACTTCTCAGATGGGGCGGCTGCCAGGCAGAGGGGCTCCTCACTTCTCAGATGGGGCGGCCGGGCAGAGACACTCCTCACCTCCCAGACTGGGTCACGGCTCGGCAGAGGCGCTCCTCACATCCCAGACGGGGCGGCGGGGCAGAGGCGCTCCCCACATCTCAGACGATGGGCGGCCAGGCAGAGACACTCCTCACTTCCTGGACAGGATGGCGGCCGGGAAGAGGCGCTCCTCACTTCCCAGACTGGGCAGCCGGGCAGAGGGGCTCCTCACATCCCAGACGATGGGCGGCCAGGCAGAGACGCTCCTCACTTCCCAGACGGGGTGGCGGCCGGGCAGAGGCTGCAATCTCGGCACTTTGGGAGGCCAAGGCAGGCGGCTGGGAGGTGGAGGTTGTAGCTAGCCGAGATCACGCCACTGCACTCCAGCCTGGGCACCATTGAGCACTGAGTGAACGAGACTCCGTCTGCAATCCCGGCACCTCGGGAGGCTGAGGCTGGCAGATCACTCGCCGTTAGGAGCTGGAGACCAGCCCGGCCAACACAGTGAAACCCCGTCTCCACCAAAAAAATACGAAAACCAGTCAGGCATGGCGGCGCACGACTGCAATCGCAGGCACTCGGCAGGCTGAGGCGGGAGAATCAGGCAGGGAGGTTGCAGTGAGCCGAGATGGCAGCGGTACAGTCCAGCTTCGGCTTGGCATCAGAGGGAGAGCGTGGAAAGAGAGGGAGAGGGAGACTGTGGGGAGAGGGAGAGGGAGGGGGAGGGGAGGGGAGGGGGAGGGGGAGGGGAGGGGAGAGGGAGAGGTTTCTTAATTCTTGATTCAATTTCTGTTTTCTGATAATTTGGAATTCTGTAAGTAACTTTTTAAAATGTGGGGTATTCTCTTCCTTTTCTGCTAACTATACTTTGAGTTTCCAATACTGTAATAAAAAGGGAATAATTAAGAGGTTAAAAAAGTACTAATAATTGAGAAAATGAACACTTCTGTATATATATATAATAGCCTTTATATATATAGCTGTGTGTGTGTATAGTCTTTTAATGTAAAGCTTATCTGTAATTTTTCTGATTATAAGGAAGAGTCATTTTTAAGATTGTCCTAGTGTGTTGTCTCTTACTGTTATTTTTGTATTTTTATTAAAGGTGGGAACAAAGAAAAGATCCTCATGGTAGAACCTATTATGTGGATCATAATACTCGAACTACCACATGGGAGAGACCACAACCTTTACCTCCAGGGTAATATAGCACTCTTTATGCATTTGTAATTATATTTTATCACACATGTGGTTTTTAAATTTATTTAGTACAGCGTAATTTGATTCTTTCATTCTGCATATATTCAATTTCTTTACATTTCCTTATATAAATAATGAATGTTCAGTCAATGAGATTAGATAATCTGTAGGGCTTCCTCAAGAGACTGTCAAGCATTGGCATGAGTTACTGAGAGAAGTTGCAAAATTTGGTCAGTTGTCAGTCCTTCTTTGTAATTTTTTTAAGGAAAGAAAGGTAGTATTTAGGACAGTTTATATGTATGGTTCTCCATGGATAGTGATCTAAACTATGTTATTTCATAAGATTTAATGACTTAAATATTAAATGACTTAAAGGCCCAAATGATTTAATGACTTAAAGGCCCAAAACTATGATCTACAAAGATTGCCATGAGTGAACTTATACCTAAAATTGTAGAAGGTTTTAAATTAATAAAGTTTTTATTACATACTAAAATTCATGCTATTAGGCTGTCATTCAAGGCCATTCACAAACGAGTCTTCCTTTACCTTTGTATTCTTTCATAACTGTCTACATAACTGCACTGATAGCTAGTCGAATTGTACTGTTTGCATTCATTTACTCACACATTCTATGTGTACCTGGAATATATTTCTTACATACTCAGATTTCCCTTCCAGATTCAATTTAAAGCCCACCATTTTAAAACACATTCAAAATCTAGAAAATTCAAGGCAGAGAAATGTTATTTTTATGGGATATTTCTCTTTTATGGAATAAAGCACTCAGGCCTTGACCCTACAGTGTTAAATGAGAACGTATTGGAAAACATGGTGCCGATATTGCAATATAGCAAACCATGAAGTTCATTTTAACTATGACAAGATCATCAAGTTATAGTCATTCATTTAGTCCATTCATTGAGTGCCATGACTTGGGGTTTATTTCACTGAAACTGTTGTCCAAAAATTAGGCAGAGGTTGTCTTTAATTTCATCTTTAGCGTCTATTATTCTCTTTGTGACCCCATTGTATTTTTAGTAATAAGTTTAAGGAATTTATAATTGGTTGCTGAAAGGAGTTTACAATCATTTTATAAATTAATGACAAAAATTGGTTTAATAGATCCTACATGTGTAGAACAGGTGGGAGTTGGAGTGAATCCTGGAGGATGAGTAGAATTCTGGTTGGTAGAGAAATAGGGAAGGGTATTCTGTGAGGCAAAGGGGAAACAAAATTCACTCATGACACCCTTGGAACCAGCAAATAGTTGGTTAGACTCTCACATGAGGCCCTTGTAGGATCTCAGGGAAATGAGGCTGAAAATGTGGACAATTCATTTTTATGCCATGCCAGTGAGCCATCATGGGTGGAATGACATGGAGTCCACCTGTGTTTCAGGAAGAAAATTGGCAGCAATATAATGGCAGGAAGGTGAGTTAAAAAAGTAATAAAAAGAGTTCAGTTAACTCATTCTGAACATGGGCATTGGCTATAGAGCAGATTGCTTGGTATACAGCAAGCACTGTCAGTAAATGCTTATCAAAGAAAGAAGGAGAGGCCGGGCATGGTGGCTCATGCCTGTAATCCCCACACTTTGGGAGGCCAAGAGGTGGGAGGATCACCTGAGGTCAGGAGTTCGAGACCATCCTGGCCAACGTGGTGAAACCCCCATCTTTACTAAAAATACAAAAAATTAGCTGGGCATGGTGGTCTGCGCCTGTAATCCCAGCTACCCAGGAGGCTGAGGCAGGAAAATCACTTGAACCTGGGAGGCAGAGGTTGCAGTGAGCCAAGATCACACCATTGCACTTCAGCCTGGGTGACAAGAGCGAAACGCCATCTCAAAAAAAAAAAAAAGAGGGAGAAAGGATAGCCAGATGATACTAAAACTGTTCATTCAGTGGCCTCTTTTTAGACAGTCTTTAGAAATTATATTAGGGCTAATGCTTTCCCTCCCCGTAAGGGGCTTAAAACCTAGATGATGTGTTGATAGCTGCAGCAAACGACCATGGCACATGTATACCTGTGTAACAAACCTGCACGTTCTACACATGTATCCCAGAACTTAAAGTAAAATTAAAAAAAAAAGAAAATAAGCAAACTCTTGTAGTGCAGGACTAAACATTACAGTGATTAAAGGAAAAAAAAGATATTAGTGGTAGAATGGGAAGGTAATTTAGGTAAAATAAATAGTTCATAGTTTTATATGTTTTAGTTATTTTAACATGTCTTGAACTTGATATTTAAATTGAGTGAAGTAATAACTGCTTTTCATTTTCTTATATTGAGAGATTATTGTTTATTATTGTTTACTTGTGGTAGTTGGGAAAGAAGAGTTGATGATCGTAGAAGAGTTTATTATGTGGATCATAACACCAGAACAACAACGTGGCAGCGGCCTACCATGGAATCTGTCCGAAATTTTGAACAGTGGCAATCTCAGCGGAACCAATTGCAGGGAGCTATGCAACAGTTTAACCAACGATACCTCTATTCGGTAATTAGCAAATTGTAAGATGTTAACATAACTTCCTCCCTCAGGTGTTTCTTTCTTTTTTTTTTTTGCTATCCCTTGACCATAATCACATATCTATTTTGGTGATTTTCAGAAATGGTATAGACTGTGTTACAAGATATTTTTTAGTTAATCTTTAATAAATAGTGTTTCTGATATATATAAGTACTTTATAATATTTTAAAATATTCTAGTTTACTAACATAACTTATACATTAAGTTTTATATCCTACGGGGTAGTTTCATAAATGCATTTCTTAACAAAATAATATTTTTACTAATTTTCAATCTTCCACTTTTATAAATTTTGTTTGCTTTCAACAAAACCAGTTACTTTATTATTTTACTTAGAGCCAGTCTTGCAGTATGCTACCTATTCTGATTCTCTTCCCAGATTCTAAGAAGCAACACTCATCTGTTTTGCTCCATCAAAGATATTTCTAGAACTCGAAAGTTTTATCCAAAAAATCTAATGCTGTCTGAAAATTTGACCAATTGGTGATTTACTTATTGCCATAAGCAAACATCCGTGAGAGGAGTGGAAAAAACAAAACAAAACTCCTCTGATAAATGGTGTGATCATAGGAGGTAGAAAAGATAAATTTTAAGTACTGGACAACTACAGATAGTGTTTTGAGGCAACTTGAAGAAACCTAAAATATAGAAGCTAGCAGATAGAAAGGAAGTAGGAAAGAGACATAGAAAGAAAATGTAAGTAACTTTCTCCAAAATCCTGCTGCAGTCTGGCTCTTTCAACCACATTTTTTTCAGAGGTTAAATAGTAAGTTCTCATTTGCAGGTTGACCTACTCTCCTGGTTATATGTAGCTAGCAGGGAGGGAGTGGGCAGCCTAGTTTCCATAGCGTTTCCTGCTGCCTTCAGTTGCTGGTTCTTCCATGACTTGTACAGAAATCTGTGGTAAGGTTCCATAATTTAGCTGTATATAGTAATTATACCGTGTGGTATATATAGTAATATATATAGCTATATACATCCATAAAAAGTAATACATATAGCTTTGTTTTTGGTTGGACTTATCTGTACACATGAAAACCTTTGGTGAACAGGGCAGAATGAGGTAACAGATGTGTATCAGAAGAATGTTATCTTGCAAGTAATAGAATCTCCTTAAACACATTGAGGTTTAATTATCTCAGTACAACATCAAGTCTGGGGTAAAAGTGTAAGTGCTGCATTGACTCAGTAGTGTCATCAAGGACCCGGGTTCTTTCTGCCCTTTTGCTCTGCCATCCATATCGCACTTCAGGCCTGTTACTTCGTTTATATACTCTGCACTATGGGCCTCACATCCATAGTCTAGGCAAGAAGAAAGAGAAAGAGGAATTGAAAGGGCAGATGGCTCTGTTGTTGCAAGCCCTTGCCTTTTTTACTTAGCGAAGGATGCCCTCACCATGGCCTTCTGCCTATACCTCATTGGCCAGAATTGGTCACTCTACCAACTCAGCTGCAGGGAAGGGGGAATGGAATGATCTTTATGGCCACGTTTCTACCTCCAACAAAACAGGGTTTTGGTTCTCAAGAACAGGTGGAAGATAAATATTGAGTATAATTAACTGGGTCTGTTACAAGATTATATTCATCAAGATGCATATACTTTAAGAAATTATTTTTCAGGTAATGATTTTTATATTTGTCATTATTATAGAATTCTTGATAGAATACTTATATTTTCTTCAGAATATATTTCTAGGTTATAAGAATGGAGGCATACATAAAAATGTGTTTTTATGTATGTATGAAAATATAAAAGATACTAATTAAAAGTTTATTTCTATAAATGATACTGGAGTTGAGTGTTAGTTTTATTAGTGGGCATTTGTTTTAAAGAAAATTGTGATAACTGTTCTATTTTTAAACAAATAATATTGCCTCATTTAAACATCATAATTTCCTATATGTTCTTCTCCCATTTCATCTTCCCTCTATAGATTAGTATGGAAGGACTGGGAGAGTAAAGTATTGATGCCAGTGTATTATTTTTAAATCATTTTCGAAAAACTAATAATTAATTTGATAGTTGATAGTCTCCTCTTCGTGACATTTTATGAACTTAGTGTCTTGGCTGGGAGCGGTGGCTTACACCTGTAATCCCAGCACTGTGGGAGGCTGAGGCGGGTGGATCGCTTGAGCCTAGGAGTTCGAGACCAGCCTCAGAAACATGGCAAAACCTTGTCTCTACAAAAAATACAAATATTAGCCGGGTGTGGTGGCGCATATCTGTAGTCCTAGCTACTCGGTTGTTGCTGAGGTGGGAGGATTGCTTGAGCCCGGGAAGCAGAGGCTGCTGTGAGCTGAGATCACGCCACTGCACCCCAGTCTGGGTAATAGAGCAGGAAGATCCTGTCTCAAAAAACAAAGAACTTTGTGTCTTGAAATTGCTATATTTCCTTATAATGTGGACCTATCTATCTGTCTATATAATAATATAGATATATTTTTGAGACAGCTTCTCGCTCTGTTGTGCAGGCTGGAGTGCAGTAGTAGTGTGATCACAGTTCACTGTAGCCTCCACCTCCTGGGCTCAAGTGATCCTCCCACTTCAGCCTTCCAAGTAGCTGGGACTTTAGGCATGTGCCAACACATCTGGCTAATTAAAAAAAAATTTTTTTTTATAGAGACAGGATCTTCCAGGCTGGTCTTGAACTCCTGGGCTTAAGTAATCCTCCCACCTTGCCCTCCCAAGGTGCTGAGATTACAGGCATGAGCCACTGCGCCCAACCCCTTATCATATTTTTAGAAAATTATTATAAAATGTGATTCTGCCACATGCTTGGCTTATTTCTACTTTCATATTAAAACACTGTTATTTTATTTCTCTCCCTAATCTTTTCTCCAATCAGGCTTCAATGTTAGCTGCAGAAAATGACCCTTATGGACCTTTGCCACCAGGCTGGGGTAAGCTGTTTTTGCTAATGATCTATAAGGGAGATATATATCTCTCCATATATATATATATATATATATATATATATATATGTTCCTTATTTTATATATATATATCTCCCTTATATATGTCCCTTAACATATATATATCCCTTATAATATATAATATATTTAATATGGATTATATATTCTATATATTATATATTCTGTAGAATGTTATATATTCTGTATACTATATAGAATATATAATCCATATTAAATATATTATATATTATAAGGGATATATATGTATATTATATATGTATATATTATAAGGGATATATATATGTATATTATAAGGGATATATATATGTATTATATATATAATATACAGAATATATAGAATAGATTATATATTAAAGAATTATATATTATAGAATATATATTATATTCTACATAATTATCTATAATATAATATATATTATATTCTCTATAATATAATATATGTTATATTCTCTATAATATATATTATATTCTATATAATATATTCTATAATATATAAGGGATACATATATCCCTGATATGTTTTTATATATATAATATATATTATATATAATTATATGTGTTCCTTATTTTATATATAGATCCTAAATAGTTATTAAATATTATACTCACTTTATATTTCAGAAAAAAGAGTGGATTCAACAGACAGGGTTTACTTTGTGAATCATAACACAAAAACAACCCAGTGGGAAGATCCAAGAACTCAAGGGTATGTATATACAGCAGCCTTAAGTCGTCTTGCATATATCAGTAGGTAGAACCAACCAACCTTGAATGAGATATTTTTAGTACCTAGAAAAGGTTCATCTTGTGATTTTAACTTTATCTTTTAGCTTACAGAATGAAGAACCCCTGCCAGAAGGCTGGGAAATTAGATATACTCGTGAAGGTGTAAGGTACTTTGTTGATCATAACACAAGAACAACAACATTCAAAGATCCTCGCAATGGGAAGTCATCTGTGTGAGTGAAAACCTGAAGTTCTCCTTTAAATATTGCTTAGTGAGCACATGAGATTTAGTCTCTAATTTATCCTCAAGTTTAGCAAAACATTTTACTTTTTGGTTCAAGAAAACCTACACAAGTGAAACCTTAGTATAGCTGTCTTTGCTCTCATTTGACAATGGATTTGCAGCATGTAAACTATTTATGTAGTGATTACTGTGTGCCGAGGATTGTTCTAAGTACTTCATAGGTATTAACTCATTTTATCTTCCAATAACCCCTTGAGGTAGATACTATTATTTTTCCCTTTACCAAGTGAGGAGAGGTATAGGGAGCATAACTAACTGTGCAAAGTTATAAGGCAAGTAATGGAGCTGGTTTCTAACGATGACAGTCAGTCTCTGTCTAGACTCTGTGCTCTTAACTGCCACATCACACTGCTGCAATGAGATGGTCAGTGAAATGATTTTTCCAGATTTAAAGATACCTTAATTAAGCGGTTGACAGATCTCTCCTTCATTCTTACTCTAAGGTGTCATGTCTTTGCATAACTAAGAAAATAGAAGCAATCCTAAAAGGTCTTTTGCAAAGTTGTACCACCATATCTGTCCGTCTCCTACCATCTCTCCTCCCTCCTGTTCCTATAGATGAACTGTCATTGTTATTATCAAAGTCTCGTCCCTCTGCTGGTACATTCGATTCCTACCCCCACTTTTCTACTTAATTGCTCCAACAGTTATCACCTTTGTGTTGCATTATCAGGTTTTATTTCTCTACAAAATTATTCTTATCAGCTGTTATTTCTCCTAGATATAAAAAAAAAGCAAAAAAAAAAAGAAATTACAACTCTTCCCTTTACCAATGTGTTCAATCGCAGTTCATTTTTTTGTTTTTTTTTTGAGACGGACTTTCGCTCCTGTTGCCCAGGCTGGAGTGCAATGATGCGATGTCAGCTCACTGCAACCTCCACCTCCTGGGTTCAAGCGATTCTCCTGCCTCAGCCCCCTGAGTAGCTGGGATTACAGGCACCCGCCACCACACCCAGCTAATTTTTGTATTTTCAGTAGAGATGGGGTTTCGCCATGTTGGCCAGGCTGGTCTCGGACTCCTGACCTCAGGCGATCCACCTGCTTTGGCCTCCCAAAGTGCTGGGATTACAGGCGTGAGCCATCACACCCAGCCCACAGTTCATTTTTATTGCTCCCCTTTACAGGAAAGCTACTTGCATGGTTGTCTCTGTATTGCTGTTCATAGTTTCTCCTTTAAACCAACTCCAAGGAAGTTCCCCTGACACTGAATTTGCAAGGGCACCAATGATCTTCACATTGTTAATCCAGGCGTTGGTTTGCAGTCCTGCCTGATTTGACTTACCAGGAACATTTGACACAATACATTTCTCTCTCCTGGCAAAAGTAGTGCTGTGAGCCATACTTTCTTGATTTCCCTCTGCGTTTCTGTTCTTCTATCTTTATTTTGTCGAGTCCTCCTTTTTTTCCTAAGCCTCTTTTTTTTTTTTTTTTTTTGTTAACTACATTCATTCTCTTGATGCATCTTACTCAGTATTATGCTTTTAAAACATGTGCCTGCTAATGACTCACAAATTTAGCTCAGACTTCTCACTTGAAATTTTGCTTTCTATATTCAGCTGCTTATTGACATCTCCACTTGTAACTCCTTCTTGGTAGGTCCTGTAAAACCTGCTCTCTGGCCAGGCATGGTGGCACACACCTATAATCCCAGCACTCTGGGAGGTTGAGGCGGGTAGATCACTTGAGCCCAGGAGTTTGAGACCAGCCTGGGCAACATAGCAAGAGCTAGTCTCTAAAAAAAAAAAAATTATAACAACAACAACAAAAACCCAGCTCTACCTGTGATATTCCCTGTCACAGTTGATAACTCCACTCTAGCAGGTGCTTGGGTCAAAAATTTTGAAATCACCTTGTTATGGTGGCTCACGCCTATAATCCCAGCAGTTTGGGAGGCCGAGGCGGGCAGATCACCTGAGGTCAGGAGTTCGAGACCAGCCTGGCCAACATGGTAAAATTAGCTGGGCGTGATGGCGTGTGCCTGTAATCCCAGCTACTCAGGAGGCTGAGGCAGGAGAATCGCTTGAACCCAGGAGGCAGAGGTTGCAGTGAGCCGAGATTGCACCATTGCACTCCAGCCTAGGCAACAAGAGCGAAACTCCATCTTAGGAAAAAAAAAAAATGTAGAATCATCCACAACTCCTCTATCTCTCCTACCTTACAAACAGTCCATCAAGAATTCTAGTTACCTCAACTTCAAAACATATCTAGAATCCAGCTATGCCTCACCACCCCCATTGCCACCATTTTGGTCCAAGCTACCATTATCTGTTGCCTGGCTTGGTAGCAGAGTCCTCTCTCTGCTTTCTTCCCACACCTTGTACAATGTTGTTACTCTCCATACAGCACAGAGACTGAATTTCCAAAACAAAATTTAATTAAAAGTCATTTATTTGCACAAAACCCTTCAGTGGTTTCCATCTCAATAAGAGTAAAAAGCACACTTTACAACAGCCTAAATGGCCTTACAGGATCTGACCCCTCTTATCTCTTCAACCTCCTCTTGGTTTTCGCTCCTCCTCATTCACCGTGTTCTAGCTTCATTGGACGCTAGCTGTGCCTTCAACACCTTCAGCTTCCACCTTGGGTCTTAGCCTTTATTCCGTCTGCCTGGTATGCTCTTTTCCCGAAACTCCATATGGCTTTTGCCCTCTCCTTCATGTTTTTGCTCAAATGTCACTTTGTCTGTGAGCTCTACTCCTTTTACCCTTTTGAAAATCACAAAATGCTTCTCATATCACTCCTTATACTTTGTCCTTTTAACAATGCCTTTTTTATTGTTTTATTGTTCTAGGTCAGGAGTGATAAGACATTTGTACTTTACTTATTTATTATATTTTTTTGTCTTATCTCCTTCACTAGTATATAAGCTCCACAAAACAGGCATTTTTACCTATTAATAAGTAATGCTGTCACTGTCTAGAAGAAAGCCAGGTACCAGCTATGCATTCAGTAAATGCTTTTTGAGTAAGTGAATTCACTTGAACCTGACAACACAAGAGAACATTTTTCATCTGTTCCAAAGTGTTCCTTAACATTATGAAAGTTCTTTGTGCCTGTCAGGCCCTCAATCAATAGGCAAGAGATCCAGGCTCTGTCACTGTGAGTCAAACCATATTGTAAAACCTGTATTCCTAGGTGCCGTGCCACCAACTCTGCCTTTTCTCTCACTGACCACGTGAACCGTGTGATCTGGATGACAATGTTGTTTCTAGGAATTTGATTTTGCTTTGCTTATTATCTCCAGGAATATTTGTTTGGGTTTTAGGTTAGGCTTAGGATGTGGTAGAATTTCCTTCCACGTCTCTTCTGTCTGGAGCCTCTGTCCTCCTTAGATTTAAGGATTATCGAAGATTTTCTTTGAAATAGTCTGTAGTAGACTTTGATATTTCATTTAACTCACTAACAAAAGATCCAGCCATAAATACAATGTCCTTCTTTGTGTATATGTGTGTCCTGTTGCTGTAATAGTCCCCATTACTTGAGCTTCTTTTGGCCCACCATGTATGTATACCCTTCTCTCCCAGCAGAAATCTTCCTGTGGTATTTTGTTGGACTTTAGTACACTCTGATTTTATACTGAATACTAAATATTCAACTTTATTATGAGTTAATTTGGTTTATTTTTGTTTTTCTTTAGAACTAAAGGTGGTCCACAAATTGCTTATGAACGCGGCTTTAGGTGGAAGCTTGCTCACTTCCGTTATTTGTGCCAGGTACTATAGTGGTAAATAAATCTTATACTCAATAATTTAGTCTTCTCTTTATACAATACATATACTATAACTCAGATGATATTATGATATTATTTTTGTTTTTAGTCTAATGCACTACCTAGTCATGTAAAGATCAATGTGTCCCGGCAGACATTGTTTGAAGATTCCTTCCAACAGGTAAGGAGGATTTTAGCAGAATAAAACACCATTTGTCTCATTGTATTCTGTGCATCTAAAGAAAGTCAGGGTTTTAGAGATTTTTAAACCACCCAGAACACAGCTATAATAATAATGACTGCCACCACCACTTGTTGAGTGCCTTTGTTTTGTTTTGTTTTGTTCTGTTTTCTTAAATAGAGATGGAATTTCGCCATGTTGCCCAGGTTGGTCTCAACCTCTGGGCTCGAACGATCTACCCACCTCGGCCTCGTAAAATGCTGGGATTACAGGCTTGAGCCACTGCATCTGGCCTGAGTGCCCATTTTAATCATAGTTACACTAAACCTTCCCATATACTGAGTGATTATCATTTGCAAAACACCGGCATCTTACATTTCTCATTTTATTTCATTCGTCCTCACAGCATCCCTTTGAGATAGCACTTATTGTATCTCCATGTTATAGGTAAAGGTACTGAGACTGAGAGACATATCATGAATTTAGATGTGTATTTACTAAAATAAAGCTTAAACAGCTTTTGGAACAAGTTGATTCTTGTTTTGACACAATACTTGGCTAAGAATTTATTACCTCAAAGTTTTGATAATGCTATCAAATTAAAATTAAATTGGTAGATACTGTATTCCATTTGAGAATTCCTTTAATAACTTTATTTTCACCTTTATGTTTCTGTTTAAATGTGATCTCAGAGAGACCTTCTCTGAGCCTACTATTTTAAGATGGCAGTCCTTCTCTTCTCCCTCACAGTCACATTCCAGCCATTTATGGTGCTTTATTCTTTTTCATAACCACCCAACATAGTGTATTTTGTCTTCCTTACTAGAATGTGAGCTCCATGAGAGCAGGGACTATTGGTTTACTGCTGTTCTGCCTAGTACGTAGAATAGTGCCTTTGCACATAGAGGGTATTCAATAAATATTTGATGAACAAATAAATGAATGCAGTATTTCTTCCTTTCATGAGTCATCTGCAGAATATTTAAGGATAAATAATCCAAATACTGTATTGTCAGTTTTTGCCCAATGAAGTGGAGAATTTTTCATAATGAGACGTCTTATTCCCCCCCTAGTATTATAATGATGAACCAAATTATGCTGTGTACTCAGGCATACAGGGACTTTTATTTATACTTTGTACAAGCCAAAATGGAGTAATGATACTCTGAGCCCCAAGAGAATTTCAAACCATAGCTTAATTTTACGATTGGACTTTGGGCATGATACTTAAACTATTATCAAGTTGATTTTTTTTTTTTGAGTTAATAAATTCTTAGCAAACTAAGTGTAAATAGGTCAACTTTTTCTAAACTCTGGATTGATTTTAGTAAATGTACATCTGAATTCATGGTAGACTTTATTTTGCTTTTTACCCTGTCTTGGGAAGAATCATGGTCTATTTGATGTATAGCACTGAGCCCACGACTGCCTCCAAGGAGGCATGCTGGTGAGCTGTGCTCCAACCCAGACTTGCCAGTCTTGGCTCTGGTCCTGACATATGTGTGGAATGTAATTTATTTCTATCCAAAGTAAAGCCTACTTACTAGTAACCTTGATGTAAGCTATTAAAGATTATGAAAATTTGGTATACGTATTGTTTTTAAGTTATACTAGCCTGTGAATAAATTCATCATTGTATAAATAATTGCTCATTATAGCTGAGTTCCTTTCCTACTGAGAAATGGAATGTGTGGTATAAACAGGATGCAGAACAAAGTCTTTTGCCTCTAAGTACTGCTAGTCAGAAAAATTTACCTGTTGGAAGATTTTGGTACAGTTTGGGGAAACCAGTAGGGGAGATAATATTTTTAACCTTAAAAGCCTTTTGTGTCAAACTCTTCCTGTCTTGTCATTAACCCAAAATAGAACTATCCATTTAATACTAGAAGGAGGAAAGAGTATAGTTGACCCTTAAACAACACAGGGGCTAGGGGTGCTGACCCCTTGCACAGTTGAAAAGCCATGTATAACTTTTGACTACCCCAAAACTGAATTACTAATACCTACCATTGACTGGAAGCCTTACCAATAACGTAAAGAGTCAGTTAACACATAGAGTCAGTTAACACATATTTTGTATAATATATGTATTATATACTGTATTCTTTTTTTTGAGACAGAGTCTCGCTCTGTCGCCCAGGCTGGAGTGCAGTGGCACGATCTCGGCTCACTGCAAGCTCCACCTCCCGGGTTCACACCATTCTCCTGCCTTAGCCTCCCGAATAGCTGGGACTACAGGCGCCCACCACCACGCCTGGCTAACTTTTTGTATTTTTTAGTAGAGACGGGGTTTCACCATGTTAGCCAGGATGGTCTCAATCTCCTGACCTCGTGATCCACCTGCCTTGGCCTTCCAAAGTGCTGGGATTACAGGCCTGAGGCACCACACCCGGCCTGTATACTGTATTCTTATAATAAAGTAAGCTAGAGAAAAGAAAATTTTTTTAGAAAATCATAAGGAAGATAAAATACATATACTGTTCATTAAGTAAAAGTGGATCATCATAAAGGTCCTCATTCTCATTGTCTTCACATTGAATAGGCTGAGGAGGAGGAAGAGGGCTTGGCCTTGTTGTCTCAGGGGTGGCAGAGGCTGAAGAAAATTCAAGTATAAGTGGACCTGTGCATTCACCATGTTGACTTAAACTCATCTTGTTTACGGGTCAACTATATGTGAAAGTGAGTCAGGAAAAGCTTAACAGATTGATATGTATGTCTTCATCTAGTTTGTGAAAGAAACCAATTCATCTCTTGAGTTAAAAGCATTGTATAAGATAAGGAAATGTGTTATTTTGAAAATAGAGATTAAATTTAAATTGTTTTGAAAGGAACTTGTACTGCATGTGAGTATTTAATATTCATGTTTTTGTTTTTAATTAGATTATGGCATTAAAACCCTATGACTTGAGGAGGCGCTTATATGTAATATTTAGAGGAGAAGAAGGACTTGATTATGGTGGCCTAGCGAGGTAAAATAAAAAACACATATCTGCCTTGAAATAAGTATATCTCATTGTATACAGGGAAAGTATTCTTCAAAACATATGTGAATATATTGTATTAAATTTTTGAATTAACAATCCAGAATTTTTCTCAAAAATACACACGGTAACCATTATTATTATTACTACTCTTGGTTATCTTTCTATACATCTTTACATATATGTAAATTTGTATATATGTGTAATATAGTATATATTTGCTGCTTTTTTTAACAGTTAATCATACAATGTACAAAATGTAGGATCTGATTTTGTTTTTTTATATAGTGTGGGCATCTTTCTATGTTAGCATATATACAGTGAGTGAATGAATTTGTTTATTTCTTTTTCTTCTTGTTTTTTAAAAAGTTTTAAAGGCTGGACGTGGTGGCTTACGCCTGTAATCCCAGCACTTTGGGAGGCCAAGGCGGGTGGATCATGATATCAGGAGATCGAGACCATCCTGGCTAACACGGTGAAACCCCGTCTCTACTAAAAATAAAAAAAATTAGCCAGGCGTGGTGGTGGGCGCCTGTAGTTCCAGCTACTCGGGAGGGTAAGGCAGGAGAATGGTGTGAACCCAGGAGGCGGAGCTTGCAGTGAGCTGAGATCATGCCACTGCACTCCAGCCTGGGTGATGGAGCAAGACGCTGTGTCAAAAAAAAAAAAAAAGTTTTTAAAGCTTTTTGTAGAAATGAGGGTCTCACAGTTTTGCCCAGGCTGATCTTGAACTCCTGAGCTCAAGAGATTCCCCCAACCTTGGTCTCCCAAAGTACTGAGATTACAGGTGTGAGGCACAGCACTCAGTCTGAATATTTTCTTTTTTAAAATGGCTGTACAATATTCTGTTGTATGGAAATATCATAATTAATAGATTAGCATGCATACATTCTTATTTTTTGCTATTGTAAGTAACATCATATTTTGGTTTTATGTTTATGTTTTTAGTCCAATCTGAGTCTCTTTTGGGAATAAAGTTTTCTACATTCACTAAATATATTGTTAACAGTAGATACTTGTGAAGCAATATGGGTGGAAAATCCTTTTATTTTTCAATTTTGTCCCTTATTTGTTCTGCCCCAGCCTAATTTGGCAACAATTTATTGTTTAGCAAAACATTTTGATTAAATCTTTCTAAAGAATTCAAACTTGCTTTTCATAGAAACAACTCCTTTTTTGAACTCATTTCAGAGGTGTACAGAATTACAAAATCACAGTTTTAACACAACTGGCAAAAAGAGATACAGAACCAAGTACAACTGATGGGGATAGATAAGTAATAATATATGTGGAATTATCAGAGTTTTGTTTATATTAGCATATTTCCTCATTTACAACATCATTAAACTTTTCCAGAAACGAAACACTGCCTATCATAATAAATGTTCATATTGCATCTATTACGAGTTTATCTCAATTTCAGAAATGTTCAGACATAAGAAAGGTACATCTTAGAAATGAGGAAATATGGTATTTTTACAGTGTGTCTTTATTAACATTTACATTCTTATCTGAGCCCTTATTTGCCTCAACTATTTGGGTCTAAGTTTTATATTTTGATAGTTTTAATGAATATAGCTAGTTCCTCCATAACATGATTTTTTATTCCTAAATTTTTTATTTAATTCATGTATTGGTGGGCTAGATTCATCAAATGGTTTATTAAAGAGTTTACAGGATTGATATATTCCTACAGTCTTTGCATAATGTTCTCTGTTGCTTTTACATATAAACAACAATTTCACTAGATATAAATTTCTCGCACACTTGTTTTTCCAATACTCAGACATTGCTTTACTGTTTTCTAGCATTGAATGTTAGTACTGTGAAGTGTGAGGCCAGCCCCTTGTAAGAACCTTATTTTTCCTCTGGGTGCCCACACAGTCCTTTTTCCTGAAGTTCAATAATTTCACTGTTGATTGTTTTGTATCTTTTTTTAGGAATATATTAAGATCTTCCTTAATGTCAGGGAAGTTTTCTTCTATTATGTCTTTGAATATTTTTTCTGTTCCATTTGTTCCATTTTTCTTCAGGAACATCAGTCATGGGTATGTGGAATCTCCTTTGTCAGTCTTACATGTCTGTCATCTTTTCTCTGATCATTTTTATCTTTGCACTTTTCCATTTTATTTTGATTTTTCTCAAGCCTATCCTCATGTCACTGTTTGCAGTACTGCCCTACGTTTTGCTGCTTCTAATGTGATTTTTCTTCATTAGTGGTTTTACTGTTTTCTTCATTTTCTTCTTTAGGCTCTGCTAGCTCATCTGTTGTCTCATAATTTTTTCAACCTCTTGTGTCTCTTCAGTTTATTTGAGAGTATTGAGAAGAATATGTTGAAAGTTAATTCTTCTGCCTCTTGCTAGTTAGGAATTTTTCTTCCTTTTCTGCTAGCATCAGAGGAAAAGAGTAGATGCCATGTTTTAGCCATTCTTCTTTTGAATTGATTGAGTTTTCTCTGGGCTGTTGTTTGCTAAAAATTATCTGAAGCATCTGGAGGGTTTATTCCTAGTTTTATATATGTGTCTAAACACACTCTCACAAGACCTGCTCCATCCTCTTACCTGGGGTATGTCTTACTTCAGCCTCATCATAGAGGGAAGTCACTTGGTTCAACTACTACTATGTTACAACTGGACTTAGTTTTAATAATTGGTGTTTACTATTTCTAGTTGATTTTGTTGAGGACTTCCTTCTCTACCCTTCAGGCAGTATCAGTGATTGTGTTTTATAACCTTTAGAAAAACGTTTATTAACAGGCTGCCAGGCCAGATGTAGCCTACATAGAGGTGGCCCTCATTGTGATTTTACAGTTTTTAAATTACTTGATGACATTTGAAAATCATTAGATTATGCTTAAGAATGAAGATTTCTGACTTCTCTTTAAAACACTCGACCTGCAATCCTGCCTTCTCATGTGGCGTCAGTGGGCTGAATCAGAGTTGTTTCCCCTGTAGATTAGCATATACTCTGTTTCACTATGGTGTCCACCACTGCCCAGTTGTCTGAGGACTACGATAATATGCCTAGAAATTCTTCTTCCTTAAAACCAATAATTCAGCAGGTATATAAGGAATGGAGGATTGTGGCTAAGCAGAGAATGTGAGCCCCATCTAGAGAATAGAGAAGGAATCCCCTTGTACTTACAGATTACTGTAAGCATTTGAGTTTGGAACCCTTCTTTAGAAGAAATTGCTATTGAAAAGAACCTTTTAGAGATTGGGTTTATCTTGTAATACCTTTATCTAGTTGGATTTCGCATATTGGACTTTAAAATGGGTGGTAAAAGGTTAGAGATTGCTTATCACATTTAAAGATTTAACCTTTTAAATTTTAGTTTCATTTTTAATGCAATGACAATAAAGTTAAAAGTGTTAAATAGCAGCAGTGCTGTGTATCTCGGTATCACCTGCAAATGTATATTAAAACCTGTTGTATATACATCCTAGAGTGCTTGTAAGAGTTAAGAATACAAAAAAATACATGGCTTTTGCCTTTGAGAAACTTACAGTCTGATGGATGGGGCAAGTCATGTGCATAAAAATGAATTAATATTGTGAGGTTGTTACAACAGAGTATTCAGTGACTGATATTAATACAAATACACTGGAAATTGCCTCAAAAAATTGTTGAAATGGGATTTAAGCTGAATTGAAGTTGAGGAGACATACCCAAGCAAAAGTGTGGCATACAAATAAGCATGTTATATCTATATGAGGATCAGTGAATTTGTAGTTTGGCCACATCGAAACTAGCAGGTAACTTAAATGGAGAGCCAGATCATAGAAGAACTTGGATAGAGGGCCAAAGAATTGGGCAGTGGAGTTCTTAAAGACTGTTGAGCAGAGGTATGATGTATATATGAATATATTTAAGATCTGTTTTTAAATTCACATATTAATG
Source organism: Homo sapiens (assembly GCF_000001405.40). Classification (NCBI taxonomy): domain Eukaryota; kingdom Metazoa; phylum Chordata; class Mammalia; order Primates; family Hominidae; genus Homo; species Homo sapiens. The sequence goes on from NC_000008.11 coordinate 86,442,587, forward strand.
CTAAAAAATAACCTTGACTTATTTTCTTATAGAGAATGGTTTTTCTTGCTTTCACATGAAGTTTTGAACCCAATGTATTGCTTATTTGAGTATGCGGGCAAGAACAACTATTGTCTGCAGATAAATCCAGCATCAACCATTAATCCAGACCATCTTTCATACTTCTGTTTCATTGGTCGTTTTATTGCCATGGTGAGTTCCTGACTTTATTATTATTTATTTAAGTTTGTTACAAATGTATTAGAGAAGGCTTTTAAAAAAAAAAAAAAGGATAAGCATTATATTTGCTATTCACAAGTTTTGTTACCAAGAAAGTTTCCCTGGAGAGTGTAAAAATATATTTTTTGAGTACCTGTATAAAATCAAGATTATGAATATGAAGATTATGTTTATACAGCCACTTAGTCTTTAAAAGTCCTTTCATTTTTAAATTTAAAACCCATTTATAGTATGACTACTTTTATTTGTTTATTTATTTTTAATAGAAAAAATTTTAATTCTTTTGAGAAAGGATCACAGTCTGTTGCCCAGGCTGGAGTGCAGTGGTGTGATCTCAGCTAACTGCAACCTCCACCTTGCAGACTCAAACGATCCTCCCACCTCAGCCTCCCAAGTAGCTGAGACTACAGGCTCACACCACCATGCCAGCTAATTTTTTTGTATTTTTAGTTGAGATGGGGTTTCATCATGTTGCCCAGGCTGGTCTCAAACTCCTGAGCTGAAGTGATCCGCCTGTCTCGGCCTCCCAAAGTGCTCAGATTACAAATGTGAGCCACCACTCCCAGCCTACTTTTCAATAAAAGGAAAATCTGAGCTATCTAATAATTGTATTTGATTGTTTTTGGAATTTTAAGCGCTTTGCAGAAGCCCTTATGGAACTATTGTCTTTTGGGAAGTGTTTGTATTTATTTATTTACGTATTTATTTACACTTTATTATCTATTAATTCATTCAGCAAAAATTTATTGACAGCCTACTGTAATGCCAAGCACTGTTTTAGGCTCCAGAGATGAAAAGAATACACAGTCCCTGCTCTCAGGGACCTAAATTCCATTAGATAGAAATGAGTAATCAATAGATATATTCTGAAGGAAAGAGTGTGTTGCTTTTTTTATATGGTATGGTTAGAGGAAACCTCACTGATGGATGACACATGAACAGAAATTGAAGAAAGCTAGGGACTGAATCATGCAGATATCTTGGAGACTATTCTAGGCATAGGGAACAGCAAGACAAAGGCTCTAATGTGGGAGTGCATTCTTGATTGAGAAAGAGACCAGTATAATTGCAGCAGAGGATATGAGAGAGAATGTAATAGGAGATGAGATTGAGAGATGCTGTGTGGGACCTTTAGGAAATTCACATAAGAGTTGAGTAGGGCAATGAGTGACCTGATCTAACTAACATGATCTGACTTAAATTTTATTAAGCTTGCTTTACGAGTATGTAGAAGACAGACTATAATTGGGGGCATAGGAAAACATGGATAGAAGCAGGAAAATCATTTGTAACAATCCAGGTGAAAGATAATAGTGGCTTGGACTTGTGTCTTCTAGCAGTGGAGGAAGTGAGAAGTGATTTGGATTCTGGGTATATTGCGAAGTTAGAACTAACAGTTTTCTGACAGATTAGATGCAGGGGTGTGAGAGAGAGTCAAGTATGGCAACAATATTTATGGCCAGCTTGTCTGGTTGCAAATTTTGGGTATGGGAGAAATCCAGAATATTTAGGTTTGGCTTGTTAAGTTTGAAGTAGACATCCACATGGAGATGTAAAAGAGATAGTTGGAGGTATAAGTCTGGCAATGAAAGGATATTTAGTTTGGAGATAGGCATTTGGGAATTCTTGGCACATAGAGAGTATTAAAAGGCAATATGATTGTTTATAGAGTGAGTATGGATGAAGAAGTTGTTCAAGGACAATTATAGTCAGGGAGATAAGTAACCAACAAAAGATCTGAGGTAGTAGAATCAAATAGGAGTGGTCCCCAGAGGACAAGGGAAGAAGAAAGTGTGTTTCAAGAAGGAAGACATGGTCAACCGTCATATGTTACTGATAGACTGAGCAAGATGAAGCCTGGGATTTGACCATTGTATCTGCAAAGGTGAAAGTTATTCATGAGTGGTAGGGTGGAAAGACTGATGGGAGTAAAATCAAGAGAGAATGGAGGGAGAGTGGATACAGCAAATATAAACAAGGAATCATAGAGAATTGGTCACTAACTGGAAATGCTTATGGAGTCAAGAATGGGAGGAGAATAAAACATTTGTATTGCTGATAGTGATGACTAAGTATCTTAGTCTGTTTTGTGTTGCTGTAAGGGAATACCAGAGGCTGGATAATTTATAAAGAAAAGGGGTTTGTTTGACTGTGCAGGCTGTACAAGAAGCATGGTGCCAGCATCGTCTTCTGGTGAGGGCCTCAGGCTGCTTCCACTCATGGCACAAGGGGAAGCAGCGTGTATGAAAGTCACATGATGAGAGAGGAAGCAAGGGTGGGGAGGAAGTGCCATACTCTTTTTAAAACCAGCTCTGTAGGGAACTAATAGAGTGAGAACTCACCAGGGCATTAGTCTATTAGTTGCAGGTCAAAATTCTTTGTTTTTCTGGTTTAATTTTAGAATCAGGGGTACATGTGCAGGTTTGTTAAAAAAGTATATTGTGTGATGCTGAGATTTGGGGTATGATTGAACCCATCATGCTCAGGTAGTGAACGTAGTACCCAATAGGTAGTTTTTCAACCCTTGCCTTCCTCCCTCTCTCCCTCCCATCGTAGTCCCCAGGTGTCTATTTTTCCCATCTATTTATGTCCATGTGTGCCCAATGCTGAGCTCCCACCTGTACGTAAGAACATGCAGTATTTGGTAGTTGGCTTGGGAAAATGGCCTCCATCTGCATCTGTGTTGTTGCAAAGGATATGATTTCATTCTTTTTTTGGCTGAATAGTATTTCATGGTGCTTACAGTCCACCATTGATGGGCACCTGGATTTATTCTAGGTCTTTCCTATTGTGAGTAGCGCTGTGGGGAACATACAGTGCTTGTGTCCTTTGGTAGCACAATTTATTTTCCTCTGGATATCTATACCCAGTAATGGGATTGCTGATTCTCATGGTGGTTCAACTCTTAGTTCATTGAGAAATTTCCAACCTGCTTTTCAAAGTGGCTGAACTAATTTACATTCTGAACAAAGTATATGTCTCTTTTTTTTCTGAAGCCTTGCCAACATCTGTTATTTTTTAATGTTTTAACAAAAGCCATTCTGACTGGTATGAGATGGTGTTTCATTGTGGTTTTGATTTGTATTTCTCTGATGATTAGTGATGTTGAGCATTTTTTCATATATTTTGTTGGCTGCTTATATGTCTTTTCTTTTCTTTTCTTTTCTTTTCTTTTTTTTTTTTTTTTTTTTTTGAGACAAGAGTCTTGCTCTGTCACCCAGGCTGGAGTGCAGTGGCATGATCTCAGCTCACTGCAACCTCTGCCTCCTGGGTTCAAGCAATTCTCTTGCCTCAACCTCCTGAGTAGCTGGGACCACAGGCACGCACCACCACACTCAGCTAATTTTTGTATTTTTAATAGAGATGGGGTTTCACCATGTTGGCCGGGCTGGTCTCGAACTCCTAACCTCAGGTGATCCGCCAACCTCGGCCTCCCCAAGTGCTGGGATTACAGGCGTGAGCCACTGCGCCCAGCAGCTGCTTATGTATCTTCTTTTGAGAAGTGTCTGTTTATGCTTGCCCAGTTTTTAATGGGTTTTTTTTTCTTGTTGATTTGCTTACTTTCCTTATGAATTCTAGATATTAGACCTTTGTTGGATCCATAGTTTGTGAATATTTTCTCCCATTCTGTAGGTTAGTTTACTCCCTCTCTTGCTGTGCAGAAGCTCTTTAGTTTAATTAGGTCCTATTTATCAATTTTTGTTTTTGTTGGACTTAGCCAGAAATTTTTTTGTCAAGGCTAATATCAAGAGGGCATTTCCTAGGTTTTCTTTTAGGATTTTAATAGTTTTAGGTCTTACATTTAAGTATTTAATCCATCTTGAGTTAATTTTTGTGTATGATGAAAGGTAGCACTCTAGTTTCATTCTTCTGTATGAAGAAGCCAGCTGGGGGATCACATTTCAACATGAGATTTGGTGGAGACAAACATCTAAACTATAGTACCAAGTTAGAGGATAAAGAATTTGATAAAGTCAGAATATAAGGAATATGAGAGCAATGGGCTTGAGTTGGAGAGAGGAGGAGATTTATTTAGCACACACACCAAGTGATGGAAAGATTATCTATAATAAGATTATATGGATTCAGATGCTAGTAGTGAGCAGATATAGTAGAACACAAAAGTTTTCTTCTGGTTGCTTCTGTTTCCTCTGTGAAATAGGAAGTAAGATCATCAACTCAGAATAAGGAGTGGGGAGAAGTATTTGAGGAAAGAAGAGTAGGAATGAAATAGTCATCTAGGAAAGTGGGAGAGTGAATGCAGTAGGGAAATGTGATTACCAGGAAACAGACCAGTGATGAAATACAACTGTCGGTCATAGAGCAGTCAGCTTGGTTGTTTATGCATTTCTAGCATGTTCCATTGCCTAGGTACAGGCATTGAGTAACCTGAGAGTTGAATTTAGTTAGGCTTGGGATTTTGCTAGAAATACACTGGCAGAGGTGGAGTTTGAAGGGAGTTATTTTATTTTATTTTTTGAGACAAAGTCTCGCTCTGTCACCCAGGCTGGAGTGCAGTGGCACGATCTTGGCTCACTGCAGCCTCCACCTCCCAGGTTCAAGCAATTCTCCTGCCTCATCTTCCTGAATAGCTGGGACTACAGGCGCGTGCCACCATGCCCAGCTAATTTTTTGTATTTTTAGTAAGGACGGGGTTTCACTGTGTTAGCCAGGATGGTCTTGATCTTCTAACCTCATGATCCACCCGCCTCAGCCTCCCAAAGTGCTGGGATTACAAGTGTGAGCCACTGCGCCCCACCTTGAAGGTAGTTATTTTAATGATTGACTATGGAATCTAAACTGAGTAAGGGAAGACATAACTTCATGAGGGGGCTAAGGTAGTATTAATAGCTTCAGTGGATTTTTTTAGTTCCCCAAAATTGGTGGGAGTCTGGGGCTTCTGTGTTGGCTGTTGTGAATAGGAGCGAAGGCACGATGGGGTTAGTCCTAAAAGCCTCACAGGCAGCAGTGAGAGTAAGAAACGAACGAGAGAGCTGCCTTTTCAGGTGCACAGGGCCCTTTTATATTTCCTTATCCAGTTAGGTTAATTCAATTTATAAAACATTTAGGAAGATTGAGGCAGGGTATGGTAATAGAAGTCTTTTATCATCCTATACAGTTTTTGATATATGTTATATAGCTATGTGTTATAAAATAGATTGTTTTAACTTTGTTTTTCATACCTAGCATTTTATATAATATTTTAGTTTTCATGATTTATGCCATTCACTTACTGAATGCTTTGTTTACTTGTGAAGTCTCATGATTTTTCTTTTATCATTGTTCTCTAAGAAATTGTTATTTTGCAAATTTTAAATAAAATTTTTCATTTTTCTTTGCAGGCACTATTTCATGGAAAGTTTATCGATACTGGTTTCTCTTTACCATTCTACAAGCGTATGTTAAGTAAAAAACTTACTATTAAGGATTTGGAATCTATTGATACTGAATTTTATAACTCCCTTATCTGGATAAGGTTTGAAGATTTTGTTTTGCAATAAGTCATTTTTTTGAAACCCATTTTGTTTCATTTTGTTAATTAGTGTATATATATTTATTTCACCCAGAGATAACAACATTGAAGAATGTGGCTTAGAAATGTACTTTTCTGTTGACATGGAGATTTTGGGAAAAGTTACTTCACATGACCTGAAGTTGGGAGGTTCCAATATTCTGGTGACTGAGGAGAACAAAGATGAATATATTGGGTAAGGTGATATACCTTATTAAGCTTAATTTCTAGAACACTTCAGAACTAAATCCTCTCTCTGTACCCTTAATTTCATCCCCTTTTCATGCCTTTGGGAAGTTCTTCTCACCAGTACCAATGTTCTTGAAAAAAGAGAATATATGTTGCTTCATTTTCCCACTGCCATTTGCTGTAACCATTCTACCATTTCCCTTTCCATGTCATTTTCCCTTTTTTAACTTAGGCTTTTAAATAGTGCTCACCACAGCCTGTTTCTTGAAACTCAGTGTTTTCTTGAATTCCATGATCCTATGTCATACTGATTTTCTTTACATTCTCTTGTTTTAAATTTTTGTTTTTAGAGAGAGTTTCACTCTGTCGCTCAGGCCGTCGTAGTGGCGTGATCATAGCTTACTGCAGGGTTGACCTCCTGTGCTCAAGCAATTCTGCCTTAGTCTCCTGAGTAGCTGGGACTACAGGCTTATACTACCATTCCCAGCTAATTTAAAACAATTTTTTTTTTTTTGTAAAGATAGGGTCTCACTGTATTGCCCAGGCTGGTCTCAAACTCTTGGCCTCAAGTCATCCTCCTTTCCTCAGCCTCCCAAAATGCTGGGATAACAGGGTGTCACCATCCTGGTCACTTGCTCTTTTTTAATGGCAGTTCTTTAAATCTCCTATTTCCTAAATGTAGGCATTTTTCCAAGATTTTATTTCAACCTGCTTCTCTAAATATTCTGCTAACATAGCTTCAATTTTCTGTTAAAGTTATATCTGAACTTTAGAAATAATTTCCATTTGCCAGCCAGGTAAGTCCAAACATTTTCAGGAAAGAACCAGGCAGTAAACTTTTTAGGCTTACAGGCACATTTCTTATTGCAACTACTCACCTCTGTGGTATAGTGCAAAGGTAGCTATAGACAGTGTATAAATAGATGTGTGGCTGTGTTCCAGTAAAACACTTGTAGACACTGAAATTTGATTTTGTATAATTTTCATGTCCCAAAATACTTTTAATATTTTTCAATCATTTTTTTAAAATGTAAAAACTATTCTTAGCTCAAATGCTGGACAAAAAAACCAGATGATTAGGCCCATGGGCCGTAATTTGCCAGCACGTGAACTACAGATGACGCATCTTAAAATGTAATGGGCCTAAAATCAAACTTTTCATTTTTCCTAGATATTGCCTCCTACTGATGTCTTCTATGAATAGTACTACCATTTTCACCCTCTTAGATGCTAGCTGTCATCTCTGTCTCTTTCAGATTTTTTGTTTTTTATATTTGTTTTGAAAATGGGATTGGATTATACACATTACTCCGTAGCTTACTTTTTTTTGTCTTAAGGACAGTACAGTTAAATCTAACTCATTTTTTAATAGCTAGGTACATTGTGGTGTATTTTTTTCTATATTCTTCAGCTATTCCTGTCAATAGAGATCATTTAGGTTGTGTCCAGTTTGGGCCACTGCAAACAAGACAGCAGAAAACTTCCTTAAGCATGAATCCATACATCCTGCTACTTGTTTTGTGGGCTAGATTTTTAAAAAGTGAAGTTACTGGGTCAAAAAGTATTTAATAGATACTGCTATGTGGCTTTTGTAAAATGTCACAGCCCTTCTTTTTTCCCTTCTTGTAAATTGCTATGGCCTTTCAAATTTACCCCCTTAGTGTCTCTGCTTACCAACTTTAATGTACCCTTCTTAGCTTGGCATTCTTGGCCTCTTCTTATTTTTCTGCTAAACCAGTCATCTCTGAGTGAGAGAAGTTACCAATAACTGATTTTCTTCCTTTATACTTTTGTACTCTGTTAGGTATTTTTGTTTTGCTTTGTTCTACAGTGTGCATTTATTACGCTAGTTGGAAAAAAACAGTAACACTATATTTTGAGGAAAATATATTCATCAAAAGATCATGCATAAGGCACTGGACTTTCTATATTTGTTAAGCCTGAGCCTTCCACAAAGTCCAACAAAAATAAGTACCACAATCTAAGTGGTTAAAAAAAATGCTATCAGTGGTTTCAAATATCAAAAACAGTCTAAATAAAATTTCACTATGTAAGATGTATATTCACTTTCTGTAAAGTTAAGCACTGTTTCAAACATTTTATCACTGTAATACTATTGATAGCTAATCATGAATGCAGCAATTTTTGGAGGATTTTGTTTCAGTCTCAAATAATAACAGACTTTAGTCTTGTTTTTTAATCTTGCTCTTGAAAATTATATGATAACACTCTTGTTTAGTTGTGATACCTTATTTTTAGTGCACAAAATAGGCCATCAGTGAATCTATAAGTAAATGAATGGTGGAAATATATATGAAGTACTACTGGAATCCAAAGTGGGAAGAGAGCTATTGTTTCTGCTGGGAGGAGTCAGGAAAGTTCTTCATAGGACATTATGTATTAGACTATGTCTTAAAAGATGCATGAGAGGCTGGTGGCTCCTGCCTGTAATCCCAGGACTTTGGGAGGCCGAGGTGGGTGGATCACTTGAGCCCAGGAGTTCAAGACCAGCCTGAGAAACATGGCAAAACCTCATCTCTACAAAAATAAATAAATAAATAAATAAAATTTTTTTAAAAAATTAGCTGGGCATGGTGGTGTGCACTTGTAGTCCCAGCCACTATGGAGACTGAGGTGGGAAGATCACCTAAGCCCAGGGAGGTCAAGGCTGCAGTGAACCAGGCAACCGAGTGAGACCCTATGTTATTAAAAAAAAAAAAAAAAAAAAAAAAAAAAAAAAAAAAAAAGATACATGAAAGCTTGCCCGATAGAGGGAGATTTTGGTACAGGGAAAACAGCAAGAGCAGAATTGACGTATTAAGGGGATAAGTTGATGGTGAGAATTAGTGGCTATAGTGGCGCCTACAGTGATAGCTAGGTTTAAAATTACCTTGGTTTACAATTTGGTTGAATAGAAGGTGAGAAAATGAAAACACTGAGTAAGGTGTACTCTTATAATGAGTGTGGTGGTAAAGGGAGGACAGAGTAATTTAAAAGAGACACTGGGTTAAAGGAAGGGTTTTTGGAAAAGAATAGTCTGAACACCTTTGTGGACAAATGGGAAGAAAAGTTGGAGTTGGAGTTGAGGATACGGGACAAAGAGGGTTTAGTAATTGAAGAAAAGTTTTGGAGGCAGCCTTAGAAAAGCATAAGGCCAGCTTCCTCTAGAAAGCAAAAAGAAGAGTTAGAAATGGGAGGAGTGTGAACAGCTTGGCTTTCTCTTCATCGTCTAGAATCTGTGGCTTCTCTGTATGAGGTGGTGTATGCTGCTTCTTTAGGTAGTTCTTTTCAGATCCATCTCCTTTTGGAATCTCCTTTTACAGATTTTGTGTCACTGACAGATTTTCTTCCTTATTTCCTTTCTGTCATACTTCCCTGCTCTTACAGCTGCTTTATATATGTCTCTTCAGAATGTTTTGTTTTCATCTTAATTGAGTTCTTCTATTCTAGTTAGGAAATCTTCGTGTTTTCCAATAAAACAGCAGGTAAAGAACCTGTTCTCCAGCCTTAAGCCCTCTCAGACCATAAACCTACACCAGCACATGGCCTGTGAACATATGGTCATTACATACTGAGACAATCCCTTGCCTTGCTGGTGTGGAAGGCTTTGAGTCAGAGTCCTCAGGTCTGTCACGGCAATGCTTGGTGTAAGAAGAGCCTGTTAAATGACTAGCTGTTCCTTCCCGGTGGGCACATGATATTTGGATTTATTTGTCTAGATATAAACAGGAAATAATTAGTGCTAGGATTTGGCTATCTTACTAAATAGTGAAGAACCTCCTATTTATTTTCTTTCTTTTTTCTGTGTTTTCCTTTCCTATTTATTTTAAAAGCATCCTTTTTAATAGTTAACAATGTGTTAGAACTGATTTCCTCAAATGTGTTAACTCTAAAATTATATGTATTCATACATATACACACACATCACATTTATATGTTTATATATATGGCATATTTAGAAAAAGAGAAAGAACTATAGAAGTTCTTGGTGTTTTTAAGTATTTTACTTCACATATAAATTACCTATTTTTAAATACCATCTTTATTTTCAGTTTAATGACAGAATGGCGTTTTTCTCGAGGAGTACAAGAACAGACCAAAGCTTTCCTTGATGGTTTTAATGAAGTTGTTCCTCTTCAGTGGCTACAGTACTTCGATGAAAAAGAATTAGAGGTTAGGCCCTTTTATTATGCTATTGTAGGGAATGTTAGTGGGGGGAGGGACTAATTTAGTGCTTTTACAGAACAGTGTTCACACATTTTAAAATCCTGTAGCACAATCTTGAATCCTCTCATTTGTCCTGATGTCAAGGTGGTATTTATTCTAGCATTGGGTAAGAGTCTTAATTATGTTCTCTGAACCATATAATTCCATGAGCACAAAATCATCAATCAGTGTCACTTGTTAGGGGTCTTGAAGAGTTGTTGGAACATTATTAATAATTCTGAAATTTCAGTTTAGTAGTGAGTTGCTTCAAAGATCAGAATTTTAAGTCATGAGTTCTTAGTGGTCTTAACTGTATTTAGACTTGTTAGAAGTATATCAGGCATGTGATAAAATATATCTTAAAATATACCATCTTAACTATTTTTAAGTGTTCAATAATGTTAAATATATTCACATTGTGCATCCAATCTCCAGAAATTTTTCATCCTGCAAAACTGAAACTCTATGTCCATTAGACAAGTCCCCCTTTTCCCCAGCCCCTGGCAACTACCCTTCTACTTTGTTTCTGTGAGTTTGACTACTGTTGATACCTCCTATGAGTGAAATCATACAGTATTTTACTTTCTGTGACTGGGTTATTTCACTCAGCCTAATATCCTCAAGGTTCATTCGTCCTGTAGCATGTGTCAGAATTTCTTCCTTTTTTAGACTGAATAATACTCCATTATAGAGTATTATGTACACTACCACATGGTATTATCCATTTGTCCCTTGAGGGACCTTTGTGTGGCTTCCATCTTTTGGCTGTTGTGAATAGTGCTGCTGTGAACACAGGTGTACACATATTTCTTTGAGATCCCGTTTCTTTTGGATATGTACCAGGAGTGGTATTGTTGGATCATATGGTAATCCTCTATTTAATTTTTTGAGGAACTACCATACTGTTTTCTATATCAGTTGCATCATTTTACATTCCTATTAAACATGTAGAAAGATTCCAGTTTCTCCACATCTTTCCCAACATTTATTTTCTGTTTCTTGTTTTGGTTTTTTGCTTGTTTTTTTAATAGTATCCACCCTAATGGGTGTGAGGGGATATCTCATTGTGGTTTTGATTTGCATTTCCCTAATGATTAGTTATCAAGAATTTTCTAAAGCTTATTTTCCCATATAAGTTAGGACATAGGCTGGGCATTTGAATAGTCCTTGGCATTTCCTCTCTGCCTGCTTTGGGTGTGCTATTTTAACTGCAGCCATCTTGGGCCTTTTATTAAGAAACTTGGTTCTTTCATGTAATCAAATGTGCATATGAAAAACAGCACTTCAGATTTCATACAGTAATATTCCTATGTAGGATTTAGCCTTCTGGCAAGTCTGACTAACCTAGGAAGTACAGTCATCTCTCAGTATCTGTGGGAGATTGGTTCTGTAGGGCACCTGTGGACACCACAATCCATGGACACTCAAGTCCTTACAATTACAGTATATAATAGGATAGTATTTGCATATAACCTACACACTTCTCCCTTACACTTTAAATCATCTCTAGATTACTTATAAATACCTAATGCAATGCAAATGCTATGGTAAATAGTTGTTATACTATATTTTTAATTTTTTTATTTTTTTTAATTGTCATATTATTCTTTTTCTCAAATATTTTCAATCTACCATTGGTTGAATCTGCTGATACGAAAGCTGTTGGATATGGAAAGCCGATATATATGAAAACCAGGACTCTGAACCTGACTGACATAGACTGTCACTAATCCTGGTTACCATCTTCCTTAACAGTTTGCTTACACAAATTAACAGAAACATATTAGAAGATTAGCATGGAAGACATTTTTAGAGTAGTATTTATTAATCTTTTTAAAAACCATCGACTTCATTTTTAATCTGAAGATGGACATCTTGCATCCTCTAAATTCATACACCTAAATATTCCATACCTCCAATTAAGAATGCCCATGTTAGAGGTGCACTCAGAGAGGGATGTTATAGTGGGAGCCCTATATTGAAGTGGAGATGAAACTAAAACGGGAGATCAAGAAGCATAAGAATAGGAACATACAGTTTATGTACCCTTGGCAGGGTTTATAATGTTCTCACATACTGCCCTGTATGTGGGAAGGCCATATGATACCTTTCTTTTACATATAAGATGACTGAAGCCCTTAATGATTATTTGCCCTGAGCTAATCAGTTAAGAGTACAGTTAAGAGTGCTAATCAATTAAGAGTGCAGAGCTGTGTGAGAAAATACAGATTTTGTCTTGTTTTGCTTTGTCTTGAGTTTTACACCTAATCTGTTGTTCTTTCTTCTACTGTCATTCATTGCCTCTCTTACCATAGTAATGGTTATTTATACTATTATTCACAATAATGGCTATGCATAGTCACACCGCCCTTTTATAGGTTAACATCTGTTTAATGCTTAAGAAGATACAGTAGTCATTCTTTATGAAAACTCTTACCACACTAGGAATATAAGGCAACTTTCTTAGTTTGATAAAGGGAATCATCATCAACAACAAAAAACCTCAGCATTATTCTAAATGGTAATATTTTGAAAGTTTCCCATTGAGTTTGGGAAAAAGGCAAAGATGTCTACTCTTACCACTTCTATTCAATATTTTACCAAATACCCTAGCCAGTGGCAAAAGCAGAAATAAGAAGTATAAAGATGGGAAATAAGTAAAACTGCCTATATTCACAGATGAAAACATGATTTTCAGCTTAGATTAGAAAATCCTAGGTAACCCACCAAAAAACTACTAGAAATAATAGTGAATTTAATAAGGCATGGGTACAATGTTAATACTTTAAAAATCAATCGTATTTTTATGTATTAGCAACAGACACTTAAAATTTAGATTTTGGTTTCATTTGTGAAAGCATCAAAAAATGAGCAAATTTAACCAAAAACACACAAGACCTCTATACTAAAAACTGAAAACATTGCTCAGAAAAATTAAGGAAGACCTAAATAAATGAAGAGATATACGATGTTATATTGTTAAAGTGTCAGTTCTCTCCAAATTGATGTAGAGATTGAACATCTCAGCAGAATTTTTTTTATAGAAAGTGACAGGCTGATTTCAAAATTAGAAGGAAATACAGAGGCCCTAGAAGAGCAAAGCCAATTTTGAGAAAGGACAGACTTGGAGGATTTGCATCACCTGATTTTAAGATTTCTAACACCATAGTAAATAAGATAGCGTGGTATTTGTGAAAGAATAGACAAATTGGTGGAACACTAGAATGTCCAGAAGTAGATCCACACCTACATTGTCAATTGATTTTCAACAAAAGTACTAAGATATTTCAACGTGGAAAGGGAATATCTTTTCAACAAATGATGTTGAATCAACTAGATATCCATATGGAAGAAAATTAACTATAAGCCTACCTCAGTCCATATTTAAAATTAACTTTGACCTTACCTCTGCCCATATAATTATTCATGCTTACAATTAAAAAGAATTATAAGCCTGAATGTGAAAGTGAAAAACATAAGAGAAATCTTGATGTAGGCAGAAGTTTTTTAGAACACAAAAAGCAATAACCATGAAAGAAAAATATGGATACATTGGACTTCTTCAAAACTAAAAACTGCTCTTCAAAAGATACCATTAAGTGAAAAAGCAACCTACACCCTGGGAGAAACTATTGAGACAAAGATCTTATATCTGGAATATATTAACAAAAAAACTCACGTAACTCAATAAAAAGATAAGAAAACATTTTTAAATGGACAAAGGCTTACTTCCCAATAGGATATACACAGATGGCAAGTAAATACTTGAAAAATGCTTATTAGTAATTGGGGAAATGCAAATCAAAGCACCACTTTGAGATAGTGTTGGTAGTTTCTTGTAATGTTAAATGTACATCTACCTTATGGCCTACCAGTTCTACTGTTAGGTGTTTATCAAAATGAAATGAAATATATATCCACACAAAGACTCATACATACATGTTAATCATTTTATTCATCAATGCTAAAAATTGAAAGTAACCTAAATGTTCATTAACAAGTGAATGGATAAGCAAATTGTTGTATATTCATATAATGGAATACTATTCAGTGATAGAAAATATGAACTACTGGTTCCAACAACAGCATGGATGAATCTCAAAAACATGTTGAGTGGGAAAAACAAAAGAGGATGTGTGTATATGTGTATACACTATATATCACAAAAATATGTATGTATGCATATATATGACATTCTTAAAAGGACAAATATAATCTGTGGTGAAATCATTGATCACCTAAAACTAGAGATGAGGATGATTGTTTTGATTACAAAAAGGGGATGATGATTTTGATTACAAAAAGGGATATGATGGAAATATTCTATATCTTGATTGTAATGGTGGTTACACAGGTGTATACATCTGTTGAAAATCTTCGAACTATATACCTAAGTTTGTGCATTTTATTGTATGTAAATTATACCTCAAAGTTGACTTACGAAAAAAACTAAGAGATTAAGTATTACATATTTTACTATACCTAAAATAATGTTCATTTCATACATAAGTTGAGGTTGTTTGACAATTTCACATAGTAGAATATTCCTAGAGAATATTATTCTGGATAAATTATTAATAGGAGGTTAGTATATTTTTTTATTTTCAAATATATAAGATAGCATAGATTTTTAAAAATGAGAACCAGAAATAGGTTTGGAACTAATGAATTTGGATAGCCAGTTTGGGGGAGATCTATCTGTCTGTCTGTCTGTCTGTCTATCTATCTATCTATCTATCTATCTAGATATAAATCTATATATATAGATGTGTATGTGTGTATTTACACACACACACCATACCATATATACATAATGTGTGTATACATAATAGATACACACACACATTTAGATATAAATCTATATATATAGATGTGTGTGCGTGTGTGTGTAAATACACACACACACCATACCATATATACATACGGTAAAGGATACATGCTTTTCAGTATAGCTGTTTTTCTTGAAGAATACTCTAAATGCGGTTTTTGGTTTGAGTTCAATAAACATGGGTAAAATAAAGTACCAGAGAATCCTTTATGCTAAATTGCCACAGTTTTGTTATATTTGCTTATTGTGATCATTATATGCCATGCATATAGCTTTTCACATAATTTGCCATGTGCATAACTGCATTAGGAAATTTCAGTCATATAATTATTCTCTTCACTAAATCTTTATTGTGGCCTGATTCTGTGCTCATTTCCCAGGTTATGTTGTGTGGCATGCAGGAGGTTGACTTGGCAGATTGGCAGAGAAATACTGTTTATCGACATTATACAAGAAACAGCAAGCAAATCATTTGGTTTTGGCAGGTATTTGCTTTTATCTTTTTTGAAACAAAGTACTCAACATATTTTCTAATGAAATGGTGGTTTTAAAAATAGCTTATTATTTTTAATTGAGACTGCTTTTGGACACAGTTTATAATTTTTTAATTCTAAATCTAAGCGAATAGTGTGAACACTTGTTAAAAGTACTTTCTATTGCTTCTTTGACTGTCTTGCTGAAATGAAGGAGTTGAGTGACAGAATCTTATTTAAGTAATAGTTTAATGTTAATAGTTGTAGGCGTAGCAATTTTTTTCTAGTGGTATCAAAGTAGTCTAAATTCCACTTAATTCTAGAAGTAAATGAGGAAGTATGTTTGTAGTGAGAGTCAGTGCAGATACTTTAATTCCTCTGAGGTAATAACATACTAGGGAATAAGAATGATCGAGGGGATAATGTCTAAGAATGACTTTATTCATTTATTTATGTATTTTTTTAGCGTGTGTGTTTTGCTTAAACTATAATAGGATGGTCTCAGGAATCCAAGTGTACCACACTAATCTTGAACATTTTATTTTAATAGACTTTTTGTTTTGTGTGTTTATTAGAGAATTTAAAATCTCCAAATCAGGGATATTCTTCAGATAACTACTCTACTAATTGGGACTCTTTTGAGCAACTTAGTGACTGGACTTCTGGCTTACTTCTGCTTAACTGTTTCATTTTCAGGTGAAGAGTAATGCTGGGTTTTGTGTTATAGTACACTTTCCAAAAGTTGCATCTTTTCATAAGGATGTATGTTGTGAGTTTATTGCTTGATATTTTAAAGAGATGTAGACACTTCTAGAAATTTATCTTAAAATATACTTCAACGTGTGTAAAGTGGCACATACCAAAGTATTTAATGCAACATCATTGGTATACTAACAGAGACTTGAAACAACCTAAATGTCCATCAGGAGAGTACTGAGTAAATAAACTATGATACATCCGTTCTTTATAAGTCTATACCTTGGAGTCATTCTTTTTCTTTTTCTTTTTTCTTTTTTTTTTTTTTTTTTTTTTTTGAGACAGAGTCTCACTCTATTGCCTAGGCTGGAGTGCAGTGACAGGATCTCAGCTCATTGCACCCTCTGCCTCCCAGGTTCAAGTGATTCTCCCGCCTCAGCACCCCCACTCCAAGTAGTTGGGATTACGGGTGTGCGCCACCATGCCCGGCTAGTTTTTGCATTTTTAGTAGAGACGGGGTTTCACCATGTTGGCCAGGCTGGTCTTGAACTCCTGACCTCAAGTGATCCATCTGCCTTGGCCTCCTGAAGTGCTGGGATTGCAGGTATGAGCCACCATGCCCGGCTTTTCTTTCCTTTTTTAAAAATGCAAATTAACAAAAATGTTGGAGAATAATGTTTCAATACAATATTAAGGGGAGAAGGAAGATGCTAACCAATGTGTATAATATGGTGCTTTTTGGTTAAAAAGTTATTGTCTGTATAGTAAGTGTATGTTTGGAAATATGTCATCTTTGAAAAGGCAGAGAAAAAACTGGAAACAGTTCTATAGAGGAGCTGAGCAGTTGGAGGCAAAGGTAGGAAAGCTGATTTTCATTAAATAAAAGCCTTTTGCATTCTATACTATTACCTATTATAAAATACATACATAAATAGGAAGGAATAAATCCATTTTCAAGCCTAAAATATCTGAACTGCATTATATACAGTATGCATACCGTTGTTTGTAATCTTCCCTTTCAGGCTTTTTACTAGCTTCATTACAGTCGGTGTTCCATGGCTTTCTGTTTACACATTTGTACCTACATAGCTAATGAGCTTAAGCTTAGAGTCATATAAATCCAAATGAATACTTCTGTTTTCTGAATTGGGTTTCTTTTAGGGAAAGTGATGAGGTTTGTGCCAGACCTGGTAATAAGTCTTGTTTCTTGTGTTCTGATGAAATATGTGCCTCAGCACAATTCTTCACTGAAATATTTTGGGTCATGATTAGCACAGCTATTTTGTCTTATCCTTAGCTAAAGTTTATTCCCTATTTTTAAGATACATTTCCACTCTTAATCTGCTCCCTATGTTCCTTGCTTTCTGTTATACTCAAACCAATCAAATTAGTAGTTCACCACCTTACCCATTTATGTCGTTGAAAATAACCAGTCAATGAAATAGATAATTTTAGAGGAATGTGTACTTTGGTTTTTCAGGTACTAGTCAGGAAGAACACAAAGTGTTAGGAAAATGGTGTTTCATGGGAGAAAATACCACAAACTATTAAGAGTGGCAGCAGGGAGGTGTTCATTTGTTTTCTGTAGGTTAAAGGGGAGAGGGGTAATTGACTCAGGGAGGAATAACAGTGGTTTAGGGCTCATCTAGACTTGAGTTCAAATGTTAGTTCTGCCACTTTAGCAGTTTGGGAAGGACAAATCATTTAAACTCTCTAGGCCTCCATTTCCTTATATGTACAGTGGGGATGCTAATGATTCTACCTATCTCATAGAATTGTTGTGAGAACTAAATCCATGAAAACCAGTGGCACACTATTTGGCAGGAACCCTTAATAGCTATTATATTACAACCCAACAACAACATCTATCTTGGTTGCACCTTTTGTTGGTATGACCTTACATAAATGACTTAACCTTTCCAAGATTCTCGTGTATTTCCTTCCAGTAAGATGGATGTAGTAATAATAGTGGCCAGCCTCCGTGTTCTCATGAGGATGAACTGAAGTGAGGTTCACAGTATACTTAGCATAGTGCCCAACCTTAATAAATGACAAACCCTACAACCTCTTTTTAGCACATCTTTTTTTTTTTTTTTTTTTTTTTTTTTTTTTTTTTTTGAGACAGAGTCTTGCTCTGTCGCCCAGGCTGGAGTGCAGTGGCGTGATCTTGGCTCACTACAAGCTCCACCTCCCGGGTTCACGCCATTCTCCTGCCTCAGCCTCTCGAGTAGCTGGGACTACAGGCGCCCGACACCACGCCCGGCTAATTTTTTGTATTTTTAGTAGAGACAGGGTTTCACCATGTTAGCCAGGATGATCTCGATCTCCTGACCTCGTGATCCGCCTGCTTCGGCCTCCCAAAATGCTGGGATTACAGGTGTGAGCCACCACGCCCAACCTTTAGCACATCTTTTGAACCAATTCAGTGTTATTTAATTTCTTCAAGTGTCTACTACTTTCATGATTGAAGATAGTTTAGCATTTCATATTAAAGTACATTTAATTTCATTACAGTTTGTGAAAGAGACAGACAATGAAGTAAGAATGCGACTATTGCAGTTCGTCACTGGAACCTGCCGTTTACCTCTAGGAGGATTTGCTGAGCTCATGGGTAAATGTAATTTCACTGTAATTTCTCTGTACGTAATTTTGTGATAATAATGGCCTTTGGACATACAATAGACTTGATTGAACCTAAAGATTACTCTTCTGTGCTGTAGGTAGGGCTTCATTTAGAAGAAAGAAAAATGAGTGGCTAATATCAAAGCACTTGTAAGACAAAAATGAATGTGTCCTCATATAGCTGAGGTGGCCATTGCTTTGCTCCCTATGGTGACTGTGAAGGGAGCGACATTCTGTAGAGAGAGTTTTCTTCCCAATGATCTAATTCTTATTGCTGGATCTCTGCAACAATTTTCTTCTTCAGGCAGAAGCAGCTTACATTGTGAATTTCTTTATTTTGTATCATTCATATGACTGTGCAACATGTTCTATTATTTAAGCAGTTGTCAGAAGAAAAAAGTTTAAAGGACCAGATAAACTTTGTCTTATTTTCTTGGTGTAGGAAGTAATGGGCCTCAAAAGTTTTGCATTGAAAAAGTTGGCAAAGACACTTGGTTACCAAGAAGCCATACATGGTAAGTTCAAGAATCCTAAATACGAAGGTGAAAGCCACAGAGAATCTTTTGTTTTGTTTTTTTAAAAATATGTAAGATCCAGTATAACTGCTTATTCATTAAAGTAGTCAGAATTTCAATTTTGAGAACAGATTAATACAGCATTCTATAACTGAACACTTTAGCATGTTCTCATTAATAGAAATATTTGAGAAATGCATCCAGTGATTCAACAAGTATTAGTGTACCCACTAGGTATAAAGTAAGATGTAAGTATTCCCTGTTTTTTATGAAGTTTGTGCCCCATGGTGGGGCACAAATGACAAACAGATAAACAAATAACTATTTGCAAATCCTGGGAAGTCCTTCGAAGGGAAAAATGAGAGTACTCTAACAGAGAACAACTAACGGGAACCTACTTTGGGTTGGGTGGTCAAGGAGATTTCTTGGAAGGGGTAATTTGTTTAAATTGTGTTTGGTAAAGAGCATGATGTGGGAGTACGCAGAGAAAGAGCATTCTTTGAACAGAAATGCTGAAGTAAACAAAGACCCCGAAGAAATTGTTTTTCAAGGAAATGAATATGATAGGTGTGATTGGAACTTGGTAAATCAGAAGAAAGGGAGATGAAAAAATTGGGGGATGTAGGCAGGGACTAAATTATGTACAGCGTTATAGGCTAATTAAAGAACTGAGATGTCAAAGAAAAATTAGACAGCTTTGAAGAGTTTTAAATAACAAGTAATGAATCCCAGAAAAATCGGCCAGAAAACAGTATAGGGAAGGATTTGGATGCAAGGGTGAATGCAGGGAGAGTAGTTAGAAAATTGTTATGGTTACCCAGGCCAAAGATGACATCCTAGAGATAGGTGATTCTTTCAAGAGGTCAAAACTATTTTCATACTAAGCCATTATTTGCCTTTTTATCATTTTGAAATTTCTGCTTGTGGTGCAAAAGCAATGGTTTGTGAACCTGCTTGTGCCTTAGCACAAATCAAGGCAGTGGCACCAAACTGCTACCTCTATTCTTCAACACCATACCCTTGAGGTTTAAAGAAAAAAAAAAAAAAGAAAAAGGCAAGTTCGTTGAAGTTCTTTATGAAGCAGTAAAAATTACTAACTTTATTAAATCTTGATGCTTGAGTATATGTTTTTTTAACATTTGTGTGACAAAATAGGAAGTCTGAAATAGCACTTGTGCACACCAGAGAATGATTTTCTTGAAGGAAAGCTTTTGGGCAGTTGTTTGAGTTGAAAGCTGAACTAGCTTGCTTTCTTTTATGGAACACTATTTTTACTTGAAAGAATGACCCACCAACAGTTTATGTAGACTTAGGTATTTGACAGACATTTTCTTGAGAAGTAATGATGTTAGCTTGTCATTTTAAGGAAAACAACAGGCATTTGTTGGTGGTGATAATTACCACCATGAGCTTGACAGCTTCTTAAGACTTTCCTCGATGAGATTAGTGGGGTTTTTTGTTTGTTTTTTTGTTTTTTTGAGATGGAGTCTCACTCTGTCACCCAGTCTGGAGTGCAGTGGCACAATCTTGGCTCACTGCAACCTCTGCCTCCCAAGTTCAAGCGATTCTCCTGCCTCAGCCTCTCGGGTAGCTGGGATTATAGGCGCGCACCACCACGCCCAGCTAATTTTGTATTTTTAGTAGAGATGGGGTTTCACCATGTTGGTCAGGCTGGTCTCAAACTCTCCTCACCTTGTGATCTGCCCGCCTTGGCCTCGCAAAGTGCTGGGATTACAGGCGTGAGCCACCATGCCCGGCCAATTAGTGGTATTTTAGCAAATGTGATTTTTTTTTCTATTATATAATTAAATGTGTCAACATTTAGAAAATCCTTATAATTTGATGAGCCATTATTTTCAAATGATCAGTGAATGCTGCAACGAATGTTACAAAATGACGCATGGGTAAAAGTTATTTTCAAAGTGCAAGACAGGCCAGGCACGGTGGCTCACACCTGTAATCCCAGCACTTTGGAAGGCCGAGGTGGGAGGATCGCTTGAGCTCAGGAGTTCGAGACCAGCCTGGGCAACATGGTGAAACCCCATCTCTACAAAAAATACAAAAATTAGCCGGGTGTGGTGGCACACACCTGTAGTCCCAGCTACTCTGGAGGCTGAGGTGGGAGGATCACTGGAGCCGGGGAAGTCAAGGCTGCAGTGATCCATGATCACACCACTGCACTCCAGTCTGGGTGACACAGTAAGACCCTGTCTCAAAAAAAACAAAAAAAAGATCAAAAAGTGCAAGAAGAGGAAACAGTAGATTTTGTATAACAAAGTACAAAGTGTTCTTTGACTTGATTTCAAACCCATATTGTGCATTCCCTTGTCAAATTTAGTATCAAAGAATAATATCCATAATTACCTGACAAGATGAGTAATCTCCATTTCTAACTATTTATCTGTGTGGGGCTATAGATTAAATGTACAACTAGATATCAAAATCCATATGTTTTCTATTACACCAGATATTTAAAAGATTTCCAAAACTAAAACAAAATCACTCTTTCCACTATTTTTTTTGGAAGTAGTTGGGTTTTTCCCATTAAAATGTTATGTTTATTTTCATATCAAAGTGAATTAATATTTTTTAAACTTCTGTTTTAACTTCTAATCCAGTAAATATCAGTAGCTATAATTCATATAAATAAAAGCTCTTTGCAGTTGGAAATCCATTTTTTTTTTCCCAAGATAGAGTCTTGCTGTGTTACCTATGTTAGAGTGCAGTGGCACAGACACAACTCACTGCAGCCTCAACCTCCTGGGTTCAAGCAATCCTCCTGCCATAGCCTCCTCAGTAGCTGGGACCACCAGTGCACGCCACTATGCCTGGCTAATTTTTTAATTTTTTGTAGGGACAAAGTTTTGCTGTGTTGTCCCAGGTGGGTCTTAAACTCTGGGCTCAAGCTGTCCTGCCTTGGCCTCTGAAAGTGCTGGGATTATAGGCATGAGCCACTGCTCCCAGCCAAGGTTGACAGTATTTTTAAGAGTGAAAAGGAGTCCTGTGACCAAAATTTGAAGACCTCTGCCTTCAATAAAAGTGATAGATCCATATGTATACACACATGCGCGCGCGTGTGTGTGTGTATTGAGAGAGAGATTTTTGAGTCAAAGGGAGAATTAAAATAGATTTCAAATTTTGTGAAAGGAAAGTAATTACCACCCACTGATTTCTGTTTTCTCAAAGTATAAGGAGAAGTCACTGGCTAAGAGTGAAGAAAGGAAAAACTTTTGAGAGAAAGAAGGAATTGGGAGAATTGTTAGAGAATAGGCAAGTATTCATTAGAGGAACACGGCTAAGATTGCTAGGCAAAATTGGATTGCTCACTTGGATTAGAGCATGAAACAAGTTGACAGCAAAGAGCATAAGCTTCCTTTCCCCACCACAGCCCCCTCCCCACCCATAGCAACTCGAAAGCAGCAAAAGTTTTTGAAGAGTGGCATAAACTGGTATGTCTTTTTAGCAAAAAGTAAAAAAGAAACAAAACAAATAGACCCAAAGAATTCTCTGATGGTCCAGGTAAGAGATGATGGGGAAGCATATACAAAGGGATGTAGTGGCAGTAGAAATGATGAGGAGGAGCCTGGGCAACATGACAAAACTTCGTCTCTACAAAAAAAAATACAAAAGTTAGCTGGCCATGGTGGCATGCGCCTGTACTCCCAGCCACTCCAGGGACTGAGGTGGGAGGAGGGAGGATTGCTTCAGCCTGGGAGGTCGAGGTCGCAGTGAGCCGAGACAGTAGCCTAGGCGACACAGCCAGACCCTGTCTCCAAATAAATAATCAGGAGAAAAAATGGAATATTTGGTAGATAGAATGACAGAATTTGGCAAAGGCTATATGTGAAAGATGTAAGAGAACAGAAAGTGACTGGTTGTCTTGTATAGGAAGTATTAAAAAATAATTTTTTTTTCTGACCTTGTTATCATACTCTACCTTGAAGTATAAAGGGGAGGGCAGTATATGGTCTGCTTAGTTGCTGCTATTAATATCTTTAACTTCATTTAAAATACAAAGAATACAGTCTTAGAACAGCACTGTTTTATTTAGATGCCTTGTTTCAAAGGCTCTTTCCTGACTCTGACATGGGAGGGTCAAGGGCACATGGAAAGTGGTGACAGTGGTAAGAAGGCACCTGGATAATCTCTAGAAACCTTCCACATGGGAAAATGAAGGTACAGAAGGGTTCTGACTTACTCAGGGCTATCTCACTAGTCACTGCTACTGTAGGGACCAAAACCCTGAACACCCGAATCCTAATCTAGCTACTCAGTGCTGTACCTCACAAAACGAAATGTTATTCCACCTTTGTAAACTGAAAAATAATAGTTATTTTAAGCATTTTTTAGTATTTTAAAATTTTTATCAGTTAATACCAGAATGGAATTGAGTATGGCAAGATTGAAAAAGTGTCATTTTAGAAGAGTTTATATATGTGGTTAGATTATTTGAAAAGACAAAGAAACATATATATTTGTTAATTGACTGTCTCTACCCCAGAATGTAAATTCCATGAAGACAGGGATTTTAGTTTTCTTCACTGTATCACTAGCTTATCAGTTATATAAAAAATTCTCGGTAAATGACTGATGAATGAGTGACTGAGTGGATGAAAGAAATGGACTCTTATCCTAAGAGAAGTTAAGAGGACTCATGACACATGTAACAGGAATAGTAAAAAGAAAATGGATTTTTTTTTTTTTTTAAATTTGTCTTTATCCATATTGCTACACTTATTATTTGTAATTCCATTTTCCTCTTGGAGATGTTAAAATAGTTTTTATATGTAAGTCTTAAATTTAGATTACTCTAAATACTTCTGGCAAAATTTTAACATATATAGTATACATATATCCATTCAGCATTTCTATGTGCTTTGAAAAGTATTCTATTAGATTTTTTTCATTTTATTGAAAACATCTGATTTTGTTTTTGTTTCTGTTCAGTTTTAATCGCTTGGATCTACCACCATATAAGAGTTATGAACAACTAAAGGAAAAACTTCTTTTTGCAATAGAAGAGACAGAGGGATTTGGACAAGAATGAATGTGGCTTCTTATTTTGGAGGAGCTCTTGCATTTAAATACCCCAGCCAAGAAAAATTGCACAGATAGTGTATATAAGCTGTTCATTCTGTACAGTGAATTTTCCGAACCTCTCAAAGTATGTTTTCCGTTCTTCCACAGAAATATGCAAAACAGTTCATCCTTTTCTACTTTATTTATTGTTCCCTTGAAATGACTGACCAGGAAAAAGATCATCCTTAAATTTTGAAGCAAGTGAGAGACTTTATTAAAAATACATATATATCTATATAAACATATATGATAGTGGCTCTAGTTTTATAGAGCTCCAAGTGTATTAAACATGACAGCCATTCATTCATAAAGATCTGGATTTGCTTTACCTTGTTAATATTATCTAGGGGAAAAAGTGCAAATTGCTCCATGTTCTTCTCTCCCTTATGTAACATCTCCTGAGGGTGTTTAGTTGCATGGCTGTTCAGAAAGGTATTAAGGGCTTAGGCCAAATCTTACTTTGAGTATGTTAAAAAAAAAAAAATGCTGCTGGCTTTTCTGAAGACAGGTGCTTGAACTTGTCAGTTTGTTTTAAATAAATACAATAGTTGAAAATTTTTCTCTGTTACATCAGTAATATTGTTAAAGTAATGGATAGAACCATAACTTACACATGAAAGTCATATACTAGATCCAATACTATTTAGTTTATTATCGAAATTGGAAGGATTCATTGAGCAGCATAGAAGTTTGTTTACATGTTACTTTGAGATGCTAGGTATTTGTGGAATTAAAAAGAATCAGGCTCTTTTGTACTTTGTTTTTAAATCTGTGATGCTTTTCAAATTTAATTCATAATAAATTGATGCAATTTCATACTTAGGAACATACAAAAGGTAATGTAAACTCTGCCACTTTTTTGTGTTCAAAATTTTGGTTTTTATGAAGCCAGATGGATTGAAGAGTTACATAAGCATTTGAATGCTCTAATATAAGGCTAATGATTTTCTGTTAGTGTTTGAATATCTTCATTCCTCTCAAATTCATAACAGTTCTATTTAACTGAATTAAATAACCATATGAAAAATCTTTTGGGTCTCCCCCTTTTTACACAGATAATTATTTTTGTCATAACACTTTTTAATTGTTTTTCATCATAGGGGCCTTTGCTGAACTACAAAAATGTGTAACAAATTAAAATCTGATGTGAATGATATTAATGCTACTTTTAGCAAACTGGGCTTCCTAATACAAAATTTTAAATTTCCATTTGTATCATGCTTTTAATATGCACTGTAAATTTCATTAACTTAAACATTTTTTAATAGCCATGGAACTGACTTCTTAAAATCTGTTGCCTATAAATATTTCACTGCTAAGTACATACAGAAAAACAGTAATTATTGTTTTGCCAAAATTTTATTTTTCTACATATTGAGAGTGTGTTCTCCATTTTATTCAGAATTCATAGTAAAGACGAAAGAAAGGCAGAGATCTGCTTGGTTGAATAGACTCCTTTTCCAAATCCTTATTATGAACACTCTGGTAATTTTCAAGCCTAAAGAATTAAAAAAAAAATTCTAATGTATGTGACAGGTTATGTGATAGAGGGAAACTGGCCTTCAAAAAGGACTGCGTATACCATAAAAGAGTTAAGTATTAGAATTACAAATGGTACCACTGCTGTATAAATTTTGCCATGACAGAAGTTATTGAATATCATTCATTGTAGGTATGATTTAGCAGATTTGACTGAAGAAGGCAGCTTTCCAGTTCGTTTTCAGGGTGCTGGTCTCCCTCAAGTAAGAAATTACGATGCACTAGGTGAGGCTACACAGAACCCTACAAGAGACAAAACCAGCTTTGTTTTGGAGAATTCATCAGGGTCTTCCACTTTTCATACCCAATTATAGATATCCAAGACCTACAGGCAGAGCTCTTGATTTATCTACCCAGTAGCAGTCAGAAAAACTGTAGAAATATGGTCCCCCACTCACCTTCTCCCCTTCTTCCCTTCCCATTCCTGTTCTGTGCTGGACTAACCGAAAGAAATTAGGAGTGCAAGACTCTCTGTGCCCAAAACACAGTTCATGAGGAAACAGACAAGAGGGAGGCTCAGAGACAGGTTTATATTGCTACTTCATTTTGGTGACTCCCCCACCCCCACCACCAGTAAATGGCCCAGGGAATAGCTCACAGGCCCAATACAATTCTGTCTGTTAGATCAGTTAAGCAACACAATTCTATCTGTTAGATCAGTTTAGTTGTTTGTCTTCCAGGGAAAGCAGCTTACCAGTGTTTTTTTTGTTTGTTTGTCCCGCCCCCCCCATGTACTTCCCAAGTAGTTGAAAATGAAAAGGTTAACAAAACCTTTTCCCCTGATGACTTCTGTTAACTACCTAGCTCTTCCTACCCTGACAACTAAATAGGATGGTATGTGTCAACTGTATTTATTGCCATGCAGCTTTGCTTTTGGTAAATATGACCCTGACTGGTAAGTTGCATCTGGACTGGGAAATCTCCAGATACACGACAGAAAGCCACAGCTTTGGGCATACCTGAGTGGAAAACTCTTGTAACTGTATGTCCTTTAAGGAGGACCGTGAGCTGTCACCTGGGGAGATACCATTTCATAGATTGCTGTTAGAAGACCGTCTTCTGAGAGGAGGTTCAAAATTGTCCTGCTGGTGAGCTGTGTGGTTCCTGTCCTATAGCCTTCTGAGTAGACTGGTGCCAAATACAGCCTATTGTAGACTTATTAAGTCTGAATGTTTGGTTGAACCTAAGATGATGTGGTGGATGTTGCAGAAGTAAAAATCTTCCTCTGTTGAAATAATACACAACTAAAAGTTCTCCTGTAACACTCAGTTGGCCTTAAAAGCCAAGCTTTAGGTCAACTGAGGATTTGATCTAAGTCCAAAAGTGACATCTCCTATATTCCAAAATTTCTCTCCTCAATTCTCAACCAAGAACAAAATCAGAGATAATAGTAGTTGTATTTACTGGTATTCATGGTAAATCCTTTACATAAATTATTCTCTTGATCCTTACAATTCCATGAAATTGGTGGGGTTGTCTTTAATGATGCTTATTTTATACATGAGGAAAGTGAGTATGAGAGAAGCCATTTTTACAACACCCACAGCTAGTACACAGCCCATGATTAAAAACTCAGTTGAGATAACTTGGCCATCAAGAAATTGAGAGCTTTTAGGTTCTTATAGAATCACGGCCATTTTCCAAAATCAGTATTCTACTCATATCCTCAAAAGGAAGGAAGGAAACATCTATAATGGAGAGATATAGCCTATGTATGTAATAACACTTAGAACACAGAGTACTACCAACTTACTTTGATATACATGTACGTGGGGAAATAAGCATCTCAATCCAGCAGTCAGCTCTGGAATCCACACAAGAACAATCAGGTGGGGGCTGCACGGGAAGGAGAATGTAAGGGATTCCTGGGGTTTGTTCTCAGTAATGGGTCTCACCCTTAGTGGGGAAACGTCACGGACCAATGTGACACGTGGGGAATCAGGCTCCTGGGAAGTCAAATGGAAGAGACTTAGTGCACAGAATCAGAATCTTGGGAAGGCACCATGTCTTGCAGAAGAAACCTAACCCTCAGAGAGTAAAGGGGAAAAATGAAGATAAAAGGACCCAGGAGCCACACTCCTGGGCATGTATCCCAGAGAGATAAAATCTATGTAGACATAAAAACCTGCATATAATGCTCATAGCAGCTTTATTTGTAATAGCTAAAAATCAGGAATAACCTAAATGCCCCTCAGCATATGGTTGATATGGTATGCCCATAAAATGAAATACTAGTCAACTGTAAAAAGAAACAAACTATTGATAGAACTTAGGTCTCAAGGGAATTATGTTGAGTGAAAAAAAGTATCACAGGGTCTCACTGTATGATTCCATTTGTATAACATTGTTGAAATAACAAAATTATGGAGAACAGATTAGTGCTGTCAGAGTTAGGGATGGGTGGGGGAGAGGAGGAGGTAGATGGGTGTGACTGTAAAGGGACAGCACTGGGGATCTTTGTGATGACGGAACAGGTCTGTATCTTGATTATGGTGGCAGTTACCAAAAATCTACATGTGATAGAATTGCATACAACTATACACACAAGAGCATTTAAAAGTGGTAAAATTTAAATATAAGGTCTGTGGTCTGTACCAATGTCAGTTTCCAGGTTTTGCTATTGTACTACAGGTTATATGAGATGTTAGCACTGGGATAGGCTGAGAGAAAGGTACACAGGATCTTTTTTTTTTTTTTTTCAATTTGTGAATCTATGATTTTTTGAAAGTAAAAATATTTTTTAAAGTTCTAATAAGGAATCAGGAGGTAAGACCTCCATAAAAAGCTTTATTATTGAATGATACCTGATCTCACAAAAAACAAACAACTAAGCAGAAAATATTCTTGAACTAACCCAGACCCTTTCTTCCCATTTGATGACCTAGTATTGCTGGTAACTCAACATAAAATTACATCCCTAGGGAAAAAAAATAAAGTCACTCTAAAGAGAAATTGAAAATGAGAAAAAGGAGAGTAAACTTTAACACAATATGCTAATATGAATTAAATTATTAGATATTTAAAAAATCTGAAATAGCAACTTAAAAACTCAGAACTGGACAAACAAAATGCAGATGTGAATGACTGGCTAAAATCAGGAAAAAAATTCGGAGAAAAAGACAAACACATATCAGATGTGAAGGCAATTATAAAGTATCTAAGGAAGAAGAGATACAACCAAATGTAAAATAAGGGATATGGAAGATATAAATGAAAAGAGCCAAGAAAATGAAACAAAAAGGCTAAAAGAAAAATCAGTAAGTGATAAATGTGAAAGTCAGGCAAAGATCTAATAGAACTAATTTGAGTCCTGGAAATAAGTTGGAACAGCGGTTCTCAAAGTGTGGTCAATTAGACCAATCTGGAATGCGAGAGAATCTATGACAACCGGACTGGCCTATTCAAAAAGTCAATGTTGCAAGAAGAAAAAGATGGGGAACTGTTGTGGATGGAAAGATTAGCAACAAATCAAATGCAATGTATAATCTTTGGATCCTGATTTTAGAAAGCATGAGACATCTTGGGGACATTTGAGAAAATTTGAATATGGGTAGATATTAGATGATGTTAGAGAACTGTTAACTTCTCCAGTTGTGATAATGGTTTTGTGTTTGTTTAGGAAGATGTCTTTATTCTGAGAAAATGCATGCTGACACATTTGGGGTGAACTATTATGATGCTTGCAATCAGTTTCAAAAGGTTTAGAAATGTATGTGTCTATACACACACAAACACACATGTATAAATACAGGTTGAACATCCCTATTTCCAAAAATCTGAAACCTGAAATTCGTGCTCCATAATTCAAAACTTTCTGAGCACCAAAATGATGCTACAGGTAGAAAATTCCACATCTGACCTCACATAACAGGTCACAGTCAAAATGCAGGTGCACAACACAGTTTATTCGGTCTCCCTAAAGGAAAAAACCCATTTTAAAAAGCCATCCAGCAGAATGCCACATCCCTAGAAAGACCCACTTCCTGGCCCTTCAGCTGCTTCTGTTTCTCTTCACCTACAAAAATAAAATTACAGTATACAATAACCTTTTAAAATACAGCATCATTAAGTGGGAAACTGAAAGCCTGCCATTGTTGTTGCCGTTTAACAGCTGATACAGGTTTCTGGTGATGCTACTGTTGCCTAGCTACCCTGACCACATTATTTTTTCACTGTATCAGTGGTGTGTCATATTTTTTTTTTTGCCATCCTTGTTCCTGTGCGAGTTATGTCATATTTTTTACTGTTAAGTACTTATGCATGAATAAGTATAAGAAAATAACTGCTTATTGGTAGCATATACATTCAGTCAGGAATGATGGTGACATCAACCAACCACAAATTACCCACATGAGTGGCTGAGATAATGACACCTTTGCTTTCTGATGGTTCAAGGTATGCAAACTTGGTCTCAATGCACAAAATTATTAAAAATAATGTTATATAAAGTTACCTTCAAGCTATGTGCATAAGGTATATATGAAACAAGTGAATTTGTGTTTAAACTTGGGTCCCATCTCCAAGATATCTTATTGTGTGTATGCAGGTATTCCAAAATTTGGAAAAACATCCCAAATCCAAGATGCTTCTACTAGTCCCAAGTATTTCAGATAAGGGATACACAACCTATATAGCAAAATCACTGAATCTAAGAGATGGGTATACAAAGATCACTACTTTCAGTTTTCCTTTTTGTTTGAAAATGTACATGACAAACATATCCATACAGTTCATTGTAACATTACAATTCCCAAATCCTTTGGGAAAAATCCACCTACACACACAGTCTGTCTTTATCTAAGTGGATTCAAGATGCTCCTTTTTACAAAACTTAAAAAGATTTTGCAGTGGTGGCACTCCAGCCTCAAGTGAGTAGCATAGTCCTGCCTATTTAAAAACATCTTAGTATTCCATTTCACTCTTAAGTTTTGTGTTCCTTCCATTCCATTAGGGAATAGAACTTTGCATCTGATGACAAATTCAGTTTACCATGAGACTACACCACATTTAAAGTAAACTGGCCAGGTGCGGTGGCTCACGCCTGTAATCCCAGCAATTTGGGAGGCCAAGGCGGGCAGATCACTTGAGGCCAGGAGTTTGAGACCAGCCTAGCCAACATGGCAAAACCCCATCTCTACCAAAAATACAAAAGTTAGCCGAGTGTGGTGGTACAACCCTGTAATCCCAGCCACTCAGGAGGCTAAGGCAGGAGAATCACTTGAACCCGGGAGGCGGAGGCTGCAGTGGGCCGAGATTGTGCCACTGCACACCAGCCTGGGAAACAAAGTGAGACTCTGTCTCAAAAAAATAAAAAAGGAAACTACTCCATTTTTAGTCATCTCCTTACTTAGTTCTTTACTTACACAGGTTAGCTCCAAGATATATCATTTAACTACTTTATGTCAGGAACCCACAACATCCTAACCACTGTCACCACACCTTCTCTTCAAGATTTCAACTTAGAATCAATCCAATTTGAAAATCCATCCCCCTGTATATCCCCTATAGATCCATTTCCCCTCCTCTACAAATATTTCTTTGCTTGATCTCCCATCCCAATGTGATCAATCCTTAGAAATCTCATACCATTTTGCATTGCTGGTATCCAGGATGCAAAATAATCTCTTTGCCTGAGCCATGGAGATTTATTTCTACCACTCTTATGGCGATTATTTATTTTACCCTATTATTTGTGAAGAAGCCTAGAATATTTTATATTTACACGGTTAAATGGTCACAACATTTAAAAAGCCGTAGAACAGTTATAGTTCATATATTAAGTTTAGAATTAAAAGAAAAGGCAATGTTTATTAGCTATTTCATAAATCTTCTCTGAAAAGTTCTCAATTCTTCTCACTGAAACTTGTAAGCAACTGAGCAGCTTCTGTCTGTATCTAAAATGGAAAAATACATGTTATAAGTAAACAGGAGAGCTAAGAGACTAACTTGTGAAATTTAAGTTTATAAAGTGGGGTTTCTAAGAGTTTCCAAAAACCAGATAGGACATTATAACAATAAAATGTCTTGACAGTGACCAGATGAGACTCTCAGCTCTTCCACTTTAGTACACATCCCATGACTTTTATGTTTTAGAAATGTTAACTCGATCTGCCATGTGTGTCAAACAGGAATAATTCTGCATTGTAGCAGGCAACCCGTAACATCCACCTGGTGATAGTAACTAAATTATTTCCTATATAGAAATATAAATGTCAATCAATTTACACTTGAAATGAACACACTTGTTTTCAACAATATTATGCATTTAGAAAATTATGCTTTTAAAGAAGTTCTTAATTCACCATTTAATAGTGCCTCAAAACCTTTCTGCCTTACTTTATGGGAGATGTTTTACCTGTTTATCCTCCTCTGTGTGTGCTGGATAGTCCTTGGCTTTCATTAGCCAGAAAGCAGCAAGCTTTTTGTTGTGTAGTTTCAAGTATGTCTTTCCTAAAAGAAGTAAGTTTTTGCTGTAGAAGTTTGGATCCACTGCACATAAGAAAGAAAAAATGATCTCAGAGGAAACAGTGTTGCTTTTATTTTTAAAGGTTTGTTTCTGAGGTCTAAATTTCAATAAATTTGTGTGGTCAATAAGTGATTAGACTAATGGGAATTCTCTTTTGTTCAACTGTTTATATCTCAAACAAATATTTGTAAAATAATAATTACCAATGAATAAACATCTACAAATGTGCTAGGCACTGCATTATACACATTTCTCATTTTCACAACTTTGTAAGTAGGTATCTCCATTTTATAGATGAGAAGCTGAAGCTCCCGATAGAATGTATGCTATTTGAGGACAGCAATACTCTTTTTAATCTCTTTAGTTCCCTATGGTACCCCACGTGCCTACAACAGTGTGTGAAACATAACATACATTCAGTGTACATCGGCTGAATAAGTGAATGAAATGATGATGACATATATATATTTGATCAACATTTACTGGATGTCAGCTATACTTAAACATAGAGGATGAAACAAAACCTCTGTTTTTTTCAACTTTATAATGAAGAGAGAAACATGAACACAACTAAATGTAATATAAAAATGAAAGGAATGCTTTACTAGATATACAAACTTTGAACTGCTACAAGAAACCAAAAAAAAAAGTGGAGAACATTCTTGGCTGAAAGAAAAGCATAAACAGAAAGCCTATGAATGAAAACATGGAATTATCTCACCAACTTAATTCTTCACAAAGTGTCCCCCTAACAATCTGAGATCCTCTGTATTCAAAGCATACTTTTTCCTGTATACAATTAATGATTAACTCCATTTGCTCCTTAACCAAAATTGTTTTACTTCTTTTATTTGAGCAGATTTGTGTGATGCCATGTTGATATACTTAAGTTGTCCTGGGGTTAAATATATTCGTATATTCAATCATCCGATCATTCATCTATTTACTCAGTCATTCAACAGATTTGCCAAGCATTGTGCCAAGTAATGAGTGTGCAATTGTGAGCCAGAAAAGACAAAGTCCACATCTTCTCAGAATGTACAGTCTTACACATGTAAATGTTCATAGTATTGAGTGATAAGTATCACTGGAAAAATAAAAGATACTAAGGGCATCAGAGGAGCCTCTGAACTGAATATAGGCCAGAAAGAAATAAGGTAAGGTCACTCAAGAATGACTGAAGTTACCAGGGATTATTTTAGCTCCATGAGGGTAGGACCATGTTTTTCTCAACACCCCCAACCCTTAAGTCTCTAAGGTCCTATATTTTTACTTTGTAATTAACTTTTAAATCTGTTAAAAAAAGTCATCCCTAGATTCATATTCATGATATGTGAAACAGTATGATCAAGAGAGGGTATCAGTGAAGGTAATAATGAATAAATCAGAATTGATGAATTACAGAGATAAAACATTCAGATAAAATTCTGTAGAAGATAACTGTTATCATGAAATGAACAAGTCCATTATGTGTGGGATCTCAAATTTAATAAACATGGTATGTCTTCTCCTGATTAAGTTTTATAGAATATATTTCAATGGTTTTTATGGTCTATTTGGTATCATATGCTTATGTCTCTTATCTCCCCCACTTGGTGTATGAATATTAAAAAGGATAAATTTAGGATGGGCTGGTGGCAGTTTCATAGGACTAGTCATTTTTTCAAAACAAACATAACCCGAAACTCTTTTTCACAATATCTGCAATAGAACTAGCCTGGCTGAATAGCAGAATTCCCATTTAAATGCCTCTAATGAGATGCATAATCTTTTTTTGTTTTTTTCAGACAAGTCTCACTCTGTGGCCCAGGCTGTAGTGCAGTGGTGCAATCACAGCTCATTGTAGCCTGGAACTCCTGGGCTCAAGTGACCTTCCTGCCTCAGCCTCCTGAGTAGCTGGGACTACAGGTGTGTGCTACCACACCTGGCTAATTTTTATTTTTATTTTTTGGTAGAGATGAGGTCTCGCTATGTTGCCCAGGCTGGTCTCAAACTCCTGGGTTCAAGTGATCCTTCTGCCTTGGCCTTCCAAAGTGCTGGGATTACAAGTGTTAGCCACCACATCTGGCCAATATGTGCAGTCTTGAATAAGACAATTACCATGTCAGAGACTGCTCTCACAAAGGAAGCAGAATTACATCAAATGATAGACATTCCAGAACTGCAGCTCTAAGTTCAATAGCAGCCTATTTCTCATTCAGGTGATCTTTACTGAATAAAGACTTTAAAAATTGTTTTACAGTATCTAGCACAAAAATAAGTATAACAGAATAAACAACTGCTTTAGACATTGCTATTATAGTATATATTCAGCATTCATACAATTTTAACTATATTAATATGTGTAATCAAAAATACCTTACCTTGTTCTGCCCTGTGAAAGTAGCCTAAGGCCTGTCAAAAACACAAAGAGCCCAAACATAATAAAAAAGATTAAAGAAGACAATATTAAAAAAGCATTGTCTCAAAGATCTACTGCTATATTATATTTAAGTCAGGAAGTAAATCATCTTAAAATAATGGTCACTTCTTCAACAGTGAGAGTTAACACCCAAAGTGAACGTAACACTTCAATCATCAAGATTACAATATATGGACTACTTCTGGTAATAACTTGGTTGCTGTTTAGAACTTGTACCAAACTAACATCATGTGCAGAAAGGAAAGAACATTATCACGTGTAACTCAGCTATTTTGACAGTTCTCTTAAATCATAACTAGTGATTTTTAGTAAAAACAAAATATAATCAAAAGCTGAATTTATTCGTTGTACTAGTGAATTTTTAAGAGTCCATTATTATTGAAATTCCTACATACAATGTTAAGTCTGAAACTCTTTTTGTCCTACTTAAGCTACTGTTTTTGTAATGCATTCTCTAATGACATTTGATTTCTAGAAACATAACTAATTTGATAAAGTAGAGCTGACTATATTTTTTGTCCTTAAAATGACCTGTCTTAAAAAAAAAAAAAAAGAACCAGGTCTCACTCTGTTGCCCAGGCTGGAATGCTGTAGCGCAATCACTGTTTATTGCAGCCTTGACCTCCCAGGCTCAAGTGATCCTTCTCCCTCAGCTTAGCTGAGTGACTGGGACTACAGGCACAGGCCACCACACCTGGCTAATTTTTGTATTTTTTTTGCAGAGGTTTTGCCACGTTGCCCAGGCTGGTCTCAAACTCCCAGGCTCAACTGATCCACCAACCTTGGCCTTCCAAAATGCTGGCATTACAGGCATGAGCCACCGTGTCCAGCAAATGGGCATTATTTTAATAATACCATTATAAAATATTGGTGCATTATTTTAATAATATTTCTCAACTGTGTGTAAAGAATACAACTAAGTATTTTTTACATCAATTTCTACACTATAGCTTCCCAGAAAGAAAAAAAAGCTCCTTGTTATAATGTAAATAATACAAGTACAGCTTTTTCGATTGCCTGTTTTCTTACTCTGAAAAGCTTGTGATGAGTAAACCCAAAGTTTAACCAGAAATTCCTCTCAAATCTTATTTTTAACAAGAAAAGCAAAAGGCCTTGAAAATATGAGAGAATATGAACCTTTCATATGCTTTTTAAAATAGAAGTTATAATGAGTGTTCTTCTTTTATCAACTTAAGCATCTGCTTTACTTTTCTGTTATTGTGTGTAATACAGCTAAAACATGCTGGGTAACAGATGCTGTATTTCTTGTTCTATTTTATGACTTCAATATAGTTTAGATTTCAAACAGAAAATGAAGGTAGATTTTAGCCACGAGCCATTTTAGATGACAGTATTCCAGAATTACCAGCCACTCACCTAACGGGGAAAAAGAAAACCACTCACCAGTCAAGGATAATAAGTGTTAAGCCTTGTGATAACACAGTTGAATTGGATCATTAGAAATTGCTCAAGTCCCTCACTGAATCAGAGCTCCACATGTGTGAACACATGGTAGAATGGCGCTGTGGTTAAGAAATCCGTACTAACTTAACAAAGGACATCATACTACCTTCTCATAGGTGGAACTAGGAGGAGTTGCAAACAGCATTTTAGCAATTCTTCTTTGATACCAAGGCATTTCGGCAAATGTATAGCACCTACAGGGAAATAAAACAATTTTATACATTCAAATTGTACCTTCTTTTCTCTTAAAGTTAACTAAGCATCTTAATACTATAAAAGGAATCTTCTACTGTATGTTTAAACAACTTGTGCTTTACATGATATCTACTAGGTAATCCAGAGATTGACATAGTGATCCTTTAGCTGGGGGGTGTATTTTGTGATTAAATATAAATAGTAAGCAGTCATACTAATAACAGTAATATAATATACATCTACCACTGAGTGCATTGTGCCAGGTAGTGGGTTGATTCTCTCATTTATTCCTTGTAACAATTATATATGAGATAGGATAATTTCCCCTATTTTTCTTATAAGAAAAACTCAGAGAAGTTAAACCTTACACAAGAAAAATGACAAAGCTAAACATCAAATGTATAAATAACAGCAACCAACAACTTAAATCTATTTTTAAAGCAGCAAAGCAAATGATTAACCTCCAAAGATCTTTACAACTTTCAGAAATAAGTAGGAAAGAAAGTGTTGCATCTTTGACTAGGGTCTGAAGTCCTTAAGGCAGAAATTGCTATTTCATTTGGGTTTGCTTACTAGCATCTGACTTAGTGACTGCCCCTCAATTATCATTAATCCTCAGTGAATGAGTGTTAGCTTAATATGTCCTTTATCCTGAAGAATATATTTCTCTTTTAAAAGAGTTTGATACAGGACAGTTTACACTGGTACCCTTCTTAGATGGCAGTAAATATTCAGCTCTGCAGGCTATACTCAAAAGAGTGTCCCATCTATCTCAAAACAGACTCTTAAACCATCAAGTACGTAACACTTTGATAAAGCCTCATACCAGCAAAATAATAATCTACAGTGGACATAAGATCACATAAAAATAGAAAGATACTGAAAATCAGATTATATGGTTCCTCAGATTAATCAAGACTGTATCTGACACACTTTGAAGATACAAAGACCCTCTTGGGGCATTCTACTGTTTTACTATAGTTACATTAATCTAATTTCATTTAGCATGGTAAATAAGAATAGTCTTTTCAGTCTGTACATGTTTCTAAATGACCTGAATAACAATGTTTAACATGGTCATAATCAAATTTAGTATGTTCTAACAATATATATACAAGGGCTAGTTAATGGATTTAGCACTCTAAGCTCTGTCAGATAATATTTTAAAATATTTAATATCTTTTATATATGCAAAAGAAGATATTTATACATACTACAAAATATCACACTAAATACTACTGAAATATTTAAAGAAATTTTCTTACCAAATACCCATAAGGTGAATTGAAGTAGCATCTTTAGGGTTCAGTTCAATTGCTTTCTAACAAGAAATGAGAAAAATAAATCATATTTGTTTTCTAAACACCAATAAGTGCTTTACTGTGTTTGCTGAAGAAGCCATGATTTTTTAAAAAATGCAACTGTGTGTTTCAGTTCTCCCATTATAATATCAACTTTCTTCCTCCTGATTCTTTGATTAAATTCATTTCAAAACACTATTAATGACTTATACTAATGTTACTATTTTGTATGGTTCAGACATTTATAGTAAGTGTCTATCAAGATGAGAAAAAACATGAAATACATAAATGGATTAATTTTGCAAATTAATCTTGCAAATTAATCTATAGCTCTTAATGTTTCTTCCAAATTAAAGGAAAAATGGATAAGGAAGTACTTTCTTGGCAAACTGTAGATGAATACTGAATAAAAGTCATTCTTTCCTAAAGAAGAAAAGTGCATTTTAGTTTTTTAGAAAAAATGTAATTTTAGAAAGTCTCTTCTATGCAGATTTTAGAAAGTCTTTTCTATTTTTAGAAAGTCTTCTTGTATGCAGATTTTGTTCAACTTCCCCATCTGTACTTACCAAAGGAAAAATAAACAGTTTATAGAATATTAATAGAATAATTATGTGCAATGTAAAATATGTTGAATCTCCCTAATTTATATTTACTATGTGAATATAAACTACAGAATAAAGAAACTGTTCCTCCTTTTATCCATTATTTTGTTGAAAACAACTAAAGAAATCTTACAGATTAATGTTCATATTAAAAGGACTCTTTTTGAAAAAATTAAGATTTCCTAGTTTATGCTTTTCTATAAACCCACACTTTTGCTTTCAGTTTAGTAATGTGTGAGGTACACATTTTCAAATATTTGTAATGGTTAAGAGCATGGTCTCTGAAACCAGACTGCCAGGATTCAAGTCACAGCTTAATGACCTTGAACTGGTTGCAAGATCTATATTCTTACCACAACTGAGTTTTTTCTCTTTTATGGAAAAGTCATGTACTTAACTCATAAGGTTGTGGTAAAAAATAAATAAGTATCTTAACATGTTTATATGCAACTTATGCTCTAAGCAACCTTTCTCAATTGGGAGTTCCACTAAAAATTAAGCCCTACAAAAAAATTGTGTAAGTAACTATTTTTTTCTATTTCCTAAGAATGATACAGAAATACTGTAGTCCCATTCTAGATGCATAGGAAGGAAGTTAATTCATCACAATGGATGCCTGGGGGGATCAGGGTTTAATTAATTTTCCTTTTTTTTTTTTTTTTTTTTTGCCTTTGCCAAAATAAGGTTTTATTTTGAAAGTCATTTGAAAAACACTGAGGAAGGAAGGAGAAGACCTAAGACCCAATGGATGTAGGTTCCAAATTTGGATTCTTGCTGGCCCCACCAATGGTCTCTGTCAGGCCAAGAAGGTTCTGCTTTCTTTGGTAATTCCTATTTTTTTAGCTTCCTGGAGAAGAGATCTTTTCCCACAAGCCATCTTCATTTTTTTTGTAGAGTAGGGCTTTATTTCCAGGAAACAGTGTGTTAGTTGGAGCAGTATTTTTTTTTAAAAACATCAAGGTAGATCTAATATGTTCAACAAAGTGGGGTGGCTCGGCCAGACACGAAGTGGAAAGATTCTCTAGTATTTGCTTGTCATCTTGCTGCAAGCAGAAATCCACATGTGGAAATGGTGTCCAGGAGTACAGTCCTATACGAAGTTGTTCTGTCTTTGCATCGTAAATGCTAATCACTGGTCCTCCTGCTAAAGCTCACGCGGCACGCAGCTGCTCCTCTGGACCTCGATCTTGAAAGGAGGCTCTGTAGGCCAGGCACGGTGGCTTATGCCTGTAATCTCAGCATTTTGGGAGGCTGAGGTGGGCAGATCACTTGAGGTCAGGAGTTTGAGACCAGCCTGGCCAACATGGTGAAACGCTGTCTCTACTAAAAATATAAAAATTAGCCAGGTGTGGCAGTGGGCGCCTGTAATCCCAGCTACTTGGGAGGCTGAGGCAGGAGAATCACTTGAACCCTGGAAGCAGAGGCTGCAGTAAGCCGAGATCACACCACTGCACCCCAGCCTGGGCAACAGAGGAGACTCTGTCTCAAACAAAAAAAAGAAAGGAGGCTCTGTAAATCTTTGCAGTCTTAAGTTGACAGCAATGCCATATATTATTAGAAAGTGTTATTCGTTTTCTTCCTGGTCATTTAATTCTGTCACACATAATCATAGTATCACTAAGTGAATGTCATCTTCTTGCCTGTCAAATTCACTAAGAAGTTAATGAGTGAGTTTTTGTGACAACTGCCTCCCACATCACTGAAGCCTCCCACGAGGTATACTTCCAGGCTTCCACATTGAGCGCAGTCGGAAAAAGACTTTATGGAGTTCATGATCAAGGGGACCCCAGCTTTGGTGTCGGTTCCATCACAATGTGTCAAGCAGGTGGCGCCATAACCTGTGTGCAACAGGACCCCAATGTGACAAGTAGTGGCATTATCAGAACCCAAAATGGAGACGGAGCCATCCTTTGGGGAGGTCACTGCGAGCTCTCTTTGCTGAACATACAGAAGGCCCTGGGGTCCCAGTTGTTGAACAGACTGACCTCTGATACATCTGGCTGTTTCCTCCAGAGGCAGGTGGGCTCGGACGAGGTCCCCGGCGGACTGTGGCAGCCGCACTCGCTGCCCCTCGATGAGCAGTGGCATCGTGGAGGCAGCCGCCCAGGCCAGGGTTTAATTTTCTTATGAGAAGGGTTGAGAGGGGTACTTTCAAGCAAACTCTTTTATAATCAATCCTTCCTGCCACTGGTCTTTCAAAAATAATCCAAAGATGTTACCACTTTAGATATATAATGGAATTTGAAATGTAAGCAGTATAAATGATCTTTTTTATATGTAAATACTAAATATTGCCATTTAAAATATAAACATGTACATTTGAAAGCTTATATAAAACATTGTTTTTTATAATCTATAACCTTCACTGTTTTTTAAAAAAATGGAAAGTATACATTTGTGTATTTTCTACAGTTCTTCATTATTCCCTTTGGAAGTTATGTCATGTATTTCTACATCCTGAGGCACAGAGAAATTAAGCAATTTATCTAATGCCACTGAGAAAATTACTGTATTTCCCTGAATCTAAAATATCAAAAATGACACACCATTAGTTTATGTGCCACTAAGAAAGAAAGTATCACTGCCAACTACAATGTAAGGTTCCAGCAATTACATCATGTAATCTCATTTCAAGGATTTTAAACTGTGAAACAGGTAAATTGTTACATTATAAAATGTCAGTTATTATGTATATATTACTATCCATACCTGAACAAGAAAAGCTAGGTCTCTGGACTCCCAGTCATTCTTTTTCACTAGTTGTTATATAAACTAGGAATTGACACTAAACCATAAAATTATGAAAAACTATTTAAATAGCAAATTCAGCACTATCCCTATGTATGTTTCCATCATTTTTCCTTCCTATAATCTCAAAAGAGAAATAAATATGCTGGTATTTTTGTGGTAGTTTTTTTTTTTTTTTTTGAGACAATGAAGTTCATCCATGTTAAGAAATATACAGACTCCTATGCAATTCTTTGCACCTAACAGCTTACTATAAATAATTAACTTTAGGGGAAAATATTTTTAATAAAACACACATACAATATACACACAGATATCAATCTTAAATAGAATTATTACTACAAGGAGTGGTGTGTCAATTGTGTTAAAGACTGTTACACTGGACCACGCTTTCCATATTCAGGAACTTGTGTCAATGCTCCCCTCCCACAGAAACTGGGCTTGCCCTTGTGACTTGTTTAGATTAACAGGATATTACCAAGTGTGATGCAAGCAGAGGCTTGCTAGAACTTTGTACATTGGATCTTTTCCCATGGAACACTCATTCTTGGAAGCCGACTACCATGCTATAATGAAGGTTGAGCTAGACAACTAAGTGATAAAAAAACAAGTGAGGAGAAACTCTCATAGGTAAGAGGCCATCTTGGACACTGTAGTCTCAGCTGAGGGCCCAGGTGAATGCAGCTGTCTAAATGACCCCAGCTATACCAAGCAATGTAGAAGTGCCACTGCGCTCAGTTAACCCAAAGAATTGCAAGAAATAACAAACTGTCGGCTGGGCACAGTGGCTCACACCTATAATCCCAGCACTTTGAAAGGCCGAGGCAGGTGGATCACCTGATGTCAGGAGTTTGAGACCAGCCTGGCCAAAATGGTGAAACCACACCTCTACTAAAAACACAAAAATTAGCCAGATGTGGTGGTGTGCCCCTGTAATCCCAGCTACTCGGGAGGCTGAGGCAGGAAAATTGCTTGAACCCGGGAGGCGGAGGTTGTAGTGAGCTGAGATAGCACCATTGCACTCTAGCCCGGATGACAAGAGCGAAACTCCGTCTCAAAAAAAAAAAAAAAAAGAAATAACAAACTGTCATGGCTCTACTCCACTGTTATCATAGGTGGTTTGATATACAGCAATAGATAATGAAAACAAAAATCTATTCAGAAAAATATGACTTTTAAAATTCATGAATTTGAATAATTCATCAGTACCTCAAAATGCTCCTTGATGATATATGCATTTGCAATTTTAGCCTTGATGCCTTCATAATCTCCAACATCACTAAGGCAGATTGCATACCACTGAAAATTTAAAAAAGTGTAAGAACAATAATATTCTTAATATTCCATTCAATACAAGGTAAAACTGTATAATATTCTTCAATAGTCATTCTCATCCAACAAAAAGTTACTGAGCATAAAAACTGTATTAAATGTAATGGAATATATAAAGAGAAGTGGACATGGCCCTCTAGAAACTCAGGAATAGGGTTGGGCGCAGTGGCTCACGCCTGTAACAGTACTTTGGGAGGCCGAGGTGGATGGATCACCTGAGGTCAGGAGTTTGAGGCCCTGGCCAACATGGTGAAACCTTATCTCTACTAAAAATACAAAAATTAGCTGGGCATGGTAGCATGTGCCTGTAATCCCAGCTACTTGGGAGGCTGAGGCAGAAGAATCACTTGAACCCGGGAGATGGAGGTTGCAGTGAGCCAAGATCACACCACTGTACTCCAGCCTGGACAACAGAATGAGACTATGTCTAAAACAAAACAAAACAAAACAAAAAAACCTCAGGGATAGGACATGTTTATAGAGAACTATAATACAAGGTAGAAAGTGGTGAATTTTCCAAGAAAGTTACCAACACAATGAGATAATGGTTCATGTTTATGGTCTGAGTATCAATTTAGAAGAATATGTAATTGAATGTTTTATTTTCTCATTCTCTTTTCTTGGAGTTCCATCTACTCTCACATTGCATTGTTATAGTAAGAACAGCCACAATGTCAACTGTGACCTTGTCTCCACAGCCACAGTTGGACGGCAGACCCAAACTGAGATGACCTGAGTTTCTTTCCCAAGAAATGAATCTAAAATAGCCACACTTCAAAAACCCAGGTGCTGTG
The DNA here is from genome assembly GCF_000001405.40 of Homo sapiens. Taxonomy (NCBI): domain Eukaryota; kingdom Metazoa; phylum Chordata; class Mammalia; order Primates; family Hominidae; genus Homo; species Homo sapiens. Next base: position 86,485,789 of record NC_000008.11, read on the forward strand.
GAAAGTCACAAGACTTAGGATAAGGAGAAAAAAAATGTCTGCAATGAAAAAGATTTTCAGGTAACAGCAGAGTAGAGAAACAATTAATGAAGCCTCGGAGCAATCAAGCCAATTGTTTCCCAAGGTCCAACTTCACCCTGCCTTTGGGTTCTATGAAGTCCAACAATCCAGAAGGCTAATGACCACCTCGTCTCCCCGTACGATTTACTGAAAAACGTTGTTGTGAACCAACAAGAAATCCTGAAAGCAGCTAAGTTACATGTGAAAAGTCATTCTAGGTCTCAGTTGTCTAGCTGTTATATTCCTACCTCTAAATAAAACAGAAATATAACGTAAGGAAAATGAGAAAACATCTGTGAAGTGCTTATACTACTAAGAATATAGATATAGGTAATTCATGAAATTACTAAACTCCTGTTTAAAAATAAGCATTCACAAAAGTAATTTATCAAATACATATGAAGTTAGACCAAATGTTTACAAAAACAAAGACTTCTTTTTGAAAAACTTATAAAAATAACTATCTTCCCTACTTCTTTAAAATAGAGAAATTATCCTTAAGATATAAGATTGAATAAAAAGAAAAAAAAACTTAAAATAGAGAAATTGTTCTTCCAATGTAAATCAGAGATAATAGAAAAATATAGAAAATGTACCTCTCAGTACATGGTTAATAGCTTAGTTAAGCAACTCACCTTATGAGATGCAAAACTTGATTCATTTTTTTCTAGTGCTCTTTTTGCATACTCTAGGGCTTCATACACCAATAGCTTTTTCTCCTCTTCTGAGGTTCTGCTAAGCTGAGCTACATCACGTGATGCCCGTGCCAAACGCCACAGTAACTCTGCATCTTCACTAATTTGAAATAAAATATAAAACAACCATTTTAGCTCACATTTAAAAATTGTTAAGGGTTACATTACTAATGAATACATTATGGTCTTTCAGCTTAGGAAGCTAGCAACATGATATCAAAAGCCATTAGTAATAATGCTAAATTTATTATTTTCTTTAATATAAAACCTTTACTTGCTAAAATTTCCTATAAAAATGTCTAATATCCATAAATATTAACTTACCTCTAGTATCTAAAATACTTCTTTCAAAAATATCTTTGCATTCAAATTCTCTGAACATTTGCCCTACAAAACTCAACATATTAACTTGAGGTTTGGCCTCACTGGCACTGTGTTTCAAATAACTCACTCAGTAGTTCATACAGTATCATAAAATACATAAATTTTATAGACAGGGTCATGTTCTAAAAATACAAAACTGCTGAATCCCTAGTCTCAAATACAGCACCTGACACAAAATTGTTTTTGACAATTATTTGCTAATGAATGAATGGTTGAATATAATGTAATCTCAAAATAAATCCTATGTTTGAATACCATGCCATGATGCATGGGTTACTTCAAGTAAGAGCATTGGATTCTTTGAAGAACTGCCATTTCCATATAATGACATAAGAAATGGTTAATAAATTATTAACCACCACAACTGACAGAAATAATTGTAAAAATTAAATTCCGCCAGGCACAGTGGCTCACGCCTGTAATCCCAGGACTTTGGGAGGCCAAGGCGGGCAGATCACCTGAGGTCAGGAGTTCAAAACCAGCCTGATCAACATGTACTAAAAATACAAAATTAGCCGGGTGTGGTGGCACATGTCTGTAATCCCAGCTACTCGGGAGGCTGAGCCAGAAGAATCGCTTGAACCTGGAGGGTAGAGGTTGCAGTGAGCCAAGATTGCGCCATTGCACTCCAGCTTGGACAACAAGAGCAAAACTGTCTCAAAAAAATAAAATAAAATAAAATAAATAATAAATTCTTTTTTATTAAATGTTTGCCTTTAATCCTAACTTTATTTTTTTAACATAAAAAAAAATTTGAAGCTAAAGCTTCCTTTAATTAAGATAGTTATCATTCAATGAATATGGAGTAACTACCTTACAGCTTATTTTTCAAGTTATCAATGAAATGACAATAAAATGCCAAACCAGCCACCTTGAATTACTAAGGGAAGAATGGAGAAGAAAAGATCAATCCTGTAGATATTTAGAAAGTAAAATTGATGGGTCCTGGGGAGAAAACTGGTTTTGAAAATCTAAAAAAGGCAGATGAAAATGACTCAATATTTTTAGTTTAGGAGATGAGGTAGATTAGTGATCTAGAAATGCTATTTAGCCATATGACTTACTTCATAGGGTTGAGTCTTTCTCTCGCTCCACACTCCTCCCAAAAATGAGTACACACTGATATTCTACACTAAACATACAATCTAATAATAAAAATAGAAAAAGGGGGTATTTTTGGTTTCTCTGAAAGACTATCCTTCTAAAGTAATACACAGTTACCACTCAATGGTGGCATGCAACATCCTACATCTCAGTGAATTCATTTAATCTATACCAATAAAAAGTTACTTTAAAAGAAAAACAATGAGAAATATACAATATAGCTAGAAGGGATAAACATATATTCAATAACTATCTTGTATCATCTAAAGCAAAATGGAAAAATCAAAAAAAATTTCAACATTCCACTAAAGTAGTAACACCTTTTCTAAATCAATGAGATACATGCAGCATTTAACGTAAGAAACAAATAGTATATTATAAATTAAACTCTAAGAAATATTTTGAAGTAAAAACTACAATAATCAATTTTTAAAACCTCAAGCACTAAGGGTCATTTTAATTGTTAAATAACAAAAATTTTGAGGAAACCACAAGCCTAGGCCTATCCTACATTGCTTACCTTTCCTTGTATTGGGTTAGCAACTGATAAAGTTTTTCTGTTTCTCCGCTTTCATACAGGTAGTCTGCTTGTTCAAGTATTTCTTCAACTTCAAAGATTATAAAGGAAAAAAGACACAATAAAATAGGTCTTCCCAAGTCAGATGACAATAATTCAAAGAAACTTAAACACTTTTATATATAAGCAAATGAAATTAGATACAGAAATGACCTACAATGAAACAGCAGAAATTAGGAAGAACCTAGATGGAAACAAAGTAGAAATAAGCATAATGCTATCATAAAAAATGATTTATTGAAATCATGGGAAATAAAAAATTAGAAAACTTACTCTGGTAGTGACTAAATATGAAACACTAACAATAAATATAACACTAACGATAGCTGATGAGCTAAAAAAATTCCAAAAACTCTCATAATATTTTAAGAAAGTTTACTTATCTGTGTTGGGCCAGATTCAAAGCTGTCCTGGGCTCCATGTGGCCTAGGGGCCGCAGGTTGGACAAGCTTGCTCTACACAGTCTTTGTTGTTGCTGCTGTTAACTACCAACCATTGTAGAAAATAAAAGTCATCTACTTAAACAGCACTGAATGTTAGTAATTTGCATGAACCAAACCACACTGTTTTAATAAATTCTCTTTATACAGAGATGTTGTTCAAAGGGTCAGAGCTGTCATCAGAAATTTAGATGAAGCTAACTACACACTAAATCTGGAACTTACTGACACTATGCTCTGACTGACTCTTAAAACTAATTTATATATGACTACAAAATACATAAACATTATTGACAGTGTAGTGCCCTAAGAAAACTGTCTACTTAATGAAAAAAACAGTCTGAATTTCGGGAAATTCCAATTATTATTCAGAAACATGTACATTTAATTTTGTCTTCTATAAGGGTACTGTACTACTTAGTCCTAAGCCAAGATTCCAATGTGTATACACTTGGTATACTTTAATTAATCACAGTATACTTGAGGTTAAAAGGGTTTCTTGGCTGGGTGCGGTGGCTCACATCTGTAATCCTAGCACTTTGGGAGGCTGAGGTGGGAGGACCACCACGTCAGGAGATTGAGACCAGCCTAGCCAACATGGTGAAACCCCATCTCTACTAAAAATACAAAAATTAGCTGGGCGTGATGGCGTGCGCCTGTAATCCCAGCTACTTGGGAGGCTGAGGCAGAAGAATCGCTTGAACCCGGGAAGCAGAGGTTGCAGTGAGCCATGATCGCTCCACTGCACTCCAGCCTGGGCGATACAGCAAGACTCTGTCTCAAAAAAAAAAAGGGGGGGGATGGGGGTAGTTCTAGTTTTTAAAAAATTAGCAAAAAGAAAAATACAATGAAATTTGTGATGCAATCGTGTTTTTAAGTTAACATCATAATGTAATAATTATACTAGTTAAGAAATTAAATGACAATGGCAAAAAAAACCCCTAAAATTAAATAAAGATTATTTTTCTCAGTAATCCCACTTCATTCTGATTAGGTGTTATAAAGTTTAATAATATTCATATGGCTGGTTAATTTTTCAAATTTTGCTTCCACTCTATTCTATATTTTTATCGGATACGTGGCTGAATCACAAAGTTTGTGTTTTAACAACCCAAAGGATAAGGAGTAGTCTTTATTCTTTAGTTGATATTTATGGTAGGTAGAATAATGGCCCCCAAAGATGCCCCAATCTTAATCCCTGGAATCTGAATGTTTGGTTACATGTCAACGGTGAACTGTAGATAGAATTAAGGCTGCTAATCAGCTAATATTAAAACAGGAAATTATCCTGGATTACCCAGGTAGGCCCAATATAATTACAAGAGTCCTGAAAAGTGAAAGAGGAAGGCAAAAGTCAGAGAAGGAGTGTCAATGGAAACAAGATCAGAATGATGATTTGATGGTGGTTCTGAACATGGAGGAAGACACCTTCAGCCAAAGAATGCAGAAAGCCTACAGACACTGAAAAAAGCAAAGAAAGGGAATATTCCCTAGGGTCTCTGGAATGCAGCTCTCCCAATGCTGATTTTAGCCAGTCAGACCCATTTTTGGCTTCTGAACGGCAAGATACAGAACTAAAGAACCCTAAGATAATAAATTTGTGTTGTTTAAGTCACTGAGCTTGTCACAGCAGTGAAAGAAAATTAATATTAAATATATTGATCTGGCATATTTGAATGTGTACATAGTATGTATAAGTAAAAAAGTTACTTTTAAATATATTCATTGATTATTCTCTGACTTACTAAAAAGACTAATTACTGTCCTTAACATGATCCAGGAATTCTAAATCACATTACTCATGCGATTAAAAATGTAGAAATTGTCAGCCAGGCATGGCAGCTCACGCCTATACTCCCAACACTTTGGGAGGCTGAGGTGGAAGGATCACTTGACCCCAGAAGTTCAAGACCAGCTTGGGCAAGATGGCAAGACACCATATCTTTAAAAAAAAAAGTAGAAATTTAGTGAATAATCTAAATCTTTTTTGTGTGCATTCTTTTATAATCTCTCAAATAACTTAGCTCCAAATTACATAAATACTATAAGCTATAATATAATGGCTTTAAATATATATATAAATTTATTTATTTATTTATTTATTTGAGATGGAGTCTCACTCTGTCGTCAGGCTGGAGTGCAGCGGCACTATGTCGGCTCACTGCAACCTCTGCCTCCCAAGTTCAAGCGATTCTCCTGCCTCAGCCTCCTGAGTAGCTGAGACTACAGGTGCGCACCACCACGCCCAGCTAATTTTTTGTATTTTTAGTAGAGACAGGGTTTCACCATGTTGGCCAGGATGGCTTTGATGTCTTGACCTCGTGGTCTGCACTGCAAAAAATCAGTGTATGATTTTTTCTAAAATCAAACACTGTACAATTTATAAGAAAAAAGTACACTTCCTATGGTACTACAGACTGACATAGGCACTCGGGTGAGAGCTTGTAGACAACTCCACATATCCGCAAATCAGTTGTTTTCTAACCTAACATTTTATACTATCTTGAAAATATTTACAACTAAGTTACATTACTAACATAGAGACCATATTCTATAAAACAGACTAAACTTTTAATGTAAATTATTTTCAACTTAATAAGCAAATATTCTAAGATGAAATGACATGTTAATTCACCTAAAACTGTATAGTGAAATCTTAAATGTAACCTAAAATAGATATGTGCAAGATCATAATAATTAGAATTTTTTAAAGAAATGCCAATGATGTGACCTCCTACATATATGTTAGTAAACTTTGATTTTTTACTTTTCTAGCTGACTGTACTCTAGCCATGTGAGCAGTGTCAAGACAAGAATACTCCTCTGGCAAGATAAATAGCTATATTCCTGAGATTTCTCTATATAAGACTTAAGAAGTAGAAAATCTGAATATCTAGATTCAAGCCCCTAAGTAGCAGTAACATCATCAAAGTTTAAGGCAATTCTTTCATACCAATAATACTGTGTCTCAGCAGTACCAGCAACAGTGCAACCAAAAATGCACTGAAGTACAACAAATAACTACATACAAAGGAACACTGATCTCAGTTCTGTAGGTTCATCAATAAAGAGGAATTTTGAAAATATATATGAAAACACAAGTGAAGTGATAAAGAACCTTTAATGACTGTGACAAAAACAGAAAAGAAATTTTAAAAAACACACAAAAACAAACTAAAAAATAAAAAAGAACCTTTAAGTTGGGCACTTGTGATTATCTTTTAAGCATTTTACACATGAGCTTTCATATGCACAAAGAGTACTATGAATGTATTAGCATACCTTGGGGCTTTAAATTTTGTCTATTTTAAGGAGGTAATGAGGCCAGGCGTGGTGGCTCACACTTACAATCCTAGCACTTTGGGAGGCCAAGGCGGGTGGATCACCTGAGGTTAGGAGTTCAGGACCATCCTGGCCAACATGGTGAAACCCCATCTCTGCTGAAAATACAAAAATCAGCCGGTCATGGTGGCAGGTGCCTATGATCCCAGCTACTTGAGACACTGATGCAGGGAAATCGCTGGAACCCAGAAGGCAGAAGTTGCAGTGAAATGAGATCGCACCAATGCACTCTAGCCTGGGGTACAGAGCAAGACTCCGCCTTAATAATAATAATAATAATAATAATAATAATAATAATAAAGAGATAATGAAACGTTCCCACAGGAGTGCTTCAGTTCCTGTTAACAAGTGGGTATCTGGTACCACCTGGTGATAAATATAGATATAACCATTTTAAAAGTCATCCTATAATCCCATCCAACTAAAATGTCAATGATATTTATGCCCTTAAACTTCAACTCATTTCCAAAAAACTCCCACTTCAGAATATAACTTAGTTCCAGAAAATGGAGGAAGAAAGAGCTTTTAAATTGGCTTTGAATAAGCATAAAGCAGATCAAAAGAGAATTAAGCAGAAATTTTGAAGCATGGAATTATTTGAAGATCAATTCCTTAAAAAAAAAAAACAGCAAATGGAAGAGATATAGGACAAAGAAAAACTTCTAAGGGCCAGCGAAGTTATATTTTTATAGAAACATATGGATCATTTTCCAGGATAAAAAAAAGTGTTTCTGTATTTTTCAATTAATCTTTTTTCAAGGGCTATGGTCTGTAGTCTCACAAGTTATATAAACATGCCGAGCAACTAATTATAAAGTGATTTTTTTGTTGTTTTAAGAAAATAAAGCTATTGCATTATGGAATACAACAGGGAGGTTCCTCAAAAACTAAAAATGGAACTACTATATGATCCAGCAATCCCACTTTTGGATGTATATCCAAAGGAACTGAAATCAGTATGTCAAAGAGATATTTGTACTGCCACATTCACTAAGGCATTAGTCACAATAGCCACGCCTTAGGAAACAACCTAAGTGCCCGTTAATAGATGAATGGATTAAACAAAAAAAGTAGCACACATACACAAATGGAGTATTATTTAGCTTTAAAAGAGAAGAAAATTCTGTCATTGTGTCATTTGTAAGAATGTGGATGAACATTATATGAAGTGGAGGACATGATGTTAAGTGAAATAAGCCAGGTACAGAAAGACAAATATAGGTTGAACATCTCTAATCTGAAAATCCAGAATTTGAAATGTTTCAAAATCCAAAACTTTGTGAGAGCCAACATGATGCCACAAGTAGAAAATTCCACACCTGACACTTTTATTTTTGATTGTTCAGTGCACACAAACTTTGTTTCATGCACAAAGTTATTTAAAATCTTGTATAAAATTACCTTCAGGTTATGTGCATAAGATATAAATGCAACATAAATAAACTCTATGTTTAGACTTGGGTCCCATTCCTAAGACATCTCATTAGGTATATGCAAATATTCCAAAATCCAAAACAATCCAAAATCGGAAACACTTCTAGTCCCAAGCAGTTTGGATAAGGGATACCTACACTCTATGATCTCACTTATATGTGGAATCTAAAAAAGTCAAACTCACATAGGTAGAGAGTAGAATGGCGGTTACCAGAGGCTGGGGTTGAGTGGCAGGAGGGAATGGGGTGATGTTGGTCAAATGGTACCAAGTTTCAGTTAGACAGGAGGAATAAGGTTTAGAGATCTGCTGTACAGCATGATAACCATAGTTAATAATAATGTATTACGTATTTAGAAATTGCTAATGGAATAGACTACAGAACTCCACAGCTTAGCTCACTTAAGAGGTAGAAAAGAGAATGCTGGAAAGTGGCATAAAAACTTGTTGAGGCCGGGTGCAGTGGCTCATGCCTGTAATCCCAGCATTTTGGGAGGCCGGGGTGGGCAGATCACTTGAGGCAAGGAATTCAAGACCAGCCTGGCCAACATGGCAAAACCCCGTCTCTACCAAAAATACAAAAATTAGCTGGGCATGGTGACACATGCCTGTAGTCCCAGCTACTAGGGAGGCCGAGGCAGGAGGATTGCCTGAGTCCAGGAGGTCGAGGCTGCAATGAGCTGTGATCATGCCACTGCACTTCAGCCTGGGTGACAGAGCGAGACTCTGTCTCAAAAAACAAAAGCTTCTTGAAGTGTGAAAGAAACCAGTGATCATTTGACTCCCTCACCCTCCCCTACTGCGGCTATGAAGGCCTCATCCAACTTGTGCAGGCCTCATAGAGGCCTAGGACCTTAAAATGTTATTTTTAACTTAACAAATATCAGCTGGCTGTGGTGGCTCATGCCTGTAATTCCAGACTTTGGGGTGGGCGGATCACTTGAGGTTCAATACCAGCCCAGCCAACATGGTAAAACCCCATCTCTTCTAAAAATACAAAAATTACCTGGGCATCATGGCACATGCCTGTAATCCCAGCTACTTGGGAGGCTGAGGTGGGAGGATCACTTGAACCCAGGAGGCAGTGGTTGCAGTGAGCTGAGATCGCACCTCCACACTCTACCCTCAGTGACACAGCGAGACTCTGTCTCAAAAAATAAAAATAAACAAATATGTAGTAACTTTTTATGTCCTCAAGACACTTTTGAAAAACTAGAGGAGCCAAGATGGCTGACTAGGCACAGCCAGGAAGACATGACATTCTCCCACTGAGAGAGACCATCATCGAGTAGACTGGCACATGCTGAACAGATACTCAGAAAGAAGACATTGAGAGTGGATATGGGGAGGACACAGACCCTGAATCTGAAAAAGGAGGAAGCTGGGAACCCTGCATGGGGTTGCCAAGCACCAAGACTCATTCCTGGCACCTAGAAGCTCCTAGGGAAAGGGTAAGTGAAACTGGTGTGGAGTGGCCCACTCTCATCACAGACCTTAGAGATCCTAGCTGCAGGAGACCCTAAGACCCCTCCAAGACATTTGAAATGGCAGGGAGAACTACCTGGAGAGCTGCCAGAGAGAGAACTCTAGTCTTTGTGGAGAACAGAGGGTTTAGCATGGGAACAGCTACAGTGCAGCATTGCCATGGGTATCCATTCCCCAAGGTCACCATACTCCTCTAGGTGGTCTTAGCCTTTATTAGCAGCCAGACATGGAGAGAGCAGGGCTGTCTTGTGCACGGAATGGGGCCTATCTCATCTGAACATCCTTGTCTGCCAGCCTCTCCCAGGGTCCCTGCCTGGCCGCACCCGTAGGCAGCACAGCCTCAGCTGTCCTGGTGAAACACTTGCCAGTGGCCCCCACCTTCCCAAGGGAGGACTTTTGAAGCTGGACCCCCACAGGTGCACACTCACTCAGAGCCTCTGCCCACTGCCTCGCCAGCATGCACACATACAACATGCAAACTTAGGAAATGCAGAGAACCCCTACAAGATAGTATATAAAACAACCATCCTCAAGACACATAGTCATCAGATTCTCCAAGGTCCATATGAAAGAAAAACTCTTAAAGACAGCTAGAGAGAAGGAGGTCACCTACTACGGGAATCCCATCAGGTTAACAGTGGACTTTTTAGCAGAAGCCTTATAAGCCAGAAGAGACTAGGGGACTATATTCAACATCCTTAAAGAAAAAAAAATTCCAACCAAGAATTTCATATCCAGCTAAACTAAGTTTTATAAGCAAAAGAGAAATAGAATCCTTTTCAGAAAAGCAAATGCTAAGGGAATTTCTTACCATCAGATCTGCCTTACAAGAGGTCCTTAAAGGAGTGCTAAACATGGAAATGAAAGACCAATACTTGCCACAACAAAAACACACTTAAGTTCATAGCGACACTGTAAAGCAACTATACAATCAAGTTCACATAATAACTAGCTAACCACATGATGACAGGATTAAATTCTCACATATCAGTATGGACCTTGAATGTATACAGGCTAAATGCCCCACTTAAATGACACAGAGTGGCAAGTTGGATAAAGATGCATAACCCAATTGTATGCTGTCTTCAGGAGACTCATCTCACATGCAATGATGCCCACAGGCTCAAAGAAAAGGAATGGAGAAACATCAAGCAAATGGAAAACAAAAAAGAGCAGGGGCTGCTATTCTTATTTCAGAGAAAACAGATGTTAAATCATCAATGATAAAAAAGGACAAAGAAGAACATTACACAAGGATAAAGAGTTCAATTAAACATGAAGACAACTATCCTAAATATATATACAATTAGCATTGGAGCACGCGGATTAATAAAACAAGTTCTTAGAGACCTACAAAGAGACTTAGATAACCACACCATAATACTGAGAGACTTCAACACTCCATTGACAGTGCTACACATATCATTAAGGCAGAAAACTAACAAAAATATTCAGGATCTAAAGTTGACAATCAAATGGACATTAACAGACATCTACAAGGTACCCTACCCAAGAACAACAGAATGTACATTCTTCTCACCTGAGCACGGCACACACTCTAAGATAGGCCACATGCTTGGCCATAAAGCAATTCTGAACAAAATAAAAAAAAAAACTGAAATCAAACCAAGCACTCTCTCAGATCACAGCTCAATAAAAATAGAAATCAATATCAAGATCTCTCAAAACCACACAATTACATGGAAATTAAACAATTTGCTCCTGCATGACTTCTGGGTAAACAATGAAATTAAAGCAGAAATCAAAGACTTCTTTGAAACTAATGAAAACAAAGATTTACCATCCCAGAATCTGTGAGACACAGCTAAAGCAGTGCTAAGAGGAAAGTTTATGGTGCTAAATGCCTGTATCAAGAAGTTAGAAAGATCTCAAATTGACAACCTAACATAATATCTAGAGGAAGCAGAGAAACAAGAGCAAACCAAATCCAAAGCTAGCAGAAGAAAATAACAAAATTAAGAGCTGAACTGAACTGAACAAAATTGAGATGTGAAAGCCATACAAAAAAAATCAATGAAACCAAAACTTGGTTCTTCAAAAGAATAAACAAAATTTATAGACTGCCAGCTGGATTAATCAAGAAACAAAGAGAGGCTGGGCACAGTGGCACATGCCTGTAATCCTAGCACTTTGGGAGGCCAAGGTGGGTGGATGATGAGGTCAGGAGTTCGAGACCAGCCTGACCAACATGGTGAAACCCTGTCTCCACTAAAAATACAAAAATTAGCCAGGCATGGTGGCACACACCTGTAATCCCAGCTACTTGGGAGGCCAAGGCAGGAGAATTGCTTGAACTCGGGAGGCGGAGGCTGCAGTGAGCTGAGATCGCACCACTGCACTCCAGCCTGAGCAACAGAGCAAGACACTATCTCAAAAAAAAAAAAAAAGAAAGAAAGAAAAAAAAAGAAACAGAGAAGATCCAGATAAACATAATCAGAATGACAATGGGAATATTAACACTAACACCAGAGAAATACAAAAACCAGGCCAGGTGCGGTGGCTCATGCCTGTAATCCCAGCACTTTGGGAGGCTGAGGCAGGCAGATCACCTGAAGTGGGGAGTTCGAGACAGCCTGACCAACATGGAGAAATCCCGTCTCTACTGAAAATATAAAAAATTAGCGAGGTGTGGTGGCGCATGCCTGTGATCCCAGCTACTCGGGAGGCTGAGGCATGAGAGTCGCTTGAACCCGGGAGGTGGAGGCTGCAGTGAGCCGAGATCGTGCCATTGCACTCCAGTCTGGGCAACAAGAGTGAAACTCCATCTCAAAAATAAAAATCCTCAGAGACTATTACAAACACCTCTAGGCATACAAACTAGAAAACACAGAAGAAATGGATAAATTCCTAGAAACATCCCAAGATTGAACCAGGAAGAAATGAAATCCTTGTAATAGTCCAATAACAAGTTCGAAAATTGAATCAGTAGTAAAAAAAAAAAACCTACCAACCAGAAAAAGCCCTGGACTAGATGGAGTCATAGCCAAATTCAACCTAATGCACAAGTAAGGGCTGGTACCAATCCTATTGAAATTATTCCAAAAAATCAAAGAGAAGGGACTCCTGCCTACTCATTCCATGAGGCCAGCATCATTCTCATACCAAAACTTGTCAGAGACACAATGGAAAAGGAAAACTTCAGGTCATTAACTCAGGTGAAGGCAGATGGGCTGGGCATGGTGGCTCATGTCTGTAATCCCAGCACTTTGGGAAGCTGAGGTGGACCGATTGCTTGAGCTCAAGAGTTTAAGACCACCCTGAGCAACATGGAGAAACCCCGACTCTACAAAAAAATACAAAAAATTACCCAGGCGTAGTGGTATACAACTGTAGCCCCAGCCACTCAGGAGGTGGAAGTGGGAGGATCACTTGAGCCTGGGAGGCGGAGGTTGCAGTGAGCCAAGATTGCACTACTGCACTCCAGCATGGGTGACAGAGTGAGACCCTGTCTTAAGAAAAAGAAAAAAGAATATAAACATAAAAATCCTCAAAAAAGTATTTGCAAACTGAATCCAGCAGCACATTGAAAAGATAATACACCACAAAAGTAGGCTTTATTCTTGAGATGCAAGGTTGGTTCAACATGCAGATCAATAAATGGGATTCATCACAGAAACAGAACTAAAAACAAAACAAAAACCACATGATCATCTCAAAAGACACAGAAAAGGCTTTTGATAAAATTCAACATCGCTTTACCTTAAAAAACATCAACAAACTAAGCACTGAAGGAACGCACCTCAAAATAATAAGAGCTATCTATGACAAACCCACAGCCAACAACTGAATGTGCAAAAGCTGGAAGCATTCTCCTTGAAAAATGGAACAAGACAAGGATGCCCACTCTTACCACTCCTTTTAAATATAGTACTGGAAGTCCTAGCCAAAGCAATCAGTCAAGAGAAAGAAAGGAAAGGCATCCAAATAGAAAGAAAGGAACTCAAACCATCTCTCCTTACAGATGATATGATTCTTTACCTAGAAAACCCCATAAACAGTCTGCTCAAAGGCTCCTGGAACTAATAAACAGCTTCAGTAAACTTGCAGGTTACAAAATCAATGTATGAAAATCAGTACATTTCTATACACCAATAACACCCAAGCTGAGAGCCAAATAAAAAACGCAACCCCATTCATAAGAGCCACAAAAATAATAAAATACTTAGGAATACAGTTAGATGTTTTACCACAATGAAAAGGAAATCAGAGATGACAGAAACAAATGGAAAAACATTCCATGCTCATGGACAGGAAGAATCAATATTGATAAAATGGTCTTACTGCCCAAAGCAATTTACAGATTCTTATTTGTTATTCCTGTCAAACTACCAATATCATCTTTCACAGAGTTACAAAAAACTACTCTAAAATTTGTATGGAACCAAAAAAGAGCCCAAATAGCCAAGGCGATCCTAAGCAAAAATAACAAAGCTGTAGGCATCACACTACCTGACTTCAAACTATACTACGAGACAGTAACCCAAACGGCATTATACTGGTACAAAAACTGACACATAGGCCATGGAACAGGTTAGAGAACTCAGAAATAAAGCTGCACATCTACAACTATCTGACCTTCAAAAAAGCTGACCATAACAAGCAATGGAGAAAAGAATCCCTATTCAATAAATGGTGCTGGGATAACTGCCTAGCCATATGCAGAAGATAGAAACTAGACCCCTTTCACCATATACAAAATCAACTCAAAATGGATTAAAGACTTAAATATAAGACCTACAACTATAAAAACCTAGAAGAAAACCTAGGAAACACCATTCTGGACATAGGCCCTGGCAAAGATTTCATGGCAAAGTCTCCAAAAGTAATTCTAACAAAAACAAAAATAGGTAAATGGGACCTAACTAAAGAGCTTCTATATAGCAAAAGAAACTATCGACAGGTTTCTTAAACAGACAACCTACTGAATGAAAGAAAACATTTGCAAACTATGCATCTGACAAAGGTCTAATATCCAGAATCTATAGGGAACTTAAAACAATTGAACAAGCAAAAAACAATCCCACTAAAAAATGGGCAAAAGACATGAACACTTCTCAAAAAAAGACATACAAGCAGCAGCCAATAAACATGAAAAAATGTTTCACATCACTATCACCACAGAAATGCAAATCAAAACCAGAATGAGATACCATCTCATACCACTTAGAATGGCTATTCTTAAAATTTCAAAAAAAAATAATTAAAAAAAAAAAAGATGCTGGTGAGGTTGTGGAGAAAAGGGAATACTTATACACTGCTGGTGGGAATATAAATTAGTTCAGCCACCGTAGAAAGCAGTTTGGAGATTTCTTTAAAAAAACTTAAAATAGAACCACTACTTGATCCACCAATCCCACTACTGAGAATATACCCAAAGAAAAACAAATTGTTCTACCAAAGTGACACACACGTCCTTAAGTTCATCACTGCACTGTTCACATTAGCAAACACATGCAATCAACTGAGATGCCCATCAATGGTGAACTGGATAAAGAAAATGTGATACATACACACCATGGAATACTATAAAGCCATTTTTAAAAAAACCCAAATCACATCCATTGCTGCAACATGGATGCAGCTGCAGGCCATTATCCCAAGCAAATTAATATGGGAACAGAAAACCAAATACTGCATGTTTTCACTTGTTAACTGGGCACTAAACACTGAGTACACATGGACACAAAGACAAGAACAATAGACGCTGGGGCCTACTAGAATGGGGAGGGCAGGAGGTAGGCGAGTGTCAAAAAGCTACCTACTGGGTACAATGCTCACTACCTGGGTGACAAAATCACTTGTACACCGAATTCCAGCAACACATAATTTACCCACGTGACAAACCTGCACGTGTACCCTCTGAATCTAAAATAAAAGTTGGAAAAAAAATAAACAAGAAAAAAATGGACTATGATAAAGCCAAAAGTAATTCTGGTTTTCCCTTTCAAAGTACTGAATTTTGTTACTTCAGAAAGCACTACATCTTTACAATCATTTCTATAATGCTACCAAAATACACTGAAACTAAATGTGATAGATTCAAAGAAGAAATAGAGATAAGGAGCTGGGTGTCGTGGCTAATGCCTGTAATCTCAGCACTTTGGGAGGCTGAGGCAGGTGGATTGCTTGAGCCTAGGAGTTCAAGACCAGCCCAGACAACATGGTGAAACCTCGTCTCTACAAAAAATACAAAAATTAGGCAGGCATGGTGGTGTGCATCTGTAGTCTCAGCTACTTGTGAGGCTGAGGTGGGAGAATCACCCGGGCCCGGGGAGGTAGAGGCTACAGCGAGTTGTGATCATGCCACTGTGGCCTAAGCATCAGAGTGAGACCCTGTCTCAAAAAAAAAATAAGTTCTAATCTCCACTCTAACATTTTGACTTTCAAGTTTAACTCTGTGAACTTCTTTTCAAAAATTATTATAATGTGATAAGATAATAAGACTTGTCCTAACTATTTTATAAGGCTGCTGTGAGAATTAAAGTCTAGGTTGCTTTAAAAAGATGAATTATTTTAAGTATTTGCCAAAATAAATCATTCAGCCAGTAACAAAACCAAGTTCTCTGCTTTGTCCTTCTTCATAAATACATTTAAAAAAAAAAAAAAAGAACAGTGCAGGGCTTCTCAATTATCTGCTTTTTTAACGGAAAGATAATCACAGATAAATGAAATCAATAGATAACTAGCAATCTTTAGATCATGTTCTCAAATTCTTCTATCAGAAGTTGAATAAGACCATCTATTCAAAATCAAATCTCTGCTTCTTTCCCCAATCACCCTCTCCTTTATAATTAAAAAGTGAGGATTGTAAAAAACAAAAAAGCTTCACTCATTAATTTCTTCATATGATATTGCTCTAATATACAGAAATTTTGGCTCACAATTGGTTTAACTAATTTTTTTTTAACTGGCAAGTCTTTTTTTTTGAGACAAGGTCTTGCTCCGTTGCCTAGGCTGGAGTGCAGTGGTGAGATCATGGCTTACTGCAACCTTGACCTCCTGGACTCAAGTGATCCTCCTGCCTCAGCCTCCTGTGTAGCTGGGACAAGCACGCATCACACACCCAGCTAATCATTTGAATTTTTGTAGAGATGGGGGTCTCACTTTGTTTAAGACCACTTTGCCCATGCTGGTCTTAAACTCCTGGGCTCAAGTGATCCTCCCACCTCAGCCTCCCAAAGTGCTGGGATTACAGGCATGAGCCGCCATGCCCAGCCAAGTTTTAATATACGTTTACTTATCTATATTACGCCAATAAGAAATTTGATGGATTTTTCTTTTTTTCGCTTTCAACTTGTTACTTACCAAGCAGCATTCTGTTTGTAAATAAAATCTATCTATCTCAAAGTACTAGAGCCTTTTGTTAACCAAATCAAGAAGAATATAACACCCCGGGATTGGTTTCATTTTGTCACTATAAAGCAGGGATTAGCAAACTTTTTCTGTAAAGATCCAGAGAATAAAATATTTCAGGCTTTGTGAGCCATACATGGTCTCTGTAGCATGTTCTTTTTCTTCCCCCCAACTCTTCAAACTCAACCCTTTAAAAATGTAAAAGAATATTCTTCTTAGGTTAAGGGCTCTACAAAAATATAAACCGTTAATAAAGCATCACTGAGGCAGCTCTAATTTCTAGGAAAAAATATATATACATGATATTAGACAGACACATAGAGAAAGGCAGAAAATAATCTAGACCACAGCAATGTTAGCTCCATTACCTATATAAAAATAACTAAGTTAGGCCAGGTGCGGTGGCTCACGCCTGTAATCCCAGCACTTTGGGAGGCCGAGGCGGCCAGATCATGAGGTCAGGAGTTTGAGACCAGCCTGACCAACATGGTGAAACCCCGTCTCTACTAAAAATACAAAAATTAGCTAGGTATGGTGATACGTGCCTATAATCCCAGCTACTCAGGAGGCTGAGGCAGGAGAATGGCTAGAACCTGGAAGGCAGAGGTTGCAGGGAGCCGAGATCGCACCACTGCACTCCAGCCTGAGCAATAGAGCAAGACTCCGTCTCAAAACAAAACAAAACAAAACAAAAAAAAAAAAAAAAAACAAAAAAAAATAACAAAAATAACTTGAGAGATGCTGTAATGGTGAGAGTTTAGAGCATTCCTGAGGACCTGGAGAAAACTCGTTTCTGAGAAGGACATTTTGAAGGTTTTGTTGCCTGAAAAAGTTATCTCTGGAATCACACTCCTAGATCTTTATTGAAGACTTGAAAAGAATTAGATTAGGACCATGCGGACACAGAAGGTCACCCCAGCTCTGATCGTTGCCATTACAGTTGCTACAATTGGCTCTTTCCAAGTTGGCTACAACACGGGAGTCATCAGTGCTCCTGAGATGATCATAAAGGAATTTATCAATAACACTTTGAGTGACCAGGCAAATATCCCTCCCTCTGAGATGTTGCTCACGTCCCTCTGGTCCTTGTCTGTGGCCATATTCTCCATTGTTGGTATGACTGGCTCCTTTTCCGTTAGACTCTTTATCAACCACTTTTTGACAGGTGCAATTCAATGCTTATCGTCAACCTGTTGGCTGTCTCTGGTGGCTGCCTTATGGGATTGTGTAAAGCAGCTGAGTTGGTTGAAATGCTGACCCTGGGCTGCTTGGTTATTGGCCTCTTCTGTGGACTGTGCACAGGTTTTATGCCCATGTACATTGGAGAGATCTCAGCTACTGCCCTGCAGGGTACCTTTGGCACTCTCAACCAGCTGGGCATCATTGTCAGAATTCTGGTGGCCCAGATCTTTGGTCTGGAATTCAAATTCATCCTTGGGTCTGAAGAGCTATGGCCGGTATTATTGGGCTTTACCATCCTTCCTGCTATCCTACAAAGTGCAGCCCTTCCATTTTGCCCTGAAAGTCCCAGGTTTTTGCTCATTAACAGAAAAGAAGAGGAGAATGCTAAGTAGATCCTCCAGCAGTTGTGGGGCACCCAGGATGTATCCCAAGACAACCAGGAGATGCAAGATGAGAGTGCAAGGATGTCACAAGAAAAGCAAGTCACCGTGCTGGAGTTCTTTAGAGTATCCAGCTACCAACAGCCAATCATCATTTCCATTGTGCTCCAGCTCTCTCGACAGCTCTCTGGAATCAATGTTGTGTTCTATTACTCAACAGGAATCTTCAAGGATGCAGGTGTTCAAGAGCCCATCTATGCCACCATTGGTGCACGTGTGTTTAATACTATCTTCACTGTAGTTTCCCTATTTCTGCTGCAAAGGGCAGGAAGGCGGACCCTGCATATGATAGGCCTTGGAGGGATGGCTTTTTGTTCCATGCTCATGACTGTTTGTTATTAAAGGATGAGTATAATGGGATGAGCTTTGTCTTTATCGGGGCTATCTTGGTCTTTGTGGCCTTTGAAATTGGACCAGGTCCCATTTCCTGGTTTATTGTGGCCGAACTCTTCAGCCAGGGCCCCCGCCCAGCTGCGACTGCAATGGCCGGCTGCTCCAACTATACCTCCAACTTCTTAGTCGGACTGCTCTTCCCCTCTGCTGCTTATTATTTAGGAGCCTGTATTTTTATTATCTTCGCCAGCTTCCTCATCACCTTCTTGACCTTTACCTTCTTCAAAGTCCCTGAGACCCATGGCAGGGCTTTTGAGGATATCACATGGGCCTTTAAAAGGCAGGCACATGGTGCAGATAGATCTGGGAAGGATGGCATCATGGAGATGAACAGCATCCAGGCTGCTAAGGAGACCACCACCAATGTCTAAGTCATGCCTCCTTCCACCTCCCTCCCAGCATGGGAAAGCCACCTCTCCCTGAATGAGAGACCTCATCAGGATGAACCCAGGACTGCTTCTGAATGCTGCTACTTGATTCCTTTCTTATCCCACGCACTCCATGCGCACCTCAAGGCTGGGGTTTGTTGGATTTTCAATGGTTTTTTAAATATTTTATTTCCTGGACATTCTCTTCTGCTTAGGAGAGACCAAGTGAACCTACCTTCATTTCAGGAGGCAATGGCCACTTGGCATATGACAACTTTGCCAGTTTTTCCTTCCTTGGGTTCTAATATTGCCGCACTAGGGGATATAGGAGAGGAAAAGTAAGGCGCAGTTCCCCCAACCTCAGACTTATCAGGAAGAAGATATACATATGAGTGTGGAAGGCAGACGGGGTTTATGTAAGAGCACCTTCCTCACTTCCATATAGCTCTACAAGGCAAATTAACTTGAGTTTTATTTATTTTACCCTCTGGTTTAATTACATAATTTTTTAAGTTCTGGGATACAGGTGCAGAATGCGCAGGTTTGTTACATAGGTATACATGTCCCATGATGGAAATGTTTATTTTTTTAAGTGTAATTTTGCCAAATAATAAAAACAGAAGGAAATTGAGATTGGAGGGAGGTGTTTAAAGAGAGGTTATACAGTAGAAGATTTCATGCTGGGGAGGTTAGCGTGCAATATGAAGAATTTAGGGAGAAATGTAGTTCATTATTGGAGGGTATATTATGTGGTGCCTGAAGTCTGCACATTACCTCTTGACAATTTCTGTCCTTCAGATGGAAACTCTTAATTTCCCATAAAAGTCATATGCCTACATAATAAAGTTATTGATTTCCTTTGGAACTTTTTTCTTTTAATAGTTTACATGTAGTAGTACTTGAAATCTAGGATTATTAACTAATATGGGCATTGTAGTTAATGGTGGTTGATGGGTTCTAATTTTGAATGGAGTCAAGGGAAGGGAAAGTTATTTCTAGAAAGCTTGTTCCCCCTCACTGGACCAAACAACTCCTCCTTGTAGGAGACTCATTACTTTTGAAGTAATCCCACCACCTATCTGGTGGGAGAGCCATCCAAATGAGAAACTTAAAATAATCAGTTCTTGGTAGAGATTCATTATTTCTCCATTTTGTGCTTTAGGAGATTTTAGGTGTTGATTTTGTTTTATTTTAACTCATATCTTTAAAGGAATTCCCCAAAGAATGTTTATAGCTAACTTGGAATTTATAACCTCAGCTCTGGGATTTTTTTCTGAACGATTATTATCTAAAGGTGTGTTGTTGCCTTTAGGGTCATGCCATGCTTGTCTATGTCTGTTACCATGTCACTGTGGTCCTATGCCAAGTGCCCTTAGGGGGTCTCAATCTTTCCAACAGACCATGTTCGAGATAGTATGAGTCAATGTACAGTGTAGCCCACACTTGAGAGGATGAATATGTGTGCACTGTCCCTTTGCTCTGGATGGAAATAGGTTATTGTTGACTTATTTTTTCTGTGTTCCTACAGCCCCTTTTTCATATGTTGCTCAATTTCCCTTCCCCTTCTTGGTGCTTACACATCTCAGACCCTTTAGCCAAACCCTTGCTGATAACGGTATCTTGGTTCTCAGTTCTCACTGTTTCCTCTGGTCACGGAGACTTCAAATAAAAATGCACATAGCTATGGAGTGGGGTTTAGCTGGAAAAGGTGACCTTCTTCCAACTTCACGTCAACTTCTGGCTCCTCAAACAGTAGGTTGGCAGTTAGGCAGGGAAGTTGTTTTCCCATTTCTCACTGAGCAGATTGTGAATATTTCCATATGGATTTTCTATTATTAACATTACCCTGATTCTTTGTTTTAAAATAAAAATTCTGAATGTACGCACACAAAAAAACTCTAAATGTTCCATATATCTAATTTATGCTTACCTTTGGCTGTGGCATGAACCACAGCAGCCTGAGAGATAACCTGGTAAGTTTCAAAACCCAAATACGACAAAGCTGAGAGTAAAAGGCCTCTTTTGAAAGTTCCTGGGTTTCCCATTACCTATGGAAACAATTATGTTAAGAGTTACAAACTTTGAAAATTTGAAGGTACTGCTACCCCAAGCAAAAATTACATGAATTTTCTCCCACCCCCAAAGCAATCGATCATAATACTGGAAGCTTAAAAATTACTTCATCAAAATCTTTAGTAAAACTATCTCAAAGCGTATCTTATTGAGAAAAAGATATCCCCTGGAGTCGCCGCTCATCTAAAAATCACACTCCTGCTGGAAAGGAAGAGCTACAACTTATTTGCTACAACTTATTTGCAAATGCATGGATATTGCAAATTGTATGAAGTAAAATATGAGACACCAACACATAATAAAAATGAATCTTACAGACAAGATTATCATATATAGTAATTACTACATATAAAAATGTACATGGCTAACTTTTAAATTTTTTTGTAGAGACAGGGTCTCACTGTGTTGCCCAGGCTGGTTTCAAACCCCTGGACTCAAGCAATCCTTCCGCCTCGGCTTCCCAAAGTGCTGGGATTACAGGCTGAGCCAAGGGGCCAGGCCTAAAATGGGACTTCAAACTCATCATTGTTCCAATTTGAAAACTTACGGCTAACTAGTTTCATACTTAGAACTCCTCCCATCTCTCTGCCTATATTATCTATAACCTCCCCATTTGGTTATAAACTTCCAAGGAAGGGGAATATGCCAAATTTTAACCACCCCTCCCCACCATCAGTCCCATAATAATTCTGAAAGATTTTAACTGAGCAGTTAAAAATTTGAGTTTAAAATAATGAAACCCCTAGTTCATGTGAAATATATCATATGCATTAATGCCATTCCAATTCCCTGACAAGAATAAACAGAGGCCCACGAGCAGTCTAATAGAAATACCAGAACTGAGACTACAACATGCCGACAACCTTCATTGACGTTATGCAGATACAACGGGCAACTGAGAAATAAACATTTTTAAACAAAAACCTAAACAGTATGAAATCTCTGCTTCTGAGTCGTAGAACTTTTTAAATCACACACCACACTTTTCAAAGTCTGAAAGGGGCAGCCTCAAGCGCTGTTGTATCTGTCATCGCCTACAGGGAGAATAATTTCACAGCGGTCAAGGTTCTTTCCCGTCCTGTTTTACATTTCGCACAAGAAGGGCGGGTAGCAGGCAGCTTCTGGGGCGCGTGGGGGCAAACCCCACTCCTTCTCTGACAGCCCCAGTTAAGGATAGTGGAGGTTTGCAAAATGGAAGGGACCTGTCCGGGCGTTCCAGGCACAGTGGCCCCGAGTTCTTTCCTCGGTTCACCACATTCCTTAGGCAGCGCGGGGCCGCCACCACTTAAGTTAAGGGGGAGCCGGAACCCACTGAGTAGGAAGTGAGGAGCGGGAGCCAGGACCACGGGGGTACCTCGAAGCCGCGGAATCGACAGGGGCCGCAATGCCCGCGGCTGCCCGAAGTCCCCGCAGGGAGACGAGACCCCGGGGCGGCTCCACGTCGGAAAGGCAGAAGGCGCCACAGTCGAGCAGCCAGCGCCATGACCTGCAACTTGCGGGCTGACCCTGCACTACTTCAGGCAGCTACGGAGGCGGGCGGGGCTAAAGGAGATTCAATCCTTCCGGAAAGAACCGCGCCCGCCCGCCTCCTGCACAGCACCTCTTCCGCCTCCTGCCCAGCACCTCTTCCGCCCCCATGGTTTCCGGTGCACGGGCTTAGGGGGTGGGAAATACCCCGATTGGGTGGGACTTAATGGACTTTCCGCGCCTGCGTCCAGGACTGAGGCCGTGAGAGCGCTCTCTTCAGGCGCTCTGACTTGTTTCTGCTCCATCTCTCTAGGGGGTCTTTCATGGTTTGGGCACAAGGATTCGTCGCCAGAATAGAACTGAAAGCTCGGAAATAGACCCGAGAATACAAGTATGCCAGAAAAAAAATTGTCATTTTAATTATCTGCTGCCTTCAAAAGTAGATTGAATCTTGGTACTAGTGGGTCTTTTTTGGAAGTAAATAATTGGAAGAATTATGTTGCCCAACATGAAGAAGGGAAAGTCTCAGTCTCTTCGACTGAGCGACTCAAGGGGGTAGATTCAAGAGAGAGTCCAGAGCAAAGAAACAAAAAATGCAAAGCGTTTTGGGAAGAGGAACTAGCGGGAGGAGGCCTCTGGAAAGGATACTGATGCCCTTGAATGCTAGGGCATGTGTAGTAAAAAACAGAAACAAAAACAAACCCTGGTCTCCCCTAAAATTCTTCAATAAGATGTTTTACTTACTCGAGCAAAGTATTTTATTTTACTCGAGTAAAATAAAATTTCTTGCTCGAGTGGAATTCTTTTGTGGGAAAATGAAGAAATTTTGGATCCTACTTGAGGCCTGATCAGGGTGGGTGGAAACACAGACTGCAAAGGGAGTACCTACTATATGGGTTTAACGAAAAATCTTATGGGTAATAAGGGAGGCGAGTCATGGTTTTAAAAAATTAGGTTGCATTTCTATGGTACTTTTAATACTGTATAGGGAATTAATACATAGTCGTATTGATCTTCCGAACTACCTTGTGAAGTAAGTGGTATCCCAGGTTTACAAATGAAAAAACTGTAACTCAAAGAGATGTATTAACCTAACCAAGGATATGTTAGAAGACAGGAATCCATGTCTTTCTACTCTGAGTCCAGTGCTCCTTCTACTATATGATTGCTACCTCCACTAGTCCCATTAAATCAGCTGTATTTCTTTAGGATTATGTCTTTAAAGTCTATCTTTAAAAATATATAGATCTCCTTCCCAACTTCTGAAACCTAGCTGTTTTTTCCCAAAGACAGAATCACTTTTATTTTATGCATTTCTACTGGCAGCTACCCCCTCAACATTGCTAAATGTTTATGCCACTGGATACCATGATAACAGTGAAATTAAGTTTCTGATATCTCTGCTAGAGTGAATTTGTAATTAAGTTTTTAGCTTTGAAAAAAAAATTAGATCCTAAGAAAAGTTGCAGGAACTCCCATATATTCTTCAGCTAGATTCAGCCATTGTTACCTTTTTCTCACATTTGCTTTATCTTTCTTTACATATCTTACCTATAATACACATATTATATTCCTAGTATTTTCTGTTGTAAGGCCTTTTGAGAGTAGATTACAGATATCATGACTCTTCAGTCTTAGAAACAAGACATTCCCTTACTTAGTCCCAGTTTAATTATCAAATTCAGGAAACTGAAATTGACAGAATACTATTATTTAATATACAAATTTTGTTTAATTCCCAATACTGTCCTTTATACTAATGATTTTTTTTTCTAAATTCAAGATCAAATCTTGATAATGTCTTGCATTTGTTATGTTTCTACTTTCTTTAAATCTTTAAATCGTCAGCCTTGGTCTTTCACGACATTAGTATTTTTTAAATGTATAGTCCCATCGGTTTAAAGCAGGGTTTCTCAGCCTTGGCACAATTGAACTTTTGGGCTGAAGAACTCCTTCAGCCCGTCAGGCCATCAGATGATTGCAGCCTTGGCCAATATCTGACTGCAACATCAAGAGAGATGATGAGCCAGAAGCACCCAGCTAAGCCACTTCTAAATTCCTAAACCACAGAAGCTATGACAGATAATAAATGATTGTTCCTGTTTTAAGCCACTAAATTTGATGTAATCTGTTACACAGCAACTGATAACTAATATAACAGCCAAGTAAAGCATAGAGAGTTGGAGTGTGGAGTTTCAGAGGAAAGGTGTGGAAGTTTGATAACCTTAAGAATATAGGCTGGGCGTAGTGGCTCACACCTGTAATCCCAATATTTTGGGAGGCCAAATCGGGAGAACAGCTTGAGCCCAGGATGTTTGAGACCAGCCTGGGCAACACAGTGAGACTCTGTCTCTACAAAAACATGTTTTTCTTGTTGTTGTTTGTTTTTTGTTTTTGTTTTTGTTTTTTAATTTGCTGCATGTAGTGGTGCATGCTGTAGTCCCAGCTACTCAGGAGGATGAGCTGGGAGGATCATTTGAGCCCAAGTGTCCAAGGTTGCAGGGAGCGGTGATCACACCACTGCACTCCAGTCCAGGCAACAGAGTGAGACACCGTCTTTAAAAAAAAAAGAAAAGAAAATTAAAGAAGTTCGGGCACGGTGGCTCACGCCTGTAATCCCAGCACTTTGGGAGGCCAAAGCGGGCAGATCACGAGGTCAGGAGATCAAGACCATCCTGGCTAACACAGTGAAACCCCGTCTCTACTAAAAATACAAAAAATTAGCCGGGTGTGGTGGCGGGTGCCTGTAGTCCCAGCTACTCAGGAGGCTGAGTCAGGAGAATGGCGTGAACCCAGGAAGTGGAGCTTGCAGTGAGCCGAGATCGCACCACTGCACTCCAGCCTGGTGACAGAGCTAGACTCCGTCTCAAAGAAAAAAAAAAGAGAGAGAAAATATAGATGGAATTCAAAGCTCTGAGACTAAGGCTGGGCGTGGTGCCTCATGCCTGTAATCCCAGCACTTTGAGAGGCCAAGGCCAGTGGATTTCTTGAGCTCAGGAGTTTGACACCAGCCTGGGCAACATGGTGAAACCGCATCTCTACAAAAAGTACAAAAATTAGCCAGACACGGTGGCTCGTGCCTGTAGGTCCCAGCTACTGGCTGAGGTGGGAGGATCGCCTCAGGCTAAAGCCTGAGAGGTTGAAGCTGTGGTGAATCGTATTCGCACCACTGCATCCCAGCCTGGCTGGGTGACAGCAAGAACCTGTCTCTCAAAAAAAAAAAAAGAAAAAGAAAAAAAAAAGCTATAAGACAGGATGAGGTAATTAAAAATGTGACTGAAAGAGTGAAGGTAGAAATATGAGGATCAAAATACATAGGAGAAAGAATATTTTGTGAATATCTTTCATTTTAACATGCATTTAACTCTCCACCAGGTGGTGTTTTATTTCTAGAACCTTGTTAGGCTTGGTATCTAACATGAATTCAACACATGTTAAATTAATGGGTGAATGAATGAGAACAAAAGTAGAATGGGATTTAGACTGTAGTTAAGGAAAATGAATAAATACATTGAATAGCTATGGCACTATGTATTTAGATGATAGATTGCTGTTTGGATACTAAAAGTACAAAACCATCCCCTTGCCTCTACTCTTTCCCTATTTTAGTGTAAAGAAAAGTTTTGAAGGTTAGGTATGGATACTATATATTCTGGAAAATTTGAAACTTGCAATCCAATTAGTGGTGCCTAAGAACCTTCATTTACATGTGAAAGTAGAATCAAAAATAGAGCCAGAAACCTTTAGTAAAAACTAAAACACTTGTAGTACCTCCCCAGTACACTTCAGCAACAAAGGCCTTGTTTCTGCACTGGCAGTTTGTTCTTATCTTTGCCCCTGCTACCATTCCTGTGCCCCAGATATTTGCATAACTGGCTGCTGCTTATTTTTCAAATCTCAGATCAAATACCATCTTAGAGAGCTCTTTTCAGATCCCCAGTCTAAATAAGCTCACACTATCCTCAAGTCCCTCTATCACATCACCCTGCCTTAACTTTTCTCATGGCACTTCTGGCTGGCTGAAATCTCATTTGTCTTTAACAACTAACTTAAGATTCAACCGTCCTCTAGGATAGAAGTTCCTGTCTGTCTTGCTCACAAGTCTAGAGCAATGCACATAGTGTTTGTTGAATAAATGAATGAATCCTCACTGGCACTGATACGATTTTAAAAATGTTTAATTTGCAGGCCAGGCACGGTGGCTCACACCTGTAATCCCAGCACTCTGGGAGGCCAAGGCTGGCAGATCACTTGAACCCAGGAGTTCAACACCAGCCTGAGCAACATAGTGAGACCCCATTTCTTAAAAATAAATAAAATAAAAATGTTTAGTTTGCATTTCTTGGATTAAGAGTAAAGTTTTTACTTAAGAATGTCTGTGTTTCTTCATTTGATACCCTTTCCATTTCTTCTGTAATTAAAAAAAACCTTCACCCATTTTTCTATTGGGTGTTTTTTTTTTTCTTATCAATTTAAATGAACTTAAGAGGCCAGGCACGGTGGCTCACACCTGTAATCTCAGCACTTTGGGAAGCCAAGGTGGGTGGATCATCTGAGGTCGGGAGTTCAAGACTAGCCTGACCAACATGGAGAAGCCCTGGCTCTACTAAAAATACAAAATTAGCTGGGCATGGTGGCACATGCCTGTAATCCCAAGCTACTCAGGAGGCTGAGGCAGGAGAATCGCTTGAACCCGGGAGGCGGAGGTTGTGGTGAGCTGAGATCGCGCCATTGCACTCCAGCTTGGGCAACAAGAGCGAAACTGCGTCTCAAAAAAATAAAAATAAAAAATAAATGAACTTAAGATACTAACTCTGTCAGGTTTGGGACCAATATTTTTCCCAATGTGTTTTATTGATTTTGTCCCTGTTTCCTTGGGAAGAAGTTCTAAATTATCGAGCAGTCATGTATCAATATTTTCCATAGTGTTTTGTTTAGCTGCAGGCAGCATGGAGTAGCAAGCAGTCCAGCCTGCACTTTGAGGTTAGTTTACTTACAATTTGTGTGACTTCAGAAAAGTAGGCCAATTATTTAGCTTCCAAATCTCATGTTACTCAATTGCAGTTTTCATTTGTAAAATGGGTATACTGGCACCAAATACATCACAGAATCATGAGGATTAAAGGTAATGAAGGATATAAAATGTCCTTGGTAGTGTGCACATTAAGAATGCCCTAAATAAGCATATAAGCATGGTTAACAGCTAAGATGTATTTCGCTATTTTCATGTTGATAATTTGTCTTGGTAACTTTTTTTTTTTTTTTTAAGACAGGGTCTGTTTGTCACCCAGGCTGGAGTGCAGAGGCACGAACATGGCGCACTGCAGCCTGAGCCCGTGATCCTTCTGCCTCAGCCTCCTGTGTAGCTAGGACCACAGTCGCGTGCCACCACGCCCAGCTATTTTTTTTTTTACTTTTTGTAGCGGTGGAGGGGGTCTCATTTTTTTGCCCCAGGCTGGGGCTGGTCTCCAACTCCTGGGCACAAGCCATCCTCCCACCTCTGCCTCCCAAAATGTTTGGATTACAGGTGTGAGCCACTGCGCCCAGTCTTCTCAGTTCAGATATGGCATAAATTTTCTCAAATATTTAAATTATTTAATCCTTAAGGAATTTATTTTGGTGCACCAAACCACTTACCTTAAAGTCAGTTTTGCCTTTTCAGTAAGCGACTGGCCTCCAGAATGGCCTCGAAGCGCCAGCCTACTGGCAAGGAGCTGACATGCAGCCCGGAGTCAGCTCCCTGCGGATGGGCTGATCCTCGCGCAGGCTGTGCGGGGCGGGCGCGCACTGGACCCGCCCCATCCCCGCCCCCTCCCCGCCCCCTTGCTCTGCC
This sequence comes from Homo sapiens, assembly GCF_000001405.40. Classification (NCBI taxonomy): domain Eukaryota; kingdom Metazoa; phylum Chordata; class Mammalia; order Primates; family Hominidae; genus Homo; species Homo sapiens. The sequence continues at coordinate 86,514,438 of NC_000008.11, forward strand.
AGTCCAGCCCTAGGTTCTCCTGAATCCCTGCGGTCCCAGCGTCGCTCCGGACGCTGCCAACCTGTTCTCCACCGTCGCTCGACTTCCACCTCTAAGACTCCCACGTGAGTGCGGGCGTCTCCCAGTTCCTGGGCCGGTGAGGCAGCAGCCCAGCAACCGTACCGCCCGGGGGAAAAGGAAAGTCCTGGCCTGGAGGATCCGAGCCCGCAGGCTCCGTGCGGCAGGTCCCGCCGGGCCCTGCTGCTGGAAGTGCTCCGTGGGCTTCGCGCAGCTGGGGATCGGCAGGTCGCGGGGAGGCTCCCGAGCTAGGTCGCGGCCTGGCTGGACCCAGGCACCGCCGACGCCTCCTGGAGGAGCCCGGGCTCGGGGCTCAGCTCCGGGCCGCAAGGCCCCGCCTGGGCCTGGCGCTCGCGCACCTGGGGCTGGGGATAGGCTGGGATCCGCCCTCCTTCCCTGGGCGGAGAGGGTCGGGCTTGTGGCCCAGAGAAGGGTGACAGGTCCCGAAATCGCTGCAGCACCACGCGGGGAGAGGGATAGGGTACCCACACCACGTCCGTGGTGAAGCCAATGCCCAGTTGAGCGGGGGGCGCGCGCTTCAGAGCACCCGAGAAGCTGGCAGATGGAGTGGGAAGAGGTGACTCTTGATTTCAGGGTAAACAAGGAGATTGTGAGAAGTAGTCTAGCAGCTCCCGTTTCTCCTCCAGCTTCAAGATTCTTCTGTCTAGTGTTTTGGGTTCCCTACACCAGGATTGTGGAGGAAGCGCACGGCCAGAACCCGTTGGGACCGAGCAGATCAACCATTTATGTTGCACTTAATGATCATCTGCACTTTTTGCATATCCTTAGTGTTGTCTTTGTGAGGCCACCTCTATAATGGATAATCAAATAGAGGGAAGGGCGGGATTGAATATTGTGACTTGATTTCAATGTCCCACAACAACTGTGCTAGACAGTTTTTATATGTTAGGTTATTTAACGCTCCCAAGCACTTATTAAAGTGATGTTACTCTGTTTCATTCTCCAGGAAACTCAGGTTGAATAATTCATCAAATTACACAACTGGTAAGTGGTGGCATTAGGGTTTGGAATTCAAGTCCGTATGGTTTTAGGGCACAGGCTTTATTGCTTAATGTAAAAGAACATTATTCTTTGGGATAAGCCAGATACCTAGGTTTCAAATCTATGCTATGAGGGCTGTTAGCTGTATGACCTTGGGCAGGATACTTCACCTTTTAGGGCCTGTTTCTGCATTTGTGAAATAGAGATAAAATGTCACAAGGTTGCTATGAGAATTAAATTAGATCCTACTTGTAAAACATTTAGCAAAGTGCTTGACACGTAGTTAGTGGTAAGCTATATATAGCCACATATATCCTGATGTCATTAATAAGGGTCAGCAAACTAGCTCTCTGTGTGTGCTGCCAGCCAGAGCCAAACAGAACTTGTGCAAGCCTAGAACATAGGTAGAGGGAAACAGCAAAGGATGGGAAACGAAAAGGGAACTGAAAACAGATGACATATATAATGGCAATTATAGTGACAACAATAGATGTCTCAGTCATTGATCTGTGGTACCCAGGGCCACTTTTTGCCTTTGCGAGAATTATTAATAGGTCAGTTCCTTTTGGCTGATGAATTGGAAAAATACATCCCACTCTGGGCTGAAAAATTTCAAACTCTGGGACTGGATCATTTTGAGACTCTAGATGTGAGGTGGAGCTGAATTTTAGGACCCCACAGACCAAAAGGTGCCTGGCACAAACCCCACAATGAAGTCTGCAGTTCTCTTTCAGGATTTCTTCTTTCAGGTCTAGTCCCTGAAGAATAGGAAGGGAGAGGAGGCTCCAGGACGGGAGAAACAGAAGGAGTGTTTGCCATTAAGGGTTGCATAATGACTGGACACCTCTTCTAATTTTACCTATAACTGTGAACACTTTATAGACAATGGTCTTCATTTTCATATAAGTTTATGGCAACCTATTATACATTTTAAAATATTTTATTTTCTATGCTCTTTATGATGGTATCACTGCTGCCCTGGGTATTTCCCTTGCAGCATCTGTTTCGGTACCTAGTTCATATTGTACTCCAACACCTATCAATTCTTTTATTTACTTATTTATTTATTTTATAATAAAGATGAGATCTTACTATGTTGCCCAGGCTGGTCTTGAACTCCTGGGCTCAAGTGATCCTCCTGCCTTGGCCTCCCAAAGTGCTGGGGTTACAGGTGTGAGCCACCACACCCGGCCCTATCAATTCTTGGTATGGCTTATCCATTGTTTCCTTTGCCTTCTTTATTTTTTGGTACTATCACTGGGCTTTTTTTCTTACTATTGTTAGAGTTTTCTCTTTTTTCCTCCCTTTCAAATGTTCTTTAGTCAGTGATTTATTATGCTAGAAAGTATGCCTGTTAGCAAAACTATAAAAGTTAATGTTAGATGTGAAAAATGATTATATGTCATTTGACCTTCAAAGATTCATAATGCCACCACTGCTCACCAAAGCATGATATTTCAGGTGGATCTTTTAGCAAGACTCAATGTCACTTCCATTGGTGGTACTCAGTGACCTGCAGGAGTCCTAACTAGAGCATTCCTTTACTGTACCCACCATTACCTTCAGCCTACAATCTAGCTTCCTTCCCACCAATATTTTCCCTTCTTGTTCTTGCTTGTGAGTGGGAATCGTATTGGGGTTTTTTTTGGAGAGACTATTTATTCTTTTAATATAACAGCTTAGCAGTATGCAATCATAACTTTTTAAAAGACATTAAAATTCATCAGTATTATGGTCACATTTACCAATATGAATTAGGTGGATAGCATATTAGTAAGTTTCCTCATAAAAAAAAAGAAGGAAATACTACATACTCATTTTAGTAAATCATTTTGAAATGTCTCTTGCAAATGGTTGTATTATATCTAGTTCCTGTGAAAATTACCAGAGCAACTGTGTGGTTTTCTGGACACATTGTTATCCGGCTATTTCACCTTCCCTGGCTTTTAGTTTACCACGCCTTTAGACTTCAAGGTGACGGTCAGTACCTGTTAAAAGAGGTACCTGCAACTGTAAAGAGGAACTTACTTATCTGTCCACATTTTCATGTTTATGTGTCAGAATTTTTTAAAAAGAAGTGAAAATTAAGACAAATACTTCCTGATGGTATTGTCAAAACAATTTTATAAAATATGTAAAATTGCACCCCACCTTCAGTACTTCTTGTTCTCCTTCTTTATTGTTCCCTGTAGCACTTACTGCCACCTAATATACTATATATGTTACTTATTTGTCTTCATTGTTGTCTGCCTTCCTGCAGTGTAACTAACCTCTCCCTGATGGGGATGGTGGCCTGCTTTGTTTATTGTTGGCTCTCCAGCACCTTAGAACAGTGCCTGACACACAGTAGGCAATCTATAATATTTGTTCAATAAGTGTTGAATGAATTAATAGTACTATTAAACTGCTCATGATTGGGAAATATAAAGGGATTTGCCCTAATTAAAAACAGCTGAAACGATGTGTTAAGCAACCAGGACATGAATATTCTTGAAATCAGGAAATGTATAAACATCTCAACAGCCTTTGCCCAATATACAAACTTTTTAAACCTTGAGAACCACATGGTTGTGGTTGTTGCTGCTTTAAACTGAAGGCATTTTTAGATTATTTGTTCACCGTGAACTAGAAAGGAGCACACGGTGATGAATTGTGAAGTGCCCATCTTGCCCAATTAAATATACATGCTCCCCTACAAAGAAAAGGAAAGGAGTCAAATTTTGGAAAGCATGCATTTAGAGTCGGGGCATGGTGGACACCAGGGCAGGTGAGAGGTTCTGGTGGCTGGTTCAACATCTGGGAAATTCCAGAAGGGGGGAAATTCTTAATGTGGTCTGAGGGGAATGAGAACCCCAGGAGACTTCAGTCTTCACAGGTTGGTGTACCTTAATATCAGATCCAGCCTGCCTGCTGCACAGCTGGCCAGCAGCTTTACTTAGTCCTTATAATGGAAAACTTTTCAACTGAACACTTGGGATTTTCAGCTAGGGGATGCAGCACTGATTTTCATTGAGGGTAAACGGTGATTCACTTTGTAGACATGTATTTTATAGCCAGCTTTGCCAAGATGCATGTTCCATAAAGTGGGACAGTAGTGAGACATCACCACTGCTTCTTTTTTTCTTAAGCCAGTCAAATTTAGCAGTAGGGGGTGTATACCAACTTTAGCAACACTGATGTTAGTAAGTTCTTATTTTTAACTTTTTAACTTTAATTTTATTTTTTCTGCTTAGGTAGCTAATAAGTTCTGATAGCCCTTCTTTTTTAAAAAAAAATATTTATTTATTTATTTGTGAGATGGGACCTCACTCTGCCACCCAGGTTGGAGTGCAGTGGCATGATCTCGGCTCACTGCAACCTCCACCTCCCAGGCTCAAGCAATCCCACCTCAGCCTCCAGAATGACTGGGACCACAGGCACACCCCACCACACCTGGCTAATTTTTGTATTTTTGGTAGAGATGGGGTTTAGCCATGTTGTCCAGGCTGCTGTTGAGCTCCAGCCATCTGCCTGCCTCAGCCTCCCAAAGTACTGGGATTATAAGCATCAGCCACCGTGCCTGGCCCAACCCTGCTTCTATTAATAACTTTTATTAATACCTCACTAAATGAACCTATGATGAACTGTTGAATTGATGGACTTGAAAATACAATCAGTGATACTTCCAAAATGTATATACAGTAGCCAAGGGATTAGAAAAGTGGTAAAACCTGAAACATATGTTAAGTAAACTTTGTAGCCAGTTATGAATCATGGAATAGAACAATACCAGGATTTTAGAGAAATTAATGAAGGGTCTTTAGTTGATTGCTTACTTTGTAATGATAAAGAGAAGGTAAAACTGCACCTACTTTTTATTTTTGAAGTTAGAGTGATCACACCTGTTAATTCCTGCTTTCCTCCGTTCTGCATGTCCAAGCATCAGCAATGGTATCACTATTTAGATCCTGCTCAAGATAGTTTAAGAATCTGGAAACTTTTTGAAGTGTGGCTAAAAGCTGATTTATTTTGCTGCCATGATAGATGCTAAGAGCTTAATAATGTGAGATTTCATGGATGCTAATAAAATTTATTTCCTTATTGTGCTGCATCTACTTAATAGACTGGGCCCTGTGGTTTGTTTGTTTATTTAAGTCATCTGAGCACTTAATAACAATTTTGAGCAAAGGTACCTAACTAGTGGAGAAGTTTCTAGATACATTTTTTTCAGATATAGCTTTTTTTGTTTTGTTTTGAAATGGAATTTGGCTCTTTTTGCCCAGGCTGGAGTGCAATGGCACGATCTTGGCTCACTGCAACCTCCGCCTCCCTGGTTCAAGCGATTCTCCTGCCTCAGCCTCCCATGTAGCTGGGATTACAGGTGGGCGCCATCATGCCCAGCTAATTTTGTATTTTTAGTAGAGATGGGTTTCACCATGTTGGCCAGGATGGTCTTGAACTACTGACCTCAGACCATCCGCCCGCCTCAGCCTCCCAAAGTGCTGGGATTACAGGCGTGAGCCACCGCACCTGGCCCCAGATATAGCTTTTTTGATAGAGATGGAGACTGAGTTTGGAAAACTTTATCCTTTTTCTTCCATTTCTCCTTTTTGTACTTATAAATATTCTAATGTTTTCTATTCATTTTAAAAAATCCTTTAGTACCACTTCCTAAACAAGTTCCATATTCACTGTAATTAAATTAGGGTTATAGTACATTAATGGAAAAGACCTTAAGAATTACTTAAAGAAAGGGATTGACTCAACTCTTAGGTTTAACAGCTGAAGGCTGGGCGCAGTGGCTCACGCCTGTAATCTCAGCATTTTGGGAGGCCAAGGTGGGCAGATTACAGGCGGATTACCTGAAGTCAGGAGTTCGAGACCAGCCTGGTCAACATGGTGAAACCCCGTCTCTACTAAAAATACAAAAATTAGCTGGGCGTGATGGCAGCGCCTGTAATCCCAGCAACTCAGGAGGCTGAGGCAGGAGAATCACTTGAACCCAGGAGGCGGAGGTTGCAAGTGAGCCAAGATCTCCATTGCACTCCAGCATGGGCGACAAGAGTGAAAGTCCATCTCAAAAAAAAAAAAGATTTAACAGCTGAAAAAACCTGAAGCCTGGAGAAGTTACAGCAGTTGCCCAAATGCCTGCCATTGTGGTGTGACTAACACAGAACCAGGCATTTCTTTTTTTTTTTTTTTGAGACGGAGTCTTGCTTTGTCACCCAGGCTGGAGTGCAGTGGCGCAATCTTGGCTCACTGCAACCTCTACCTCTGGGTTCAAGTGATTCTCCTGCCTCAGCCTTCCAGGTAGCTGGGACTACAGTGCACCATGCCCAACTAATTTTTGTGTTTTTAGTAGACACAGGGTTTTGCCATGTTGACCAGGCTGGTCTCAAACTCCTGACCTCAGGTGATCTGCCCAGTCCATTTCTTTTGACACCTGATCCAGTGATTCTTCCTTTTTGTTTCTTTTTTGTTTTGTTTTATGTATATTTATGCTTGACATTATTCCCTATCTTCATTTCTGGTATCCTGTGGTAGTGATTAAAAAAATACATCTGGGCATCACTTTGTTACTAAATACAGAACAAGCGTAGTTTAAATTCTTTTAATGTGAGTTTTTTACTCTCAGAGTCTGGATATTAAGTGCAGTATATTCCTGAGAATAAATGTTGCTGCTCTAAGACGATCTAATGGCACCTACACACATGGCAGACCTGTGTGTGTAGAGACACACTAGCAAGGAGAACTTGCTTTCTTAGCCTTAAGTAATTTACAATTTAATGGGTTATCTTGAAGAGGAACTGCTATGAGGTAAATAAAATATAAACCATTCCAGTTCTTCCATTCTTTGGCAAGCTTTTGTTATTCTGGTTACGTTTGTTTAAGAACCATATAACTAGTTTTAGCCTCAGTATTAACCTTGTAATTTTAAAGTTCCTATTTTATTAATTTGTGTCAGGCTGAATATTACTTTTGATATTAACAAGACTTAAGGAAATTAATAGAGAATATTGCTGTTATACTAAGTAACTATTTTTTGATATTGTTTTTAATTGAAAAATCATAATTGTTTACATCTATGGAGTTTATTTATTTTTACTAATACTATTTTTACTTGACAGCTAATTAACTATTAATTAGAGGCTTTAGTGCTCTGAAGGGATTTTGGCATAAAGGGGAAAATACCTGGGTTTATGCTGTGGTGGTGACACTTACTAGCTTTGTGATCCCATGTAAGTAATTTAACCTTTTTGAAGAAATTTATATTTTTTTCCTAATATATACTATGCATTATTTTGAAGATTAACAATGTGCTGAAAATTATCAACATATTCTGGGTCAATCAATTCAGACACTGGAGTGCCTTATATTATAGTCATACCTGTGACATATGGACCTTCCACCATGTAGTAATCATTATCCTGCCTAACTCACAGAGTTTTTGTAAGGTTCAGAAGATAATATATTATTTGGAAGCACTTTGAAAATTGTAAAAAAAAACAAAATCTGTCCAGTTGTATGGAATTATTAACTATCTTTTCTTTCCCCTTATTCTTCTACTCCCCACTTTCTTACTGTCTACCCTTGAATGTAAGGGTGAAAAAGAAATCTGGTAGTCAGTAGCAATAATACTGCAAATTCTTTTTGTAGTGGAGTATAGTTTTAATCGTCAGTAAAAGTAGAAATCTCTGGGGAGCTTCTTCAGCTCCAAGAGCACTTTGATTGTTCCCTGTCTGTACCACACAATTTTATACTCTTGTATACTATTTCTATGTATACATAGTTAGCTAAGTAGCTAAGTATTTATTTCGTTTTTGCCTCCCCCAACCCTCACTTTTGGAACACCTAGAAAGTATTCAGTAAGTAATTGTTTTATGAATGGGTCTCCCCAATTTGATTATAATGAGCTACAAGCGCTTCTGTTGCTGTATAATGTCCCTGCTGTCCTTAGCAAAATAATGGGTTTACAGTAACCTGGTAATAAATACATTTGCTAGTCTGACCTGGGAACTCTGAGGAGCATAGCAGCCTTTGGATTTACAGCCATATTACCTGACGCCCGCTGCTTTTTTTTTTTTTTTTTTTTTTTTTTTTTAGTAGGGGAACACTTATTACTATTCTGAGCAACACAATTTGAGAAACACTGCCTAGGGTGTGTTTTGCTGATGTTGCTGGGCCGGTTCCAGCTGCCCCAGGGTTGCCCTTGCTTGCTTTCAATAGCGGTCAGGCAGGATGTACTGCAGAATAGCAGTTAGTGAATCATGGTATTAGAACCAGAAAGAACTTCTGAGAATTTTTTACATTAGGCCAGTCTCTTCATTTTTCAGCTGAAGACTGAAGGAACTTTACTAAAGGGATTTGTAGATAGGCACCGACTTCTCCTTCACAATTGTTTTAGGACACATTTTGAGTCACTGACATGAGCCTGCGCTCCCCTCACCTGCGTACCTTATCTATACTCAAGGCTGACTATTTCACCAAATTAATTTTATGTAAATCCCAAAAATCATTATTGTTTCAAGAAGCTTTTCATAAGTAAGGATGAGAAAGCTGCTTTATGTCTTACTACTTAATAACAAGCCATCTATGCTGAGACAATCAATTAAAATCCCTGACTCAGTAATAAAATAATTGCTACAATTCATAGAGTGTCTATTATATGCTGAGCATGCTACAGACCTACAGTTGTCAGGGTTTTTATTAAGTTTATTTTTCTCTCTTAGCCTTATTTACATTGAAGGACTAGTGTCAGGGTTTTTTAATATCCCCATTTTATAAATTAGGAAATTGAAGTTCAGATAGACAATTTGGCAGAGGTGACACATCCAAATTAGTGATGGGAAAGAAATTTGAATGACACACGCTGACTCCAGCATTATTGCTCTTTCTGCTACAAATAACCTGTGCCAGATGTCATGCTTCAGGAAGAAGAGGAAGTGGTAAAATATGTTCGCTGCCCACAGTTCACAGTATATAGACGGAGTGATGAGCCACAAATACAAGTAACAATAGTGGAAAGAAAATAGAATCAGTGCCATAACAGCATGAGGGGTATCAGCAGGGTATCAGCAACAGCTGTATGAATGAAGTATCATTTGAAGTGTTTGTTTTGTTTTGTTTTGAGATAGAGTCTCACTCTGTCGCCCAGGCTGGAGTGCAGTGGTACCATCTCGGCTCACTGCAACCTTCACCTCCTTGGTTCAAGTGATTCTCCTGCCTCAGCCTCCCGAGTAGCTGGGATTACAGGCACCTGCCACCACACCTGGCTAATTTCTGTATATTTAGTAGAGACAGGGTTTCACCATGTTGGCCAGGCTGAGTTCTTGAACTCCTGACCTCAAGTGATCCCCCTACCTCGCCCACCCAAAGTGCTGGGATTACAGGTGTGAGCCACCGTGCCCGGCCTGAAGTGGATCTTGAAGAACTTGGGTGGGCAGAGGTAGCTGTTCAGGTAGATTAGGGGTAGATGTTGGCAGAGCCATGAATTCCAGGCTTAGTTCATTGGACTATCACTTTTTAATCAGAAGTGATAAAACCATAATGTGAATGGAGAGAAAATGGCAGTGGGAATACCCATTAGGAGACTATTATATAAGGCAGGTGAGAGATACAGAAGACCTGAAGTTAGGGTTGTGACTCTGGGTATGGGAAAGCGGCTGTATCTCCATGTTTGGGAGAGATTTGGGGTTCTAGTAGGCAGAATCTCTATGACATCTTTACTGGATAAATCTAAGAGTAGGTTTAAGGAGGAATGGGAAAAGAGGAAGTAGATAAGACTTCAGGATTTTCAGCCAGGGCATGGGAATGACCAGATGCCTTAAATTTCACATATCAGGTACCACTTTAAATATTAGGTCTTAATTCTCAGCTCCTTATGTTTATCTCTGTTATAATATTGATTCAGAACGTTAGGGTGACTGGGAGAATTATTGATATATTTGGTGTTTCTAGGGATTATTTGCATTTCAGAAGACGTGTTTGGATCAAATTTTGTCCAACAAGTAATAATCTGTACAGTAGGGAAGCTGTTGTCTAATCCTAGGGATTATTTGTGTTTTCTATCCTGCTCTTTAAGGAGTAAAATACTACATAGAATTCTTCTTTAGTTGCTCATGCATTCTTTGCCAGGTGACTTATCCCAGCCAAATCTTTCATACTAAAAGAGTATAAAACGTTTGTTTTATTTTTCCTCATCATAATTTTTTTTTTTTTTTTTTTTGCGACAGGGTCTTGCTCTGTCACCCAGGCTGCAGTGCATAGCTTACTGTGGCCTCGAACTCCTGAACTTGAGTGAGCCTCCTGCCTTAGCCTACTGAGTAGCTGGGACTACAGGTGCATGCCACCTTGGCTGGCTAATTTTTTCATTTTTCTTTCTTTCTTTCTTTCTTTTTTAGACGGAGTCTTGCTCTGTCGCCCAGGTTGGAATGCAATGGCGTGATCTCACTGACCGAAACCTCCGCCTCTGAGGTTCAAGTGATTCTCCTGCCTCAGCCTCCTGAGTAGCTGGGATTACAGGCATGTACCACCATGCCTGGCTAATTTTTGTGTTTTTAGTAGAGACGGGGTTTCACCAGGTTGGCCAGGCTGGTCTCAAACTCCTGACCTGGGATAATCCACCTGCCTCGGCCTCCCGAAATGCTGGGATTACAGGTGTGAGCCACTGCGCCCAGCCTAAAATTTTTTGTTTTTGTAGAGATGAGGTCTCTGTTGCTCAGGCTGGTCTTGAACTCCTGGGCTCAAGCAATCCTACTGCCTCAGCCTCCCAAAGTGCTGGGATTACAAGTATGAGCCAATATGCCCAGCTCCCATTATGATTTGTGGATAAAGTATACTATTGCTCTCTTAAAAAATTGTATATCATGTACTGGATAATTACATTAAAAGGAAATGAAAACAGTATCTTCATGAATATTACCATTAACAAGATTCCAGACCCTAGTGTTTATGTAATTTCTTCCATTTGCCATTCAGCCATAATGGGTTTCAGGATAACATTGAGACCAGCACAGAGTCATTTTTCAGAGAGGAATGCTGCTAATAGAAGAAATTTGTTTCCTGGCAGCAATGCAGTAGTATAACTGTCAGCAATTGGTTAAATAATCAGCTGTGCCTGGCATGTTGTTTTTGTAGCTTTTGTATAAGCATTTTTAGGGAAAAAAATAATGCTCTTCTGATATGTGGTGTCTCTTTGCTGTGAGACTGACTTCACATGTAGATGTCTTCATTCTCTGTTGAATTCTTCCCATCCTTGGAAATTTGAAGACTTTTCTGCTGGCTGGTAGAGAATCCTCTACATGTTTTTTTGGGGGAAGCTTTAGCTATTGTTGCTCATTCTATGTTCATCCACAGGGCACTGCATTATGCTTGATATTGCTGACATACAACTTACAAGACTCTAAACTACCTTATGCAAAAAAAAATCATACAACTCACATTTATTTTACAGATTCTGTATTAGATGCAAAAAAACAGTATGCCTGGCACGTGCCAGATTTACAAATTTACTTGCATTATCTCCATTTTTACTGATGAGGAAATCTAGGCCCAGGAAGTTGAAGTTACTTATACGTGGTCACACAGCAAGTGCCAGATGGAGGGTTCAACCGGGCGGTGGCGGGCACCTGAAATCCCAGCTACTTGGGAGGCTGAGGCAGAGAATTGCTTGAACCTGGGAGGCGGAGGCTACAGTGAGCTGAGATCGCGCCACTGCAGTACAGCCTGGACGACAGAGCAAGACTCCGTCTCAAAAAAAAAAAAATTGGGTGTGTGCATTACCCCAAATTTGATCTTGTTCCTGTAATGCAGTAATCTGTTACTATTAGTGCAATAGGAATTCAAAGGAACACCTTAGTATGGATTGGAATAATCAGGATAATCATGGAATGGAATAATAAAAAAATATGAAACATGGGATAGATAAGATAGGATCAGACCCTAGAGGCAGATAGTGATAAAATGATAATAAAATGTGAGCACTTACTGTATACTAGGCACATATATAAATATATAAGATACATATTTTTTGTTTGTTTGTTTTGTTTTTTTTTTGAGATGGGGTCTCACTCTGTCACCCAGGTTGGAGTGCAGTGGCATGATCTTGGCTCACTGCAAACTCTGCCTTCCAGTCTCAAGCGATCCTCCTACCTCAGACTCCAGAGTAGCTGGGATCACAGGCTCATGCCACCACACCCAGCTAGTTTTTGTATTTTAGTAGAGACGAGGTTTCACCATGTTGACCAGGCCGGTCTTGAACTCCTGACCTCAAGTGATCCACCTGCCTTGGCCTCCCAAAGTGCTGGGAGTACAGGTGTGAGCTGCCGTGCCCGGCCAGCTTTGTTTTTAAACGGGTTTTCTAGCTACTTCTAAGACTATGCAACCTACTTCATTTTTCTTAGTCTCTATTTATTTAGGAATCTTAGTATTGATTTTTGACATATGTTGAGGACTGCTACTGTTTTTAGAGAGTTCAATAGAATTATCAAAATTTTTAAATAAGATGTTAGTTGTTTTTTGACATTACAAAGGGCTCTTCTAATGATAATCTTTGTTACTTCAGATTTGCTTAGGCATTTTATACAGCACAGGAATCTTACTGCCATATTTAAATATAACAAGATAATGAGTGGATTTGTTTCTGTGGTCCTAGAACTTCAGCTAAATCTCAAAGTGGAGGGCAAAGGGCATTAAATACTATCCCATTGCAAGGATGTTTGCCAGCAGCTCTAGGGTAGTAGGTACCTTCCCTCCTGCAGAACCTGCCCTAGCACCATCAACCTCCACTGGCTAAGTGGACATCCAGATGGGAAATGCAATGCCTAGTTCCTTTTCATGGTGACACCTGCAGCCCCTTTCATTCCCTGGGTTCATGGATGAAGGCAGCTCACCAGCAATACTACATTCCTTCTCAAGTCCAGCCCCTATCATATGCTCCATCCCATCCCCAGTCCTTTTCATATATTGATTGGAGACTGGGGAAGGAGGGGTCTATGGAAGTTAAGCTAACTCTGATATTTCTTAGCAAGTCATAAGGGAAGATGGGCCACACCTTCTCTCTGTAGAATAGTAGGCTTGTCAACCTTGTCTACACATTAGAATCATCCAAGGAACTGATGTCAGGGTTGTACCCTAAACCAGTTAAAATCTCTTTAAGTGGAACTCCTGCATCAGTAGCTTTGAAAGCTCCTCCAGATGATTCCAGGAAGCAGCCAATATTGAGAACCACTGCTGCAAAATATTGGGAGCTGGGGGTAGAGTGGAGGGAAAGGGGGCTTTGGGGGCTTTTGGTTTTAGTCAAAAAATCTTGAAAACAGAAAATATCCCACTCAGTGTCTTGTTAAATAAACAAATAAAAATAAAACTTAATCTGTTTTGTAGTATAATGCTATGCATACCTTTAAGTGAAGGGTCAAGATAATACTTGGAGTTTTTCTGAATGATAAAATTTATAGTTAAGGTAAAAAGAAATTTTTTTTTTTTTTTTTTTTTTTTTAGACAGAGTCTCTATTGCCCAGGCTGGAGTGCAGTGGCACAGTTATAGCTCACTACAGGCTCAATCTCTTGGGTTCAAGCAATCCTCTTGCCTCAGCCTTCCTAGTAGCTGGGATTATAGGCACACACCACCATGCTTGGCTAATTTTTTTTATTTTTAGTAGAGACGAGGTCTTGCTGTCTTGCCCATGATGGTCTCAAATTCCTAAGCTCAAGCCATCCTTCTGCCTCAGCCTCCCAAAGTGCTGGGATTACAGGCATGAGTCACTGAGCCTGGCCAAGAAGATTAGTATGTCTTATTAGCCATCTTAAAAGCTGTATTTTACTGTCATTCAGTAAATGAATTTTATCCTAGCAAGAGAATCTGATGCAGGCAGTATCATTGGAATGAGCTAATAGACACCCACATCCTGAGGAGGTGCATATAACAGTCTGATTCTGGCAAGTTCACTCTATAAGCCTATTGTGACAATTGGTCTTAAGAAGTCACCTGTTTTTGTTAGGAATGAGTGTGCTTCTTAAAGGCACTGTTTTACTTGCTTTCTCTTTTTATTGGTTTTCTCAGAACTCAAGACATGGCTGCCCAGTGTGTCACAAAGGTGGCGCTGAATGTTTCCTGTGCCAATCTTTTGGATAAAGATATAGGGTCAAAGTCAGACCCTTTATGTGTGTTGTTTTTGAATACAAGTGGTCAACAGTGGTATGAGGTAATGTCAAATACTTTACCTAAAAAGTAATCTGAATTACCCTTTTAACAATGTGAAGAGTTTTTTTAATGTTAAAAATAACAACACTATCTCATCTGTTAATGGAGTTTTTTGTGAAAGTTTGTCCTTGATTGTAGAATTTTTCATACACATATAGAAACTTCCTTTAGTTGTCATGCCTATGTTTATGTTTAGTATATAAAGATGTGAAAATCCAAGTGCACCTTTGATCTGAAGAAACTTTTTTGTTTTTGCGGATGGGTGTAGGTTGAGCGCACAGAAAGGATTAAGAATTGCTTGAATCCCCAATTTTCCAAGACATTTATTATTGATTACTACTTTGAAGTGGTTCAGAAATTGAAATTTGGGGTTTATGACATCGACAACAAAACTATTGAGCTGAGTGATGATGACTTCTTAGGGGAATGTGAATGTACCCTTGGACAAGTAAGTATAAATAGCCACTGTACTCTATTTTGTCTAAATTTTAATCAATGAATTTGGTGGTGTTTTTGGTAAGCAGCATTTAATTTTTAAAGTTGAAAAACATGTAATCACTTTAAAGACAGTTTATATATTAATATGATTGGCTTGAACATTATAGAATTCATCTTATATTTTGTATGGGCAGGAACTATGTATTTATGAAAAAGCCTGTTAATTCTTTTGAGTAAGGGATGCTTCATGAGGCATTTTATTAAGTAATACCTCCGCTTTAGCTGCTGCAGAGTTCTCTACGGTTTTGTTATGTTCAAGCCATAAATGCATTCAAGATAACAGCAACTTCTCTGATCTTCTAACTAGTGAGACTGGCACCTGCTGACTCGCAATGCCCCAATACCATCCCCTTTACCTGGCTTGCTCTTACTCAACCTTATTCCCCCTGATAAACCTTCTCTGACCCTCTAGATTAGTTTGGAATCCTTTCCTGAGCTCACTTGGTACTTACTATCTGGTACTTCTCACCATACTTTTTAATAGTTGCTTAATTATCTGTCTTCCCAGTATATGATAAGTTTGGTCAGGGTAGGGACGTGTCTCATGGCTCCCCATTTTGCTCCTAGGTTAATCTGATTCATAAGGAGAGATTATGACCATTTGCATAGACTGAAGAAAGTTTTAGGAGGGAGGAGTAATTTTTTTTTCAATATGTGACATTTGTCACTCACATATGTCTTTTACAAGTTTATTTTTCAAGGTTGAATTGTTTGGAGATTATGGTATTTTCTGTATCTCAAAAGCAATATGAAACTGATCAGTTTTCTGAAACTTTGATAAATAATATCAAAGAAAAAATTGAGGAAGTATTTCTTTTTTTGGGGAAAAAAATCCCAGTGTAGCTAAAATTCCTATGAATTTGATATATCTTTCAAACAGATACATCAGATGTATATCTGTTTGAAAGAACCTAAGTATACTATATTCCTTAAAGCAATATGACATTTTTGGGGAGTTAAATATTGAAGTTGTGTCTCAGTAGAAAAATTGAATCCTTTTTTTTTTTTTTTTTGAGACAGGGTCTCACTAAGTCACCCAGGCTGGAGTGTCGTGGCTCAATCACAGCTCACTACAGCCTTGACCTCCCGGGTTCAAGTGATCCTCCCACCTCAGCCTCCCAAGTAGCTAGGACTATAAGCACACGCCACTGCACCTGGCTAATTTTTGTATTATTTTGTAGAGACAGGTTTTGGCATGTTGCCAAGGCTGGTCTTGAACTTGTGGGCTCAAGCAATCCTCCCACCTCAGCTTCCCAAAGTGCTGGGATTATTGGTGTGAGCCACTGCACCTGGCCTTGAATCTTATTTATTGAGTGTTCTGAAGCCCATCTTTTACCTAGAAGGTTTCAGCTAAGTGATTTGTTTATGCGATGAGAATCCAGTCCTCTTTTTCCATTACAAGGAACAATTTAAACTTTCACATACATAGGAAGTTAAGAAACTAGTGGGTAGGTAGATTGTATCTGCCAGGGTAGGCTCCTTAGAAGTTTTTTCCAATGAGTTTTAAATATTTAGATTTTTTTTTTTTTTTTTTGAGATGGACTCTCACTCTTGTTGCCCAGGCTGGAGTGCAACAGTGCGATCTTGGCTCACTGCAACCTCTGCCTCCTGAATTCAAGTGATTCTCCTGCCTCAGTATCCCGAGTAGCTGGGATTACAGGCACCCACCACCATGCCTGGCTAATTTTTGTATTTTTAGTAGAGATGGGGTTTCACCATGTTGGCCAGGCTGGTCTTAAACTCCTGACCTCAGGTAATCTGCCCGCCTCAGCCTCCCAAAGTGCTGGGATTACAGGCATGAGCCACTGCACCTGGCTCTAAATATGTAGATGATCTAAATCTTTAAGAAACCAACTGAATGTTTCTATTTCTAATGACTTTAAGTGAACCTTATACTCAGTCTTTTTTGCTGAAACTATTTCATTTAAAAATTCTTAGGTTGAAGGGAAATGACTCTGTATCACTTTCTAATTCTAACAGATTGTTTCCAGCAAGAAGCTAACTCGACCACTGGTGATGAAAACTGGCAGACCTGCAGGAAAAGGGAGCATTACGGTAAAAATAAGATATTTGTCTTTTGTCTCAAAAGATTTAGCATAACAGGACATGCCGAAACTGTCCATATCAGAGAAATATTCTACAGCCATGCTTTGTCACTCAATCTTGAATGTTGCATTCCATCCACCCATGTCTTGTAGTTATCACAAATGGAAAATGTATTGTGCAAACCAGGGGAAACATGCAGTGTAGTAATCCCTTCTTTCAGTTTTTCTAAGTTGCCCGTAGAGGTCAAGTGCACCTTTAGCGATACCTGCCCCTTCTCTGTGGAAGTGTCTATTCTTACGTGAGAGAGAAACTGCTTAATAATCTGTATCAGTTTGGTTCTCTACTGGAGGAACATAGTCCTCTCAACATGACAGAAATTTTCCCTAGTGGATTTTATTCCAGAAGGATGTTATATTATGACATGGTCAATGAACCTATAAACTCTTTACCATCATTTTTTGTGCTTGCTATCTGCTGCCCATCCTTCCACCTGGGCTTTTCATTGCTGATTACTGGCTTTAAGCAAATGAATATATGCTTTATTGTATTTCACATTTCCCATTATATAATGCCAAGCCTGTAAACCTTATCTTCTAGAGTGTCTGTACAGATAACTGCTGCCTGGAGTGATAGTATTTTAACTTTAGCTCCCTCTGAGAATGTAAGGCTAGTTCCCTGAGAGAGCTATGTTTCAAGGTTATCATGATTATCAAATACATTTCTCTGAGCAGCTGTTTTGCTGTAGTTTAAATCTCCAAAGGCATAAGAATGTTCAGGGTGTTGATTTTTGTGGGAAAGAGAACATTATCAGTAGTTAGCTTCCTTGTTGTAGGGCATGATAGACTGATACTTATTTTTAAGAAGAATGAGTTTTTCAGTTACACTGGATGAAAAACATTGATCTGATAATATCAATGTATAGAGTATTCTAGGTATGATTTATTCATGCTTCTCAGTGTTTAGGGAACTTCAGTATTGTGTAGAGGGTATTCTCAGTCTTCTGGGGTTTTGACATTTCTCTTGAATAGGGAAGATCCAATTTGGGCAACCACATTTCAAAAGACATTGCTTAATGCAGACCTGGGCATATTTTGGGAAAATCTTTATTTCACACACATAAAAGAAATAATGGTAGATCTTTTTTAATGATGCCATTTTCTTATGAAACATTTTAGAATTCATTTATATTAGTGTAGGCTTTATATTAGATAACAGAATAAATCAGTGCTTAAGTGTCTATCAGAATTCCTAAAACATATTTTCTTTCACTTACCTGATCTACTCATAGATTTCAGCTGAAGAAATAAAAGATAATAGAGTGGTCTTGTTTGAAATGGAAGCCAGAAAACTGGATAATAAGGTGGGTAGACTATGCAGATTTCAAAAAGGTTGTCATGTTTTGCCTCTTTTTTAAGAAAATAAAAATGCAGTTAATATCATGAACTCCATCATTGAGCATCACATAGGGTACTAGTTACTTTCAAATTTTGCATGTGTGTGTGTGTGTTGTATGTTTAAGCAGAACCCATTTCTCTTCACCTCTTTCATCTAGATGTAATCAAAGGATTTGTTTAGGTTAAGAGAGGAGTTGAATAGAAGCATTAATGTTACTGTAAAAGGCATGAAAGAATACAGTTGAATTATCTTTAGGAAAAAAGTGAAAACTCTGTGCTTTATTAATTATAGGTCAATTATCCTCTTTGCATTCAAAGGTCAATTTTTTTTTATGAAGGATGAGTGCCAATACATAATAACACAACAATTTAGTATATAGCATGGATTATAATAATTCTTTTATCTATCTTATCTATCTATCTATCTATCTATCTATCTATCTATCTATCTATCTTTTTTAGAGACAGAGTCTCACTATGTTGCCTAGGCTGGTCTGGAACTCCTGGGCTCAAGCAATCCTCCCATCTCATACTCCCAAAGTGTTGGGATTGCAGGTGTGAGCCCCTGAGCCCAGCTTTTTGTACTTAATTCTATAATCTAGTCAATATTCTTCATTGTTTGCAATTCAGTTTGAAAACATTTTAGGGCTAGGCATGGTGGCTCATGCCTGT
Organism: Homo sapiens; assembly: GCF_000001405.40. Taxonomy (NCBI): domain Eukaryota; kingdom Metazoa; phylum Chordata; class Mammalia; order Primates; family Hominidae; genus Homo; species Homo sapiens. Next base: position 86,533,287 of record NC_000008.11, read on the forward strand.
AATCCCAGCACTTTGGGAGGCCGAGGTGGGGAGATCACTTGAGCTCAGAAGTTTGAGACCAGCCTGGGCAACATGGCGAAACCCCATCTCTACAAAAAATACAAAAATTAGCTGGGTGTGGTGGCATGTGCCTGTAATCCCATGTGAGGTGGGAGGATTGCTTGAGCCCAGGAGGTCAAAACTACAGTGAGCAGTGATCATGCATTCTCACCTGTGTAATGGAACAAGACTCTGTCTCAAGTAAAAACAAAAACAACAACAAAAAAACACTTAAAGAAAACATTTTAGACTATAGGCTGGGGACTTTTTTTTTTTAATTGTGGAAAAATTTAAATATATACAAAACTAGAAGACTCTTTTTAAAAAATTTCATGTTCTCATCACCCATTTTCCACAATTATAACTCATGGCCAATTTCATTTAATCTCTACCCTTATCTACTTTCTCTCCTCCCAGACTTCATATCATTTCATCCATCAATATGTTGATGTATCTCTGAAGACACTTTAAAAAATATAATTGTTTAAAGTGTGTCTTACGTCCTTTTAAATCTGTAAATTTCTTCCTTTCTTTTATTTCTTTCTTCTTTTCCTCCCTCCCTTCCTTCCTTTGTATCTATTCTTCCATCCATTGTGGAATTTATTCAATGGAGAAAACTGATTTCTTTATCCTACACAAGTTTCCACGTTCAAGTTGGGCACAGGTGATGCACACCTGTAGTCCCAGCTACTCAGGAGACTGAGGCAGGAAGATGGCTTGATCCCAGGAGTTCAAGGCTGTAGTGCATTATAATTACAAGACTCCATCTTTTTTTTTTTTCAAAAAAGAATTTTCCATATTCTGCATATGGCTAATTAAATCCTGTGGTGTCATTTAACATGTTTCTCTCTCTACTTTTATTTTCTGATTTCTGTAACCTGGCAATTGAATCTAGAAGTATGATCTGCTGGCATTTTTAATTGTTGGCAAGACAGTTTCATCAATGGTGGCATGTAATTCCATCAGGAGGCTCACACTGACTTGTGTGTTTTCGGGAAGTTTGTGATCATTGATGATAACTACCTGGTTTTATTATTAAGAGTCTGTAGGCCCGGTGTGGTGGCTCATGCCTGTAATCCCAGCACTTTGGGAGGCCGAGGTAGGTGGCTTACCTGAGGTCAGGAGTTTGAGATCAGCCTGGCCAACATGGTGAAACACCATCTCTACTAAAAATAGAAAAATTAGCTGGGCGTGGTGGTGCGTGCCAGTAGTCCCAGCTACTTGGGAGGCTGAGGCAGGAGAATCACTTGAACCTGGGAGGCGGAGGTTGCAGTGAGCCGAGATCATGCCACTGCATTCCAGCTTGGCGAGAGAGCAAGGCTCCGTCTCAAAAAAAGAAGGAAAAAAAATTTGTAAAATAGTGATATCGTCACTCTATCATTGCTTTTGTTTCTTAGCAAGAATCTTTCTATAGAGAGAAACTTCCCCACATTAAGTATTTATTTACTTTGTGGTATAGTTTATATAGGAAAAGTAAGTTAAAATGTTTGACTTTTCCCCCATATTTACCATTTTTCAAAATTATAAGTTGGTTCCCTAGCATCCACTAAATGTGACCAGTGAAGTTTTTATGTTTGTGTGTTTTGTTCTGTTTTAGAATTGCTGTAAAGTAAGAGATTTAAATATTTATAACTGTAATGGATTACTTCTCATAGATACTTAAGTTATTCCAATTTTGGCCTGAGGGAATTCCTTTAAGCTTGTTTGTGAGACCATTTAACACAACTCCAGGAGTCTTTGGATAATTTCTTGCTCTGTGGGATGACAAGAGCTTCAAAGAACTTCTTTTTGAAGTTCTTTTTGTCTTTAATAAGCCATGTCCCAAGCTTATTTTATCTAGTTTCTGCCTTAGACTGGCAGATTAAAAGGAACCTTACTTTATTTTGGTGGAATTGGTATTTAGAGACCACAGTCCACTGCTAGGGGTACTCACTGTTGTGGGTTATTGTCATTCATGGTTTCTAGGGCTTTTCAGTGGACAGATACAGAAAAGACTTTTTTTTTTTTTTAAGAAAAACTAAATCATGAAATTACACAACTATTTCCAATTCAAATATAGAATTACTGGCCGGCCATGATGGCTCACGCCTGTAATCCCAGCACTCTGGGAGGTGGGTGGAACACTTGAGGTCAGGAGTTCAAGACCAGCCTGGCCAACATGGTGAAACCCTGTGTCTAGTAAAAATACAAAAATTAGCCGGTCATGGTAGCATGCACCTGTAGTCCCAACTACTCAAGAGGATGAGGCATGAGAATTGCTTGAACCCAGGAGGGGGAGGTTACAGTGAGCCGGGATCGTACCACTACACTCCAGCCTGGGTGACGTCTCCAAAACAACAGAGATAATTAAAAAAAATATAGAATTACAGGCACTTATTTTATATTCATACCTCATTTCTCTTGGTTTTTAAATATATTAACACAATTGCTTATCTGTTTTGTCTCACACAACGTTAATAGTTTTAGAATAAAAATATCAATATTATTAACAGTATTTTTACTGAAAAGTTTGAGCTTTCTTTGAAGTTCTTTTTGTCTTTAAGGTGTGTATATTCCACTTTTGTTACATAGTCACATTCTTATGATTTAAAGAAATAATTCCTTTGTGTGGTTATGCTGTCACAGACCTACTTTCATTTTGCTTTTGATATTTAGGGATTGCTTTTTTAAAAAACCATTTTGATTTAATTTTGTTTTATAATCACGTAAAAAATTTACATGGCTCTAAAATCTACAAAACAAGGTACTTAAGAAATTTAACATCTCTCCTGGTCTACCTTGCTTCCGCTTTCCTCCATGTAGATAATAATTTTTAAAAAGTTGTGTTTTATAATTTAATCATTCTGTTTCCTAAATATCTAAGGGTTTTTCTGTGTGTATGTATACTCATGTGTGTGTATGTGTTCATATGTATGTGTGTATGTATGTATTTGTATTTATGTTCCCCACCCCCAGCCCTTGCATAAACATAGCATACTAGATGTACACTTTCCTCCACTTTGCTTCTTTTACTTAACATATCCTGGAGATCAGAGCCAGGGAGTTTAATTATTGTTTTAGTTCTAATACTAGCAACTTAACCTTCAAACAAGTATTGGTTTTTAGCCTTCAAAATAATAACAAGGATATTCTGCTTTTATTTCATTCACTTAAGATTCTTCTTAGAGATAAGGTTAAACACAGTCTTTGTGTTTATATTTTTGACTGTACCAAATATCTTATTTGCTTGACATTAAACTTTGTGTTCAAGAGAGAAATAATTTTATTTTAGTTCTTAATTTAATACTGAAGTTAATTCAGGACTAAAGAAATCTTCAGCTCAGGGATGTATCTGCATATATTCCTGTGGGATTAACAAATGTCCTTTCATTTTCAAAAATAACAAGTCATAAATGTTAACGAGTATGCACATTTCAAAATGAAGATACATGAAAATGAGAAAAAATCATCCATAGTCTTACCACCTGAGTTTAACCTCTGTGAGTGATTCGTACATTTTTCCTGAATTTTATCTCTCTGTATGTGTGTGGTTATGTGTGTATTGAGGATGGTGATAACGGTATTTTTGAGCATTTAGTGTGCTTGAGCATTGTATAGGAGTTCTGTGGTGAATTACAGGAGAAATAGAAGATGTAGTTTGTGCCCTTGAAGTGTTTCTATTATGTGTTCCACATATCTACCTCTGGTCATTTGTGTATGTAAAGAAATGTGTGGTTTTGATGAAGGAGTTTTGGACATAGAAGGCTGAGATATGAAGTTAAAGCCTGGATCCATTAATTAATTAGATATGTGATCTTGGGAAAATCATTTACCCCTCTGAATCCATTTTCTCACTGATAACTGCCCTGTCTCCATAGAGTTGGTATGGCTAATGTTTGTGATATCATTTATATAAAACTACTCAGTGATATGTGAATGAAAATGGTTAAAGGTGAAAACAAGGCAAAAACATATTTTATGGTATATTTGACCACTGTATTTTAAAACTGTCATGTTTTTGAGAAGTCAGGGTATGATATACAGGATTATGAGCATTTATCACAAGCACTTTGATAATTCTCCCTAGTAGACTTCCGTAAGTTTCTAAGTTAGGGAGAAAGGTGATGGGATGTATATTTACTATCAATACTATAGAGTTAGACTTCAGGTGGTTGCCAACATGTGTAAAGTATGGTCACACATGGTTTCATGGGTTCAGAGGAGAACAAATGCTTTTTGTTGTTTGTTTTAAATGTAGGATCTATTTGGAAAGTCAGACCCATACCTGGAATTCCACAAGCAGACATCTGATGGAAACTGGCTAATGGTTCATCGGACAGAGGTGAATATTTGAATTTGAAAAGCAGAGTGGAGGTGTTCTTTGAAATTATTGTAATCTGAATTTTAAAAAGCTTATATTTATAAAAGTATCAATCTGAGTTCATACTTACATATAGCCAGAGACACAAGATCACCATGTTCATATTTTTTTCTTTCAATGAGGAGGTGCTACCGTACTTTATGATTTTTATTTTGAAAAATTTTAAGTCCTATAAAGAACACTAAATGTATTCCTCTGCACCCCTCACCTAGATTCACCAAATGAACACACACTCCCACATACTTGTGCTCTCTGTCTTTCTCTATCTCTGTCCCTCTCTGTCTCTCTCTCTCTCTCTCTCTCACACACACACACACACACACTTATGCACACATGTATTTTCCTTTTGCAAAATCATCCTAATGGAGCTACAGATATAATAACTCTTATCTTTAAATGCTACAGCAGACCAAGTGTGGTGGCTCATGCCTGTAATCCCAGCACTTTGGGAAGCCAAGGCAGGTGGATCACTTGAGGTCAGGAGCTCGAGACCAGCCTGGCCAACATGGTGAAACCCCGTCTCTACTAAAAATACAAAAATTAGCCAGGTGTGGTAGCACTTGCCTGCAGTCCCAGCTACTCAGGAAACTGAGGCACAAGAATTGCTTGAACCCAGGAGGTGGAGGTTGCAGTGAGCTGAGATCGCACCACTGCACTCCATCCCAGGCTACTGAGCGAGACTCCACCTCAAAATAAATAAATAAATAAATGCTACAGCAGGTAGTTTAAAGAACAGGGACATTCTATACAATAATACTTGAGAAATTAACATTTGACATAGCTAAATGTAACATTATTTGGTATACCATTAATCTTCAGATTTCCTCAGTTGTCCCACAGGTTTTGTGTGTATTTTGTTTTGCTTTGTTTTGTTCAGAATCCAGTCAAGGCTCAAATTTTGGATTTGACTATTATATTCCCAATAGAGGACTCTTCTCCCTACCTTCCTTATACCTTGATGCCATTGAATCTCTTGAAAATCAAGACCAGAATGTCCAACATTCTGGATTCTTCTGTTTCCTCACAACTAGATCCAGATCAAACATTTCTGTCAAAAACACTATGTGTGTTCCTTTTCTTTACATTTTCAGGAGGCTCATGGTGCCAGGCTGCCCAGCATTGATGATGTCATGCTTGGCTACTTGGTTAAGCTGGTGACCGCCAGATCTCACCATGATAAGGTCTCATTTTTCCCCTTTTTAATTAATAAGTGCTATGTGGTGTGAAACTATGAGACTGCATGAATTACATGTTCTCTAGCACTTCAACCAGTGGTTTTAGCATCCATTGGTGATCCTTGCCTAATCAATTATTGTATTATGGGTAGTAAAATAGTGATTTTTCAAAATCTTTCATCCTTTTTAGTTATATTAGCAGGCATTCCTCTTTCATCTCTCTCTTTCTCTGCTTTTATTTTTAGTATCATTATAAATTCATGGATTGTTATAACAGTGTATGCTTTGTATTTAACTCATTATTGTATTTTTGCTGCTCAGATTCATCCATGTTTGACTAGAGAGAGCTCGTAGTCTCTAAAATGGCTCTTGGTTTTTCTTTTTGACTTCATTCATCTTTGAGCAGTCTCTTAAGTTAGAGTATGTTCTCAGTTCCCCTTGTACTTTTTCTGTCCCAGAGCTGGTATGAGCCATGTCTCTTAATAAGCCCTATTCCTGCAAGAGGGTAGTAGTATTTAGACACTGACATCTGAGTGCTGAATGTGCTCATTGCTACTGGATATCATTGTTTTATGCCTTTTAAGTGGACACAGCTAAGAAATATGTATATTTGTGTTTATCTGTTTATTATGTATGTATATATGGTATTAAAATTTTAAATTATAAATGTGGACTTATTTCTCCAATTCAATTCCAACATAGTTTCTTATTCTATATTTACCTTTTCTTATTTCATATTTGAATCTTCTGTGCCCTGCAATGAAACCCTCATTGCTATTAAAATCAATAATCCTCCGCAGTTTTTTTTTTTTTTTTTTTTGAGACGTTGTCTTGCTCTGTCACCCAGGCTGGAATGCAGTGGCACGATCTCCACTCACGGCAACCTCCACCTCCCAGGTTCCAGCAGTTCTCCTGCCTCAGCCTCCTGAGTAGCTAGGATTATAGGCATGCACCACCACACCCAGCTAATTTTTGTATTTTTTTAGTAGAGACAGGTTTTCACCATGTTGGCCAGGCTGGTCTCAAACTCCTGACCTCAGATGATCTGCCCGTCTCGGCCTCCCAAAGTGTGGGGATTACAGGTGTGAGCCACCGCGCCCAGCCATCCTCTGTAGTTCCTAAGTGCTCCTTGTAATAGGTAGATATATTTTCCAAATAGTTTTCTACTTTTCCTCAGAATGTATCACAACTGGACAATTTATTACATTTTTCATGTAGCAGTTGTATAATATTGTTCTAGGTAGTTTTTTTGTGGAAATAGTTGAGTTGATGAAGAGGTGGAGGACGAATGGTGAGAGTATAGCAAGAACCTAGGAAGGGCAGGAGCAAAATGTTAATGAACTGGAAGTTTTTCTAACAGCTTTTTGAAACCACATTTTTATAGGTTGTTAAAAACAACTTGAATCCTGTTTGGAGGCCTTTCAAGATCTCTCTTAACTCACTGTGTTACGGAGATATGGACAAAACCATTAAGGTAAGTTGAAATTATATATATATAAAATACTTAAATATACCCATGTTCACCTATTTTATAAAATTAATACATAAGATAGTATTTAAAGAAAGTAAATGATGTAAGACACCTACAGAGTTAAATTTTATGTGTGTAGAATACTAAAATAGAAATGTCTTCTGGTAAGTGACACAGTTTGAGGAGTAGGCATGTTTGACTAATCTGTTGACCTAATGCTTAGTCAAACAGTGTCGTTTCTATTTTATTCTGTATTTTAAAAAATAAAATGTCCAGTTTAATATTTTTTTCCTTTTAATAAGATTCCTCTGCTCTGCTAATAGGAACCTCGAACTACATTATTTGCCTTTGGTATGTCTGTTGCAGATAGAAGCAGATGTTACCGTAAGAACTCAGAGCTTGCTTCTGCCCTTAGCAAGGGAGGGCAGTATTGATGGCATTTTTCTTCCTTATTTTCAGAATGAGATAAGTAATTAATTGAAAGCTTTTAGAAGGCTTTAGTTTTAGAGTATCAGGGAAGTGGAGTATGAACAGCAAATAGCAGATGTCAGTATTTTTTTAAATGTTTTTATTCATAGGCATTTATTTAAAAAAAGAGTAAAAATATAAATAAAAGAAAACTCATGGAGTGGTGTTGAGAATGAAAAATATATACATACATATACATAAAAGAAACTTTTGTACTAGAATTATTAACTTTACATGATTACAGATAGAGGTCTTTTTTATGTTCAGACTTCAGTCGATCAAAGGGATTTTTTGGTTTGTTTTTCTCTTTTTCTGATAATAAATATGGTAAAAGCAGGCAGGATAATGAGGAGTAAGTATAAGATTTGGAGTCAGACCACAGTTCAAGTTTTGACTTAGTCCTTTAACTGGCTAAGGGATCTTGGGCAGGTAACCACACTTCTTCACATTTACTTATTTATTTATTTTGCTTATTAGTAGGAAGCTTCACCTGGATTCTTCACTTTTATAATAGAGTTAAGAATTTCTACCTTCCAGAAAAGCAAAAATTAAATTAGCAGAAGTGAAAGTTTTGTAAAAATTTTGTAGAGGTGCCATTGTTACTGAAAAACTGCTTCATTTTTGCCGGGCATGGTGGCTCAGGCCTATAATCCCAGCACTTTGGGAGGCCGAGGCGGGCAAATTGCCTGAGCTCAGGAGTTTGAGACCAGCCTGGGCAACATGGCAAAATACTGTCTCTACAGAAAATACAAAAATGAGCTGGGTGTGGTGGCGCATACCTGTGTTCCCAGCTACTTGGGAGGCTTAGGTGGGAGGATCCTTTGATCCTGGGAGGAGGAGGTCTCAGTAAGCCAATATTGCTTCACACTGCACTCCAGCCTGGGTGATGGAGTGAGACCGTGTCTTAAAAAAAAAAAAAAAAAAACTGCTTCATTACTGAGATCCATAAAAAATTGCTTCCAGTTTGTAAAGAACTTTAAAAATCAATCTAAGTATGATTTGTAAGGTATTTGAAACAGTAGTGAAAATCCAGGTCCGAAATAAATAGTTGAAAATTAGCTATAAAAATTATTTTTTATCATTTTGCCAAATCCAGACTTTTGCTTTTCATATTAAAAATAGTAAACATCATTAGATGTCAGAAGGCAGGTAAATCTAGGGGAAAATGTCTAAGCCATAACTATTTGATTGTGTGTAATGATATGTTAACAACAAAACAATATCTTTTAAACTTTTTTGCTCACAGTGGCATGCTTACAGGGCTATTTTATTATAGTAAGTAAACTGATTTTCTGAGCTTTCTCTAATGAATGTCTTCCATTCTTAAAACTTTCTTGGTTTGTTTTTAACTATACACAACTTGGTTTGCTACGTCATCACTGACTTTATTTCATTTAGTTCTGCATTTCTTTGCAATATCAAAAAGTCATACATTTGTGATTCTCTTACTGTTCGAAAATTGCTTATAGGGATAGTAAAGAGTTATAGAGCAGTGAATAGAGTCAGAATCCTCAGTAGTTTCTTTGCCATGTTGTGTTATCATTCTAGCATGTATTATTTTCATTAAGATCAAGTGAATACGAAAAATAATCATGCATGCTGCCACTTTGCCTAAAATGGGAGTGCCTTACTGAATGTAGTATCTGTGTGGTGTGTGCATTCTCTTTCATATATACATATGCCCATGTGTATATATGTATACATTTATTTATTTATTACACATATGTTTATTATGTATACTATATATGCATGTGTATATGTATATTATATATCCATTAAATGTATATGAATACATGTATATATTATATACTTGCATATACATATGCATATGTATATATGCATATATTGTTATGCTTACCATTGTTTAAAAAGCCAATAATACTGGTCTTTGAATTCTTGAAAAGAGAGAAATTAAATGACACGAATTGTCTTACCTCATACCGTATCTGAACATATGCCAGCATTATAAATATCATGTCTGCCTTCAAGGGGACAAGAGGGAGCTTTTTCTATATATTTATTATAGTGAGTAATCAAAATTTTTAGTTTAAAAATATTATTTACATTTCCTGAAATTTTAACGTATGAATAGTCTAAAGATATGAACCGTTTTAGCCCTTCATAATCTTTACTCAAATAAAATCTTGGCCTTGTCAAAGCTTAATCTTGTCTTAGATATAAATTGGTGTTCCCTGATTGCAAATCTAAAATGTAAAGTTCTGTTTTCCATAATTGAAAAATGTCTGTTTAAAAACCATGAACTTATTAAAATATTAAGATAGTTTGTTTTCTACCTTATCTAAATATTACTTCCTCTAAAAATTATGGAAATTATTAAATTTCTTTTCCCTTGGCACATTAAAGAGTCATATAAAAGGTTTTTGGTTTAAAAATTGGATACTGAGTAGGGCAAGAGTCAAACTGTCAGACTTGGTCAGTGGCCAAAATGCCTGCAAAGCATTTTCTTAAAAAAATAAAATCCCTTTCTGTTACTCAAAATTGAAATTCTCGGTCTTGACTGTTTTGATTGATTGATTTGTAGTCTTCCTGAAGAATAATGAAAACATAAGTAGGGAATGAAAGACTTCCAGTTATGATAAGCATTCATTTCATAGAACTGAGGGGAAAAATAGTCACTTTGCCAAGTAAACATAAAAAATCCTGAGTATTTTAGCTTGGCAGTTAATCTAAGTTTGAGAAGGATATTAGCAAGATAAAGCTCTCTATTGGCTGATGGTAAATGCAAATTGCTTCTTAGTTACAAGTTTTTATTTTAGATTACAGGCTCTAGGATTTCAAAGTGTCCTTAGCACAGCGTTACTTTACCTGTGTTGGTTACCACACAAGGCATACCGTCTTCTAAGACTTTTTATTTAATTCCTGTAAGTCTTAGTTCTGCAAAATGGGCATCATAGTAACAGGATTCCAACTCTGTCTACCTCACAAGACTATTTAGAGAATGTGCACAGTGTACATAATAAATGTTTGCAGAAGTGAAATAATCTGTTTTGAGATAAAATACTATAAAAACATTGGTGTTAAATGTTCACAATCACAGTCAATTTTCAGCTTCCCTTGAACACTTCTGCTTGGCAATAGTTCATGCCACCTAATTTTTCCCATTGCAAAGAATATTCTAGTATTCTGGTGAATATTTACTCTTTGACTGTCTGTCAACCTGTCACGAAATTACATGCATCTCAAATACTCTCACCTCTCTTCTCTCTCCTTTCAGAGAGAGAAAGCATTTAATCAGAGCCAGATCTAAGACTAGAACTCACCCTGTCTCACATGGAAATAGAGTAAATATGACCCGGTGTGGATACTTCCTCAGTGGACTAAGTACTCTTAGCCTGGAATTGTTCCTTTCATTGTAAGAGTTGTGATCTTCACAATGATGCAAATCTGGCTTCATCATATCTAACTTATAATACAAGCCAACCTCACCAGATTGCAGCTAATGAAATATATTTTTCATAATTCTAAAGTATCTAGGATTTAATTATATAAATTTTAGCTTTCTAGAATGTTGACTTCCTTTCTTTCTCCATATAATGGCTTTTAGCCATTGCATAGTAATAAGGCAAAGAAGTGGATGAGAAAGAAGATATAACTCCATTTTGCCCTTTATCAGCACTTATAGAAGGCATGATAGAGGAGCTGGAAACTGCTTAATGTGGAATTGAAACAGTATTTGTGTTTTTCATCTGCCTGTGATCTATCTTAGATCCCCATCCCAAGGATAGCTGGGGTTTGAAAGTGTTTCAATATTGCTTCTCTAGGATGTTAATTCCTACTGTCCCAAGTAGGGACTGCATAGTACACATTTTCATTTACTTTAATTAAAAGGGCACTTCATGATAGGTTATATTTATTGCAGCCAATACTTTTTAATAAAACTATATTGATTTTTATATATTTTTATTATATTTAATTTCAGGTGGAGTGTTATGATTATGACAATGATGGGTCACATGATCTCATTGGAACATTTCAGACCACCATGACAAAACTGAAAGAAGCCTCCAGAAGCTCACCTGTAAGTTACATCCTTGCATTTGCATATACTTTATAGTTTGGCTATGTATTTATTACTGTATTTCATTTTTTTCCCATAGCATCAAACGGTTTACTATGCTTTTAGTCTATATTGCATAATGCTCCGAAATGTTTAGTAATCACATAATCCACAATTCATACTTGGGGCATGAATTTTATTGAGCAGAACACCACGTAACAGTTACTAATGCCAGATGAGGACTCCAACTACATGGAGGACAGCAAAGATGATCACAGTGTCAGTCATTAGGAATAGAAGTCCAATCCTTTTGCCTATTGTATCATCGTATTGAAGTCAAGGCAAACACAATGCAGGCAAGCACTAGAGGGAACCACACTTTACTTACAGAGAGAAGAGGCAGAGCAATATCAGCTTTAAAAGTAGGCATTGGTTTCCGTGGCCAGCAGTTCCATCCAGCAACCAATGCAGGGCAGTTGGCCCCAGTGTGCTTATCTAGTGCTGTAGAAGAATGACCCTGCCCCTCTCAAGACTATGAAATACTGAAAGCTGGGGGCAGACCTGAGAGTCATTAAGCACAGGCTTCAGCAGGACCAAAGAGCACTTATGGAGCCTGAAGGTATAAATGAATAAGTGAAGTAATCTAGCCCTTTTTCAATGAGAATTCGGTTTGTGGAATTTCTTTAGCTCTAATATATAATAATTTTTTATTGTTTTTCCTTTCTTTAATTTCTAATACTCAACAATTAATACTTATGATTGTGACTGAGACTCCAGCAAGATCCTGAACCATCAAAGAATTTGTTTAACATAATTTTGTTTCACATCATTGTATTATACCACGTGTATTTTTTAGTGTTTGATTCTTGGAAAACTAGTAATGACTGTCTGAAGTACATAAGTGGCTTTGTGTTAACCAGAAGAGGTGACTTATCAAGCATTTATTGAATATCTCTTATATTATTATTAGGCAAGACAGTGAGAATTTGAAGGTATAAGTTGGAGGTGATTATAATGTCACTGTGAAGAAAAAATTAAATGAGACACTTGAAAATAACACAGAGTATGTAACTAAATTTCATATAGTTGTAGAAATTTAAAGAGGTAGATAGAGATCAGAGAAGACTAGAGTAGCAGTGGAAGTTACAGAGGAGAACAACTTGAGCCAAGCCCTAAAGATGGATAGGGGGATAGGAAGGGGAAGGAAGATCATTCTTTTGGGGGAAGGAAATATAAACAAGAGGAGGTGTTAGATCAATTTTTAACATGTATTCCCAGTGGAAAGAGAAGATCTTTGATGCATATTTTACCATAGAGTTGGGCTTCATATATTTGTTTTATGATGTTATTTTTTTTTCTTTTCTTTGCAGCATATTTTCGTTCTTTATGTTGGTAACAGCTAGGAGTAATATTTTATTTCCTTTATTATACCATGTTATATCATAGGGCCCAACTCTATGGTAAAATATGCAGCAAAGAGAAAAAAGATTATGCCTTGGAACATTTGCAAGGAAATTACCTGCAGAGGTAAAATTTATTTGGGAGAAATATTTTGAAAGGTATGCAATTTTAGGAGTGCCTTAATTGTTGGAAATTTACCTGATAAATATTCCACATACTTAACATATTATGTAATTGTTTCAGAGTTATATTTTGCAACAGACCTACATCAGTAGGTAGTTTGATTCTAAAGGAAAAAAAGTCATTCATTTAAAGTCACATTGGCATTTCTAATATTGCTAATAAAAAGTAACATTTTTGTCTTCTCTTCCTACAGGTTGAATTTGAATGCATAAATGAGAAAAAAAGGCAAAAGAAAAAAAGCTACAAGAATTCAGGTGTTATCAGTGTGAAACAGTGTGAGGTCCGTTGGCCTTGGCTACTTATTTTTATTTATTTATTTATTCTTTTTGAGCTGGAGCCTCGCTCTGTTGCCCAGGCTGGAGCGCAGTGGTGTGATCTCGGCTCACTGCAACCTCTGCCTCCTGGGTTCAAGCAATTCTCTGCCTCAGCCTCCCAGGTAGCTGGGATTACAGGCACCCACCACTACACCTGGCTAATTTTTGTATTTTTAGTGGAGACAGGGTTTCACCATGTTGGCCAGGCTGGTCTTGAACTCCTGACCTTGTGATCCACCCACCTTGGCCTCCCAAAGTGCTGGGATTACAGGTGTGAGCCACCGCATCCGACCCAAGCCTTGGCTACTTATAATATAATGAGATTATATTTCAAGTTCTCCTGTTAGTATGTTTATATTAAACAAATACTTGAATTTCAGGCAGTTGAAAATCACATGAGCATCTGGTCACCTTTAGCAAAAAGAATCAAGTAGGGAAGAACAAAAAAATCAAGTAACCTGTTTCCAAGGTTTGACAACTTATTTGCAAAGGACAAGGATAAGTTTTTCGTTATCTTAGGAAATATAAAGCATCATAGTATTTTCTCAGCTCTTTAGTGGAAATGACCTTACCCAATGCATTTATCCTCTTCATACTTTCAATATAAAATGTTATGAGTAAAGGGGAAAAGCCAAGATTTTTTAGGGTGAACAAGTGGAATGGAGTTTTTGTTTTTTAAAATGTTGACTGCTATGCTTTTTAAAGCCCTCAACATATTGGATTCATTACTAATATCTTAAAACTTAAAATGAGTGTATTTCATCTTTCGCCATTAGTATTCTAATCTTAACATTGCTACAATTATCTTGAAGCAGAATTTTACAGATTCATGGCACATAGGGGAAGGGGTATCTTAAACCTGAATGCAGGGGTAATTTCCATGTTTATATCATGTCCTGTTCAATTTACAGACTTTTAAAAATATATGCCAAAGAGTTTTTTGCTTCTCTTGTATAGTAGGAGAGTTGTAATTTTAAGTTTTCTCTTATTTTTAGATTACAGTAGAATGCACATTCCTTGACTATATAATGGGAGGATGTCAGCTGAATTTTACTGTAAGTAACACACTGAATTTTTCAGCATAGGCTTTTTCCTCCATGTTGCAGTATATTTTCTTTCACTGCAAAACTGACTTTGTAATGAAATTTTCACAATCTGTTTAGCATAGTCCTCTTAGAGTCCTCAGGCAGGTTGTCTGGGCTCATCATGAAGCTCTCAGTTTTGTTGATGAGATCTCTTCCTCCTGAGAGAAAGCAGATGTATACAAACCTACAAACTAGTGGTTATCCTGAACTAATTTAAGGACTAGAAAGCATTAGTGAGACAACCTTATAAAAGACAACCCTTAAGCTTAAGTAATGGATACAATAATTCATTATTTAAGCCATCTAGAAAAGTAGAAGCATCAGGTTGTTTCACATTTAGGCTTTACTTGTTTAATTGTCTATGGAAATAGTGGTAGGCATTTGTTAGGAAGTAGGCGCCAGGATGCATGATTGTATCCCATCTCTTGAAGTTTTCCTGGACATCAAGCACAGGTGTCCCTGCCTTCTCCTTACTAAGGGCTGCAATTGTTATTTGGCAGGTGGGAGTGGACTTCACTGGCTCCAATGGTGACCCAAGGTCTCCAGACTCCCTTCATTACATCAGCCCCAATGGCGTTAATGAGTATTTGACTGCTCTCTGGTCTGTGGGACTGGTCATTCAAGATTATGATGCGTGAGTATGACTTTGGAAAAACTAAAATACATGTTTTCACAATTCCCCAGAAAGGGTAGTTTGTTTCATCGGCTAGCACTCTGATATAGGTGGTAGGTTGATGATGCTTTCTCCCTAAAATCCCCCCGTCTTATCTTCTATTTTTCTCCTTGTGGCAATCTTGCTGTTTACCTTAGATCTCTAATATCTTTCTGTGATTAGTTATCATATATGGCATGTACTTTGCTTTATATTACATATAGTTTGCTACTTACTTCCTGACTGAATGTCAGCAAGGCTCTTGTTTCTTTAGTCTGGTTTCCTTGGGGCTTATTCATTAGGCATAAGTTGTATGAGTGATTGAAGCCCAGATGACATGTTTTATAAATACTGTTTATAAATACTAAATATTATTTATGTTAAATACTAAATACTATTTATAAATACTAAATACTATTTATGTTAAGAAATAAAAACTATTTCTTAGCATATCTATGTCCTTGGCAGTTGCCAAATTATTTTTTTAACGGTGACTTTTAACAAGTGCTGAAGGATAACTAGATCTAATTGCTATGAAATATTCTGAATGGTTATCAATGGTTAGGTTTTGAAAAGATTTAAATAGGTCCTATTGAGGGTTTACTAAACAATAGGGAAAACATCTGCATTAGTAGTGTTTTTCCTGATGTAGCGTTAAGAGTACAGAATAAAATTTCACTTGCTTTTGTCTATTATTATTTTATTTACATATTGATGGGGCTTTTCATTAATCTGTAGCATTTAAAGAGGTGAAATTTTTAGGCAAATGCAAAGAAATCTAAAGTAAGGTGGCAATTCCAATTTCAGGCTAGTAAGTTTTAAGGTAAAAATCATTAAATATATTTAACATATATAGAAAGTTACTTTATTAGACAGTAGTGAGAGCTTAGAAAGGTGGTCAAATATAACATAGGATTAAAAAATTAATAATTTCTCACTAGCAGATATTAAAAGTATTATTGCAATTATCTTAAGAGTATGGAATTAGGACATGACCAGTGGAACCAAGCAAACAGTCCAGAAATAGACCCATGCATATAAGTGAATTTAGGGGAGGGGGTTGTAAAAGCTGTCAAACTGGACAAGAATTGAATTTGGATCCCTGACTCATACTTGCATGTTTTAGGATATTATTCTGTATAAATTAGAGTACAGACCAGACTGCTGAAATAGACACCCAAAAACAAAGTGGCTTTGACAAAATAGAGGTTTATTTCACTTCACATTGCTAGGGGTAAATATAATAGTTAAGAACTGATAGGGGAGTTCTGCTGTTCTCAATTCACAGCTTCCCTCCGGGGTTCCATAGCTCTGGTTCTCATCTTCTCCAGCCAGGGGGAAGAGAAGAAAGGGACCAGGGAGTGAATGTGCATTCCCTTTTAGGGGCATGATTCAGAAGTGGCTGGCAAATCACTTCTACTCACATCTCCATCTCTAGATCCCAGCCATCTGATCACATCCAGGCCAGAGAAGCTAGGAAGAGCAGTCTCTAGCTCAGGTGTTCTATTATTAAAGGAGAGAATGGATATTGCCGGAGAGCAGCAATTCCTGCTTCATATCCTACTTCAAAACACTTTCCAGATGAGTTAGAAGTTTAATGTCAAAAGCAAACTTTAAAGTTTTAGAAGAAAGTGTATGTGAATTGTTTATAATCTTGTAGTGAGGAAAACCTTTAAGCAAGAGAGCAAAGGCAAAAATCATGCAGCTTTTTTGTGTTCATATTCATTAATATTAAAAACTATGAAAAGAAAGATGCTTTAAACAAAGTTGAAGACAGACTACAAACTGGGGAAAAATGTGTCTTTCTTTCTTTTGAGAAAGGGTCTCGCTCTGTCACCCAGGCTGGAGTACAGTGGTGCAGTCACAGTTCACTGCAGCCTCCACTTCCTGGACCCAAGCAATCCTCCCACCTCAGCCTGGGGGAAATATTTCTGACATGGCATAGGCTCTATCTTCAGTGCAAAACTAACTGTTAAGAATAAATATGAAAGGAATATTCCTCGTAGAAAAATTATGTTCATTATGGTGTTTTATAATGGCGGAACATTGGCTATCAGACATCTGGGGGAGGATATCCATTTTGTGGGATACTCAGTGGCTATTCATGTGATGTTATATATTCGGTCCACTGTCCCTCTCCCTAATGTATGAATGTTTGTATTAAGTGGCATAAATAAAAGCTACCAATAACCTCTGATCATCTGAGGTCAGGTTTTGCTACCAAATGAGTTTGCCATCAATTAGTAAAAAAAGAATTGTGATTTTCAGGGCTTCATGTATTTATTTACTCATTTGATCACTGAAATGATACACAAGATTTAAGTAGAACAGAGTAGGTTATAAAACATGCATGTAAACTCCATTTCTACAAAATCTATAGAAAGAAACATTTTTCTTCCTCAGTGCACAGAAAAATATTTAGGATGAGAGTTGTCAAATATTAACATTGATTCTCTTTGGCAGTTAATATAGGTAATCTTTGTTTTATCTTCATACTTTTTGAAATGAGCTCATATGGATTTTATTGTGGGCAAAGATAAAGCTTTTTATTTTGGAAAAAACAGTATTTTATTAAATATTTTTTTCTTTTTAGTGATAAGATGTTTCCAGCTTTTGGTTTTGGCGCTCAGATACCTCCTCAGTGGCAGGTAAGAGGAAATCTCTATTTTAAAGCTTTGCCTCCTAGAAAAGCAGCCCAGCCCTCATCAGTCCTTTGTCCATCTTTGACAGGTATCACATGAATTTCCAATGAACTTCAACCCATCCAATCCCTACTGCAATGGTAAGTTAAAAAATAAACATGAAGACTTCAAATGGAAAGGCTCACTAGTCTTTGTTATTTTGTTCTTTGTTCTTTGTTTTTTTTCTTGTGATTAAAACTACTCAAATTTCATCTCTAGGTTTCATTTTCTTACATATTTAACTTTCTGTTGTATAAGGTAGAAGAATTGCACCAGGTTGGTGGTTAGGGTGGTAATGGTAATTACGGGGCAAATCAGTATTATGATGATGAAGGTGGTAAGCTAAATCCTCCTACCTTAAGAACTTTAATAGGACAAAAACATTCTCAATCTTTGGAGTAGATCAGTAAAAATATCATATATTAAAAGTATTTTTACATATAAATTTATTTAAAAACAAACCTTCAATAAAATGAGTAATTTGATATACAGATCTTTTGAAGCTTTTTTCAGAGTGGTAGTCACTCTCTACGAAGAGAAAAGTATCCAGCATCTAATACTTGTTGCTCACACAGTATTCTATAAGTAGCTGGGATGGGCAAAAGGAACAAAGAATTGATCTTCTATAGCAGCTTTCCTCTGTGTAGAGAGCAGGAGGCAAATATTTGTCTTTCATTTCACTTTTTTCTTTTATTTATTTAAAAAAATAGAGACAAGGTCTCGCTATGTTGGCCAGGCTGGTCTTGAACTCTTGACCTCAAGCTATCTTCCTGCCTTCTGCCTTGGCCTCCCAAAGTACTGGGATTAGAGGCGTGAGCCACCATGCCCAGCCACGTTTTACTTTTTTCCTTATACCTCAAGTATCCAAGTGCTGCTTCTTTTTTTTACCACATTGAGCAATCAGCCAGAAATGCCAGCTCTTCCACTAAATTATATATCAGACTAAAGAGTTTGGAGAAGGCAAGGTAGGTGTGGGAGCAGAGGCATAATTTAAAATTCTAGACAATACTCTAATTTTCTGCAAAGGGTCCTTTTGACAATTACAAATGTATAGCTTTCTAACAGAAGAAAATGTTTTTTCCTTTTCTTCCTAAACAATATTCATAAGGTGGAAGAGCATGAACAATTTTTGTGGCGGCCGTTTGCAATATGGTTTTGTTCTTTTCCCCAGAACACTTTTTCCATACTAATTCAGTGTTCTTTGAGGCACTTTCAGTGACTGGTTGTGACCTCTTTTATTCCCTAGCCATTTGAAACTGGGAATGTTATTCTTTTTAAGAAATATGCTTCATTTTTATAATGAAAGTGGATAATCTTTAGAATTTGTTGTAATTAGCTTTCATTTATTGTAAATGAATATGGATGACATATCATATGATAATTCATTTTAGAAGTTCAGTCACTCTGTGAGTAATGTAAGCCCATCCTTGGGCTGTTCACCAAGTGGTTTACACTCTGGAAAAAGCATCAGTTTGGTTTTAAACAAAGGAGATACTATACAGCAAAAAGCTCAGAGCCTTATTTTAAGGCAAGGAAGTTTAATCCCCTTTTCCTAACTAATCATTGAATCTAGTTGCCTTAGAAATAATATGCCTTAGAAATAACTTGTTACTTTGATGCATAGAAAGGGTTTTGGCATAATTCAGTTTTAATTAAGGAATTGAAAGCTCTTGATATTTGTGAAGAAATTATTATTATTATTAATTTTTTTTTTTTTTTTTTCGAGACGAAGTCTTGCTCTTTTCCCCCAGGCTGGAGTGCAATGGCACGATCTTGGCTCACTGCAACCTCCTCCTCCCGGGTTCAAGCAATTCTCCTGCCACAGCCCGCCCCCCCCCCCCCCCCGCCCACAACCGAGTAGCTGGGATTACAGGCGCCTGCCACCACGCTCGGCTAATTTTTGTATTTTTAGTAAAGACAGGGTTTCACCATGTTGGCCAGGCTGGTCTAGAACTGCTGACCTCTTGTGATCTACCTGCCTCTGCCTCCCGAAGTGCTGAGATTATAGGCATGAGCCACCGTGCCCAGCCCTAAATGAATTATTTATACCTTTGTTACTACTGGACTGACTACTAGTAACATGGACCTTCTGCATGTAAAATCACCCCTGCCTATGAATTAGTTATGTTCTCAAAGGTTGTTCATAAGACTACCTGTTCCTAAATTCAAAGAAACTAAGAGGAGTTTATTGGAACTCTTACATTTTAAGAGAAGAGAGTTGGTTTCCTGAAGCTTTCAAGCCAAGTATGGTCATGCACTAAAAATGACATTTTAGTCAAGGACAGACCACATGTATGACAGTAGGCCCATAAGATTTTAATATTTTATTTTTACTGTAAAGACATAGAAAAGGTACAGTTGCTATAATTGCCTACATTATTCAGCATAGCAATATGCAGTACAGGTTTTTAACCTAGGAGTAATAGGCTATACCATCTAGGTTTGTGTAAGTATACTCTATGATGTTCATACGATGATGAAATCACCTAACGATGCATTTCTCAGAATTTATCCCCATTGGTAAGTGACACATGACTGTATATGCTTCTCCTTTTTGTTGATCTGTGTTCTCTTAGACATTTTAAAAGCAAGAGACCTGTTTTGATTTACATTAAGTTTTTTTTTTTTTTTTTGTGGCAAGTATCTGTGATGATCTCAGCAAGTATTGTTGGAAATTCTTTAGAATTTCTGTTATCCTGTCTGCATCCTAAATGCTGTGATATTAAGGGCAGATTCAACAGGTGCTTGTGTGGGATACAAGTTTCATCAGCAGTGCTTTGACCAGCAATGTCAGTCAGCTTTCACTGGGTTGTGCTGTTGTAATAAACAATCTCTAAATCTCAGTGGCTTTAATGACAACAGTTTATTTCTTGCTCATTTTACATGCAGCTAGGCTGGAGTTCTCTCCATGTTTCTTATATTGGGACTCAGGCTGAAGGAACAGCCTTATCTGGGATGTGCTGCTCCTACGGCAGAGGAAAGGAGCAAGAGAGCTGGAAAAAACAGGCAGTAGTTCTTAAGACATCTCCTTAGGTATGGGTGTCACATGCATTGGTCAAAGCTAATCAAATGGTCCTGTCCAACTTTCTATTATAAAATGCACCAGCAGGTCTAGGGGTAGTACCCCTAAACAAACACATCAGTGCTTCTGCAGCAAAATGGATAAGTAACCTGGAAGTGAATATTTGGAACTAATGCAGTCTGTGATACAATGATTAACCTTTAACTTATTGAATAAACACTTGTATCAGTTAATTAACTAGAATTAATATTAGGTTTATCGCCATCTGGTATTTTTGTAGAACCTCTGGCCATATATGCAAATGATTTTTCATTTTATTAATAACTCTTTCTTACCTTTCATCATCAGTTGTATGATGTGAAACCTTTTTCATGGTTTTCTATCAGAGCCACATTCCCAACATGTATTAAAAATTAAGCACAGATGTAACAGTCCTACCGTAGACTAATAAGTAATTTGACTGAGATGAAAGTAAATCCCTTCTATTGGGGGAGGACAGAGCTTATAGGTTTTTGCAATGGATCATACCTATGGAGTTATGTAATACATAGCTTAGAGGAACTACTGCTTATAGAACTTTTGACTATTTAAAGCACTATATGTTGATACATATAATCAAATTAGCCAGTATTGTGAATAAACACATTGTGCTTGAGAATTTTTAGTACTGTTTTTTATTTGTTTGTTTGTTCTAGGAATCCAAGGCATTGTAGAGGCGTATCGGTCTTGTCTTCCTCAGATAAAACTCTATGGACCAACTAATTTTTCTCCAATCATAAATCACGTGGCCAGGTTTGCTGCTGCAGCCACGCAACAGCAGACAGCTTCTGTAAGTGCTCTATGGCCAGGGAATGGGAAGAATGTGGATTGGTAGCAGCTCCTGGTGCCATTTTTCTATGTTTTTGGTTTGTCATAATACAAAGTCAGGGCAAGATACAATAACACAGTCATTCTTGGTTTGGGAGTAACTTTTGTTGTTGTTATACTAGTGATCGTTAAAAATAAGACAACAGCAAAACAACACTTGGCATTCATGAGTCTTTTATCCTTGGAATTAACTTTCTTAGATAGGTTCTACCAAAAAAAAAAAAATGCCTATCATCTACCTTTTTGAAGTAGACATAACAAATTAAGCTTAAGGAAAGTTACCACATCAGATGCTGTTGCAAGATTTCTTATTGTACTAAAGATATTTGAATGAGGTAACCATTACCTATTGGACCGTGGATACCAAATTTCTCTTAGCCTCAGCATATTCAGAAGTAAGTTAGGGGAAACTACCTCATACTGTTGTTGAAAAGGTTAGATAATTCATATAAAGTACACAATGCCTGGGTCAGAGTAAACACTCAACATATGTTAACTAATATTGTAAATCTTATTCCTATTCTAGACTTAAATGGCCCAAAAGATGGAGTCACTACTTGATGTAACATTTTACTGCTCTCTGAAAAGGTTTATCTTAGGTGACACAATCTGGGGGATGATTTCATCACTTAAACCATATCTATTTTTTTGTGTGTATTTTAGCTTCTAAAATTTTTGTATTCTAATATTCTAATTCTAATAATTTTTGTATTTATTTGATCTTCTGAGAATGAAGTTTCCACTTGCCTCCTTGATAGATACTTTGACATATTTAATACTTGAGTTAAAACTGTTTATTCCTAGCCTTACTGAAAGGTTAATCTTTGACATTTAGATGTCCTGCTTCCATATATTTTGCCAACCCTATTTTGTGGTCTGCTGCGCTTTTAATGAACCTGCAGTTTTTGTAAGAGTCAATTTCCTTGTCATCAGAGAAGCTTAGAATATTTTATGTGGTGGTAGCTAGGGTAGAGACTGGCAAGGAAAATGAACAAGAAAGACTGGATGACTCATCAAGCCAGAGATGCCATTAGCCATTGCTTGACTTGCTCAGGGGACATGTTTTCTTTTTCTGGCAGCAATATTTTGTGCTTTTGATTATTACTGATGGTGTGATCACAGACCTTGATGAAACCAGACAAGCTATAGTTAATGCCTCCAGGCTGCCTATGTCCATCATAATTGTTGGAGTTGGAGGTGCTGACTTCAGCGCCATGGAGTTTCTGGATGGTGATGGTGGAAGTCTCCGCTCCCCATTGGGCGAAGTGGCCATCAGAGATATTGTCCAGTTTGTGCCTTTCAGACAGTTCCAGAATGTGAGTACCACTCCTCCCTACTCAAACACTAAAGTGACTGAACACAGACCTTTGCCCATCTACAACCAGGCAGTTGATTAGGTGTGCAGGGTTAGAGGATGTGTGAACACTTTCCTTTGTCCATTTGAGAGCTCCGATTTGGTTTAGCAGTGTTGCTTCAGGATGTTCATTATGTGCTTCTTGCAGGCTATATGATAAATTGTTTTAAAATAGTATTGTGACTCTCTCAAGTATTTTATCTTTACCTTTGTAACAACAGGAAAAAACTCTTATGTAACTGTATGCCAAATCCCCCTCAAGCTGGAAGTTTAGTTTGATGAATATCTCTTAGAAGACTATTTTACCCAGTTTACTCCAGTAGTAACATATTGCAGAGCTATAGTACAGAATCACAACCAGGATACTTACAGTGGTATAATCAAGATGCATCATAAGGATCCCCCTGGTTGCCCTTTTATAACCACATCCCCTTCTTTCTACTTCTAGCCCTTCCTTAACCTTGGAAACCACTTACTAATATAGTCTTCATTTCTATAATCTTATCATTTCAAGAATATCATATAAATGGAATCGTACAATATACAACCTTTTGGGATTGGCTTTTTTTCCACTCAGCATCACTCTCGAGAATCACCAAGTTTTTGCAAGTACTTCTTTTTATTGCTGAGTCATATTCCATGGTATGGATGCACCACCATTTGTGTAACCGTTACCCCACAGAAGGACAGCTGGCTGTTGCCTGTTTTTCTCTCTGATACATAAGGCTACTATAAACATTTACGCATGGGTTTTTGTTGTTGTTGTTGTTTGTTTGTTTTGTTTTTGTTTTGAGACAGAGTCTTGCTCTGTCACCCAGGCTGGAGTACAGTACTGCAACTTCCGCCTCCTGGGTTCAAGTGATTCTCATGCCTCAGCCTCCCGAATAGCTGGGATTACAGGTGTGCACCACTATGCCTGGCAATTTTTTTCTATTTTTTAGTAGAGACAGGGTTTTACCACGTTGGCCAGGCTGGTCTCAAACTCCTGGCCTCAAGTGATCCACTCGCCTCGGCCTCCCTAAGTGCTGGGATTACAGCCGTGTGCCACCGCACCCAGCCTATTCATGGATTTTTGAGCAAACATAAGTTTTTATTCCTCTGGGATAAATACCTAGGACTACAGTTGCTGGGTTATACGGTAGTTGCATGTTTAATTCTTAAAGCAGTTGTTAAACTCTTCTAAAGTGGCTATATCATTTAACATTCCCACCAGCAATGGAAGGGGAGGAAGTGGAGTGTTGTGATTATAAAGTAGTAATGTTAGGTAGGGATCTTTGTGGTGTTGAGGCAGTTCTGTATCTCAATTGTGGTGGTGGTTAAACAGATCTATCCAGATGACAAAATTGCATCGAATTATACAGAAACAAACACACACACATACACACACACACACACACAAATGAGTAATGTAAAACTAGAAATCAGAGTAAGTTCTGTGAACTGTATCAGTGTCAGCTGCCTGGTTTTGGTTTTGATACTGTACTATAGTTATGCAAGATGTTACCTTTGGAGGAATCTGGGTGAAGGGTGCATGGTACCTTTCTTTACTGTTTTT
This sequence comes from Homo sapiens, assembly GCF_000001405.40. Classification (NCBI taxonomy): domain Eukaryota; kingdom Metazoa; phylum Chordata; class Mammalia; order Primates; family Hominidae; genus Homo; species Homo sapiens. The sequence continues at coordinate 86,557,932 of NC_000008.11, forward strand.
GCAACTTCCTATGAATCTATAAATGTTGTAAAAAAAAGTAAAAAAAAATTAATACCAAGTAAGTGAAAGAACCACATTTAAAAGTTATAAAACAACAACAACAAAATCATCAAATGTTAGAATGCTGGCACCGAAAAAGGACTTGACAAATGTTAGCAGGGATAGTAATAGCAATCATAAGTAACATTGGCTAGTTAACTCATTCCATATTTCATGGGCGGTTCCTAAGAAAAGGTACAGGCCTATGAATTAGAATTGCTTCATTTTAGTGGCTGCTGAAGTATCCCTAGTCTTTTATGAAAAAGCCAGGAAAATTCAGTTGCTAATAAAGTCACTTTTATTTTGTTTTTCACAAGGCTCCAAAAGAAGCACTTGCTCAGTGTGTCTTGGCAGAGATTCCCCAGCAGGTGGTGGGCTACTTCAATACATACAAACTCCTTCCTCCCAAGAACCCAGCCACGAAACAACAGAAGCAGTGACCACTTCAACAGAATTCTTTTGTGTTATGTGGAGCAATGCCATCTCTCACCCCAAATCGTGTATCTGTCATTCTACGTACTTTTTACCCCCAGCATTTATGATGTAAATCTCTTTCTCTATGGATTATATCTGTTTAAAGCATTCTTTCTAGGTTATTTTGGGGGGACAGTGCCAAGTCCATCTTTGCCCAGTCAATTCAGTGATTGATAGCAATTTACATTAATTGCAGTAAAGCTCTTTGGATTAGAAATTAGTGTGGGGAAAGCTTATTCTGTTGTTGTTTTTGTTTACTTTCATATGATGAAAATGCTGTGTTTAAGTGTTTGTCAATAGGAAGAATGGAAAACTGTTGGGATGATGTGGTTTGCAGGTTGCTGTGCCTGATTCACAGTGTATGTTGTATAAGCCAATGTCCATACCTGATTATGAGAGCTTCTTAAATTATATGATATCAAATTTGTTCCTGTAACTCTGTATACAGTGCTTTTCTGCAAGGTAAAAATAACCTGTCTATGCATCTGATTTTTGCTACAGTTTAGACACTGTGGTTTACAAAACAGCATGCACTCAACTTGGGACTTTATGAAAAGTACTGAATGAGCAGGAAAAGGCACATACTCAGTTTTTTAAATGTACAATCAACAAGTAAAAATAACCTCATGTAAGTAAGCCATTTTTATTTGCCTTTCTAGATATTTTATTTTATTGTGGAAAACTGTAAACATGGTCAGATTTGGCTTTTTTTTTCATTAACTGAGCAAGACTTTCAGGATATTGTAGATGCACAGATGGTAGGTTGTCCTGAATTCTACATTATTAGATTACTTTAATTGAGATTTGTTAAAACGGTTAGGACTGTTTTGTCCAGGAAAGATAAGAGGACCAAACATATAAGGTGAAATTCAGAATTCCGTTTCCTTCTAACTAATGAAAAACTGCTTACTAAAAAAAAATTTTATACTTTCCTTGCTAAGGTCCCATATATTGATTTGTACAGATCCACTTAGTCATTTTCTCCTTTTTTTAAGAACCATTTTCATCTGATTTTTAAACTCACGATACCAGTTATCTGTTAATCAAAATTGCATTTTACAATTTAATAATGTGATATTTCCTATGTCTACAGCATACCTTATTAGGTATAAAACCTACTGCAACTTAGAAAAAGGAAAGAAAAAAGAAAACTTTTCCAACTGCTGCATTAAGATAGGGTGGATTTTATGTGCTTTTTTTTTTTAAGAGTTGAATTTCTTTTCCTGACTTTTACCTTTTACAGCGTATTACTTAGTGAACATTACATTTTCAGAATAGATCCTAATATTTTATTGAGGGCCTATGTGCTAAAAACTATGCATATCTATATATTGGCCAATTATCTTTAATAATTTACCTTTTGAAATTGCATGTTTATCATATATCCTTAAGTGGACACATACAGTGCCATGTTGATGTGCCTCTCAGTTTTATTGAAAAGCTGCCCCACAGCCCATGTCTCTTGTTCTCTGCAATGCCTCAAGGGAGTGAGCTCTCAACCACAGATAGCTGTGGCTTCTCAGAAGCAGCTCATTGCCAAGGCCAGGCTGAGAGGGGACCTGCTTGCTGTGGTGGTTGCCTAGCCCAGATGAGCATTTACCTACCACCTTCCCACTTGGCTAGCTGTCCTTTGGATATGTGCTGTTAACTGGGGAAGGCATCTAACTAGTAGCCTGCTACTCCATAGTATGGCTCAATAGATGACACATCATTTTGACATTATCAATAGGAGAAAAGAAAACTAACCCTTCTTCTGATTGTTTGGAGCCATAGTTGTCTCAGATGTTCTAATTCTCTTTGTATGCTTGGAAACAGCATAGATATGTTGCTGTGGTTTTCAGAATTTTCTCTTTTAATCACAAGAAGCCTTTTAAAAAATGACTTACACATATTCTCAATGTACAGTAAAACAGACAGAAGTGAGCTTATCTGTTTGATGCTGTGGCAGGGTCCCAGTCACTGGGCATATCCTCCTTCTCCTTAACCAGCTCCACAGCAGCCCCTGAGTCACCTGCACAAGGTGCTTGGGAACTGCTGGTTATGAGCATTCCTGGTTTTCTTCAGCCAAATAACAGGTAATCACTGTCAATTGGATTTGGTCTTCATTATTTTATATTCTGATTTTATCAGAATTATTCTATTTTAAAATTGTTTTAAAATTTAAAACATTTAATTCATGATCATGTTCATCAGTAGATGCTATTATTCATAAGAACTGTGATTCCAGCAAACTAGGGTAATTGGTGCCTTTTTACAGTTTTGAATAAAAGCATTTACAATTTCTAAATTATCAGTTTTCACAGTTTCAGCACTCAACCTCATCATACGCTGATTTAATATTGTTTTACATTAAAATAGTCCTTTTCCCTGTTGTGCCACCATTCATTTAAGTGCTGTTTGTTCTTAAAATGCATTTAAAGAAAAATTACCCATATTGACTTTCACACCTCATATAATCAGATCTATTACAAATATATATCGGAGTGACGGTGCCCAGGATAGATGTAATATTTCTTACAGATGCTGGCACAGAGGAAATAATATACCAGCTAATCTAGTCACCTAACCTTGTGGTTAGAATTGCAATTTTAAGACCAGAAAAATTTGAAGTCTGATCAGAGATTTACAACTGTTCATTATAGTGGTGCCTTAGGCAATCTTTCCAAAGTAAATTCAGGGCCCCATTGCTACTTATGCCATATTTGGACATACTTTTTTTTTCTTCAATTTTGTAAACTTCCTGGAAAGCTGTCTTCACTAAGTATCCCCTAGTCTCTATATATGTGGTTAGTAGTCATGGAAATGACACATAAAGTACGCCAGAAGTTTGATGGAACGTGTTAGAAACTGTTTTGTGCTTTTATGGATGTCATACTTGACAATACATGTGTAAGTTACTAATATATGAATTGATGCTAAATATATCTTACATTTGAATTCCTTTTGGATAAAGTTATTTCTTGATGTGACAGAGTAGTGTGTTTTCATTTTTATTCTTTACATGTGACCAAAACAATAGAAAAGTTAAAAATAAAATATAGTGTTTTAGGTGGCCTTTGACTTCATATTTTACTGAATTAAACAATTTGGGGGATATTATTTTATGGGATTTATTTGTTTAAAAGATATTGAGTGGGTCCAAGATACTCTTCTGGGTACAGTAAAGGAAAGATTCTTAGCTTATAGCTAGAATGGCCTGAGATTATCAATCATGTTAAGAAGGATAGTGTAACCACCTAATTTTAAAAAAAATGTTTTAATTGCTTTTGTCATGGGCATTGGGCAGGACTTTGCCAGTGGTAACCAAGACAGCCACGATTGCTGCCTTTGTAGAAATAATGGTCTAGTGGGGGAGAGAAAACATTGAGCAAGTAATTATAGAGATGTGAGATCTGTGCGTGAAACAACATACAGTAGAGAGAGACCTAACCCATCTGAGAGGCAAGGAGCACTTCCCTGAGGATGTGCCATGTAAGCTAAGACCTGAAAGTTAGCTAGGTGAAGAAGGTTAAAAGCACTTATGAAGCTGTCAGGCCAACAGCAAGTATAGAGTTGAATGTTCTAGGAGTGGACAGAAGTTTGAGTTTGCTGAAATATAAAGTATAAGAGGGAAAGTGGTAAAAGAAATGAGGTGGAGTGGTTGGTGGTGTTTACATCCTGAGGGCCTTTTGGGGCAGGTAAGGGAGTTCAGACTGAGGCTTAGGGTAATGGGATGCCACTAAATTGATTTAAGCAAATGAATGATGTGATTATATTTGTGCATTTGAAAAACCAGAGGACCATACTTTTTAGGGCAGACAGATGAGTTCAGAAGCCCACAGAGTTCCACATGGAACCCTGTGACCAAATGTGGGTCTAGTCGCAATGGCTTTGCCTTGGTGAAGGCCAGATGGCAGAGCTGATAGTGGTCACCTTCTGGCAGACACTCAGCTGTTTGGTCACATACTTTCTAAGTGTCTGATTCTAGGTCTGTTTCCAAATTCTGAGCTTTTCCTGCCTCACTATCAAATTGTCTGGTAGACCCGTATCTTGTTGGTTCCTTAATGGTGCAGAGGCTGGTTCAGACCTGGTGATAATATGTCTTCAGGAATGCCAAACCCTTGCATGTAGCAAGACCATCACCCTTGTCACTTGTCACCAAATAACATCACTTCCTGATCATCACTACATTTGGCCAGATTCTCCAGAAAAACCACAGTAGTTTGAAATGTCCATACAGAATTACACTTTGGCTTGGCTGTTGATTCCTTCCTCCAAAATGATGGAAAGTATTATTATAAGCAGAATTGTGACTTCTTACTGCTTGGGAAAGGAGAGCTATCTCTGGTCTTTCATCAGCAGATGCTTACAAAGCATTTATTGGTGCTCACAAAGCACCAAGTTTTATAGCAGCACCTGGTCTTCTAGGACTGGAATCAGAAGAATTTCAAGGATGGGGAGCTTTAAGGAGTTCTCAGAGAAAAGTCTGAGTAGGAAATAATTTGCTTTTTTCAACCATCCCTTCCTTTCAGTAAGAAGTATTCAATTTTTCTTTGAACAAATATTTATTGGGTAGTCTATTACTGGCAATCAACAGGGGAATTCAAACAGAGTAAAAAAATTCTTGCTGACTTCAAAGCTTATGATCTAATATGGAAAAGGAGACAGTATATATGTTAAACAGAACAAGAGTGAGCAAGGTGAGGGACTCTGCTGTGTTGGAGTAAGACTGGCCCTTCTTGTGCCTTCAGGCATCCATGGTGATGAGGAAAGAGGGTCCCTTGAATGCTGCTTCTGGAAAGATGCTTCTCCTGCCCATCCTGCTATCATTCATTGCTCTCCACTACCATCCTGTGATCACTGTTCATGCCAGTCCTCACAAGAAGCCCAGACCATTAGTTTCCAACCCCTGTATTCTGACTCCATATCCCACTTCTCTCCAGTGCCCCATACCCTTCCACTCTGCCCTCAAGAACTGGGTCGTTCATTAGCAGAAATTTCTGATATCAATGTTTTTTTCTGAATAGTCCCTTCACCTTTTAATTCTAATTAAAACCTGCCTCTCTTGAAGAACATTGCTTCCTCTGCTGCCCTCTCAAGTGATGGTAATTTCCTCTTCCTGATCTACCCCTGGGCTTGGAGGCTGCGTAGGTACCCTCCTTGATCCTCCCTTCTGCTTTCAGAGAGCTTTTCCCTCCTCTTTAAAACCTCTGGCTTTGAATCTTGCATCATTAGATTAGATCACTCTCTATCCCTCCTTATAATAATACTGCTCTCTATTCAACCTCAGCCCACATTCTGAAGGTCATATGCTAGACCTTATCGTTATTGATTTAAAAAAAACCCTCCCTGATCGCATTTTCAAGTATTCAGTTTTTCAATAACAACCACTTTTGCAGTTCACTCCCTTTAGTACCACAACTCTAACAAGTCTCCCTCCATGCCTTCAATCACAAATCCTACCAACTTCTCAGTGTCTCGATGGTCTGGCCCCTCCTGCTCTTTCCTTTTCTAAACTTCTTTTCTACTAATCTCTGCATTGTCATTCACTCCAACCACATGGGCTTTCTTGCTCTTACTTGAATATGCCTGGCATATTCCTGGCTCAGGGCTTTTGCACTTGCCGTTGCCCCTTCTTGAAAACCCAGCCTCCCCTAGCCACTTGGGAACCTTGCTCCCTCACCTCCTTCAGGTCTTTATTTAAGCATCACTCAGTGAGGCCTTTTCTGATCACCTTATTTAAAAGTGTACCTCTTTCCCTAGTACTTTTTATTTTTCTTCTCTGTTTATATTTATTTTGGCCAGGTGCAGTGGCCTACGCCTGTAATCATGGCACTTTGGGAGGCTAAGTTGGGTGGATTGGTTAAGCTCAGGAGTTTGAGACCAGCCTGGGCAACATGGTGAAAACCCATTGTATTACTCCGTTCTCATGCTGCTAGTAAAGGCATACCCAAGACTGGGTAATTTATAAAGGAAAGAGGTGTAATTGACTCACAGTTCAGCATAGCTGGGGAGGTTTCAGGAAACTTACAATCATGGCGGAAGAGGAAGCAAACACATCCTTCTTCACCTGGTGGCAGCACGGAGAAGTGCAGAGCAAAGTTGGGGAAAAGCCCCTTACTAAATCATCAGATCTCATGAGAACTGACTCACTATCACCAGAACAGCATGGAGGTAACCACCCCCATGATTCAATTACCTCCCATCTGGGTCCCTCCCATGACATGTGGGGATTATGGGAACTACAATTCAAGATGGGGACACAGCCAAACCAAATCAGCTGTCTCAATACAAAAATTAGCTGGGTGTGGTAGAGCACACTTTTGGTTCCAGCTACGCAGGAGGCTGTGAGGTAGGAGGATTGCTGGAGCCTGGGAAGTTGTTTTTTTGTTGTTGATGTTGTTTTGTTTTTTTTTCTTGTCCTCCCTCACCCACTAGAATGTCAGTTCCAAGAAATCTGGGATTTTTGCCTGTTTGTTCACTGCTTTCTCCTCAGAGCCTAGAAGATACCTTGGCATTTAGAAGGCATTCCCTAAATAAACACTGAAAGAATGAATGAATGAAGTATATACTAGAGAATATATAAAGATAGAAGTTAGTTTATATGAGAAAATATTGAAGCTTAGAATGGGAAGATTTTCTATTCAATGTGGAGAGTCGTCAGGGCAGTGGGAAGATCTTGGAGAGCTTCATGGATGGTTTGACATTTCATCTGGGATTTAAAGGTTTTATGGGGCTTTATAATGTAGAGAAAGCGGAAGAGCCTTTCAGCAAAGAAATTGGCATTGTCAGTGGCATGGATTAAGAAAGCGTGGGTTGAGAAACATTGTTAGTATAGGGAGATGAATGTATGAATGAACCGTTTTGTTTCATAACTAAATCTCTTTATTCACTTTTACAAATGTGATATTGAAATTCAAACAATATTGATCTTCCACATATTTTATTTCTTTATTTTTTATAGAGACAGGGTCTCAAACTCCTGGCCTCAAGTGATCTGCCTGCCTTAGCCTTCTAAAGTGCTGGGATTACAGGCATAAGCCACCATGCCCGACCACACATATTTCTATTTTAATGAAATCTGTGGTTAGTCCTTTTCTGAAGGACATGCTAAATCTGAATTTTTCCTCTCAGATTTGGAATATAAATATGGTCCTAACATGGCAGACTTGATCATCATTTGACCCCATAAAATCTTGGCAAATGTACTTGTTTATTTGAAAAAGGCCTGCTTTAGGTGGATGCTACTTTTATCAAGCCTTTCCATGGGCTTCATGTTTGAAAAGCATGTGTTATCTTTTGACCTTGAACTCTGCTTTACTCTGGCGTAGCCCTGGACAAAGGGTCTTATTACAAAACACGAATGTTTTGTAAAATGGGACTTGGGGTAGGAATCGTTAAATTCCCTTGCAAGTCTAAGATTCTGGTGTAAACAACAGAGCTTGATTTATTCAAAGCTGGATGCAAGAAGCTGTATCACGAGCCCAGTTAATAACCCTTAGCATACACTATATGCTGAATTCTGTATTGCTTAGGATTCCCAGCAGAGAGGATTCTCATAAATTTGTGGCAGAATCATTGTGTGCATTGGGCAGAGATGACTAGAGGTGCAAACGGACAGTAAGGGGGCTGTGACCTTTCAGGTATCACTCCCTTTCCTCATCCGAGGGAGTTATTATCTAGAAATGTCAGGTTGCATTGCTTAATGATGCACATTTATTTGACCTTTGCACCGTCACTTCTAGTCACAAAAGTTATAGTAGGAAAAATACAGTCAGTCATAAAAACCCATAGAGAAAAACATCAAATTTTACTACAGCGTGTGGGTATGGTACTTAAAATATCAGTTTCAAGTATCTTTGGTCTGATTAGTTATAATAAATTCCAGAACAGCATAATGATTAATTAACACCTTCTAAAGATTTAAAAAATTCCCGTAGGTGGGTAAAGGCATTATTGTAAATATAGAACAGGTCCAAATTACTAAAAGTACAGATTCTTCTCTTATTGGTTTTCTGTGTAGCAATTTTTCATCTAATACAACTGAAATAAAATAGATTTTTATATATCAAGGGTGTTCAATCTTTTGGCTTCCCTGGGTGACATTGGAAGAATTGTCTTAGGCCACACATAAAATAAACTAACACTAATGGTAGCTGATAAGCCAAAAAAAAAAATTTACAAAAAAACTCATAATGTTTTAAGAAAGCTTACAAATTTGTGTTGGGCTGCATTCAAAGTTGTCTGGGCTGCATACGACCTGCAGGCTGCAGGTTCGATAAGCTTATTATATATTATGTTAAGAGGGGACCAAGTTACTCCTTTCCTTTGAGTATACTTAGAGCTTTCGGCCCATTCTAATACTACAATTGGTGAAGTTGTGCAATTCATTTTATTTTTCTTTTTTTAAGTCCTTCTTTGTTTATAGACAGAGTCTCACTGTGTTGCCCAGGCTGGATTGCAGTGGCATGATCTTGGCTCACTGCAACCTCTGCCTCCTGGTTCAAGTAATTCTCCTGCCTCAGCCTCCCAAGTAGCTGGGATTATAGGCACCCGCCACCATACCCAGCTAATTTTATTTATTTATTTATTTATTTATTTATTTATTTATTTATTTATTTTTGAGATGGAGTCTTGCTCTGTCGCCAGGCTGGAGTACAGTGGCGCGATGTCAGCTCACTGCAACCTCTGCCTCCCAAGTTCAAGCGATTCTCCTGCCTCAGCCTCCCGAGTAGCTGGGACTACAGGCATGCACCATCATGCCTGGCTAATTTTTTGTGTTTTAGTAGAGACAGGGGTTTCGCTATGTTGGTCAGCCTGGTTTGGAACTCCTGACCTCAAGTGATCCACCCCCCTCAGCCTCCCAAAGTGCTGGGATTACAGGTGTGAGCCACCGGACCTGGCGTTTTAATTTTTTTTTTTGAGACAGAGTCTCGCTCTGTCACCCAGGCTGGAGTGCAGTGGCACGATCTCAGCTTACTGCAACCTCTGCCTCCCGGGTTCAAGTGATTCTTTTTTCTTGTGTCTCATCCTTCCAAGTAGCTGGGATTACAGGTACATGTTACCACGCCCAGCCAATCTTTTTGTTTCTTTGTTTTTTTAGTAGAGACGGGGTTTCACCATGTTGGGCAGGCTGGTCTCAAATTCCCAAAGTGCTGAGATTACAGGCGTGAGCCACTGCACCTGGATGAAATTGTGCAATTTAAAAGTCATTTCTAGTTCCAAGTTCTCTCTTGTTTAAAGAAAGGTTTTGCTTATTTTTGACGTGGTCCTTGTGTGGGGTTGGCAGATTTAGCAAACAAAAATACAAGATGTCAAGTTAAATTTGAATTTTGGACAAAAATGAATATTTTTTCATATAGGCAAGTCCCAATTATGGCATGGAGCATATCTATACTAAAAAATTATTCAGGCTGGTCATGGTGGCTCACGCCTGTAATCTCAGCACTTTGGGAGGCTGAGGTGAGCAGATCACCTGAGGTCAGGACTTTGAGACCAGCCTGGCCAACATGGTGAAACCCCGTTTCTACTAAAAATACAAAAAGTAGCCAGGCGTGATGGCACACGCCTGTAATCCCAGCTACTCGGGGGGCTGAGACAGGAGAATCGCTTGAACCCGGGAGGTGGAGGTTGCAGTGAGCTGAGATCGTGCCACCGCACTCCAGCCTTGAGCAACAGTGAGACTCCATCTCAAAAAAAAAAAAAAAAAAAAAAAAAAGGATTCATTAACTGAGTGTCCTGTGTTTTATGTGACAATTCTGTTTGATAGATTGAAAAATGGCCAGAATCCTTCCGCTGCCTCTGGATCCACTCCTTTTGCAATGTGACTTTGCTGTCCCCCCATTAAGAAGTGGATTTCATTTCTCTACCCCTTTAATCTAGGCTGGTTTTGTGACTTACTTTGGCTAATAGAATGTGTAGACATAATGATGTGTGAATTCTGAGCCTATGCCTCAAGAGCCTGGCTCACTTCTGCTTTGTCTCCTCTCAGAACCTTGTGCAGTCTCCACACCCAGTGTACCCATTTTCAGGATGACAGACCATGTGGTTAGAAAAAAGCTGTCCCATCTGAGACTGTCCTGAGACTGTTCTACACCAGCCAGCCCCCAGTCAATCCGGCAGCTGACTATAGAGCATGAATTAGCCCAGCTAAGACCAGAAGAACGAGCTCAAATTGGCAATCTATAGAAACCAATAAATGATTCAGGAGCTAATAAATGATTATTTTAACTTACTACATTTTAGTTAGCAAAAGCAAATTAATGTAGTTTGACAATGCAAAATAGAGCTGGGCATTTTTAAGACCAGAGGACAGCTTATAGGTTGTGCTGAGTTTTGGAGGCCACAGATAAAAGTGAAATAGAAGGTGATATTATAATCAATTTTGAGCAAATAACACTTGGAATGGCTTCAGTGAATCAGAGGAAATTGCTTGTTGAAATAAACACTTGTGCCCACAGGGTGAAAAAATTACTTCTTATAGAGATATTGTTTTCCTTCTTTAACTATTTAAGATTTAAAATATAGAACCTCTGCTGAGTGGCTTCTTCCTTCTTTCTCTGCAGATCTTATCATGATACATCTCTTTTAACCAGCCCATGCTGCACTGTATTTCTGGTGATTAATTGTCGAGGTCAGACCTGGGCAGTGAGGAAAGACCTGGTCTGGGAAGAACTTTCATATATAATAAGTCTTCACTTGACATTAACCAATTTTACCATAGGCTGATTAGTATAAACAAGAGTTAAGTTCCCATGGCATATTTCTGGTCATAAAAACATCACCAAACTTCAAAATAATGACCAAGACACCTATAATATTAAACATTGAAATAAGTGTGAGCTGTACGCACATTTAGGAAAGATTAATTAAAACAAGATAATTACTTACTCAATTATTCCAGTTCAGAGTCTCAGGTGACCTAAGAATATCCCAGCAGTGAAGGACACAGGTAAGAACTGACCCTGGAAAGGATGCCATCCATCACAGGGTGCATTCACACACACCCACACACTCACACACATGCACACTCACACACACCCACACAATCACACATGCCCACACACACACACATACCCACACACACCCACATTCACAAACACACACACCCACACACACACACAAACACACTCCCACACTCACTCCGACTGGGACCATTTAGACACAGCAGCCCACCTAACAGGCACTTCTTTGGGACATAGGAGAAAACTGGAGAAACCCACACAGTCATGAAAAGAACGTGCAAAATCCATGCAGACAGTGGCTGTAGAGAGGAATCTATTTTTTTCTCACTCATGTTATAACAAAACGACATTGTATGTAACTACATTACTTGAGGACCTGCTGTATCTATAAATCATCAATTAATTAGTCAAATGATTAATGAACATGGACTATAGGGAGTCCAGAGAAGAGATATATGTGGATTAGCAGTAGTAGGGAAAGAAAGAAGTAGGGAAAAGCTCACCTATTATCTCTGGGGACCCCTGGATGTCTGGATTTTAACTCTTGGCCAAGATAAGGGCAGTGAGAATAATGCGGTGTTTAAAGTGCTAAACTCTGGCGACTCCGAGTCAGTTTCTTCACTAAAGGTTTTCTAGTGATCTAATTGGTTAGGCAGCATGCCTTTGATATGTGGAGAGAGGGGTATATGAAGCCCACTGTTGATTTTATAGCTTTGAGCTCTCCCAAAGCCTAGATTCCTTGCACAGATCTTGGTGGTTCAATCCCTGAGACAGAGTCTGGTCAGATCCTTGTGTAACCACCTTGGGGAGCTTGCTCATGGGATGATTGTCAGGCTCCCACTGCTTGCCTGTGCTCTTTTTCTCTTGCTGCATCTTTTCCATGGCCTTTACGTAAAAGCCCCACATGTGTATGAGTATGCTCTGTGGAATGTGGTGAGCTCTTTCCAATATCTGGACATGGGAAATCTTTGCATTCACAGTGCCTAGGGAAAGAGATGTCTCATTTTCCTCATCTGAGAAATGGTGAGGATGATAAAAACAATAATTACATCATGGGGCTATTACGAAGATTAAATGAGCTAACAGAGGTACAACACTTAGAGCAGTATCTGGTAGACAGTAAATGCTGTGTAAGTGCTAGCTATTATTATTTTCAGCCTGTCTAAACCTTAGTGATATGGTTTGGCTGTGTCCCCACCCATATCTCATCTTGAATTGTAACTCCCACAATTCCCACATATCGTGAGAAGAACCTGGTTGGAGGTGATTGAATCATGGGGGTGGGTTTTTTTGTTTGTTTGTTTTGAGATGGAGTCTTGCTCTGTCGCCCAGGCTGGAGTGCAGTGGCGCGATCTCCGCTCACTGCAAGCTCCGCCTCCTGGGTTCACACCATTCTCCTGCCTCAGCCTCCTGAGTAGCTGGGACTACAGGCACCCGCCACCAAGCCCGGGTAATTTTTTTTGTATTTTTAGTAGAGACGGAGTTTCACCATGGTCTCTATCTCCTGACCTCGTGATCTGCCCACCTCGGCCTCCCAAAGTGCTGGGATTACAGGTGTGAGCCACCGCGCCTGGCCAGGGGTGGGTTTTTCATGCTGTTCTCATGATAGTGAATAAGTCTCAGGAGATCTGATGGTTTAAAAAATGGGAGTTTCTCTGCACAAGCTCTCTCTTTGCCTGCTGCCATCCATGTAAGATGTGACTTGCTCCTCCTTGCTTTCTTCCATGATTGTGAGGCCTCCCCAGCCATGTGGAATTGTAAGTCAATGAAACCTCTTTTTCTTTCTAGTTTCGGGTATGTCTTTGTCATTAGCATGAAAACAGACTAATACACTTAGCATGGGGGACTTCTTTTGCCTCAACTTTGTGTGTGTGCATGTGTGTATGTTTGATAATTGCTTCCTGTCTACTCACATATTATTAAGAAAAAAATCTTGTTTTAAAATAGCTGGGGTTTTTTTTGTTGTTTGTTTTTTGTTTTTTGTTTTTGACGGAGTCTCGCTGTATCGTCCAGGCTGGAGTGCAGTGGCATGATGTTGGATCACTGCAACCTCCACCTCCTGGGTTCAGGCAATTCTCCTGCCTCAGCCTCCCAAGTAGCTGGTACTACAGGCGCCCACCACCACACCCAACTAATTTTTGTATTTTCAGTAGAGACAGGGTTTTATCATATTAGCAAGGCTAGTCTCAAACTCCTGACCTTAGGTGACCCACCCGCCTCAGCCTCCCAAGGTGCTGGGATTACAGGCATGAGCCACCTCACCCAGTGCTGTTTGAAATTTTATCAGTAAGACTGAAACATTCCATTTTTGCCTGGAGGGTCTGAGTTATTTTGACACAGAAAAGCATCCAGGTGCACAACTTCAAATAAGAGAGTTTTGGACACAACACTCTGTTTATCTTAATGTAATAGTTTTCAAGGAAACAGGGCCCCACATTTGCTTCTTAGCTGAAGCCTGATGTTAAACACTGTCTTGCTTTAATTTGAGCCCATCAAAATATCACTTCATTTAAACTCCACTTAACCTCTCCCCATCCCGAATATCCTATAGTAACCTTGTCTTTTCCTGTGTTTGGTGGGACACTCAGATTTTCTCTGGTGAATAATTTGTTGCATCATGTTAATAAACTTGGCTTTATTGTATTATACTATAGTTTGTTCCTGGTGGTCTTTATCAGACAAGCTTTATAGAAATATACATGCATGGTATTACTGAAGATTTCATTCTTTTTTCTTTTAAACAAACTATACTAGTATTTTAAAAATATCTATCCTTTTTGCTTTATGTAAATCTAATTCATTACTTCTAACTGCTGGATAGAACTTCATCTTACAAACACAACTATACTCCCACACACCATATTTTTTTTCCCATTCTCCTAGAGGTAGATATTAGAGTTGCCTCCAATTCCTTTGTACTATAAACAATGCTATATATCCTCATGGATTTCCTCTTATGGACCTGCTTAAGAATTTTCTGGCATATATACTCTGAAATGGTACTGCTGAGTTCTAAGGTGTGCTGCCAAAATTTTGCTAAGATTGCTAAAATAGTAGAGCCAGTGTACACACTTGCCAGCACTTGGCACTATTATCTGCTTTCAAGTATTTTTCCAGTTAGATGGGTATAAGGTGGTATTCCATTTTGTTCTGATTTGTATTTCTTTGAGCACAAGTGAAGTCAAGCACCTTTTCTCTGTCAATTGCTTATTTGTTTTTCTTCCATGAATTACTTACTCATATTCTCTCTCCCTTTAAAAAACTGGGCTTTTTGTCATTATGCAAAGAAAGCACAAGAGCTAGTTGCCTTCTTATAATTTATAATTAAGCAGAAATAATTTACAATTAAGAGGAAATTAGAGGACATGCTGTACTATGTGGCACTTCCTGAAAGTACAAAAGATAATCCCGTGAGATAGAACCATCATAGGTTGATGTTTTTAGAGGCAGTTGGGAGACAGAAAATGTGAGCAGAGTTGGAAGTATAGGACAGAGGTAAGTGACGGAGGAGAGACAACAACCTTCCAGAGTAAGGCAGGCAGCAGCGACAAAGGCCAGAGGAAGAAGGGCAGGTATTTGTTCCAGAGAAAAAGCAAGGAGACCCACTTAAGTGGAGGATATGGTTAGGGTAGTGGAAATTAAATTTGTATAAATAGGATTTAACTGGTAGGAGGACTAGTAGGTTCCTGTGATGATTGGTTTTTTGTGTCAACTTGATGGGGCCACAGGATGCCCAGATAGCTGGTAAAACATTATTTCTGGGTATGTTTGTGGATGAGATCAGCATTTGAATTGGTGGACAGAGTAAAGCAGGTTGCCCTCCCCAATGTAGGTGGGCATAATACAGTTTGTTGAGGGCCTGAATAGAACAAAAATATGGAGGAAGGGAGAATTTGCTCTCTTGGCCTGGTTGCTCATCCTGGGACATTAATCTTCTCCTGTCTCAGGCTGCAACCTTTACCATTAGCTCTCCTAATTCTCAGTCCTTTGGATTCAGACTAGAGCTACACCACCAGCTCTCTTGGGTCTCCAGCTTAAAGACTGCAGATCATGGAACATCTCAGCTTTCACAATTGTGTGAGCCAATTCCTAATAATAAATCATGTATATATAAAATATATAAATAAAAAACATGATAAATATCTCTATATGATATATATTAAAATATATAATAAATCTCTACACATATTTGTAATATATAATATATATTTAAATATATTTATTATAAGGAATTGGCTCATGAAATTATGAAGGAAAAGAAGTCTCATGATCTACCATCTACAAACTGGAGTCCCTGGAAAGCCCGTTGTATAATTTTAGTCTGAGTCTGAAGGCATCAGAACCAGAAGAACCAGTGGTCTAAGTTCCAGTCTGAATCCAATGGCCTGAGATAGATATATATCCCCTATTTTTTTTTTCTCCCTCTGGAAAACTCTAATACAGCCACTGAGCAGGGAAGTAACATGGTCAAAAGTAGGGTTTTAGAAAGATTTTATTTTCCAATAGCAAAGGGACTAAGAGGGCAGACCAGTGACAAGAGCAGACTATAGGTAAAAAGTGAATGTTTATTTGCATTGAACAGAAAATATGTTCTGGGTGTTAGCAATGGGATTGAAAAAGAAAGGATAATTAGAAAGATTTAAAAAGAAAAAGAATTTGGTGGCACCAAATCAACAATAAAAGAGTTCTTGAATTTTCTTAGATTTTAGTCTGATGGATTGGAAATAAATTGATATTATCTGAAACAGGATAGCTTGGGGGGGAAAATAACTGCCAGGCGAAAAGCATAAATTGCAATGGTCTTGTATTTTAATATCATTTGAATAAATTACAGGGTGTAAAGGGAAAGCATATTGCTCACAAGTTGAGGACTTTTGTCCTTTTCTTTTCCTATTATCAGATGCTTCAGCCCTATTCTACCTTTTGTTTCTGGGTTTTTAAATCACCCTTTTTATACGCAATTCACTCTTTCTGCATACAAACTCCCATTTATCAAATAAATACTATTTAACAATTTGTCCATATTCCCTTAAATCCTGAAAAAACCAACCATCCTTTAGTAAAACTTGTTATATTTTGTGATACTCTAACACTACATGCAAAAACGGTGACTCTATCAAATGATGCAGTTTATTATAGTGATTGATTTGTACATGGTTTGCTAAATGCATCTATGTTGTAGGCTTTTTGGCTAATATGATTTGTTAAAACCCTCTCAGCAAAGTGCTGTTACAGTGACCATCTTTGGAGACTTGGAAATAGCCTCATTACACAGAACTTGATGTTATACACTAATGGCATTTATTAGAATGGAATTCTATATGTATTATTACTTCCGACACCAGCCTGGCCTTTGTAGCCTCCTCACAGCATGCAACGTCGGTAATTATGCTAATGCTAGCTAATTCATGAGGACAACTTCCTAAAGTGCCCTTAATTAACTTGGAGATTTTGTAAACAGCTATACATGTAGGTTCCGGAAATTGTGGGGATATGTCAATCTGACATGTGTAGAGTCTGCCTTCCTAACCTCATCACTTTGTTTTACTAAAGCTTAATTTTAAACAAGAAGTTCCAATCTGATATCTTTTCCAGCAAGTGCTTGAGGAAGATTCTGATAAGTGTCACTTTAGCCTGTATCCTCCAGTCCAAGTCCCTTGAGCCAGATGAGTTAGGTAGATTGGTGTCTTTTAAGTTGGTTAGAAGAGAAAATATTGAAGTTTATTTCTTTAGTAAAGGGTACAATTTTTCCAATATGTTCCTGCAATGTGATTTTGCCAGTTTGCTAATTCTGCCGACCAACATTGGTCTTCAGGGGACTGTTCCAAAAATCAGACTTCTCATTCAGAAAGCTTCATGATCTCTGCTTCCCTTCAGTCCCAGCTGCTGGGGATTTTTTGATATTACAGTGACTCATCATCCTCATTTGAATGAAAATAATCTGATTTTTGACCTATTACATTAAAATCTTATACCCTTTACATGTAAGAGGTGAAATTCATAAACCTAGAACAATTAGCCAGGCTTTAGAGTGCCAAAGAAGAAATTAAACACAATAAAAATTAAGAGAAAAGGTTAGTGAATCACATCACAGCCAAGAGCAAGCTAATAAAACTGGAAGGAAGAGACATCATCAGGAAAGAACCAAAGGAAAAGGAAACTTACTACATACAATTAGAAGATATAGCAATTGCATAAAGTTAATGAAAACGGAGAATAGGGATGGCTTTTAATAATCTTCTTATTACCACTGCATGAAATCACACTCTCAGATAAGTCCTAGAAACTAAGCTAGGGATTTGCCTTTCGTTTCTCAAGGGTCCCAGCATGTCGTTTCCCCTCGTTAATTTAAGTTACAATCCTAGGTACAATCACTTTGGGAACTAGCTATATCACATCTAAAGATAATCAAACATTTATTGCTTAGCCTTTTCTTTGACTTCAATAGTAAGAACCTCTTCTCCGCCCTCAGCAGAAGGAGCCATGCTGATAATGAGTGATTGACGAGAAGTCCCTCTGGGTAAAACTGTCCTTCTAACTGAGTGGGGTTCTTCCTCCACTGCAATAGGACTTGCTGTACATTCAGGTCTGTCCAGTGGCTTCTCTTCTGGCTCTCTTCCTTTATCTTTATCTTCATTTTCTTTTCCTTTATCTTCATTTTCTTTTTGTTTATCTTCATTTTCTTTTTGTTTATCTTCATTTTCTTTTCCTTCTTCCTCTCCTCCTTCAGAATTTTCTTTCTTCTGGAAGGAGCAATTACAAAGAACTGGTGTTGAAATCGTAATTAAAAACATTGGATTAGATTTTGATTAGCATGCAATGGCTAAGATCACCACCAAGACAGACTGTCTGAATTAAGTGAATCCAGGAATCATGTCTGCTTTGCTTCTGACTATCATTTGATGAAGTTTCTGGTGTGCTAGAGAATGGACTTGTTGCCTTTGACTCATGATGTTAGTCTGAATTGCATTTTTTTGTCTCTGCCAAGGAATTCTCTTCCTATTGGTCCTTATACTCTCTGAATTATTAGACTCAGTGCTCAGGACTCTGTTTTTGCTTTTTAAATATTTACTTATTCTGTAGAGATAAAATTTTAAATATTTATTTTTAATAAAAACATATTAACCAATACTATATAAAAATACTGTAAAAAGTAGGGTTTTCCTCTTGCCTAAGCTTGTGGGAGAACCTCAGGGAGAAACTTATCCCTTTCCTAGTATGATCTTTTCCATTTGTCCCACAGGTGCTTGACCTGTCATGTTTGTACCTATCGTGTTTAGCACTAGCTATAGAAATTTCATAGCAAAAGGTACACTATGCTCTTTACTGGTAATGCTTGGGATCAATTTGAGAAAGGCTTGCCTGACATATGAATGTGCACAGATAAAGTTGAGATTCTTAACACATTTACTTATATATTTCTTTACTCCCATACATTTTTTATGCAAATTATTATTTCTATGCTGATGCAAATGAAGCATTTGGTTTATACTGGATCCCTAACTTTCACCACAGTGTTGTATGTGTGGAAAAGGAAAATGCAAGTTTTCATCTTTTGTATGTGACTGACTTTATAATATGTGCTTTACTTATTTTCTGAAAGGTCCACAGCTACCCATTTCTACAGTTTTAGAGATAACATAATGACTAGGTTCAGAAAACCTGAATCCCTGCTCTGTCTGTTTCTCAATATCTGCCCTCATAGGCTAATTATGAGAATCAAAGAAATATGAAACCAAAAAAAAAGAGAGAGAGAGAGAGAAACAATAACATTTGAGTTTCTTTACATTTTTAGGAATTGAAAGGCAGCTTAGTGTAGGCCTGTAAGTCTGAACACCTGAGTAATAGCTTTCTGCTCTGTAACTAATTATGATCTTATCCAAATCCCTTGATCTGGTTTTCAGTTTCTTCATCTATAACATGAAAAGCTTGGATGAAATTTACAAAGTTATTTTGGGCTTTAAACATTTGTGATCTATAGTAATTGAATATTTGTGAAAATGTTGATAAAATGGGTTATTTATTTATATATCCATATGTATGTCTGTATATATACAGTTGATTTTTATTCATGTAGTTTTGTTCTATAAATTTTCCACAAACAGCAAGTTAGCAAGTACTGAACCATTGTTCTTGGAGGAAATACAGCATTAGGTTCCTATGAGATATTATGGTTCAAGCCATAATATTTTTGTCAATTGGTCAATGTATAACTTTGTTTCATGTGTGTTTTTGTTTAGAGATACACTATTTAATTTGATCAATTGATTAATTTGAGGTATTATTGATTCATTATATTGAACTCATGCAAACAGCACTGTAATGCCTGAATGAAGTTTACCTAACACACATATTTTCTCTGGAAGGCACATCACAGCATTTTGGCACTTAGGAGCACTAGACAGTATTTCAGGACTATGCTTGGGGGCTATTTTAAGCAGCAAAATCACACACATGCAAAAAGCACAAAAATGTGGAAAGCATGGCACTAAAAGTGTCACTCTTTTTTGTTGTTGTTTTTGTTTGTTTGTTTGTTTTTTGAGACAGAGTATTGCTCTGTCGCCCAGGCTGGAGTGCAGTGTTGTGATCTCGGCTCACTACAACCTTTGCCTCCCGGATTCAAGCAATTCTCTTGCCTCAGCCTCCCAAGTAGCTGGGACTACAGGTGTGTGCCACCATGCCCGGCTAATTTTTTGTGTTTTCAGTAGAGACAGGGTTTCACCGTGTTAGTCAGAATGGTCTCGATCTCCTGCCCTCGTGATCCGCCCGCCTTGGTCTCCCAAAGTGCTGGGATTACAGGTGTGAGCCACCGCACCCGGCCAAGGGTCATTCGTTTATAGTATCAGAGCTGAAACAAGAAAGGAGAGTGCCTCTTTTTTCAAACTCAGCTGAAAATGTATGCATCAAGCAACTTAAATTTTTTGCCACCCTGCACGTGCTGTTGTCCACAAATGACCACAAAAGCACCATGAGTATTGATTTTAAGTTACTAATAAATTATAGTAAGTAGATTCACCAATATAGAATCTGCAAATAATCTATGAATAATGAGGGTATACTCTGTTTATAAATACATGCATATTAAAGCCATCTATAAACATCCTGTGAGGGTTAAATGTGATGATATGTGGGAATTCAGCAGTTTAAATAATAATGTGCTATATATAAAGCAGGAAGTATTAGTATTAGATTAGTCCAAATCATCCCAGTGTCTGAAATGGAATTAGAGTGGGCGTTTGTGTGTATATACTTAGTCTGGGGCCTTCTCCATGACAGCCGTCCATTCACTCCACCTTATTACCTGAGCTGCTTGCTCTCGCTTCAATTTGAGTAGTCTTGCAAGACTTGCTTTTCCTGTGCCTCCTAGGAGAGTTTTAAACAGTTTGGGTGTCTCTTCTTTCGGTGGGAAGAGGAGGGCAAGATCTTTTCTTGGAGGGGTTGCTTCTGCGGTCTTAGCCTTCTGCTTTAAAAGCACTCTGTGGGTAAGAGAGAAAAGCTGTTTTAGGTAACTCTGTGAGAGTTCTGGCAAAATCTACTAAAAAAACTGCAATTTATCCTAACCTGTGTAGTTTCAATGGGTACCTACATTAATAGTTGTTCATTAAGCATATCTCACTGTGATCAAGTTTATCACAATCATAATACGGTTCTCCCTATCTCAGAGTTTACAAAGTAAAACCAACTCCATCCATCTCTAATGGTGTTTTAAAGGTTGTACCTGGCTTTCTTCATGAGGATCCTTTCAGAATCTGGATAATGCACTAGAATTTCTTGGAGGGTCTTTTTGTCTAGAGTTAAAAGATTGGCAAACCCGTGGGCCACCACATTGGCAGTTCGACGGTTTCCTCCTCCTGCTGCTAGAAGGCTGTAAGAGAGAAAAATGAGTCTTTGCCACCAGTTTCAGTTTTCCTCCACTGAAATCTCTTTAAAAAAATAGCAACTATTATAAGTATTTATACTGCTTCAGAAATCATTCCCTAGAGGTGAGGGTCCAGGTGATTGTGCAGAGAGTGTCAAGATGTGGGAATAGAAATGGCTCAGTTTTCAATATATTTTTTCTCTAACTCTCACCTCTAAGTCCCACAAATCAAGGACTTGTGGCTGTCAGTATCCTGTCAGATCCTTCATCCCAGATTCCAGAAATGCAGAATCCTTTTGGACTGGGTATCCCTCATTTGCTCCTTCAGATCCACTTTTCACCTCTCCCCATGCTCCTTTGTTTCCCAGGAAGCTGACCTCTGTAGGCTTGCCCTCTGACTTCACTTGGGCTCAGCCATTGGAAAAGACTAATAGGAAATCAGAAAGCAGGAAGAGAGTGGGATCAGAGCATTTATCTCCCCTGTTATTTTCCTGCCAAGCCTTAGGTTAGCAGTGGCTGCAGTTCTCTACCAAAATCTACAGCTCCTGACACATGGATGTCTTCTAGAAGTGCAATTCCCATCACTCTTGATGAGTTCTGGTAAACATACCCTCTTCTTTTCCCATTCAGGCCTCACTGTAGTAACAGTTCCTTTGCTGTTGCTAAATTTGAGATGCATTGCCACCTTTTGTTGGTGTAGTAGTCCATTTTCACCTTGCTATAAAGATACTACCTGAGACTGGGTAATTTCTAAACAAAGGATGCTTAATTAACTCAATTCTGCATCACTGGCGAGGGCTCAGGAAACATACGGTCATGGTGGAAGGCAATTGGGAAGCAAGGCACATCTTATATGGCAGCAGGAAAGACAGAGAGCAAGGAAGTGCCACACTTTAAAACCATCAGCTCTCCTGGGAACTCACTCATTATCACGAGAATAGCACGGGGGGGGTGGCGGGGGGAACTGCCCTCATGATCCAGTCACCTCCCATCAGGTCCTTCCCTCAAAACATGGGGATTACAATTTGAGAAAAGATTTGGGTGGGGACACAAAGCCAAACCATGTCAGTTGGGTACTCTTAGACTTTTCCTCACTTCTGTCAGTAATCTCTTTATTAAAGTTTACTCAATTGCCTCACTTGAGTGTGTCTGTTTCCCACCTGGGCTCTGGCTGATACAACTCTCAACATCAAATGTGAAAGCCAGCACTTCATGATGCCCTGGTCACCTCAGGTGAATCCAATCTCATCTCCTACTATACTCCAAAATCAACTTGTTCCTCAGTGTCATAAGCTGCTCTATAATATAGTCATTCACATACATCTCCCCACCTGGAATGCCAGGGAATTGTGGGCTTTATGTCTTGGAGGGATATAAAAGAGCATTTTGCATTTGAGAAATAAGCAAAAAAGAGTGGGGGAATAAACACAGAAAGGAATAAGATAAATGAATAAAAAGTCTGTCGTTACCGGTGATCTGAGAAGGAAGGATTGGTTTGTAAAAACAGAACAAGAAAAACCACATTTCAAATGTTTAAAAAAGACACCATAGGATCTGCATTGAGAGGATAACACAACAGATTGAACCCCTTGGAGTTAATCTGTTAGAAACTGAGAAAGAAGGATCACATTAACAAAAGCAGTTTCTACAGGTGGAGAAGACAGAGAAAACACTCTGACCTTTGGAAGCAATGAGATATAAGAAGCTGCATGGGCCCTGTGCCTGAAGATTTATGTTATACAGTATGAACAACTTCTGTTGTTGCAGAAAAGGGAGGATTCCAGTTGGCTGTTAATTGTTAAAAAACTTATATAGGGTTTTAGCTCTGACAGGTTAAGAGCCTGGAAATCATTACTCCTGTCCTTACAACAAGAAAAAGCTGCACAATTGAAAAATTAACGACTTTTCTTAGATCCTTCAGAGAACTGAAGTCACAGGGCAAACTACCGCCCCCAAATCTGGAGAGAGAGGTGAATCCATAAAACTACAGCCATATCTGCTTACTGCAGCAGAAGCCCCTGGAGTCATAACTGGTAAGAATGCTTAAATGCTCATTTTAATAAATTGTTGGAGGCTGAATGTGGACTAGCATGAGAGTGAGAAACTCTTGGGGGCCATGGTTATAAAGTCACTCACACTTTTGTGGGATTTACCACCAGGAACCTCATCAGGTTCTTAGGGTGAAGAGCCAAGGAAGATCCCCTCTCGGCTCTGGCAGGCATAGGGGAAGATTAATCATTGTGAAATATACCCAGAGCATATTTGTTCTCCATACCGCAGGCCTACTATTTAGAGAAAAATACTTTACCAGAGCTTTGTGCTACCTGAGGGAAGAACATTTTTCCCAATGCAGCCCCTTTAAGACTTCCTGTCTTATCTAAGGGAGATGGAAAGCTAAGAAACTCCTGTGAATGTCACAGCATTGGGAAATACAAAAAACTGAAACTTTATCACAGAATTATAAATTGTTTCCCCTTCTCCATACCTTACCCCCCCACCAAGTCTCCTATATAATACTAACGAATTACAGCTGAAACAGCAGCAAGATGCAAACCCTCTCTGAGAAGCCTCTGTAAGCCCAGTCAACAGTGGAGACAAAGACAGGGAACTAGAAGGAATTTGAAGCCTCTGGCACCAACAGCTATACCAAATGTTAAACACAGCCCGAGTCCTAGCCAAATTAGTATAAAATGTCACACTAGAGGCCTGTTTACCTCAGTCCATATTATTTGTTACATAATTTTTAGCTTTGAACCACAAAAAACAAAAAAATTATAAGGAATTCTAAAAGGGAAGAAAAAACAGTCCAAAGAAATAAGCAGCAGAAATAGACGAAATATGACACAGATATTGGAGTTATTAGGAAATATTTTAAAACTATGATTAATATGTAATCCCAGCACTTTGGAAGGCTGAGATGGGTGGATCACTTGAGCTCAGAGTTCAAGACCAGCCTGGGCAACATGGTCAAACCCCATCTCCACTAAAAATATAAAAATTTAGCCGGGCATAGTGGCATGCCCTGTGGTACCAGCTACTTGTGAGGCTGAGGAGGGAGAATCGCTTGAGCTCAGAGGGTGGAGGTTGCGGTGAGCCAAGATTGCACCACTGCACTCCAGCCTGGGCAACAGAGGGAGACCCTATCTCAAAAAAAAAAAAAAATGGCCTAGAACTTTTCAAAATTAATGTCAGATACAAAACCATAGATCCAGGAAGATAGGAGAACATTAAGCAAGATAAATGCCAAAAGAAACAAAACAAATGAAAAACCCCCAACTTCTGGGCATATCATATTCCAACTGCAGAAAACCAAAGACAAAACCTTGAAAGAATCCAGAGGGGGGAAGTACCTAAGATAGAGAGAAACAAGGATAAGAGTTGTAGCAGATTTTTAAATTAGAAGCCACACAAGAAAGACAGTGGAGTACAGTATTTAAAGTGTTGCAAGAAAAAACTACCAACTAGAATTCTATATTTAGGGAAATGACCCTTCAAAAGTAAAGAAGAAACAAAGTCATTGTCAGAAAAACAAAAACAGAGGGAATCAATTGCCAGTGGCCTTGCCCTGCAAAAAACATTTAGAGTTCTTCAGGGAGAAGGAAAATGATATAGATCAGAAACTCAGGTCTACACAAAGAAAGGAAGGACATTTAAAAAGGCATAAATGAAAGTAAAATATTTTGTCATTCCTTTTTGTTTTTTTTTTGAGACAGAGTTTTGCTGTTGTCACCCAGGCTGGAGTGCAATGGTACAATCTTGGCTTACTGCAACCTCTGCTTCCTGTAGCTGGGATTACAGGTGTCCACCACCATGCCTGGCTAATTTTTGTATTTTTAGTAGAGAGGGGTTTCACCATGTTGGACAGGCTGGTCTCGAACTCTTGACCTCAGGTGATCTGCCCACCTTGGCCTCCCAAAGTGCTGGGATTACAGGCATGAGCCACCATGCTCGACAATTTTTTCGCATTCTTAATTGTTATAAAAGACAACTGTTTAATAAAGTGGTAATGTGTTTGGTAATTATAACCTATGGATAAGTGAAATGAAAGACAGCAATGTCATAAGGGCTGAAAGGGAAGAATTGGAAACATTCTGTTGTAAGGCACCACATGTGAAGTGGCATAGTGTTATATGATGGTAGGTTCAGATTAGTTCAAAATGCATATTGAAAACTTTAGAGTAACCATTAAACTTTAAAAAATAAGTATAATTATTATGCTAAGGGAGAAAAAGAAAATGGAATCATATAAAATGCCCAAAGCCAGAGAAGGAAGGAAAAAAGTGGGAGGAAACTGGTGTAAGGCCACTCATGGCTTCAAACTTGGCCACTTACCTGCACCTAGCATTAATGACAGGGTCCAGGACTCTCCAGGCCACTTAAGAATTGACTTAGACCTGGCAAGGTGACTCACGCATGTAATCTCAGCACTTTGGGAGGTTGAGGCAGGCAGATTGCTGGAGCCCAGGAGTTCGAGACCAGACTGGGCAACATGGCAAAATCCCATCTCTACAAAAAATACAAAAGTTAGCTGGGCATCGTGGCACACACCTGTAGTCCCAGCTACTTGGGAGGCTGAGGTAGAAGGATCACTTGACCCTGGGAGGTTGAGGCTGCAGCAAGAGCCATGGTCACACCAATACACTCCAGACTGGGTGACAGAGTGAGACCTTGTCTCAAAAAAAAAAAAAAAAAAAAAAAAGGAATTCCTCCTCTAAGGCAGAAAGTATATATTTGGAATCTTTAAATATGTTCTCAATGATTTCACATTTCAAATTTTTTCCTTTGTGGAAAACCACTAACTTTAGTCTTTTCCTAAGGTACTCTTAAGACAAGCTCCACCTTTGTCAGAGAATACAAGGGAAATAAATTTTACCCCATCTATCTATGTATCTACGTATCATTCTGTCTGTCCTCTGTTGTCACAACCATATCTTCACTCATTCATCTACTCAGCTTTCTTCTATCTACCTTCTTCCCTTTCTATGAAATTGACGTTAATATTTGAAGGACAATGATTGGATGAGTCTGTTTCATTCACATTCCTGTTGTCATGGACACAGGGTAATCCTGTAGTTATGCAAGGCTGGATGGGATTGGGGAGGTTAATTTGAACCTGAGAATATCTGTATATGTATGTTAGACTATGAGAATAGAACGGAAATAACATATTTAAATGTCAGGTTATTTTGAGATTTCTCAAGTTTTAATTAAACTTGCCTACAGGTTACACGTTTGGAGTGCTTGATGAGTTTTTAAATGGAAGAAATAGTCTGTCTGCCAGATGGATTTTGCCCAAACTCTTTCAGCAATGTTTAAAATAGCATCTTTTTTTTTTTTCATCTTGTCCACAAAATGCTTCTCCAGCATTCCACCCATGGAAAGTTTCACTCATTAAATAGCCTAAATATTCCCAGCCCCACATAGAGTTTCTGAAAGAGCCCATGCTGGAGTACAAAGAGTTGAGGTTGCTATTGTTTCCCTAGGTAAAAATAGAGTGAGCAGAGCAATGGACCAGGAAACAAAGAAATGGTTCTAATCCTAGAGCCACCTCTATTTGCTATGACCTTAGACAATAACATAAAGACTTTTTTGATTTCCACTCTAATCATGTAAGTATTTATTAAGTGCCTACCATGTATTCAGTACAGTGAAGTGGGTAAAAAGGAGAATTATTAAAGCATGGTATGGTTTTGTGAAAAGAATACATACTTTGGAACCAGATAATCCTACCATCTACTGTGTTTCTGAACAGATTACTAATGTCTCCTGTAGGAAACAAGGCCATATTTAGTACCTACTATAGGTATCTGATTATCTTTAAGAAGAAATAGTACTAGTGTGCCAAAGTTGAGTACTAGTGTGCCAAAGTTGGGTGAATGAACAAAAGCAGGTGTGAGAATGTTATGGAGAAATGGTGTATTCAGGGACTGTGTAAGATAACTTGTATATGCAAAACTCAGTAAATGTGAGGAACAAGTATACACACACATACACACATACATTTTCACATACATACATAAATAGCATATGCAACAGACATTTATATACATATACATTTGTGTGTATGTATATATATATATATTTATATATTTTTTCAGACAGAGCTAGAATATTAAGATAGTCCCTGGTCAGTCATCCATTCCAAGCTTTGTCCAGGGCTGCCACATGTAGATTACACATTGCATACAAACTGTAATGTGATTGGAGCCCTCTGGAGTTGTGCAGTGTACAACCTGCACAGCTCTTTTTAGTAGAGCTACTGTATCCAGAAAGAACTCACAAGGAAAAGTAGAATACAAAAGAGCATAAATTGAATGTAGGAGCAAAACAAAAACAAGAATGGGGACATAAAATGGAATTCATAAAAAAATGAACACTTTGGCACAGTGGGGCTTCAAATTTAGGTGTAAGCCTTCTGTACCATAAAAATGGATCCAGAGTTGGCTTAAAGACAGGCAGAAATATCTCCTGAAGGGCTTAGTAAAGGGGCCATTCTGCAAAGTGGTAGAAAACTTCATATTCTTGCGATAGACACAACAATAAGCTTGCTAGGAGCATTTGTAATAGAGCCCCCAGTAAAGGCTATGAATCACTTTCAAGTAAAGTTCAGTAAGAGTAAGTTTATGGATGGAAGGAGATAGGTCAGTACAATGCATTTCAGATACCCAGCTCTCTCTTTGTTGCTCAGACATGATCAATGGTATACATTTAGAATATTCAGAGAAACAAATAATCTGTTTTAAACATTTGTCTTTCTCAGAGAGGCTTTGATAAGTACTTTTTTGGATGCATCCAAGATTGTACAGATGATTGTGCTTTGAAGGTCAATCATGCAAGGGAAGATAAAGAATTCACTGTATAAATGGAAAAGAAAAGGAAAAAGATAAATTAGGAGTACATAGAAATAGCATACTCTACAATGGGCTAGATACTCTGCCAACTTCTGGGGCTATAAAGATGATTAACACCTGCCCTCAAGCTGTTTGTAATCTAGGCATGGGGTAAGTGTGTATGCAGATAGCCAATTAGCAAATATTATTACTACTAAGAATATTGTAATAGTAACATTAATAGATAATATTTTTTTTTAAATTTTTTTTTAATTATACTTTAAGTTTTAGAGTACATGTGCACATTGTGCAGGTTAGTTACATATGTATACATGTGCCATGCTGGTGTGCTGCACCCACTAACTCGACATCTAGCATTACGTATATCTCCCAATGCTATCCCTCCCCCCTCCCCCCACCACACAACAGTCCCCAGAGTGTGATGTTCCCCTTCCTGTGTCCATGTGATCTCATTGTTCAATTCCCACCTATGAGTGAGAATATGCGGTGTTTGGTTTTTTGTTCTTGCGATAGTTTACTGAGAATGATTATTTCCAATTTCATCCATGTCCCTACAAAGGACATGAATTCATCATTTTTTATGGCTGCATAGTATTCCATGGTGTATATGTGCCATATTTTCTTAATCCAGTCTATCATTGTTGGACATTTGGGTTGGTTCCAAGTCTTTGCTATTGTGAATAGTGCCGCAATAAACATACGTGTGCATGTGTCTTTATAGCAGCATGATTTATAGTCCTTTGGGTATATACCCAGTAATGGGATGGCTGGGTCAAATGGTATTTCTAGTTCTAGATCCCTGAGGAATTGCCACACTGACTTCCACAATGGTTGAACTAGTTTACAGTCCCACCAACAGTGTAAAAGTGTTCCTATTTCTCCACATCCTCTCCAGCACCTGTTGTTTTCTGACTTTTTAATGATTGCCATTCTAACTGGTGTGAGATGGTATCTCATTGTGGTTTTGATTTGCATTTCTCTGATGGCCAGTGATGGTGAGCATTTTTTCATGTGTTTTTTGGCTGCATAAATGTCTTCTTTTGAGAAGTGTCTGTTCATGTCCTTTGCCCACTTTTTGATGGGGTTGTTTGTTTTTTTCTTGTAAATTTGTTTGAGTTCATTGTAGATTCTGGATATTAGCCCTTTGTCAGATGAGTAGGTTGCAAAAATTTTCTCCCATTTTGTAGGTTGCCTGTTGACTCTGATGGTAGTTTCTTTTGCCGTGCAGAAGCTCTTTAGTTTAATTAGATCCCATTTGTCAATTTTGTCTTTTGTTGCCATTGCTTTTGGTGTTTTAGACCTGAAGTCCTTGCCCATGCCTATGTCCTGAATGGTAATGCCTAGGTTTTCTTCTAGGGTTTTGATGGTTTTAGGTCTAACGTTTAAGTCTTTAATCCATATTGAATTGATTTTTATATAAGGTGTAAGGAAGGGATCCAGTTTCAGCTTTCTACATATGGCTAGCCAGTTTTCCCAGCACCATTTATTAAATAGGGAATCCTTTCCCCATTGCTTGTTTTTCTCATGTTTGTCAAAGATCAGATAGTTGTAGATATGCGGCGTTATTTCTGAGGGCTCTGTTCTGTTCCATTGATCTATATCTCTGTTTTGGTACCAGTACCATGCTGTTTTGGTTACTGTAGCCTTGTAGTATAGTTTGAAGTCAGGTAGTGTGATGCCTCCAGCTTTGTTCTTTTGGCTTAGGATTGACTTGGCGATGCGGGCTCTTTTTTGGTTCCATATGAACTTTAAAGTAGTATTTTCCAATTCTGTGATGAAACGCATTGGTAGCTTGATGGGGATTGCATTGAATCTGTAAATTACCTTGGGCAGTATGGCCATTTTCACGATATTGATTCTTCCTACCCATGAGCATGGAATGTTCTTCCATTTGTTTGTATCCTCTTTTATTTCCTTGAGCAGCGGTTTGTAGTTCTCCTTGAAGAGGTCCTTCACATCCCTTGTAAGTTGGATTCCTAGGTATTTTATTCTCTTTGAAGCAATTGTGAATGGGAGTTCACTCATGATTTGGCTCTCTGTTTGTCTGTTGTTGGTGTATAGGAATGCTTGTGATTTTTGCACATTGATTTTGTATACTGAGACTTTGCTGAAGTTGCTTATCAGCTTAAGGAGATTTTGGGCTGAGACAATGGGGTTTTCTAGATATACAATCATGTCATCTGCAAACAGGGACAATTTGACTTCCTCTTTTCCTAATTGAATACCCTTTATTTCCTTCTCCTGCCTGATTGCCCTGGCCAGAACTTCCAACACTATGTTGAATAGGAGTGGTGAGAGAGGGCATCCCTGTCTTGTGCCAGTTTTCAAAGGGAATGCTTCCAGTTTTTGCCCATTCAGTATGATATTGGCTGTGGGTTTGTCATAGATAGCTCTTATTATTTTGAAATATGTCCCATCAATACCTAATTTATTGAGAGTTTTTAGCATGAAGGTTGTTGAATTTTGTCAAAGGCCTTTTCTGCATCTATTGAGATAATCATGCGGTTTTTGTCTTTGGCTCTGTTTATATGCTGGATTACATTTATTGATTTGCATATATTGAACCAGCCTTGCATCCCAGGGATGAAGCCCACTTGATCATGGTGGATAAGCTTTTTGATGTGCTGCTGGATTCGGTTTGCCAGTATTTTATTGAGGATTTTTGCATCAATGTTCATCAAGGATATTGGTCTAAAATTCTCTTTTTTGTTTGTGTCTCTGCCCGGCTTTGGTATCAGAATGATGCTGGCCTCATAAAATGAGTTAGAGAGGATTCCCTCTTTTTCTATTGATTGGAATAGTTTCAGAAGGAATGGTACCAGTTCCTCCTTGTACCTCTGGTAGAATTCGGCTGTGAATCCATCTGGTCCTGGACTCTTTTTGGTTGTTAAGCTATTGAATATTGCCACAATTTCAGATCCTGTTATTGGTCTATTCAGAGATTCAACTTCTTCCTGGTTTAGTCTTGGGAGAGTGTGTGTGTCAAGGAATTTATCCATTTCTTCTAGATTTTCTAGTTTATTTGCGTAGAGGTGTTTGTAGTATTCTCTGATGGTAGTTTGTATTTCTGTGGGATCGGTGGTGATATCCCCTTTATCATTTTTTATTGTGTCTATTTGATTCTTCTCTCTTTTTTTCTTTATTAGTCTTGCTAGCGGTCTATCAATTTTGTTGATCCTTTCAAAAAACCAGATCCTGGATTCATTAATTTTTTGAAGGGTTTTTTGTGTCTCTATTTCCTTCAGTTCTGCTCTGATTTTAGTTATTTCTCGCCTTCTGCTAGCTTTTGAATGTGTTTGCTCTTGCTTCTCTAGTTCTTTTAATTGTGATGTTAGGGTGTCAATTTTGGATCTTTCCTGCTTTCTCTTGCGGGCATTTAGTGCTATAAATTTCCCTCTACACACTGCTTTGAATGAGTCCCAGAGATTCTGGTATGTTGCGTCTTTGTTCTCGTTGGTTTCAAAGAACATCTTTATTTCTGCCTTCATTTCGTTATGTACCCAGTAGTCATTCAGGAGCAGGTTGTTCAGTTTCCATGTAGTTGAGCGGTTTTGAGTGAGATTCTTAGTCCTGAGTTCTAGTTTCATTGAACTGTGGTCTGAGAGATAGTTTGTTATAATGTCTGTTCTTTTACATTTGCTGAGGAGAGCTTTACTTCCAAGTATGTGGTCAATTTTGGAATAGGTGTGGTGTGGTGCTGAAAAAAATGTATATTCTGTTGATTTGGGGTGGAGAGTTCTGTAGATGTCTATTGGGTCTGCTTGGTGCAGAGCTGAGTTCAATTCCTGGGTATCCCTGTTGACTTTCTGTCTCGTTGATCTGTCTAATGTTGACAGTGGGGTGTTAAAGTCTCCCATTATTATTGTGTGGGAGTCTAAGTCTCTTTGTAGGTCACTCAGGACTTGCTTTATGAATCTGGGTGCTCCTGTATTGGGTGCATATATATTTAGGATAGTTAGCTCTTCTTGTTGAATTGATCCCTTTACCATTATGTAATGGCCTTCTTTGTCTCTTTTGATCTTTTTTGGTTTCAAGTCTGTTTTATCAGAGACTAGGATTGCAACCCCTGCCTTTTTTTGTTTTCCATTTGCTTGGTAGATCTTCCTCCATCCCTTTATTTTGAGCCTATGTGTGTCTCTGCATGTGAGATGGGTTTCCTGAATACAGCACACTGATGGGTCTTGACTCTTTATCCAATTTGCCAGTCTGTGTCTTTTAATTGGAGGATTTAGTCCATTTACATTTAAAGTTAATAGTGTTATGTGTGAATTTGATCCTGTCATTATGATGTTAGCTGGTTATTTTGCTCATTAGTTGATGCAGTTTCTTCCTAGTCTCGATGGTCTTTACATTATGGCATGATTTTGCAGCGGCTGGTACCAGTTCTTCCTTTCCATGTTTAGCGCTTCCTTCAGGAGCTCTTTTAGGGCAGGCCTGGTGGTGACAAAATCTCTCAGCATTTGCTTGTCTGTAAAGTATTTTATTTCTCCTTCACTTGTGAAGCTTAGTTTGGCTGGATATGAAATTCTTGGTTGAAAATTCTTTTCTTTAAGAATGTTGAATATTGGCCCCCACTCTCTTCTGGCTTGTAGGGTTTCTGCTGAGAGATCCGCTGTTAGTCTGATGGGCTTCCCTTTGAGGGTAACCCGACCTTTCTCTCTGGCTGCCCTTAACATTTTCTCCTTCATTTCACCTTTGGTGAATCTGACAATTATGTGTCTTGGAGTTGCTCTTCTCGAGGAGTATCTTTGTGGTGTTCTCTGTATTTCCTGAATCTGAATGTTGGCCTGCCTTGCTAGATTGGGGAAATTCTCCTGGATAATATCCTGCAGAGTGTTTTCCAACTTGGTTCCATTCTCCCCATCACTTTCAGGTACACCAATCAGACGTAGATTTGGTCTTTTCACATAGTCCCATATTTCTTCAAGGCTTTGCTTGTTTCTTTTTATTCTTTTTTCTCTAAACTTTCCTTCTTGCTTCATTTCATTCATTTCATCTTCCATTGCTGATACCCTTTCTTCCAGTTGATCACATCGGCTCCTGAGGCTTCTGCATTCTTCACGTAGTTCTCGAGCCTTGGTTTTCAGCTCCATCAGCTCCTTTAAGCACTTTTCTGTATTGGTTATTCTAGTTATACATTCTTCTAAATTTTTTTCAAAGTTTTCAACTTCTTTGCCTTTGGTTTGAATGTCCTCCCGTAGCTCAGAGTAATTTGATCGTCTGAAGCCTTCTTCTCTCAGCTCGTCAAAGTCATTCTCCGTCCAGCTTTGTTCCATTGCTGGTGATGAGCTGCATTCCTTTGGAGGAGGAGAGGCACTCTGATTTTTAGAGTTTCCAGTTTTTCTGTTCTGTTTTTTCCCCATCTTTGTGGTTTTATCTACTTTTGGTCTTTGATGATGGTGATGTACAGATGGGTTTTTGGTGTGGATGTCCTTTCTGTTTGTTAGTTTTCCTTCTAACAGACAGGACCCTCAGCTGCAGGTCTGTTGGAGTACCCTGCCGTGTGAGGTGTCAGTGTGCCCCTGCTGGAGGGTGCCTCCCAGTTAGGCTGCTCAGGGGTCAGGGGTGAGGGACCCACTTGAGGAGGCAGTCTGCCTGTTCTCAAATCTCCAGCTGCGTACTGGGAGAACCACTGCTCTCTTCAAAGCTGTCAGACAGGGACATTTAAGTCTGCAGAGGTTACTGCTGTCTTTTTGTTTGTCTGTGCCCTGCCCCCAGAGGTGGAGCCTACAGAGGCAGGCAGGCCTCCTTGAGCTGTGGTGGGCTCCACCCAGTTCGAGCTTCTGGGCTGCTTTGTTTACCTAAGCAAGCCTGGGCAATGGCGGGCGCCCCTCCCCCAGCCTCGCTGCCACCTTGCAGTTTGATCTCAGACTGCTGTGCTAGCAATCAGCGAGACTCCGTGGGCGTAGGACCCTCTGAGCCAGGTGCAGGATATAATCTCGTGGTGTGCTGTTTTTTAAGCCCGTCGGAAAAGCGCAGTATTCGGGTGGGAGTGACCCGATTTTCCAGGTGCCGTCCGTCACCCCTTTCTTTGATTAGGAAAGGGAACTCCCTAACCCCTTGCGCTTCCCGAGTGAGGCAATGCCTCGCCCTGCTTTGGCTCACGCACGGTGCGCGCACCCACTGACCTGTGCCCACTGTCTGGCACTCCCTAGTGAGATGAACCCGGTACCTCAGATGGAAATGCAGAAATCACCCGTCTTCTGCGTCGCTCAGGCTGGGAGCTGTAGACTGGAACTGTTCCTATTCGGCCATCTTGGCTCCTCCCCAATAGATAATATTATTGAGTGCTTACTATGAGCGAGATATTTTCCCAAGTTCTTTTTTATGTTTTAATACACATAATAATTTTCAATCTTGTGAGGTGGTCATGTATTAGTGTTTCTCCATTTTGACTGATGAAGAAATGAAGTCTCAGTTGAGTAACTTGCCTGGAGATACATAGCTCATAAGTTGTGGCACATGGATGCAAACCAATCAGGCAGCCTTCTTAAGCAGATGCAATTTAGAATGATTAATGCTTTAATAATTGTAAGAAATGAAAATATTTCCTAAAATAAAGAAGGTTCTGGTCTAAATACATTTTCTCATGTAGAATTATTTCCATATATATATATAACTCTACATGCTATCAATGGAAAGAACATCATATTCAATGCTGAGTAAGGGATTAAAACTCCAAATATTTGTTCTCATTAAGGAAATTTCTAACTGGGTTTTATTTCGGAAACATGAGGTTAGATAACCTGTGTAGACTTTTTCTGAGATATCCTTTCATCTTTGTCAACATTATTAGGAAACACTTTATTCCTTGCAACTTTAAAACTTGACTAAAAATAAATTCTAGCAAAACTTTTATGGCTAGGCAAATATCAGAGGATGTTCTAAGGCCACCTCTGCCTGGGATTTTTGATCTTTGCAGATACTTTGATATTCATAAAAGTACTGAATGGCAAACACATGTTAGCCTAGATTTTTTTTCTGTAAAACATTTTGAGGAATGTCTGCACATACAGATTTTTAACAAAATTAGAGAGTTTAGATATTACAGATATAAAATGCTTAGTCCCTTTTCCCCTTAGCAGGTCTTGATTTCAGAACTGAATTGGCCTTAGAGAAGTGGATGAGCGATGAAGAATCTGGGTATAACTTCTAAGGAAGGAAAGAGGAGAAAAAGGATAATGTGGACTCTTTATTCCATGCTCTGTTTATTTATCTTCCTTCGAGTTTCCCAGAAGAATACTTAACTATGGTACTTTGGCTGGAAAATACTGTATCAAAGAAGCCTATACTAATACACTAGCCTAACTAAATGTTTCTTTGGAGTGAAAACCAGGTAACTATGTGAAATATTTGTACAAAGTTTATAGTTTTAAAGTTTTTTTTAAAAGTAAATCCCTTTATTTTCCTATGTAATGACCATATCACTTTGGTGAGCTAGGTGTTTTGTTTTGTTTTGTTTTCTCTCTCCTTCGAGGTCTTTATTGCCACTAGGTACAAATGGCCATGAGAGGTGGTGGCTATAAGGGGCGAGTGGGGTTCCCCACTGAGGTGGACCCTAATGGTGTCTGTCTGCCCACAGCCAGACCTCACTAGGCACGCTGAGGGCCAGGCCTGTCGTCCAGCAGTGGTGGGGGTGGAAGAAGCGTCACCAGCTCAGGATGCCAGGGCAGTACTTATCAATGAGCCCCTGGTAGTAGGGCCGCAGCTTGTCCACATCTGTCAGGTCAGGGAAGTTGGTCAAATTGAACTCCTGGACCCCGGGCAGCATAGCCAGGTCCTGCTTGCTGCACCACTGCTGGTAGTCACCGCCTGTGTGCCAGGGGCAGAAGGAGTGGAATCGGATCCTGTAGGAAGCCTCCAGTGGGAGCGAGAACTTGTTGAACATCATCACCTGGTACAAGTACTCCTTATGGCCCTAGGACATGAGGACCCTGCCAAGCCCACAGTAAGCTAATACATGCCCAGTTTTGTGCTGTATCCAGGATCCTGGAGGTCGGGATTGTCCTGAAAAGTGGACTTACAAAACCACGGAGGTCTGGGGACAGCATCCAACGGGGAATGTGTCTCCAACGATCACCCACTGGGGCTCCCCCAACAGGGCCAAGACCTTCCCTAGGTCATAGAAGCCCAACAAGCTGGAACCAGTCCTTGCCTGGGTGAGCTTTCGGATGCCCTCCGCCATCTGGAAGGCTTGGAAGGAGTGGGAGAAGTCTACACCTGAGTCTGATTCGTCCACCAGCCCATGCAGCAGGTCCACGGCCTCCATGACCTTCATTTTCTTGTAGGAAAAGTCCCCAAACCAGGCGTGCTTGCTCCTGACGAAATCCACTGTGTGGTGCATGTTCATGAGCTTGTCGGTGGTAAAGACGTGGTCCAGGAGGGGACCCGACACGTAGCTCTGGAAGCCAGCCTTGTCTTTGGCAGCCTCTTGGTCCACTTCAGGTCGGTAGACCAGGGAAGGGTCTGGGTCCACTGTCACCTTCACCCTGAGAGGGATGCAAAGCGCAGGGCAGCGAGTGTGTCCCTGACTGGGACACCTGCTGAGGGATGTCTGCAGGCCCAGCCTCCCGCTTGCCCCTGGCTTTAGACAGCTTTTTTGTTTGTTTGTTTGTTTGTTTGTTTGTTTTGAGAAGGAGTCTCGCTCTGTCACCAGGCTGGAGTGCGGTGGCACAATCTCGGCTCACTGCAACCTCCGACTCCCTGGTTTAAGCGATTCTCCTGCCTCAGCCTCCCGAGTAGCTGGGATTACCGGCACGTGCCACCACGCCCAGCTAATTTTTGTATATATATACATATATTTTTAAGTAGAGACAGGGTTTCACCATGTTGGCCAGGATGGTCTCGGTTTCCTGACCTCATGATCCCGCCACCTGAGCCTCCCAAAGTGCTGGGATTACAGGCGTGAGCCACCGCACCCAGCTGGTGAGGTAGGTTCTTAACCTATACTTACAGACAAGGAACTGAGGTCCAGAATCAGTTAAGTGAATTGTTCAAGAACAAATATTTAAGAATTTCATCTCTGAAATTAAAATCTAAGACAATACCTGACTTCAAGTCAAGAGGTCTTTTCTTTAACCATAACTCTAGTGATGCCAATGAAGTTACTGCTGTTGTTTTAATGATACAGATTTGCCCCTGGATATTAGGAAAAATAAGGGAGGAACCCAAACAGGCTGGTGTGATAAGACATGTCAAGGTATGACTCTCAGAATCTTTACTTCCTCTCTGCTCTTCCAAATGGTGGCAAAAAGCCTTGATTTAGCACTGGATAAAGTTACTTTAGGAGGAATCCTGAGGATATTTGAATGAATATTTAAGCAATGACACTGATTGTATATTTGTTCAGTGGGATATTGTGGGACTTAGATGAGGTATACTTTTCATGCTAAGCAAAAAGGTGCTATACAATCAAAGAGACTATATTCAAAAGGATGTAGTGAAAATGTAAATATGTACTCTTAACACAGGTAGTGCTTACAGGTTTGAGATATGAAAAAAATGAAAATGAAGTTTTCTCTTTCAGTATTAATCGAGTCTTATCTCTGCTCATACTTTTAATCTCCTATTGTATCTACTATTTCTACTTTTTAGGAAAGAGGAAAAAAGGAATAACTGAGTTATTCTGATGAAGAGTAAGAATATGGAATTAAAATAGTCCAAAGACCTAAAAGTCTCCTCTGGTACTCCAATTTTAAAAACTGAGTATTCAGAAGAAATAGACAATAATGATTTAAAGGTTAAAAGGAGTTTTAAGATGATTTGTCAAAATATTTCGCCATTTCACATTGATATAAAGTAAATATCAGAAAGAAATTCTCAAATAGGTGATTTGACTAATGTAATAGGGGAAAAGACAGCATTTAAATGTTTTGAATGGCAACCAGATATCTAAAACATACAAGAATATATCAATGCCTGAATTCTACTCAATAACTTGTTATCTGTGATGAAAAAAGGATGGTGAACAATGAAAGAAATGCAGAAGGTAAATGATCACGTTTATGAAAATAAATGGGCCCATAGGAAATCAATTCATTTAGCAAATATTTATGGAGGAACTATTATTTCCAGGCACTATTTAGAGAACTGCAAATTAAAATAACCTATTAAAATGCAATGGCAATGGGGATAATAAAGTAATATCAGTAATACTGAAGAAAAATAGCTATACATTGTGATTTGTAATGCAAATTGGTTCAATTTTTTTCTGGAAAATAATCTGCCCATATATTACAAGAGTTATAGAAATGCTTCTACCTTTTGGCCTACTTATTCCGATTTTTGGGAATTAAACCTCAAATAAATAAAATAAAACAAAGTAATTTTACAAAGATAAATATAGCAGTGTTATTCTTATAATGAAAACTGACAAAAAGGGCA
This sequence comes from Homo sapiens, assembly GCF_000001405.40. Lineage (NCBI taxonomy): Eukaryota > Metazoa > Chordata > Mammalia > Primates > Hominidae > Homo > Homo sapiens. The sequence continues at coordinate 86,596,481 of NC_000008.11, forward strand.
CAAGGCTGAATATGCATATTCACGACAAAAATGAATGTGCATTTGTACATTCACAAAGATAGAAAGATAATTACATTCACTTATTTATTCAATAACTATTTATTAGGCACTTATGTGGACCAGCCACTGCCCTAAGGGCTGGGGATAGAGTATAGAACAAACCACACATGGTGTCTAGCAGGACCCCTTGGTGCCTGTGTAAAGTGTCTTCATGCAAACAATAAAAATGGGGCTTTTCATGCACACGTATATTTATCGCTGCTCTGTTCACAATAGCAAAGACTTGGAATCAAACCAAATGTCCATCAATAATAGACTGGAAAAAGAAAATGTGGCACATATGCACCATGGAATACTATGCAGCCATAAAAAAGGATGAGTTCATGTCCTTTGCAGAGACATGGATGAAGCTGGAAACCATCATTCTCAGCAAACTATCACAAGGAAAGAAAACCAAACACCACATGTTCTCACTCATAAGTGGGAGTTGAACAACGAGAACACATGGAGACAGGGAGGGGAACATCATACACTGGGGCCTGTCGGGGGTGGGGGTCTGGGGGAGGGATAGCATTAGGAGAAATACCTAATGTAAATGAGTTGATGGGTGCAGCAAACCAACATGGCACATGTATACCTATGTAACAAACCTGCATGTTGTGCACATGTACCCCAGAACGTAAAGTATAATAAAAAACAATGTGGCTTTTCTAAGCATGTGCAGTCCTGTGCTTGGCTAGAAGAATGCCTCCTTTCACAGAGTGAAAGGTAACTGTGCATGAGAGGGAGCACAACAGCCAGGGCTCATGGCTCAGAAGTGGAGTGAGAACTGGGTTCCTGCCCTCCCGGTTCCTCTTTGGACATTCTGGTGCAGAGAACATTTGGCACAGCCATAGGTGGTAGTTCTGGTGCTTGCAATTTAGGAAGGAAGAAAAACATTGAAGAAATAAATGCACTAATGCATGTATAGTTACAAAGATAAGTGCTCCAAAAGAAAGGAACATCATTGGATGAAAGTGTACAGCAGGGAGACCTCGGAGGTCCCTATAGTGGGGAATCCAGGAAGGCCTGAAAGAAGCTGAGATCTTGGTAAAAGGGTGGGGAAAGCATCCAGGCGGAGGTAATAGAATGTGCAAAAAACTCCCTGTGACTGGATAGAGTGTGGTGCATTCAAGGAATGGGAAGACAATGGGTGTCTGGATTAAAGAGAGCAAGGATGGTTAGGCGCAGTGGCTTGTACCTGTAATCCAGCACTCTGGGAGGCCGAGGCAGGTGGATCACCTGAGGTCAGGAGTTCAAGACTAGCCTGGCCAACATGGTGAAACCCCGTCTCTACAAAAATACAAAAATTAGCTGCGCACGATGGCGAAACCTGTAATCCCAGTTACTTGGGAGACTGAGGTTGGAGAATCACTTGAACATGGGAAGTGGAGGTTGCAGTCAGCCGAGATGGTGCCACTGAACTCCAGCCTGGGCGACAGAGTGAGACTTCATCTCAAATAAATAAAATAAAATAAAATAAAATAAAATTAAAATAAAATAAAATAAAGAGAGCAAGGCGAGTCAGGTGCAACCTGAAGTAGAGAGGTAGGCAGGGGCTAGACTCTACAGGATCTCATAGGTAAGGAAAATCACTTTGTTCTTATCCCTAAAAATGGCATGAAAACATTAAATGGTTTTAAGTGGGAGGGCAGTGATATGATCAGATCTGTGTTTCCAAAAGATCCCTCTGGCTGCAGAGTGGAGACTGATTGTGGAGGATATGGTTATTGGATTTGAGTGACTTGAAGTAAGCCACTGCAGTTGTCCAGTGAGAGATGGATGAACTGAAGTAGTGGCAGTGGAGAACATAAGATACAAATGATTTGTGACTTTCTTTGGTGGTAGGATTGACAGGTGTTGAAGGCGGAGTGTCCATGTAGGGTGAAGTAGAGTGTCAAGCATGTTTTGTTTATCCCCAGTAAAATTTTGAAAGTGAACAATTTAAATAATTTGGTATTGTATTAGTTTCCTAGGGCTGCTATAACAAATTATCACAAAACAACTGACCTACAACCACAAAAATTTATTATCTCACAGTTCTGGAGGCCAGAAGTCCAAAATCAAAATATCAGCAGGGCTGTGTTTCCTCTAAAGACTCCAGTGAAAAATCTTTTCTTGCCTCTTCCAGCTTCTAGTGCTGCCAGGCATTTCTTGGCTATGGCTGCAATACTTCAGTTTCTACCCTCAGTCTTCACATGGTCTTCTCCTCTTATGTCTTTTATAAAGACACTTATAAAAAGTGTCCTTAGGAAAAAGAACCCTCTTTGTCATTGGACTTGGGGCCCTTCAAGATAATTCAGGATGATCTCATCTTGAGATCCTTAACTTAATTACATCTGCAAAGACCCTGACCCTTTTTTTCAAGTTAGGTCACATACACAAGTTCCTAGGATTAGGATGTGGACTTATCTTTGTGGGAGACACCATTCAACCCACTACAGGCATCACGTCAATTATCCTTTACATACCCCTCAGTAGGGGTTTATAGGACTGACCTGTGTGCACACATCATTTGAGGACCAGTGAAGGTTTGTTGCAGGAAGTCAGGGACGCCAAACGGAGGGACCGGCTGAAGCCATGGCAGAAGAACGTGGATTGTGAAGATTTCATGGACATTTATTAGTTCCCCAAATTAATACTTTTATAATTTCTTATGCCTGTCTCTACTGCAGTCTCTGAAAATAAATTGTGAAGATTTCATGGACACTTATCACTTCCCCAATCAATACCCTTGTGATTTCCTATGCTTGTCTTTACTTTAATCTCTTAATCTCATCATCTTCGTAAACTGAGGAGGATGTATGTTGCCTCAGGACCCTGGGATGATTGCGTTAACTGCACAAATTGTTGTAGAGCTTGTGTGTTTGAACAATATGAAATCTGGACACCTTGAAAAAAGAACAGGATAACAGCAATGTTCAGGGAACAAGAGAGATAACCTTAAACTCTGACTGCCAGTGGGCCGGGTGGAACAGAGCCATATTTCTCTTCTTTCAAAAGCAAATGGGAGAAATATTGATGAGTTCTTTTTCTCAGCAAGGAACATCCCTGAGAAAGAGAATGTGTCCCTGAGGGTAGGCCTTTAAAATGGCCACCTTGGGGGCGGCTGTCTTTTACGGTCGCAGCTGTAGGGTTGAAATAAGCCCCAGTCTCCTATAGCACTCCCAGGCTTATTAGGACGAGAAAATTCCCACCTAATAAATTTTGGTCAGACCGGTTGTCTGCTCTCAAACCCTGTCTCCTGATAAGATGTTATCAATGACCATGCGTGCCTGAAACTTCATTAGCAATTTTAATTTCACCCCAGTCCTGTGGTCCTGTGATCTTGCCCTGCCTCCATTTGGCTTGTGATATTCTATTACCTTGTGAAGCATGTGATCTCTGTGACCCACACCCTGTTCATACACTCCCTCCCCTTTTGAAAATGACTAATAAAAACTTGCTGGTTTTGTGGCTTGTGGGACATCACGGAACCTGGTGACATGTGATGTCTCCCCTGGACACCCAACTTTAAAATTTCTCTCTCTTGTACTCTGTTCCTTTATTTCTCAGACCAGCCAACACTTAGGGAAAATAGAAAAGAACCTACATGAAATATCGGGGGTGGATTTTGCCCGATAAACGTTCAGCTTTTGGTTCCCAAATAACCTCTAGTAATTGCCAGATCCAAAGGATGCACTGGTCCTTGTGAAAACTTTGTCCCCAAAGCATCCTGTACACACTCTCTTCCTGGGACACAATTCATACATTTAATCACCTGGTATTGAAGTCTCTTCTAAGGCCCTGGAGGACAGTGATTGTTTCTTGTTCTCCTTTGTACCCTCATGACTGGCACTGTGCCTGGCAAAGAAGGAATACATGGCCTTCTTTGAGTCACTTTCACACTATGCCATAAGGGGACCCAAATATAATTTTCTTTTGTTTCTATCAAATCACAATTAAGTACTTAATTAATTAAAAATTGCTGAAGAGCTGTTGCAAATTATTTTTGAATGGAGGCATGATACAAGTAAAAATCACCACTTAGTATATAGTGTTTACGTAGCTGCTGGTGATATGAAGATGGATAAATTCTAGTTCCTTTTTTTTTTCTTTTTTTTTTTTTGTGACAGAGTCTCGCCCTGTCACCCAGGCTGGAGCGCAGTGGCGCGATCTCGGCTCACTGCAAGCTCTGCCTCCTGGGTTCATGCTATTCTCCTGCCTCAGCCTCCCGAGTAGCTGGGACTACAGGTGCCCACCACCACGCTCGGCTAATTTTTTTTTTTTTTTTTTTTTTTTTTTTTTTTTTTAGTAGAGATGGGGTTTCACAGTGTTAGCTGGGACGGTCTTGATCTCCAGGCCTTGTGATCTACCCGCCTCAGCCTCCCAACGTGTTGGGATTACAGGCGTGAGCCACCACGCCCAGCCTCTAGTTCTTACATTTTAGTAGCTCAGTCTGTTGGAGAGACCTGTCTGAACAAATTAATTATAAATCAGTAGTAATTACTGCAATAAATGCATGAATGAAATGCTATGGAAGCATAGAATAAAGAGTAACTAGTTGTTTTAGGGGTTAAAGATGGCTTCAAAAAGGTGGCATTTGAAGGAGGAATGAAAAATTTCCAGGGGAGGATATTCCGAAGAGAGATGAAACCAATAGAAAATCCTATTGAAATCATAATGGCAACACAAGAATAAAAACTCAGATGTGTTTTAAGAAAAATGACATTTTAACAGAAACAGAATGCAGACAGGAAGTGGTTAAATACATTCAGTGAATAAGACTTGGGACTAAATGTACGTGTAAGGAAAATGATGGACCTGGAACCACCACAAGGCCATCTCTCAGCAGACCCTGGGTCTCTCTTTTAGAAATGGGGTATCTGCACTCTTCAGATGATAATTGGAAATGTGGTCTGGGTTTTCTCAATGACAGGCTATTAATCTATATTTTAGTCAGGGTTTTGCTCTTTTGGATTAATATATAATGTCCTTGAAAGCCCTTAATGTTTTTCTTTATTTTTTTTTTTCCTGAGGAAAAAGAACTCTTTTAAAGGCTACATGATAGTGCTGGATTTAGCTCATTTTAACAAAGGTCACAGCATTTTTGAGTAGTAAACACTATTACTAGATCTTTCCAGTATCTGGATGTTTGGCAGGCATACCTCCAGCTCTGGAATAAATGACTAGAGCTTCAGCGGCATATGACAGCTGTGGGCCTGTGAAGCCTGTGGGTATCTGGAAAGAGGCAGATGCATCCTGTTTCCCCATAACCACAGCCAAAAAGAGAATCAAGGCAAAAAGCTCCCTTTTACTTGAATCAACCAAACTACTGAGCAAGTTTAAAGTTTGTCTGTTCTACTGGTTTCAATTTGGCCTTAGAAACCAAATGGGTAATAGGAGATTTATTTGAGAAGCTGCTGTCAGGAATCTAGGATTACTTTCAGTTGCAACTCAGAAACACCTGGATTCAATTCTTAGGGTATTTCCTCCTGTGATGATAATATCAGCAATTAACATACTTGTATTTATAAAGCTTATTCTTCAGGGAGTACTCAACCCTTGGGAAAGGTCAGCTAATTAATTTCTGCAGTGTTTCAGATTAAACTGTTGCATGTTTTATGACCTTGAAGATTACAGTGATTATTAAGTCACAAAATATTAAATCACTTTTGCAAGGACTCCCAGGAAGGAAATGATAGAAAACAGGCAAAGAACTCAGGTCTCGTATGTTCTGAGAAGTGTTTCCACCACTGCCCAAGAGCAAGATCCTCAGAGGATCACCTTAACAAATAATCAGTCGTTAAACAAGGAGAAAAAAATTAAAAAGAGAAGCCACATTAACAACAGAGAAATAACATGTTTCAACATTCCAAAGAAACCCTAACAATGCTAATATGAAGTCATCTAAAATTATCCATATTTCCAGAACACAAAGATAACTTCTTAGCAGCTAGGAAATTAGAGACTGGAAATTTCTTCTGTGACGTGGTATAAAGATCACTGGACCCCGATCCGTGGAGACCCAGGTTTGAATGTTGTCCCTATAATTCATTAGCAATGGTGTCCTGGGAAAGATATAGTACTTGGCATCTTGGGATAGCAATTTTCTCAGTTATGAAATGAATATATTAATAACTGCCTGACAGGGTACTCTTCTATTCATCATATGAGCCAGTATCTCAGTTCCAGACACCATCATCTTTCACTTGAGCCACCACAGTTGACTTCTAACTGGACTCTATTCATTCTTGCTCCTCTACTGTATCTTTTCCACATAGCTGTTGAAGTCGTCTTTTAAAATAATAATTCAGAGTGTGTCATTCTTTTGCCTAAAACCCTCTACTGGCATTCATTCATATTTAGAAAAAGACATAAATTCCTATCATGGCGTAAAAGACCATGTTATCTGGGTCTTGCTCACCTATTTGGCTTCATCTCCCCAGTGTTCTTATTCACTGTACTCCAGCCATATTGACCTTTCTACCCCTTGACCAGACAAACTTGCTTTACCTCTAGCCCTTTGGTAATCAGGCTCTTCACCCAATTCTGAATGGCTGATCCTTTTCTCTTTCAAATCTCAGGTCAAATATTATCTCCCTAGAGAGGTCATTCCTGACCACTGCATCTAAGTTGTGTCCTGTTACTTTCTAACCACTTTTTCCTTCATAGTAGTTATTACAGTGTGAATTCATCTTGTCTAGCTAATTAACTATTTATTATCAGTTTTCCCTGACTGGACTATAAACTCTGTTAGGGGCCATATCTTGTCTAATATTTTTATATAGTTTATTCCTAGAGTTAAGAGCAATACCTGACAATCTAGCACGTACCAGGCACTCCATAAATATTTTTTGGTTGAATAATGAATAAATGTGATAATGCATATAGAAGTGTTTAGCTCACAAAATGCTTAAATTTGCTGTCTATATTTTTCCTCTTGGGGAGTTTCTTGTTCTAGGATAAACTTTTCCTGGCCAATAAGAAGCAATGGTAAAAATAATTGATATTTATTGAGTTGTTAATAGATGCCAGGCAGTGTTCTAAGTGCTTTTAGTGAATTAACTCATTTACCAACACTTTAAGATATGTTCTATTATTATCCTAATTATTAAGGTGAGGAAACTGAGGAACAGTGGGGACAAGTAACAGAGGAAAAAAGCCAGTAGTGGTGAAACTGGAGTTTAAACTCAGGAAATTTGGTCCCACAGCTATGATCACATCACTAGCCTACGCAAGACCCCCTTGTTAGCAAGGCTTTCAAGTTTTCCAACAATCTGGTAACAATGAACCCTCCAAACCTCTTCTCTCATTTACTAATTCATTTGCACATCCATTCAACATATACTGGGAACCTGCTTTACGCCAGGCACTGCTCTAGGTCCTGGACTAAAGAGCTGAATGACCCAGTTCTTTTCCTTAGGTCGCTTTGGTGAAGGGATGAATAAAAATATGAAAATCCTTATTTTACGAATGCTCTCAGCACAATCAAACCTTTGATAAATCTGAGCGGGAACTTATTTTACTACCTAAGACTTTTCTTTTATGACAAATGATGGACTTCAATATTTATGAAGTATCTTTCAGATACCTGATTTCTCCAAACACCGACCCAGCTTTCAGAGTAACCAGAACTTTAGTACCATCAGGGCCTCCAAGAACTTGGACTTCTCCATGCTTGATGATATACATTTCCTTGCCAATTTCTCCCTACATTTTAAATATAAAGAGGAAATGGTAGTTACTTTATTCTTGATAATTATGCTGTAAATTAAGAAATATAAATTCTTTTAGAGGAGTAAATATAAATGAAGGAAGCAAAGAACATTAGTGTAAAATTAATTATCTTAAGACCTAAAGTATTTACAGACATGGGTTGAACATATCATGTGAAAGAAAATGATTAGGAAGATGATACTTCTCAACACGTGAGTACTGTTTGCCTCCCTTGGATACATGAAGATATTTCAGTTAGCACATTGCTTTAGGAAGGACCCTGGGTAGAGGAAGTAATTGATTTTAAGCATGGTCGAACCTGGCTTTGATGACCACCACTATGCTTGGAAGAAGTTGCTTGGTCTAGCCAAAGAGCATAGACTGCAGCCTTTCAAAGGTCAATTCTATTCATCTACCCATGGCATTGAGGTCTGATTTGGGGAATTGGGGCATAGGAGATCTTTGAGTTATTATTAGTATTCCATACTGAGATAAAGTATTAATGCAGCAGGTTGTTTTACTCAGTTCTTGCCTATCTTTGGGGACTCTTGGGACCAGGGCAATGATCTTTGTTCAAGCCCTAAGAATTAAACTCCTGGAATGTTCACATAGCCACTGGTTAATGGTGTTATTCTATATTCCTGAGCCAGTATAGCAGGATGTATCAGGCTGTCAACACTATTTAATATAATCACAAAGATTTATGATGTGTACCTTGTACATAGTTTGAAAGTCTGAATCATGTCTGGTCATGCAGCTATATGCGCCATTTAAGAACATTGGACCCAAGACTAATATGAGCTTCCACCGGTGGAGATATTTTGCTCATGTTTCTGTGGTCCACTGGAGAGAAAAATGCATCCATGTGACCCTCATAGAAATAGGACCTAGTAAGCCTGTGTCTGATTTCTCTCGTGTTTGCCCATGTATATCTTTTTCTTGCTATTCTTGCATTTTATCCTTTGCTATAATAAATCTTAAGCCATAAATATAACTTTATGTTGAATTATATGAGTTCTTACAAGTAAATCACCAAACTAGTGGGTGGTTATGAGGCCCTTGGAACACATCTTCTCTAACTTCCAAAAAGAATAGATGTCTTACAAGAGACCTAAATGGCACTTAGGTCAAGAAAGGCTGTTAAACTCTAAATAGGCCAGATTGCATAACACTAGGCAAACTATTTGGCTAGTAGTACCTACATGTCTGAATGAGCAGTGCCTTGATCACCTTGAGCTATAAAAAAAAATAGCATTAATACAATAAATTCACTTACTTGGCTTAGGAGGGGACTGGGTTATTTGAGTTAATCAAATATTCTCATTAACCATACTTTGAAAGAATTAGAATACACTAAAATCAACTCGAGATTAAAAGATTTATTTTTTATTTTTAAAAATATTTAGCCTACATCATTCTTTGGAAGAAAAAAATATTGATTGTAGTTTACTCTCTGAGATGGCTGAGAGAATGTCTACTTTGTTGCAGTGCTGAACGCAGGCTTGACATATAGGAAACACTCATTTATGAATGAGGAAAATATAACTTAACTATTCTCTGGGAGATTCTAAAGTCTTTCCTTACACCTAGGTTTATTTTCCTGAACATCAACTATTGTTGCTTTATAATTGCTGGGTTGTGTTTAAAGTTATCAGACTCCACCTTTTAGTTAACATCCAGGAAGCTGAAATTCTTATTTTATCTCCCCATTACTCTTATAAGGAAGGTAGAGTAAGTACTATTATTTCCTTTTTACAAAAATTAAAACAAAGGCACAGATTGGCTTAGCCAATTAGCTAAAGTTATATGACTCGGTAATTAGAAGCGAAGGAAGCCTAGAACCCACATCTCCTAACTGAGCAATGCAAGAAATACGTTTAAGTTTTGCATTGTGTAAAATACATTTTTAAATTAAAATTTTGGGGTTGGTTTTTTTTTTTTTTTTTTTTTGAGACAGGGTCTTGCTCTGTTCCCCAGGCTAGAGTGCAGTGGGCATGATCTCAGCTCACTGCAACCTCTGCTTCCTGGGTTCAAGTGATCCTCCCACCTCAGCCTCCTGAGTAGCTGGGACCACAGGCATAAGCCACCATGCCTGGCTAATTTTTGTATTTATTGTAGAGACAGGGTTTTGCCATGTTGTCCAGGCTTGTCTTGAACTCCTGGACTTATGTGATCCTGCCACCTTGGCCTCCCAAAGTGTTGGAATTACAGTCGTGAGCCACTGCACCTGGCCTGTGCAAAATATTAAGCATATATTTATACTCAAAAACAGATAAAAGTAGAAATTCCAATATAGATGGATCTTATATTTATTTACATACTATTAATGCTAATAACAATATCATGTCTTTGCATATTACTTTAAAAAATCATTACATTATCTGACATTTACATAGCTCCTTATTTTAATTCCTATATTTGTTCTAGCAGAACATGCTACTTTATAGCTGTAAAGCATCTCATAGATATTAATTCATCTAATTCTTGCAAAAATCCGAGTGAAGTCAAGTAGGAAACGTATCATTACTCTTATTTAACAATTGGCAGTCGAGGTTTAAAAAATTAAGTGTCTTGAGCAAACTTATAAGGCTCGCAGGTGACAGCGCCAGAACTAGCAGCACCTATGTCATCTGACTCTATATAATACATGAAGACAGACCACATCTAACGGTGACTCCAATATCAGAACTGATCTCTTAAAAACCAATGAAATAGCCATGAATGAATTAAAAAATAAGGAAAGATATCTGAAAATTAGTTTTCCAAGAGATACTTTAGGAAGTAATGATGAGGACAGGGTCATATTCCTTATTCTTTGCGTGAAGTAATTCTCAAGGAACTGGAATGATTTTTCAAAGGCAGTTATTACAACTGACTGGAGGTAGAAGTACATAGTGGGTACTTAAATACAGTTCAGCTCTTTTAATTATTTTTTAATGATCATTTCAATAATTTTCCAAGGAGATCTGGCATAATCAACGAACCAAAACTTCCACTATTTCTTGCATATTTCTAGGCTAATTTAAGCCTTTTCTGCAAGTTTAATTAGCATTCAAATTAAGTAGACATTCCTCAGAGAATAAGGGCTGACAGCATGTGCAAAATAAGATTGAACCAAGCTCTGGTTGTTAGCGTGTGGACTAATTTGGAGAAAGTATGAAAAAACAAGAGCTTCATGTAGAGTGAGGTAACCCCTGGAGATAGCGCCCTTCAAAATTTCAGGGTTTCTGTGTAGGAAGCTATTTCTAAGGCTCATGAGGGCTTTATGACACTCAAGGGCACCCCAACAGAAAAGAGCAGTGCTACTCAAAGTGTGGTTCCTGGGTCAGCAGCATCAGCATCACTAGGAGCTTGTTTAGAGGTGCAAATTCTCAGTTTACTGAGAGTTCTTACTGCAGAAATATGAATCAGAATTTTTGGGAATGAGGTCCCAGAAATTGGTGCTTTAACAAGAGCTCTAGGTGATTTCTGCCCTGCCATAGAGCATCTGAAGAAAACTCCCACTCTTTCAACCAGCCCAAGCTACCACTCAGTCAATTTCTGAACCATCCTGGGGATTAAGTAGGTCAGCAAACTTGGCCCCAAATGCTGTCATCTCTTAAATTATATAGATAACCTCAAATTGAACGTATTTTTTTCCTTCCCCTTGCCTTCAATATTTTGTGAAAACGATAAGCAAAACAAAGCTGACTTCAGCTGTCTCAAGTCCTGTCAAGTAACAGCCTTTCTTCTCTGTCAATATCTACTATCATGTAAATCCACTCTTAAAGAAATGTGACTTGTCATTCTAGCGTCTCCTTGTTTCTACTCTCCTGTGGGCGGCAAGCCACCCAGGTGCCGAGGCAAGAGACCGAGGACACAAGCTGTTCCAGTATAATAAAATATAAAATAAGAATAGTTATACCAGATATAGATCTTAGATATGATTATATATGAATATCATTAGTCATGAGTTTGTAGCAATTACTCTTTATTCCAATATTATAATAATCCTCGCTCTATAATCATAACCTAGGGAAAACCAGGCCATGCAGACATAGGAGCTGAGGGGACACAGTGAGAAGTGACCAGAAGACAAGAGTGCGAGCCTTCTGTTATGCCCAGACAGGGCCACCAGAAGGGCTCCTTGGTCTAACGGTGACGCCAGCGTCTGGGAAGACGCCCGTTGCCAGGTGGACCGTGGTCTAGCAGTAGCAAAAAGTGTCAAGGAACAACACCCGCTACTTAGCAGACTGGGAAAGGGAGTCTCCTTTTCCCTGGGGGAGTTTAGAGAAGACTCTGCTCCTCCACCTCTTGTGGAGGACCTGACATCAGTCAGGCTCACCCGCAGTTATCCGGAGGCCTAACCGTCTCCCTGTGATGCTGTGCTTCAGTGGTCAGGCTCCTAGTCTGCCTTCATGTTCCATCCTGTACACCTAGCTCTGCCTTCTAAATAGCAGTAGTAAATTAGTGACAGTATTAAAAGTCTCTGATATGCAGAAATAATAGCATAAGCTGTCTTTCTCTCTGTCTCCTCTCCCTCTCTGCCTCGGCAGCTAGGCAGGGAAGGGACCCCTGTCCAGTGGACATGTGACCCACGTGACCTTACCTATCATTGGAGATGACTCACACTCTTTACCCTGCCCCTTTTGCTTTGTATCCAATAAATAACAGCACAGCCAGACATTCGGGGCCACTACCGGTCTCCGCGCATTGGTGGTAGTGGTCCCCCGGGCCCAGCTGTCTTTTCTTCTATCTCCTAGTCTTGTGTCTTTATTTCTACACTCTCTCATCGCCGCACACAGGGAGAAGCCCACCGACCCTGTGGGGCTGGTCCCTGCACTCTCCCACCTACTTAATTCCTTTTCCTGCCTTATTTGTCTCCACTGATGTTTTTGTTATTGAGTGATGAATGTGATGTGAAGAAGAAATTAGAAATGAAAAGGCTGCATCTACTCTGCATTTCATACTTTGTTAAACAAATTTGCACTGCTTAGGGGCACAGGTGCTAGAGTTTATGTGAGTTATCACAGTTTTCAATCTCTGTTGCTACTGGCCCCAAATGAAAGGACATGTTGTGGTGCATTAAAGTCATGTCATTTCAGTACACCACTGCCCCCAAGGGGTTCTTGGACTGCACTATGGCTTGTATTTCCCATTTCAATAAAATTGATTTCATATCACCAATCTGCCTTCTTTTAACTTGGACTAATTTGTGTGGGATTGTATATTCTTGCTTCCCATTTTATCATAATCTCTCTTCCATTTTCCCCCTTCATCTCTGAAAGCTCATTCTCAGTTGCTCTCTCTGACTTTTCTTCATTGATCTCTTCAAACACTAGAGCTCTTCAAAGTTAGAGGCAAGGCCCTCTTCTCTGACCTTTCCTTGAGCTTTTCTTGAAGTCTGCTTCCTTTATATTACAGTTCCCAGTAAACCCCAGTTCCATCCTCTCTCATTAGACTGATTTTCACTGTGTACTTGGCATCTCCACCTGATGCCTTGAAGTACCTCATACTCCATTTGACTTTGTCGTTCACCACAGTCTCCATCACTCACTTGCTTCCGTTCCTTGGATATGCCAAGCTCCATCTTGCCTCTCAGCTCATGGCTCCAAGTCTTCATAAAAAATGCCATCCTGTCCACATTTTTTTTTTAAACTAAAGAACTATTTATCTTTAGATTTTTCAAAGGTCACTCCTGACAACCTAATAACCTCCCCATCTCCCAACCCTGGATCTAAATTAAGTGTCTTTGCCACTACATACTCTTCTGGCAACTTCTATTTTCCCTTTATACAACTTAGCACATTTTGGAATTATGTATTGACTTAATTTCACTTGTTTATAGCTTGTCTCTCGCATGAAGCCAGTGGTTCTCAGTTTTGGCTGCATTTTAGAATGATATAGGAGTTTTAAATAATACTGGTATATGGCCTCCATCTAGACCAAATCAGTCACTGAGGGGTGGAGCCCAGACGTCTTCATTCAGGTGATTCTGATGTGCACTGTGAATTGAATACCACAGCACTAGAAAGGTAGGCCCCTAAAGGACAAGAACCATCTTTTTTTTGCTCAGTGCCCTCCACTGTTTCTGGCTCATCATATTGAGAAATATTTACTGAGTTTTGTGGAATAAATCATTCTAAAATTGTTCTAACATTTACCTTATTATAGTTCTCTGCACTCCCTCTATAGACACAGTTCCTTCCTTTTTGCCTTAGCTCACATTCTTTCCTCTACCCAGAACACCTATTTCCTCTTTTACTTGGTGTACTCCAATTCATTTTTCAAGACTTAGCTCAGACATCATCTTCTCTAGGAAATCTTACCGTAACCAGGAAGGACAGGTGCCCCTCCTTTGTGTCTTACAACAGCGTGTGCTTGCTTTGACCATAGCATTTAACACATTATTTTGAAATGATAAAAGTGCCTCTCATCTTTGTTCGCTTGTGAACTCACCAAGGTGTTGGATCATCTTGCATTTTTTGAACTACTCATTTTTCTTTTTAAATTTTGATTATTGAGTTTATCTTTGGTTGAGTCTGTCATGATATAAATCCCAGGGTCATCATTCCTTTCCTCTCCCTTAAGTTAGTGATCAGAAATATGCAAAAATATTTATCTGAGGGGATGTTCTTTTTATTTATAATAGCAAACATTTGAAAATTGATCCTGATACATCCATAGACTGAAACATCATGCAGCTTTAAAAAATCATATTGTAGATTACTTAATACATAGTGTTCATATGATATATTGTTACATGACAAAACATGTTTCAGAACATATGTACAGTATGATGCCACTTTTATAGCACAAGCTTTATCTATCCATCAGTCAGTATAAAAAGATAGGCCAAAATATATGAAGAGTGGTTATTATTGGATGGTGGTATTTATGTCCTTATGTTTTTATGTGTTTTCTATTTTAAAATAATGAACATGCATTATTTTGTAATCATAAAAAGCACAGTACAGTTTTTTAAAATGTGGCATTGATTATTCACTACTTGGGAGAGCAAAATGAAGGTAACTGATATTTTGCCGAAGACATAAAAAAGGCTGAACCACCTATCGCTTCTGTAACTTTTTCCTCCACTTTAAATATTTGAAATTAATAAGCTGTGACGATTGATAATTAACATTTAAACAGAGCAGTTTCTCAGACTACCCACACTTCTATCCTATAATATAAGTAATGAAATCCATATTGTCTTGTTCCTTTGTGAACTCTGAGAGCACGTTATTGCTGTACAGAGCTATATATCATAATTATTTCTATACTATGGAATTCACCCTGAACAAATTTTGTTTAAACAATGTTCTTGACTTATGTCCGAAATCCTCAAATGCATTTATTAGTTGTGCATTTGAAAAATAGCATGCACTCACCTTTTTGCAGACAAAGTCACCAGGCAAATAGAGAACGGATTTCAATCTTAGCAACATGTCATAAATCATCTGTGTATCACAACCCTATATAAAAAGAAAAATAATTCTTATAGAAACAACTAAAGGCCAATATTCCAAATGAATTCAAAACTCAATGAAAATAAACAGTAATATATATTGTCTGCATTAGCATAAAAATATTAACTGCCAATGGCTATGGACATGTCATGACTCAAAATTTAGAAAAAAAATACCTATAGTATAATGGCAAGAATTTAGATCTTGCTCAGATAGACTTGGGTGTGAATCCTGTCTCTACTACATATTGCTACGTAACCTCTCATCCTCAGTTTCCTAACCTGTAAAATGGGGATAAAAATGGTACTTATAACAAAAACTTAATGTGGTACTTAATGATAGCTATTAATGATAATATACTAATAATAGATTGTTAGTATATTAGGACCAACATAGATCAAAATCTTTGCTAGATATTTTTCTTTCTTAAAACATGTTTCACACCATTGTTAGATATTATTATTTAACCTTGCAGGCTGGTCTATCTTTCTTCTCCAACTCAATTATCTTCTTAAGGCAGGGAAAAAAAAAGTACACAATAGATACAAAAGCAATATCTGTTGAGTGAATGATTGTTCATATTCACTTTAATAGTGTAAGAAACACTGTTTGGCTATAGGTCTGTATTTGTCATCTGTTTAAATAACTATATCTATATGAGCTAAAAAAAATCTTTAGGTGCTACAAAAAACTCACTTACATAGTAGTTTTGAATCTTTTGCTTTCAACAAATATATATTTTTTCATTTTCTCTCAGAGCTGCTAACATGTAACAGCTTTCCTCTTGTGGGTGGTCCTGTCCACCCCTTGAGGGAATTATGATTTTGCTGTGAACTAATTGTAGAGTCAGTGGCAGAGAAAGGAGAAGCAAAGGGTCTGCTTCCAATTTGTGGATCAGACAATCATTCCTTTAGCAATCACCAGTTTTCTGTAACAGCTTCAGTAGCAGACACTTGACCTAGATCCATATGAAATTTAGACTTCAGGGTTGCTTGACTGATAAGGCAAGCTAATAATTTATGATTGAAGTATCTCCAAGTAGCCATTGGTGAGAAGCATTCAGATGAATGTGCTGTTAGAATTTTTAAAAATCACTTCAGAAAGTATAGCTTTTGCTTCTCTAGGATAGAAAAAAAGGCCAAGGCCAGAAGACATATCTTCTTAATACAGTCTAACAAATACTGATGAGAAGCTGTTTTGAGCAAGGCTTTGTATGATAACCTTGGAGGAATTAAAGATGAAAGAAAGTAAGTCTAGTTGGGGTGATCTTGTAAGTAAGCAGAAAAGCTGTAATTGATGGTAGAAGATAATCATGTCATAAAACATTCCACAAATATCCATAAAACTTATAAGATAAAGAGAGTTAATTTTGCTTGGGAGTGGGATGGGAGAGATGGGAAGCACCAGGAAAGTGCTCATTTGGGTAACAAAATTTGAATCATTTGAGGATGAGGATGATTTGTATTTGCAAAGATGCACAAAGCCCCTTTTATGCAGAGGGAAATTTACCTTTTCTTTGGCTGCTATGTATTTGCTTTGTGCAAAGTATACACGTTTTATTTATATTTGTTTTAGTCCTACTATGTCTGATAGGTTACCATATTTGCTAAAGCAAATTACAAACATAATTTTTTTTCTAAAAGGCATGGTTCTTTTTTACTAAAAATTAAATAAATGTCCCAAGTGCTTAATTTCTTTAAATGCTGTCATCATTTTGGAATAATTTCACTTCAGAAATTGGTATTCTGATTCATTTAAAACTCACTTAGAAAAAGGCAAATAGACTTTGGATTGATTTTTGGATCTTCTCCACTAAAGAAAATTTGTGTCTTTGATATGGTAAAGAAAATCCACTTGAAATATGCTTGGAAGTTCTTGAACATGTACATGTCTGGAATATTTCTGCAATGAAGGTAACTCTCAGTCACTCATGTCCATGGAGAAGATTTACATTGTAAATGATCAGAAATAGAAGATCTCAAAAGACCCACTTATATTCGTTTTCATATAAATAATTTTAATTTTTGGCACTAATTTTTAAGGTTTTAATTATAATTTGTAAATCAAAAATGAAATTTTTATTCCTTGAACAACTCCTATCAGAATGTATTTTGATGAAAATTCCCAACTATATTAAGTTATATTCATGGGAAATATTAGTGATTTTAAATATTGTTTTCCTGTGGCAGTAATTCTGATTTCATATAAGTACATATATAATATAAAAATTATATATGTATATATAATATGTACATATAATATATAATATAAAATATATATTATAAAAATTATATACAATTTATATATAATTATATACATATAAAATAGAAATACTGCCACAGTAATCAGAATATATGTATATATACACACACACAAATATGTGTGTGTATAGTAAATTCTTATAATTTTATGTTGCCTTGGCACCAATTTTGAATATAAGTTTAACTTTCTCATACTGGAAGTGGGATCAGTCACACTTGACAAGGTTTCCAGTTCTCTACCTCTTCCCAGTTCCTCAGTGTGGTTGATCCAGATACCTGCTTTATACCACTGCCTCCTGGTGACCACCGCTCTATGGTACAGCTGGATGCAATTGACTAGAATTGCCCCACTGACCCCCAGAGCCCACGTAGACGAGCAGATATTCCACAGTAACTACCTGTCAGTCACAGCAAGGCCCCATGGAACTCATGTCTGCTTGCTGTAAACCAACCTGTTAGAACTTCCCCTGGGAAACCTCCCTGGGTAACACCCTGGATCCCAAAAAGGCTTTGGCCCATTCTCTCTCTCTCCCCACTGGTTGAGCACGAGTGTTACCCCTTCCCATTGGCCCTGTGAGGCGTGCTGCCCTTTTCTGTCTGGGATCTGTAGGTAATGAAAATGCTTCTATTACTTCATGGGTTTTGTTGTGCTGCTGCTTCTGTGTCTCGCCTGACTGACATATCCAAACCTAACTTTTTTTTCCAGTAGAGGGTTTTCCTAGGGAGTGGCTATCTTATAGGAATAAACTGGACACGGGTCAGACGAAAGCCACAACGGCATCGGCCAATATAAACAAATTCCCTGTGAAAGAAATGTCTGTTCATGGTCGACCACCTAGGCATGAGGTTGCCAACCGGGATCAAGAAGTATCCCATGAAAGGCACACTGTGAACAGCCACCACTCATCCTCTGGAACCCCGTGAGGGCAAGGCTGGAGTACAGCCACTCTCCCAAGACAGAACCCAAGACCAAATGAGAGGAAATCCTAAAAATGTGGCAGCACAGTTGGCCTCCGTATCCATGGATTCCACCTCCACGGGTTCAAACAACTGTGGATGGAGAATATTCAGAAAAAAAATAGCAATACCACAATAACAAAATACAAACGAAAAATACGGTATAACTACTATTTACATTGCATTTGGTACTATAAGTAATCTATAGTGAGTTAAAGTATACAGGAGGATGTGGGTAGGTGATATGCAAATACTATGCCACAGATTTTGGTTTCCTCAGGGGTCCTGGAACCAATCCCCTGTGGATACCATGGGGTAGACTATATTTTTTTCAATACTGAAAAAATTGGAAACAACGTACTGTCAATCTATGGGCAGATAAAATATTGAATATTTGTAGATTGGAATATCACAAAGTAGTTAAAATAAACTACAGATCGGCCGGGTGTGGTGGCTCACACCTGTAATCCCAGATTTTGGAGGCTGAGGTGGGTGGATTGCTTGAGCTCAGGAGTTTGAGACCAGCTTGGCCAACATGGCAAAACCCCATCTCTACTAAAAATACAAAAATTAGCTGGGCATGGTGACACGTGACTGTAATCCCAGCTACTTGGGAGGCTGAAGTGACAAGATCGCTAGAACCTGGGAGGCGGAGGTTGCAGTGAGCCAAGATTGCACCATTACTCTCTAGCCTGGGTGACAGAGTGAGACCCTGTCTTAAAAAAATAAATTAATTGACTAAAAAATGAAAATAAAGATTAAAATAAACTATATATATTTAAATATATGATTAAACTCAACCAATAGTGTGGTCTGAATATAGAATATATTCAGTATGATTCCACCTACAAAAATCTAAACACACTACTACCAGTTTATGTTTATATGACCATAAAGTAAAATGGTGAAGATGAGGAGTGGCGGGATATCCTCAGATGAGGGTCATCTTAGTGGCCACCTTAGGGAGGGAGGAAGGAGAATGGGTTTGGGGAGAACTGATGAAACTTCAACTTTCATTTTTATTAATTTTAAATTTTAAGAAAATAAGTGTCTCCCTTTGTGGAGAAATGTGTTTAGCCTTCTTTCCCCTTTTATCCTTTAGGTGGGCTCAGGGACAGATAGCAGCAGTGAAGGAAGTCGGATCAATGGGAAACGTGAGACCAACCTAGGAGACAAGCCTGAACATAGATAAGCAAACAATTAGCACTTTTCTTGGCAGGAATACACACAAGCACTTACATCGATAGCTTTCAGCTGACGGCTTGGATTTTCTCAGAGAAAAACATTTGAACCAATCTAAATATGACTTTTTATTAACATACTTGGATAGCACATGGATCAAGTCATGCAAACTGAATTTAGCAGCTGTATATAGTAAAAACTTAGAATTTAAGTTTCACCAATTAAGTGATCCTGTCCCCTAATGATTACTTTATGAAAAGATGCCACTAGCTTTGGGGCAGCTTTGGTTTAGGACTAAATCTTTCTTATTTGGATTTAGGCCTAGTGAAATAAAGTTTGCATTATGATGTCATTATATTTTATAATGTGTTTGAGAACTATTATTATTCTTTTTTTTCCTCCAGAAAATGATTATTTTCTTGAGATATACATTGCTTCATTATTGTGTGATTAAAAAGAATTACATCCTGGGGCTTTTTCTCTCGGCAACCCAGCTCCATTTTGTTTACAGTTAGGAAATTTTCTGATGTATGAAAAGACAGGATTGCTTTGTAAATGTCTCTTTTTTCTATAAAGTGAGAGTAACTGAGAAAGTATCAACATTAACATTATATTAGTACATAATATTTATACTATGTTTTACTGTCTTATCCTTACCTGTTTAATTCTTCCAGCCTCCCACTGATGCCTGGCATTAATGAATATATGGTCATCACTCCTGGCTTTTAGATAAGAACTGGAGTCCCAGGAAGCCTGTCGACTTTCTCTAAGGTCACACATGCGGTAGGTATTGGAGGAAGAGTATCACCAGAGTGTGTGTTTTTATCTACACTTGGAGCAACTTGAGATCAAAGTGTTTGTATTATTCACTCTTGTATCCTTAGTGTCTCATCAGGGTTTAGGGCATGTTGGATGGTAAATAAAAATGGGCTGACATATAGAATGAAGCTGTTAGAAATTATTCCATTTTGGACAATGAGAAATTCAGTGCTGTATAGCTGTGTTACCGATTTGAATGAGGATATTAGAGATTTGAATGGAGTTGGGAGAAATGTTATTTTGATTCACAACAGAGCCATAGGTTAGATGGTGGTTCTTGTACCCAGGAAATTCCACTTTTAATAATGGCAAGCTCCGAATACAATTGTAAAGTTGGTAAAATGTTTCCTTGGAATGCGTACCCTCTTAGTCCTATAGAATTTCTCCATTTCTAGGCTCATTTCTGCTTTCTTTGAAACAGAACTTAAGATAGCATCAGTATTTTATAACTCACTGTGAATTTAAGTCACTCCCAAGTATAAGCAATGGTCTTCAGGGCTTTTTCCATCTCAGCCTGCTTATTACAAAAAGACGTGCTTTGTTCTACCTTAAACCCCATTCTCATTAAACAAGTAAGTTATAGGTGATATGACTAGGGCAGGGAATTCTGAATTCAGTTCTTCATGCCATTGACTATGCGAGGCATGATACTGATTGGTAGCTGTTGGGACCAGCAAAGTCAAATGTGATAAAAAATTTGCAAAGTGCTGTGATGTCATAATTTTTAATATTACTTCTAAGTAATATTAGACCTAAACTTACAGTCAATATTTGCAACACTAGTAAAAATCATCTTCGTCAAACTTTCTCTGAAAATTGGCAATAGTTCTAATTTTCTAGGAGTTTGGGTCAAAGTGGGAAGTCATGAGTTAGACGGAACTCTGAGGATGAAACTAATCCAGCAGTCCCCAGTCTTTTTGGCACCAGGGACCAGTTTTGTGGAAGACAATTTTTTCACTGATGGGCAGTTATGGGGATGGTTTCGGGATGATTCAAGCACATTACATTTATTGTGCATTTTCTTTCTATTTATTATTACATTGTAATATATAACAAAACGATTATACATCTCACCATAATGTAGAATCAGTGGGAGCCCTGAGCTTGTTTACCTGCAACTAGACAGTCCCATCTGGGGGTGATGGGAGACAGTGAGGAATTACCAGGCATTAGATTCTCATAAGGCAAGTGCAACCTAGATCCCCGCATGCATAGTTCACAATAGGGTTCTGCTCCTATGAGAATCTAATGCCACTGCTGATCTGACAGGAGGCGGAGCTTGGGTGGTAATGCCAGCAATGAGCAGTGGTTGTAAATACAGATGAAGCTGCTCTCACTGACCCACCACTCAACTCCTTCTTTGCTGCCCGGTTCCCAACAGGCCACCGACTGGCACTGATCTGTGGCCCTGGGGTGGGGACCCCTGATCTAATCAATTTTTCTATGATCAGGCAGGGCCACAGGAAGAATCTGATTTTACCTGTGTAGAAACTCCCACATGGTTGCATCAGTTTTATTTCTCCATTTAATAATAACTATGTAATTTACTATATGCCAGGTACTGATATAAGTGCTTCATATGTTTTGAGTCCCTTACAACCAAGTATGTTATCTCATTTATTTAGTATCTCCCCTCCCTATCGGAGGGCTCCAGAGGGCAGAAACAACATGGCTGCAGTAGCTGGGCAGTAGCCCTCCATGTCTGGCTCAGTGCTTTAGACAGGTCAACTGCTGAGGATGTATAGTTGAATGGAGTTCATTTAGATTATAAACTCACTATTCAAAATATTTTTTAAAAGTCTAGCAACAATACTTCATTTCTAATACCATTAGGGTAAAAATAAAGTTGGTAGAAATGAAACACAAGTCTCACTGTAGTCTCACTCTCACGTTCTGATTTCAGGCCCTGTGGAGTAAATATGTGATGACATATCAGATAAGTAGGATGTCACTGCTGGGGATCTGCATGTGAGTGCTAGAAAGCATGCTGCCATTCCGGTTCTCTTCTTGGCTCAGTCTGTCACTCACACACAAAACACTTCCTTCTCATCCTTCCGTCCACAGAAGTCACAGCCTTTGCAGGCTCTCTTTGCCACAGAATCGCAAACAATGAGTCAAAGATCCCAGTGAGGTGTCCTGTTGGGATGGGTTCTGCATAATTACCAGAGCAGCAAATAGACATATTGTGCCTTCCTTGTCGGACTGTAGTACCTACATTTCAATTTTGGTATCTCTGGGTCTCTGGTTTCCTACTGAACTGGGGGCTGTTTCTAAAGGATGCGATTCTAATGCACGCCACTAGGTGGCGCAACAGAACTTTTATTAAAGTTTCTCCCGTTTCTGGTAATGCAGTAGTAGAGGCAAAATGTGATTTCCCCAGCATTTAATATGATAACATATATTTAAAAATCGAGATCGAAATAATAAATCATCAGAAATGAGGGGAAATTGCCCATCTCATAGAAATGAATCGCTGCTTATTAGCTTAATACTTGTGCTTGGGCCTGGAATAACGTGAAATCTGCAAGGAAGAGGAATCATTTTTGTGAAAAATTAATATATATATATAATTTGACTATTCATCTCTGAGCTATTTCAAATCTCTGATCACCCATGTTGAAGCAGCAAATCTTACTAATTAACCACAATTTATTGAAGCAAAGTTTTAGTGAAAATCTGTGACTCTAATTCCACCTGCTTTGATTAAGAGGAGAAAAAACCTACATGAGATTCAGAGCCTTTTCTTAGCAGGAAAGTAGAAAAGTGTATGTGACTGTAGGTATCTATCTAATGTGCCAAGTCTTAGTCTGTGAATATCGCCAAAGGATTGCCTTGGTCTTGACCTTTTTTTTTTTTTTTTTTTTTTTGCGACAGGGTCTTGCTCTGTTGCCCAGGCTGGAATACAGAGGCACAATCATGGCTCACTGCAGCCTCAACCTCCTGGGCTCAGGTGATACTCTTGCCTTGGCCTCCTGAGTAGTAGGGACTACAGGCACCTGGCTAAATTTTCTATTATTTGTAAAGATGAGGTCTCACTATGTTGCCAGGCTGGTTTTGAGCTCCTGGGCTCAGGCAATCCTCTTGCCTCAACCTCCCAAAGTGCTGGGATAACAGCCATGAGCTACCGCACTGGGCCAGCTTGACTTTGGACTCTAGTGAAACTTTTCCAGTTCCTTCCCACCTTATCAGTGATCCGGATAGGGTTGGTAGAGAACTGAAGGTAAGAATGATAGAGTGGTGTGAAGAAAGCCGTGCTCAAACTGTCCCAATGCTTAGAGCTCAATGACCTCAGTCAGGTAAGTTGTTTGCTCTCCGTAAAATGGGATAGTAACAAAGCTTTCATTGGAAGTGTATTAGTTTGTTAGGGCTGCCATAACAAAGTTATACAGGCTGTGTGTGCTTTAAACAACAGAAATTATTTTCTCACAGTTCTGGAGGCTAAAGGCTTAAGATCAAGGCATCAGCAGGTCTGGTTTCTTCTGTGGCCTCTCTGCTTGGCTTGCAGATGGCTACCTTCTCACTGTGTCGTTACATGGCTTTTCCTCTGTGCACTTGCACCTGTGGTGTCTCTGTGTGTCCAAATATCCCCTTCTTATAAAGACACCAGTCAAATTGAATTAGGACCCATCCTCCTAGCCTCATTTTAACTGAATCACCTGTTTCAGTAAACAGGTTAATACTTTTACATGCTTATGAGCTTTCACCCAGGTGCCTCTAGTTCCTCACTCCATGGGCTCCTACGCATCCTTCTAGGTCCCACACCTGGACCATTCCCTCCTTTGTGCACTCAGCTCCCTGGGTGCATAGGTGGCTTTCAGTGAAGGGAGGAGACTGGTTCAGAAGCAGTGCAAGGATCAGTCAGGTATAAATTATGAGATGTAGGGTGGAGGATCACTATTCATCCTATTTCCTTCCTAAGAAAATAAATTTGTGTAAATTGCTAAGACTACCTCTATGAAAATAAATTTAGAAAGATTCCATACCTACATATTTTCTATTTCACTTGGCTTTACAAAAAAAAAAGTTTTTTTCATGTAACAGAAATATAAATGTAAATGGATTCTTTCTGGAAAGAACTGTATCTTTAACAGAAATGTCAGGAAAGAATGAATCTAAGTTATACACAACATTAGCAAGATGTGAAGATTTAACCTTTTTTCTCAATCAGATGTTGCTGATTTGGTGGAGTACCAAAAAGTACATATAGAAAGCAAAAAAACTATGAGGCAAAAAACTGATATCTTCTCAAATAGGAGATGATCCCATAAAAGTCATTGGTATCTAATTTAAAGCATTTGTTTTCCTTTAGAAAAGAGTTACTTACTGTCACTTATTCTCAATTAAGTTCGTCATTCAGGTATAACGAGTTTTATAATATTTTAAAACACTGTTAAGATAATTTAGCTTAGTGACTTTCATACATTTCTGACCATACCTATAATAAGACATACATTTTCATTGTGCTTAGTACACACATAAATATGTATATGTGATTTTAAAAATAAAACATACAAAAATTTTATAATACCTACTCTTATGTATGAGGCAGTCTGCTATTTTGTTTTTAAAATTTTTTATTTACTTTTTAATTTTTATTTAATTTCAATAGTTTTTGGGGAACAAGTGGTTTTTGGTTACACAGATACGTTCTTTAGTGGTGATTTCTGAGATTTTGGTGCACCTGTCACCGAAGCAGTGTACCCACTGTGTATACACTATACCCATTGTGTAGGCTTTTATCCTTCACCCCCCTTCCCACCCTTCTCCCTGAGTCTCCAAAGTCCATTATATTATTCTTATGCCCCTGCATCCTCATAGCTTAGCTCCCACTTATAAATGAGTATATACAATATTTGATTTTCTATTCCTGAGTTACTTCACTTAGAATAATTGTCTCCAGCCAGGCGTGGTGGCTCACGCCTGTAATCCCAGCACTTTGGGAGGCTGAGATGGGCAGATCAGGAGGTCAAGAGATTAAGACCATCCTGGCCAACATGGTGAAACCCTGTCTCTGCTAAAAATACAAAAATTAGCTGGGCATGGTGGCACTACTCAGGAGGCTGAGGCAGGAGAATCGCTTGAACCCGGGAGGCACAGGTTGCAGTGAGCCGAGATTGTGCCACTGCACTACAGCCTGGGTGACAGAGCGAGACATTGTTTAAGAAACAAAAAACAACAAAAAAAGGAATAATGGTCTCCAACTCCAAGTTGCTGCAAATGCCATTATTTTGTTCCTTTTTATGGCTGATGGGTATTCCGTGGTATATTGGTGTGTATATACAAATACATCAATATGTAGTAGAGGTGTCTGCAACTTAGAAATGGAGTTTACAGTTGAGTGTTATTTTGCAGAACAATGTAGAGTAAGTCTCATTCCTTGTTCATATAACAGACTTTAGTATATGAAACTTCTGCTGCCCTTGAATTTATTTATTTTTCTCACAACTAAACATCCTCAGCATCTACACATTTTCTTTTGGGGCCATTCTTCTTTTTTTTTTTTTTTTTGAAAATGGAGTAATAATTTACGTAAAATGAAATATACAGATCTTAAGGGACAGTTGGATCAATTTTGATAAATGTATACACTTATGTACCTTCCCCGGCAAGACAAAAAACATTTCCATCACCCTACAAAGTTCCCTTATGCTTCTTCCTAATCAATCTCCTCATCCCCATTCACCACCAGAAGCAATCATTAATCTGACTTCCACCATTACAGAATAATTTATGTTGCCCAGGCTGATCTTGAACTCCTGGCCTCAAGCTATCATCCTGCCTCCACCTCCCAAAGTCCTGGGATTACTGGCATAAGCCATGGAACCTGGCCTGCAATATTTTCCTTTTGGACCTAGGTTTGGAATTTTACTTTTATGCTTGTTGACGTTAATCTTGTTGGCTTTGCTTGTTGTTTCAAAGTATTCAGTAATTTTAAATTTTGTAATACATTTTATTATATTCCTTCTTTCTTTGTGTCATCTGCCAATTTGAAAACCACATCTTTTATATGATCATCAAAATATTGATGGAAATCTAGCACAGGCCATAGCTAAGAAAAGAGTCCTAGAATACTGACCTAACTCTAATAACTTAGAGTCATGGGTTAACCTAATGCTGGGAGTGACTATGCCTAACCATTCTACTATACAGCTTCTGCTTCTTCATCTTGTTTCTAATATTATTGATTATATAATTTTAAGACATATCCTTCTGTCTGGATTACATTTTTTCTTCTTTCCATACTTACATCTTAAGTGATCACATTGAGTCCTTTGGCTTGAAATACACCAATATGCTGACAGGTCCAAATGGATTGCTCCAGCTTGGACGTCTCCCCCGAACTCAGATTTATAAACCAAACTGCCTACATGAAATTTTCAACTGGAATCTAACAGTCACCTCATCAAACAAACACATCTGTTTTTGTGCTGATATTAAAAGGACACCACAGACTGGGTAATTTATAAATAATAGAAATTTATTTCTCACAGTTCTGAAGACCGAGAAGTCCAAGATCAAGGCATTAGCAGGTTTGGTGTCTGGTGAGGGCTGCTCTTTCTTCCAAGATGGCGCCTTGTTGCTGCATCCTCCAGATGGGAGGAACACTGTGTCCTTACATAGTGGAAGACTAGGAGGGCAAGAGAGTTCTTCCTTCCCCTTGAGACCTTTTATAATGGTGCTAAACCCATTCATGAGGGTGGAACCCTCAAGACTCAATCACTTCCCAAAAGGCCACATGTCTTCATGCTGTTGCATTAGGGATTGAGTTTCCACATGATTTTTGAAGAAGACACCATTATCCAAATCATAGCAACATCCAAAAACAAAGAGTTGGTTTCCAGCCCACCCAACCTACACTTACTTTAAAGTTTCCTATTTTGCAAATGATATCTTTGTTCTTCTTGTTCCTCAGGCCTAAATCCTTGGAGTCATTTTTGGTCCCTTTCTGTCTCTTACCCTCTTCATGTAATCAAACAGGAAAAACTATGGGCTTTTTGGGTTTGAATATACCCAATATTTCGCCACTTCTCAAAAACTCTGCTTCAATAACCCTGGGTCTGTTCACCATCATCTCTTCCACAGATGGTTGTGATAACTTCCATTTGGCCTCCCTGCCTTCTACATTTACTTCCTAAGGCCTTTTCTTCACACAGCAGGAAAGATCCTGTTCAAACTGGTCTTGAATAGGTCATTTTCTGCTCAAGAGCCTCAGTGTCTTTGCAACTCAGAGTATAATTTACAGTCTATAGATGACTGGGCGCAGTGGCTCATGCCTGTAATTCCAGCACTTTGGGAGGCTGAGGGGGGCAGATCACTTGAAGTCAGGAGTTCAAGACCAGCCTGGCCAACATGGCGAAACCCCGTCTCTACTAAAAATACAAAAATTAGCTGGGTGTGGTGGTGCATGCCTGTAATCCCAGCTACTTGGGAGGCTGAGGCAGGAGAATCACTTGAACCCGGGAGGCAGAGGTTGCAGTGGGCTGGGATTGTGTCACTGTACTCCAGCCTGGACAACAGAGCAAGACTCTGTCTCTAAATAAATAAATAAATAAGTAAATAAAGTCTACAGATCCTCCAAGCCCCTCCATTAACTGCCGACTGCCTCAGCCTCCCTTTTTTTTCACTCTTCTCTGACTACTCTTGCTTCCACCACTCTGCCTTTGCTCCAGCCACTCTGGCTTCCTTGCAGTGTGTTTCCAGCTCAGGGCATCGTGTCATCCATCCTCCCGTAATATTCCCTCCTGTCCTCATTCCTCTCTCTCCTCTCCCATCTGCGTAGCTCACTCCCTTGCTTCTTGCAGTCCTCTGCTTAAGTGCTCAAATGCATTTAATCAGAGAGGCCTTTCTTGCCAGTACCACCCTCATCCTTCTTAACCTGTGACATGGCTGGGATCTGTGTCTCCACCAAATCTTTTGTCGAATTGCAATCCCCAATGTTGGACGTGGAGCCTGGTGGGAGGTGATTAAATCACAGGGGCGGATTTCCTATGAATGGTTCAGCACCATCCCCTTTGGTACTGTCCTCATGACAGTGAGTGAGTTCTCATAATATCTGGCTGCTTAAAAGTGTGTGACACTGACCACACCTGCCTTGGTCCTGCTCCTGCTATATAAGATGCCTGCCCCTGCTTTGCCCTTTGCCATGATCAAAAGCTCCCTGAAGCCTCCCCAGAAGCAGATGCTGCTGTGCTTCCTGTACAGCCTGCAGAACCATGACCAAATAAACATATTTTCTTTAGAAATTACCCAGTCTCAGGTATTTTTTTTTAATAGCAATGTGAGAACAACCTATACAACCTGCTTAACTTTGTTCATGGCGTTATCACCTCCACACATTTTATGCGTTTATTTTTCATTCCCTTCTTCTGGAATTTAAGCTCCACTTGAGTAAGTATTTGTTTTCAGCTATTATATTCCCAGTGGCTAAAGTGGTGCCTGAAACATGGTGGGAACTTCATAAATACTTGTTGAATGAATTAATTGAATGGATGAGTCGGTGAATGCTATACCCAGAAGGAAATATTAGGTGAGAAAAATTTATATGTGATATAATGCACAAAAAGAGTAGTAATACTTAAAACACTCAAAAAGTTAAAAATTTCTTTGTTATAATTTTTTTTTCCTGAAACAAAAAGCTTCTAAATTAAAATTTGGCCATTTTAAGAGTCTAAATCCAAAGTATTTGTAATAGAAGACATGATTAGGTATAATTCTCTGATTGTCAGGCCATTACAGAGCTATTCTGGAGCCTGATTTGTTGTGAATTGCCAAGGCACATTTATAGATGGGAGGTGATACATGTACTAGCAAAGACATAGAGCCATGTAATTTAAATTATATTTAAATTAATGCAAGAAGAGTCTGAAGAACTCTTCTTTTTTGACACCAATTAGAAGAGAAAGAGGGTTCTAAAGAATAAGCCGTTGGCTGAAGAGAGACCTGTAATTTATTTGACTCTTTAATTCCACATAATTTCTCTAGGTTATTTTGACTTTGTTAAAACATAAGGCAAAAAAACTCATAAATGCTGTATAAATCAAGAGCTTAGATTCCATAGAGAAATAGATACAGAGTCTATTAATTGTAAAAGCACTTGCCTTGAACAAGTCGACTTTGCTGATGATGCTGAAGTTCACATCAATGGCGAGGGCTAACTGGACCGTAGTTGGTAGGGTCTTAAGCAAATCAGACTCATCTTTATAAAGATAAACACATCAAACCCCGATGCAGAATAATTAATGAAATAAGTCACCAAGGTACAAGTAGAAAAATTTTTAAAATAAAGGAAACAAAATGCAAACACTTTTTATACATAATTAGATGCATCAGATTCTATATTTTCATTACTTCTATTGGACCTCCATACCTATTACAATAACACTATTATGCTTATGCAATAAAAGAAGTATTTTTAACCCTGGATGACATACTGAATAATTCCAGAACATTATGCTTGCTGAAACTTTAGCTATGAAACGTAATGATCATAGCACAAAGGCTAGTGAACAAGCTAGCATGGCTGAAGGATCTAGTTCTTATTTTCTGATTCTATTGATTCCAGCCTTAGCATTCAAGGGATGGCAAATAATAATGAGCACCATGTGGCACTGGAGAGCTTACAGAGCTCTGTCACACCCATTATCTTATTTGACCCTTGTGACAACCCCAAGGGTAAATGTTCTCATTCCTACTTTGCAGAAAGAAGAAAAACAAAAAGGACTGAAGCCCTGAGAAGCTGTAAGTGACTTGCTCCATTGTGCATAATTAGTAGGTGGCTCAGCTGGGATGGAATCTAAAGAAAAAATGTGCTAAGAGAGTAAATTCAAATTATTGTTATTTACTTGCTTATTAACTCGATGAAGAATGTGAATACATTACAGATTTTTCTACATGTGAATTAAATGATGGGCTTCAGGCTGATAAAATGTTCCGTAAACAAAATTGCCTATTCTTTTTTTTTTCTTTTTTTAAAACCTTGTATTTTAAGTTCTGGGGTACATGTGCAAGTTTGTTATACGGTAAACTCATGTCATGGGGATTTGTTATAGAGATTATTTCATCACCCAGGTATTAAGTTTAGTACCTATTCATCGTTTTTCCTGATCCTGTCCCTCTACCCACCCTCCACCCTCCAGTAGGCCAAGGGTCACGTTTGTTCCCCTCCAGAAAATTCCCTATTCTTAATGGTTAGAATTCCAAGAGTTTCTGAGAGTTGATTTTTTTTTAATGTTTTCTTATATTATTTAGAAAAGAGAGAAATTGCTGTATTACATCCCTATTTTGATTCAAATATAGATTCTAAATATGAAAATCCTTCATATATAAACACAGTTTATTGTTTCCGAGGGCTGTCTCTAGTTACCTCCTAAGCCAAGGAGTTGAATCATTATCTGCCTTCGCTAAGGGGTGCGAGGCAAGAAGCCTGGCACCACTCCTTTTGTTGCTCTGCCTGCCCACTTCAGATGCCTTCAAGTAGCTGCAGATGTTCTAGAGAGAGGCATGTTGTTTTGGTCATTCAGGAAGAGATTCTAAACACGAGGCTGGAGTTTTAAGAGGCTTAAAAGTGTCAGAAAGGTGAAGAAAAGACCCTACCATAATAACCAGTGGTTTCTGTCTGCTCTTAGGAACCTTTGTGATTTGAGAATTTCATTGTAATTTGCACTCTGGAGCATTTTTGGCTTCTTAGTGGCACTAATTCCTATTTCATATGGTAAGAACAAACTAAAAGTTGAGTTTCATTATTGTCAACTAGCAGTGCATTATCTTCGACTTATTTTATATCCCTCAGTAACAATTATTTTTAACTGCAGTAGTATAGTGGTATAGTTGTAGACACCATTAATTATTTAGCACCTCATGGAAGCAATTGTGTGCCCTGAGGCAGGATGGGAGTGGCCTGAAAGGTTGCTGCTTTCTATTAGTACAGTTGACCCTTGAACAACACGTGTTTGAACTACACAGGTCCACTTATACAAGAATTTTCTTCCGCCTCTGCTACACCTGAGAGCAAAACCAACTCCTTTTTCTCCTTCTCCTCAGCCTACTCGACAGTGAAGATGAGGAGGATGAAGACCTTTATGATGATCTAGTCTCACTTAATTACTAGTAAGTATAGTTCTTTTCCTTATAATTTTCTTAATAACATTTTCTTTTCTCTAGTTTATTTTAAGAATATGGTATATAATACAGATAACATACAAAATTTGTGTTAATAGTAAGGCTTCCAGTCAACAGTAGCCTATTAGTAGTTCAGTTCTGGGGGAGTCAAAAGTTATATGTGGATTTCTTTCTGTTATTTTGAGACAGAATCTGGCTCTGTTGCCTAGGCTGGAGTGTAGTGGTGCATCACCACATTCTGCTAATTTTTGTATTTCTAGTAGAGATGGAGTTTTGCCATGTTGGCCAGGCTGGTCTTGAACTCCTGACCTCAAGTGATCTGCCTGCCTCAGCCTCCCAAAATGCTGAGATTACAGGAGTAAGCCACCATGCCCAGCCTCAAAAGTTATATGTGGATTTCTGACTGTGGAGTGAGGGTTGGCATTGTTAACCCCCACTTGTTCAAGGGTCAACTGTACTGTGTTCTGGGTAAGAGAGTGATATTGAAGTAAGAGCAAGAGTTTGGAAGAGAAGAGATGCGGGTCTGAGTTCTATTTAGACTGTGTGCTGGCTCTGTGTCTTCGCCCAAATTTCTCAGTTAGGAGCCTCCATTTTCTACCCTTCAAAGGGATAGACAATGCCTAATTTTCCCACTTCCTTTTTTGTATGTGTGACTATATGAGACAATGTGTGTAATACCGAGCATCCAGAAGATGCTGATTAAAATTTAGCCTTTTCTCTTCCAAGGTTTTCAAAACCAGTAAGATATTTATATTTCAGGAAAAAAAAAAAACCTGTAGCATTAAACGAATGCTTTAAGGATCATTTAGTTGTTTTTCAACCTTTTGTTCAAATCCAACTAGTCTCTGCTACCTTACAGAATTTTCATCATATGACAAGGTTTACAGGAATTTAATCGGTAATCTGCCATGCTTACCTAGCATTCTTTGAGAGTCCCATGTATATTCATACCAAGTCCGAACTCGCTTTTGCACAAGTTTAGGAATGGAGTAATTGTTCATGTAGGCAATGGTGTCATCCATGCAGGCGCGGAAGTAGTTCTGATTGGCTGTAGCTGCTCCAATCACATCTCTCATCTAAAACCACAAATATGGTCACTCCACGCCCAGCAGAGGAAATGAGTTAATAAAAGTCAAATTACATGTTTTCCACATGATATACTTCCTTCTAATGCCCTGATTACTTGATTTTATTCATTCATTCATTTTTATTTTATTTATTCTTGCCCAGACAACTTTTCAGCAGTGGATTGATTTTAAACATACTGATATTGGGTCCTAATATCACCCACTTCCATAAAATATTGGGCAAATTATATTCTCTCTCTGATCCAATAAGGACAACAATAAGACCTGTAGGACAAACCAAGTGAGAATTCAGCCATGTAATGCATAGGACTACACATAGTCTTCTTTGGAAACTTGTATTTTACTGCAGAAATGTTAGTATACATTGAAAAAATTATACAGCTGTGCTTATGCAAGGAGTGTGCAATAAAAGTTGAGCAATTGTCTGGCAGAATGGCTAGTCCATTTTGGTGAGTCTTACTTTGAATGCATCCTTCATAGATTATCCAGTGTGGCTGGCTATATAGACTCAATTCATCATGAAATTGCAACCTCTGTACTTCCCTTTGTGTTGTTTAGACAGATAAAATCAAATCTCATCATGCTTAAGGCACAGTATTCAGCAGAAGTTGAAATGTGCTGAAATTACTGAAGCATCATCTACTGCTGTGACAATTCTTAAGAAACTGTCAGGTTTTAGTTCTTGGATGTTTATAACTCACCCATAAAAACCCACTCTAGGTTAAAAGCTGATCTTTAAGGTCTCAGCACAAAAAAGATATATAGCTCGACTCTTCCTCTCACATAGAGGGAGGCAAGTGGCTGTAAATATGCTTTGACTGTGGGTTTATACTAGGGAGGAAAACCAGGGCCTCACTTTCACACTCCTAAGACTTTGCTCATTCATTTTAGTAGCTTTTGAGCCTTTTCTGCTTATGGAAAAACGACTCATTCTTTGGAGTCTAGCTCAAATGGCTCTTTTTAATTGTGATGCCCTCCTCAGTTTCCATTTTTAGAGCCAAAAAATTCTTCTACATATTAAAACTATCTGCAGAGGAGCTATGCAGCTAGTCCAACTGTATATATCTTTTTGAGTCTCTTACTCCTCAGTGGCTCTTCCAAATATTCCTCAACAACCTCAATTCCTAGATCTCACTTTTCCATGCTGTTCTTGGCTGATAACTTACATTACCTAGTCACCTAAGGCTGGGAGACTTGGTATGTTAGGAGAGGGCTTGGGAGATTTAATAGAGTATTAAGTTGGGAAGCAAGGACTATTAAAAGCATTATTGATTGCTGTTGAGGCTCCAATAATTTGTAGTGACAGTAATTTGAATGGTTTGTGTGATATCCTTCAGCAATGTTGGGTTTTGTTGTTGCAGGAGTTGAGGAAGATGTATATTCTATAATGGATTGCAGGCTAGGGAAGTACATGAGAGTATGAGAGGAAGAAAAATGTCAGTTTCTGTGAGTTGCATCACAAAATAGAATATTGTAGTTAAAATGTGATGATTGGCTGGGTGCAGTGGCTCCATGTCTGTAATCTCAGCATTTTGGGAGATGAGGTGGGAGAATCACTTGAGGCCAAGAGGTCAAGACCAGCCTGGGCAACATAGTGAGACTCTGTTTCTACAAAAAATAAATGAAGAAAAGAATTAGCCAGGCATGATGGCACGCACCTGTAGTCCCAGCTACCTGGGAAGCTGAGGTGAGAGGATTGCTTGAACCCAGGAGTTTGAGGCTACAGTGAGCTATGATTAAGCCACTACACCCTAGCCTGGGCACAGAGCCAGACCCTGTCTCTTAATAAAAAAAGAGTGATGATTAGTTCCATCGTATAGTCTCTATGTGGGAATTTTGAGTGAGTGGAGGGTTTTTTTCTGTCCCAGGCTTTTAAACTTTTATTTCTATCTGTTCCCCTGCTCAGCATCTTTTATTCACTATGAGAGTTTGAGGCACATATCTGTATCTCTAGCCTCAATCTTTCTCTTGTGGTCTACTACCACATTTTCAGTGACTTGATATTCCTTCTTGTTCCTATTGGAACCTCAAATCCAATTTAAAAGCAGATGTGGTGTGGTGTATAAAACAGCACTTTTCAAACATTCGTGTGTGTATGAATCACTTGACGATTTTGTTAAAATACAAGTTCTGATTCACTAGTCTGAGGTGGGGCTTGAACTCTGAATTTCTCAAGTGCTGCTGCTGCTGCTTGTCCAAAGATTACACTATGAGTAACAAGATAATTGAACTGGTGCTAGAAATAGTATTTTAGTCTTGATGTGAAAATCGTCTTGCACATAGTAAGTGCTCAATACATGTTAAATTTTACTGTTATTATCAGTGTTATTATATATGGTTCTTCCATACGACCCTATGAACTACATGTATGAATCAGGGATGCCTCTTAATCTCTTTAAACTGGAGTTTTCTCATTCGTAAAACAGAGAAAAAATTGACTGTGATATGACAACTTCACGTTGATTTTACTAGAAATTATAAAATAATGTGATTTTTGCTATTTATATTCAAATGGATTTGAATTTAGTATCTCTCAAACCAGCTTCCTATTTCATTGTTAATATAATCTCCCCAGCCATGAAGATAATGATATTTTATACTTAACAATTTTTAGCTCTTAGTGTTCATCTTCCTAAACCTAAATATTTTCTACATAGAGTTTACTTTACTACCCCTCTCTGTATTTCATTAACATGTTAAGGCTGGAACTGCCATATCCCCGTGTATCTGTATTAACCTGTTTTATTTTCTATGTTTTGATATGTTAATATCAGGGACTTTGCTGACTGAGGCCTTGCTTGTTTCTCCCACGGTTAGAGATGGTGGCCAAATCTCCTGAGAGTGTGTCTTCCATGCGTAAACTAACTAATCTGGAACCCATATCCCAACTGCCTTCTGTATCAGGTTCTTACATGGGCTCCTACATTCAGGCCACTATCCACCTGTCCTACAAAAAAAATTAGCTTGGTGTGGTGGGGTGCAACTGTAGTTGCAGCTACTTGGGGGGCTGGGGTGGGTAGATCCCTTGAGCCCAGGAGGCTGAGGCTGCAGTGAGCCATGTTTGTGCCACTGCTCCCCAGCTTGGGTGACAGAGCAAGACCCTGTCTCAAAAAAAAAAAAAAAAAAAAAGGGCTCTATCCTTTGTAAGTGCCAACTATCTTCAATATAATAATTTATGTATTTAATTTCTTACTAGACTGACTTTTTTGAGAATAAATACAAGGAGATGCTATAGTAAACATTTGTGAAACAATAACTTATTAATTATTTTATATGGCATTTTGTAGCCTCTGGTTTAAATGACCTCTGAAGTCAATTATAACCCAGTGATTTTATAACAATATTTGAAATTTAAGTAAATAAAAGAGATTTTAATGGTTTTCATTAGGGTCCAAGTAAAAAGTTAACTTAGAAACAACTTTCTCTGAGAGTTCAAACTATGCTATTTGCTGACAGGTCTTTTGATAGATTTAATGGCTTAAAAATGGAAAAGCACTGTTGATCTAATCACATCCTCCTTCAACTCATTAAAATAGAAGAAAGTTAGTTCAAAAAAAGAAGAACCAGACAGATTTTAATTTTTCCTCCATAAAGTTTACAAAGACCTGTTAGTCTTTCAAAATGACAGCACTGTGTATCCAGTGATTCATACTCAGCTTACCTGACCAATTAAACTGGAGAACACAAAAACTCCAGAAAAAAAATTCAAGAGTTGAAAAACAATTTCAAATAAAGTTTGTGGTTCTGGAAGGCCACCAATGGTAATTAAAGTTCGAACTGCCCAATAATAACATCT
Source organism: Homo sapiens (assembly GCF_000001405.40). Taxonomy (NCBI): domain Eukaryota; kingdom Metazoa; phylum Chordata; class Mammalia; order Primates; family Hominidae; genus Homo; species Homo sapiens. Next base: position 86,632,887 of record NC_000008.11, read on the forward strand.
CAGATACCTGTGAAAACAGAAGATATACATTTTGCTTTTTTTCTATATCATCGAAAGACCACTATTCTTGGGAGAATATAGTACTATTAAATTATAACAAATTTCCTACTAATCAAGATTTTCTTTCTCTAGACAGCACTGGCAAACAGCATGTGTGCTAATGTAAACTTCTTAATAAATGCTGTGAAATGATGAAACAAGCCCAAGGAGGGTGTTTACTAGCCGTTACCAAAATTTGGTAGTCTAAATAACCACCATTTTTATTAGGCTTATAGTTTTATGGGTCAGAATTTTGTGCAAAGCCCAACAGAGATGACTCATTTATGTTCCATGATGACCGGGCCCTCAGCTGGTATGAGTTGAATGGCTGGAGATATCTGGAAAGATTTGATTGAAACCAAATGTCTGAAACCTTGATTCTGACTGTTGGCTGGGTTCCCCTGTTCCTTTCCACATTATGTCCTTTTGGAATGCCCAAGGTAGCTGCTTACCTCACATGTCTGATCCTGAGCTGGGAAGATTGGAACAGTAGAGGGTGGCTGGGTATCTTTTTTCATTCAGCCTCTCAATGTGACTAGCTTGGGCTTCCTCATAGCATGGATGTCTAAGGTAGATGGATTTTTACATGAGAGCTGTTTTCCCCCAGAGCAATAGCAGCCCAGGTGGTAGCTGCCAGGTTTCCTATAACTTAGAAGCCCTATATCATCTTATAGTTGTCACATTGTATTTGTCAGTCAAGTCACTAAGGCCAACCCAGGTTCAAGGGAAGAGACATTTGAATCCACCTCTCAATGAGAGAAGCAGCAAAAATTTGAGGCTGTTTTTAAACTACTACACTATTGATTTGTGGGAATATTATAGAGATCAAATGTATTTATGCAGATGAGAGAATCTTCTATAGTTTAGATCCAATTGTTTTTACTAGTGGAAAACAGAACAGATGAATATCTCTTCTATTTTTCACCCACATATTATTATATTATTGAATACGTAAACCATGGCAGAGACAGAGGAGAGCTGAGCTCCATCTTAATAGGGAAATTACTGTTGATTGTAATGGGCAACTGATCTAGAAATTTGGTATTGAAGAAAATCAAGTATGCTCAGAAATGTACTTGATAAAATTTCTGTACTTGAACAATTGCAAATGAAGAGGCTGAGGTCATTACAGACCAGATAGGAACAGGATGAGAAAAGAATATGATAAGGATTAGTAAAGAACATATAACATTTACTTAGCTATCCAGAGAGTCCTTAACATACTATGGTTTGATTTTATGATGGCATAAAAGCAATATCCATTCAGTAGAAACCATACTTTGCATACTCATACAACCATTCTGCTTTTCACTTTTAGTATGGTATTCAATAAATTACATGAGATATTCAACAATTTATTAGAAACTAGGCTTTGTGGTAGATGATTTTGCTGAACTGTAGACTAACATAATTGTTCTGTGCACATTTAAGTTAGGTTAGGCTAAGCTATGATGTTTGGTAGGTTAGGTGTATTAACTGCATTTTTGGCTTGCAATATTTTCCCGATAGGTTTATTGTGATGTAACCTCATCAGAAGTCAAAGACATCTGTATATATATTTCATAATTCTTGTGCACTTAGGCATACTATCTGGTAATTCTACATAGCTCTGATAACTTGGTCTGTATCAAGCATTTCCACTGAATCCTTTAAAAATGTCATTTATATAAAGAACGTCTCCAGGTTTTGTTACAGAGGGACATTAAGATTTTGTGTGTCCCAACTAGCTATTTCAGCATCTTGTACAGACACAGAAAAGGAGTACTTTTTACGGAATCCTGCCCTAGTCGAGCTTTTATTTCTTATCTAGGTATGCCACATATAACATTAGCACTTTGGGTAACTGGGCACTAAGCTTTGAACAAGGGTGGTCTTTTCTTGTAAAAATAGTTTGAGATTTTAAGATCTTCAAATAGTAAGAAGTTGAGGTTTACAAAGAAAGAAAGAAACTGCAGTTGAAGTTAATATTCAAATAAAAACAGATCTAGAAAGAAATTACTCATTTTGAAATTCAATACCTTTTGAAGGACATAGGACTCTTTTTTTTTTTTAACCTAGTTCCTTGTTATAGGAACAGAAAAAATAATGAACTCTTTGGTAGGGCTTGAAAACCACTATGCCAAGAGAATAAAAATGTTACCACTGTATAATTTTTTTCTAGCAGTCTTCCTTGGACTTACTAATATCATAGTGAACTTGATGTCAAAGAGAACCACCTTGAAGAAGTCTGGAATTAATTTTATGGATTGCATTTTAACTTTTCAAATTCCAATTTATAATTTCCTATTACCTGATTTATTTTGGTCACCGGTTTTGGACCTGTGGGTCTCTTTAAATTAAGGAAATTTATTAAACCTGACATTACCCAAGAGTGAAGAGAAACAAGATTCTCTCCCAACATGGTCAATTCCATGATAAGTGTTGGGATTACTTCCCCTCCAAAGTCACTCAAAAGTTTGTCCTACTTTAACAGGAACAAACATAAGAATTACTTTCTCCCATTTTCTTTTTTATGATTTTAAAAAATAACAATCAAATGTAAAATTTTGGCATGGATTTTCCAAATCTCAAGGGTTTGGCTTGAACAATTTTTTTTATATTAAATAGTCTGCTATGTTAATTGGAAGTTTTCTGCCCTGATGCTTTGAGATTTATTTTAGGATTCTTTTCTCAGTCACATCTTACACCTAGACATGCATAACCAAAGGTAAGATTTGTAATTTAATTAGATGACCTCTTATGGATTTCCTAAGATTAGCTTAATTAGTCAAGTGTGTCCATCTCTAATATCTACATCCCAGTCAGATAGATCTTTTCAAAGAGATTCTATCTGGCTGGATTAACACATGAAGTATCTAATTATTAGCTATACAATGCATCAACTGTATAACACATGATATATATATATATATATATATATATATATATATATATATATACACATACACATATACTTAGGCATACTTAAAGCAGTAAGGCAGGATTTGACATAAAGCCATAAAAATATTTAGTATGAAAATAGAAAGCCTTTCTCTGTGAAACAAACATAACATGCAATTTCCCCCAATATATTTTTATGAAACATTTTAAACAAACAGAAAAATTAAAAGAATTTTACAGTGAACACTCACATGCCCACTGCCTAGATTCTACCATTAACATTTTACTATGCTTGCTTCGTCACATATTCCTCCACTTATTTATCAATAAAACCTTCTTATTTTTTGGATGTATTTCAAAATAATTTCTAGACAGCCAGAAACTTTCTCCTAAAAACAGTACTTCAGAATATATATGTTAACTGGAGTTCAGTATTTGTTTAGAGTTATGTTTTATTTTGAATATACAGTTAAAGCACTAATGAGGCCGGGCATGGCGGCTCACACCTGTAATCCCAGTGCTTTGGTAGGCTGAGGCGGGTGGATCACTTGAGGTTGGGAGTTTGAGACCAGTCTGGCCAACATGGTGAAACCCCGTGTCTACTTAAAATACAAAAAGTAGCCGGGTATGGTGGTGGGTGTCTGTAATCCCAGCTACTCAGGAAGGCTGAGGCAGGAGAATCGCTTGAACCCGGGAGGCGGAGGTTACAGTGAGCTGAGATGGTGCCACTGCACTCTAGCCGGGGTGACAGAGTAAGACCCTGTCTCAAAAAAAAAAAAAAAAAAAAAAAAAAAAAGGCACTAATGTTAAGTAAGACCATTTGGTGAATTTAAAGAAAGTACAGTATTATCTATAGGCATTATGCCATACAGTAGATTTCTAGGACTTACTCATTTTGCATAATGGAAGCTTTGTACTCCTTGACTTACACTTCCCCATTATCCCTTTCCTCCAGCCCCTGGTAACCCCCATCCTACTCTCTACTACTACGAAATTGACTCTTTTAGATTCCACATACAAGTGAGGTCATATGAGGTCAGACGGTATTTCTCTTTCTGTGTCTTGTTTATTTTGCTAGGCATAATGTCCCCCAGCACTATCTATATTGTCACAAATGGCAGAATTTCTTTCATTTTAAGGCTGAATGATATTCTATTATATATGTGCATATTTGCCATATTATCTTTATCCTTTCATTAGTTGAGAGAAATTTAGGTTCCTTCCATGTTTTGGCTATTGCGAATAATGCTGCAATGCTGCAATGAACATGGGAGTGCAGATGTCTCTTTGAGATACAGATTTCAATACCTTTGGGTATATTCACAGAAGTGGCATTGCTGGGTCATATGGTAGTTATTTTGTTCTTTTGTTTGTGGATATCCAGTTTTCCCAGTACAATTTATTGGAGAGACTATCTTTCCTCATTGCATATCCTTAGCACCCTTGGACAGGCAGTTGACCATCTATGTATTCATTTATTTCTGGGCTCTCTATTTTGTTTCATTGGACCATATGTGTGTTTTTATGCCAGTTTCATACTGTTTTGATTATGGTAGCTCTGTGATATATTTTGAAATCAGGAAGTGGGATGCCTTTGGCTTTGTCCTTTTTGCTCAAAATTACTTTAGCTATTCGGGGTCTTTTGTGGTTCCATACAAATTTTTGGATTTTTTTCTGTTCCTGTAAAAAAATCATTGAGATTTTGATAGGGATTGCATTGAATTTATAGATCATTGTGAGTAGTTGGGACATTTTAACAATATTAATTATTCTAGCCCTTGAATACAGATGTCTTTCAATTTATTAGTTTCTACTTTAATTTTTTATCAGCATTTTGCAGTTTTCAGTGTACAAGTCTCACACCCCTTTGGTTAAGTTTATTCCAAATATTTTATTCTTTTTGATGCTTAATTTCCTTTTCAGAGAGTTTATTGTTAGTGTGTAGAAATGCTACTGATTTTTGTATCATTTAATAAATTTTGACAAATGCATATACCTGTGTAACAAAACACATGTTAAGACATAGAGCCTTGCCATCACTTTAGAAAGTTCTCTCAATTCTTTTCCCAGTCAATCCTTACTCAAATGCGCCAGAGGCAATCACCTGTTCTAATTTTTTTCTACCGTGGATAAGTTTGCCTGTTTTAGAATTTCACATAAATGAAATCGTACAGTATATATGCTTCCGTATAAGATGTCTTTTACTCAGTATGGTTTTGAGAGTTATTTATGTTGTGTATTGGTAATTTATTCCTTTTTATTGCTGCATAGTATTCATTGTATCTTTATACCACAGTTTGTTTATTTATTCACCTATGGATGAATACCTAGCCTGCCTCAAGTTTTTGGTTTTGATGAATAGAGCTTCTGTGAAAATTCTTGAACAAGTTTTATTCTGTGAACATATATTTTCATTACTTTTGGGTAAAATACCTACATTGGAATTTTTGAGTTGTAGGGTAGTTGTGTTTAGTTGTAAAATAAACTGTCAGATCTTTTTCCAATATGGTTTTATCATTTCACATTCCCTCTAACAATATGTGAGTTCCAGTAACCCCATGTTATCCTAACACCTGGCATTGTCATTATCCCAGCACTTGGTATTGTCAGTCTTTTAAATTTCAGCCATTGTGGTAAATCTGTAGTGGGACATGCAATTTTTAAAAGTACCCCTTCTATACTTATCTTTCTGTGTGGACCTTCCTAACTACCTCAATCCATCTTAGTCCCTAGTTTCTGTAAACTTATTACTGGAAGCAATGGCTATGAGGGAGAACGGTCTTATTAGAATGTAAGTGCTACAAAGGTAGGTGTTTATGGGCCTAGTAGCACACAATAGGAATTCACTAATATTTGTTGAATGACTGGAATGGATGAGTGAATGCATACCTAGACTTACTGAAATGAGAATGTAGGAAGACTGTATCTGTGAACACATCTGTTGAATCTCCTTCTGAACTCTCCCCTGTCATGCTTCTCACTGACCTTCACTTCCTTCTGATCCACTGATTCTTTGCTCTGGGTTTTTTTTTTTGTTTTGTTTGTTTGTTTGTTTGTTTTTGTTATATTCCAAGGGTGACCCTCTAGGAATTGTAATATAAATATCCTCCCTCTTCCTCTCCCTTTCCCCCCTCCTCCCTTTCCTTCTCTCTCTCTGCCATTGTCTGATCTCAGCTATGAGGTATCTAGGACATCCTGAATAAATATTTTCATCTACCTAAGTCTCATCATCTTTATCTGTAAAATTGAGAAGGTGGATTACCTAAATTTTTCTAGCACTATGGTATAGTAATTCTGATTCCTTCCTTACATCAACTAAAGTCAATAATTCCCATGATGCCTTGTTTACTTCTCTTTTTTTCAAAGAAGATACATTAGGGACTGGGACTGTGGATTTGTTAAAAAATTTGTGCACAGTGGGAAATTTATGTCAGAAAATACATAAAATTGGGATATATGTGGACAAAAATACATTGGGAACATTTTTAAGTATCACATAATCTTAGGTACTTACTTGTGTTCTCCTTTTGAACTAAATATTTGCATTCTTTCTCACATTTTACAGTCTAAAGAAGGATGTTATTCACTCAATATAAATAAAAATGCCTTCTATTGATGTGAATAGAAATTGCTGTTCTGATGAGAATTAATGGAATCATAATAAACTTGACTTATTTTAAATGTTCACAGTGTTCCATTTATGCCCCACAGTCTGCTGCCTAATTCTAACTAGGTCAAAATTTGCAAATCCAAAGGCCTAATGAGCAACCTTCAATTTATAGGTCACCAGGACCATCACAAGGGTTAAGTTAAAAAATAGGTAATTATTGCAAAAACTTGGCTTACAAGATCAAAGGGTAACATGAAGCAATAGAAGGAGAAATTGATGTTAAAAAAACTATTAGGATAAGTATACTAGTAACTGACATATGCAAATTATCTAAAAAGATAAGTAAAGAGGCTGCTTTTAAAAGCATTTTCATTGCAAGGGTGGCAACCTGTGTCCCTGACAGTTGGTAACAGGATTGTTGGAGCTTTGGTTTTGAGTGAGAATGCTTCAGTCTAAATGAGCAGAGCAGAGCTGATGGGGTAATATTTATAGTCAGAGAATGTGAGTTGTATGATAACAAGGCTGTGGAATTTATCGAAACTAGGTTTGGGCCTAGAAAATGATCACTTTTAGTAGTTTTTCTGTGAGTGATTAAGAAAAATGGGTAGTTTCTAATCCTTGGGTGCAAGATTCTGTTTGTACCCATGAAATCAAGCTTGTTATTTGGGTTATCAAATCTTTTATATGTTTATTGTTTCTGGTTACTTGACCTGTCAATAATTATGTTTGGTGTCTCACACTTTGATGATATATTGGCCAATTTCTCCTCCTTCTATCAATTTTTGCTTTATGGTTTTCTTTGAATGATTGTAAGTATTTTATTGGGTGCATACACATTTAGAATTGGAATATCTTGATGGTAGTAAATAAAATTTATAGGAGGCCATTGGTTTGGACTAAACTCTTGCACTAGGCCAAACAGACCAAAGCAAAATGGAATTACTCATGCTGAAGTTCTATGTCACCAAACTGAAACTAAGTTGTTTATCTGCCATTCCAAGAAATCAGGAGAGAGAGAAAGAGAGATAGCTAAATCCCCAAACTAGCCAGTTTTATCCAGCATGGTAAGGAAGTCCCCTCTACTTTAACCTTTAGAGGGAAAGTAACTTTGAAATGACCAGTCCGTTTTTGTTCTCTGTTTCTGCTTTCTTCAGCCCTTTTCTGCCTATGAAGCCAACCTCCTTTGCTCAGCTCATCAGAACACTCATTTTATTTTATAGAATTGAGGTGTTGCGTGATTCTAGAATTGCAAATAAAAGCCAATTAAGATCATTAAAATAAATTTGTTGTAATTTTGTCTTTTGACAATCATGAATCAAAACTTTTATCATTATATGGTGAACTTTTTCTCTAAAATGGTTTTGTTTTAAAGCTTATTTTGACTAATGTTAATTGACAATCTCTATTAGCATGTGAGTTTAGTTCACATTAATTTACTGCACATATTTGTCAGAGGTGTTTGAACCAGAGTGACTCCCTCTTGAAAAGGGGCTGGGTAAAATAAGGCTGCGACCTACTGGGCTGCCTTCCCAGGAGGTTAAGCATCCTAAGTCACAGGATGAAACAGGAGGTTGGCACAAGATACAGGTAACAGAGAGCTTGCTGATAAATTAGGTTTCAGTAAAGAAACTGGCCCAAATCCACCACAACCAAGATGGCGATGAAAGTGAACTCTTGTCATCCTCATTGCTCATTATACGCTAATTATAATTCATTAGCATGCTAAAAGACACTCCCACCAGCACCATGACAGTTTACAAATGCCATGGCAATATCCAGAAGTTACCCTATATAGTCTAAAAAGGGGAGGAACCCTCAATTCTGGGAATTGCCTACCCCTTTCCCTGAAAATTCATGAATAATCCACTCCTTGTTTAGCATATAATCAAGAAATAATTGTAGGTATTCTAAGCAGTCCATGCCACTGCTCTGCCTATGCAGTAGCTATTTTTTTATTTCTTACTTTCTTAATAAATTTGCTTTCACTTTATTCCATGGACTTGCCCCAAATTCTTTCTTGCACAAGGTCCAAGAACCCTCTCTTGGGGTCTGGATCAGGACCCCTTTCTGGTAACATACTGATCTATTTTAAATTGTCCTTACCATCTTATGTTGTGTCTTCTATTGTCCTGCCTTTCCTGTACTTCTCCCCAAAACTGCCACTCCTTATCTTTGTGTCTTTTTTTGGACTGGTTTGCTTTTTAAATTTCCTTATTCATTTTTTTTTCCCCTTATACTAATTTAGAAGTTATTCTCTCTATTTCTGTTCTTTAGTGGTTACTCACACTCATTTTCTATTGTACTCCAGGTTTGGTACATATGTTTGTGTTTTAGCCTTTGGAGATACTTCTTACTTTCTAGGGAACTCAGCAATCACTGAAAACTGTTGTAATTGTATTCATTTAGAAACTTATAACAAATAATTATAATAAGTAACTTAACAAAATTACAACAGGTAATTTATCTTGCATTTTAGAGAGAGTATCTTGGCTACCTGGGCTATGATGTAGCTGGAATTAGAAATCCAAAACACTAGCACACTTGAAGTTTCTTATGGGCTAAAGCTGAGATTTCTTTCTTCTTGTTACAATGCAGATTTGGCCATTCCTTTCGTTTTTCCTTACTCCCCCTCTCTCTTCCTGCTTTTATATACCTATATATTGTCTATTATTATATACTTAACACTGAGCTTAACACTGGGAACAAGATATAGTCCCTAGAAACTCCACAGAGAGGCGTCTAGGTGTAAAAGGAGAAATAGCTTCACTTTCTGGAAGGCATTCTGATGCAATCCTATATTGTTTTGCTAATTTGAAAAAAACAGCTATCAGCCACAGTCATCTAATGATGTTGGATTACATATTCACTTTGAGGCAATTTTACTGTAGCTGGTATTTTAGTCAATTTTTAGATAAATTAGTTGTTTATATCAAAGTAAATAATTCACATTCTAAAGGGAATTATTTATTTAGTAAATTTTCTGGAAATTGAGTGTCTGTGTGTGTGTGTTTCCCAATCAGTGGTCCTTCTGACTTTAAATTCTTTAAAATCGGTTCTGGTTGTTATAATCCCTTATACATATCCAACTCACTCTAGGTAGTATGTAATTTTGTAAGTTATTTTCCCTCTCTTTGCTCTATCCTATAATTGCTCTCCATCCCAAGGCTGCAGTGAGTTGCCCTTCAAAGTAATGCTGGGACCTGCTTTTTTTCCAGTTTGGACATTGCCTTATTATATGTTCAATGTCATTTCACTGGAGCAGAAAGTTAGTGAAGTCAACTTTATGCCAGGTCTTTGTATTTTACCAAAAGGAAATTTCACTATTAAATAACCCAGTTGCCATTTCTGAGTCCTGATTCTACTGTTCTAAATTTTTCAAGTGATCTTTTTTTATTTCTGGGACACTTGCATACCTAATTGTCAAGTTTAATTTATGATCCTCGTTACTCTCTAAGTGTTTAATTGAGTTAGTGGTTATAGCTGACTCATAAACCCATAAAACCCTTCACTGGTAAACTAATTAGCCACTGCACCTGCCCTTTAAATAATTAACATTGTTCATTACTAACAATCGGCATCGGAGTTATTAAAAGTTACCTTACTGCTCAGTTGTCTAGAGGCTTTCAAACTTTTTTGATCATGATCCAGAGTAAAAAATGCATTTCACAGGCCAACTCAGGATACACACACACACACACACACTCCCCTACTATCTATCAGACTCTGATATTTTCTATTCTATTATTCTCTATCTTCTTTCATTTAAAAATGTATTGACTTACTAAAGAGGTTTTTCAGCTTAAAAATTTTTATTTAGACCAATTCATGGGGTACTCATGCAATTTTGTTACATGTATACAATGCATAGTGATCAAGTCAGGGTGTTTAGGGTGTTTATTACTCGAGTACAATACATGTTTTGAAACTATAGTCACCCTACTCTGTTGCAAACGTTGAATATATTCTTACTGTATGTTTGTATCCTTTAATCCACTTTTCTTTATGCGCTCCTCTCCCCACCACTCACCCTTCCCAGTCTCTGTTATCTTTCCACTCTCTGTCTCTATGTGATCAAAATTTTTAGCTCCCACATATATGTGAGAACGTGTGATATTTATCGTTTTGGGTCTGGCTTATTTCACTAAGATAATGACCTTCAGTCCCATCCATTTTGGTGCAAATGACATGATTTTATCCTTTTTTATGGCCAAATAGCATTTACCAGCCATTGAATGGGTTATGACAGCTTCAAAAACACTGGCTCTCATAAATTCATACAATGAAACAGAATGTTAAAAATAATCAATAAAGGTTTCTTTCAAAATCAGAACTTACTCGTTTCCTTCCCCATCATACACCCATCTAGTAGTGCCAATTCCTTCATAGTTTGAAGCCCAGTAATAAACACAGGCATTAATGTGCAGAATAAACAGCAAGTATCCAGTTGTTCGAATAACTCTGTCAGAGAGAATAGATGCAAAGTAAGATTCATGTTGTTTCTGAAATACAGCCTATTTTAACATTTTCTTTTCCTTAAAGTCACCAGCGAACCCCTTGCTTTGGATTTGTGAACTGTTAACTCTCATTAGTACAGTACAAAGTGATGGTGCCATTGCATGTTTTCTGATGGCAATGTCTTGACTGGGATTGACAGAGTGTAAAGAAAAAAAAAAGAAAAAGAAAACTTCCTCTCTTTTCACAGATGTTGTGAGTCAACTCCGTGAAAGACATGCCTCAAAGGTCACTTCTTCAGTTTAAGTCCCATAAAATACACTATGCTAATTTAACTGGATATCTCTGAAAAGCTCATGAGACTTTATGCTACGATGAATGGCAACTAGAGGTTTCGGTGCAAGTAAAATTTAGAACAACAAACGAATGAAATTCAGATTAGGAATGAATTATCATGAGAAAGGTTTAAAGTTAACTTGCAAAAGAGTATGTTTTTCTGTACTTGTTTTGACAGAGGCAGATAATAAGTCCTATTTTCTTAGTCCAGTATTCTAAAATCTGATATGATTTTCATACTCTTATTTCACTTAAAATATCCACATCTGTTCTAGAACATAGTCCTATATTTTATATAGCCAAAGCTGAAATTATATCCTTTTTTTGAAGAGGGGGGTCATATCCCTGCCAAATTCCGTCTAAAATGTTGTACCATTGCTTTTTCCCCTTCCCCCAAGTATACTGAGTTATACTTTACCTGTAGATATATGCTTTGTCCATTATAGACTCTAGGTGATGATTAAATTCAAAAAATGAAGTGTACTATATAGAAAAGCAAAAGAAATCCAAAAGCATGTTAGTCTTAAATATATATATTTAAATAAAACTATATGAAATAGATTTTATTACTGAAAATAATTTCATTCATATGTCTTTTTAAAAAAACCAAGATCCTGTTTAGTGATATTTTCCTCTGGACAGTACATTTTATAGCATGGTATTATACTTCCAGAGCTTTATTTTGCTTTATTTTATTGCTACCCTGTAGTTATAGTCTTATTTTTAATGTTTGTTGAAAATGAAACTTAAAAAACATTGTTTTCCTTTTTGTTTTGAAAGCATGTAGTAGAACTCTGTTTCCCAACAATTAAAGTCACACTCTCCAAAAACATACATAAAAGAGGAAAAGTATAATGCATTAAAGTTATAAATAGATGTTAAGTCTTATTGCTCAACACTAGCATTATTTTTCAGTAAATTGCATTAAATGTGTATTTGTTTAAACAAAATTTAAAGTTCAGTAAGTATTAGCATTGGCCGTTCTTGACATTATTCAAAGATACAAAGAGTTTATGTGCATCTGATACAAGCAGAGTTACTATTTCCCTCAAGGTTTTTTCTTGCTTGCTTCTACTTTTATCTCAACCTTTTCTGCCTGCATGCACTCCTACTTCCTACTTCCTACTTCCTACTTCCTCTTTTGTTTCTATAGGCAGTAAAGTATGGAATCCAGAGCAAAATGCCAGTTCTATCTCTACCACTTACTACTGTGTAACTGTGGAAAAGTCTCTTGCTATTTCCGTGTCTTGGTTTCCTCATCTGTAAAATGAGATCAATAAGAAAAGATGCCCCCCAAAAGGGTTGTGTGCATACATGAGTTAATATATTTAATGTGCTTCAAATCATAGACTCTTACAGATAGAAGGGACTGCAGAGATTACTTAGTTCAAAATTTTGCCCAACGTAGATATGACTGCAATAGAACGTTTAGAATTAAAAATAGTATATGTAATAGTAATGACTATTTAACTAGAAATATACACAAATGATTTGTTTTTTCCAGAGTTCCTAAGTAGGAAAAAACTTCTTAAACACTCAGATTATAATTTAAATGTGTGGTAATTTGTTTATTGTGCTCTTAATACAAGTTTGCACAAAGGCATGATTTTAAATTTAGCTTAAGTGTTCACTAAAAATAAAATGTATATTCATTTGTTTTCTCATTTATAACTTGGAGACATATAGATGATAAATATTTATCCTAGGGAATTGTGCATTAAGATGACACCCTTAAAAATAAGTTATATGAATGGACTATGGGGCTTTGAAAAGAAGATTAATGTTGACTGTCAGGATCTCCTATATTTAAACATCTAATGGATAGAGAGGGCTTTTGGACATTTTAGGTTACAGAGATGGGGAATGAAGAGTTGGCATTTTATAAGCTTTTATCATAATGCCAGATAAACTCCTAAATCTATAGAAACCTGAGAATTTCTGAAAATTGTTTATGTCCAAGCAGGTACCTTCTGAAATTTCCATGTGAGACTGAAAATTTGATAAGGGATGGCCTGACCACTAGATTGCTTGGAACATTATTGTGTTCCACCTCCATTTATTCTCACATTCCATGGTCAAACCAGAAGTCTCTAGAGTTGTCTCAGATGTTTGGAAATATGGGATAAAGAACCTCTGAAGTTTAAATATCAGAGCAGAGAAAAAAAAACCCTTTCAGCCTGAGGCCTACCCAGTCAATCTGATTATAATAAAGAATTTGGAGTTAGATAAATGTGATAGAGTTCAGACACTGCCCCTCATATGCAGTGTGTCTGGACAGATTTTTCCGCCATGCTAATTCTCATTTTCTTCGTCTCTAAAATGAAGTTGTTGGGAGGAATCAGTGAGATAATGAATATAAAGTTTTAGCAAAGTGTGTAGCCTCAAGTGTGTATTCAACAGACAGCTGCAACTATTATTGTCGTTGTTGTTGTCAGGATCTGCTGGTGTTACCAGGTTATGTTATCTTGTCTTCCCAAGATGCAAAATAGATAATTACCTACAATTTATAAAGTCTTTTGTGATCCCTTTAAGAAGGTTGTTTTTGGAAATATATTGTTGCTATTGTTAAAGATTTACATGAAATTTCAATTTCTGACTCTCCTCAAATTCTTTTTAGGTATCAAATGAAGCTATGAGTTATAAAGTATTTATGTCTTATAACCATTTTGAATAGGTAATACATTCACATAGTTCAAAAACAATATGAAATATATGCTTCCAACAGTCTCACTCTTACTCTTGCCCCTATCCGTCCTGATTTTCCTTCCTGCTTTCCCTTGCCATCTCAGGTAACCACTTTGATGAGTTTCTTTTTGTAGCTTTTCAGTGTTTATGTAAATACACAAAAATTGAATATTTTTCCTTTTCTGTTATACAGAAGGTAGTATTGTTCTATAAACTGTTCTGTAACTAGCTTTTTTACTTAGCAATTTATCTTGAAGTTTTTTCCATATCAGTACATAAAAAGCTTCCTCTTCTTTGTTTTAAAGCTACAAAATGTTCTACTATATAAATTATATAAATATATTTTGGTATATTTAACTAATTCCCTCTTGAGAAACATTTGAGTTATATTCAAGTATGTAAGTAAATGTGATGTGAAAGTATGTGCTCACATACTTGTGAAAGCATGTCTGTGATGTAAAAGTATGTTTACATTTTTTTTTAGAATTACAAAATTTAAGATGAGTAAGATAATTTAGGGTAATCTAACCTAACCCCTTAATTTTACATCCCATACACCATGCATTCAGCAACTGAAAAAGGACAAATAGAAAAAAACAAAAAGTATAAAATACTCATTTGTAATTATAGCTAAATTTAGAAATACAAAGCATCCCTATTTTAGATTATAAAAACATCTGTTATGAGATATGAAATAAAAACCAGGAGCAACTTTCACCAGTAGACATTTTTTTCTTCATTCATTAAAAAAAATTATAGCATTGATGAGGGCAGAAAGATGGAGAAGAGTTTGGGAAAAATTAAGAATATTGATCATTTTAAGATACTTTAAATTGTTTCAAGATTTCCATTATAGGGAAATAGAAATATTTCCATTATAAGGGAAAAGACAATTAAATATAGTTATCTTACCTTTAACATCCTATTTGCTCTAAACATTGGATTAAACCCAAAGAAGAGGTAGCAAATATCAAATGGTATTATTGATGCGACATCCAACTGTTGAAAGAACACATTCACAAATATGTTGTGTTTACATGCCTTTCTGGGAATGGATGGATTTACGCTGATGTCTGTAAAAGTTGACCAATCACAATATATTATTTGTTGTTTAATCCAAAACTGCTTTCAATTAACTATGCATGGGGCTTTTTAAGGCGTATTAGCACCATGAAAACTATTTTGTAGCCTTCTTCCAACATATTTCATTTCCACCTCCATGCATCTGATCTCTCCTTAGGCGTTGCATTTACTGGGATTTTTATTGAGCTGTCACATATACAATGGGCATAGTTGCTAATGTTAAAATACGTTTTAACAGTGTTTTTAACATGGGGCTCTTCGACTAAAAATCAAGTCCATTCTTGATTTTATTTGAAAGCATTGTACTTTCATTGTAGTGATATATTTTTATGTTTCAGCCAATTCTCCTGTGTTCACAGTTGATTATATTGTGGTTCATTTAGGCTCTTCAATGCTTTCTACTCTTGTCTACTTCGAACCATTTTGCTACCAATAAACTGCTTTAAAAGTATCTATCAGAGCCTGTGCAGGCTGAGAGAGGAGAGCAAAGAAATCAATAATGTTTGCAATTAATCAGCAGCTCTGATGGGAGAAGGTATTGAAAATATTATTATAGCTAAGAAATTTTCAAAAATTGTCATGTATTAAAATTATTTTGGCCTTCTGTTACCCTGGTCATTATGAAATGACAATGTCATACTTCATACTTTCTTGATGGCAACAACAATAAGAAATTCTTTTGTGTAAAATAATTATTCATTTTTATTAAATTTTACATGGTCTTAATAGGGTATATGAAAAACTTTAAGACATTTTAAGACAATTAAGAGCAGTTAAGAACATATTGTAAGGCCACACATATAAAATAGAGAGCTGAGGAAGTCCTAGACAGAGGAATCCAGCAAGAGAAAGAAATAAAGGGCATTCACATCAAAAAAGAGGAAATCAAAATATCACTGTTCGCTGATGATATGATCGTATCCTAGAAAACACAAAGACATCTCCAAAAGACTTCTAGATTTGATAAACAAATTCAATAAAGTCTCAGGTTGTGAAATCAATGTACACAAATCAGTAGCACTGCTATACACCAATACACATACAAAAATGACCAAGCTGAGAAGCAAATCAGGAACTCAATCCCTTTACAACAACTGTAAAACAACAACAATAACAAATCCCTAGGAATATACTTAACCAATGAGGTTAAAGATCTCTACAGAGGGAACTACAAAACACTGCTGAGAGAAATCACAGATGACACAAACAAATGGAAACACATCTCATGCTTATGGATTGGAAGGATCAATATTGTAAAAATGACGATACTGCCAAAAGCAATCTACAGATCCAATGCAATTCCCATCAAAATACCAACTTTTTTTTCACAGAATTAGAAAAAACAATTCTAAAATTCATATGGAACTGAAAAAGAGCCCTCACAGCCCAGGCAACCCTAAGCAAAAAGCACAAATCTGAAGGCATTACACTACCAGACTTATAGTTAGCAAAACAGCATGGTACTGGTATAAAAGTAGTACATAGACCAAAGGAACAGAATAGAGAACCCAGAAATAAAGTCAAATACTTATAGCCAACTGGTATTGAACAAAGCATACTAAAACATAAATTGGGGAAAGGACATCTTGTTTAATAAATGGTGCTGGGAAAACTGGCAAGCCACACGTGGAAGAGTGAAACTAGATCCCTATCTCTCACTTTATACAGAAATCAACTCAAGATAAATCAAAGACTTAAATCTAAGACCTGAAACCATAAAAATTGTTGAAGATAACCTTGGAAAAACTCTTCTGGACATTGGCCTAGGCAAAGAATTTATGACTAAAGCCCCAAAAGCAAATACAACAAAAATAAAAATAAATAAATGGGACCTGATTAAAAATGTTTCTTCATATAAAAAGAAATAATCATCAGAATAAACAGACAACTCACAGAATGGGAGGAAATATTTGCAAACTGTGCATCTGACAAAGGACTAGTATCCAGAATCTACAAGGAACTCAAACAAATCAGCAAGAAAAAAACAAATAATCTCTTCAGAAAGTTGGCAAATGCTATTAATAGATATTTTTCAAAAGAAGTTATACAAATGGCCAAAAAACATGAAAAAAATGCCCCCCCGCCCAAATTGCATCATATCATCAAACCTCGTTGATTTTACTCTACAGGTATTGATCTTTGTAACAAGTTAAGAAGTGTACAGAACAGTAATTAAAATAATGTATTTAAAATGAAAAAGCAGGCACACTGTTGACCTGTCTAGTGCTACTCTAAAACCTATAGTTTTCAGCTCAAATCATAATGATTTTTTTTACTTGCTTTCTATTCAATTGCTCAACTCCCCTCTCAACTCCTCTATGATTACAGTCATTAGTCATTAGCCATTTTAATATTAACACATTGGCACAGATTTCTGTAGATCAACCATCTGATCCAGCAATCCCACTACTGGGTATCTACCAAAAGGAAAAGAGTCATTATATGAAAAAGACACATGCACATATAGGTTTATTTCAGCCCAATTCATAATTGCAAAAAATATGGAACCAACCGATCTTTGTAACAAGATTTGTACAGAACAGTAATTAAAATAATGTATTAAAAATAAAAAAGCAGACACACTGTCTGCTTTTTAGTGACCTGTCTAGTCATTAAGGAAATGCAAATTAAAACCACAATGAGATGCCACCTTATTCCTGAAAGTGGCCATATTAAAAAGCCAAAAAACAATAGATGTTGGCATGGATGTGGTAAAAGGGGAGTGTGTATGCACTGCTGGTGGGAATGTAAATATGTAAAACTTCTATGGAAAACAGTATGGACATTCCTTAAACAACTAAAAGTAGATCTACCATTTGATCCAGCAATCCCACTACTGGCTATCTACCCAAAGGAAAAGAAGTCATTATATGAAAAAGACACACGCACATATAGGTTTATTTCAGCCCAATTCATAACTGCAAAAATATGGAACTAACCTAAGTGGCCATTGACCAATGAGTGGATAAAGAAAATTTGGCATATGTACACCATGGAATAATATTTAGACATAAAAAGGAATCAATGTCTTTTGCAGCAACTTGGATGGAGCTGGAGGCCATTATTCTAAGTGAAGTAACTCAGGAATGGAAAACCAAACACTATACGTTCTCACTTATAAGTGGGAGCTAAGCTCTGAGTATGCAAAGGCATACAGAGTGATATAATGGACTTTGAAGACCAGAAGGGGGGGTGTGTTTGGGGTGGGACAAAAAAACTGCATACTGGATACAATGTACACTACTCTGGTGATGGGTGCACTGAAATCTCATAATTTACCACTATATAATTCATCCATGTAACCAAAAACCACTTGTACCCCAAAAGCATAGAGTTGAGATAATTAATTGCCTAACAATTTCAAAGCCTGCCGATATTGAACAAGAATAGGGACTTCTGGTTTGAATTAACCAGATTAGCTATTATAAACAAATTACTTACTAAAAGTATTGGCTTAGAAATTGCATCATATCATCAAACCTCATTGATTTCACTGTAGAGGTATCGATCTTTGTAACAAGTTAAGTGTACAGAACGTAATTAAAATAATGTATTTAAAATAAAAAAGCAGATACACTGTTGACATAGTGCTACCCTAAAACTTACAGTTTTTGGCTTAAATCATAACGATCTTTTTGCTTGCTTTCTATTCAATTCCTCAACTCCCCTCTCAACTTCTCTAGGCAGACAGTCATTAATCATTGACCATTTTTGGCACAGATTTGTGTAGACAGAGATAATTTATTTCTCATTGAACTGTAGAAAATTGAATTGAAGTATTGACCAACACTAAACCCTGTGCAAGACAATTTGCAAAGCATGTTGGGGTTGAAATAGGAGTAAGATATTGTTTCTATTCACAAGAAGTTAACAAGCTAATAGTGAATGATCAGGTACAAAAATACAGTCATTTGTCACTTAACAACAGGGACATATTCTGAGAAATGCATTGTTAGGTGATTTCATCATGTGAATATCATAGCATGTACTTACATAAACCTAGATGTATTGCCTACTACACACGTAGGTGGTATGGTATAGACATACAAGCCTAGGCTTCTAGGCTACAGGCCTAGGAGCATGTTACTGTACAGCATGCTCTGTATATTACAGTATATTATTGTATGTTACTGTACAGCATGTTACTGTACTGAGTACTGTAGGGAATTGTAACACAATGGTAAATATCTTTGCATCTAAACACATCTAAACATTGAAAAGGTACAGTTAAAAATATGATACGAAAGATAAAAAATGGTACACCTGTATAGGATACTTACCATGAATGGAGCTTGCAGGACTGGAACTTGCTCTGGGTGAGTCAATGAGCGAGTAGTGAGTGACTGAAGGCCTAGGACATTACTGTACACTACTGTAGACTTTATAAACACTGTAGAGTTAGGCTACACTAAATTTATTTAACAATTTTTTCTTTAATAATAAAGTAAACCTAGCTCACTGTAACTATTTTACTTTATAAGCTTTTGAATTTTTAAAAACTTTTTTACTCTTTTGTAATAACACTTAGCTTAAAACACTCATTGTGCAGCTATACAAAAGTATTTTCATTATATATGTATTATATAAGCTTTTTTCTATTTTAAAATGTTTTTATTTTTACTTTTAAGCTTTTTTGTTAAAAACCAAGACACAAGCACACAAATTAGCCTAGGCTTACACAGGGTCAGGATCATCAATATCACTGTCTTCCACATCCACATCTTGCCCCACTGGAAGGTCTTCAGGCTCCATAACATGGGTGGAGCTGTCATTTCCTATAATAACAATGCCTTCTTCTGGAATGCCTCCTGAAAGATTTGCCTGAGGCTGTTTTACAATTAACTTTTAAAAAAATTCATAGGAGTACATTCCGAAATAACAATAAAGAGTACAGGATAGTAAATACATAAGCTAGTAATATAGTTGTTTATTGCCATTATCCCCAATATTATGTACCATACATATTAGTATGTACTATACTTTTATATGACTGGCAGCCCAGTAGGTTTGTTTACACCAGCATCACTGCAAACAGGTGAATAACACATTGCACTGTAATGTTATGATGGCTGTGATGTCACTAGGCAATAGGGATTTTTCGGCTCCCTTATAATCTTATGGGACCATCACCATATATGTGGTCTGTCATTGACTGAAATGCCATTATGCTAACACATATTAAATATATAAATTAATTTAGTCCTTATTCAAACTCAGGAAAGTAAGAGTTTGGAATAAGCTTTATGGCATTACAAAAGTATTTATCCTCTTTGTAGAATTCATCAAAGCAGCATAGAGATCTTTTATGAATATGCCTAAGTATGTGGCAATATTTAATAAAGAAAATTAGTCGGAGATTAAAAAAAAAACAATTGAAAGGGATGTAATCATTGTAGATTTCCAACAAGGATAGTCTGAGACCTAAACCCAGATTTGTATTTTTAAACAAACTCTGAGGCCACTAAAGAATTGTCTTTGAAGTGAGAGGCTAGAGTTCACTCCAATTGGGTAAACCTAAATAACCCCTGACCTCTGCCTATTTCTCAGAGAACAAAGTACTTAGAAAATAATTATGGGCAATAAAACGTTATGTTTTAGGAAAGGAACGTTCCATGTTATCTAAACAATTGCTTCTCTTCTATTAATAATTTTTATTTTGAATATATGAGAACAAGAAAGAAGCGGGAGTAAAAACAATTTTGCAAACCTTTACAACATCATGCTACATTAATTGGGGGCTAGAATTTTGTAGACAAGACAAAGTATACAACCCATATTCCTTTACTGATGTGTAAATTAGAATTCAAATCTGGGCACTAACTTATTTTGGTCTGCTTAATAAGGGCTTATATGTTGAATTACCCACTTGCACATACAAGGAAACATATCAGGTAATTATTGAGAGGCAGAAACTTCAGGCTTATCATTGTCTAATAAAACTTCGTATGTACAAACTTTGTTTATAGAAATCTATAGATGGGATTTAAAGTCAAAATGGTAATAGATCACGTGAGCAACTTTGAAATTGTTTGTCACCTACCTGAAATTTTGTAGAAGTCCTGTAGTGTTTCCTTAGCTCATTTGAATCCACCTGAAAGATATTTGTATTTTCATTAATTTTAGCCAATTTCATCAATTATTTTTTTCTCACTTTTAAATTTATAACTGTTTCTCTTGGTTGGTTCCTTCCAATCTCAGCCAATAAACATCCTCCATATTCCCAGGTATTAAAACAAAAAATGTTTGGCTTTAGTTTTCTTCTTACTATTGCCCTATTGTTTGCCACAATCAAGCTTCTCAAGAGAGTTGCCTACCTGCTTTACTCTATATCCTTCCCTCACATTCATCCTTAACTCATGGCAATTTGGTGGCAATTTGGCTTCTTCCTGCTTCTCTCATTGCATCAAGGCTAACAGTGCAAAGGTCACCAATGATCTCCTAATGATCATGCCCAGGATATCCTTTATGGCACTTAGCATCCTGTTATGGCATTCATCATGATTTGAAATGACACGTATACTGCTTGGCTCATTTACTTAAAATTAGTCTACTCCATTAAACGGTAATCTATCTGAGGACAGGTTTGATTTTGTTTAGCAACTAAATTTAACTAGTGCCTAGAATATACTAAAAGCCCAATAAATATTTATTAACTGAATGAATAAAGAAATGGAGAGATGAATAAAACCTCTGAAGCATTAAAAATTTTTTGGACAATTTTTTTCCATGAAACTTTTTCTTTTCAAAGAATCTGTAATCCCACTCTTAGTTTACTTATATCTTCACTTCCTACTTTTCAGTTTTCTTGGATTCTTGGGCTAGTCATTTAAAAGTCAACATTCCCCAGGATTTAGCTCTCTTCTCTTTTCTCATCATACTTGCTTCCTGGGAAATCTCACCCACATTTATAGTTTCAGAGATTACCGTGCGGGTTGATGCTACCAAATCTCTACTTCCACTAATATCACTTTCTTGAGCTGTTGATGGGTAAGCAACTGCCCATTGTCCTCTTCACTTAGCAGATCCA
Organism: Homo sapiens; assembly: GCF_000001405.40. Taxonomy (NCBI): domain Eukaryota; kingdom Metazoa; phylum Chordata; class Mammalia; order Primates; family Hominidae; genus Homo; species Homo sapiens. Next base: position 86,654,999 of record NC_000008.11, read on the forward strand.
CTGCACCAAACCTGAATTCATCATCATTCTTCATTCTCCTTGAGCCAAACTGCTGCTCCTCCTGCTTCCGAGTATCCTATGAGCAATCTCATCTACACTGCTTAGTGGTCCTACACTGCACATTCTCCCTCAGCCCTGATACAACCAATAGCCAAGTTCTACTCATTCTTCCTAAAATTTTCTCATGGCCATTCTCTGCTTTCTGGCACTGCTGTCTCTGCCTTTAGTCTTGTTCCCCTTGATCCATTCTACAGTGGCCGCCAGATGATCTCTAAATCAGATCACTTAAAATCCTCATTTATGTCAAATCCTGCAACTCCACATGATTTTAAGGAAAAAAGTGCAAGCACCTTTTCAGGGTATACAAAGCTCTACTTTCTGTTTTCCACTCACTTCCCGGAGCATCCCAGAAACAGAACCCACTCTGTTCAGCATTTCCTCAAATGCGTCAGAGGGATGCCTTTGCCCATGCTGTCCCAGAGCTCAGAACATGTTTTTCTTTTTTTCTTGTGGAGGAAAAAGGTGCAGGTAACTCCAACTCATCCATCAAGATTTGGACTAAGGGTCTTCTCTGTCAGATGGTTTTCTCTGAGCCTTATAGCACCCTGGGCATGCCTTTTCATGACTCACAACATAAAATCCCACCATTTTTCTTTTGTTGGTCTGTCCTAGACATTCTGAGCTATGTAAGACAGTAGGGTCCAATCTTTGTCCTCTATTTCCTCAGTTCCTAACACAGTGTCTAACACACAGTAGGTGTTCAATAAATGTGTGACGAGTGATAGATGACTAGAGTGGCATTTGTTAATATTCAGACCTAAAATAATTAATTTGAATATTGGACTTTTATGTTTCACTTATATGTAGTAAAGGATTTTCTAAGGGCTCTTAATTAGTTGACCAAAGCATTATAACTTGGACACATGGAAGTAGCGTCTTCTAACAATTATCATTCAGGCTGTCTGGAAGTTTTAAACTGCTGCTTGATCAATGTTAAAGATTGGTTAGTCAACTCCCTAGTTACTCCCCACACTACTGACTTTTTTGGCTATAATTTTTACTCATATACATGTACTAAATTTTACAGAAATATATTAGAAAATATATGACATGCTCATTTAATGATTTTTACTGTGAAACAAAATGGCTTACTGAGCCATGGGTAGACATAGATACGGCTTCAAATAAATAGTGTTATAAATCATGTACCACAAGAGTAAAATCAGTCACTTCCCTCAAAGTTTATATGGGACAGCCAGATAGATATCAAGTGCTAGACAGTTAAGTTAAAATACTACCTCCACCCTGCACTCAGGAAGAATGTTCTTAGCATATTTGTCTGTTTACTTTCAAGGTTGTCTATGATTCTATGATTGAATAAATGTAAATGCAACTAAAACTTGCTAGATTAAATGAAATGTGATTTAGTGATTTTAAAATCTATCTTCTTTAGAGCAGTAAATAAACTTGGCATCATTAGCCTTATGAGGATCAGCATGCTTACCGGTAACAATTAGGTACTTATTTTTAAAATGTCACCCCACTTAATTATCTCTCCCTCTTTTAAGCCTCATGATTATACCAGTGACATTTCTTCAGGGGAGGCTTACTTTAGGAAGGATATGCTAATTGCACCTAAATCCTTTTCCAATAGATAGCTTTTGAAGAAGATCTACTCAGGTGTTAGTATATTTACTTAGTATTTACCTCTTCTTTCTGCTCCCACCCCCCCAACCAAAATGGCTAAATCCATTTATTCCAAAAGAAAAAGCAAAATAAACAGAAGTTGCATCACCAGGGCACCATGACCCCATCCTTGCCTCCTTTCTCTGTCCCGTACTATCAATAAAGAAGTTTCCCAGTCCCAAATAATTACTAGAACCTCCTCCCCATGTACCAGCTTCAACCTCCTCTATGTATGATACAGGGGGTGGCCCTACCCTGGAATATACAAAATTTTACACAGATAGAATATGTACACTGGGGAAGGGGAGCCACCCCCAGCAGCCTGTTCTCTTGCCTGGTCTACATTTAGCCCCATTGTCCTGCCTCAGCTGCCTCTCTGAGTAAGAAGATGGGAGCCCCCGTGAAGGAAAAGTTGCTTAGTGAGTCAGGCCATCAGGGAGGCCACCAGGCCTCCTGCAAATAAATCAACCCTATGAGCCTCTGGCTCTTAAATAACAACATAATCATCCAGAAATTAAGGACTCAGCCCTGGCCAAGGTGGCAAAGGGTCTGCACTTGTTTGTCTCCCCCCATCACACAGGGGTCTTACCTTGCTCCTCTAAGGATAATGGGGTGACTGGGAAGGGGTGGTAAGGACCTGGTGGGGATGGAGCCTCTGGCCCCACTTCTCCAAGCTTTGCTGACAGTGGCCGGCTTTTAGATGATGGTGATCTTCACCTCATTTCTTGTCAGCATGATAGAAAAATGGAATGCAGGGGTTGCTGCCCAAGCCTGGGTGCTCCTGGGGGTTCTGCATCTCAGGAAGCAGTTGCATAATCTGCTGTGCAGTGGGATTGTCATGGGGAGAACCCTCCCTGGCCTCTTCTTGTGCAGGCTCCATGCTGTGGGCGAGGCTCATCTTGCAAAGATCACCCTGTTTGTTGGCAGCCCCGAGCTCCTGTGGGAGCTGGGGCACCTGGAGCGGGCTAATCAACAGGGTTCTTGGCAGCTGCCAGGAATTTGCCATGCCACTTGTTGTGGTTGCCCACAAGCCGCAACACCAGCTCCTGCAGCTCCTGCAGCTCCAGCAGCTCCAGCAGCTTCACCTTCATCTCCTCCTTGTCCTGGGCCAGGCTGCTGATGTATTCCTTCTGGTGCCACGTCTTCAGCACTGACCTCTAGCTCTGGTACAGTGTGATGTACTTTCCTGCGGGAGGACAGGGTTCAGACGCTGGGACCCCTCTGACCACCGTGCAGCTCCCCCTGCCATGCCCTGGCCTCCCCCTCACTGATGACGTCTGTCTCTCCAGACAGCTGGATGCAGCGACGTTCCAGTTTTTCCATCTGCTCCTTCAGGTCCACCTTCTCCTGCATGAGCTCCATAAAGTGGCTCTGCAGCTTCTCCATGGCCCCCTGCAGGGCCGGGTGGGCCTCCCCACACACAGAATCGCCTCCAGTCCCTGGGACTAGGGCTGCTGCCTCTGGCTCCTTCTGGACTGAGGCCACCAGGTGAGCCAGACACTGACAGCCTGACAGCTCACCCTTTGCTCCTTCAGCTGCCCACGTGGCCATGCCTGCTCCTCCTCGGCACTGGCCACAGCTGAGTTTAAAAATGCCACCATGGCCTCCCGACTCTCCAGTTCCTCCGGGATGCTTGGCATGAGCGGAAGCGCCTCCTCCTCACTGTCCAGTCCATCTCCTTCCCCATGGAGAGCCATGAGGGTCAGCTGGGCCTGTGGCTGCTACTTCTGCTGGCTGGTAGCTTCCAGGTGCTCCTGGGTCTCCTGCAACCCTTGGCAGGCCATCTTGGCCACGACTTTGCCCTGAGCTTCCTCCTGCTGCAGCTGGTCTATGAGCTGGGTCTGCAGCAGTAACTGCTTGTGGAGCTCCTTCTCATAGGGCACCTGCTGATAGGTGGCCACATACTGCTGCAGGTGACCCAGGTACTGATCTCACTACTGCTGTAGACTCTGAGCCTCTTGGCTCTTCAGCTCTACCATCTCCTTCAGCTCACCCAGCTTCTCGCTCGGCTCTTTCTTGATGTGCTGCTCCGACTGTGGTGTGCTGGTGATCTCCATGTTCTCATTGTTCAGCTTCATGAAGCCAGTCTGCAACTTGGCCAGCTGCTCTTTGAGCTCACCATTCTGGAAGACTGCATGACTGATGGTGGTGAGGTCATTCTGCATGGTCTCCAGGGTTTGCCTGTGCACCTCCACCTGCTCCTCCCAGAGCTCAGCCTTCTGCTCTAGCTCCAGCAGCCTCTCCTCCTGCTCTCGGTTCAGGAGACTCAAGCCCTCATTGTCTTGCACCTGGGCTTGGAGCTGTCCTGCCAGACCCTCCAGCTCCTTCCGCAGGTGCTCGGCCTCCACTTATAGCTGCTGCTCCACCTCAGAGGGCCCTGCTGGGGGCTCCAGGAGCAGGGGTTCAGCGATCTGTTCCCTCAGTTTGGCCAAGCTGGTCTCCAGCTCCTGTACCCGAGTCATGCTGTGCTCCTTCTCCTCCCTCAATGTGTGCACCTGCTCTGACATCGGCTGCATCCTCTGCTACCGCATGGCCCTCCCTCCTTTCAGATTTTCAGTATATTGGTCTTTCTCCATCTGTAGCTGTTTCAGCAACTCCATAACCTGCCCCAGGTGTGCTTCCAGCTGTGCCTGCTCCTCCATGGCCTGCTGTAACTGCTGGTTAGCATCAGGGGGTTCACACTGGCTTGAGGACTATTGAAGCAGGAGCTTGGCCTCTCCAGCTTCTTTTGCAGATCCTCCAAGTTGAGCTGGATTCCTGACTTCTCTGTCACTAGGACTCAAATTTCTCTTCTAATTCTGAGTTCTGTGGCTTCAGATCCTCATATAACTCCAGCCTGAGGGCATCTCTCTCCTTGGTTAACTCTTTGTTGTATTTGTGTCTTCTTCTGCTATGTAGAGACAGCAGAGAGAGCCCACTCCAACTCTCCCACACGCGCCAGGAATACTGCAGGCAGCTGGCCAGATCCTTTGACTCTCCTTCAAACTGCCTGGCAGCATGCTGAGTGTAATACAGAGCTGTCCATAACTCTGCCTTCTCGGACATGAGGATCCCTATGGTCTGAATTTGAACCTGTAACCACTCCCTTTGGCTCCCTGCTTTCAGTTGCTTGCTTTCTTTTCTTCTTCCAGTTGATCCAGAATTTCTTGGTTTTGTTGTTTCTCCAGATCCTTCAGGTTAGCAGATGATGCAGGGCCCTCCCCATTGACAAAGGATGTAGACTCAGAGGCAAGACAATTGAGCTGTTGAAGAGTTGTCCTGGGCTCTTGATCAATGAGAAAGTCTTGGTTTCATCCATGAGATTGGGACCAATGTCAGCATCATGATTCTGAGGTGCCGCCATGCTAGTGAGACTGGCACCAGGGGAAGAGACACCACCAGCTAACATGGTGTCATGAGCAGACAGTTGTAGAGGAGAAAGCATGGTCTTTGCACATATCCTCAGGTGAATGGCAACCACCAGAAGTGGTTGTCTCAGGATTGCTGCCATTTTTCATTTTCTCCTTTTTTGCTCTTGTACCTACACCAGAGTTGTTTGTATGCTGATATTCTCTCAATGTTTTCTTGGCCACAGCCAATTTGCTCTGTAGGGTTTCTTCAGACATCACAGGCAGGGTGGGAGGTGGGGTTGGGGCCATATCAGCACGATCCTGGCAACCACTGCTAAACACATCCAGTCATCTACCGGGCAGATGTGCAACTGATCCAGAGGAGAGTTAACCAGGGCCACACTAGAACTCAGAATAGGGTGTGGTCTCAATGCTCCAAGCCCATTGGTCAATGAGAAAGATGAAAGGGAAAGGAAGCATGGCCAGGTGGCAGCATGTCCAGAGGGACGATTTTTCTCATGCATCTGTACAATGGAATTATAGGATTGTTGGGCTCTTGCTAGATTATATTGATTCTTATTAGCTCCAAACTGCACTCTGGCTTTGCCTCTGACTAAGATGGCATTTATTTGCATAATGACCAATTCTTTTGTGTAGGCACAGCTACAGCCCTGTTTTGTGAGAAGTTCCATACACAGTGCTCCCCCATCCAATACATATCCTCCTGAGAGAACAGGTAACACCACTCAAACAAATGGAGGATAAAATGGAAAATTGTCCTGCTACCCTCCAAAGTCTATGAATACCAATACTAATAACTTGGCAATTCAGTTTAAGGTCCTCTTCATAAGGCCAGTTAGCTCAAGGCAATAACATTCTTCCCAGGCCTCTTAAGAAATACTCCTACCCCAGAAAAGGCCCTTCTTTCTGGTGTTAGGAGCCATGGTCCAGAAACACAAATCCAGTAGCATTTCAGCCATTTACCTCTCAGATCGCCTCCTCCCTAAAGTTCTACTTTCCTGGGTTTTTTTGTGTTTTGTGTTTGGCCTTGGTTCTTCATTCGTTCCCCCATATGAGTCAGTAAAAATGTAGCCATTAGCAACTTCAGTTAATATATAACAGATTCATACTTTAGGACGACAACCCAGTTGACAACCACAACAGTTTCTTAAAAGACATGTTAAACAAAATATATTCTATGCTTTCTTTTTCTTTTTTGATCTGAAGATCATTGTGCAAAAGACTATCAGGGTCGACCTTCTGCAGTTTAACATGCCAGTCATGTACTGTCATTTACGAGTTCCACTGAATAAATCCTTTTCAAGCAATATTGCTTTGCTTTTGCCAGAAGATAAAAATCATGTAAGAGTTAATTCTCTATCAGGAAGAGGACAAAAAAATTCCAGCAGACCTGTTTTATGTTTTATAACTCCATGATCTGCATACGTCCCTGAGCTCTTTCATAAGTCCATCTGAAACTTGCACTGACCCAAACACCACATCACATTTAAATGGCCTTGACTTTGAGTCTTCCTAATTTTCTCTAATGTTGCCAAATTTTCTTTTTCAATTCCTTCATCCTCCAACTTTTTCCCACTAATAAGTTCTTCTTTCTTCATCTTACAGTGATTTAAGTATTTTATATCTCCAGCCATCTCTTCTTCCTCTTCTTCTGAAGTCACTTCTATTTTCCCATTCTGACCCATGGGTAGTGGTTGATCTAGCATCTCAAACATCCAGGTGCTTAGGAAGGTTATATAATCTGCAGAGTTCACATATCAACCACTTCAATTGCTGACGAAGGTAATTGTTGTTCTCAGTATCTTCTGGACGTTCCAGAACTGATGTCAGATTTGGGTCATCACAGTCCACAAACCATATTGGTGAAAAAGATGGATAGGATTCTTGGAATCTCTAGGCACGAGAAGAGGCTCAACCCATCATGGAACAGTCCTGGCCTCCGTGGTGTCTTGTCCACAGGAGATTCGGCAATGTGTAAATATTCAGGAGACTGGCCCAGGTGCAGGGCTGCGAGGGTGCGCTGCTGTCCCCGTGCCGCCGCCGCCAACTCAGTCCGCAAAGCTGAGCATGGGGCGCCACTGCAGCTCTTTGTGAGCCTGCGCCAAGCCGCACACCGCAACCCGTATTCACTCCTTCTGATAAACAATTCACAGAAACTTCATAATTTTACACAGGACAGATGGAAGAAGTATTTTAAAATAATATTACCTGAAACAATTATAATGCAGATTAAATAATTATTCAAAGAAATAAAATCCTCGAACTGAGATTATCATTCATTCACTCCTTCAAACATTTCTTGAGTATACTCTAAGTTCCTAGGGTAGATAAATAAGTGAATCGAATACTGTCCCTACTCTCAAGAAACTTATCCTCAGGTAAGAAAGAGAGATACATAGACAAATAGGAGACAAGAGGGAAAAGTGAAGTGTGTGGACAACCATTCATTTAATTCATTTGACAATCAATTGTGTATTTTCTATATGCCAGACCCTGAGCTAGGTGTCTTATTCAATCTTCATAATAGGTTTATGAGGTGGGTACTGCGATAGCCAGGTGGGAGGGGGTTGCTGGAGAAACTCCAACCAGCCTGCCCACTGAGGTGGAGCCTTGGAAAGTTTGCTACATTTGCAGTAGGGAGGAGCCTGGTCCCTCCTCTTCCTGTGTGGAACCTGGAATTCGAACAGTGGGCACAAGCACTCTAGCAGGGGGCTCTGACCTTGTGGAGGATCCCTGTTTCCCCCCTTTTTAAACCTTTTCACACAATAAAGCCCTGCTTCAGTCACCCTTCAAACCGTCTCCGAGCCTAAATTTTCATGGCCATGGGAGAGCCAAGGACCCTGTCTTTAGCTGAACTAAGGAAAAGTCCTGCAACAGTACGACTATTCCCATTTTGGGGGATGAAAAAGATTGTATTCAATAAAAGGGTAAGTTTAGTTTCTTCAAGTTAATGCTATTAGCAAATTTCAGAAGTGAAATTTGACCCCAGACTGTTGGTTTCTACTACTTCATAATTAGCCTAATCGATATTTAACACAATTAAATAACAGAATTATGAGTAAAGTGTAGGAAACACAGAGAAGGGAGTGGTTTTCTTCAGATTGGTTTATAAAGAGCAATTGAGAGGATTAAGTACCAAAAGCAGTTGATTATAAAGGAAGGCCTAATTGACATTGTAACTAGATGACACTGAGGATTTCTGTGAATTTTGTGATTGGTAGGTTTAGCAAAGGGCTGTGCATGTGAGTGTCTCTTATCTAAATAATCTTCACTGTCATTTCCAACTCAATTTCTGCTATCTATAAAGGAAATTACATACAAGAGACTTTTTGTTTGACTGCGTTTCAAAATTCTGTTATCTTTGTAGCACCACTTTTAGGAGCAAGATTTTATAAATAAATGCTGTGAAAAACTTGTAAGGCCTCCTGGTTTCTATTGTAGCTGTTAGCACCTCAATCTGTTGTCTGTTACTTGCTTATTTTCCTTCAAGGCCTTGGGGAATTCATATTTCCATCCTCCAGTTATGGTGCATTTATTTAATAAATTAAGTAGATGTATCTACCTAGCAACTGTAAGTATTTAATAAATGTCTCTTGAATGAATGATTCAGTGGTGTTACCAATGGTAGCATGGATAGCTAAATATGAGACCTTCAGGTTGGGTACTCAATGTGCATAGTCTTCTTACCAAAATGTAATCAAGTTTCAAAGGCTGCAGCTACTTACTCTAAATTAAAGAAACCATTAAACTTCTTTTGAACAAACAAAGCAATTATTTCCTGCTCTATATTTGTAGCTTATGATAATGCATTTTAAATAGAGCCTGTTGAGTGTGTTTTTTACCGGTTATTTTTCTTGGTTTTAACACTTCATTGTGTGCAAAAGCCTCTTAGAAAATTGAAAATAAAAGTCTCCCTTTACTGATTTTGTCATTTTCCATTTGTCAAACATTGATTTTCTCCCCCCTTGTGAGTCTAATGGAGGTTGAAATTAGTGTTCCTTTTGTTGTTGTTTACTTCTTATTTGTACACCGTCATCACCATTCATCAAGCTGCCAGGTTGCTCTGGGGATGGTGCTGGTGATTTAACTAATGCTATAAAGTCTGCACAAGGAATTTTTTGAATAGACTTTTGGCATAGCTTTGGCTTTTGCCTTTAGTATTTCTTTCTAGGAAAGATTTCAAATATAGAAAACACTTCCCAGAAAATGACAATTATTTTAAGGAAGAAAAAAATATTCAAAGCTATTCCTTTCAGCTTTTTGATAATTTAAGACCTTCTGAAGATTCAACAGAAAATATTAAGGAGATTAAGCGACCTAACTGTCTTCTTCAAAATTCTACATGGACCTAAGATGCCATATAGGCAGTCAGTCTGCTCTTCCTATTGTGATATTGGAGGACATGTTCTGTGCAGCCCTTGCTGAGCCTTGGGAGGAGGATGGCACATTGGCCACAGTTGGAAAGGTAGCTTCCTTCTAGTTAGCTGGGGAAGGGGCTTGGGGTAGTGGTTATAAGACTTGGGTTTGTGCTTGTGAAAACACATTTTTCTGTTTCTTAGATTGATTGGATTGACAATAAACTTCCCTCAACACTGAGAATAAATCCAGGAGAAGATAATTTCTCCTAAGGGTAAGAATGCTAATTTCTTAGGAAGGGCACTGCATTTGATCATGAGAAATAGGATGTGATGAATTTGGCAAGTAAAGAATAAAAAGATAGACCTGTAGATGCCATATTCATTAAAAAACAAAACACCAGTGGAGGTGTTCTACGTACTTGTGATTTGCCCATATCTGTGAGGGGTGTGGCTACCTCTCTGTGGTTTGGCTGTATTGATGGAGATATGGATGGCTCATTGCTCTTTCATTCTCTTACCACACTGAATAATAGTATATTTTGCAATGGTGGAAATCTTCTGTGCTGTCCACCAGACACATGGTTGTTGAGTTCTGAGAATATGAACAATGTGGCTGAGAAACCTGAATGTTTAATGGTATTTAATTGTAACTAATTCAAATTTAAATTTGAATGGACATATTTGCCTAGCGGTCACCATATTGGACAGTGCGGTGAATCTATATTGATTAAAATGGTCATGACCATATAATAGCCAAAAAACAAGTGAAAAAATGCTCCACATCACTAATCATCAGAGGAATGCAAATCAAAACCACAATGAGATACCATCTCATACAAGTCAGAATGGCTATTACTAAAAAGTCAAAAAACAGCTGATGCTGGCAAAGGCTGCAGAGAAAAGGGAGCACTTATAAACTGTTGGTAGGAGGGTAAATTAGTTCAGCCACTGTGGAAATCAACTTGGAGATTTCTCAAAAAACTTAAAACAGACCTACCATTTGACCCAGCAATCCCATTACTGGGTATATATCCAAAAGAAGACAAATCTTTCTAACAAAAAGACACATGCACCTGCATGTTCATCGCAGCATTATTCACAATAGCAAAGACATGAAATCATTCTAAGTACCCACTAACAGTGGGACTGAATAAAGAGAATGTGGCACATATACACCATGGAACGAGATCATGTCCTTTGCAGGAACATGGATGCAGCTGGAGGCCCTTATCTTAAGCAAATTAATGCAGGAACAGAAAAACAAATACAGCATGTTTTCACTTATAAGTGAAACATTGGATACTTATGGACATAAAGATCAGAACAATAGAAACTGGGGATGACTAGAGGGAGGAGGAATGCAGGGAGGAAGTGGGGGAGGGCAGAAAACCTAATTATTGGGTACTATGTCCAGTACCTGGGCCAATCGTACCCCAAACCTCAGCATCACCCAAGATACCCAGGTAACAAACCTGTATGTGTATCTCCTGAATATAAAATAAAAATTGGGGAAAAAAAAGGGTCATGAAAGCTTTGCTTTGTAAGTTAGGTTTTCCCAAAGTGTCCAGGCCTAAAACCCTGTGCTTGATTTCTCTACTACATGGAGGCACTTCACTTGGTTCCTACTACACAAAGATAAACAAGGCACAGTCCGTGTCCTAAAATATTACAGCCTAGTACTTTCTCACAACACCAGGCTGTCTCCTAAGAAGGTTGAGTAGGTTCTAATGAGTGAAATAATACCTATCTTATTTTTAAAAGTATTGAAGTGAACGGTAGACTGTAATGTGATAGAAAACAACTGCTTCACAGACTGTTTGAGGCTTGATTACCAGAGGACTATATATTAAATGGTTTCTTCTTTTGGTATTGATAATTGATCTATTTAAAAAACATTATTTAGGTAAAATATGTGGATAGTTTCAACATTTCAGACTTGGCACTCTCTTTGTAGGCTCAAGTATTGTCAAATTCTGAAACACTTGCTAACCTGAACCTGCGTGATTGTAGAGGCAAGGCCTGGGTTAGGATCCTGGCTCAGCTACTATCCAGCTTTGGGCTTTGAGCAAATAACCTCCCTCTCTAAACCTCAGTTTCCTCATTTGTAAATGGGGCTAATTACATCTTTTTCATAGTGTCATTGAAAGGATTAAGGGAAGTATTATAAATAAGTTAACTAGAACAATAATGCTAGCTGACATTTAATACTCATTCACTAGGCACCAGACACAATCTAGGCACTTCACAGGCCTCAACTTATTTAATCTTTCCATCAATATTATGATGGTGTTTTTGTTATTTTCACTTTAAATATGAGGAAACTAAGGTACAGGGAGATGCATGTTCTCCAGCACATTGTGAACACTCAATGGCTGTTTTATAATTGTTTTCTTGTTATTATTGCTCATGACTTCTTGCAATTATCCATGCAGATAGCCAGTCAAACATTAAATAAAACAATGCTGTTACTTTTTGTAGCCCAATTAGATGTTATTCACGTTTCAGTTTCTGCCTTTCCCGAACCCCACTTACTATTATGTCTCCTCCTCTTACAAACTGGAGTCTGGGCTGGATAAATAGCATATCATAAAGGTAGATGATATCACATATGATGTCCGCAATAAGCCAGTAGTGTATGTTGTCTGCGGTTTGATATGGGAAGACGAGGCGCAGTGGTATAAAACAGCAGTTCCAGTTATAGGCAAGAGTGACAAGCAAGAGCCACAGGAGATAGAGTCGATCTGGAAAAACAGCAAGTGGTGAAATCCAAATGACATAGAACAAACACAGAAAGAATTCTGTTGCTTAGTTTGGGGAGGTTGGGGCACTACCCTCTACAGAGTAATTTGCCATAGGAGGCTCTATTAAACATTCAACACCATTCTGCCTCTGGACTGTGAGGCTCCGGGCTTTACAAGAGATGTTAAATGATCTTATCACCTCTTCCGAAAGTGGAGAGTTTCCTTCCAGTCTCCTTAAGAAGTGGCCCCTCTGAGTCTGTCCACACAGGTAGCTGTACTATTTGGATCAGGCAACGAGAATTTCAAGAAAAGTTGGAAGGACTTTGCACAGACATCACTGCAGCCACAGATCTTTAGTTCCTCAGTAGTTAAGTTGCAGGATTGATTGCCCAGGGCAGGTGGCAGAAAGGCCACATCCTGCCAGAAGGAGTATGGCACTGAATGGGAGGGCAGAGGGTCAGCCCATTAAAGTAGTCCATGTCCCTTCACACATAGCCCTTCTCTGCCTCTGGGAGGCTGCAGGAAAGGATTTGTTCAATTAGAATAATCAACAATGTGAAGCCATGGAAGAAGACTGACACTTTATAATGATGTGTGAGTGTGTCAGTGCACATATTGCGGAGTGCTTTGGGCCTTCTTTTCAAAGGTAATTAGGGGCAGGAGAGGATCTGGACTGCCTTTTAAATATAGGCAGGAATATTGTATTTCTTGTCTTCACCAAAGATGGGCAAATGATCCTTTGCAGGTTATTTAATTTAAATTCTGCTTCCTAGTTAGATTGAGAATATGAAGTAAGGAAAATAGAAGCTATCTGTGACTTTGAGTCACAGGGTTTCTTGGTGATAGCCAGCCCTCCCACTATGATAATTCACCCTTTGATAATACCTGTGTATGAATCTATGCTGTTTGGAAGTTTAATTCGCTTTAAGTACTCTGTTAAAGGCATCTTTTTGACTTTGAACCACAACAGCCTGTAGTAATGTTCTGTTGGCTTATCATCGCTTTCTTTTACTGGTGGTACAGCCGTGGGCTTTGCTTCATAGGGAAAAAAAAAAAGATGAAACATTTGAAGAGGTTAAGTTAGTTTAGTTAAAAACTTGAATTTCTTAACCAAACACCGCATGTTCTCACTCATAAGTGGGAGTTGAACAATGAGAACATATGGGCACAGGGAGGGGAACATCACACACTGGGGTCTATCGGGGGGTGGGGGACAAGGGGAGGGATAACATTAGGAAAAATACCTAATGTAGATGATGGGATGATGGGTGCAGCAAACCACCATAGCCCATGTATACCTATGTAACAAACCTGCATGTTCTGCACATGTATCCCAGAACTTAAAGTATAAAAAAATCCAAAAAACTTGAATTTCTTAAAGTCGGAACGTTTATGAATCTTCCTCTTTTGATACAGACAGATGAAACAAAACCTTCATGACATTTAAAATAGTGACATTTATTTCACTGTGTGTGTGTTTGTATAAAGAAAAAATACGTCAATGTAAAAAATTAAAGGAAAAACAATTTTTAAAATAAATAAATGTTAATAAATTTTTACAAAAAAAAAAAAAGAACAGGAAAAACTACTAAATGATGACAAAATTCAGGATAGTGTTTACCTTGGCAAGGGGGCTTTGTCACCTGGGTAGACCGGAAGTTTTCTCTAGTGAGGGAAATGTCCTTTATCTTGGAGGGTGGTGATGGTGATGCAACAAGACTATTCATGTGTAAAAATTATCCAGGCATGGTGGTGCACGCCTGTAGTCCCAGCTCCTCTGAAGGCTGAGGCAAGAGGATCATTTAAGCCCAAGAGTTAGAGGCGGCAGTCAGCTATGACTGTGCCACTGCACTCCAGCCTGGGTGACAGAGCAAGACCCTGCCATTAAAAGAATAAAATAAGATTAAATAAATATATAAATAAAATGTTTGTCTACACTGAAATATTTATGGATGAAATATAGTGTCTGGAATTTGCTTTAAAAGCTCATTGTAACTCCAATATTACAGGAAATAAATTTTAAAAAATGAAAAAAGAATATGTTAAAATAATTGAGCTGTACACTTAATATTTGTGGATTTTACAGTTTTTAAACTGTCTCAAATAAAAATGTAGCGTATAAAATAAAGACATTCTCACATTAAAAAAGAAAACAAATCATGTTGTATATCTTAAAGTATACAATAAAAACAAAATAAAATAGTAACATTTATGAAAATATACAGGTAATGAAAACACTGAAATTTGGAAATATGTAACAGGTTTAAAGCTCACAAATAAGGTGTCACAAAGGTGTTACAAATAGAGTATTTTAAATACAAGCTTGATTTTCACATACTTTGGAGCATTAATAAAGCCAGAGATCCGAAACACTGCAAACGTACATCATTCCACAGGTTTTGGTTTGGTGCTTCTTTACCCTCACACATGTCACACACAATATTCTTTTCAATATATCTTTATCGAAGTATAATAACTATGATTTCTTTTAGCCTCTTCTGTTTAAAAAGAAACTGTTATACAATACACAGTTTATTTTGAAAACCCACATTCTCTTATACAGAACTACAAGGAATCTCAACTCCATCCCATGTAATTATCAACTTGATTTGCATTTATATGTTAAACAACAAAGCTTTGTTCTATTCTTTTCCTGTATATATATAAATATTTTACATAGATGTAATCACAGTATGTATTACTTTTGTGCTCTATATTATCATATTGATTTTTTTTTTTTCGGAGTCTTGCTCTGTTGCCAGGCTGGAGTGCAGTGGCGCAATCTTGGCTCACTGCAACCTCTGCCTCCTGGGTTCAAGCGATTCCCCTGCCTCACCTCCCAAGTAGCTGGTACTACAGGCATGTGCCACCATGCCTTTCTGATTTTTTGTATTTTAGTAGAGACAGGGTTTCACCATGTTGGCCAGGATGGTCTTGATCTCCTGACCTCGTGATCTGCCTGCCTCGGCCTCCCAAAGGGCTAGGATTACAGTCATGAGCCACTACGCCTGGCCAATTAATTTTTCATACACACATTTTTGTAGTTATTAGCGTGGTTGATAATAGTCCCTCCCCTTACTTGATTGGTTTGTTGATGTCCTTTGCTCTCTTGGATACCCAGGTAATATTCCTGTGTTTTTATAATATGTACTTTGCATAACATGGGTATTTTAAATATTTACAATAAAATTTGTTATAGAAGATACTGTTTGTGTCCTACACATATATCCTGAGCCTGGAGGTCACCTGTAGGAGGCTTCCCTGCATCTGTCGGAGGATTTCCTCTAGCAGGTTTACTGAAAGTGCTGGGGAGGTAACAGTATCAGGCTCCAGCACCAACCAGTTTCCTCCTCTTCCATTCAAGTAATTTTCAAGTATGAGCCACACAGTTTTTCAGCTGGATAAAGCCCCAATGGCAGAGCAGTAGTCCTCTTATTCTTTTTCTTTTTTTTAATTAAAAAAAAGAGATAGGGCCTCACTATGCTGCCCAGGCTGGTTTCAAATTCCTAGGCTCAAGCAATCCTCCTGTCTTGGTCTCCCAAAGTGCTGGGATTATAGATGTGAGCCACTGCACCCTGCCAGGTGTGAGCCACTGCACCCCGCCAGTAATCCTCTTATTAACCCATCTGTACTGTCTTAACTTTGTTCTCTGTCTCACCACTCGTACCTTCCTGGATTACTCTCAAAATAAACTGTACGTAAATCATTTTCTCAGGGTCTGCTTTTGGGAGATCCAAACTAAAACATCTGCAAAACACAGGTCCCCTCAGCACTTCTTTCTTCCCAGTACTTGGAGGGAGCAATGCTTACCAGTTTGTGGGCTGGCTTCGGGTGAGGAGAGATCTCCCTCTACCAACTTTTTCTTGTAGAGGGCTGTTCTTTGACGCATTCTTTTCACCAGGTTGTGTAGCTGGGCATCGGCATACTCATTTATAACAGGAGCTGCAGGCGGTTTGTTTTGTGGGCTAAATGAGAAAAAAAATGGCAATAGAGATGGGCCCATGAAGAAATAGATATAAGGGAAAGATTAAATCTTTTCACCTTCCTTATATATTCAAGATTATTAACTTCCCCTTTTTTGCAATTGAATAGCACAATTCAAACATTAGGTTTAATGGAAATAGTGCTGGTGGAATACAGATTTGTTATTAAAAAAATTAGAATCCTCAAATAGCAAGTGGTAACTCTTGACCATATTGGATCTTGATGACAGTGATTCTGTTATTACATTGTATCACTAGGACAAGTAAAGCTACAGATGGTGGGGCAGGCAGAAGCCTAAGATGGCCCCAAGATTCCCTGCCCCTTGGTATATGTGCCTGCATAATCCCAGGGACAATAAGTATGGTGGTTTTATTCCCATCAGTAGTCCATGTTATGTGGCACAGTTGATAAGGAGATTATATAGGTGGGCCTGATCTAATCATACCAGGCCTTTAAAAGTAGAGTTTCTCCAGCTGCTGACACAGCAAGAAGGCAGAGATTTGAAGTACAAGGGAGATTTTACTTGAGATAAATCCTCCATGGCTGATCGTGAAGAAGAGGGTCACCTGGTTAGAATTTCATGAGGCCTCTAGGAGGCTGAGAGTGATTCCTGGCTAGCTGTTCACAAGAAAACAGAGACTTCAGAGGTACAACTGCGGGAACTGATTTTGCCAATAACCTGAATGAACTTGGAAGTAAATTCTTCACCACAGCCTCCCAGTGAGAGCCTAGTCTGGCCTGGCCAACACCTTGATTTCAGCCTTGTGAGACCTGAAGCCAAGAACCCGGTTGAGCCCACTCAGACTTCTGATTTGGACCCATTTGCTAATAGCTGGGTGGTTTTTAATTTAATTTTATTTATTTGTTATATCTTCAACTTTTATTTTTGGGTGTTGTTTTAAATCACTTAAGTATGTGGTAATTTGTTATGTGGCAATAGAAAAATAATGCAGCTGCTGTGCTTCAATGAACTTCCTTTTGATTTTTTGTTTGTTTGTTTGGACTGAGTCTCACGTTGTCGCCCAGGCTGGAGTGCAGTGGTGTGATCTTGGCTCACTGCAATCTCTGCCTCCCAGGTTCAAGCAATTCTCATGCCGCAGCCTCCCAAGTAGCTAGGACTACAGGTGCATGCCACCACGCCTAGCTAATTTTTGTAGTTTTAGTAGAGACTGGGTCTCACCATGTTGGCCAGGCTGGTCTCGAACTCCTGACCTCAGGTGGTTTGCCTGCCCTGGCCTCCCAAAGTGCTAGGATTACAGGCTTGAGCCTCCGTCCCCAGCCAATGAACTTCCTTTCTGAGAAAATACACAAACAGCCTAGCATGGAGCATAGAGTAGACATTAGGATACTTCATCAAGACCTGAGCTTCTTCACAGATTTCCCTCAGAGCTCTCACTGTCTATCTTCCTTCCAATGTCTGACATTGGGTCTACATGAGCCCATGTAGGCTCCATCCATACTCTTCTCATATCTGCCCTTCCCATCTCACCTCCAAGTGGCAGCCCATGGGGTTCACAGCGCATCTGGGCAACTTGTAGATTCCACTTAAGAAAATCTCAGTATTGAGTATGAGCCCCTCTCCATGAACCCCTTCCCTACATGGCCCACAGATATATTACATCTATAAATGTTTACAGGTTCCCAGACTACCCATGTTTTTCTCTCTTACCTTCTTATTATCATGGTACAATTTATACTTCTTTCAAAGGTAAACGGTCCTGTCTCAGAATCAAGATCTCCAAGTATGTCACATTAGGACATATAAAAGCCTACTTAAGGATGGTAGAGACCAACGGGCAGTGAACATAGTTCAGATTCATCTTCAACAGTTCAGAAATAGGTGGACACTAGGTCCATAAAGCCAGAATAACTTTTTTCCTGATTAAGACTTGTTGTCATAGATATAATTTCACTGATTCCTTCTTAAAGGTGTGCTTAGAAGTTTATTCATCCATCAAGCAGTTATTGAGTTTCTACTTTATGTACTGCAAATAGAAATATAAGTTACACAGTGTCAGGCCCGATAGTTGTTCATAGTTTAATGGGGGAAACAAGGATGTCAATCCATAGCTAATGGTAAATAATAAAAACATGTGCAAAGTACTTTGCTCCACACTGAATTTAGCCTGGGGTGTCAAGGAGGGGCTTTGTAGAGGAAGTACACTGTCTTAAGGGACCAGCATATCTTTGACAGATAAATGATAGACTGTCTTTTAGGCATGGAGAGTGATATGTTCAAAGGCATGAAAGAACATGGCATGTTCAGCAGATTTTGGTGTGATTGGAACAGAGTATATGTGTGTGTGTGTAGGGGGCCAGGTGGCAGAGGGTGGCAGGAGTGATGGTGGTTGGGTATGGAAAGGAAAGGTGAGTGAAGTCAGGTTATGATGGTCCCATGTGATCTATTGAGGAGTTTAGACATTAAGCAGTGGGCAAAGAGAGCCAATGCAGGGTATTAAGCAGACGAAAGGCCTGAGCAGACAGCTTTGAACTTTGGAAAATTAGCAATAGTGAGAGGATAGGCTAATGAGCTGTACTGGAGCTTTTGGATAATTCAAAGAAGAAATCAAGAATGACTAAGTTTCTATTACAAGAGACTAGACTCATGAAGATGACATCAATATAAATAGGAATTCAGGAAGCAGATGTTTGTATGAAGTAGCGGCATGAAAAAATTTTTTGTGTGTGTATCTTCAGTTTGAGGTGTTTGTAGGACCTTGTGTGATAAAACCTTGTCTGTGATATTCAGGAGACATTCAGAAATACAGTTCTGACAATAAGAACTTGGGGTTCATCAGTGATTATGGAATATTTGAAGTGATTTATGTGTATAACACCATCATAGACTGTAAGATTCTCAAAGCAAGGAACTGTGTCTTTTCTTCATACTCCATAAGATCAGCACAACGTAGGTTTTAATAAATGCTTATTGAGTAAATACACCCACTACTTTTAACAATTTGTTTGACCTTAGTTGATGTGCCTGAGTGCTTTAAAATATATATAAAAAGCTATGTTGAATGTTGCTGAATCATTAACTATAAAGTCAGGTATTCAAACTGTCAAACTCTCCAGTGTCCCAAGATCTGAGGAGAATATTTTTTCTTTCCCTGAATTATCTATAAGCCCTAATTGACCATATAATTGCCATTTAGTTATATTACTTTGTAGTGTGCAAACCCACCTCATGGTTAAAATGCTGAAATTCACATGAAAAAGAATGCAAGCATATCAAATACATATCTATATTTTAACTACTATGCATTTTTGTCTTTATGTTAGCTGGAGCATTATGATGTCATTTTATTTCATCTTCTTGTCTTTCTCCAGCTTCTTTTCTAGGATCCTTGCCATTCTCCTCTGCCTATATACATATGGAAGCCATGAATGTATTTTTCTTTAGGTAATTTTGTTATGGAACAGGAAAGGCAAATAGAGAGGAAGAAACATACATCATGAGATAAAACCCAAAAGGGATAAAAGAAAGAACCAATGGTTTTGCCTTATGTAACTATGCTTCATCTGAGCTCTGTTTGCTATTTCTTGTTTATATTACCAATTTTATGCTTTTTAAAGAATTATTCCTAATTCCATGATGAAAGTTTTGGTAAACAGTAAAAATATCTTACAATTTAACTTTTGTGTGTGTGTGTGAGATAGGGTCTTGCTCTGCTGCCCAGGCTGGAGTGCAGTGGTACAATCATAGCTCACTGCAGCCTTGACTTCCCTGGGCTCAAGCCATCCTCCCACCTCAGTCTCTTGGGTTGCTGGGACTACAGGTGTGCAACACCACACCTGTCTAATATTTCTTTCTTTCTCTCTTTTTGTTGTTGTTGTTGTTGTTGTTGTTGTTGTTGTTGAGACAGGGTCTTGCTCTGTCACCCAGGCTGGAAAGCAGTGGTGCAATCTCGGCTCACTGCAACCTCTGCCTTCCAGGTTCAAGCAATTCTGCTGCCTCAGCCTCCCGAGTAGCTGGGGTTACAAGTGTCCACCACCACACCTGGCTAATTTTTGTATTTTTTAAATTAGACACAGGGTTTCATCATGTTGGCTAGGTTGGTCTAGAACTCCTGACCTCATGTGATCCACCTTCTTCGGCCTCCCAGAGTGCCGGCATTTCTTTTGTGTGTGAGTCTGTAGACATGAGGTTTCACCAGGTTGCTCAAGCTGGTCTCAAACTCCTGGGCTCAAGCAATCTTCCTGCCTTGGCCTCCCAAAGTACTGGGATTACTGTTGTGAGCCACTGTCCCCAGCCAATTCTACAAATTTTGATAAACATAGGAGGAAACTCATATTGGATAGTTGTCTTCCTATTCTATTCTATTTTGTTCTGTTCTAGAGATGGGGTCTCACTCTGTCACCATCATAGCTTACTGAGGCCATAAACTCCTGAGCTCAAGCAATCTTCCCACCTCAGCCTCCTGTGTAGCTGGCAAAAGGTGTGTGCCATCATGCCTTGCTAATTTATTTATTTTTTCTAGAGATGGGGTCTTGCTTTGTTGCCCAGGCTGGTCTTTAAGTAGGAGCTCCTGCCTCAGCCTCCCAAAGTACTGGGATTGCAGATGTCAGTCACAAAAGATGGCCTAAAATTTTATTTATATATCTCTATGAAAGAATAAAGGATTGGTTATTGTTAGAATAAAATTTGTGACTTTTTTTGATAAAGGTACAAGGGAAACTCATTTTTTAAAAAGCTGATGAAAAAGAAAAGAACTATAGTAGTTTCCTTATTTCTTTAAATTCAGTCAGAGGCACAGGCCAACAAAATTGTATAATTAACAATTAGGATTACAGAAGTTTTTACCCTCTAGGGCAATGCTAGTAAGATTGGAATGGGTGAGGCGAGTTAAGTTTTTTGTTGTTTGGGGTAAAGTGGTGGGGTTGCGGGGAAGTCCACTGTGAAAAGGAAGATAGGAAAGAAAAACACCTGGTCTGCAGCTGCACTCAATATTATT
Source organism: Homo sapiens (assembly GCF_000001405.40). Lineage (NCBI taxonomy): Eukaryota > Metazoa > Chordata > Mammalia > Primates > Hominidae > Homo > Homo sapiens. The sequence goes on from NC_000008.11 coordinate 86,676,073, forward strand.
AGTTTTAAGAAAGAGAACATTTATAAGACGTGGATCTTGAAATTGGTTCTTTTAAAACTGTGTTTGTTAGGACTCTAAGAAAGTTTTGACGTGCACGCAGGGATAACATATTCTCTAGTTTAAGATGGCTGCTTTAGTATAACATGGAGAGATGACTAATTTTGATGAGCATGGTAACATGAGTGGGTGGTGATCTGCGGTGAGTTTACAGCAGAGGTGGTTTCCTAGTTGAATCATGAAGGATGGACAGCACTTTGATAATATAAAGGGAAGGTATTCAAGGCAAAGGAAACAGCTTTAGAAAAGGGGTGTTCATCGCTGCCTAATAGAATACAATAAAGGCTCAAACATTTTAACGTAAGATCCCAAGTGACCTAAAATTTGTCTTGAATGGTCAGTTGAGGTTGATGGGGAACCATGGCAGAATTCTAAGCAGAAGAGGGACATGATTAGCTATGCTTTGGAAGAATAATTAAAAAAGAAAGAAGATAATTAGTTGCAGTAAGGAGGAAGTGTGACTTGAAGAAGGGAGATAATCAACTTAAAATATGTAGGTTAATGTCAGAGTATGGAATTCCATGTTTGGTCATTGTACTACATTGAATAATATTCTGCCAACATTTGTGTCCACCTGGAACCTCAGAATGTGACCTTATTTTAAAATCGAGTCTTTATAGATTTAACTATTTAAGTTAAGATGAAGCCATACCGGAGTAGGTTGGGCCCTCAATCCAGTGACTGGGGTCTTTATAAGAAGCCTAAGTGCTGGAGTGGCCTATCAACTACAAGCCAGTAACGCTGCCTTTCCTATTTTTGCATCTGCTCATGAATATAGTAATTTACATATAGTTAATTTATGTCTGCCGAGTCTCTCAGGTACACTGATGATGAATAAATCAGAACAGTATGAATTTTTTTTAAAAAAGCCTAGTTGAAGACAGAGAAGAGACGCAAGGAGAATGCCATGTGACAACAGTGGCAGAAATTGGAGCACTACATTGCTAAGTCAGAAAACACAAAGGATTGTTGGTGATCACCAAAAGCTGGGAGAGAGAGCATGGAAAAAATTCTCCCTCAGCTCTTTCAAAAGGACCAACCTTGAATTCAGGCTTCTAGCCTCCAGAACTGCGAGAAAATAAATATCTGTTGTTTTAAGCCACCCAGTTTGTGGTAATTTGTTATGGCAGTCTTAGGAAACTAACAGAGTTAGCAAAGCAGATAATTATGATAACATATGGACAACTCATATGGAAGCATAAGTTGTAAGAGAAATAGCAATACATTCAGTTTAGTAAATGTGAAACTTGAGTCGTAAGTTAAGAATCAAGGTCTCTTTCAATACATTTGGTACAGAAAGCAGTTGAGAATTTAGGTCTGGAAATCGGAAGGGAGGACTGCGTGGTAGATATTGAACTAGGTTGAAATCACCTGTCTAGAGGATGTGGTGGGAATGATATAGTGGATGAGATTACCAGTAAAAGCCTGCATAGAACAAGAAAAATTGGGAAGTCACAACCTTGGAATTTACTGACATTTACGGCATAGCATAAGAAAAGGAACTGAGAAGTAGCAATTAGAGAGACAGATCTAAAAGAGAAAAATGCCACAAAAAATCAGGGAAGGTAAGAGTTTGAAAAAGGAAGTCAGTGGCATCTTATGCTGCACATAAAGTGAGTAGGATGGGGGCAAGTAAGAGTTCACTGGTCATCTTTAAGAACATTGGTTAGGGAGATATGTAATGCCATCAAATTTTGTCATTTTCTCCCCATTTGTCTTAACAAGTATTTTGTGAAACAGGTATGTAGACTCTTGTGTTTGTTCTCTAAATAGTATTTTGAATTTCTGTTCATTATTTTCTTTTGCAAACTTTGCTAGATTCCTTTTAATTCTTAATTAAGAATTAATTCATTTTTCAGCGACTTATTTCTCAAAAATCCCAGTTGGTTCAATTTTTTTAAAACCCACTATTTCTATCTTGTTGAATAACAGGCAGGAATTAGGCGAAGAGTATTGTATTCTAATTTGGGAAGTTTTTAGGGGAGAAAGGAGCACGTCCTTTTTCTTTTGCCATGTTTAGGCAATAATTAATGATAAATTCATACAGCTGCCCTCAAAAGTTACATCTGAAAAAAAATCTCACTTTACATACATGAGTATTTTTGGTGAGAATACATTTCTGAGTGAAAATAGCACAAAATTATGATTTTTTGCCAAAGTATGTGGCAGTCTACCATAAAGCCTATACATTTTAGGCAAATTTGGGAAAGTATAGATATAACTCAACCAAGTCTCACTTCACTCCCTTTTCACATTCACCTCTAAATGCTGTGAAGATTTTGAGTTGTTTATCACATTTCACTTGTGCATTATGGTATTGTTTGCACACATCAGTTTGTACATATGGTAATGTACATATGGATGTTATGATGCACAATTTCCTAACCTAAGTGATTCATGATCTGTGTAGAATATGCTGCAATGCATGTATGGTTCCAACACTTGTTTCCACACCCCATGTTAGCCGTCTACTCTCTAGAGCATTTCTTTAGTTAATCTGGAAGTGCTGGAGGTATGTCTCTGTTGTTTATTTTTGTTACTAGTGAATCATATTCTATTGTCCCAAAAATGTAATGGTACCTAACCCTGTTTAAAGTTAGTCAACCATTTTAAGGCTAAAGTAACAACAAAAAAAATTTCATAGATTGTGAATTTATATTATACACCCATATGTACACACACCTGCCTATATACACAAAAATCAACACACATAACCAATGGCAACCCTTCCAAAATCTAAATGCAATTGGAAAAAGAATGAATAAACATATCAGCATAAACATAGTCATAATACTAATATATTTAATTTCAGTAAACATTTAAAATTCCTCAATGGCTTCAGGTATTTTTTTGGGAGTAGAAAATTAACAAGTAGGGTGACCCTGCTTTTACCATTTTTTCTCTGTGGAGTAGCAGCCTGAAAGAGTCAAAGAATGTTTGATACAATGTTCCTGAAAATTGGTGTCTTGGGGAAGTTATGAGGTGCATTTTGAACATCTCATTCATTTATTCAACTAATATTTATTGTGCACTTATTTTGCACCAGGAAAGCTCATCATATTCTGTATTCACTTTGAAGATTTTTTAGTTAACATTCCTCTCTTTCATTTTACACACACTCTTACATTTATTAGTTTATTTATTTGTTAGTTTATACTCTTCCTTATTAGTTTGTTTATTGATGTTTTCTTTATTTAAAACGTGTTTCATTAGAATGTGTTATGGGCTAAATTTTGTTCCCCCAAAATTCATATGTTGTAGTCCTAACCCCTAATGTGACTGAATTTGGAGACACGACCTATGGGGAGGAATTAAGGTTATATGAAGTCATAAGGATAAGGCCCTAATCTGATAGGATTGATAGGATTGGTGTCCTTTTTCTTTCTTTCTTTCTTTTTCTTTTTCTTTTTTTTTGAAAAGGAGTCTTGCTCTGTCACCCAGGCTGGAGTGCAGTGGCACAATCTTGGCTCACTGCAACCTTTGCCTCCTGGATTCGAGCAATTCTCCTGTCTCAGCTTCCCAAGTAGCTGGGATTACAGTTGCCCACCACCATGCCTGGCTAATTTTTGTATTTTTAGTAGAGATGGAGATTTGCCATGTTGGCCAGGCTGGTCTTGAACTCCTAACCTCAGGTGATCCGCCCACCTTGGCCTCCAAAATTGTTGGGATTACAGGCATGAGCCACCGCGTCTGGCCAGGATTGGTGTCCTTATAAGAAAAAGAAGAGGGACTAAAGAGCACTTTCTTTCATCTCATTCACAGCGGAAAGTCCATATGGAAATACAGCAAGAAGGCAGCCATCTACTATCCATCTACGAGGAAGAGAGGCGGCTTCACCAGAACCGAGTCTGACAGCACCTTGATCTTGGACTCCTAGCCTCCAGAACTGTGAGAAAATACATTTCTGTTTGTTAAGCCTGTGATATTTCAGTCAGTGGTATTTCATTATGGAAGCTCAAGTGGACTAACCTGGAATACATACATATCAAGAAAAAAGGGGTAAATCTATTTTAAGAAGCAGGTGAAAAATTAGATCAAGATATTAGGCCAAATGCCATACATCCCGAGATGACAGAAAAAAATGTTGTGAAAACTCTACAATGCTGGAAAGCAAGACATTGCCACCAGTAAGCCAGAAAATTTGAGACATTTCTGAAAGTTAGAAAGCATATGGGTTCATATGTTAGCTCATTTAATGCTCACAGTTGTAAAGTGCTCAGAACAGTGTTGATGTTAATGAAAAAAACCATCATTCAAAACAGTCACAGGAGACGTTCATTGCAAAGTGAGAGGGTTCTGAGAGAGTTTTACCCTTGGAGGAAGTGAATACAAGGGACCAGAAGGGGCCATGGTCAACCATTGGGGTGATTCCACACCAATTGCATTCAGAGTAATGAAGTAGGTTGCTCTCTTTTTGACCAAACCTGCATTCAGTTGATAAGTGCAGAAGCATTTTCCTCTAGGTGGTGAGAGGGAATTTGGACTAGAGAAGCAGAGCTGTATCTTAGCAGGATGGCAACAATCAAAAGGAATGGGGGACTCTATGCCCAGACAGTGAGTTGGTCTTATACTACTCTTGACAGTGGTTTTCCCTCATAGTGTAGAAAGAATACGGTCAAGTGAACATCATTTACAGCAATGGCGTACCAAGTTGTGGGGTGAGGAGGGGAGGTGGAGTGAGAGGAGGTTGTGGGACTCATCTTCCCCAGGTGTAGGCAATAAATGGGGGACATTGTCTGTAGGAAGTTTAAAAGAACTCCTAAAACAACTAAAAGTTGGTTTGATTTTTATTATCACCATGTGCTAATACTTCTTAAAAACACTGATAAAATGCTTCTATCCCCAAGGTAAACGGCTCCTACGCTTTGCTCTGTGTCCACTACAGATATACACAAGTTACAGGGGCAATATCAAGTACAAAGATGATCACACAAACACCAAATTACCAAGCGATTGCACAAAATCACTACTATGAGAAGCACTGAAGAAAACAAATTTAAAAACCCCAGTATCTAAAGAAACAGAATAACAAAGCTGATGATATTTTTAAAAAGCTTGATATCTTCATAAAGGTAGGAAAGTATATCTATTATATGTTGATTGGGATAGATTATTGCGAAAGGGAATAGATAAGAGACGTGAAGAGAAAAAATTTGATTATCCAAAAAACAAAAATAAACAACAAAAAAAGATTTGAGATTAGCTAAACTGCCGAATGAACACAACAGAGGAGAGAATGAGTTGAAGAATTCTCCCAGAGTGTAGCACAGGACAACAGGTGTAAAAGTACACAAGGAAAGTAAGACAGGACTGAAGTTACATCAGGTAAGAAAAGCATATGGAGAATAGATCTAGAAGTTACAACACCTGTATAAATTCCCAAAGGAGAGAACAGAGGAAAAAGAGAAGATAAATCAGTCAAAGAAACTGTAGGGAAACATTCTGCAGAGCTGAAGAAATGTACAAGTCTTCAGATTCAAAGAGGTCACCAGCGGTGAGTGAAATGAATAAGAGAAAACTCAAACCTGGCACACTGTCAGAAATCTCAGAACACTAAAATTAAAAAGAAAAATTCTAAAAGCTTCAAGAGATGGAAAAAAACAACAACCTTATAAAAACATTAGATTGGCTTCAGATTTCTCATTGACAACACTGAACACTAGAAGCTAATGGAGCAATGTCTCAAAATTTCCCAGGGAAAATAAATTTTCTTTGAACTCCATATTGCCAAACCCTAGATAAGATTATCTCTTTGCTTTTCTCAGGAAGACTTCACCTTCCAAGCACAACTCTTCCTTGCTAAGAAAGCAGCAAATTCCATTTTTGTGTCAGCTATTCAGTGGTGGCTTCTTCCTTTTACACTAGGAATATCATGTAAAAGGTAAAAATGTTTAAAAAGAAAAAGCAAATGAAGGAGTTGAAATTTTTCTTGGTGTAGCATGCAGAGCTCTGTAAAAGTTTTATTGAGATATTTAGTATAGGCCTTGAGGCTAAAGTAGATCTGCTGACCTTTCCCTGAATCTAAATTTTGGAACCACATGCTGAAGAGACATATGCTATTTCCACAGGTCGGGCTGTGGGCCTACTTACCCACCTACTGATCTTGAGTGAGGACTTCCTCTAAGAAGTAATTCATGCCCAGATGGACTTACTGCATGACAGAAGGAAACACCTAGAGAAAAATAAGTCCTGATTTCCTGCCTTTGAGGTGAAGCAATCCCAACCACTACTAAAGAGGGGTGGATGAATATCTTGGCTTCTGACCAATTAGGTCAGCAACTTCTCCAGCTATGAGTAAATTGGGAATGAAACAGGGGATAGCAAGAGGCCAGTTTGACAGGGGGATTGTAGAAGTACTTCAACTCCCCAAAACAAATATCAGTGTTTCTGAGGTTGATTTGTCATTGCCTCGATAGCAGGATGTGTGGCTGGGGTCTGGAGATGAAAGCAGAAGTACATGATGCAGAGATTGGCTTCTTTCATAGCGATGCCAGGAGAGATGTGTGGAGAGCTCCTGGAAGGGAGGGGTTCCATTCAAAACAATTCAATCCTCTAAATGCAAACGGAGGACATTTGTAGAAAGAGGGAAACCAAGAACGTCCGAGTCAATAATGCAAAATCGCATGTGAGGCTTAGAGAAACCAGAAAGAGCACAGACAGAAGGAAATCAGAGTAGGGAAGGGGGAAGAAGTCAGGGTGCCAATAAACAGAAATGTGGAGTAAGGTCCTGCTTCTGCACATTGGGATTCAGGACTGTAAGACAGAGTTCTAAACTCTGGTGACCTGTGTGTGGTTGAGGTCAGCTGTTAGAGCCCTGGAGCACCAGGCTCCCAGTTTTTGACCACTTAGAAATTAGGAGGTTCAGTGCCTGCCTGGGAAAATTCTTGGGCAGATTCTTCTTTAAGAGTGACTGGGTAGTAAATGGTTATCAGGATTATACTTCCTTGACTGGAAAATATTTACACAGCTTTTTTCTCTGAAAGTATAGATAGAGACATTATTTTTATTTCAGGTAAAGAATTAACAGCACCTAATAAGGAAAGAATGGAGAATGAATATTCAGTTTGATGTTGAAATAAAGGAGAGTGCAGTGCATATAGTTAAGAGATACTCTGAGTGCCAAATTAATGTCTGGTTCTTTTTCTTCTTCTAAACAAAAACCCAGGAAGATACACTGAGTTGGTCTGAATGCACTAAAGAGCCAAACTAAGCATATCCAAGCAGGTGGCTGGGTATGTGGGTGAAATTTAAATGATTTTTGACCTTCAAACCACTAAATGAAGGATAATGGAAATGTCTATTAGAAGTAGGTTAACAAAAAAGACTAAGGTGAAATTAAACAAATTGCTGATAACTGCTGAAACTCAGCAAGAGAACTGTACTGGTAGTCTGACTGTACATTGAAACATTCCTTAAGATGCAAACAGATGGTAATAACTTTTCTTTTTTAAGGAATTATATTTTCATGAAGACATTTATACTGACTAGGTCACTGCCCTAAGTCTTGATTGGTTATCTACTGCTAGGGACAGACCTGCAGGATATTCATGTACCATTAAAAAGCTACCAAGTGATTTTTGACAAAGGTGCAAGAGCAATTCAAAGGAGAAAAGATAGCCTTTTCAACAAATGGTGCTGGAGCAACTGGACGGCCATAGGCAAGAAAAGTGAACTTCAACCTAAACCTACACCTTATACAAAAAATTAACTCAAAATGGATCATGGACTTAAGTGGAGAACATAAAACTATATGTTTTAGAAAACAATAGGGAGAAGTTCTGGATCTATGGCTGGCAAAGAGTTCTTAAGTTGGACACTAAAAATACAGTCCATGAAAGCAAAAATCAATCAGATTGCACTTGATCAAAATGGGAAACTTTTGCTTTGTGAAAGATATTGTCATGTTAAAAGCATGAAAAGGCAAGCTACAAGCTGCAGAGTGGGAGAAAATATTCACAGACTACCTATCTGACAAAGGTCTAGTATCTAGGATATAAAGAATTCTCAAAATTCAACAGCAAAATACCAAAACAATCTAATTATGAAGTGGGTAAAACACATGAACAGACATTTCACGGAAGATGATATGCAGATGGCAAATAAGTAAATGAAAAGGTGTCTCGCATCATTAGCTATTGGGAAATGCAAATTATAACCACAATGAGCTATAACTACACATCTATCAGAATGGCTAAAATAAAAATAGTGACAACACCAAATGCTGGCAAGCCTGGGAAGAAACTGGATCACTCATACACTGCTGCTTGGAATGTAAAATGATGCAGTCACTCTGGAAAACAGTTTGACAGTTTCTTATAAAGCTAAACATGCAATTATCATATGACCCCTATAATTGTACTCCTGGGTATTTATCCTGGAGAAATAAAAACTTTGTGTTTTCACAAAAACTTGTGCACACATATTCATAGATTTATTTGTAATAGCCCCAAACTGGAAGTAACCTGGATGTCTTTCAATAAGTGAATGGTTAAACTGTGGTAAGTTCATGTCATGGAATACTTAAGCCAAAAAAAAAAAAAAAGGAATAAACTCTTGATGCACACACAATTTAGAAAGATCTCTGGAGAATTATATTGATTAAAAGCCAATCTCTAAAGACTATGTACTGTGTGATTCAATTTATATGACATTTTTGAAATAACAAAATTGTAGAGATGGAGAATAGCGATTGTCAAGGATCAGGTTTTGGTGTGGTTATAACAGTGCAACATGAGGGATCTTTGCAGCATGGAATTTTGTATTTTGACTGTGGTGGGGGGATACATGAGCTTGCACATGTAATAAAATTGCACAAAACTAAATATGCCATACACAAACACACACGCATGGATGAGTACAAGTAAAACTGGAGAAATATGAATAAGATCAGTGGATTATCATTGTCAACATCCTGGTTGTGAATTATCATTTTCAATATCCTGGTTGTGAGATTATTGTACTATAGTTTTGCAAGATGTTACAATTGGGGAAACTGGGTAAAGGGTATATGGGATATTTCTGTATTATTTCTTACAACTGCATGCAAATCTATCCCCAAATTAAATTTTTAATTCATAAAAAAGGCCTCACTAACCTGAGGGCAGGCTGTTTGCTTAGTTATGCTGAGCATACCTACTTATGCAGAACCTGGAGTTCTATAACCTTGTCACTCAGAGTGGTCCACAGACCTGTCACATTGGCATCCCCTGAGCACTTGTCTGGGCCCCTTCCTAGGCCTATTGAATCAGAATCTGCGTTTTCACAAGCTCCTCAGTTAATTTATATGCACGTCGACGTTTGAGAAACATTGTTTCATAAGAGGAGTCTTGCAATTTTATATTGTAAAATGTTGGCAAGAGCCACACTTCCTCCCCCACAAAGCTTAAACATCCTTTCTCTTCTCTTGAGAGAAGGGTAAAAAGTCCTGAGTTTTCTGGAATGCTAGCTGTGTCTATATCACTAACGATTCTCGCAAAACTCAGTGGCTTTATTAGGTTCCTTTCAGATGAATGAACTAAAGCCCAGTCTATCTTACTGAAAAGTCATATATGCAGATAGGTGATAGAAGGTTAGAAACAAATTATGACTGAGCTAACAGAAGAGAGAAGTGAAAATAATTAGAACTCAATGTTTATTGAGCTTTAAATAGTCAGTATTTTGATTTTAAGAGGCAGAACTAGTCTTATAATGAATATCTTCTCCTTAAAAAATGGAGAACATTTAGAATACATGGAACACAACTAAATAAGAATATAGTTATTAGGGTTTTATGTTAGCAGTATGTGCCAGAAGGTGAATTTTTTAATATTTAAACTGAATGACACAAACTTAGTTTGCATATATGTAAAGTAAACTAATATTTTACAGAGGAGAATAATGTATTAATAATAAACCATGGGAAAACACTTTGAATCTTCAAGAGGAAAATGTAGAAAAGAAGAACACCATATGGTACTATAACATAAATTTCTAAGGCTATTCAGAGAGGTAGGCTACTCTCCTGATGAACATTGTCATCAAATTTTACGGTCCAAATTACTTACCATGTCTTGTGCAAATAATTTGTATGGTCTGTCACATACTGTATTACACTGAATATTCAATTCAAATAGCCTAGTTTCTGAAGGGCATAACAGCACATAGCTGTAAAACTTACTCATAAATCATATGGGCATGGTTAATGGAGCTCACCGTTCGATCTATTTGTAGTCAGTACAGATCTGGGATGTGCATCACAGATTTTTATATAAATTGAGGACATCAACAGTCATATAAATTTGCATTTGCAACTTGATTTCTCTTAGTGAATGTGACAGAATCATCCTATTGGCTACAAGCAAACTGCAAAAGCAGTGTAAAAGATATTACATCCTTAAAGTATTGCAGACACCCTATGGATCTGTTCTTTTTAATTTGATATTTGAGAAGAAGAGATAATTGAAAGCAAAACTGTGTAAGAATCCTTTTGGAAACTGAAATCTGTACTTGGCTTTCTAGCAGTAACCTAAATACAGGGTGTTCTGCATTGATAAGAGGCTGGGATTACTATGGTTCCTACCGTGCTATCTGTGGTACTAGGTTCTTAAACTTTTGACTCAGGTGATAAGGTACTTGTCATAAAGGCTTTAAGTGTGACTATGGTGACATTGGAAGTAAGAGATCACAGTACCACAGCTGGAGAAAGGTATATTGCTTTTATACTCATGAACACTAGATATTTGTATTTGCTTGTATGCAGGGAAAATTCAAGTTTTGTAGTGCCAGGAACTTATATAATTTTTATGTCTCTTTTAAAGAAAAACAATAGAAAATTATAAATTCTAATTTCAACATAGAATTTTCACTGAAAGAATCTGAAGCTTAAGCTTTATTAGCTTCATAGTAAAGTCATCTCTGAAGATGTTAAAGATTGTTCAAAACACCACAGTGTTTTAAAACCTACCATCCAGGAGTACCACTTCACACTCACTAGGATGGCTATAATAAGAAAAATGGACAATAAGTGTTGGTGAGTTTGTGGAGTAACTGGAACCCTCATACCTTGTTGGGAATATGAGATGGTTCAGTCATTAAACTGTAAAAAACAGTTTGGCAGTTTCTCAAAAAATTAACCATAGAATATTCATAATAGCATTATTCACAGTAGCCAAAAGGTGGCCACCAGCCAAGTGTCCATCATTAGATAAACATACAATATATACACAATGAAGCATTATTCAGCCATATAAAAGAATGAAGTACTGGCACATGCTATAATATGGATGAACCTAGAAAACATTATGCTAAGTGAAAGAAGCTAGACACAAAAGGCCATATATGGTATGATTTCATTCATATGAGATAACGAGAACAGACAAGTTCATAGAGACAAAATGCAAATGTTGAATACCAGGAACTGGGAGGAGCAGAGAATAGGGAGAAACTGTTCAATGTGTAAAAGATCTTACTTTAGAGTGATGGAAACTTTTTGGAACTAGACAGAGGTGGCAGTTGCGCAACACTGAATGTACTAAATGCTACTGTGAATGTATAAGTGCACTTTGGTTAATTGTGTGTTATCTGAATTTCCCCTCAATCAATTATTTTTTTAAAATCCACCATTATTCATCCACTCAATAAACACTTCTTGATGTATTAGGCCTTTGACTGGGAGCTGGAGATATAAAGACCTTGCCCCCAAGAAGCATAGTACAGTATAGGACAACCTTGTAGTATGGTAAGTTCCAAATCAAGTGTTTATAGAGTGCCTATTATGAAATAGATATCCAAATATGTTAAGAAGGTAAATCACGTTACTTATTCTTAAATAATTCAATATCGAAATGAAAAACACAATTACAGAATTGTGTGACATTCACAGTGAGTAATAAGAAAGGAATTATCAGGCAACCTTCAAAAAACAAACAGGGCTTCAGATTATTGCAAAAGGTGTATGGGTTTAAGAAATGGAGAGTACTATGGGATGAAAATGAACAGAAGCGTGAGGGTATGAAGGAGTTTGGATCTTATGGGAGCTAAGAGAGGACCACGAGAGAGATGTTTTGCATGGTACTTGTTTTCTTTTTCTCTCAACTGGGAAGATTTTTATTGTGAACCTGAGCTAAGATGATACTCAATAAATTTTGTACATTGATCCTTAATTTGTTCTCTAAAACTACACGGCACAAATCTAACCCCTCTTCCATAAAATGGACAAATATTACCTGAAGACAATCATCATTTCTTTCCCATCATAAGCCTTAATTTTTTTCAGGATGCCATGTTACTAAGGATATTTTTCTGCAGCATGATATTGAGACCCCTTCATTATCATTGTGGTTGCCTTTCCTGGAAGCACTCTCTTTGTCAGAGTTCCTTTCAAGACGCCAAGTAGGAAACAGAATACCACAGGCCTGCTTGATTTTATTTTATTTTTTTGAGACAGTTTCTTTCTGGAATTTATCAATTTCTTCTAGATTTTCCAACTTCTTGGCATATAGTTCCTCACAGCAGCCTTTAATGATCCTTTGAATTTCTGCAGTATCAGTTGTAATGTCTCCTTTTTCATCTCTCATTTTATTTATTTGGATATATTTTTTTCTTAGTCTTGCTAAAGGTTTGTTGATTTTGTTTATCTTTTTTTAAAAAACCAACTTTTCATTTCATTGGTCTTTTTTTAAAAAATTCTATTTCATTTATTTCTGCTCTGACTATTTGTTTTACTGTACTGATTTTGGGTTTTGCTTTCTCTTGCTTCTCTTGTTCTTTAATATAGTTGTTTACTTGAAGTTTTTCTACTTTTTTAGGTAGGTGCTTATTGCTATACACTTTCCTCTTAGTACTGATTTCACCATAGGCCACGGGTCTTGGTATGTTGTGTTTCTATTATTTGCTTCAAGCAATTTTTAAATTCTTTTTTTTTTTTATTAACCCATGGGTCATTCAGGAGCATTTTGTTTAATTTCCATGTGTGTATAGTTTCCTCTTGTTATTGATTGTCAGTTTTATTCCATTGTGGTCAGAGAAGATTATTGATATAATTTCATGTTTTTTTTTTCAATTTTTAAGGACTTGTTTTGTGGCCTAACATATGGTCTACCCTTGAGAATGATCCATTTGCTGAGAAGAAGAATTTGTGCTCTGTAGCCATTGGATGAACTGTTCCATAAAATTTCATTAGTTCTGTTTGGTCTGTAGTGCAGATTAAGTCCAATGTTTCTTTGTTGATTTTCTGTCTGGAAGATATATCCAATGCTGAAAGTGGGGTGTTGAGGTCTCCAGGTATTACTGTATTGGGGCCTATCTTTCTCTTTAACTCTAATAGTATTTGCTATATATATCTGGGTGCTCCAGTGTTGTATGCATATATATACACACACACAAACCAATTATATATATATATTTTTTTTACTTTTTATTTTTATTATTTCTTTATTTTTTTATTTTTATTTTTATTTTTATTTTTTATTATACTGTAAGTTCTAGGGTACATGTGCACAACGTGCAGGTTTGTTACATATGTATACATGTGCCATGTTGATGTGCTGCACTCATTAACTTGTCACTTATATTAGGTATATCTCCTAATGCTATCCCTCCCACCTCCCCCAACCCCACAACAGGCCCTGGTGTGTGATGTTCCCCTTCCTGTGTCCAAGTGTTCTCATTGTTCAATTCCCACCTGTTGTGTGAGAACATGCGGTGTTTGGTTTTCTGTCCTTGTGATAGTTTGCTGAGCATGATGGTTTCCAGCTTCATCCATGTCTCTACAAAGGACATGAACTCATCCTTTTTTATGGCTGCATAGTATTCCATGGTGTATATGTGCCACATTTTCTTAATCCAGTCTATCATTGTTGGACATTTGGGTTGGTTCCAAGTCTTTGCTATTGTGAGTAGTGTCACAGTAAACATACATGTGCATGTGTCTTTATAACAGCATGATTTGTATTCCTTTGGGCATATACCCAGTAATGGGATGGCTGGGTCAAATGGTATTTCTAGTTCTAGATCCCTGAGGGATTGCCACACTGACTTCCACAATGGTTGAACTAGTTTACAGTCCCACCAACAGTGTGAAAGTGTTCCTATTTCTCCACATCCTCTCCAGCACCTGTTGTTTCCTGACTTTTTAATGATCACCATTCTAACTGGTGTGAGATGGTATCTCATTGTGGTTTTGATTGGCATTTCTCTGATGGCCAGTGATGATGAGCATTTTTTCATGTGTTTTTGGCTGCATAAATGTCTTCTTTTGAGAAGTGTCTGTTCATATCCTTCGCCCACTTTTTGATGGGGTTGTTTTTTTCTTGTAAATTTGTTTAAGTTCTTTGTAGATTCTAGATATTAGCCCTTTGTCAGATGAGTAGATTGCAAAAATTTTCTCCCATTCTGTAGGTTGCCTATTCACTCTGATGGTAGTTTCTTTTGCTGTGCAGAAGCTCTTTAGTTTACTTAGATCCCATTTGTCAATTTTGGCTTTTGTTGCCATTGCTTTTGGTGTCTTAGACATGAAGTCCTTGCCCATGCCTATGTCCTGAATGATATTGCCTAGGTTTTCTTCTAGGGTTTTTATGGTTTTAGGTCTAACATGTAAGACTTTAATCCATCTTGAATTGATTTTTGTATAAGGTGTAAGGAAGGGATCCAGTTTCAGCTTTCTACATATGGCTAGCCAGTTTTCCCAGCACCATTTATTAAATAGGGAATCCTTTCCCCATTTCTTGTTTTTGTCAGGTTTGTCAAAGATCAGGTAGTTGTAGATGTGTGGTGTTATTTCTGAGGGCTGTGTTCTGTTCCATTGATCTATATCTCTGTTTTGGTACCAGTACCATGCTGTTTTGGTTACTGTAGCCTTGTAGTATAGTTTGAAGTCAGGTAGTGTGATGCCTTCAGCTTTATTCTTTTGGCTTAGGATTGACTTGGCAATGCAGGCTCTTTTTTGGTTCCATATGAACTTTAAAGTAGTTTTTTCCAATTCTGGTTTGGTATAATTTTAAGTTTTGTTTTGTTTTGTTTTTGCACCTGTTGTAAAAGGAGTTGAGTTCTTGATTTCATTCTCAGCTTGGTTGGTGTTGGTGTATAGCAGTGCTGCTGATTTGTGTACATTTATTTTGTAATCTGAAACTTTACTGAATTCATTTATAAGATCTAGGAGCTTTTTGGATGAGTGTTTAGGGTTTTCTAGGTATACAATCATATCATTGGTAAACAGCAACATTGACTTCTTCTTTATCAATTTGGATGCCATTGATTTCTTTCTCTCTTCTGATTGCTTTGCTTGAGACTTCCAGTACTATGTTGAATAGAAGTGGTGAGAGTGGGCATTCTTGTCTTATTCCAGTTCTCAGGGGAAATGCTTTCAACTTTTCCCCATTCAGTACTATGTTGGCTATGGGTTTGTCATAGATGGCTTTTATTACCTTAAGTTATGGCCCTTCTATGCCGATTGCTATCAGTTGTAGTATCTCCCATTTTGTTTCTAGTTGAGCTTCTTTGGATCTTATCTCTTCTTTTCTTGGTTAATCTTGCTAATGCTGTATTTATTTTGTTTACTTTTCAAATAACCAGTGTTTTTGTTTCATTTCTCTTTTGTATTTTTTGTTTCAATTTCATTTAGTTCTGCTCTGACTTTGGTTATTTCTTTTCTTCTGCTGGGTTGTGGGTTGGTTTGTTTTTGTTTCTCTAGCTCCTTGAGGTGTAACTTTAGATTGTCTCTTTGTGCTCTTTCAGATTTCTTGTTGCAGGTATTTAATGCTGTGAATTTTTTTCTTGGCACTGCTTTTGCTGTATCCAAGAGGTTTTGATGGGTTATGTCACTATTATTGTTCAGTTCAAATAATTTTTTAATGTTCATCTTGATTTCATTGTTGACCAAATGATCATTCAGGAACAGGTGATTTAATTTTCATGTATTTGCATGGCTTCGAGGGTTCCTTTTGGAATTGATTTTCAATTTTATTCCACTGTGGTCTGAGACAGCACTTGCTATAATTTTGATTTTCTTAAATTTATTGAGACTTGTTTCGTATTCTGTCATGTGGTCAATCTTGGGGAATGGTCCACGTACTTATGAAAAGAATGTATAGTCTGCAGTTATTGGGTAGAATGTTCTGTAAATATCTATAAAGTCCATTTGTTGTAGTTTATAGTTTAAGTCCCTTGTTTCTTTGTTGACTTTAGTCTTGATGACCTGTCTAGGGCTGTCAGTAAAGTATTGAAGACCCCCACTAATATCGTGTTGCCATCTGTCTCATTTCTTAGGTCTATTAATGATTGTTTTATAAGTTTGGGAGCTCCAGTGTTAAGTACATATATATTTAGGATTGTGATATTTTCCTATTGGACTAATCCTTTTATTATTATATAATGTCCCTCTTTGTCTTTCTTAACTGGTGTTGCTTTAAAGTCTTTTTTGTCTGTTAGAATAACAGCTACTCCTGGTTGCCTTTGTTGCCCATTTGCATGGAATGTCTTTTTTCACCCCTTTACCTTAAGTTTATGTGAGTCCTTTGTGTTAGATGAGTCTCTTGAAGACAGCAGACACTTGGTTGGTGGATTTTTATCCTTTCTGCCATTCTGTATCTTTTAAGCGGAGCATTTAGGCCATTTACATTCAATATTAGTATTGACATGTGAGGTAGGTACTGTTTTATTCATCATGCTAGTTGTTGCCTAAATACCTTTTTTTTTCATGGTGTTATTGTTATAGATTCTGTGAAGTTTTTGCTTTAAGGATGTTCCATTTTGGTGTATTTTGAGGTTTTGTTTCAAGATTTAGAGCTCCTTTTAGCAGTTCTTATAGTGCTGGCATGGTAGTGGTGAATTCTCTCAGGATTTGTTTGTCTGGGAAAGACTATATCTTTCCTTCATTTATGAAGCATAGTTTCACTGGATGCAAAATTCTTGGCTGATTATTGTTTTGTTTAAGGAGGTTAAAGACAGGACCCCAATCCCTTCTGGCTTGCAGGGTTCCTACTGAGAAATCTGCTGTTAATCTGATAGGTTTTCCTTTAAGATTACCTAATGCTTTTGCCTCATAGCTCTTAAGATGCTTTTCTTCATCTTGAGTTTAGACAACCTGATGACTGTGTGCCCAAGTGTTGATCTTTTTGCTATGAATTTCCTGGGTGTTCTTCTAGCTTCTTATATTTGGATGTCTAGATATTTAGCAAGACTAAGGAAGTTTGCCTTGATTAGTCCCTCATATAAGTTTTCCAAACTTTTGGATTTCTCTTCTTACTCAGGAACAACAATTATGTTTTGTTGTTTAATGTAATCTCAAATTTATTGGAAACTTTGTTCATTTTTTTTTATTATTATTATTATTTATTTATTTATTTATTTATTTATTTTTATTGATTATTCTTGGGTGTTTCTCGCAGAGGGGGATTTGGCAGGGTCATAGGACAATAGTGGAGGGAAGGTCAGCAGATAAACAAGTGAACAAAGGTCTCTGGTTTTCCTAGGCAGAGGACCCTGCGGCCTTCCGCAGTGTTTGTGTCCCTGGGTACTTAAGATTAGGGAGTGGTGATGACTCTTAACGAGCATGCTGCCTTCAAGCATCTGTTTAACAAAGCACATCTTGCGCCGCCCTTAATCCATTTAACCCTGAGTGGACACAGCACATGTTTCAGAGAGCACAGGGTTGGGGGTAAGGTCACAGATCAACAGGATCCCAAGGCAGAAGAATTTTTCTTAGTACAGAACAAAATGAAAAGTCTCCCATGTCTACTTCTCTCTACACAGACACGGCAACCATCCGACCTCTCAATCTTTTCCCCACCCTTCCCCCCCTCTCCATTCCACAAAACCGCCATTGTCATCATGGCCCGTTCTCAATGAGCCATTGGGTACACCTACCAGATGGGGTGGTGGCCGGGCAGAGGGGCTCCTCACTTCCCAGTAGGGGTGGCCGGGCAGAGGCGCCCCTCACCTCCCGGACGGGGCGGCTGGCCGGGCGGGGGGGCTGACCCCCCCACCTCCCTCCCAGACGGGGCGGCTGGCCGGGCGGGGGGCTGACCCCCCCACCTCCCTCCTGGACGGGGCGGCTGGCCGGGCGGGGGGCTGACCCCCCCCACCTCCCTCCCGGACGGGGCGGCTGGCCGGGCGGGGGGCTGACCCCCCCACCTCCCTCCTGGATGGGGCGGCTGGCCGGGCAAAGGGGCTCCTCACTTCCCAGTAGGGGCGGCCGGGCTGAGGCGCCCCTCACCTCCCGGATGGGGCGGCTGGCCGGGCGGGGGGCTGACCCCCCCACTTCCCTCCCGGACGGGGTGGCTGGCCTGGCGGGGGCTGACCCCCACCTCCCTCCCGGACGGGGTGGCTGCCGGGCGGAGACGCTCCTCACTTCCCAGACGGGGTGGCTGCCGGACGGAGGGTCTCCTCACTTCTCAGATGGGGCGGCTGCCGGGTGGCGGGACTCCTCACTTCTCAGACGGGGTGGTTGCCAGGCATAGGGTCTCCTCACTTCTCAGACGGGGCGGCCGGGCAGAGACGCTCCTCACCTCCCAGACAGGGTCGCGGCCGGGCAGAGGCACTCCTCACATCCCAGATGGGGCGGCGGGGTAGAGGCGCTCCCCACATCTCAGACGATGGGTGGCCGGGCAGAGACGCTCCTCACTTCCTAGATGGGATGGCGGCGGGGAAGAGGCGCTCCTCACTTCCTAGATGGGATGGTGGCTGGGCAGAGACGCTCCTCACTTTCCAGACTGAGCAGCCAGGCAGAGGGGCTCCTCACGTCCCAGACGATGGGCGGCCAGGCAGAGACTCTCCTCACTTCCCAGACGGGGTGGCGCCCGGGCAGAGGCTGCAATCTCAGCACTTTGGGAGGCTAAGGCAGGCGGCTGGGAGGTGGTTGTAGCGAGCCGAGATCACGCCACTGCACTCCAGCCTGGGCATCATTGAGCACTGAGTGAACGAGACTCCGTCTGCAATCCCGGCACCTCGGGAGGCCAAGGCTGGCGGATCACTCGCGGTAAGGAGCTGGAGACCAGCCTGGCCAACACAGCGAAACCCCGTCTCCACCAAAAAAATACGAAAACCAGTCAGGCGTGGCGGTGGCGCCTGCAATCGCAGGCACTCGGCAGGCACTCGGCAGGAGAATCAGGCAGGGAGGTTGCAGTGAGCCGAGATGGCAGCAGTACAGTCCAGCTTCGGCTCGGCATCAGAGGGAGACCGTGGAAAGAGAGGGAGAGGGAGACCATGGGGAGGGGGAGAGGGAGAGGGAGAGGGAGAGCCTTTGTTCATTTTTTAAAAAATTATTTTTTTCTTTGTCAGATCAGGTTAATTCGAAGGCCTTGTCTTTGAGCTCTGAAGTTCATTCTTCTACTTGTTCAATTCTATTGTTGAAACCTTCCAGTGTATTTTGCATTTCTCTAAGTGTGTCTTTCATTTCCAGACGTTGTAATTGTCTTTTCTTTACGATATCTATCTTTCTATGGAATTTTTCATTCATATCCTCCTTTTTGTTTTTAATTTCTTTAAGTTGGTTTTCACCTTTCTCTGGTGGCTCCTTGAGTAGCTTAATAATCAACCTTCTGAATTCTTCATCTGTCAGTTCAGAGATTTCATCTTGGTTTGGATCCATTGCTGGAGAGCTAGTGTGATCTTTTGGGGGTGTTATAGAACCTCATTTAATAGTATTACTAGAATTACTTTTTTAGTTCCTTCTCATTTGGGAAAGATTTTGGACTCAAGGGCTGCTGTTCAGATTCTGTTGTCCCATGGAGTAATCCCTTGATTTGGTGCTCTCCCCCTTCTCTTCGAGATGGGGCTTCCTGAGAGCTAGACCACAGTGATTGTTATTGTTCTTCTGAATCCAGCCACCCAGTAGGGCTACTGGGTGCCAGGCTGGTGCTGAGGAATGTCTGAAAAGTGTCCTGTGATTTGATCTATCTTCAGGTCTCCCAGCCATGGATTCCAGCACCTGCTCTGGTGGAGGTGGCAGGAGAGTAAAAGGGACTCTATGGGAGTCCTTGGTTGTAGTTATTTTTTGGTGTGCTGGTTTTCTTGAATGCTGGTTATGCTAGCAGTCAAGTTGTCATGTGGATGGACTCAGGACCTCTGATTAGCCAGGGCGTTGCAGGCAGTGGAGTTATCTATTGTTTTCTCCTTCTTTAGAGCAGGGTGTTCTGTTATGAGTTGCTGTAATGGCTTGAGTTGATTGGCCTCCTGTCAGGAGGTGGTGCTTCCAAGAGAGTACAGCTGCAGTAGTAGAAGGGGGATATAATCTTGCCCTGAGTTGGCCAGGATGAGTACTCAGGTTTCTCAGGTGATGAGTGGGGCCATAGAGATCCCAAGAGCTTACGTCTTTTGTCTTCAGGGTTTTTTGGCTGGTTTTTGGCATCTGCAGTGACAAGCCACTTCTTTCAAAGGGTCTGTGAATTCTTCCAGTTTTTCCAGTATGTTCCTACAGTGGTTCTTGGAGCAAAAGTTCATAATGTGTGTCTCCAGACACTGTTCTATCCATCCAGTGGGAGCTGCGTGTTAGTCCTGTCTTCTATCCACCATTTTTCCTATGATTGTTATATCCTCTTGCTGAATTGACACCTTTATCATTATATAAAGACCTTCTTTGACTCTTTTTAGAATTTTGTTTTGAAATTTATTTTGCCTTATATACACATAGCTACTCCTGCTTCGTTTTGGTTTTTAATGGCATGGCATATCTTTTTCCATCTCTTTATTTTCAGTCTCTGTGTGTCTTTATAGGTGAAGTGTGTATCTTTTAATCCGTTCAGCCACAGTATGTCTTTTGGTTGGTGAGTTTGGTCCATTTACTTTCAATGTTATCATTGAATATAAAATAATGAGTTATAGTATATTATTTGCAACCCTCATGATAAGCTCAAATCAAAAAACATGCAACAGATGCAAAAAAATGAATTAAAACATACCACCAGAGAAGATCACCTTCACTAAAAAGAGACAGGAAGGAAGGAAAGAAAGAAGGAAGAGAAGACCACAAATCAACCAGAAAGCAAATAACAAACTGGCAAGATGAAGTCCTTACTTATGGATGATAACATATTTTGGGTGGATAGTTGTTCAATTGGTGTTCTTGTAGGAAGTAAGATTGCTTGAGGCTTCTATTTGGCTACCTTGCACTGCCTCCAAAATCTGCTTGCATTTGTTTTACTCTGTTATTTCAATTTACTACTCTTTATTCCATCACAGATATATTAACTATCCTATCTTATTTTATTTATGGATTTGGAATCTATGAGTTTATCTTGGTCCTGGCAAAGAATTGTTGATCTTCACAATACAAAATATAGATTCTGTAGTTATATCATTAGAGATCAAGTTAACACTCTTAATACAGAGTCTGTAGTTATGTCATTAGAGATCAGGTTCATTTATTAAAATTCAGTGGGCACAATTGTTCAGCTTGCTATGAATTCACTGGTACACTTTTCCAACTGTATGAAAGATATTACAAGACATTTTCAAATTATTTACTAAAATAATATTAATTGGACTTTAAAAAAATTTTAGCAAAACTCACTTGCTATCTAGGAACCCTTTTCTTATTTTATTTAATTGTTTATTATACTTTAAGTTCTAGGGTACATGTGCACAACGTGCAGGTTTGTTACATATGTATACATGTGCCATGTTGGTGTGCTGCACCTGTTAACTCATCATTTACATTAAGTATATCTCCTAATGCTATCCCTCCCTCCTCCCCCCACCCCATGACAGGCCCTGGTATGTGATGTTCCCCACCCTGTGTCCTAGTGTTCTCATTGTTCAGTTCCCACCTATGAGTGAGAACATGTGGTGTTTGGTTTTCTGTCCTTGCGATAGTTTGCTCAGAATGATGGTTTCCAGCTTCATCCATGTCTCTACAAAGGACGTGAACTCATCCTTTTTTATGGCTGTATAGTATTCCATGGTGTATACGTGCCACGTTTTCTTAATCCAGTCTATCATTGGTGGACATTTGGGAACCT
Organism: Homo sapiens; assembly: GCF_000001405.40. Taxonomy (NCBI): domain Eukaryota; kingdom Metazoa; phylum Chordata; class Mammalia; order Primates; family Hominidae; genus Homo; species Homo sapiens. The sequence goes on from NC_000008.11 coordinate 86,698,062, forward strand.
TTTATTTTCTAAGTGCTCAAAAATCACATTTAGCCATTGATTCTGGTGTTCTGCCAAAGATCTGATAAAGCTGTGTGACCGATAGTTTCCAGATTCTATATCATATCCCTCTTTGAAAATGAATTCATTTGTTCATTTGTATACAGCAGATTCAAGTTATTAGTAAATGAAGATTCTTCTAAATGTCATTTGTTATTTAGATAGTCTTTGAAAACCAAATATAAGTATCATTTTCATCAGGGACAAATAACAGATTTGAATCTACCTTTGTATGAATGTTATTATGACTTTATAGTCTAGGTTAGCTAATTCTCTTTAATGAGTGGAATAAAAAGCACATTTCAACCTTGTACTTGGTGGAGGCTTTAATTGGGGCAAGGACATTTTTATACAAAGATAGAGAAAACAATCGCCTATGGAATTTGATTCCTTGCTCCATTCCCTCGCTAGCACCTCTCCACATGCTTGATGATATTTAAAATTTCTTCATAGGGAAAAAGCTTTTCATCCCACAATTAGAATCAGGCTTAACTTGCTTTTTGAAGAGGTAGTAGGTAATTTGTGTTAAGATATAAATTACCAAGATTTTTGTATCTTGAAACAGATTTAGATGATAGAGTGAGGTAGGTGGTGGTGGTTGGTGGGAAGGGGTAGTTTGTTAGAGAGGGTGTTAAGAGTTGGGATTTTCAACGTGAGAGAGGTGAAGGTTTGAAAATAAGTAAGAAAAGCACTAAAAGGATGAAGTCAAGGGCCTCTAAGAGCCAGCATGATAGATTCTATTTCACAATTTAACACAGGATCACCATAGACCAAAGCAAGTTTATAACTAAGGCAATGAAGATCATCTGTCTCCTCCCTTCCCCATTAATTGTGAACTTTAGCTTTATAAGCTCCTAAGAGGCAGAAAACAAGTCGGAGACCCGTCATCTATTTGGGAGTATATGGTATGTATTTATTGTCCTAGGTGCTGGGTTTATTTTTTTCAGCAAATGAGAGTTTTCTTACAATTATTAATCAATGATGGAGGAAGTGATCATTAGAGTACACCTTTATATTTTGAAGGATAGTAAAGTTACGCCCACAACTGGATTTTTCTTCTGAAAGCATGTTTTCAAGATCCTTACAATTTGAACCCCTTTTTTAAACTCCATCTGTTGCACCTTAGTGTCATATTGGAAATTATAACAGAATTTTTAACTCTTCTTCATTATAATCTTATATAATAATAATTTAGATATAAATTAATTGGCCATAACTTTATAAGTAAACAATAAAATCAAGACTATTGAATGTTGGCCAGGTGCAGTGGCTCATTCCTATAATCCCAGCACTTTGGGAGGCCAAGATGGAGGATTGCTTGAGGTGAGGAGTTTGAGACCAGCCTGGGCAACATAGTGAGACCCCATCTGTCTCTCTCTCTCAAAAATAATACATAAAAAAGACTACTGAATGTTAATATATTGCATATAAGTACCATTTCCAATGAGCCATTTATTGGTACTTATGGATTCTTGCTGAATATGATATATGATGGTGGTTCATGACAATGTCCTGACATCCACAACAATCAATAAAAGGAAAAACTGCTGAAAGCTTTCAAGTTTTTCATTGTCTGAAAACTGCAGTTAGTTTGGATAGAAATTTAATTGCCCAGAATTTCAATCTGATTGTATTAGATCCCTTTTGCCAAATTTATAGGGTTGTCCAAGTATGGTATTTGAAAAATGCTCATAATTTCCAATATCTGCAGGTGGTGAATTCTTTAATCTTTCTTCTTAGCCTCCCTAAGAGGAGAGACAATTGGAATCTAAAATACAGTTTATTTCCTTTCCTACTTTTTTTCTCCTTCCCATCCTCCCTTCCTTTCCTCCCTCTATCATCCAATCTCTCTTTCTTTCTTCTTTTGCTTTCAATCCAAATCAAGCCAAATAAAATGGCAAGACCCCCACAAAATTTTGTTTAACATGTTCAATTTCTTGTTTGAGTAATACAAAGATGCTAAATTGTTATAACTTTTTATTGCAACTTCAAAGAAACGAGACCTAAGCATTTCCAAAACTAATTACTGCAGATTAAGAGCAACATTGTATGAGAAGCAATGTTTTTTTTAAATTGGTTTAATTCAGTTAACTAATGCATACATCTGAAGCTCTTTATGCTTTTTTTCCTTTCTATTTGTCAGTGATAAACTCAGCTCTATCTGAGGCATTTGTGTGACATCTTAGGAATTATTAAAATATATTGCCTGCCATTTTCAATTTTTTTAATACTAAGAACCATTCAATTAAACGTATGGAAATTTACCACTAGGACATTTCCATGAATGAATACTTTCAACTAGTTGCATTTAAGTGATAGTCATGGTAAAAATTCTGGAAATTTTTCTTAGAGTAAGACTACTTTTTCTAATGTTATTTTCTATTTACAAAATGTCTCTTGGTTACAATTAACGAGATTAAATTGTTTAAATTCTACTTCCTTTTCTCCTCACATCTCCAATATCGTCAGGTTATGGTGTGAATCAAAACCAGTGGACTGAACTGAAAGTAGATGGACTGGTAGACCAAGGTGAAGAAGTTTTATTTTTTATTTTTTGAGACAGAGTCTTGCTCTGACACCCAGGCTGGAGTGCAGTGGCATGATCTCGGCTCACTGCAACCTCCATCTCCCGGGTTCAAGCAATTCTCATGCCTCAACCTTGTGAGTAGCTGGGATTATAGACTGTGCCACCACGCTGGCTAATTTTTGTATTTTTGTATTTAGAGACAGAGTTTTGCCATGTTGGCCAGGCTGGTCTTGAGCTCCTGGCCTCAAATGATCTGCCAGCCTCAGCCTCCCAAAGTGCTGGGATTACAGGCGTGAGCCACTGTGCCCGGCTGGGAAGGAATGTTTTTGAATCATTCCCAATCTTAATAGTTTCTGGATAATTATCATGGTCCATATAGTTTAAAATATAAACAATATTGCAAATATTGAATCCTAGCTCCACTAAAATCCCTGCCTCCGCAGCCTAGAACAAATGCTTTAATTTTTTATACTTTGGGAAGGTATGCAAATGAACCTGTTATTTTCTATTTTAACAGCTATGAGCTCATAATTCTTTCAATTAAAATTTATGCACATAGTAACTATCCCTCCCATCTTTTAGATTCAGCTGTTCCTTGGCTTTAGAAAAATCTCTTTGGCAAGCAGACAGGTAGAGAGTATAAACTGGAACTTCAAAATTTTAAGTTTAAATTAGCAAAATATGTCAACATTGGTAATATTACAGAATTTATGGAATTTAATTTCTTTCAGTGTTGAAGTATTTCTTGAAATAAATATGGGGCTCTAACACCAATAATATGCCATAATTTTTGTGAAGTGGGGCACAGAAGACAAGCTTTGGAGGACATCTCATAAATCTTCTAATTCAATTGCACTTAAACAAGAATCCTCTCTACATCATATCTAGATAAATAATTACTCAGTTTTTGAAGACAGGCTCTCTGTGGACTGCTTGAAGTAATTTAAAAGATTAGAAAAACAGAAAGATAACCATGCAATAATGCATTTGTTTATTATTTTTAAAATTCTTTCCCAGTGAAAGCCCGAACAGTGCAATAATATATTTAAAACATAGCTCTCTTACTGGACAATCACTATTATACTATCTCATGGTAGATTTTATTTTGTAAATAATTCAATAGATAACTACTGGGAAATGGTCAATTCCCCTGAAGTATTTTTATACTCATTTGTTACGAATTTTACCATTTAAGACCTTAAAAATTACTTTTAAATGGTCAAAAATAAGTAGTTATTATTGGGGACTTAGAAAATACCAAAAGGTGAAGGAAAAGAAAAATATGAGTTTTAAGTCTACTATTCAAAGGAAGTTATTATTAAAATTTTGGTGCATATTCTTTAAGTCTTTGTTTTATTTATCAGTTTGAAAATATATATTTGAGATTAGTTGATATGGACAGCCCTGTATTCTTTTTGTAAATATTTTAATGGTTGTTAATAAACACATTTAATATATGCTATAAGAAGTTCTTTACATGTTCCTCACATTATAGCACATTGGAAAGTAACTACTTTTAAGGCATTAAGAGGCAAACAGATGAAGCTGTTTGAGGCTAGAGGCAACTGTCTTGTGGCACTGGCTGCACAGACAAATCTTGTTATCATTTTTGAGGGCTCGGAAGATCAATGAATCAGTAATCTGTTCTGCAGCATGGCAGAATCCACTAGTGGGACAATTCTCCTTAAGGCTATTCTGTATTGTTCTATCATTGGGCATTTAAGATGAATACACATTTTATATTATTATAGGTAATGAACAAACATATTTTGTATTAATACAGATACTCCAACAAAGATGTTTTAATGTCATCTTTGACCATGAAGATTTTATACATTTGAGATTATTTATTTCCCTGTAATAAATTCCCCCAAATAGTAGCATTGAATATTTTTGGATATAGATATTTCTAAGAATCCTGATACCTACTCATTGGTTTTCTAAAGAAGTATCATTAACATTTGAGAATGTTTATTTTATCTCCCCTTCTCTAGCATTGGGTAGTATTTTAAAAACATTTCTGCTATTTTGGTAGCCAAAAATTGGCATGTAATTTTAGTGAGCATTTTCTAGGTTACTCTCAAGATGAATGCTTGCACATTTACTTATAAGTCACTTTTTTCTAACTTGTGAATTTTTGGTTTTGGAGTCATATTCTTTTTTAAAAAAAATCTCTGTGTAAGCTTTTAATATATATATTAAGTATTTTCTCCGTTTTTCATGTCTTCTTCTATTTTTTAAAATAGGAGAGTTTTTATTTTGATGAAGTCTAATTATTCATATTTGCCTTTGTCATTTCTTCCACCTTAGAAATGTCTCCATATATTTGATGAAGATTTTTATATAATTTTTAAAAATTGATTTTACTTTTAACTTCATCCATGAAATCTATTTGGGTTTTTGGCATGCCATAAGGAGCTAAATACAATTTTCTTTCTTTTACATACAGTTTACCATCTAACACCATTTTAAAAATAATCTGTTATTTTCTTGTGATTTATAATGTCATCTTCATTTTTCTTTAGTGCGTCGTGCTTTTTCTGTTAATTAGATTCCTACTTAAAACAAGACTAATTAATTTTTCACATATATCCAAATATTTATAATAACATGGGACTCTTTATTTATCGCTTTATTATAGGGACTATTTTCCTTCCACTTACAGGCAAGGTTAAAATGAAAAAAAGAGAGTTTGTCTATTGTGTTGGTAAAGAAAGACAGAAGTGGGAGGAGGAGAGGAAAATAAGTGCTTTATGATAATTTATTTTTCCCAGAATAGGAATTCACTGGGTGCACACAATATAATTCTTTTTCTCATTTCCGTCTACCCCTTAGCCATTGTTTTCCTTTGATCTTTTTTCAGCTTTGCAATTATTGTGTGTGGCTGCATGATGTCTAGTGGACCGGCACTAGAGGGCAGTGTGAGTGCATGTTTATGGGTGTTAAACGACACTGTTCAAAGGCCGTTCTAAGCAGAGTTCAAGCTTTGTTGTAACTGATTGCTACTGTGCCTCTTTTTTCTTAACTTAATCCATGCTTTTGTTCGGCAGCCTGTACAATAGGAGCCAGTGCTGGGGAGACTATTGCATGTTGCCAGGGAGCTTGTACAACCAAGTAAAGCCTCATTCGGGTCTTATACGGTGAATGTATTCATTCAGTGATTTGTATTTTTCAACAAAGAATCAGTATGGTGTTATATCTGAGTGATTATAAGTCATTTTTACTTTTATTTTGTGATATTTTTCAAATTTACTATTGTGGACATGTAAATTACACTATAAGAAAGAATAAATATCATAAAAACTAATATTTCTTATTATTTCTAGCAGTCAAAATTTATTGCAAATTACAGTTGGCCCATAAATGATGTAGAGGTTAGGGGCACTAGACCTCCTGTGTAGCTGAAAATTGCATATGACTTTTGACTCCTCCCAAACTTAACTACTAATAGCCTACTGTTGGCCAGAAGCCTTACTTGTTCATATGGATGGGTACATATTTCATGTTATACATGTTACATACTGCATTCTTACAATAAAGCAAGCCAGAGAAGAGAAAATGTTATTAAAATCATAAAGAAGAGACCATATATTTACTATTGCCTAAGTGGAAGTGGATCATCAGAAAGGTCTGCATCCAGTTGTCCTCATGTTGAGTAGGCTGAGGAGGAGCAAGAAGAGGAGAGATCGTGTTGCTGTCTCACAGATGGCAGAGAAGGAAGAAAATCCAGGGATAAGTGGTACCACAGTTCAAATTCTTGTTGTTCTAGGGTCAACTGAATTAAAGATTGTGTTTATGATGGGAACAGAAAGAGAAGAAAAATTCATTAGACTGTATTTTCCTATCCTGTTAACTAGGGATGATAAAAACATGGCTGTAATGGAAATGGAAAATCTTGTTTTTCCCACTTCTCTTAAGGCAATGCTCTGAAGGACTTTCTGCCCAGGCTTTGGGAGCTACATCAGGGACTTGGAGGTTTCTCTCTAACTGATTGGCACTTGGTCCACCAAGGGACACTGAGACAATGTCAAGGGCACTGTAGCAGTCATGTTTCAAGCTGGAACTCAAGAGTACAATTTCTCACAGATTAATTCCATAGTTCTTTTCATACAGCACTGGTCTTAAATAAATTATAATCTAAATTGAATTCTTTAGGCTCTCTTTTCATCTGACTGTCATTTTTAACATTGTTACAATGGAAAAATGCATTAGGAGTTTCAAACAACTAATGACTTTTAAAATACCGTCTATTTTTTTCTTTTTTTGAAGTAACATCTGTGTCATCAAATGACAGAATGCTAGTAGGTCTCTTTCGTTCAGAGGTCACCAGCAACCCACGAACTAGAAATCTGCTATTAGAAGCTGTAGTAGAGGGCTGATTGGCACGAAAAATTAGCTTTAGAATTAATGTAAATTAGCATGTCTAAGCATTTAAAGCTGACAGTCAATAAACTCCTCCCCACACCTCCCAAAATACATCTTGGGAGAAGCAAATTGCCTAGGAATTCTAATTAACTGCTGAAGTCCTTTGCCAATATTTCACTTTAAGTTGAATTCTCATATGTATTTCTGTTAGTGAACAGGCAGCTTTCTTCTTTCACCAATTAAACCTAAGGTCTTGGAAGTTTTCATTTTCATCGTTTAAGTTTTGTTTGGTCCTTTACTGTGTTCACCAGTCCAAATTGTACTATGCACCAGTAAACTATTTAAATTCTCCAGAGCAAATAAACTTCAGGTGTGAGTAAAAAAAAAGTGCTGGCAGACGACCTGCCCCCGCTGCCCCCAACCCACCCGCAAATGTCCATGCTCCTATTCCTAGAACCTGTGAATATGTTACATTACATGGCAAAAGGAATGTTGCAGGTTACAGAGTTTAACATGGGGAGATTATCCTGGATTATCTGGGTGGGCCCAATATAATCATGTAAGCCCCTAAAAACCAAAAATATTCTCTGGCTGCAAGCAGAAGAGACGCTGCAGACAAAACATTGTCACACCAAATACCAAAGACAGGCTGGATATCAGAAACACGGCTGACATGAGCGCTGGGGGTTCAGAGAGGAGTTATAGCCTGAGTTATATCCTTCTGGGGTGGAGCTGCAGGTGGTTTACATATAGCAGCACAGGCTTTGGCCTTAGGTCGGCAGTGAGACAGTAAGTTGCTGGGCTTTCTAAATTTGTATTTGCACCAATGCATGGAGTTAGTTTAAATGATGTGGATTATAGTATGACACAGACTAGGAATAGTGGGTGATACAGAACCAGATGCTCATTTGAAGAAACCAAGACAGAAACTTTTTGCTGCTGCTGTTAACACCTGGATAACTTTTCACCTGGTCATTGATGAGGAAGACTTGTTAACTTCAGAACTTTCTTTACTGAGGCCCTACACTGACAGTGAGGTAAGTGTGGTAATTTAATTGTAGTTGCTTATATAAATTACCTGTTAATAAACAAAACACAATTCCTTTCATAATGTAGTTTATATTCTTTAGTGAACTTTTAAAAATTATATTTATAAAGTAGGGACTGAAGTACTTTTCCAGGTCTCATTAAAACCCAATGTGCTGATGTAAGAACAGATTGATGATTGAGTAAAGATTGCTGTACCTAAGGAGGCAAACTAGGCAAACAGCCCCTCTCTTCCCCTTAGATTAATGTCTGAACAAGACCTATTTAAGTCTACATGAACCATATGTTACATTTTCAGTTCCTTTCAAAACACATGTTGGTACGGTTTAAGCAAAACATTCATTACTTTAAAAAATACCCTCTGCTTCTAATTTTAAAAGCATGTGAGTAAATGCATCGCTCATTAGTGTGAGAAAAGCACTGTATTGAGCTCCAAGTAGGTAAAAGTGCAACAGCCTTGAGAGCTCTTTCATGTGGCCACCAGTTGGATCTTAATCCTGGGGGAAGTAAAACCTTTCTCCAATTAGATTTGCCCTGAATAGAAGGCTTGCTGTGTCCCTCAGCCTGATACTTTTGTTGCCTGGACTGATGCCCTCTGAAGTCCAGACTTAAACCATTGTTTTCCTTTCATTTGAGTCTTAAATCGTGTCCTAGACTCTGGAGGTGAACACTTAGTGCAATCAATCCCTGATTACAGTGCTTTCTCCAAATCTGGTTATCATATGAGTCATTAGAATAATTGCAGTTGAAACCAACAATTGTAGAGAGGAAGTCAAATGCATAACTTCTACTTCTTGTACTTGTGGAATCAGTTAAAGCTTGAGGGTTCAATTTTGTTCTTGACCTCAAATAGCTTAAAAGTACATTAAATTGTGAATTTTCTATGAACCATTCAAAAAGACTTGGTGATATTTTGTGATAAAAATATTATAAAATCAGACATGAAGCTTGATCAAATAAATGTATTCATGGAAGAGGCTCAGAGTTACTTAAGAGATATTAACTTGATGATATTTTACATTTAATAATTTAAGAATAAAATCACACATTTATGGGAAGAAACATTATCTTCCTTCCAAAGCTAAAAGGCTCCCATCCATCCATCCATTCATTCAAACATTCATTCAGAATTTATTTATCATAGGCCTATTATATGCCAGAAAGTCTTTTAGGAATTGGGAATATAGAAATAAGCATAACAAACTCCTATCTTTATATTTGAAGATATGTTACTTTTTAATAAAGAGAGACAGATAATATAAACTTAAAAAATATAGAATATGTCAGGTGATGATAAATGCTATGAAGGAAAACAAAGTAAGGAAGACAAAGAGTGAAAGGTATTGGTATTTTCTACAGAGTGGTCAGAAAAGGCCTCTCCAGGAAAATAACATTTGAGCAGAGGCTTTGAAAGGAGTGAGGGAAGAGTTATGCAGATATCTGGGGGAAGACTGTTCCAGAGTGGTTGAGTCAGAGTGAGAGAATGACAGTGGCAGGAGCTGAGGTTAGTGAGGCAGTGGGGGGTTAGCAAGTTGAAGGCAGATAATATGGGGCTCTGTGGGCCATCATGAGGACTTCAGCTTTTACCTCGGCATGAGATGGGAAACCACTGGAGAATCTAGAGGAGAAAGGGATGATCTGCCCTTCAACAGGATCATCCAGGCTACTCCGGTGAATATAGACCATATGAGGGCAAAGATTGGAAGCTAGGTGAGCAGTTAGAAGGCTACTGCAATAGCTATGTGAGAGAGATGAACTAGGAGAGTAGCAGTGGAGATCTGAGATACGGCAAAGTCTAGATATAACACAAAGGAATAGCCGACAGAATTTGCTTTTGGATTGGCTGTATTGTAGGAGAGAAAAAATAGGGTGCATTTTTGGGTTGAGCAAAGAGAAGAATGAAGATTCCTTGTACTGAGATGGGGAAAACTGCAGGAGGAGTGGGTCTGAAAGAGGTAAGGGAAATTAAGAGTTGGTTTTGGACACATGCATTTTGCCATATCTGATTCCTCCAAGGGGAAATTTTAACTCGGCAGTTTGTAATTCAACCCAGGGTTCTGGGCAGAAATACCAACTGAAGATATAAATTTGGGAACCATCAGGGTATCAATGTTGCTTACAACCATGGGACTGAATAAAATCACTTGCTAAAAGAATCTAGGTAAAGAAGGGGTCTGAGGATTGTGCTTGTGCCCTTTCAAGTTTAGAGGTTGGGGAGGTGAGGAGGAGTCATTAATGAACGGTGAGGAAGAGAGTGGCCAGTGAGGGACGGTAGCAGTCAAAGGAGTGTGCTCTGGTAAGCCAGATAAAGATAGAAAGGAGAAGGAGATCAACTTCAAATAGTTGCTGATAGGTGGAATAAAGCAGAACTGAGCAATGGCCATCAGTATACACTTGATCTTGGCCAAAAGGCTGAGAAGCAATAGTTACCAGAGTAGAGGGCATTATTGACCTTGGGAAAAGTGGACAGAAGCCAATAAAAGCTTTTTTTCTTTACTTTCTTTCTTTTCTTTTCTTTTCTTAATTTTTTTTTTTTTTTTTTTTTTGAGTCAGGGTCTCACTCTGTCACTCAGGCTGGAGTTCAGTGGCATGATCACGGCTCACTGTAGCCTCGACTTCCTGGGCTCAAGTGATCCTCTCGCCTCAGACCTCCTAGTAGTTGGGACTGCAGGCATGTGCCACCATGCCTGAAGAATTTATTTATTTATTTTTGTAAAGATGGGGTCTTGCTCTGTTGCCCAGGCTAGTCTCAAACTCCTGGGCTTAAGTGATCCTCTTGCCTTGGCCAATAAAAGCTTTCATAACAGTAGAAGCTGTGGAATGAAGGAATAAAATCCTGGCTGAAACAGATTCAGAAGAACATGGGAGTAGAGGAAGCAGAAAAAGTGAATATAGGTAACTGTTTCGAATAAATTTGCTGTAGTGGGGAATAGAGAAATAGGGTGTGGCTGGTCACTCATGTGCAGCCCAGGGAGCCATTTTGTTGCTATTGTTTAAATGTGGAAAATGCTGCAACATGTTTACATGCTTATAGAAATGATCCAACAAAGAGAACAAGCTAGGTGTTGTGGGAAAGAAAGGATGCAATTGCCACAGTGGTGTCTATGACTAGGCTAGAGGGGATTAGCACACTAACAAAGGAGGTGGCCTTAGATGCAAGTTTGTTTGGTTCATTCATTGTTATAGAAGTAGAAGCTGATAAAATGGGTACCCACACAGACACATGTTACATTTGCCGGTGGAAGCATGTGGATTTTTTCCTCTAATTGTACCTATTTTGTCAACTTGTCCCCTGGCTACGTTTTCCTCTAGCATAGAGTAACACAGTTGTTTCTCTATTGTCTGTCAATGTCTTACAAACCCCAGCGCTTGGCTGAGCTCAAACAGCCCTGTTTCTGTGAGCCTGCTGCCCACATAAAGAGCATTGGTGAACAGTTGCAATATGAACAGCTGCAATGAAATGAATCATTAGGCTAGGTAGAAGCAATTTACCTAGCTGATTGTTGGCATGAAAACGAGTTGTTGGACTGTTACTTGTCTCAGCAGAGTTAGGGTGAACATTTATTGGTACGGAATTATTAGACATTTAAGTTCTCAGTTTTATGTTTTACCGCATTGTACAACAAACTGTCCTGATACTGTGGGATGCTGGAAAAGTTAAAAAAAATAAATGAAAACATTACCTTTCACATAAAGGAAGAATGATCAAGACATTTTATGGCTAATGAAAACAGCCATATTTGAAAAAAATTCCTATATTTAAAACAAGAACAATATTTAAAGCTAAAACTATACTCATAAAATTTCCATCAGAAATTTAAAAAATATGTATATGTTTTCACTTTGTGATTCCTCTTCTAGGAATCTACTAGAATAAAGCACATAATGTTTTATTCACAATGTGATTGCCTTCAACAGTATGTATTAAGTGCCAGATCCTGTGCTAAACAGTTGAGATAAAATGGTCAGTCCCTCTGGGAATTGCTTCACTCTGGCAAATGAGTTAAGCCCCATACCTTGGTTTGCCAACTCACAAATCTCTTCCTTTCTTGTAAAGGAAGGAGACAGTATGGGGGTTTCTTGTAAACTGCCATTCTCCAACCTGGCCACCACAGATTAGCTTACTTTTAGGTTGCTTGTAAGTGGTTTTCTCAACTTATCTACATAGTATTTGTGCTGCTTCTTGAAAATCTGTGCACTGTAAATCAATGTACTACTTTTGCTATTTCCCATGCCTGAAGTTATCTCCCACTAGGTGGAAATCTGTTTTCTTTTTCAAATGACTCAACTTTTTTGTCTGCTATTGCCACCAGGTAGGGAGATATCCCCCACTCCCCACCCCCATCTCTACTCTTTTCCTCTCACCTTGTTCTTGTCTCCTGCTAATTGCCAGTCCTAGGCAGAGCAATCACTTTCCTCCTCCCAAGAGGATGAAGATCTTAAGAAACACAGTAGTCATCCATTTATTCTCTCACCATGGGGAGCTTCCCTTTTACCTGTTAGCCAGCTCTTCCAGCCATCATCAACCAATTAACTTTCAAATAGACTCAACCAGACCTCTTTTCTAATTGATTCATATTTAGACTACTACGAATGAATTAAAGAGGTTGGCTACAAAAACATTCTATTACCACGGAAGACTGCTTATTAAATCCTGTCAGACAAAAAATACCTAAGATATAAACATCTAAAAAATTACAGTATAAAACAAAACCCTAAAAGAAACACTTATGAAAATAAGCTGGAAGGAAATGCAATAAAGTTAATTAAAATATAAAAGTGATTCTTCATATAGTTTTGGTTCTTTCTTCCGTAACTGCTTTATATTGGAAACAACATTAATGAATGTTTTTCCTGTTGACCACATGCCAGATTTTATAATGAAATTACCTGGTTTGACAGTGAACTTGTTTAGAACTTATCTATTCTTTCAAGGGAGAAATGGTAAACTGGTGACCTATAGCTGTGTTTTGTTGGATCTATCATTTGAAATAATTTTAACTTATTTTGGTAGTATTGCAAAATATGTACTTCTAGATATTGGAGGTTTTTTGAATAAAGAAGATGATATGGTATCACTAGGCCCCCTTTTCCATATGGCAACCCTCAGCTACATGGGCTCTTTGCGAAAGGAAGGACTTCTTGGTGCACTTAAGTTCACCTCTGTTTCTCTTTTCTACCTCCTGTCTCTTTTGTTATCAGATTAACTCTGTTGTTTTAATATCCCCAATGTGCTTTATTCATGGATTTTTGCCTGCCTGCGTCATAGAAATCTGAGATTGTTCACTCTTGTAATTTTCAAAAACTTTCAATCAACCAACCAATCAATCATCACATGGCTCTCCTCACTTTGCTAGGAACACAAGAAGACCCATTTTTTGAAAGTCTTCATTTAAGTACCATGAAACAATATAGTAATTGTCCAATTTCCTTCTTTCTATGCCAAAAGAAAGGAAGGAGACTCAGAAGTTCTGTCAGCTCTGGTTTTCTATGGCAACAGGCAACCGAGCTGTCATCTCTCCATGATAAATAGTGAAGCAATTTTTGATAGGACCACAAACTGCCTATAGGCTGGCTCCTCTCTCAGGGCCACTGCACACACTCATAAAATTTTTGTCTTTTGTCTGCTGACTCATGTCTAACCACCTACCTGTAAAGCACTCTTGCTGTTTCTGATCCTAGCCTGCTTCATCTTGGTACATCTAGTTTTTGGCAGCATTATTAATGACTTTTAAGGATACAAAGCACAGATGGAGGCTCTAGCAGGTAGTTTACCACTCTCTCTCTCTCTCTCTCTATATATATATATATATGACATATAATACATAGTATATAAATATTATGTATAATAAATACTTATATATGTACTATGAGTAATTACTTTTTTTGAAGTAAGGCCAGACTTTCAGATTGCACTGTTTTGAGTACCAGGATCACTGTTTTACTTCTGGGATTACCTGATATATTGGTTACTTTAGGCTATCAATTAAAGTACACTGTGCTTCTGGTATTGAATTTTGAAAAAGAGAAAATGAAATTGTGGTAGTAACGGATGAAAGATATCAATTTAATTAAATCATTAACAATTTTAAAGTACCTTAATAGCAAAACAAAATTTAAATATCGTTATCAACCCCAAAATAAAATTATCAGTCATCAGAGAAAGTGGCAATGAGCATTTTCATATCTGGATACTTTGCTGATTCTTTCTTTTTTATTTTGGTTATGATTTGTTTTGTAATGCAAAGTCTTTTTTATTTTTTAGGTAGTAAAGTTTATTAAGCTTTTTTATTACTTCTGAATTTTGAATTTTAGGACATAATGTACATTTCTAGGCTGTAGAAGAATTAGCATTTTTCCCCTAGTATTAGTATGGTTTTATTATTTTACATTTAAATCTCTGACTCATTGGGAATTTTTTCTGGTGTGTGGCACAAGGGACAAATTCAAATTTAGATTTTTCCATATGGCTACTTAGTTACTCCAGCACTACTTACTTAAATCCACCTTTTTCCTACAGATTTTAGATGTTAACCTTAATATACTATATTTTTATCTGCATTTAGATATATTTCTGTATTTCTATTCTGTTCTATGGTTTGATTCATGTGCTAATATCACACTTTTTAAATTATAGAAGTTTAAATAGGTTATAATATCTGGTAGGAATACTACTATATCTATTAGTTTTATTTTTCAGGGTTTTCCTGGCTTAATTTTTTTTTTTTTTTTTTTTAGATGAGGTCTTGCTGTGTTGCCTAGGCGGGCCTTGAACTCCTCTGCTCAGGCAATTCTCCCTCTACAAACTCCCAAGTAGCTAGGATTACAGGCATGTGATACTGCGCCTGGCTTTCTGGCTACTTTTGCTCATCTGTTTTTTTTCAAATGAACTTTATAACCAACTTAACTAGTTTAAAAAAAGAAAAAAGAAAAGAAAAAAAGGAGAGAGGAAAAACCTCCTGAAACAGAAAGGCAAAAACAAGTACCTGATAGAATATGTATTATTCCTCAAGTTTGATGTTCATTATTTTCATTGTTGTATTTCCAATTTCCCTTTGATTTATGTTTTGACCTCAGAGTTACTTAAAGGTGTTTTAAATTTTAACTATAGGAGATGTTTTCTAAATTTTAGTTTTAAAAAATTAACTTCTTTATTGCATAGTGGTTAGAGAATATATTCAATATGATGGGCAATCTTTAAAATTTGCTGAGACCTACTTTATGTTCTAGAAAAATGGTTCTCCAGCCTAGATTTACATTAGAATCACCTACAAAGGTTTATGATCTGCTCATGCCTAGAACCCATTCCAGACCAATTAAATCAGTATTGCTGGGGATAGAACTCAAGCATTTGCACTTTTAAAGAGTTCCTAGGAGATTTTACAGTGCACTTTGGGCATAGTATATAGTCAACTTTTATATATACTCTATGTAAACTTGAAACAACTGTTCTTTAGGAACTAGCTACTGTGATGTTCAAATATACTGTATCCTAAATGAATTTTTAAATCCTTGATCCATTCATAAATGAAGATAAATATTTTAAAATCATCCATCCTATGAGTGTGGAATTACCAATTTCATTTTGTAATTGACAGAATTGCATGCTCTCTCTGTCATCTCTGATCTTACAATATTAAAACTATATAAGTTTAGTATTTGGAGGTTAAAAATTCTGTTTTAATCTCATATTTTTCAAAGATATTTAACATGCATGTTTACTTAAGAAATTCTAAAATTAATCAAACTAAATTTTTTTGAATGTCTGTCACCCCTCTTTAGAAGAGACATTTTATTCTTTCCGACTTAAAAAAATATACTTCATTGTTTAGAGCAGCTTTAGGATCACAGCAAAATTAAGTTGAAGGTATACAGATTTCTCATATACCTTTGATCCCACCCTTGCATAACCTTCCCCATTATCAACATCCCCCAAGAGAGTGGTACCTTTGTGACAATCGGTACACCTGCATTGACACATCATTATCACCCAAATTCCATAGTTTACATTACGGTCCACTCTTGGTGTTGAACATTCTATGAGTTAGGACAAATTTATAATGACATGTATCCATCATCATAGTATCACACTGAGTTGTTTCACTGCCCTAAAATCCTCTATTTTCTGACTATTTGTCTTCCTAACCCCCCAGCCCCAGGCAACCACTGTTTTTCTTTCTTTCTTGTCTTCACAGTTTTGCCTTCTCCAGAATAGCTGTAATCATAGAGTGTGTACAGTGCGTACCCTTTTCAGATTGGCTTCTTTTTCTTTTGAGATGGAGTCTCACTCTGTCACCCAGGCTGGAGTGCAGTGGTGCAATCTCAGCTCACTGCAACCTCTGCCTCCTAGGTTCAAGAGATTCTAGTATTTTAAATTATATTCACCCCAAATAATGTTCTACATATAGTTTGCCATATTGCTAGAAATATGTTAGCAATAATGATTAAAAATGAATTGATGGGGATTGTGGAGAAGATGGGAGATAGGAGGCAGGAAAAGTTTGCAGCTCCTGCTAGGACAGACAGAACAGCATATGGAGACTCACATAATGAACTTTTGCTCCAAGAACTGCCACAGGAACATATCAGGAAAACTGAGAGAATCCACAGACCCTTTGAAGGAACTAGATCACTGCTGCAGGCTCCCTGAGATGCTGAAAAACTGAGTCTGTTTGCTGTCTCAATGAGGAGACTAGTGGTCTGGGCAAGTTCTCAGCCCTGGTCACTGGCTGCCTGGAAATAGACTCAGTGCTACTGGTAGGGCACTGTGGGAGTGAGACCAGCCCTTAGGACTGCATGCTACGTGGGAGCGGGTGAGGCCTGTGACTGCTTTCCCCCACTTCCCTGGCAACATGTATGACTCAGCAGAGGCAGCCATAATCCCCCTGGGAATATAACTCCTTTGGCCTGGAAACCACACTCCCATCCCCCACAACAGCCACAGCAAACCCCATCAGAGGTGAGTCTGAGCTCAGACACACCTACGCCTACCCCCACCTGGTGGTCTTTCTTTACCCACTCCGTTTGCTGAAGACAAAAGACGTAATATCTTGGGAGCTCTATAACCCTGCCCACCACCTAAGAAACCTGAATACTTAACCAGGCAACCCTAGGGCAAGTTTACATCCTCCCTATACCCTATAGTACTGCAGCTGATGCGCTCTTGAAAGCACCACCTCCTGACTGGAAGCCAACCAACACAAAATTGGCACAACTGAAAAAAATACAACCAAAGACCTGCACAGAGTCCACTTCATTCCCCTGCTATCTCCACTGGAGCAGGTTTTGGTATCCATGGCTGAGAGACCTGAAGACGGATCACATCACAGGACTCTTTTCAGACACTCCCTAGTACCACCCTGAAGTCCTGTAGCTCCACTGGGTGGCCAGACCCAGAAGGGCAAAAACAATCACTGCAGTTCAGCCCTAAAGAAGCCCCATCCCTAGGGAAAGGGGGAAATCACCACATCATGGGAGCACCCCATGGTACAAAAGAATCTGAACAGCAGCCCTTGGATCCCAGATCTTCCCTCTGAAATAGTCTACGCAAATGAGATGGAACCAGAAAAGATCTCACCAGCTCACCAGCAATGGATCTAAACCAAGATGAAATCTGAATTGCCAGAAAAAGAATTAAGAAGGTTGATTATTAAGCTAATCAAGGAGACACCAGAGGAAGGTGAAATCCAACTTAAAGAAATAAAAAACATGATATAGGATATAAAAGGAAAACAATGAGAACACATGGACACAGGAAGGGGAACATCACACACTGGGGCCTGTCGTGGGGTGGGGGGAGGGGGGAGGGATAGCATTAAGAGATATACCTAATGCTAAATGACAAGTTAATGGGTGCAGCACACCAGCATGGCACATGTATACATATGTAACTAACCTGCACATTGTGCACATGTACCCTAAAACTTAAAGTATAATAATAATAAAAAAAATTAAAAAACAAAAATATTCAGTGAAATAGATAACATAAATTTTAAAAAATCACAACTTCTGAAAATCAAGGACACACTTAGAGAAAAGCAAAATGCACTAGAAAGTCTCAGCAATAGAATCGAACAAGCAGGAGAAAGAACTTCAGAGCTCAAAGACGAGGCTTTCAAATTAACCCTTCTGACAAAGGAAAACAGAATACAAAAATGAACAAAGCCTCCAAGAAGTCTGAGACTATGTTAAGCATCCAAACCAAAGAATAATTGGTGTTCCTGGGGAAGAAGAGAAATCTAAAAGTTTGGAGAATATATTTGAGGGAATAATTCAGGAAAACTTCCCTGGCCTTGCCAGAGATCCAGACATCCAAATACAAGAAGCTCAAAGAACACCTGGGAAATTCATCACAAAAATATCATCGCCTAGCACATAGTCAGGTTATCTAAAGTCAAGATGAAGGAAAAAATCTTAAGAGCTCTGAGGCAAAAACATCAAGTAACTTATAAAGGAAAACCTACTAGAGTAACAGCAGATTTCTCAGCAGAAACACTTCAAGCTAGAAGGGATTGGAATCCTATTTTTAGCCTCCTTAAACAAAACAATTAGCAGCCAAAAATTTCGTATCCAGTGAAACTAAGCATCATGAAAGAAGGAAAGAGACAGTCTTTTCCAGACAAACAAATGCTAAGGGAATTTCCCACTACCAAGCCAGTACTTAAAGAACTGCTAAAAGGGGCTCTAAATCTTGAAATAAAACCTCAACATA
This sequence comes from Homo sapiens, assembly GCF_000001405.40. Lineage (NCBI taxonomy): Eukaryota > Metazoa > Chordata > Mammalia > Primates > Hominidae > Homo > Homo sapiens. The sequence continues at coordinate 86,716,751 of NC_000008.11, forward strand.
CACCAAAATAGAACCTCCTTAAAGCATAAATCTCATGCGGTCTATATAACAATAACAATAAAAAAGCCAATGTATTCAGGCAACAAATAGCATGATGAATGGCATAGTACCTCACATCTCAGTACTAATATTGAATGTAAATGGCCAAATGCTCCACTTAAAATATACAGAATGGCAGAATGGATAATAATTCACCAACAAAGTGTCTGGTGTCTTCAGGAGACTCACCTAACACATAATGACTCACATAAACTTAAGGTAAAGGGATGGAAAAAGATATTCCAGCAAATGGACACCAAAAGCGAGCAGGAAAAGCTATTCTTATATCAGACAAAACAAACTAAAGCAACAGCAGTTAAAAAAGACAAAGAGGAACATTATATAATGGTAGAAGGACTAGTCCAAGAGGAAAATACCACAATCCTAAATATATATACACCTAAGACTGGAGCTCCTACATTTATAAAACAATTACTACTAGACCTAAGAAATGAGATAGACGGCAACACAATAATAGTGGGGGACTTTAGACTGGGCGTGGTGGCTCAAGCCTGTAATCTCAGCACTTTGAGAGGCCAAGGCAGGAGGATCACTTGAGGTCAGGAGTTTGAGACCAGCCTGGCCAATATAGTGAAACATCTTCTCTACTAAAAATACAAAAAATTAGCCAGGCGTGGTGGCGTGTGCCTGTAATCCCAGCTACTGGGGAGACTGAGGCTGGAGAATTTTTTGAACCCAGGGGGTGGAGGTTGCCATGAGCCAAGATTGTGCAACTGTACTCCAGCCTGGTGACAGAGTGAGACTCTGTCTCAAAAAAAAAAAAAAAAAAAATCGAGGACTTTAATACTCTACTGACAGAACTAGACAGGTCATCAAGACGGAAAACCAACAAAGAAACAATGCAGTTAAACTATACCCTACAACAAATGGACTTATCTACCCAACAACTGCAGAATATACATTCTATTCATCAGCACCTGGAACATTCTTCAAGATAGATCACATGATAGACCACAAAACAAGTCTCAGTAATTTTAGGAAAATCGAAATTATATTAAGTACTCTTTCAGATCACAGTGGAATAAAATTTGAAATCAACTCCAAAAGGAACCCTTGAAACCATGCAAACACACGAAAATTAAATGACCTGTTCCTGAATGATCACTGGGTCAACAACGAAATCAAGATGAAAATTAAAAAATTCTTTGAACTGAACAATAATAGTGACACAACCTATCAAAACCCCTGGGATATATCAAAAGTGGTGCGAAGAGCAACATTCATAGCATTAAAGGCGTACATCAAAAAGTCAGAAAGAGAACAAAGTGACAATCTAAGGTCACACCTCATGGACCTGGAGAAACAAGAAAAAAAACAACCCCAAACCCAGCAGAAGAAAAGAAATAACCAAGATCAGAGCAGAACTAAATGAACCTGAAACAAACAAACAAAAAAATACAAAAGAGATGACACAAAAAACCGTTTCTTTGAAAAGATAAATAAAATTCACAGAACATTAGTGAGATGAACCAAGAAAAGACAAGAGAAGATTCAAACAAGCTCAGTTAGAAATAAAACAGGAGATATTACTACTGATACCACAGAAATACAAAAGGTTTTTCAAGGCTACTATGAACACCTTTACACACATAAACTAGAAAACTTAGAGAAGATGGATAAATTCCTGGAAATATACAACCCTCCTAGATTAAACCAGGAAGAAATAGAAACTCTGAACAGACCAATAACAAGCAGTGAGTTTAAAATGGTAATAAAAAAATTGCCAAGAAAAAAAAGTCCAGGATCAGATGGATTTACAGCTGAACCCTATCAGACATTCAAAGAAGAGTTGGTACCAATCCTATTGACACTATTCTACAGGACAGAGATAAAGGGAATTGTCCTTAAATCATTATATGAAGCCAATAACACTCTACCACCCAAACCAGGGAAGGACATAAAAATAACAACAAAAACTACAGATCAATATCCCTGATGAACATATATGCAACAATCCTTAACAAATTACTAGCTAACCAAACCTAACACCATATCAAAAAGATAATCCACCATGATCAAATGGGATTTATACCAGGGATACAGGGATGGCTTTTCATTCATAAGTCAATAAATGTGATACATCACATAAACGGGATTAAAAACAAAATTACATGATCATCTCAGTAGATGCAGAAAAACCATTTGACAAAAATCCACAATTGCTTTATGATTAAAACCCTCAGAAAAACTGGCATAGAAGGTACATACCTTAAGGTAATAAAAGCCATCTATGATAAACCCACAGCCAACATTATACTAGATGGGGAAAAGTTGAAAGCATTCCCCTTGAGAAGTGGAACAAGACAAAAATGTCCACTTTCACCACTTCTATTTAACATAGTACTGAAAGTCATAGCCAGAGCAATCAGACAAGAGAAAGAAACAAGGGCATCCGTATCAGTAAAGAGGAAGTCAGACTGTCGCTATTTGCTGATGATATAATCTTATAGGAGGAAAACCCTAAAGACTCACTCATAAAGGTCCTAGAACTGGTAAATGAATTAAGCAAAGTTTCAGGATACAAAATTAATGTACATAAATCAGTAGCTCTGCTATACACCAACAGTGACCAAGCTGAGAATCAAATCAAGAACTCGATCCCCTTTACAGTAGCTGCAAAAAGTAAAATAAAATACGTAGGAATATACCTAATGAGGAGGTAAAAGACCTCTACAAGGAAAACTACAAAACACTGTTGAAAGAAATCACAAACAACACAAACATGGAAACAAATCCCATTGTGTAAATGACCACACTGCCAAAAGCAATCTACAAATTCAGTGTAATTCCTGTCAAAAATACCACCATCATTCTTCACAGAACTAGAAAAAACAATTCTAAAATTCATATGGAACCAAAAAAGATCCTGCATAGACAAAGCAAGGCTAAACAAAAGAAACAAATCTGGAGGCATCACATTACCCAACTTCAAGCTATGCTATAAGGTCATAGTCACCGAAACAGCATGCTACTGGTATAAAAATAGGCATATAGACCAACTGAACTGAATAGAGAACCCAGAAATAAAGCCAAATACTTAGAGCCAACTGCTCTTTGACAAAGCAAACAAAAATGTAAAGTGGGGAAAGGACACCCTTTTCAACAAATGGTGCTGGGATAATTGGCAAGCCACATGTAGAAGAACGAAACTGGATCCTGGTCTCTCACCTTATACAAAAATCAACTCAAGATGGATCAAAGACTTAAATCTAAGACCTGAAACCATAAAAATTCTAGACAATAACATCAGAAAAACCCTTCTAGACACTGGCCTAGGAAAAGACTTCATGACCAAGAACCCAAAAGCAAATGCAACAAAACCAAAGATACATAGATGGGATTTAATTAAACTAAAAAGCTTTTGCACAGCAAAGTAAATAATCAGCAGAGTTAACAGACAACCCACAGAGTGGGAGAAAATCTTCACAATCTATATATCTGACAAAGGACTAATATCCAGAATCTGCAAGGAACTCAAACACATCAGCAAGAAAAAAAACAAGCAATCCAATTAAAAAGTGGGCTAAGGACATGAATAGACAATTCTCAAAAGAAGATATACAAATGGCCAACAAGCATATGGAAAAATTCTCAACATCACTAATTATCAGGGAAATGCAAATCAAAACCACAATGCAATACCACCTCACTCCTGCAATAATGGCCATAATCAAAAAATGAAAAAATAATAGATGTTGGCATGGGTGTGGTTAAAAAGGAACACTTACACTGTTGGTGGGAATGTAAACTAGTACAATCACTATGGAAAACAGTTTGGAGATTCCTTAAAGAAGTAAAAGTAGATCTACCATTTGATCCAGCAATCCCACTACTAGGTATCTACCCGGAGGAAAAGAAGTCATTATAGCAAAAAGGTACTTGCGCATGCATGTTTATAGCAGCACAATTTGCTGTTGCAAAAATATGGAACCAACCCAAATGCTTGTCAATCAATGAGTAAATAAAGTGTGATATATATCACAACTTATATATATTCCATGGCATATATATATATATATATATATGTATACACACACACACACACACACACACACACACACACACACACACACAATGGAATACTACTCAGCCATGAAAAGGAACAAAATAATGGCATTTTCAGCAGCTTGGATGGAATTGGAGAGTGTAATAATAATAATTATTATTATTTTTTGAGACAGAGTCTTGCTCTGTTGTCCAGGCTGAAGTGCAGTGGCATGATCTTGGCTCACTGCAACCTCTGTCTCCTGGGTTCAAGTGATTCTCATGCCTCAGCCTCCTGAGTAGCTGGGATTAGAGGTGCACGCCACCAGCCCAGCTAATTTTTGTATTTTTAGTAGAGATGGGGTTTCACCATGTTGGCCAGGTTGGTCTCACATTGCTGACCTCAAGTGATCCACCCACCTTGGCCTCCCAAAGGTCAGTCTCCACTGGGATTACAGGCATGAGCCACCGCACCTGGCCAGAATTGGAGACTCTTATTCTAAGTGAAGTAACTCAGGAATGAAAAACCAAACATTGTACATTCTCACTTATAAGTAGGAGCTAAGTATTCTTATGCAGAAGCATAAGAATGATACAATGGACTCTGGGGACTATGGGGAAAGAGTGGGAAGGGGGTGAAGGATAAAAGTTTACACATTGGGTACAGTGTTCTCTGCTCAGGATGATCTCAGAAATCATCAGTAAAGGACTTACTCATGTAACCAAACACCACCTGTTCCCCAAAAACCTATTGAAATAAAAAATAAATAAAAACAGATTTGATGATCTGTTGTTTAAATTGTTTGCAATGTTTAATTATAAAAGTATTGCTTACCATAGAGGAAAATTTCAATATGGGGCTAAAAGTAATAGTGCATTATTTTTATTATGCATCCCACAAAATTGGCAAGTGTGTAGCTGGTTTCCCTTTTTTAAAAAAAATGCTTATAAATTATTGAAGTATAAATTGCATTTTATTTTTGTAAACTTGATAGCTGACATTCCTTTTCTATTTCAACTATGAAGTCACATATGGATTTTTAAGCATCTTTACTGCAGTGATTCTTGCTTTTTCTAGCTACTAGACAATAAACGTCAGTGTTTATGAGTGGTGATAAGATTCTGAATTCTATTCTGCTCTCATTGTTCCTGCTGTGAAATGATTGCCTATTTTAAAACCACCCAAATAGAGACTGATTGCTATTATGAACAAAGAAGACTATTCATAGAAATAACCTTCCTTCTCAGTATTATGAGTAACAATGGTGATGAAAAGCCATATACTATAGTGTAAAAGTCAGTCTTGCAGCACACCCTAGTCATAGGCACTGAACATTTCACTCACTCGCTGCTTGTTCATCATTTAACCACTTAACCTATCAGCCATTCAACTCTGTCTCCTTTTTCAGACATAGCTATTTGACATTTCCAGGCAAAACACATCTTCTTTTGCTTGCTATTCATTAGTGTCCATCAAAATATATTTTTATATTAAAAAATAAGGCTGGACTGAGATAAAGTGCCAGAAATAAGCTGTTTTTCTTGGTAATGGACAAATGGCATCAGTGGGACTTCACAGGGGTGAACCCTGTGTCTTTCAGAAGGTAAGTGTTTCATTTGACAAGATAATGAATTGTTTGCTTTTGGAGGTGAAGAGTGGGACCTATACAGTTTCAATTCCTTTATGTACATAATGGAGATGGCGTGATGATTAATGTTATGTGTCAACTTGACTGAGCCATAACGTGCCCAGATATTTGGCCAAACATTATTCTGGTTGTGTCTTTGAGGATATTTTGGATGATATTAACATTTGAATCAGTAGACTGAGCAAAGCAGAATGGTTTCCCTAATGTGGGTAAACCTCATTCAGTCAGTTGAAAGCCTACATAGAGCAAAGAAGCTGACTCTCCTGAGAGAAAGAGGGCACTCCTGCCTGATTGTTTAAGCTTGGACATTGGTCTTTTTCTGACTTCAGACTCAAACTGAAACATTGTTTCCTTTTGGGTCTCAAGTTTGCTGGCTTTTTGGACTGGAACTTATAACATTGGCTCTTCTGGTTCTCAGGCTTTCAGACGTGTACTGGAACTATATCATTGGCTTTCCCGGGTCTCTAGCTTACTGACTGCAGATCTTGGGACTCTCAGCCTCCATAATCGCATGAGTCAATTCCTTATAATAAATTTATTTCCCTATATATGCATATATCCTGTTGGTTCTATTTCTGTGGAGAACCCTAACTGATACAGATGGTAATCTCTATGTCTCTATTCCTCTTGGTGTTCACTTCTGCCCATCTTCCAAACAGAGCAGAAACTAAGGGTGTAATCAATAATATCAAACTGTACTTCTTACACACAGACAGCAAAATCCACACTATGCATTCTCCCCAGTACCTATTGATCAGTCCAGACATAATAATCCCTATTCAGCTCAAGGCTTACGTGAGAAGATAAAGTAATTGCACTTACAATAAGAAAACTTCTTTTAAATTTTCCAAATTTAAAAAATTGAGGTGACAGCTGGTCACTCACACAGCATCTATATTTAGTTCCTGCAATCAATCAAATACTTAATTTTTTTCTAGGAGAAAGAGCTTTTTAAAACCTGACCTTGCCCAAGGTTGAAGATGCTGATATTTAACAACTGAAAATATAAAGGTGACCTTTTACTCATCAAAAGCATTGTGAAGTAATAATTTCAATAATTATTTTATCATTGATATTTTCTTATAATGTATAAAAACTCTGTCCCTAGGATTCTAGATATGGTAACTGTTGTCACCCATGAGATTGGAACAGAAAGCTTTGGTCAGTTCTACATGGTATTGAACTTAAAGATTCCCGTTAATTTTAGTCAAAGCTGATACTGGAGCTTCTAATGCCCCTTTCAAGTTGTTCCTTCAGTGCAGCTGGTTTTCACCCAATCCTGAGAAAACATGTGAACAACCATCTAATAACAAAGCAAGAACTTTAAGCTAACTTGGGTCTACTTAGTTTGTTAATACTTCTCAAACCACTTTGCTATCTATGTTGTAGCCAGGAAGACATTAAAAAGTGTTCTGACAAAATCATGTCCTTTGCAGCAACACAGATGGAGCTTGAGGCCATTATCCTAAGTGAACTAACACAGGTACAGAAAACCAGACACCACATGTTCTCACTTACAATGGTAGCTAAACATTGAGCACACAAGGACACGTTGAAGAAAACAATAGACATCAGAGCCTACTTGAGGATGACCGGAGGGAGGAGGCTGAGGGTCAAAAAACTACCTATTGTGTACTGTGCTTATTACCTGGCTGATGAAATAATATGTACATCAAACCCTTGCAACATGAAATTTATCTATAGAATCAACCTGCATATGTACCCATGAAACTAAAATAACACTTAAAAAAAGTCTTCTGGATTTAACAGTTTTGCCATCTCAGGATAGTGATACTGATGAAAAGCCATGTTAGAAGAGAAGTAAGGATTTGAGAGCTTTACAGCCTCATGTTTTTTCCTCATTATCTTTGCAATATGCTACTGATTATTCTTGCTTTTATCAAGAATTCTGAGCAGGAAGGAATGGGAAGACTTGGAGAGTCACTTGTGTCTTGCTCTCCTCCTGGAGAAGCTGTATAGTTTTGAAAATCTAGCAGTTCAAGCAAATCCAATATGTTTGGATCAATCAATTCATTTGTTAAATATTTATTGAATATTTACCATGTGCCAGACATTGATGTAGGTACTGGGGATACTAATCATCAACAAAAACAGGCATGGCCCCTGCCATCATGAAGCACACAATTTAGAGATTGAGACTGATGGATTTTTCAGGCAGATAATCATATAAAATGCATCAGCAATAAATGCTGTGAAAGAGATCTTATAATAGGGGCACATAGCCTAGTTAGGAATGTCAGGGAAAGCCTTACAAAGGAAGTATTGGTCATATTGTTATCTGAAGAATGAATAGAAGTTAATTAGGTGATAAGGGGAGGAAAGAATAGAACAAGCAGAGGAAGTAGTATGTGCAAAAGCCTGCGGCAGGAGGGAACATGACAAATACAAGAGACTGAAATAGAACAGGTGTGACTGGAGCAGAGAGGTGGGAAAGTTGTGTGTTGGGAGAGGACAAAGTAAAAACAGGTGAGAGACAGACCAGGCAGGGCCTGAGAGGTCATGTCAAGAAGTTTTTTGTTTTTGAGCTATGCTGATTGACCCCTGGGTAATTGAAAGGTTTCCACTTCCACATTTCAGAAGAGTGTAAGAAATACTAGGAATGAATACGGATTAAAAAGAATTTATCCCCCAAAATGTTAGTTATGGCTTCAACTTCAGTCCTTTGAAAATCTATCAATTGCCGTGGGTTATTGTAAAAAATAAACATATTAAAATTAATGCTAGAAAGGGAGATTAGTTTAGAAGGCTGGGAGTGTATTGGTGTGAGGAAGTAAAAGTTCTCTTTGGGAATTCAAATCTTTTGTAGTCTAATATTAGGAGAGCTGACCCTATTACTACAGGCAAATGAATTAACCTTTCAGTATCTTGGTTGCTTATCTGTTGAGTGAAGATAATGATGATCCACTAATAGGACTGAAAATAATTCTGTAAACAACAACAGTTATAGATAAAATATAAATAATTAGTTGTTCTCTTGTTAGATTACAGTCCTTACCTCAGAGTTTAAACATCTCTCTGCCAAAATAATATGTCAACTTTTATTTTTGTCAAATAACATTGTGTTTATGTGCACACGTGTGTATGTGTGTGCGTGTATGTGGTAGAGTGAGCTTGTGTTTATTTTCATATAGTCAAATTTGTGTTTATCGAAAAGGCATTCTCTGTTTCTGATGCCAATTGTTCATTCAGCAATTCCCTGGGTCCTAGATAATCACGATGACTTCTACTAACAGCAGATGGTTTAACACAGTAGAGGTGCTGCTGAGAGAGAAGGCGGGGTAGGGTGGAGTGGGATGGACGAATAGGTACTTTTAACTTCTTTATAAGTGACAACTCTTTTTGTCTATTAAATAAGAATATGCTTTTATTGTTTCATAAACATATTGCAATTATATCAATTATAGTTAAGCCATTTTAACTGGATCGGCAGGTACATAATACCATGCCAAGAAGAGGCAAAATGAAGGACCTCCTTGTTGGGATTTATTGCAGATTTACTGGTTCACATTTAAATTGTTATCTCTTTTGCAGTATTTCCAATACTCTTACGGGAAGTACTTATAAAGCTGTGTTCCTTCAGTGGCATAAAGATGTTCCAGTTCTGTAATTATTCCTGGTTAGCATGTCACACTTTCTTTAGTGGATAAAAGGAAATAATAATTAATCTTTTGAAACAATAAAATATTCACAGAATTGGAATAGCTGTTTATTTGTGAGCTTGGAAAATTTTCATCATTTCTTTTTAAAATTCATGCCTAGTAAATATATAGGCTGTTTCCATAATGATACAATGACTCATACATGTAACAGCAATATTTTTGTTGTGATTTGGCCTATAGCCAAATGGCTGCCTAGGGATATTGGTTAGTGGCCATGCTGGGCCAGTGAGGTACGATGAACTGGACAGAACCAACCTTTTAGTTCTGACACAGTTTTTTTGTGTTATGTGACTATTGAATTTTTTCTGCCCTTATATTCAGCTAAAGGGGAGAGTGGATATTTGAGCTCTTTAGGGCAGGCTGAGCAATATCTCTAAAATATGTTGTGTGTTTTATTAAATGCTCACCTGTTTGGACCTTCTTTCCCGGGGTCCATTTCCTTCTGCTCTGGCACTGTTCCAGTTGGTTCTGCTGCATTTTGAGGGTCAGGGTTTGTGGTCAGATCTCCAGAGGAATTTTTCTTGGAGAGTTTGTCTATGAAAAAAAAATTCACATAGATAGAAGAATGTACAACACTCTTGACCCAGCTATATTTGGCAACATGAGCTACAAAGATGCTGCTTGTTTTTTAGAATAGTCTTCTCAAGAACACCTCCCCTGGGACTTCTGCTAAACAAAGTAGGACTTTATGCAGGAAGAATTAACTGGTAGACACCTTCAGGCCAATGAAAAAATACAGTCGTGTGCTATTTAATGACAGAGATATATTCTGAAAAATGCATTGTTAGGTGACTTAGTCGTTGTGCAAACATCATAGAGTGTACTTATATCATACAAATCCTGATGTTATAGCCTACCACACACCAAGGCTATACGGTATACTCTATGGATCCTAGGCTACAAACCTGTGCAGCATGTTACTGTAATAAATACTGTAAGCCATTCTAACACAATGGTCAGTCTGTGTATGTAAACATAGAAAAGATACAGTTTGAAATATGTTATTATAATCTTATGAGACTACCCTCTTTTATGCAGTCTTTTATTGACTAAAATATCTTTATGCAGCACATGATTGTAATTGAAGTTGGTGTATTATGTAATAAAAGTTCATAAGATATATTTCTTTTTGATATTGACAAAGCTGAGAATAAGAATTTATTATTCAGAAGGCATTTCCAGTTTTGCTAAAGTATTCATAATTTTGGGCTGAAATTGATACATCATAAAATTCAGAAAAGTAAAATAGGAAAAAATGTGATTGACATTATTTAGCACTTGCATTCTACATTTTTATGAAATCAAATTTTTGTTTTTAGCTTGACCATCTTTAAGTTGTGAAATATTTTCTGACGAAATGATACAAACTAATATGTACTAGCTTTATTTTCAATACAGAAATTAATTTCTTCCCGTCAAGCCTACAGATACAATTTCTAATTAATATAGTTTAAATTGTAATTTACCCAGAGAATAAACAACTTACTGGTAAATATTTGGATTATAGAGAAGATTTTAATGAAAGCAAATTACTTAATATTAAAAGAAAATGTAGAAGCGGAAAAGAAAAATAAGAACGAATACAATTTAATAGTTATTCATTTTCCACAGCTTCTAACATTTTTAATTGGATGTCTTGTGCTTAAGATATTAAAATGGAGGCCCAAATCATCATTTTATTTTCTTGTAATACATATAGTTTGAAGATATAAGCAAACCCAGTATTGAAAATTTGGATTTACAAAAGTGATAAATCAGGGGATGATCACCATACCAGTCCTTTAATATGAACATTTCTAAGATCCATCTAAAAATCTTTCAAGGTACTAAACTTTTCAGGAACAAGTTTCAGGAATAAAGGAAATCAAAAAATTGAGTCACTCCTTAAAATTTTTAAAAGTTTAAGACTAAGAAAGCCTAAATTCTCGGATTTCCCAAGACGCTTTTATTCATTACGCATCTCCTATCTACTTTTATTTTGGAATTATAGTATTTTGGCTAGAAGAGAGAAAACACAGTACTAGCTATGTTTTTGTTATGTTTAAATGGAAAGAAAAAACAATTCTCCAATTTCCTTGGGATACAAAGGTCTCAATATAATCACATCCTTGAAGCCTGCGTATAAAGATTATGTTTAGGTGAAATATTGAAAGTTGTAGGATAGGGACCCTTCTGTACAGGCACATGTGGTACACTAATGAGTTTATCAGTATCCAACAGATTTCAGAGTAAAAAAAATTGCACTTTCAATATGTCATTTTGTACTAACAAGCTTTTGATAAAAAAAGAGAGAAGGATCTGTTTTCCTTATGTGTTTGGGTCAAGTCATATTTTTCCATTTCTCTTTACCCAATCAAAACAAAAATCATATAGATCAGATCTCTGACAAATTTCCATTTTGTATTGCTGTCTGTGAAAGTGGCAGCCTAATCCTTTTTTGTATCCACAAACACTTGGACAATTACTGTATGATATTTAGAAGCAAAATTCTTAATTGCTGGCCATGGATGTCTAGTGCATTTTTCATTTGAAATCCTTGAAGCCGTATGTTGTATATACCTTTTATTACATGGAGGGGATCTGGAGTTATCATGGGCTTCTCAAAGGAGTCCGGACCAAGAAACATGTTATGGATCATTGTGTTCACATATGTTTCTAGGAGTACTTACCCTAAAAGAAAATTAGGACTGATAAAGAATATGAAATATGAGTAAAAATCAGAAAAAAATCCTGAATGTAAAACAAATAGAATCTGTACTGTAAAACATTTCTTAAAGGCTTTTATTGGCTATGGGTTTTTGTTTTGAGACATGGTCTCACTCTGTCACCCAGGCTGGAGTGCGGTGGTACGATCACAGCTCATTGCAGCCTTGACCTCCTGGGCTCAAGTGATTCTCCCACCTCAGCCTCACGGATCGCTGGAACTACAGGCATGAGCCACCACACCCAGTTAATTTTTGTATTTTTTGTCGAGATGGGGTTTTGCCATGTTGTGCAGGCTGGTTTCAAACTCCTGGGCTCAAGCAATGCGCCTGTCAAAGTGCTGGGATTATTGGTGTGAGCCACTGTGCCTGGTGGGCTATTTCTTATAAAGCCACATGGATATAAGCTGCATCATATACCTCCTCCATCTCTCATTCAAGCTACAGCATATGTATTGCATTTTCAGTATTAACTTTTCTGCTAGTACCAATTAAATGACCAACTGTTCTGCAATAGTTCTTTTTGTCCATTCCTAATAAGAATTTTTGTTTATCACCATAACATTTGGATAAAATTAATTCTAGGTAGATCTTAGCAACTTACCAGATCTTCTCTAGCTATTACCAAGCCTTTCTAAATTGATCCTGCCTCTATTTTGACAAGCCTGGGATATTTATAAATTAATTTCAGCCTAATTTGATTTGTGGATAAACATTTAATTACAAAATAAATCCTCATTAATAGCTTATTGATGAAGATTAGAAACCAGTTATTTCCTATTCTTGGCTTCAAAGCAGAACAACAACTTAAAAAACCCATGAGGACTCAAAACAAAAGAATGCCTGTCAACTATAGTTCAGTGTGGGTGTCTTTTTATCCATGCAACATGTTATTTGTTTGTGGAAACAGATGGTCAGAGTGTTTGCATCATCCTCATCATGAAAGAGAAATCTAAAATACAAGGCAAATCTTGCTCTGGCATCTGGGTGAAATGTTGTCAACGGCACATTGTGATTCTTCCCAGCTTCACACATGGACAGCAGGATTCCAGATTTCATAGCTGCCCAAATGAATAGTGTAAGTCTTTCTGCCAATGGTGCTCTTTGCACATTGTATAGCAATTGCCAGAGCTCATCAGTACACTTGGTCAAATTCTTCCCTGGAATGTGTACCTGTGGCAGATAGTGAAATCTGGAATCAAAGTATTCTGACGTGGTTGCCTTTACTGAATGTGCAAAAAATAAGTAGAGTTTGCTCTCCACACACCAGGCTGATTCCATCCTGAGCCTGGCAGCGTCTCACACTGAGCCTGTGTAATATACTTCCAATCTCCTTGGCCCCTTGTAGCAGCACAACATGGAGACACGAGCAGGTGTGAAACATCTGCTTCTCTCTTCAGGTGATGAAATAAGTGATGTGGAAATCCATTAACCTTCCACATTTTATCAGTGACATTACATAAATGCTGGACAGGAGGGATTCAAAGAAAGAACCTAATATGGGAATAAGGTTGTAAATTAAAAAGACACTCAGTTGGCTTGTTTTAGATGGATATGAAAAGCACAAGACTTGACAATGCCTTCACTGGTTAGAATCTTTGGTGTGGGGGATGGTACTACTTTGGTCAAATTTCTAGGTCTTAGGACATCAAAGACATGTGGGTTCTGTCTCAAAAATAAATCTCCTTTTATTAGGAGCCACCAGTACCTGAGTAACTGGATGTTAGATGCATTAATAAAGACTAAGTCTGGGTACTTCAATTAGATGCATAAACAATACTATTATTTTCCATCTAAATGAACATTTGGAGTTAAGGACTAACAGTTTTAAGAAGTATATGATTAATGATTATTTTCTGGCACCTGAGGTTGTATTTTTGACTCAGCTTGTGGCTAATTTCAGAGTTGCTGGATTATCTAGTGTACTTAGAATAATTTTAACTATAATACTTTAATCACACTTGAAATTTTATTGTATCTTTGTAGATTGTCAAACAACATGGAGGAAGTTGACAACATTACAGCAGTGCACATAAAATGGATTCTGAAAGAGGGTTTTAAAATGGCATTCAGAAGAACAGAAAAATGACATACTTTATATTAAAAACATGTGATCTGTAAGAAATCCAGAGAAGGACTCAGAAGGGATGAGAGTTCTGGAAACCATCTCATATGAGAAATGGTGTGAGGAATTTAGGCTCTTTTAGTAAAGTATTTAAGATTAACTAGTGACCTAATAGTTATTTCAAATTCATAGAAATGCTATTACATAGAAAAGAAAATAGATTTATTTCATGTAGTCTAGAAGGCAGAAGAAAGACTTACCAATGAATTAACAAAACAAACACGCAAAACCCTCAAACATTCTAGCAACTTGTCTAACCACAAAATGCACTGCTTTGTGAGGTAGTGAAGGCTCTGTTGGCTGGTGGTACTCAGGAGCCTCCAGCCAATCTAAGAAGCCTGTGCTAAGGGAGCCTGTGCTGAGGGAGGACAGGATCTTTGCATGGGGTCAAAACTAAGGTGTCCTCTAGACAGCCTTAAAGTCCTATAATGTCCTGAAGGGATCTTTGTATTTAGGAAGATTTTTGACTTTAGGATACATCATCACAAGTAAAGAAATGTGCAAATCGCCAAAAGAAAAAGAACGTGGATCCATCTAAGTTAGTTTTGTTACTGTGTCAGGATGGAGGAATCCAGTCCTCTCTCAATGTCATGCTAGGTTTCAGGGACTTTTTTAAAACTGAGATTAATTCATCTAGAAAACACATTTTATATATAGGTATTAAGGAGTGTGATGAGTTACCAGTGCTGGGTACTGAACAGAGACCTGTAATCCCTACATAACTAATTCTCTAGGTGACTCTGGATAAGTCTCTTTTCTGTAACAGTTTCCTCATCCATAAAATGAAAAATACTTTTGTCCTGGGGATTTCTGTGAGGATTAGATAAAGACTCCATTTGAGAAAAATGCAATATAAACACAAAGTGTTCCATGAGCCAGACTGGAATAAATTGCTTAAAAAAAGAAAATGTATATTAACTCTTTCAGGTCTTCATAGCACTGACGTATGTGGGGCATGATACAAAAACTTCCATTTACTTAACAGAGCCCAGGAACCAGAAAATCGTAATGCAATTTTCCATAAGTCAGCTATATTCTTTGGCAGAAAGAAGCCTAAAAGCACAGAGTTTAATTGAATTATGTAAATATATTTAAATCATGCAAACTACAACATAAAAGGCCTTTTAAAGGAAAAGAATCCATCCTATCCACATTGGTTAGGGTCTCTTAAATTTTTAGCTTATGAAACACGTAATGACAGTAATTTTATCGGTCAGAATCTGTTCTCTATTCAATATTTAAAACAGGGTATGCTTTCCATGCCAAACTTCGCTCTTTTAAGCGAGGGAGCTTTCTGCTGTATTACATGCAGGAATGGTTACCCATCACACACATGCTGGGCACCTAATCTCAAGAGGGTGGCCTGTCCACAGCTGGCTGGCAACCTCAATGGTGGTCTGAAGGGCTCTGCTCAATGGGGAAAACGGTTGTTATCTAAGTCAGTCAGACTACTCCCTTTGGAATTTGGACTGAAAAATGAGTAAATGGAAATGAGAGCAGTCCAGAGTAGATATGCAGAGAAAACACAGCGCTCATGAGAAATGAAGCCATATTCACTGAGGGAAAAGGAGAAAAAGTAATTAGCTCCTAGGCTGTCTCAGTCTGAAAGCCTCCCCTGAATGGCTTTTCAGCTCCAGTTATCCATAAGTTTTCTTACAACGAGCCCCTGCCACTGAAGGTGTCCTGATTATGTCTCTGTCTCTTGCCAAACCAGCACAATTAGGAATTTTCTTCATCATCTCAAACTAGAAAGCATGTAATATTTATCTTTTTTCTAGACTAAATTTTCAGAAATGTCATACCAACTTTATTCATTTCTCAATTCTTTTGTTTATCATCCTATCAGGTATCATTTTAAAAGAATACTTCTGATTGTTGGCTACATAAGACTATTTCTATTTGGATGAAGGAAATAAATATGCTTGAGTCTTTTTTAAAATTTCAGTTTTTATTTTAGATTCAGGGGATGCATGTGTGTGTTTGTTACATGGGTATACTGCATGATGCTGAGGTTTGGGATGTGAATGATCCTGTCACACAGTGAGCAGAGTACCCAACATTTAACTTTTCTTTTTTTTTGTTATTATTTTATTTTTTATATCTCCTCTAAGGTGAAATAGTTAGTTTTTCAACTCTTCCCCCCACCTTCCTCCCTCTAGTAGCCTGCAGAATCTATTGTTCCCATCTTTATGTCCATGAGTACCCAGTGTTTAGCTTACACTTATAAGTGAGAACATGTGGTATTTGGCTTTCTATTTTTGGGTCAATTTGTTTAAGATAATGGCCTCCATCTTCATCCATGTTGCTGCAAAGGACATGATTTCATTCTTTTTTATGGGTGTGTGGTATTCCATGGCATATATGTGCCACCTTTTCTTTATCCAATCCACTGTTGATGGGCACTCAGGTTGATTTCATGTCTTTGCTATTGTGAATATCACAGTGATGAACATACAAGAATGCATGTGTCTTTTGGGTAGAACAATTTATTTTCTTTTGGATATATACCCAGTAATGGGATTGCTGGTGCAGAATGGTAGTTCTGTTTTAAGTTCTTTGAGAAATCTGCTTGAGTAGTTTTGATAAAAAGTTATATACATTTTGTAGGAGGGTCTCTCTTCCCACCTTATCCTTTGGCTGGTGAATAGGACTGAAAGTTACAGGGAGTGGACTACAGAACTAAAATTAGCCATAGTAGTACTTCCTATGCATGTCAATCAAACTGGTTGGTCGTACACGGTAAAGTCTTTACTGCTTTTTGTAAACTAAATTTCAGTAGATTGCCTAGTTATTTTTCTTTTCCACATAGGACACATTAAATTGTATATGCTAATTGTTACTGCCAAGGACTGAAGAGTGGTTTCCTATTTAAACATCCACTACCTTTTCTGAAAAACTGGACTTTATTTTATATTTTAATTTATTTATGGTTTAAGAGACAGGGTTTCTTTCAGT
This sequence comes from Homo sapiens, assembly GCF_000001405.40. Classification (NCBI taxonomy): domain Eukaryota; kingdom Metazoa; phylum Chordata; class Mammalia; order Primates; family Hominidae; genus Homo; species Homo sapiens. The sequence goes on from NC_000008.11 coordinate 86,733,906, forward strand.
CATGCAGGCTGGAGTGCAGTGGCATGACCATAGCTCACTGTAACCACAAACTCCTGGGCTCAAGTAATCTTCCCACCTCATTCTCCTGAGTAGCTGGAACTACAGGCGGGTGCTACTATGCTCAGCTAATTAAAAAAATTTGGGGGGATAGAGGTCAGGTCTCGCTATGTTGCCCAGGCTGGTCTCAGGAAATCCTCCTGTCTTGGGCTCCCAAAGCACTGGGATTACAGGCATGAACCACCGTGCCTGGCCAGCTTTATTATTATTTTTAGAGTAGTTTTAGCTCCAGAGCAGTTTTTAGCTTTAGATTACGCCCAAAGTGAGAGTTGGCTGAAATGCAGGCTATGTCAGTTTGGAGAGATGATAGGGACCTGGGCAAGGCTGGGGGCACCTCTGTAGATCTGGAATTGTGCTAGACTTGGAACCTAGGGGTCTTGGCTGTGGAAAGCTATTTGGCAAGCAGTTCCAGGGAGGCCACCCTACTTGTAGTCTGTTTACAAAACAAAGACTGGGATGGAGATTATGAGTAAAGAGGAATGGAAAAGTAACAGGATCACTAAACGCATTGCCAGATTCAGAATTTTGTCTAGGGATTTCACTGTTTACAAATGCAGACAACATTACATGTCTACCACGTGGTTGGTTAGAGGTCACAGAATGGTCTTGTGGACTAAATTTGGTAAGAATTCAGTTATGTGTTCCCAGTGATTTAAGAAAGGGAATATTTAAACATTAAAAAAGTCAACATTTAAAAATTGAGATCTTTCAAATTAACATTTGTGTTTGTAGTTTGTCTTGACAAGGTGTAACACCTGGCAGAACTTGACCTTCATCCCCATGTGACAGTGACTAGCAGAGCTGAGTAGCCTCTGACCTCTTCAGACAGGGCATGAATGCTCCTCATTTATGCTATCTGGCTTGTATCAGGGTTGGGATTTACCAACCTCAATGCTAAATGCTTTACATATATTAACTAATTTAATTCTCACTCACAACCCAACACTGATAACAGTGTTGTCCTTATTTTATACATGAGCAAAATGACACTCAAAGATGTTAAATGCCTCAACTAAAGAGTTAGAAAGTAGCAGAGTTGTGATTTGAATTCGGGCATGTCAAATTCTCAAATGCCGGTGGTTTTTTTTTTTTTTTTTTTTTTTTTTTTGTATGGTATACTGCCTTTACTATGAATTCAACGTGATTGTAGGAAAACTCAATTTCATTTTTAAAATGGTTGCCTTTTTTTTTTTTTTTTGAGACAGAGTCTTGCTGTGTTGCCCAGGCTGGAGTGCAGTGGCGCAATCTCGGCTCCCTGCAAGCTCCGCTTCCAGGGTTCACGCCATTCTCCTGCCTCAGCCTCCCGAGTAGCTGGGACTACAGGCATCCACCACCATGCCTGGCTAATTTTTTGTATTTTTAGTAGAGACGGGGTTTCACCGTGTTAGCCAGGAGAAAAATGGTTGTATTTTGTATTTCAAGTTGGAATTCTCTTAAAGCTGTATGTATTATAGTTTTCCATTGCTGCTGTAATCTATCACCATAAACTTAATGGCTTAAAGCAACACAGTCAGTTGTCTTACAGTTCTGAAAGTCAGAAGTCTAAAACGTGTCTGACGGGCTGTGTTCCTCCTGGAAGCTCCAGGAGAGAATCCTTTCTTTCTTTTCCAGCTTCTAGAGGTCACAGCACTCCTTGGGTCCTGGTCCCTTCCTCCACCTCCAGAGAGCATCAATCCAACTCTGCTTTCATTGTCCCAGCTCTTGCCTTTGACTCTCCTGCTTCAACTCTTATAAGGACCCCTTGATTACATTGGGGTTACCTGAATAATCTGGGATAATCTTCCTATTGCAAGATCCTTAGTAACATTAGCAATTTTCTTCAATGTAAGCTAACAAATTAATAGATTTTAGAGATTATGGTGTGGACAGCTTTGGATAGCCATTAATTGGCTTACCACACCATACTAGCAATGGGAATTCAACTTTGACCCATTTCTACACAAATAGGGTCACTTAAAAGTATCGTAAACCACTAGGTAAATTACTTACATATCCTCTACTGGTACCAAGACATTTATTTAAAGAAGCATTTAACATAATATAAATGAAATAGATGCCTAAGGAAGATGATTATAATCAAAAGAGGACCTTAGCAAGTTATCTTTATTTGAATCCAAAATATGTTGCATTCTTCATTTCCATGGCAGATATAAATGAAACCATGTTCTGCAGAAGATAAGAGTTCTATAATCAGAAATCAACATCTGCAGATTTTATGACATTGCACCTGCATGTTTTGAAGTGAACACAAAAATACCAAGCACATATCAGAGGCTATCTTTAAACACTAATAATTTTGCTTTTTCAAGACAAAATATCTTAAATATAACTGTTATTCCTATTAAAGTCTTTGGAGACATGCCAAGTCTGCAGATTTAAATGAAACTACTTTTTCCTTCTACTCAAATAGCTCCTCTGTTAAATGAAACTTCCACAAAAGAGTTTTTATTACCAGCTATGAAAAATTTAAGCTTACAAATACACTTTGAAAAAAGTATGACAAAGATAAGAATAAACTTGTCTTTTCAAAGGTGTAATCCTTGGTTTTATGCTAATTAAGGTTGTATTTTTCTGTGCAAAGAACTGTAGATTTAAATCATTACTATTACAAAGTAACTCAGAAAAAAAGAATTGTAGTTTGAATTATCAGAATGTTTCTCTCTTCCTCGGTACTTCCATTTGTTAATCACATTTTGGTGTATGCATTCAAGATTGTTGTATAGTCTACAAAAGGGTCTTCTCCTTTTAAACAAATTTGAAGATGGAATAATGGTCTTCAATTACTGATAAAAAAAAAAGGCAAGACCACATTTTTTACAATGTCCTCTTGGTTTATGATTCTTACTATTTATGGAAGTTTTATATATGTGAGTTTGGATCAGATAGAGTTTTAGGATTATTAAGTGTTTTCCTCTTTCAGTGACACGTTATCCTAAATATTTAAAATCACATAATCTAGCGGTTGAACAGTCTAGCTTTAGTCATGAGTTAGGAAGTATTATATTGCATTCACGTTGAAAAATATATTGTAGAACACTTGCTTTTTTTTCCCCCTTTCTCCTCGGATAAGTCAATGCTGATTTTCTATTTGGAAGATACTGTTTTCCATCTTTGTGGCAGAGATAAAAGTACAGATGAAAGATAGTGGCAAAAACACCTGGTCTGTGTAAGAACAAGTATCCTCTACATTCTAATCTGCATAGTGAAAAAACAGAGGTGTTTTTCAAAATAAGTAAATAAAGTCAAGAAAACTAAAGTGAATTTTCTTCCCCTTTTTAAACAAATTTTATTCTTGTAAGTAGGTAGAGAGTAGATTGTAAAAAGTATAAATATAAATTAATTCAGGAAAAAAATCAACATCTTTATAATATTATCCTCCCAAGTGGACACATATTTCCCTCCAGTTATTTAAGTTTATTCTACATATGTCTGTAAAATTCAATTATTTTCTTCATATAGGTTCTTTCCTTTTCTCCTAAATAGAAACAAGTAAGTATGAGAGTGGGGCCATTTGTTCAGAGCGGTCCTTTTTTTAAATTTTTCTTTATTACACAACAGGTTTAATGTAGCATTTCCAAATTAAAGTAAGATGGTACTGGAATTTGGAATTATTTAAAAATTAAAAACGTAAAAAACCTTTTAGGTTCAGGAGTACATGTGCAGGTTTATTATATGGGTAAATTTTGTGTCACGGGGGTTTGGTATACAGATTATTTCATCATCAAGGGAATAAGCATACCTATAGGTAGTTTTTCTAGCCTCACCCTTCTCCCATCCTCCACCCTCAAGTAGATCCTGGTGTCTGTTGTTCCCATCTTTATATGTGTACTTAATGTTTAGCTCCCACAAGTGAGAACATGCGGTATTTGGTTTTCTGTTCCTGAGTTAGTTTGCTTGGGATAGTGGCCTCAGTACTTCGACTGCAGGGATATTCCTTGACAGCAATTTGTGTATTTGAAACATTTCTTGTGATTTGTTTTTAAATTTATAATCTTCTTGTAATTTTTGTGCATTTCTTATTTTTGTTCCTTGAAGATGAGACATTTGGGCTAGTAAAAGCTCAATTGTGCCTCAGTTCAAATATTTGTTTTAGTGCAAATAGGAAGTCATTAACAATTATCATACACGGACTTTGTCTAACAGATGAAAAGCAAAACATTTGTGCTAGTTTTATGGCAATAATTTTATTTTTATTATTTAACAAAGCATATTCTGTTCTAGTGATTTCCCTTTCATTTTTGTATTTATTTGGTTAGGGGGTAGTGTTCCTACTGGGGAGAAGTAGGAGAGAAGGTCTAGAAAGGGGGTCTGGGAATAGATCACATTAAGTTCTACAAAGTCAGGTGGAGGAAATTAGATTTTGTCCTGCAGGCAATATGCAAGCACTTAAGCTTCTTGAGCAAAGGTTGAGATCAAAGTGGTGGTTAATGGAAAATAATCTGCTAACAGTGTTTGGGCTGGGTAACAAGGGGAGAGATGGGTGACATAGAGTTCTAAACAAAAGCAACCACTTGGCCTGGGGGTAGTGCAGACATAAGCTACTAATAAGGGCCCGAGCCAGGATGGTATTGCTGAGATCGGAAAGAAAGGAAGTGGGCCGGGCGCGGTGGCTCACGCCTGTAATCCCAGCACTTTGGGAGGCCAAGGCGGGAGGATCACGAGGTCAGGAGATCGAGACCATCCTGGCTAACACAGTGAAACCCCGTCTCTACTAAAAATACAAAAAATTAGCCAGGCTTGGTGGTGTGCACCTGTAGTCCCAGCTACCTGGGAGCCTGAGAGGCAGGAGAATGGCCTGAACCCGGGAGGTGGAGCTTGCAGTGAGCCGAGATTACGTCACTGCACTCCAGCCTGGGCGACAGAGCGAGACTCCGTCTCAAAAAAAAAAAAAAAAGGGAAGTGGGTTTCAGGGTCCTTATGAAAGGAGATTTGGTGACTAATTTACTTTACAGGACATCCTGGTTAAAGGAATAAAACCTGAGTAAGGTTTTGAGCTTGGGAGGCTGAAAGAATGATAGTACCAGGGGTAGAAGTAAATCAGGAGAGGGAGCGTATTTGTAGGAGAGGATAAGGAATTTAGTTTTAGACATGCTTTCTTTGTAATGCAGTAGAATATACCGTCGTGTACATCTAGTGATGAGTTGAAAAATATTGAGTCTTAAAAAAGAAATTGACCTGATACGGATTTAGAATCATCCCTGTAGAATCGAGTGTGGTAGCCTTAGGAGTAAATGAGCCTTATAATGGAGAGAGTTTAGCAGGAGGGAGCAGAGGTGTGAGTGCTAAACCTTTAAATGTGTTCAATCCACATTCATGTTAATGTCTTCATATTGCTTATCAATGTCTGAAATTGCATCGTTCACAATATGCTTACTTATCTATGATGTGTTTCTTTAGACTACAAGCTCTATGTAACCTCAGACTCTGCCCATGTTGCTCATTACTGCACCTCCAGCCCATGGAACAGTGCCTGGCACATGTCAGGTGATGAAAATGCATCTATTGCATGGACAAATGAGTTACTGAATGAGGATATAAAGTTTTTGAAATATTCAGATCTTCAAATAACCTCAGTATGACCCTAGATAATTCACCTAGTCAAGGACAAATATTTCATCAGACAGCACATTTCAGATACATATGTATTTCACTTTTTAGTTTTTTTTTTTTTTTTTTCAGACTGCATTCTGACCTTGTATGTTGGTGTGTGGCTCTTCAGACGTGACTGGAGTTGACTTGGTTTTGAGAGATTTCTCTTCACCTTTGTTTTCTTCCTTTGAGAAAAAACATAGAGATTGTATGTGATGAATTTACATAAAAATGAAGTTGAATGTAAAACATAACACCATTTTCCACTTAATTGTCAATCAGATCATTAAAATTGACTGTTTATGATGTACTAAAAATGATTCTTGCATTTAAAATGGGCATTCTTGGCCTACTATTGAATAATCAACCTCAGCCTCCACAGCTGCCCTCTGGTTTTTTCAGTGTGGATTCTGTGTTTCTCTTGTTCACATTCCTTCAATTGTGGTCTTTACTTGCCATAGGCCTAGCATTAGTCTAGGTCTTTAGTGGTAGAACTTAAAATAGTGGAGAGAAGGCAGTTTGGTCCCATTCACACAAAGCTCCCTTTCTTCTCTCCATGATTTCATGTGCTTCTGCCTCATCATTTGTCTGATCATCTAAGCTTTCCTTTGAAATGCCGTTATGTCCCACTAGACATGGCCAGTGTGTGCCTCAGGATGTTCCTACAGGGGCAGAGTGAAACAAGATATGAGGTTAGAACATAAAGATTGACTCCCAAGCTATGCACAGTCTAGAAGGGGAAACAAACACACAAAAATGTTAAGTGCAAGAAAATGTAGGTGACGAATCAATGTCTGTAGAGGATTAGGATGGGGCATAAACAGGAAGTGGTCAATTCTACTGGAGTAGAAGGGAAAGAAAGGAAACTATTCCAAAGAAAGTGACTCTTGACTTTATAAAGATAAGATTTTTGTTTTCCACATGGAGAGGACTTAGAAAATATTCCAGGCAGATGATGCAGGTTTAGCAAAAGCCAAAGGCGTGACTGTACATAGGTGGGGAGAGACTACAGTAGGAGTGGTTGGATGGGACAAAGGGTGAGTAGATGAGGCTTGAGAGTAGGCAGGGACCAGAAGGACACTGAGAGTCTTGTGTGCCTGCTATAGAGTTTTGACATTATTTATAAGCCTTGTGTTTCATAGAAGCATTTTAAACTAAAAAATAAATTAATTGGCTGATTTTCACTTAAGCCTCACAATAACCATATACATTAGGCAAGGCAGCTATTATTATTAATATTATTATATTATTGAATATGAAATTGATTGAGTGGCTAGTTTATATGAACGTAGCTAGAAAGGTATAAGTCCAGGACTATTTATAAACAGTGAAAAAGCCTTCTGACTTCAATCAAGTCCTTTTGCATCGTTATGATGTTATTCATAAATATTTATATCATAGTCTTTATGTGTATACAAATGTAGATTTATGTGAAGAGTGTCTTCTTCTGGGGTAAGAGAGAGTTTGGATTAGACTGATTTGCAGTTCTTAAATTATTGTTTATTGATAGGTGAGAATTACCCATGACATTTTGGTGTGTAAATGAGCTCTTTAAATGACTCTTTAAAAAACACAACATACATTGATATATTTATTCCTAGATATTTGCTTATAAGACTCTAATCATTTATTCATAGTTCAGAGGCTTATTGTTTAAATGCCATTTTGAAAGGTCGAATTCCGTGAAAGAAAACAGGATTTTAACTTTCTGTCATTTTTAACATTTAGCATATTTGAAATTGGAGATAAACTATTTTTTCCCATACCCACATGTTCTTGGAAAGAACAGATGCAAATAATTGCCCAAATATGACTTTTAAGATATAATGTGGCTGAGCACAGTGGCTCATGCGTGTAATCCCAACACTTTGCAAGGACAAGGTGGGCGGAACACCTGAGGCCGAGAGTTTGAGACCAGCCTGGCCAACATGGTGAAACCCCGTCTCTACTAAAAATACAAAAAAATGAGCTGGGTGTGGTGGCATGTGCCTGTAATCCCAGCTACTCGGGAGGCTGAGGCAGGAGAATCGTTTGAACCCAGGACACAGAGGTTGCAGCGAGTCAAGATTGCACCACTGCACTCCAGCCTGGGCGACAGAATGAGACTCTGTCTCAAAAAAAACAAAAAAAAAAAATCTAATGTGATGCCAGTAGACTTCGCGATTAATATCCACAAATTATGGCTGTTGGAATGGCATGGGATATACCTAAGGGGTGCTCTACCTGTGCCTAATCTAAGTACTTCTCCAATATTCCTGTTTTGAAAGGAAAGATAACTCTTTAAGAAGTTTCTCTTCTTTTTTCGCCTTCTCTCTAATTTCCGTTTATCCTGCAGGCAAAGTATCTTAAAGGGTTGACTCAACTAATATCCCTCCTGTTTTGAGCAGTATAGCCTAGTGATTTAGCTCTCAGGTGCTGAATTCAGATAGGACTTGGTTCCAATCCAGGCTCTGCCATTTGCTAGCTATGTGTAAGGAGCAAATTGTAATAGGACCTGTGACTGTTGTGAGGATTAAATACAGTAGCCCTAGAAAAGGGCTTAGCACCTTGCTTGGCAAATAGTAATTGCTGTTAGTTACAATGTTCTCCAAGAGAATAATATATTAGCTATTAACGGTTTTTATGTGCTCCCTTGGAAAATAATCACAGTAGGCAAGGGTTAAAGATGGATGTAGTGACTTTCCCAGAGCAAAACACAGCAAGACTAGCTGAAGGAAAGTACCAGCTCAATATTTGTGACATTGTATGAGTTCTTAAACATATAGATAACTTAGTGTGGGATTATTTATTTTGACATAAGAATTAGAAAGAAGTCAAGGGCACTCTCTCGAAGCAATACTAACACAGTCCTCCTCATCTCCTCTCTACTGCAAAGCAGTCAACATTAATCAGAAAAGGAAGGCAGATTTTCCACGGCCCATGTTAAATAGTCTCAGTGTTGTCTATCCTCTAGGCTCATTTAAACCCGAACCATTGGACTATGCTCCCCTAGTCCCTGAGGAGCACTCCTGCTTGTACTTGTCATCTCTCATCCAGCTGTTTCAGATGGCAAAATAACTACTGCTCTAAAAATCTTCTGTAGCTCTTTTAGATAATTCTAGTGAGTAATTCACGAAAATTATTCTGTGGATAGTTCTAAGTAAATATTGCTCTTGTAATGATCACTTAGGACTTAAACCTGTCACAGAAACACAAATTCTTATTAATAATAATAATAGCCACTTGTAAAGTACCTACCATGTGCTTTATATATTACTGTCTCTAGTTCTCATAACAAAGCAGAAATTATCATATACATTTTGCAGAAAAATATATTTAGAACTTGTGAAAAGGCTTGTTTAAAGTTCCTCCACCTTGGCAGTATTAAAATTTTGTAGTGTATAATTCTACGTTGTGGAGGGCTGTCCTGTACATGATAGGATGTTGAGCAGCATCTGCAGACTTTACCCACTGGATGCCAGTAACATCCCCACCCCGGAGCTATGACAACTGAAAGTGTCCCCAGATTTGCCAAATGTCCCTTGAGTGGTAAAATCGCTCTCAATTGAGAGCCAATAGGTTTCCTATTGCTCTAGAGATTTATTGTTAACATGTGGTTTATGAAGACCAGGATACTTGATGTTCTTTGTTGAAACTCAATCAAGTAACCAATTTAATATTTGAGAAATGGTTTCATTTTGGATGATGGTAGAAGTGAAAATCAGCAATGAGAAGTCTTACTTGGCTTTTCCAAATCCTAGTATAGTCTCCTAAACATTTATTATTCTTTTTATGAACAAATACATACAGAATATATAAATTAATGAAGATAAGCCCGACACAGTACATGTACCAGATGGTGCCAGGTAAAACTACTAAACAATCATATATCGTAGCAGTGATTAAATGCTATTACCAGATAAGAAATGATGAAAATCAAGGCTTGCATAGGAATGTAGAGGACATACCTGTGCTGTGGTTTGCTGAGACTGATTACTTGGGTGAGAGCCTTCTTCATTCCGACGAGAACTTTGTTCATTCTCATTGTTCTCTCCTATAGGCTTCACCTTGTTGACTTTTGTCAGCGATTTAAACATCTTCTCTGAGGTGGTTCTGAAAACCCTCTGTATTTATGACTGTGCCTTAAGGTAGAGAAATGTACTTTGTTTTCCTTTTCTTTAGTAGACAAGCCAATTAGCTGTTTAATCAGGATTTTGTTCTGGTTAATTCCTACAGGCAACTCCTTAGCTAGTCAGGGCTTTGGCTTAAAAGCAGCAAAATACTTCTGCTTGGGTGATTTGCACTCTGTTTATGAACTTTAGGGAGTCAAAATGATCTTGTGAATAATTTAGAAGTAGAGGATTAAACACAGCTTCATAGTTGATTTGAATGGTTTAAATGTGATCACACAACACATTGTTTTCTTTCTTTTTTTTTCCTTCTAATTACCCACCTACTTATCTTTATCTGTCTAACTTTATGCAAAGTAATATGGAAATGATTAAAAAAAATCCATGAGGGCTTATGATATGAAGCAACTCATTCACTCCTCAAAATCCCCTTCTCTGGTCCTGCAATGTTAGGCCACTATTTTTAAGCTTTCTTTTTCTGTTCTTCTGGTGGTTGATTTCCACATGGCTAAACAAAAAAAAATCTGCTTATTCTACTCTGCCTCTGTGTGTGTGTGTGTCACTTTTGACCCCAAACCTGTGTGAGGCAAAGATACAAGACTAAGATTTGTTAAAGAGAACTTTTTTTTCCCCTTTGCCCGGAGCCCAGACAAAGTTGATGTTCTATGCTGTTGGATGAGATTTTTTAGTGCACCAAAGACGCATGATTTTTTTTAAAGGGGTTCTGTTTTTGTTTTTGTTTTTAATGAGAGCACTTATCTTCTGCAGTTTCAAATTAAAACCAAAGCCTTTATGCAACAAGGTACACACCCACACCCAGGGCAGCCTAAGTCAACCCATCAAATACTTCTTGCCCTCTGTATTTTTGCAATCTGGAAATTTCCTTGAGATACTAGTTATGTATTTTAAGATACGTTTATTACAGTTAATACAGAAAAAAGCCTTTAAGTATTTATGAAGAAAGCATTTTAATTTAGATTTCATATTACCAAAATCGCAGTTCCCTTATGGATTTTTAAAATAAATTAGAAGTTTTAATTTTAGATTCAACCATTTTATCAAAAATAAACTTACCTAATAAATAACGTAATTGAATACATGATTTGACTTATATGGCCTGGAAACACAAAGCTATTTATTTTTGTTAAAAAATGGTGGGGGGTGTTTTGGTTCCATTATTGCTTCAGAAATAATTCTGAATAGATTATCAAATATGTATAGGGCCATTTTAGGAACTTTTCAGATAATCCTGTAATCCTGTAATTGATTACATTTTGAACTTTGGGTATAAGCATAGAAGCTAAGCCAAAGGAAGGGAAGGTGTTAACAGCCAGCCTGTGACTAATTTTTTCCCTTCCTAAGACCTGCAGAGGAAAAAATGACCTCACCAGACTTTCGTATAAATCTCATAGTATTTATCAGTGGAAAGATACCAGGGAGTCCCTATTTATGAAACTTTTTTAGCAGGACATTTCTGGTCTGTCTAGATTGCTTATTGTAAATAAGCCTGGAATTTAGCAGGCTGGCTGGAGAATGGAGAGAGAGGTGCTATGTAAGCTCTGTAAGAGAATGTGGAACGAAGATGTCCCCAAACCAAACTGCCTTCTTTTTGTGAGAAATGTTTTTGCAGACAATGCTCAAAAATTACTTGTAAATGCAAAACCAAAATATGCCAACTGCAGGAGAAAAATGGTCTGTTTTGTTTGGATGCTGTGTCTGACAGTTTGGGGTTTTTCCCAAAATGAATGTTTTGTTTATTCCTGATGGCGGCTTGTAGCCAACGAATCATTAATAAAGTTTGGTGCTATGTAAGATCTGTGATTCTGGCTAGTCTGTTTTGACAATTTAACCCTTTAGATTTGTCACAGGTCAGAATAAATGGGATGGAGATATTATTAAATAATTCAAGCACCTTTAAAATGATTTAAAATACCTCCAACAACCTGATTTTTGACAATAGAGTGGCATTAACATGGGCATTAAAATTATAAATGACTACTTTTATTTTGTCTAGATCAGAGGTCTCAAAGTTTGGAAAATGGACAACTAGAAAGAATTCTGGAATGAAGGACATGAATTTTGGATCATTCTTTTTCACTTTAGTAGCTCTGTGGACTAAAGTAAATCTCTTGCCTTAACCTGGAAATAACTAGGTTGGGAAAAAACAATGTTTGTTTTCTTCTGGTTTTAAATTCTGTGATTTGTGGTCTTCCACAGAGGAGCTCTTCTAATCAGCAAGAAGATAAGGGAAGAAGGAGGGTTGCTTATTCTGGGTGAAATGGCTTACTAGAATTTCACCAATAACAATTTAATTTTTTTGTACCAAGTTGCCATATTGCTGAGGTAGTGTATGACAATGGGAATAAAAACAATTTTTCTTCAATATAACGGACTGTTTGTCTAACTGAAGCCCCTCAGCCACTCCTCCTTCTCTACAGCATAAATGTATAAACTCCTTACCAGGACATTCCCGGCCTTATATCATTGACCTTTGCCTAACTCTAGTTTAATCTGTAACCCCGACCTCTCTTTTGGCTCTTGCCATAATCAGTAATTTAAAATAGCTTGAACTTCTCTGCTTTTTCTTGCCTGTACCCATGTCTTTGCTCATGTGTACTGTTCCCCTGCCTGCAACGCTGTTCCACTTCTTGTCTATCTAGCTTAAGCTTGGTGTTTCCTTCTCCTACCGTTCCTCTCTTCTACCATGGACAGCTATACCTATAATCCTGTCTTTTTGTTGCAATTGTATCTGTGCCATACAGAGATCTCTACTTTGTCACTTCTCATTTTACAGCCATGTCCAGGTCTATTTTCTCTATTAGAGCATAAGCTCCTGCAGGCAGAGACTATGCTTTGGCCACCTTCAGATTCCTGTGCCCAGCTCAGTGCTTGACATATTCTAGGTACTCCATGAATGTTTGTTGAATAAATAACAGGAAGAAGATGGTATAGACCATCTCTTAGTTCTAGATTAACAGTGAAGAGATTCTCTGTGGTAGATGCAGTGTGTAAGAGAAGTGGAAAAAATCTCCCTGGAAGAATGCAAATGTTGTAGCCTCATTGTTTTTTATTAGTAGCCATTGCAGGCTGAAGTTGGGATAGGCTGAGAGAAGCATGCATAAAATAATGGTATGTTTTAAAACAAATGGTGTCTTAGATACCGTAGATGGTATACAGATGGCACATAGGAATATAACACGTAAAATACAAATCAGATGGTAATAAAGCTATGCTAAAACAAAAAGATTATCATCATTAGCAAACAGTTCCATATTCTTGTTGTGACTAGTAATTTTATTTTCAGCAGAGCATTAGCCATCTTACAGACAGCATTGTTTTAATCTTATTGATTTTTAAGTTTTATGTTAAATTTTCAAACAAGTTTTAGCTTTATGGTTCTATAAAAATTATAAGCAAATGAAGATTATATCTAGTTTCAGGTTGGAACATATTTAAGTATTATTCTTATGAATTATTCAAATAGGATCTGTAATAAAGTTTTCACTTAATAGGAGTCAGGTTTGGGAAATGCTATCTTTCTTTGAGGGAATCTTTAATGATGGAATTTCAGACATTCCCACTGGGGGCAATTTTGAACGAGGAGGACTTTCTTCTGGTAATTCTCAAATCACAGTCTCCTCTGCTTCTGGACGGGGTCAAGGGTTGAAGACTTGTTTGTTTTTGGCAAATTATTGGAAACAAATTAAGGTTATAAAACCAACTAAGGTTATATTTTCCCCTATGTCTACTAGAAAGAAACATTTAGGCAATTTTCCAAGATCTTTCTGAATTAAGTTCAAGTAGTCTGAATATTATTTCAATAAGAGAAGAGCAACCACCGAGTATAAAGGGAATAGCTGGTTTACAGTAGATAACCTAAAACAGTAATTGAAGGGAAACTCCCAGAAGTTTTCCCCCATCTCAGGTTCAGGGCTGTGTATTTTTAGGAGAAGATAATAACCTGGTAACAAACCTGAACACTGACCAAGTTCTGAAAAATTAACTACGCTGAATATACTTAATAAGGCAGGAAAACAGGTGAGTAAATTATGAGCTTTTTTAAAAAAAATTATAAGACTTTAGAGAAAAAAGTTACTAGCAATGTCTGGTTACCTGCGAACAAGGTTTAGGTGCTCATCTACAAAATGGAAGCTGGAATAACAGGCTAGATTACACAAGCCAAGGAATAAGATGACAGACAAAAATTCCCTGCTGTAAGTTAAATTCTCAACAAATATTTGCCAATCAATTGAATAAAACAAATTGTGTTTTCTGAAGCACTCAAATTTAAAATACTCTGTATATTAAAGCATATAATTCTATTGAGCAGTGAAGATTTGGCTTCTTAGTGTGTGTCAGGTGCTCAGCTAGCTGCTGTGGGGTATACAGAGATGACCAAAATATGGCATCTGCCTGTGCACACTCACCTTTTGGGACGGAAAGATGGAAGGTTTATAGACAATCTCAAGACAGCTTCCATAATGGCAGTGTGCGAGCCATGCCACCTAAGCAGAGAAGAGCAGGTGACCAAGTCTGCCTTTGTGTGAATGGACTGTAAAATGGGGAGTAAAGCTCTGCGGAGGAGCTAATGCTCATGACAGGTTTTGAAAGATGAGAGATATTCCAGGCAGATGTTGAAAGGTCCAGACATCAGAAACAACATCCAGTGAATTAAGGTATTACAATAGTTAGCAGTTTATGTGGCCAGCACAGTGCCCTTAATATAGTAGATACATAACAAAGACTTGTTAAACTACTGTTGAGTATTAACAATAAACATGAAACATATACAATTTTCTTTATATATACTATGTAGACCATATCAGTCTCAAAAGAAACTGATGGCATTGATTTTATGTTCTTTTAATTATTGTAGGATTAGCAAAACGTTAACTTTGCATTCAAAAAATAAATATTCAAAGAACATTTCTGAGTATATTTATTTTTCTTGATGATATTGACTAATGATCTTATGAAGTGGAATTATAGCAACTGATACTTAGAGGAAGTTTTCCCTCATAAAATATGTATAGAATTATTTAGAAATATTTGCCAGTGTGATTTTATGTGATGACAAATTTAGAGTATTTAGATTTTTTTCAGTCATCTGCAGGTATAATATGACTAGATAATGCAACTTAAAAATTTCTGAAACCAAAGTGATTTTAAATATAGTATTTCAATAGGTAGAAATGCTGTTTCTCTGATTATAATATTTGCATTGCTTTTAACTTAAAATTCATGAGCAATGAATGTAACAGATATTAACGGTAAAAATGTCTTCAGGAAATTGTTAATAACTAGTGGCATCTGTGACTAATGAATGCTATATTGGTTTAGTCTGTGACTAATAGAATAAATGTTTTGAAAAAAATCCTTATGTTAGAATTTTATAAACAGTAATCAGGTCGTGATGAATTTGTTCCGTGAATATGGATGGGGTAACTATGAAGTTTCCTCATTCTTTTACATTTTTTTTTAACAAAGTTGATTAGCCAGTTTCAGTACTTGGTTCCAATTATGGACTATCATTGCTTATTTATTTATTTTTTATCATTTAGTGAACTAACTGAAAGCACTTCAGCTAATTGAACATCATGGTCTACTGTTATGTAAGGAGATTAATTGTGCCATTTGCAAAGAAGATTGTCTATATGCAATTAGCTTTCTAGCTAAGCTGCTTTTAACTGCATTTTTTTCTGTGTTCTAAATTTATCAATGATCTGAATCTAATGTTGTGGGAATTTCTGAGCTATACCAGAATATTCTTAGTTCTAACAAAAAAATACATCCATCTGTTATTGAAAGTGGTTGTTGGTTTATGAATAATATCTGTTGGTTACCTTAGTAATAAAAGCCACTATATGTTAATATATGTTAATCCTTGACCCAACACAAAGATATTATTCCTTTTCGACAATTTGAAATTTCAAATTTAACAATGGTAAAACTTTATTGGTGCCTTAAATTTGAGAGATGAATATAATATTTAGCAATTTAAAGATTTTGAGAGTGATTATTAGTTCTTTATTTAGAAGTCAGAATCTATTTTATCGTTGGGTTTCAGCCTTATGGTTCCTACTGGAAATTTAATTCAGAATGTCTTGTAATCACTTTACAATCAACTCATTTAAAAATAAATTCATCTTCCTTACTACCAATCTAGCAGCTTCTTCTGACTTTCCTTTTGTTCATGACATGATCATTCCTTTAATTCTCTCCCTTATCTTTATTATATGAATTTGGTACTTGTTTCTTTGATTCTTCCTTTGCAAAACTTCAGCTCCTTATCCCTTCTTCTTTATACCCATTTTCACCACCATATTTAAACACCTAGAGAAAGCTGCACTATTGTAATAACTTCTGGGTTGGCCAGAGGAAGCCTGAGAAATGCATATGGAATCCAGATGGCTAGCCCATATGTGTGGGCAGAGGTAGAAGCCCACCCCTGAGAGGCAATGAGGAATCCAGCAGAGCACTTGTTTGAGCAATGTTGTCCGTATTTTTCTGTAATGGCGAGGAAGTCACTGGTTTCATTGAGTACAAGTTCTGAAACTGATGTATAAATGTCTCTCAGGTTGAATCTACTGATGCACTTGTTAGAAATAAAAAAAAATTGCAAGCATGCCTCAGAGATACTTCAGGTTCAGTTCCAGACCACCACAATAAGGAAAACATGGCAAAAAAGTGAGTCACATGAATTTTTTAGTCCCAGTGCATATCAAAGTTATGTTTACACTATACTATGGTCTAGTTAGTGTGCAATGGCATTACGTCTAAAAAACCAGTGTACATATTTTAGTTAAAAAAATACTTCGTTGACCCCGTCTCTACTAAAAATACAAAAAATTAGCCGGGCATGGTGGCATGGGCCTGTAGTCCCAGCTACTCCGGAGGCTGAGGCAGGAGAATCGCTTGAACCTGGGAGGCGGAGGTTGCAGTGAGCAGAGATCGCCCCACCGCACTCCGAGGTCGCCCCACTGCACTCCAAGATCGCGCCACCGCACTCCAGCCTGGGCGACAGAACGAGACTCCGTCTCAAAACAAAACAAAACAACAACAACAACTGTTGATAAAAAAAGTTAGCATTCACTGAGCCTTCTGCAAGTCATAATCTTTTTGCTGTTAAAGAGTCTTGCTGGTAGAGAGCAGCCTTAATGTTGATGGCTGCTGACTGACCAGGGCAGCTGTTGCTGAAGGTTGGGGGGATGTGGCAATTTCTTAAAATAAGATAGCAATGGAGTTTTCCTCATCAACTGACTCTTCCTTCCACAAAAGATTTTTCTGTAGCATGCAATGCTGTTTGATAGCATTTTACTTCATATTAGAACTTCTTTCAAAATTGGAGTCAATCATTTCACACCTTGCTGCTGCTTTATCAAATAAATTTGTATCATATTCTTAACCCTCTGTTGTCATTTCAACAATATCCACAGCATCTTCACCAGGAGTAGTTTCCATCTCAAGTAACCATTATTATTATTATTATTTTCTCATCTATAAGAAGCAACTCCTTATCTGTTCAAATGTTATCATGAGATTGCAGCAATTCAGTCACATCTTCAGGCTCCACTTCTAATTCTAGTTCTCTTGCTAATTCCACCCCATCTGCTGTTATTTCCTCCACTGAGTCTTGAATTTCTCAGTCATCCGTGAGGGTTGCGATCAACTTCTTTCAAATTCCTATTATGTTGATATTTTGACCTCTCTTGTTCTTATTGGCATTCAGAATGGTGAATCCTTTCCAGAAGATTTCCAATTTACTTTGCTTAGATCCATCAGAGGAGTCACTATCTATGGCAGCTATAGCCTTATAAATGTATTTCTTAAATAATAAGACTTGAATGTTGAAATTATTCCTTGATCTACGCATGGACTACAGAATGGCTGCTGTGTTAGGAGGCATGAAAACAACATTCATGTCCTTGTACAGCTCTATTAGAGCTCTTAAGTGACCAGGTGCATTGTCAATGAGCAGTAATATTTTGAAAGGGATCTCTTTTTTTTTTTTTTCTGGTCAGTAGGTCTCAAGGTAGGCTTCAAATATTTAGGAAACCATGCTGTAAACAGATGTGCTGTCATCCAGGCTTTGTTGTTCCATTTGTAGATCACAGGCAGAGTAGAATTAACATAATTCTTAAGGGCCCTAGGATTTTTGGAGTGGGGAATGGGCACTGGCCTCAACATAAAGTTACCAGCAGCATTAGCCCTTAACAAGAGAGTCAGCCAGTTCTTTGAAACTTTGAGGCCAGGCATTGATTTCTCCTCTTTATCTATGAAAGTCCTAGATGGCATCTTCTTCCAATAGAAGGCTGTTTTGTCACCACTGAAAATCTATTGTTTAGTGTGACCAATTTCATCAGTGATCTCGGCTAGATCTTCTGGATAACAAGATGCAGATTCTACATCAGCAGTTACGGCTACACCTTGCATTTTTATGGTATGGAGATGGCTTTTTTTCCTTAAACCACATGAGCCAAGTTCTGCTAGCTTCAAACTTTTCTTCTGAAGCTTCCTCACCTCTCAGCCTTCATTGCATTGAGGAGAGTTAGGGCTTTAATCTGTATTAGACTTTGGTTTAAGGGAATGCTGGGACTGGTTTGACGTATTCAGACCACTGAAACTTTTTTCATATCAGGAGTAAGGCTGTTTTGCTTTCTTATCATTTGTGTGTTCATTAGAGTGGCACTTTTAATTTCCTTCCATAATTTTTCTTTTGCATTCAGAACTTGGCAAACTGATGCAAGAGGCCTAGATTTCCTCCTTTCTTGGCTTTTTGTATGCCTTCCTTACAGAGCTTAATCATGTCTAGCTTTTGATTTTAAGTGAGAGACATGTGACTTTGCATTCACTTGAATACTTAGAGGCCATCACAGGGTTATGAATTCACCAATATTGTTGCGTCTCAGGGAATAGGGAGGCGTGAGGAAAGGGAGAGAGATGGGAAATGGCAGGTTGGTGGAGCAGTCAGAATACATACATTCATCAATTAAGTTCACCGTCTTATATGGGCATAGTTTGTGGCAGCCCAAAATAATTACATTAGTTACATCGAAGATCACTTATCATGATTACCATCGCAAATATAATAGTAATGAAAGTTTGAAATATTGAATTACCAAAATGTGACGCAGAGACACAAAGTTAGCACATGCTGTTGGAAAAACAGTGCCCATAGACTTGCTCAACACATCTTCAATTTATACACGATATCTGTGAAGCACAATAAAATGAAGTATGCCTATCATTTGAAATTTACAAGAAAGTTGCAAGAACACTACAAAGAAATCAGTATCTGCTTCATCAGGATTTTCTAGTTTGATAACATTTTACATTTTACTGTGTTTGTGTACTCCCTCTCACTCTCTTTTTGTATAGCAATTATCATCAATCTTTTCCTGAACCATCTGAGAGCAGGTTGCAAACATGATGTCCCATCACTCTCAAGTATTCCAGTGTGATATAATCATCATTCAACCCCCAAGTCAGGAAATCAACATTGATATAACACTACCATGCAATCCACAGACTTTGTTTAGATTTTGCCAACTGTCTCAAAAATGTTCCCTTTTCGTTTCTGATCTAGGATCCAATATAAGATAAGTTCTTCTGTTCCTTGGTATCCACAGGGGACTGGTTCCAGGACCCCTGCAGATACTAAAATCATGAATGCTCAAGCTTCTTATATAAAATGCTGTATTATTTGCATATAACCTATGTACATTCTTTCATATACTTTAAATCATCTTTAGAATACTTATAATACCCAATACAATGTAAATGCTATGTAAGTAGTTGTTATACTGCATTTTCAAATGTATTATTTTTATTTTTGTATTGTTACTTTTTATCTTTTAGAATATTTTCGCTCCGTGGTTGGTTGAATCTGCAGATACAGAACTCATGGATATAGAAGTATTGTATCTCAAATGAAATACAGTACTGACTCTATTTTATTTGCCTGCCATGCCTCTTCAGTGTCTTTCAATCTGGAATGGATCCTCTGTCTTTTCCTGTCTTTCATGACAGTTTAAAAAAGTACCAGCCTTTCTTTCTATAGGACGACATCATCTATTTTATATATTGTGTCAAATTAATATTTCTAAAAAGGTGAATTACGTTTTTGAAATAGTCTCAGGTAGGTCCCATACTGGCTCTCTAATACCTACAGTTTAGTTTGGAGGTCAATAAGTTTCCAAACATTGCTTCTGTTACTCCTATGACATTTATTATGTATTGCCACATATTATTCTTGTGTTTTTTGATTTGTGGATGCATTAATTCAGTATTAAATGATTCAGTAAACATAATCATCAATTATATTGAAGGCCAGACACATTACATGTGTTATTTCACTTAATACCTTCTCAGATTTTATTATTACCCTCAATATTCAGATATAAAAATTAAAACTTAAAGGAATTAAGTAATTCGCCCAAAGTTACACAGCGAATAAACAGCAAAGCTGGAACTCTAATGTCAAAGCTCTATTGCTTTTGAAAACCTATTTATTGAGCATCAGAGATATAAAGATTGAGACACCCTGTTTTTCTTTTTTTTTAACTTTTAAAATATAATGGAATTTATAATAACTTTTCTCCTGGGCTTTCTGTAAATACAGGGAGAAATCAGAATTATATACAGAAATTTACAAATTCACTTTTTCTTTACTTCTCCAAATTGATTATGTTGGGTAATACTTTTCTTTTTTTAAAAATTTTACTTTAAGTTCCAGGATGCATGTGCAGAACGTGCAGGTTTGTTACATAGGTATACATGTGCCATGGTGGTTTGCTGCACCTATCAACACTTCATCTAGGTTTTAAGCCCCGCATGCATTAGGTATTTGTCCTAATGCTCTCCCTCCCCTTTCCCCCCACCCCCACAACAGACCCCAGTGTGTGATGTTCCCCTCCCTGTGTCCATGTGTTCTCATTGTTCAACTCCCACTTATGAGTGAGAACATGTGGTGTTTGGTTTTCTGTTCCTGTGTTAGTTAGCTGAGGATGATGATTTCCAGCTTCATCCATGTCCCTACAAAGGAAATGAACTCATTCTTTTTTATAGCTGCCTAGTATTCCATGGAGACACCCTGTTTTTCAAGAGCTCACAGTTTAGTGGAGGGTATAGGCATGCTGATGAACAATATAAGCATCAAGGTGGGGGGAATATCATCCATCCATTTTCAGTCATTGCAGTCAGTGCCTTTTAATATGTAGGCAAATGATATGTCCTGTTAAATAAATAAGTATATTAATGAAAAGGAGTTTAAAAGCATCCAAATTAGTTACCTAATTATACCTAATATTTGCAAATGTGTTTTAACCTGAAGCATACTTTAATCTGAATATTCAGTGAAAATAGCCTGCATTTGAAACTATGTATAATTCTAAAACAATTGACACTTTTCCTATTGGTTGTAGATTAAACCTACATAAGGACACAAATGCAGAGAATTTTATGGTTATAGTAAACCTTTATAACAAATTTTTAAGTGACTCTTCTTGTGGGTCCTATAATACCTGAGCTCAATTACTGCAATTAATTTATAAGATATTTTCTAATTTATTCACCTCATACTTTTTGTAGGGTATAACCAATTATGTAATTCAATTGATGCAAAGTTTCTGTTATGTCTATTTGTGATTTTACAGGATACTTGTAACTAAAGGGTTTATGACTATCAACTCATTCATCCCTTGGTCTCTAGGCAGTGTCCCAGAAGGAAACATGTTTATATTATTATGGAAATCTCTAACAATGAGCTCACTTTCTCTTCTTAGCATTTTAATACATACTATATTTTTTATTTGGATTAAAGTTGAAACATAATTTCAACTTTGTGGAACTTTATGAGTCACTAGAAGGAGAAACTTGACCTAGCAGGGAAAATAGAGGACTTGATATTGGAGAATGTTTCCTAAAGAGCCAGTTTAAGCACTGATTAACTGTAAATTTTGGCGACTCACAACTTATATAAACTGTAGTCTTTTCCCCTACATAAAGGAGATAGGCGTGTCTCCTTTATAGTATACCCCTTCTGTAATTAAATCTCTTGATACTTAATCAAATGCTATGTTTGTGATACTGATCTACAACTTTGAAAATGCTTGATAATAGAATTTTCATCATAATTATGAATAATAGGTTAAAAAGAAAAATTAGCACATATTGAACACCTTATAGCAGGAACACTAAAAATAGGTTATTCTGGTCCATTTGCATGTATATAACTAACTGATTAACAAGGTTTTCTTGTTAAACTTCTTTGTTATGATACATCAGGATATTATTTTAAAATCATTTTCATCAAGCATTTGCTTAGTATTTATTATAGAGGAGCTCAAGCTTATTCTACAAACACATATTGAAACCATGAGATATCACTAACTACCCACCAGAATTGCTATACAAATGGGAATGTAAGTCTTACGGCCACTTTTGGAGACTGGCAGTTTCTAATACAGTAAAACACGTGTCTGTTCCGTTGCTTAGCAATTCTACTCCTAGAAACACACCCAAGAGAAATGAATGCTTAGGTCCACATAAAGACTTGTATGGTAATGTTCAGAGCAGATTTTGTAAATAATTAGTTCCAAAATGGAAATAATACAAATGTTCATCATCATGAAAATAGTTAAAATTGTGGTCTGTTTATACAAAGAAATATCTTGAAACAATCAAAAGGAACAGACAACTGATATATGCAACAGCAGGAAAACATCTTTAAGACATTTTGTTGTGAGAAAGAAGCCAGACACAAAACAATATATTCTTAATGATTTCATTTATATGAAGTAAAAGAATAGATAAAGCTCATCTTTGCTGATAAAAATGAGAATACAGGTTGCCTTTACGTGATGGGGTGGAGTTGAGGCTATGGGGGGAACATTGAGATGAAAGAAGCAAGAATGAACTTTCTGGGGTGGTGGAAATATTCTATATCTTGATCTGAGTGATGATAAAATGGATGTATTATATATGTCAAAATAGTGAAGTCTACATTTAAGTTTTATGCATTTTATTGCATATTAATTACGATTCAATAAAGTACTGTGAGCACTAAAGTATTTATTTTAATTGCTTTCTACTGCTAGACATTAATCTGTGTCTGGATTAATCAGATAGAGTCCTGGACTTGAGAAGTTCACATCCCATTGGAGGTGGGGAGTGAAAGGGTAGGTATAGATACATAATTATATTAAAACTATAAGGGAGGTATGTATACTGCACATGGCTAGCACAAAATATGGCACAAGTTATTTATTTGTTGCATGGTGTTTTCAGAAGGCTTCCAGAAGCTGATTCTTGAGCACTGAGTAGAAACTTGGGTGGAAGTTTCATATTGGCAAGGGAAGTAGAGAGAAACTCAGTTGCATGGGGCTACTGAGGGGAGCATTGCAGGCAAGAGAAAGATGACTATAAATTGTAAGAGACTGAGCTGAATTTGTATAAATCTTAGTTTATCCTCCAGAATTTGTTTTTTTGTGGAGTAAATTTCCTTTGTTTTCTCTTTGGTCAAATTAAGGGAAACAGCTCAAATCTCTGAGTTGGTTATTTATTGCTTTATTTTAAAAAATCACCTTAACAGTTAGTACCTCAAAAGCACAATCATTTAATTTATCTAACAATTCTGTGGACCAGCTTGGCTAATCTCTGGGTTCTCTTGTGCATTCGTGGCCATCAGGCAGGTCAGCTGGGACTGGCAGCTGGTCAATTTAGGGCAGCACTACTCACAGACGAGTGGTTGTCAGGCTTTTGACCTGGCTTCCTGATTCTCTTTCATGTGGCCTGGCACTCTCCAGCTGGCTTGGGTTCTTTTACATGGTGGGCTCAGGGTATCATGTGCAGCAAGAAATCAGGCCTCTATATCCGAGTTCTTTTCATGTATTTTACAGCACTTTTGTTAATATTCCATTTTGTCAAAGCAAGTCATATGCTCAAACCATGTTCAAAATTAGAAAGGTAGACTCTGTCTTTTGGAGGGAAGGGAAACATTTAATAGAATTTTTTTGGTAACCTATATAAAAATTTCCATTCAAGGATTTACTTTATATATTTACTTTCCTAAAAGTGTTTTTTGTTTTTTGTTTTTTGTTTTCTGAAAACACTTTTTAATAGGAACTTCTAGGCAAGGTAATTTGTAAAGAGGTAGCTAAGTAATAGCATCAAGCTGTGCTGTAGAATTTGTAACGGTTTCAGCTTAAAAAAAGAGAAGACTAGCTGGATTGAGTAAGTTTTCAGAAAATTTTTGCAAACTGGAGATAAACCTATTTTAGGCATATTAGAAACTTTTTCCATTCTTATGTTAATTAAGGTTCTTTTTATTTCAGATAAGATAATCCCAGTTCAAATTAGATTAACCAAAAAGGGGAATTTATTAAAGGGATATTGGAGTGACTCATGGATCCCAGGGAGAGTGTTATGTTGCTGTTGGGTGACTTACAGGCTTCTGTCTTCTCTAATTCTCATCTGGTAAATTTTTTTTTTATTTTGCTTCTCAATCTACATGACAGAAATGGCTGCCAACAATACCTAGCAGATAACATGTGTATAATTCAGATTCCTAGAGGGAGAAAATGTAACATGAAAACTATAAAACGATGTTACAAGACTATACCTGTATCCCAGTCAATTGGAGCTTTATTTTATTATGGTTGAATCAATATTTGACAAATTCTTTATACATAGTAAATAATACTGCATTTAATTTTAGCTATAAACCAAGAGCCACAAATTTCAAACAATATGGAAATATACTGTAGATACTGAAAGGTCTCCAGGTTCTACTCTCTTTCCACCTTCATCCTCACCCCATCAATAGTTTGGCACATATTTTCTCAATTCATATATATATATGTATGTATCTATATATATGTGGGAGAAAGAGAGGGAATAATAATAATAATAAGCAATATTAGAAGAAACATAAGAGATATCATTGGCTAAGGTTTGACAAATGTCTAGGCAATTTTTCTATATTAGCACTGATTCTTACAAAACAACCCATGAAGGCAGTTATTATTGTCTTTATTTTGCCTATAATAAAACAGACTAGGAATGAGCGAATAACTTATTTAAAATCACAGCAAAGGAAGAGAGCCAGGACTTTAACTTAGGTCTGTCTGATTCAAAACTTGTGCCCTTTCCACAATAATAAGAGTAATAGTCATCATTAATGAACCCTTACTACGTACCCAAACTTTAAAAGATTTTTTTTTTTTTTTTTTTTTTACAAAACTCAATGAGATAACAATAATTATTACTCTTTTAAAGAGGAGGTGAGGTTTGCTAATGACAGAGCCATGATTCATACCCAGGACTTTAAGTCTCCAAAGCTTCTGCTTTTTTCTCTACATTCTTACACTGTAGTATTTTAGTAAAGTAGCATTCTGTATCTCAACACATTATTATGCATTGCATATTCTTTAAGAAATTGTTTGAATAGTCATTCAGTGGGTGTCCACTCCTGTGCTCACTCTAATAGATGGATGGTGCTTAAGAAGGATTCTTGGGACTCTGGCTTAGAGCATTGAGATGTGATAGACCAGTGACATCTGTCCTGTGTATGGAAGGAGAGGAGTTGTGGCCTCAGTCTCCAGATTTGCCATCCCTGCATGATTACCTCAAGATGACATAAGATTACTAGTTATTAATTAATTATACTTCTACAATGATTGTTTTTTATTCAAATGACCTAATAAAAGAAAACTTAAAACTCTAGTTATAATAAAAGAAGGAACCATCTACTAAGACAAAGGAAGAGAGCCAGGATTTGAATTTAACCATATAATAATTCTCAGATAGAATTCCATATATAGCCATTTTTAATATTATATATACTAAAGACAAAAATAATTCAGTATAATCAGACCAACAGCTTTATTCATGCAGCCTGCTTCATTTCATTGTAGTGTTATGCTTTATAGAAAGATAGAAAATTATCACCTTCTTCTCTAATAATTTTCTGCTCCTCAGTCTGATTTGTGTGCTGCCACATTATCTTAACTGTTTGTATGTCTTTAAGTTAGGAATTAATTTATAGTTAAAAGACTAACTTTAATCAGTATTTCAATTGGGTAGAATATTTGATCTTGCTTTAATTTGGTTTGATCTTGTTTTAATTTGGTACTTTGGCTTTGTGAGTGTAGATAGGTCTGGAAAATAGAAGGAAGTTGGCATGAATACATGAGAGGAATGACAGTCCAGTATTAAAGGCCAGGTAATTGCCTTCACACAGTCCTCTCCTTGGTGCCTAGAGTGAATTGCTTTAGTTGTACTATGAATTTCAATAATTGCTTCAAGCAAAACAAGGGGAAGGTAAGCATGTTTTCCACTTGGCTACTTTGTGCAAAATAACTGGCAGAGATTGCTAGAAAAAGTTTGATTTTAGGGGGAAGAATTTAACAATTTCACTTTAGGAAAAAGCACAGGAGAGAGTTTGGGAATTAGAATGCGTAGGTTAAGGTCCTAGTTCAATAAGTTAATGCCATTGATGTTTGTAAGTCATTTATAATTTCTTAGCCTCAATCTTTCTTTGTCTTCTTTAATGTAAGCTGTAATATGTATGTGTGTAATATATTTAAATGCAGAAAACAAATTTTCAATCTGACAAATAAGTATAAAGATCTATGAAACCACTAACAAGGTCAACAAATAAATGTCAAAACACCCCAGAAGAACTTGCTCTCATTTGTCCCTTCCAGACAATCATCTACTCCCCCACCATTCCACCAGGAGTGACCACTGTCCTGACTTTTATCATAATCCCTTTCTGACTTTTCTTTGTAGTTTTACCACTCATACTTGCATTTATAAATAAGAATTTTGCTGTGTTTGAACATTATATAAATGGATGTTTATTTGTTGAATATAATTATATATATGAGATAAATTTTGTTAATCATGTTGCTCAAGTCTCCCATATCCTTAGATTTGGTTTTCCTGAGATCTGTTGGGCTTCATAAATCTGTGACTTCGTGTCTGTGACAGACAACCTCCAAATGGTTCCCAGTGATCCCTGCCTCTTGGAGTTCACACCTTTAGGCACTTCCCTCTGACATTTGCAAGGGTTGGTTTGGGCAATCAATAGAATATGGCAGAGTCCCTTCTGAGATTAGGTCTTGGCTCCTCTGTTTATCTTACTCCTGCCCTCTCTTGGATCATTTTCTCTAGGCAAGTTGGTTGCCATGTTGTGAGCAGCCCCCTTGAAAGGCCCATGTGATGATGAATTGAAACCTCCTGTCAACAGCCATGTGAGTGACCTAGGAAGCAGATCCTGCAGCCCAGTCATGCTTCAGGTGACTGCAGCCCCAGCCACTATCTTGCCTGAAACCTCATGACAGGCTCTGAGCTAGAACAACACAGCTAAGTCACCTCTGGCTTCCTGATCTTATCTTTGTAAAATAGTGAATGTTCACTGTTTAAGTCACTATGTTTTGTTATGCAACAATAGATAACTCATACAGTGTTTCTCATAATTTCTCGAAAACTTCCAACCATATCTATACTAGTATTGTTCCTGCTGTGTTCTATTTTCTTTTTTGGTTCTTCTCATTAAAAAAAAAAAAAATCTAGCCTGGGCGCAGTGGCTCACGCCTGTAATCACAGCACATTGGGAGGCTGAGGCAGGGGAATCGCGAGGTCAGGAGATCGAGACCATCCTGGCTAACAAGGTGAAACCCAATCTCTACTAAAAATACAAAAAAATTAGCCGGGCATGGTGGCATGTGGCTGTAGTCCCAGCTACTTGAGAGGCTGAGGCAGGAGAATCGCTTGAACCCAGGAGGCAGAGGTTGCTGTGAGTCGTGATCATGCCACTGCACTCCAGCCTGGGCGACACAGAGAGACTCCGTCTCAAAAAAAAAAAAAAAAGAAATTCTAGGTTAGTTACTTTCCTTCTTTATTTTTCATTTTGTTTTGTCTCTTTGTGCTCCATTCTATTAGTTTGGCGCAAAAGTAATCGCAATTTTTGCCATTACGTTTAATAGATAATTTCTTCTTACTTACTGAACTTCATCAAATCTAAGACACCATTGAGTTTAAGAGAAACAAACTAAGACAAAATGTTTTCTTATCACACTGATGTAAAATAAAACGTATACAATTTCAAGGATATTGAGATAAAAATAGTTTTAAAATCAATTAAGTTGTCTATCATTCAGTTCATAAATTTCATCTCAGCTGTGTCTTCTCTGTTTTTAAACCAAGTGCAATTTTAGTTTTTAATTTTGTTTATTAAATTTAAATTTTAAAGTATTAAATTTTAAAATTTAATATTATTAAAAGTTAATATTTATTCCTTTTTTCAAATATCATTGGTCACTTTTTACATTTCCCTTTTTCCCTTTCTTCAGATTTGTATTTTTTAAATGTTATAATTATAAGTGTAGTTTTTTTATAGTCTGTGTTGGAGTGTCCCCAAGACCACCTCCAGGTTCAGTAATTTTCTAGAAGGAGTCACGGCATTCATTATACAGTCATACTCATGACTAAGACTTATTACAGGAAAAGAATACACCACAAAATCAGCAAAGGGGAACAGGTACATGAGTAGTCTGGAGGAAAACAAGAACAAGGTTCCAAGGGTTTTCTCCCAGTGGAGAAACATGGGACACACTTCTCATAGCAATGAGTCATGACCACACATATGAATGTTGAATGTTACTAACAATGGAAGTTCTTTAGAAACTCAGTGCTCAGGGTTTTTAATTGGGGGTGATCATATGGGCAACCTCTGCCTGGCACATACACAGACTCTCAGAAGGAGGACCGGAGTTCAGCATAAACCATACTGTTTGCACAAACAGTTTAGGCACAATGAGCTACTCTTACCAATGAGAGATGGTGGGAATCCTCCCAAGGTACAAGTTCCCATACACCAGCCAAGAGCTAGCCTTGTAAGTAGGCCTTTCAGAGAATAGCTGTAACTGTAATAGGTTTATCACTCCATGCACACAGCAAGTCAATATGCTGAGATGCCAGGTTGGAGCAGAGAAACGGGTTTAATTGTAGGGTCACCAAATGAGGAGATTGGAGGAAACCATAAATTCATCTCCCCAGGGAACTTGGGGTTAGACTTTTTAAGGACTTTGGAGTGGGTGGAAGTGCAGAAACCATTGATTGGTCAAAGAACGCAGGATGAAGACACGGGACAGGCAGATGAAGAAGCTGTAGTCTCATGCTGATCCTTCTGTGTAAGTTTTCTATCCATCTGTGTAAGTTTTCAAACTGGACGCTGACATTCAGGGTCTGAAAAACATCTTAAGCAATCCTTAAACAAAGACTTATGATTCTAATGTCAGAGATCCTGTCTATAGGAACAATGGGAATGCAAACCAATTTTTAAACAGTCTTATGACCGTAATGTCAGAAATTCTATCTATAGGCACACACTGGGGATGCAGTTGGTCAGAATCTAGTGTTAAGTGACTTTTAGCAGCAAAGAAGTCAGCCAAAGTGCAGCCTGATTAATGCTTAATCATATCTATATTTCTGTCCAGAACCTGGCATACAATTCTTGTCAGTCTTGCGGGGATGGCTTCATAGCAGTCAGCCCTGTTATGTTAATTCTTTTTTTGCATGTAGTCCCTGTCTGAAGTCTGTGTAAGTCTGATTTTGTATGTTGTTTCTTAAATTTTCTGCTAATCTTTCCCATGCAATCTAGTTTTCTGGTTATTTTTGTGCTGCTCCTGGTTATCTGTATGCTGTTAATCATATTTGAACAATACTTTGAAGGAATAATTTGAAGCACAGAATAAAGTTATTTTTCCTTAGAAGGAATTTGTTTTTTACATTACTTCTGTTTTGGATCATCTTAAACTAAGTTGAGAGCTTGAGGGTCTTTGGATAACTCTGGTGATTAGAACCTAAGCTGAAATTCTGGACAAGAGTAGCTTCACTTTTGGTTCATGCTTACACCCAGGGCAAATTCTTATTGTATCCCAGTTTATTGTGGCTCCTGGTTAACTAATGATCCTCTGTCATCCCTGGGGTTCATACCTTGATTCCCTACAGAAGTCATCCAAATGGAATTGCAAGTTTTTGTGGCTAGATAAATGCCTCCAAGGCAAAAGGATCTTCTGAGCTTGTTTACTTCTCTGGACTCCCATTTTCTCTTCAACTTTGGCCTGGTAATTTCCCACAGTTTGTCAGTTATTTTTCAACACTTCTAAGAAAGTACTTTTAATACTTTAATCAGCAGGATTGGTAGGGTTTGCTTGCTTACCCTCATTTTTCTCTCCTATGAAATGGAAACGATAATATTAATGGCACTTTTGCAATGATGTAATGATCATGAGTTATCATGATAACAAAAGAAAATACTTTACAGGCTTTTAAGCTATCTCTTACTACTGTAGACAGTCTGTCAACTTCTCCTCCCCTAACTGTACCACAGTGTATTTGTTAACTTGGCTTCTGTTCAGATGCATAAGAAGATGCATAAGAAGTTTTCTTTTTTCAAATGCCTAAGGAGAGAATAGATTTTTGTTTAAGAGAAAGCTCTTCTGACTCCTCTCCTCCATAATACTAGAAGGAAAAGAAAAAAGTGGGAAAATGGGGGAAGATGTAGGAAAGTCTCCTGGTCTAGCCCTGTGGAATGAAGGTGATCATCTGTGGGTGATCAGGAGAAACAGAATCTGCTCTGTGCAAGATGCTCTGTCTGACACTAGCACAAAAGCTATGCTGAAGCCCAGGGAACAGCGTGCCTAACTCTATATGTGAATTTTCTTTCTTGAGAACCCAGAGCCCATTTATACTGGAGGCATGGGCAGTGTAGTGGTTATCAACTGTAATGGTGGAAATGAGGCTTCTGTAAGCACTTTTTTAGGCAATATTTTTTTTATGGACAAGGGAGAGTCAGAGCAGGGAGGAACTTGCAAGAAGGAAGAAGGCAAATTACTTCTGCAGATAGTCTTGTTTATGATGTACTGCTTTGGGGACAATCAGAGATCAATGGAAGACACTTCAAGAGGGGCCGAGATTCTACTATAATGCTAGAGGGGCCTCTTAAATATTCCACAGTTGAGATGATAATAATAATACCAAGTGTTTACTTGGCATTGGCCAGATGCTGCTGACTGTTTCACCCTATTGTATGAGACAGGTGCTTTTACTATTTTCGTTTTACAGATGAGGCATATCTGAGGCACAGAGAGGTTAAGTTGGGGACTGAAGTGTGGCTCCAGAATCTAAGTTTCTAACTGCCATGCTATGGTAAGTGAGATTGGTAAGTGCACATGAGGAACTCGTGAGCCTCAAAGTCATTCATCAATGCAGCATTCAATGATGGCTTACATGAAGGTATAGAGGTAGGCTCATCACTTTTACCCAAACTCAAAAAACTGAATTTTTATTAAGAAAGAAGAAAGCATGGAAGATGGGCACCACCCTTCATAAATGGTCATTTAATTGGTTTTGGGTGCATCCCAGGAAATCAAATTTCAAAAGCTCCCTAGGTGATTCCAATGTGCAGTTAGTGTTAACAAATACTGTCGTAAGAATTTTTCTTTTTATATTAATTTAAATATCCATTAAAAGATAAGAACAGTTGAAACCACCTTTTCAAAATGATGACAGTAAGATAAATCTGATATAGTTGGCTCCATCTTGCTTCTGACCTCCTTTGGTCATTCCTGGATGTAGGCCAAGGTAACTGTGGGAGGAATTTAGTTTATAGTTTAACTTTGAAGCAAGGATGATAATAGTCTCTCCCTAAAACTACTCCCCTCCTTATTCAGGGGCTGAAAATACCTTTATCAAACTAATAAAAGGCCGCAAGATTAGGATTATGGGAGGGGCCTGAGTTCTGCTAAAATGTGGGCATAGTTTTCATAATCCCTTTCTGCTCAGGAGTCATGTGGCCAGAGGTCACAATGTTTGTGACTTCCCCAATTGCTCCTATAGATAACATCACATTGTGGAACCTAAGATTGTTCTTTTGAGATGTTTTTCAGACTGACCCCACTGGACTCATGACTCATGGACTCAGCTGGTCCTGTGGCCCTACCCAGAAGTGGACTCAGCACACGAGGACCATTTCCCACACTCCTGTGATTTCATCCCCAATTATTCAGCAGTACCCTTTCCATAGCCCCTTGCCCACCAAGTTGTCCATAAAAACCCTAGCCTCTGAGCTTTTGGGGAGATGGAGTTGAGTAATAACTCCATCTACTGCATGGCTGGCCTTGTGTCAATTAAACTTTTTTCTTTACTGCAATAACATGGTCTCAGTGAACTGATTTTGTTCATGCAGGAGGCAGGAAAAGCCCCTTGGGTGATTACACAGTGGTTCTCAAAGTATGGACCTCCAACCAGCAGCATCAGCAGCATCTGGATACTTGCTAGAAATGGAAATTCTCTGGCCCTATTCCAGGCCTTCCAAGTTGGAAACTTTGTGATGGGGCCCAGCACTCTGTGTTTTAACAAGCCCTCTAGGTAATTCTGATTCATGTTAAAGTTTGAGAATCACTGATTTTAGACAATTACCACAACTCACTTGCATGTAAGAAAGTTTTATTTTGAAGTCATTGTGTTTAATATTGGATTGCTAGCACAATTTACAATTGCAAAGACATGGACCTACCTAAGTGCCCGTCAACTGGTGAGTGGATAAAGAAAATGTGGTATATATACACCATGGAATACTACTCAGCTGTAAAAAAGAATTAAGTAATGTCTTTTGCAGCAACTTGGATGGAGCTGGAGGCTATTATTCTAAGTGAGATAACTCAGGAATGAAAAACCAAATATCATATGTTCTCACTTATAAGTGGGAGCTAAGCTATGAGTGCACAAAGGCATACAGAATGATATAATGAACTTTGGAGACTCAGAAGCAGGGATGGTGGGAGACAGGTGAGGGATAAAAAACTACATATTGGGTACAACGTACACTACTTGGGTGATGGGTGCACTAAAATCTCAGAATTCACCACTGTATAATTCACTCATGTAATCAAAACCACTTGTACTCCAAAAACAATTGATGTAAAAAATATCAGGGAACAACACATTCTGGGGCCTATCGGAGGGTGGAGGGTGGAGGGTGGGAGGAGGGAGAGGATCAGGAAAAATAACTAATGGATACTAGGCTTAATATCTGGTTGATGAAATAATCTGTACAACAAACCCCCATGATACAAGTTTATCTACGTAACAAACCTTCACATGTACCTCTGAACTTAAATAAAAGTTAAAATATTAAAAGAAAAGGAAATTTTAAAATATATACATTAAAAAGTAAAAACCAAACCAAAACAAAACAATATTAGATTGTCTAAATGGTTATTTTCCATCTTTGACAGCCAGTATTGCTGTGTTTATCTTTTGTATTTATTTCTTTATTTTACCCATCTAATTTACCTCATTTTTAGTTAATTTCTCACTATATCCCTGGTAAGTCCATACTGATGGATTTAGTCTAGATGAGATTGTGTAGTAAACTTTATGCTGCATTTTTCCTCTATGAGACTCAAATAGAAATTATGAATAATTTATCATCTACCAATGGACTGATAATATTTTGGTTAATAAGCCAGAAATGCAGGAAAACAGAGTAGCTTTTAATTAAGAAACTACATATGCCTCTGAGGAATAAATCAAGAGTTGGAAAATGGTATATAAAACCTAGTCTGTAACTTTTCTGAATTTTTTTTGTTATGTGAATTGTAGTAATTATTGCAGTTAGGGAAGTACACACTTGGGAAGCCAGCTGGTGACTTAGACAAGGTCAGAATTATTATTTGATAAGGTCATCGCATTCCTGGATCTGGTTCTCAGCTCTGTAGGCCCAGAAATTAATTTTTCAAGCTTGCTCTGGGGTGACATCCTCTGGGCATTCTTACCAAACCAAATCCCTAAGAGGCTGATGTGTTGTCCAGAATTCTAATTTATTAACTCATCATTTTAAATATTTAACTTTCAGGGACAGTAGAATGTTTGTATTGTTATACGTGAATTCTCTTTCTTCGCAGTAAAATTACATAAAAGGACAAATTATAATCAGACGTTTGCTTGGTGAGCATACAGTCAATCCAGGGAGAATGAATTGGATGATCAAATGTCTATTACATCCATCTTCGCTTGGGGCGCATTTGTAAGAGGGATTGGATACTTATTTCTGGGGTCGGGACATGTCCTTTCCTGGGTTGTCCTGGCTTCTTTCTTCTTAGAGACCCTTTACTGTCTTTCCTCTGGATCATTCCCTTTTCGTTAATATATTCTTTCTTTATAATGAAGACAATGCAATTTATTTGATTATATGTTTTAATAGTCCTTGTCTGTTGAGGCTGTGTCGTAATGAATACAATCCAAACATTACCGAACTCCCCAGTCAACAATTTATAGGATTTTTTTAAGGGTAGATGATTTCTTTATTTTTTATAGAAAACCATTCTAAGTTGCTTCCTGTTGATTTCCTATACTTTTATTTACTTTCAAAGTATAATTTGAATGCTGTGCGTGTGTGTTGTCTGTAGGAGTGGAGGTAAGATGTTTGGCTGTCATTCTGATGTATTTTTTCAAATCTAGGACACCATTATTCATGAGAAAAAGTGTATTTTAGAACTAAGAAAAAAAAACCTCTTCTGGTTATGATACAATGTTTTAGCACTTGGACTCTTTATTTTACACTTACAGGAAGAGCACTTTTAGACTCTCTTGCACATAGATTTTTAAAAAATCATATATCACTCCTCTTCATACTTAAAAAGGAAATAATAAGAAACATAAATTTATTGAAGTATTACTTAAATGTCATTACATAAGGAATCCTATTCTTCTGAATCATTTCTCAACTTAACAGTTATCGACAGGCATGTTTTCAATACAATGTCACTATTAGTGCCATTAAAAGCATTTATGAAGCTGTATTTATTTAAAAGTGCTCTATCACTGATAACCATTTTACAAATTTTAATGACAGTCCATTTCTATTTGACTACTCATTTTTTTTTTCTCCATTGAAGCGAACGTAGCTGAGCAGTAAGAACTTATCTTTAAAGTCATCAGGAAGTTTCTGACTAATGGTAGTCCTATGTAAAATTTGAATTGATCACACCAGAATCTTAGAGCTTTGAAATTTTTTCCCCATTTATTTGGAAAAAAATTGGCAATTTATCTCATCCTTAGCTGCATTGCTTGGTGTAGAGGGGTAATTCTTCAGTACCTTACAACATTGGCATGACCTGGGAGCTCATTAGAAATGCAGAATCTTTGGTTCCTCCTCAAACTTACTGAATCAGAATCTGCACATTTAGCATGATCCCCAGATGATTCAAGTTAGAAAAGCATTACTATGCATCATAGTTTTATCCACTTGTGGGATTTTTCCTTTATTAATTGCTATAATGTTCTTGGTTGCTCCTTTGCAGGAAAATTTGGATTTGTTGTTATTTCTCCAATAATGACTATTTAATCATTTCCAACACCCCTCTATTTCTGTGTCTTTATGCATACATAATTGTTTGATTTTGATGAATCACCATCTATGTTTTAAGACATTGTAAAAGATCATTACATTCCTTATGCCAACAAGTGCACATAATTCAATTGAAGTGATATAATATAAACAATATGAACAATAGCAGTCATGATCCCTGTTCATAGTGACTGTAAAATGACATGACTCAATTTTAAAGCTATTAAAATATGAGCAAAATATGTATGCTTTAGAATTGATGAAATATGTATGCTTTAGAATTGATTAACATTTTGTTAAGTACTAGGCTCTTTCCTACTCTTTGCTTCAGGCCTTTTGTCCTGCAAGGAAGGAAATGCCAATGGGGTTGGGATTGTATTTCCAGCCCTATATTTAAGGGATGAGAGCTTTCAGGCTGCAGAGATGGAAATAGTGAACAGAGCTGGGAGAATCCTGCAGGAGGGCAGACCAAGGCTGTGTCTGCAGAGTCAGTCATCCCATTTTGTGAAAATATTTATGTCTTTGAGTGTTCATCCTCAACACAGCAATAACAGCTTTCCCAACTATGTACAACAAAATTCTCCAGAATCTACATGGCTCTCTGAGTGGCCTTCTTAAATTGGATATTTGCATTACCACAAATTTAATCAGGTATAGTCAGTTGCTAGTCCCATAGAGTGGCCCAGGTGTAGGGACAGGGGTAAAAATCTGGTCAAATTAACTTGGCTGGTGTAAAATAGGGATATATATTCACTTTACTCCAGAATAGCTGGATTGCTCACTCCATAATTTTTTCTTGGTGTATTCTCAAATGATTCAGGGCTGTTGTGTAGTCAAAGCATTAAAAAGTTGGAATATTGAGCATAGAACAATCCAAGTTTATCCACATGAAAGCTTTCAGATCTTAAATGACTCCATATTTGATTGTCATACAGTCATTTTTTTCTCTCTCTGTTACCAAACATCCTCCTCAGAGACTTATGTATCATGCATTGATGGGAAATGTATTCTTCTGAACTTTAGTATGTCTTTCAAGATCTTTAGGATAATATTCACACTGAAAGACAACGCATGTAATATTTACTAGGTTTACTTATTTTTATTTTTAATTAAAAAATAGAATCAGAGCTTATGCTATTTACTAGATTTAATTTTCCTAAATAGAATGTATGATCTTTATCTGTCTCTTTAGATATTTTTGTATCTGGAGTAAGTGGTTACCTGTGAATAGGTGGGAGGAGGCACATCTATTTTGTGGAAAAGGTCCTATAAGTCTCAGAGCTCTTATGCATCAAAGAAAGAGAAAGTTTTGTTTTATTTTCTTTTTCCAATAGAGAACAAAAATAAGAGACTAATTACTTGGATCTGCCTTTAGTAACCTGTAGCTTCTTGGAAAGCTAAAATGTGCCATGATATCTGTATTAGTCAGGGTTCTCTAGAGGGACAGAACTAATAGGCTAGATGTATATATGAAGGGGAGTTTACTAAGGAGAATTGACTCACACCATCACAAGGTGAAGTCCCATAATAGACCATTTGCAAGCTGAGAAGCAAGGAAGCCAGTCCAAGTCCCAAAACCTCAAAAGTAGGGAAGCTGACAGTGCATGCTTCAATCTGTGGCTGAAAGCCAGAGAGTCCCTGACAAACCACTGGTGTAGGTTTAAGAGTCCAAAAGCTGAAGAACTTGGGGTTTGATGTTTGAAGGCAGGAAGCATCCAGCATGGGAGAAAGATAAAGGCTGGAAGATTCAGCAAGTCTGTTCTTTCCAACTTCTTCTGCTTGCTTTATTCTAGCTGTCCTGGCAGCTGATTAGATGGTGCCCACCCAGATTGAGGGTGGGTCTGCCTCTCCCAGTCCACTGACTCAAATGTTAACCTCCTTTGGCAACACCCTCACAGACACATCCTGGAACAATACTTTGCATTCTTCAATCCAATCAAGTTGACACTCAGTATTAATCATCACAATATCAAAGAGATGTATTCCTTAAAGCCCTCCTACTTTCTGCACCCCTCCAATACTTCTTAATTCTGCATTGACACTGAGACTCCTGTTCTTTTTCCATAATATTTAAAGCTTGCTATCATAAAAATCACATTAACTAGTTCCAATTGGAACTTGAATATCAAATAGTTAGAGGGCAGACCTAGAATAGTTAAAAATTAAAAACAAAAGAAAACAAAACAACTTTAATCAAGTGGTCATTATATATAAAATTTAAAATTTGAGAAGGGTGAATTTATTGTTATTAAATTCGTTAGGAGTTATGCAGCTTTATTTTCCAAATCATTATTCTTTCACTGGAATGAAATCGTATTTACTTATTATGAGGACTCTATTCTGATATTATTTGCTTACTTTAATGAGTGTCTTCTTCACTGTATTCACCTGGTTCTATTGAAAGATATCTGTAAACTCTTTCTATTGTACAATTACAAGGTTACAGGACACCAGACCTTTCTAAGATGCTGGCATAAAACCAAGAATATACTTGTACTTCTGTTTCATCACTGTACTTTGAAACTAACTTTTAAATTAACATGTAAAAAAAATTGATAGCTGTTTACAAAATATAAAGTGGGTAGCTTTGCAATATGGCTTTTTAAATAAAGATTTAAAGTGCATTCAAAAGCATGTTTAGTGCAGAAATATGTGAGAAGTATTAGAAATACAGGCAAGTGGAAAGGACTATAACTAACCCAAACGTCTACTGTTCAGAGAGAAGCATTGTGAAAACCAGTTTTCTCATCTTTTCTCTCTTTTCAAATGGGTAGATATGAACATAGATATCTACTGATAAACACATATAATATTTAGAATTAACTGCACATGCCATACTGCTTTTTTATTTAATAATAACATATCATAAACCTGGTTTCATGTCAGTAAATATTATAATGTTACTTCCAAGGTGGTATTCGTGGTGTGGATTTAACATTGTTAATTAAGCAAACTCCTTAATGTTGGACAATGTAACATGAAGTGGACATTTACTAAAAGAGATCCTGGTCACCTTGAACTTTGAGTATGAGGCTGTGCTTACATACACAAGGGTTTGGAAAGTGCAAAGAAAAATAGGGTTCAGTGGCGAATTATATGTTGCATATCTGCAAGATATGCAAGAAAATAAATTGTACTCAACTTTAAAGTTAAGGAGTGGGGACAATATGCATGTAAAATATAATAGGATAGAATTTTCTTTGTCATTCATACAGCCTTAAGGAAAACAACTCTGAGGACTTTTGTCACGGACTTGAAATTCTCATCTGTGCTTGGACAAGACTCTGAAACATACCAACTGTGTATTTTCCTGCCTTTGGTAAATCTGGAGCTATTAACTGATTCTAAAGAACATTTGACTTAAAAAGACTATGGAAAGCCCAAAGAATAAAGGTAAAATTTTCAAAGTTGTTCAACCTTGAAACAGTATAATCATAGGTGACTGTCAACAAATACTTAGTTCATACCATAGCAATTATGATGTGGCATAAGTAGATACTAAAATGCTTTTTTCTTCCTGGCGTCATAATGAACTTTCATATTTATTGAAGGATAATATTTTCCTCTGAATAATTTCAATTTTTAATCAATATCCTACATCTGCTATTTTAATAACACATTTTAAAATGATTGGATTTAAATATACTCACTTAAATTTCCTCACCTAAAGATGTACAGATGCTTCTTGAAAGCTCTTCCTGATGATTTCATACACACACATACACATACACATGTATACATGCATGCTGTCTTATTTAATGGCATATAAGACTACAGCTTTTAGGAAGTTGTACTACTCCATTCAATTATTTCTTCCCCCCTACTTATGTACACATTCCTCAACTTGTTGCACTAATATAATTATAAAAAAGGCATAATCATTTTCCTTCAGGGCCTTATAATTTATGTCCTAGGGTTATACTCATGTAGACATAGAAAATACTAATAAAAAGGCAGTTTATATAAGGAAACGTTATTAAAAAGTACTCTGGGAATATTGGGGTGATAAGATAAATTTAGTTCTGATTAGCCAAAGTTTCTTGAAGAAATCAAGATTCAAACTATGTCTTAAAGGAAGAGCAAAACTTCCATAGGAAGAGAAGTATCAGGAGGAGAGGTCTTATAAGTGCCCATGGCCCTACTCCTGTGACACTATCTTCTGTCTCCCTGATGCACCTATGGCCTCACTGGCAGTTCCATATAATCAGTTGACAAGGAAGAGGAGATGACTTGTTTACAGATGATTCTCTGTATGATATGCAGGCACCACCTGAAAGTGGACAGCTGCAGTACTACAGCCCTTCTCAGGGACAGCCCTGAAGGACAATGGTGAAGGGAAATCCTGTTACCTAGAGATTTTAGTTCCAGAAGAAGGAATACTTTCACCCAGGAGTCACAATGATTCCATTGAACTGGAAGTTATGACTGACACCCTGCACTTTGGGCTTCTCATGCCTCTGAATCAATAGACAAGGAAGGGAATTACGGTGTTTGCTGGGGTGTTAGATCCTGACCACCAAGTGGAAGTAAGGAAGAGTATGCCTGGCATACAGGATATCCTTTAGTGCATCTCTTAGTATTACCTTAGTAATTAAAATCAAAGGAAAATTACAGCAATCCAATCCAGGCAGGAGTGTGAATGGCCTTGAGGAATAAAGGTTTGTGTCATGCCACCAGGTAAAAAACCATGATCATCTGAGGTGCTTGCTAAAGGCCAAGGGAAATCAGAATAAGTAGTAGAACAAGGTAGTTATAAATGCCAAATATGACCAGTTACTGTAATTGTTATGTGTATTTCCACTTTATTAAGTTATGAATTCATTTTTTGAGTATATATACCTAGATTAGGCATATATCTTTGTATTCTTTCCTCTCTTATCCCCTTGTCATGTATAAGATGTGTTGACCTTAATAACAGTATTTAAATATTACTAATTTTACATCAGAGTGTCAAATTATGGGCTATCAGGAGGAGAGTAAATACCACTCAAAACTTTTATCTCCTCTTCTGGGGAAGGGGTTAGTGTGTTTTTGGCTATATGCAGGATATTTGTATTATGGTAGGTAGATTGTTACTGTCTTCATTTGAAGATCAAGTATGGCTTAAGGAGCTGTGTATGGGTGCTGAGTTGACAAGCATGGATTTGTAATGGTTAATTTTATGTGTCAATTTGACTGGATTTAGGTATGTGCAGATGGCTGGTAAAACATTATTCCTGGGTGTGTTTGTGAGTATGTTTCTGGAGGAGATTGGCATTTGAATTAATAGACTGAGTAAAGAAGTTACACTTTCACAATTTGATTGGGCATTATTTAATCGGTTGAGGGCCTGAATAGAAGAAAAAGACAGAGGAACAGCAAATTTGCTCTCTCTGCATGAGCTGGGACATCCATCTACCCCTTTTCTCAGACCTTACCATTACTAGTTCTCAAGCCTTTGAGCTGAGACCAAGACACTACCTGCCCTCTTGAGTCTCAGGACTATGAGTTTGGACTAGAATGACATAACTGGCTTTCCTGGGCCTCCAGTTTGCAGACAGCAGATTGTGGGACTTCTCAGACTGTATAGTTGCATGAACCAATTCCTCATAATAAATCTCTTCTATGTCTGTATCTATGTATATACCTATATCCCATTGGTTCTGTTTCTCTGAAAAACTCTAATACAATAGGATTAAGTGTGAGGATTTTGGATTCAGACAGAAAAAGCTCAAATTTACCTTTTCTCTGTTCTGAATTCATAAGCTCTTTAAATCTGTTTCTTCACATAAAGAAGAGAAAAATACAATGGATACTGTCTAACTCATAGCCCTTTTGGGAAGATTAGTGGGACAACATTTGTGCCAAAATAAACATTCAATAAATTTCAATGGTGACTTGTCGAATCCAAGCTCTAGCACCTGAGACACAGGGCTGACACATAATAGTGGCTCAACAAGTATTTCTTAATGAATGAGTTATGCTAGAAAGATCAGCTGGAGCAAAAAAATAGAGGTATACATCGGGTAAGCTAGGAGAATGGTGACAAAATTTGTATGATTGACCATAGGGAGAGTAGTGATGATGTGGATCAGGTGAGTTTTGTTTGTATGAATAGGTGGCATTGAGGGAGGTAATGAAGGAATGAGCCAGGTCAATGTCAGTGGAGTCAGAAGGAGACAGATATCAGACTATGAACTATTTAAAGAAATTTATGATTGTTTTGACGTAGTGTGAGGGAGAGAAAGGTATAAAATGACTCTGATATTCATATGAGAAAATTTCCAAAGAGTAGAGTTAATCCATTCTGTTTAGATATCACACGTTTGATGTCTTTTGGGGCAGCTTATTTACCATAGAATAAAGGCACAAATGCTGAGATTGGAGGCAGAAACCTTAATGCTTCTTACTTGGGTCTTCCACTTAATATGTGTGCTACTTTAGGGAAGTTAGTACACCTCTTTAAGCCTCATTTTCTCAATTTCTAAAATAGGAATGATTATTGTTATGAACTGAATATTTTCCTGTCTTAAAGTTTATATGTTGGAATCTAGTTCCCAATGTGATGGTATTTGAGGTGGGGCCTTTGGGAGGTAACTAGGTAATGAGGATGGAGCCATATCATGAAAGGCATTAGTGCCCCTATAAGAAGGAGCCAAAGAGATGGTAGCTCACTCTTTTTCTGACATGTGAGGTCATAACAAAAAGTCATTAGTCTGCAACTCAGAAGATGACCTTCACCATAACTTGACCATGTTGGCACCCTGATGTCAGACTTCTGGCCTCCAGAATTGTGAGAAATATATTTCTGTTGTTTACAAGCCACCCAGTCTATGGTACTTTGTTGTAGAAGCCCAAACTGACGGAGACAATAATATTCATAGTTTTTGTTTGCAGAGAATGAAATGTTATACAGAATTAATTGCTCTTGCTTGATTTAGGTCCAGAGATTTTGAAACAAGGTAAAATAAGAGGTAGGCTTTAGAATATTAGAGATAATTGATTTGGCAATAGGAATTGTTAGGAAAAAAAATTAGGTAGTTACAAGTACATTTAAGTGAAGTTGCAAACCAAACGATTAGGAGGATGTAAGCTCTGCAAGGGCAGGGACTTTATTTTCTTTGCTGCTGTATTTTTAGTACCCAAAAGAGTGTTAAACACATACAGGTTGAGTATACCTATTTAAAATCCAAAACATTTTTACAACCAATTTTTTTGAATTTATTATAATCTTGCTTCTCTACAACTAATGATTCTCATGGTTTTAAACCATGTCTGCCTTTATTTACCTACACAAACACAGAATAGCATTTCCAATAGGAGAGGCTCACACAGAAAACGAAGTATAGAGTGTATGACCTCAATAAGGCATTCAGGAAAGGTTTAAGCCATCTTTCCCTCTGACCAGATTCCCTTAGGTGCTCTGATGTTGGTGTTTCATTCTTCCAAAAGGAGAATCAAATCTCCAATCAGCCTGTGTTCTCTGCCATGTGTCACTCTCATAATATCAGAAGTGAATCTTCAATTCTTTATTACTTGGGGAAACATGTCTTTGAGGTAACTGCAGTTTGCCAACTTGCACATCCAGAAGTGTTTTGGATTTTTTCAGATTTTGGAATACATGCATTACATTTACCATTTCAGTATGCCTACTTCAAAAATCTCTAATGAGTGTTTTCTTTGAATGTCATGTCAGTATTCAAAAGGCTTAAGATTTTGGAGCATTTCAGATTCTAGACATTCAGATTGGGATGCTCAACCTGTAGGAGGCTCTCAATAAAGATTCATTGTAAGAATAAACAAACAATAGCCATGGAGTTGTAGTTCTGAGGAAGCCAGGAAAGAATACTTAGTTTGGATACTAAAAAGAAACTGGAGAGTGTAGTCAATAGAATTGGAGATAAAGAACATTGGTGATGCTTAGATATATAAATTTTTTTCAGACTAAGGTGGAGGACAGCACAGGAAAGAAAAGCAGAATAAATAAGAACTGACTACTCATGAATCAGGTTTGTAGGAAAATAAAGGTTAGCACTAGAACTATCAGCTTAGAGGGGATGGAGTTAATGTTGGCCCTGTGCTCTTCTCATCTGTACACATTGGATAATATCATCTATTCCATGCCTTTAAAGCATGTCTATTGGAGTATGACTCTTGAATCTCATTCTAAAACTGAAATCTCTTTTAAGATCTTAACCTATATAACCAATGACCTGTTACTAAATATCACCATTTGGATTCCACAAAAAAGCCCAGGCTCAAGTGTAAAAACCTGTACTTGTTTTCCTTCCCCAAATTACTCCTTATATATTTTCTATCCTTGTGACTGGCACCTTCAACTATCTACTGCCCAAGTCAGAAAATTAGCATTTCCCACCACATTAAAAAATCCAACCATTCACTCAAGTTATAAAGGACAGAATCCCACTCAATGAATTAGCTCTAAAATATATAGGGCTTAGGGATATAAAGAGAGTTTTTTCACCCAAGCACAGAAAAATTAATGATAATTCAAATGTTTTCTTACAAATAAGATGTTTAGGAAAGGCCAGCTGGTACTCTAGATGAGATATTACAGATTTAACACTTCGAGATAAAACTTCGCTTTGCTTATATTTTACACTATTATTTTCCCAATGCTTAGCACAGTGCCTGGAATATAGGAAGGGCACAATGAACTTAACTGGGACTCAGAAGATGCTTGGTGATCACAGAATGGGAGGAAAAGAAAATATATAAACTAATGAAACATGTACTAACAAGAAGAATTATCTTTAAAGAGCAAAGGGGTCCTATTGACCAAAATCTTAATTTTGGTCTCTGTCCTGAAGACAGAGTTGGTATCTGTGTTAGTCGGTTCTCACACTGCTATAAAGAAGTATCTGAGACTGGGTAATCTATAAAGAAAAGAGGTTTAATTGGCTCATGATTATACAGGTTGTACAGGAAGCATGGCTTGGGAAGCCTCAGGAAACTTACAATCATGGCAGAAGGTAAAGGGGAAGCAGGCACGTCTTATACGGCTGGAGCAGGAAGAAGAGAGGGAGGGATCCAGTGCCACACACTTTTAAACAACCAGATCTCAGGGGAACTCTCTGTCACAAGAACAGCAAGGGGGAAATCTGCCACCATGATTCAATCACCTTCCATCAGGACCTTCCTCCAACAATGGGGATTATAATTTGACATGAGATTTGGGTGGAGACACAGATCCAAACTATATCAGTATCTTACTTCTAGTGTGCCTCTCTTCTTTACATACCAACATGGATGTGTGAATCTAATTATTTCTTACTTTTCCATTGTTCACTTCATGTTCCTCTTTACCTTACATTAATATTTGATTGTTCATAATAAGGTATGGGACATATCTTGCATATTTTCAGACTCTGACTGGCATATTCTCTGCCCAGAGGTAAGATCCACAG
This sequence comes from Homo sapiens, assembly GCF_000001405.40. Lineage (NCBI taxonomy): Eukaryota > Metazoa > Chordata > Mammalia > Primates > Hominidae > Homo > Homo sapiens. The sequence goes on from NC_000008.11 coordinate 86,778,488, forward strand.
GAAGATACATTATACCATTTTTATTTTGCCTTGCCTTGTAAGAGGTAGTCACAGCAGTAGTACAAAGGGAGGTAGGTGATGGTGATTTATAGCTTTAAAAAATCTTATTAGAAAATGACAAAGATTAAAAACAAGCCGGCTACACATTCAATTTACAAAATTAGGAATAGAGAATTGAACAAACCCAAATAAGCAGGCAAGAAATAAATAATTAAGGGCATAGATCTGTGAAATATAATACAAAATAATAGGTACATGTAACTAAACTCCAGACATATTCTTGAGATGATTGATCACATAATGAGATCTCTGACAAGACTGACAAACAGAAAAAAAGAAAAACAACATGTAAATAGGCAAAACAGAATGAAAAAAGAAAAAATATCATTCACAACAGATTAATAATAGACTATTAAGATATTATACTTTAGTTAATTTAAAATTTAATATGAAACATATGCCTACTTGAAAAAACATAAAAGACCACAAAATTAAAAGAAATAAAAAATTAAATAAACTAATAAATGTGTAAATAATTTGAAATCATATTCAAAGGCTCCCTTTCTGAAACTTCTGGGCCAAAGTTCTAGCAAATCTTGAAGAAACTGTTATTCCAAACATAAAAATTCTTCTAGAAAATGAAAAATTAGCAAAATCTGCCTACGTATTTTATGTCGTTAGATTAAGCCTGATTTCAAACTCGATGGAGAGAGCACAAGAGAAAATGTCTACTTACAAACACAGATGTGAAACTCCTTAATAAAATGTTAATCAACAGAATTCAAAAGTGTATCAAAAATAATACATCATGAAAAATAGTTTATCTAGGAATACAGTAAAGTTTCAATATTAAAAACACTCTAAGAATTAAATTTGCCCATTAATTGACTAAATGTAAAAAAAAAATCTTAACAATTGCAAAAAACCCACATTTGATAAATTCTATTTATTATAATACCCTTATGAGATGAGAGATATTTAAAAGTCTTCATTTTGAGAGATTATGTAACACGTTTTATTAATTCCACCTGCTCTGTGTCTTCACCCAAATCTTATCTTGTAGCTCCCATAATTCTCACGTGTTGTGGAGGGGACCTGGTGGGAGATTATTGAATTACGGGGGTGGGTCTTTCCTGTGCTCTTCTCATGATAGTGAATTGCCTTGCACAAGCTCTCTCTGTGCTTGCTTCCATCCACATAAGATGTGATTTGCTTCTCCTTGCCTTCTGCCATGATTATGAGGCCTCCCCAGACATGTGGAACTGTAAGTCCAATAAACCTCCTCCTTTTGTAAATTGCCCAGTCTCGGGTAAGTCTTTCTCAGCAGCGTGAAAATGAACTAATACAGTACATTGATACCAGTAGAGTGGGGCGCTGCTGAAAAGATAGCCAAAACTGTGGAAGCGACTTTGGAACTGGGTAACAGGCAGAGGTTGGAACAGTTTGGAGGGCTCAGTAAAAGACAGGAAAATGTGGAAAAGTTTGGAATTCGCTAGAGACTTGCTGAATGGCTTTGACCAAAATGCTGATAATGATATGGACAATGAAATCAAGGCTGAGGCGATCTCAGATGGAGATGAGGAACTTGTTGGGAACTGGAGCAAAGGTGACTCTCATTATGTTTTAGCAAAGAGACTGGTGGCATTTTGCCCCTGCCCTAGAAATCTGTGGAACTTTGAACTTGAAAGAGATGATTTAGGATATTGGGTGGATAAAATTTCTAAGCAGCAAAGCATTCAAGAGGTGACTTGTGTGCTATTAAAGGCATTCAGTTTCAAAAGGGAAAGAGCACAAAAGCTTGGAAAATTTGCAGCCTGACCATGTAATAGAAAAGAAAATCCCATTTTCTGAGGAGAAATTCAAGATGGCTGCAGAAATTTGCATAAGTGATGAGGAGCTGAATGTTAATCACCAAGACAATGAGGAAAATGTCATCAGGGCATGTCAGAGACCTTTGCTACAGCCTCTCGCATCACAGTCCCAGAGGCCTAGGAGGAAAAAGTGGTTTTGTGGCCTGGGCCCAGGATCCCTGTGCTGTGTGCAGCCTAAGGACTTGGTGCCCTGAGTCCTAGTTGCTCCAGCCATGGCTGAAAAGGGCCAATGTAGAACTTAGGCCATGGCTTAAGAGGGTGCAACTCCCAAGCCTTGGCACCTTCCACATGGTATTGAGCCTGCGAGTGCACAGATGTCAAGAATTGAGGTTTGGAAATCTCTGCCTAGATTTCAAAGGATGGATGGAAATGCCTGGACGACCAGGCAGAAGTTTGCTGCAGGGGCAGGGCCCTCATGGAGAACCTCTGCTAGGACAGTGCTAAAGAGAAATGTGGGGTCAGAGCCCCCAAACTGGGGCACTGCCTAGTGGAGCTATGAGAAGAGGGCTACCATCCTCCAGACCCCAGAATGGTAGATCCACTGAAAGCTTGTACTGTGCACCTGGAAAAGCCACAGACACTCTATGTCAGCTGTGAAAGTAGCCAGGAGAGGGGCTATACCCTGCAAAGCCACAGGGGTGGAGCTTCCTGAGACTATGGGAACCTACCTCTTGAATCAGCATGACCTGGATGTGAGACATGGACTCAAAGGAGATCATTTTGGAGCTTTAAGATTTGACTGACCCACTGGATTTCAGACTTGCATGGGGCCTGTAGCCCCTTTGTTTTGGCCAATTTCTCCCATTTGGAAGGGCTGTATTTATCCAATGCCTGCACCCCCATTGTATCTAGGAAGTAACTAATTTGCTTTTGATTTTATAGGCTTATATGTGGAAGGGACTTGCCTTGTCTCAGATGACACTTTGGACTGTGGACTTATGAGTTAATGCTGAAATGAGTTGAGACTTTGGGGGACTGTTGGGAAGGCATGATTCATTTTGAAATGTGAAGATATGAGATTTGGGAGGGGCCAGGGGTGGAATGATATGGTTTGGCTCTGTGTCCCCACCAAAATCTCATCTTGTAGCTCCCATAATTCCCACATGTTGTGGGAGAGACTTGGTGGGAGATGATTGAATTATGGGGGTGGGTCTTTCCCATGCTGATCTGGTGATAGTGAATGAGTCTCATGAGCTCTGATGGTTTTAAAAATGGGAGTTGCCTTGCACAACCTCTCTCTTTGCCTGCTGCCATCCACGTAAAACATGACTTGCTCCTTCTTGCCTTCCACCATGATTGTGAGGCCTCCCCATCCATGAGGAACTGTAAATCCGATACACCTCTTTCTTTTGTAAATTGCCCAGTTTCAGGTGTGTCTATCAGCAGTGTGAAAATGGACTAATACAACAGGTATACTTAATGTAAAAATGACATATTTTCTTCAAGATCAGAAATAAGACAAGAATTTCCACTGTCAGTGTCAAATGTTTTACATAATACTGGCTGTTATGGCAAATACCATAAGTAAAGCAAAGAATAAAAGAGGTATAAGGATTAGTAGGAGAGAGATGTATCTGTTATTTGCAGATATTGTGATTATCTTCTACGAGCTGAGTACCTCTCATCCAAAATGACTGAGACTACAAGTGTTTCAGATTTTAATTTTTTTGGAATATTTGCATATACCTAATAAGGTATCTTGGAGATGGGGCCCAAGTCCAGACAAGAAATTTATTTATGTTTCATACACACTTTATACACATCGTCTGAAGTTTATTTTATATAATATTTTAAATAACTTTGTGCATAAAACAAAGTTTTAACTGTGACCTGTCACGTGAGGTCAGGTGTGGAATTTTCCACTTGTTATGTCATGTTTGTGCTCAAAAGGTTTTGGATTTGGGAGCATTTCAGATTTTGGATTTTTGGATTAGGGGTGCTCAACTTGTATGTCAGTTTCCTAGGGATGACATAACAAATTACCGCAAACTGGGTGACTTGAAACAGTAGAAATTTATTCTCTCACATTTCATGAGACCAGAAGTCCAATGTCAAGGTGTCAGCAGGGTTCCTTCAGGAGGCTCTGAGGGGCAATCTGTTCTGTGCCTCTTTCCTAGTGTTGGTGGTTGCTGGGAATCCTTGACATTCTTGGCTTCTTGACACAGCACTCCAATCACTGTCTTCATTATCACATGGCTGAATTCTTCATCTGTGTGTCTTTACATGGCCTTCTTATAAGGACATTAGTCATTGGATTTAAGGCCCACTTAATCCACTATGACCTCATTTTCACTAATTACATTGGCAAAGACCCTGTTTCAAAAAGAGTGACAGTCTTAGGGAGAGGGTGGATATAAATTTTGGGGGAACACTGTTCAACCCAGTACATCTACACAGGAAAAAAATCCAACAGAATCAAGAGACAAATTCAGAATGCATATGCAAAATTGCCAGACAGAACCTCAACATTTAACAATCAATAACATTTCTCTATACTATGACCATCTAGAAAATATAACCAGAAATAAAGTATTTACAATAGCCACAAAATTCATAGACCTTATAGGAATAAACATATTAAAAAATATATAAAACATTTATGAAGAAAATTCAAAAGCTCTATTAAAGTATATTTTAAAATTTGAATAAAAAGAGAATAATAAATTAATAAATAATAAATCATAAATAAATTTGAATAAAAAGAATAATCTTCAATGGGATGGCTTAATATGATAAAGATGTGTATGTGCATTCTCTTATTAATTATAAATTCAATGAAATTCCAATCAAAACCTATCTTTTATAAGGAGCATGATAAACTTATTCTAAAATTGATATGGAAGAATAGAGAGCAAGAAATAGGAAAGACAATTTTGAAAGAGAGTAGTAAATGAGGAAAAGCTGAATATTTTAAAAGAACACATGCAAATAAAAAGGTAAGCATCAAACATGTTAGAATAGATGCCTATAGGAGGTGAAGGAAATGGGAATAGAGACCAAAGGTCATAAATACACACAAAAAGGAAAGCCTTCGCTCTGGCCAATGGTAGAGAGTATGAATGAACTGAAGCTTAAAATAAGTTGCTCAGCGAGCACAGTATCAGAACAATGCCATTTCTTCAATGATTTCCATCTCAATAGAAGGAATAGAACATTTAACGGCATTTCCATGTATTAGAGATCTGTGTGCCAGCTCTCTATATCTCTACAATGTTATCTTACTATTGTCTATCTAGCTCAGTTTTCTAGTGCTGCCATTAACAAATTACCACAAACTTGGTGGTTTAAAACAACAGAACTATTTTTTCTCCCAGTCTGGAGGCCAGAAGCCCGAAATGAAGGTGAGTTCAGGGTTGGTTCCTTCTTAAAGCTCTGAGGGCAAAACCATTTTATGCCTCTCCTAGCTTCTGGTGGGTGCCAGTAATCCTTTGTGTTTCTTGACTAGTAGACACATCACTCCAGTCTCTGTCTCCATCTTCAAATTGCCTTCTTACCCATGTTTCCTCTATTCTAGGGACACTTGTCACTGGATTGAAGGCATATTCTAATTTAGGACAATGTCTTGAGATCTTTAACTTAACTACATTTGCAAAGACCCAATTTCCAAGTAACTGGAACATTCGTAAGTTCAAGTTAAACATGTCTTTTGTGGGGAGCAGCCATTCAATTCATGGAACTATCTTTATACCTAATTAAGCACTGTATCATATAATCCTTACATGTGGAGTATCGTCTGCATTTAAGAGATAGTTAATTGACGCTCAAGGAAATCTGTATCAGCTTGTTTGCATTTCTTCCTCACTCCTCACTTAAACCTGATATGATTTCTGCTTCCTTTTTTTTTTTTTTGCTTAACTGTTAGCTGCCTTGTCCAAGTAGACAAGACTAAAAGATTTTTTTAAGAATCTTAAAAAAATTTAAATCTTAAAGAAAAAGATTTAAATCTTAAGAAAAAATCTTAAAAGATTCTTAAAGTATCTTTAATGTTAAAATCAAACAAGCATTAATAAATGCCAAAAGGAAAACGTACATCACTGTCACAGATTATAATTTAATAAAGTTAGAAATTAATTTTAAGAAATTTAAACAAAAAATGCCAAACCATTTTGAAATTTGTGAAAGGTATACTCCTAAGGAAATCTTACGTGGAAGAGATATATAACAGCTATTGAACACAGCTCCAAAAAATTTTTACTCTAATAATATATGATCAAAGCTATATTCTTAGTAACATTCCTAGTAGAAAATAATTATAATTTTGAATGGAACAACAAGGAATGGAAGCAAATGGAAAATTCAACATCAGAAGCTAGACAAATAAGACAAAGTTCAATAAAGAAGAAACAAAATGTAACAGATAAAATAATGAATTATGTTCCTAAGTATTTTATTATTATCATGCTACTGATTTGTGTACATTGATTTTGTATCCTGAAACTTTACTGAATTTATTTATCAGATTTGGAGGCTTTTTAGGGTCTTTATGGTTTTCTAGGTATATCATCAGCAAACAGCAACAGTTTGACTTCCTCTTTTCCAGTTTGGATGCCCTTTATATTTTTATCTTGTCTGATTGCTCTGGAAGGAGGAAAAAGATCTCTATAAGAAAAACTACAAAACACTGCTGATCATAAATGACACAAACAAATGGAAACAGCTTCCATGCTCTGGATGGGTAGAATCAATATTGTGTAAATTACCATACTGCCAAAAGCAATCTACAGATTCAGTGCAATTCCAATCAAAATACTATCATCATTCTTCACAGAACTAAAAAAAAAAAAAAAAAATCCTAAAATTCATATGGAACCAAAAAAGAGCCTGCATAGCCAAAGCAAGACCAAAAAGAACAAATCTGGAGGCATCACATTACCTGGCTTCGAACTATATAATACAAGGCTATAGTTATCAAAATAGCATGGTACTGGTATAAAAATAAGCACGTGTAATTTCCCTATTAGAGAAGTTTTCTCATTTCTTTTTCAGGGGCTTGTGGTCTCTTGCTTCCTCTGTTGTCTGTCTGTGGTACTGCAACAAGCTGATGAGCTCTCTTTTGTTTTCTGAGGTTCTAGGCATCTAAAGTATGCCAGTTCTGTAAGCAATCCGAATCAGACAAGACAGAAACCAGTTTGTTGAACAGCCCTTCAGAAAGTTGGAACATTGAATACTTGTTCCACTCTTCTCTTTTGTTCCCAAGGGAGAAGCTACTAGCTGGGTAATTTCTCCTGATCTCAGTGAGCTGTGGCAGCTTCTGTCTGTGGCATTACAATTTTTCCGGTAGTGCCATAAGCTGCTGAGCTCTGTGTTGTTTTCAGCAGCTCCAGGCATCCCAAGTAATAGCAATTCCTTATAATTGCTGAGTCAGGCGAGACAGAAACCAGCACCTCAGGCACCCCCTTGAAAATTAATTTCTACTCTTCCTTTCTCTCTCAAGGAGAAGTTTCAAATTGGGATTTTACTCCCATTGCCCTGTGCTAGCTTGGGGAAGGGGCTGGCATGGCTGAAATAAAATGACTCTTCTTACCCATTTTAATGCAGCTATTCTTGGTTTTGGGCTTGTCTGGGGTACTGTGACTTCCTAACTCGTTTCTGCAGTTCTCATAGAGGTTTTTTGGGGCACATATTGTTGTTGATTTGGTGTCTGTATGAAGGAATGAGGGCTTGGGTTTCTTATTCTTCCATGTTACTCACTTTGTCCTTATTTTTTTTTTCAGCTCAAATCTTAGTAGATATATTTGGCTCTCTTTATCTTTCTTTTCTGAGATTCTCAATTCCTTTCTTGCTGGACACTACGAACTCCTAGGTGTCACACTTCTCTAAGCACTGCTTGTTTCCCTTGTAGAATTCCCTTGATCTTTTAAAATCTTACCTGTTGGCATTGTCTCTTTATACTCTTCTTCTTTTGGAATTGGACATTTATGCTTGAAATCTTAGTTCAGCTAGATACATAGATTGGGGGGTTGTAATTCTTCTCATAGGCTTTCTTCTTTCTCACCATCATGACACAGTGTATTCTATCTTAGCCTGAAATGCCATTTCCCTTTAAGTCCCTGCTTAGTGTTCCCTCTCTTCCCCACCATATGCACTTTCCTTTTTGCCACCAGCCAAATTCTAGGCTCAAAGTAGCATTTTATAAATATGAGTCAAACAAAGAAGGGAAAGAAAAATAAATAAAAGAAAAAAGAGAAGAAAGAGAAGGTGAGAGCACAGGTAGCAAATGGCAGAGTTCAAGTTTAAATCTAGATCTTCCAAATACAAATATTGCTCTTTCCAATATGCTATTCATTTCCTAGCCCAAATATGCCTCCTTGGGGAGTGGGTTTTACTTTTTATATTTCTAATATCATTCGATGTATATAATTCATTATTGACTTTAGTTTTTCAGGGAGACATTTTCTAACCTCATCCTGGAAGTCTGAGATTACATCTTACCTGAATTTTTTAAATCTTCTATCAACTAAATAAATTGACTGCCTTAACAAATTTTGTTGACTATGCCCCTTAATTATATCAAACATTTCTTAGTGATTCTAGCCAGATCAGCTACCATATTGTGCCTCAATATAGTCAGCTAGCTCTTCTTTCTTTCTTTCATTCATTAATTAATTCAACTGATATTGTATACTTTCTAAGTGATAAGGAGATAATGAACACTGAGTGTCACAGGAAATGAAACAGAGCCAATGTCACCATTTAAGGAGTTAAGATTGAGTTTGGTGGAAAGTCAGGCAAACCATTTTTAAAAATACTACCAGATGGTGGTATCTGCTATGGAGAAAAAAGACTAGAACTTGGAAATAGAATTTGAGGTTGGAAACAGAAGGCTGCTCACTGAGATGGGAAGGGCCAAAGACCTATCTGAAGGTAACATTTGAATTGGGGCTTGAGTGAAGTAAGGGAGGAAACTGTGGATTTCTTCATGCAGGAGGAATAGCAAATGCAGTTAATTAGTATGCTTGGTATGTCTGAAGATATGGAAGAGATCAGGGTGTCTTAAATGAAGTAAGTGAAGGACAGTGGAAGTTGAGGGGTAACCAAGGGCCAGAGCAAGCAGTAAATGGTAAGCCTCATAAGGGTTTTGGATATTTCCAACATATCAATTTTCCCTCCCTAATGGATGATTTTTATTGGCATACAGATATCTTCCTTATTAACAAAGAAGCAAAACAAACAAATGATTTTCCATTGACCTCACAGTTTTCTTTGTTTTTTTTTTCTCATTTTTAAGTTACCATTCAGTACAACATTTGTTTAATACACTTGCTCCTATCTCCATTAATACACCAGAGGTCAAGCCACCATATGTCTTACCTAGCTGGACTACTACAATAGTTTCCATTTGGTCTTCCTGACTCCATTCTTCCCAATACATTGGCCTGAACCATCACCTTCTTCTATTCTCTACAAAGCAGCCAGATTAATTGTATGCATTTTCTAGTCCTGCTGTAACAAATCAACACAAACTTAGTAGCTTGAGACAATACAACCTTATTATCTTATAGTTCAATGTTTTAGAAGTCTAAGATGGGTCTCACCAAGATGGTGAAAAGACTTTGTTCAGTTTCTCTGCATTTTCCATCTTCTAGAGCCCACCTGCATTCCTTGGCTCCTGGCCCCCTTTATCTGTCTTCAAGGCTAGCAATGGTGAGTGAAATCCTTCTAGTGTCAAATTACTTTGACCTCCTTTTCTGCCTCCTTCTTCCAGTTTCAGGGATCCTGTAATAACACTGGATACCCCTGGATAATCCAAGTAATCTCCCTATTTTAAAGTCATCTGTTTAGCAGCTTTAATTCCTTTATACCATTTAAGATAACATATTCACAGGTTGTAGGGATTAATGTGTGGTCATCTTTGGAGGCCATATTCAGCCTACCACATTAATCTTTTTTTTTTTTTTTTTTGAGAAATCATCTTGCTCTGTTGCCCAGGCTGGCGTGCAATGGCATGATCTCAGTTTACTGCAGCCTCTACCTCCTGGGCTTAGGTTATCCTCCCACCTTAGCCTCCCAAATGCCTGGGACTACAGGTGCTACACCAGCATGCCCAGATAATTTTTGGTACTTTTTTGTTGAGATAGGGTTTCACTGTGTTGCTCAGTATGGTGTCCAACTCCTGGACTCAAGTGATCCACCCGCCTTGTCCTCCCAAAGTGTTAGGATTACAGGCGTGAGCCACTGCACCTGGCCTATATTAATTCTTTGAAATGTAAGATAGATCATATCACTTCCCTGCTCAAACCCCTCAGGACTTCGTAGAAACTCACAAGTCTTACAATGGTTTAGAAAGTTCAACATGACCTGGCCTCCCTGGCTGCAGGGTGGGGACCAGGGTGAGGTGAAGGAGGTATGTAGGGCACAAATTTGCAGCCAATGCAGCTGATGCTTCTCTCAAGTTATATTAGACTTGGATTTCTCACCTCATCTGCTGTCTTTCCTCGAGCTAACTCTACTCTATCCATAGTGGCCAGTATGTTGCTCCTTGAGCAACCAAGCACATTCTTGCTTCAGTGCCTTTACATTGCTGTTTCTTCAGAGCTCTGGGACATTCTTCTAGGCATTGGGCATAGCTTAATTTCTCACTTCATTTAAATCTCTTGTCAAATGTCACCTTCCCTGAAAAGCCTTTTTTGACAATTTCATTTGAAGTACAGCCTCATCACTTTCTAACCCCCTTACTCTGTTTCATTTTTTTCCCTCTTAGTGCTTATCACCCTGGGTATCATATTATTCTTTATTTGTTTTTCATTTTTTCTACTAGAACAGAAGTGCCATGAAGACAGAGTCTTTGCCTTACTTACTGTTTTAAAATTACCAGGGTCTAGGACAGTGTCTGGCATATAGAAGATGCTCACTAAATATTTGTTAAATGAAAACAAAGATATGGAAAATGTATTTCTATGAATGACAATGGAAACATTCAAGTGCTTTCTGTGAGCCAGGCACTGTTCTAAAAACTCTAAGTGTATTAACTGATTTTATCTTCTCAATGTTTTCAGATGAGAAAATGGGCATGGAAAGACCAAGTAACTTGACAAACTCACACAACTAGTAGTTAGGACTGCATCTGAATCAAGATATTGTGGCTCTAGAAGCCAACGCTTTTACATGTGTATGTTCTGATTGTATTTTTACTCTTTATGATTACTATCGGATGTTAAAAATGAATATATACTGCAGTATACTATTAAATTTTACAATTTGATGACTGCTTTAAACATGTTAACAACTTATTTACTTGAATAATCTTTAATATTATTGAAAGTTTTATTAGGAGTTTCTGGGTAAAAGTATGGGAGAGGGAAAATTTACTAAGCATTTATTAATTTGTCTAGCTCAGATTGTTAAAGCAGATTAAATATTGCTTTCATTCGGGTGCATTCATTGGAAATGTACTTTTAAACTGACTATTCTTTTTTCCAGTAAATTTAGAATTAGGGAATAGTAGGAGCAACTCATGTAGATAAGCTGTGCAAGGTGGCACAGGATGGCAAACCAGGCAAGGGCTAATTTTATAAATCCTTAAAAATATGAAATAAAATTATTCTCAATAAGTAAGAGTGTTGAATTTAAAGAGATGTGTGCCAGATGGCCTGATGGAAATTCAGCACCATTTTCCCTCTCCTGTGTTTTCCCCTGAATTCTTGGTAATAACATTTTCCCAAATCTGTGCCAGTAGGGTTCTGGATTAGATTCCACCTAGGAGAGGCTCTTGAGCAAGATTTGGAAGGCAGAAGAGCACCAGAAGCCATGAATGTTCCTGCAGGCAGGTTCATGGGTCTCAGCAGATGGGATATGTGACATTCTGCCAGCAGCTTCCCAGCATCCTCTGGTGCATCACAAACTTTGAGGCTTCAGGCAGCTGAGCTCACTGGTGGTGGTGGCCTGTGAGCCTGCACGTCCTCATTTCTGGAAAATCAGTGGAGGTTTTTTCTGACTTTTGCTGTCCCAACCCTGTAACGGGTTTTATAAACCTCTAACTTACTTTATTAAATTTATTTCTGCATGAACTACCTGCAGTGGCTTCCGTTTTCCTGACCTGAATGCTAATTGCTACACATACATTTTCTTAGGAAAAATATTTTTTTATAAAAAATGTGTTTTATAGTTTTTCTTCCATCATCGGATATTAATTAATTAATTTATTTATTTATTTATGTTATTTTTTTTTTTTTTTGAGACGGAGTCTCGCTCTGTCGCCCAGGCCGGAGTGCAGTGGCGCGATCTCCGCTCACAAGCTCTGCCTCCCGGGTTCACGCCATTCTCCTGCCCAGCCTCCCGAGTATCTGGGACTACAGGCGCCCGCCACTACGCCTGGCTAATTTTTTTGTATTTTTAGTAGAGACGGGGTTTCACCGTGTTATCCAGGATGGTCTCGATCTCCTGACCTCGTGATCCGCCCGCCTCGGCCTCCCAAAGTGCTGGGATTACAGGCGTGAGCCACCGCGCCCGGCCCAGATATTAAATTTTTTTTCAGAAAATGAGTGGAATCATTAGTGTCAATTATTGCCTTAAAATATTCCACTGGGGTTGTTAAAATAGGTAAAGCAAATCAGTTATTCAATAATTAATATTTATTATTAATATTTAAACTTGTTTGGTACTCTTAGCTTGTGAAATAAAGTTGAGGGAGATTTCCTTGGCAGGTAAGCATTGGCAGATTTGCAACCCAAAGAAGTGGAAGTACTCTTCAGAATTATTTGGATACAAATAATCTCTTCCTCAAACGCAGATATCTGCTCTGTCTCCCAATTCTTCTGGCCACTCCTACTTTCTACCAAGTTCTATGCTAGTAAACAAAGGATAGAATCATACAGACTCATCTTTGTATAGCGCTTTCAGTTTACGAGGCATGCCCCATACATTGCATCATTGGATCCCCACAAATTTAAGCTCAATTCCTGTGGGTTTCCACAATTTCCTATACTTTCCCTTATTATAGCACTTATGCATTACATTTAAAAATTTCATGTCTCTTCTACCACCCCTAGATTTCAAACCCTTTGAGAACATGAATTCTGTCCTTTAAATTAATATTTAGTTTTTTGTTGTTGGTATAAATCATGTCCTAATGATCATTGTTAGCCCTATCCTAGGGCCAAGCTCCTAGCAGATGGTCAGAAAGGATATATTTAATAGCTGAATGTAAGTGGCTGAGACTGAGTTGATGTGAAACATTTTGGATTCTAAAACCCATAACTTTTTAATGATGCCACTTTACTTCTCATTCAAAATATATTTATAATACCCCAAAGAATGGGTAAAATAATCGAAGAAAAAATAAGCTCCTAACATATTTTATGTAAACTACTTGGCATAACCAAAAAAAGCAGAGGGAGGAATCTGGTTTTATTATTGTTTTTAACAGGTATTAACCCCAGTATACCTTTTCAGTCACATGTTCCTTACTTCTCCAAGTATTCCATGCTATCCAATCACTGAATTATAGGGAAATGAGTAACAAAAATAATTCATGTTCTGTGCCTGGAAGACTTGACACAAGCTTTGTTTTAAATGGTTTGTCTGAAAAATTCAAGGAAGCATAGAAAAAGTGGTGGCAGATGGAGTGGTTTATTTTGAGCCGAATTTTAGGCAATCTTTGTGTTGATGAATAAAAGTTATTTATTCTGGAACACTACTATGTGAAGAGTTATACTAGTTTCGAGGAGACGAATATGCATTAGATGTGGTTTTTATCCTCAAGGAGTGCACCCCCTTGTGGAATAGTCGGTTATTTGACAGGTACAGGAAGGTGTGAAGTGTTGAAGAGCGAACAAAGTAAATGATGGATTTTGATATTTAAAAATGCTCTTTATACTAAGATTGTGCTGGAAGAAATATCCCCTGGATGTCAGGCCAACAGAGACAGAATCAAGGAATAGAAGAGAATGATGGTCCTTCTACCAATCACCTGCTTCTAGGTATAAAGTACAGCTTACTGCAGAGGTCATTGCCTTCAGAGTTAGGCATCAGTTCTGAAAATTGAAGACTCAGAGGTGAAACGGTGAAGTGATAAGTGAAAACTCAGATATAAGTAGCAGAAATAAGATTAAAATCCCAGTTTCCAGAGTACCAGTTTAATGTCATTTCTAATACTTTGCACTCTTTGGACTTTTTTAGACTTCAGGCGTAAGAATTTCAATTCCCACACCTACGTTTTCCCCAAGCAAGATTAGCAAGATTATTCCACATACAGAGAAATTCATTACTAAGTCAGCTGCCCAACTTCTTTTTAAGGTAAAGATAAATTAATGTAAATCTTCCTGTCCTTCTTATTGCAGATAAGAATGAATGCATATGAAAAGTATGTTTATTCATTTAAATGTTTAGTTTGTAGGCATAGTGTCCAAGAATGGGCATTGGAGTGGGTGGGAAATGTGTTAAAGTAAAGGTGACTTGGATTCAGGAATAAGATTCCTTCATGAATGCAAGGCAATTTGATATTTTTCTCTTATACTGAACTGAATTCATGCAGGTGTGTATGCTAATATTACATATTTTGGTTTATATATCTAAAGTATAGAAATTTTAAAAATTAGACATCATCTTAATTATACCAGTCAAAAAAATTTGCCTAATTTAAACCAGTATATTTTTTTCCAAAGCAGAGTGACTTTTTATTTTGGTAGATGTTTCTTACCAGATAAATCACACATTCATCAAGAATTGCTGTGATTGCCTCACAGAGATGAAAAAAAAAAAAAAAACTTGCCCTAAATTAAAAATAAAATCTATCTACTTTAATTGTAAAATGGGAATGATTACTACTATTTACTGATTACTTAAATATTCATGAGAAAGAGTCTCCAAATTTAGATGGCTGTATATTTAAAGATAAGGGTGTGCTCATATTTCTTATAAGGAGATAGAGTTAATTCTTATCCCCATGGTGGAGCTCCCAGACAGCGTGGCAGATGCCTTTGTTGATTTCTGTACATTTAAAAGGTAATGAGTAGCAGTGAGGGAGTTTCTCTCTGAGTCAAATGGAGTGGATCAGGATGATTTGCCTTGGATGCACAGAAATAATTTATTTTGTTACTCCTTTTCATCGGACATGACACCTCAAATATTGAATGTATGAATTCTGAAAATTGATATATCTATTTAGGCTTTAAAAAATCTCCACATAGAGAAGAACTGAACACTGCCAGGTGCCTGGGGGAAATTCTGGTATTACTTGGAAAATATTGGAAGGAAGGGCAGAAAGATCTCCTTCTACCCGACACACCATGGATGGCTTGTTGTTTCGATGCCTGAGTGTCAGAGCTGGAGTGAACTCTGGGCATAATCAAATCCAAGCTATAATTTTACTGATAACGAATTGAAGACTCAGAGAGGTGAAGTGGTGAAATGATAAGCAAAAAGTCAGGCATAATTAGCAGAAATAAGATCAAAATCCACGTGTCCAGAGTCCCAGTTTAATGTCATTTCTGATACTTTGCAGTCTTTGGACCTTTTTTGACATTAGGCATAATAGTTTCAAATCCCACATCTAGCTTTCCCCCAAGCAAGATGAAAAGATGTGTCTCTGCTCACAGAATCCCTTCCTATGACCTTTATCCCAGTCTACTTTCTGACCCTGTTGGCTTACTCCTCTTTCCCTTGGAAAAAAAAAAAAAAAGAAAACCTGCCACCTCACTATAAATTTGCCTTAGAGATTGCCACTTAGTTCATTTACAAATAAGATGGGATGGGATGAGAGGGATGGAAAGGTGAAAAGAAGAGAAGGCCACTCATCCTCTTACTGACATGGATGTTTTGTCATTTTTTGGTCAGTATTTTTTTTTTCTGCATATTACTCTCACTTCTCCTACTAGGTTTTGTGCATTTGGAGGGCAACTGTGATGACATTTCGTCTGTTTTCTGTTTTTTTTGGCAGAACACCATGAATATAGTAAGTTTCGGTACATTTTGGGGTAGTTCCTTCAATCGAGGCAGCAGGCAGAAGACATAACACTGCTGAGACAAGCTCAGTATGATTCTGTGGTCTAACCAAGTCATAAAGCAAAGGACACATTTTAATTAATCTACCTTCCAGCTGATAAAATCTTCTAATGAGCCATGTGCCATCTCAGAAAATTATAGCATGTATGGTCCAAAATTTGATCAGGAACACAAACAGACCACTCAACATATATTAAACAGAAAAGGACTCAATACAGGTAACTAGATGCTTTCAAAACCATTGGCAGGGTTAGAGGCATGAAACAGAATGTGACCACTTACTCTCAAGTGTTCTAGTTTCCAGAAAGTCTCTGGAATCATAAGAAACTATTGGTTATGTTCCGAGCTGCCTCCACAACTGAGCTAGGTGATTCTCGAAAAACCACCCAGAAACCGATGCAAAATATCCCATTTGCTGAAGCCCACAAGTTTGTGACTGTCTTTTCTAATGGAGAAACAACAATACAGTTTCTGTTTCTTTTGCCTCTCAAACTTCATGCAAGCGCCTCTGGCTGGCACATTCTAACCTGGAACCCTGATGATAAGAATTTTGAAAAAAATGCTGCTTCCAGGCTTCTAGTGTCTAGAAATAGAGAGAGCATTGGGAAAGGTGGGTAGAAATGGTGTCATTTCTAAAGACAGTCCAATACATACACGTTTCTTCAGCTTTTAATTCTTTTGTTTTCACCATTTTTTTAATCTACTAATTAAAAAAAAAAAATCCTTGGGTGTGTGTTATTTATTCATCTGATGAGTTCAGTATGTAACTGACATACACATGACATAGTTGTTTTTTTTCAGGAAGAGTAGTTTGAGGAACTGTTTATCAGTATATTGTATAAGAGTGAACATGGTATTTGGGTAATAGAACAAATTCTTCAAATAAAAAAATGTTATGACTATACTCTGACAAAAACTTACCTCAGGGATATATTTTGGCTTGAGAGAATTTTATTTTTAAATGGAAAGTGTGAAGAATGCAAATCACTTTTTAAGCTATTCAATTTGCTTTTGGGAGAGACTGACTTTGGGGTCAGAGTTTTAGAATAACTTAGTAGTATGCTTATAAATGTATGATCTTTCTTTACTTATACCAATGACAATTATCTAAACATGATCCATACGTCAAACACTTACACAGTAATAAATAAAAAACTGCTGATACTTGATGAAAAGAAAAAGCTTTTTTTGTAGAAATGATACTGTTTTCCACCCACTAATAATTACCTCCCTTTGCAAATATTTAGAAATCTACATATTTCAATATTATCAACACATGAAAGTTAAACATGTTTTATTTCCTAGAGATTTTATCATTTTG
This sequence comes from Homo sapiens, assembly GCF_000001405.40. Taxonomy (NCBI): domain Eukaryota; kingdom Metazoa; phylum Chordata; class Mammalia; order Primates; family Hominidae; genus Homo; species Homo sapiens. The sequence goes on from NC_000008.11 coordinate 86,795,621, forward strand.
GCCAGGGATAGTGGCTCATGTTTGTAATCCCAGAACTTTGGGAGGCTAAGGATCGCTTGAGCCCAGGAGTTTGAGACTAGCCTGGGCAAGATAGTGAGATCTTGTCTCTACAAAAAATAAAAAATTATCCAGGTGTGGTGTCGTATGCTGTGGTTTCAGCTACTCAGGAGGCTGAGGTGGGTGGATTACTTGAGCCTACAAGGTCGAAGCTGCAGTGAGCCGTGATCGCACCACGGCACTCCAGCCTGGGTAATAGAGCGAGACTATGTCTCGAAAAAAAGACAGAATATGTCATTTCATCATGGATTTAGGAAGAGAGCCACCAAGAAAGGTGAGACTACCTTTATGAATAACAATTATCTGTAAATAGGGAGGGAAATAAAAAAATGATATCCTTCTTTCATTGTTATTCTTGGAAACATTTTACATTTATAGGCATGATAGGATAAAATGTATTGATATTTTACTGATCACAGCACACCACATTGGCTGGCCTCTAATTGTCAGTAACAGGTTAGGGAGATTATGTCTGTAAATACTGCATAGGAGGTCTAGATACAAGTTCAGTAAATGGTGCTGGGATAACTGGCTAGCCATATGTAGAAGATTGGAGCTGGACCCCTTCTTAATACCATATACAAAAATAAACTCAAGATGGATTAAAGACTTAAATGTAAAGCCCAAAACTATAAAAACCCTGGAAGACAACCTAGGCAATACCATCCTGGACATAGGAACAGGCAAAGATTTCATGACAAAGCCACCAAAAGCAATCACAACAAATGCAAAAATTGACAAGTAGGATCTAATTAAACTTAAAACTTCTGCACAGCAAAGAAAACTATCAACAGAGTAAACAGACAACCTACAGAATAGGAAAGAAAATGTTTGAAAACTATGCTTCTGATAAGAAACTTAATCATATTTACAAGAGAAAAACAAGGAACCTCATTAAAAAGTGGGAAAAGGACATGAACAGACGCTTCTCAAAAGAAGACATACATGGCTGGGTGCGATGGCTCATGCCTGTAATCCCAACACTTTGGGAGGCTGAGGTGGGTGGATCATGAGGTCAAGAGATAGAGACAATCCTGCCCAACCAACATGGTGAAACCCCGACTCTACTAAAAATACAAAAATTAGCTGGGTGTGATGGTGCATGCCTGTAGTCCCAGCTACTCGGGAGGCTGAGGCAGAAGGAACACTTGGACCCGGGAGGTGATGGTTGCAGTGAGCTGAGATTGCTCCACTGCACTCCAGCCTGGCAACAGAGCGAGACTCCATCTTAATAATAATAATAAAAGACATACATGCAACCAACAAGCATATGATAAAAAGCTCAATATCACTGTTCATCATCAGAAAGAAGCAAATCAAATTGACAATGAGATATCATCTCATATCAGCCAGGTTTGTAATTATTAAAAAGTAAAAAAATAAGAGATGCTAGCAAGATTGCAGAGAAAAGGGAACACTTATACACTGTTGGTGGGAATGTAAATGAGTTCAAACATTGTGGAAAGCAGTATGGCGATTCCTCAAAGAGCTAAAAGCAGAAGTACCATTGGACTCAGCAATCCTGTTAGTGGGTATATACCCAGAGGAATACAAATCATTCTACCATAAAGACACATGCACGCGAATGTTCATTGCAGCACTGTTCACAATAGCAAAGACGTGGATTAACCTAAATGCTCATCAATGACAGATTGGATAAAGAAATATACACCATGTAATACTATGCAGCCATAAAAAAGAACAAGATTATATCTTTTGTGGGAGCATGGATGGAGCAGGAGGCTATCATCCTTAGCAAACTAACACAGGAACAGAAAACTAAGTACTATAAGTATTTAGTTTTCTATATAACTGGGAGATAAATGATATAAGTGGGAGATAAATGATAAGAACTTATGAACACAAAGAAGGAAACAACAGACAGTGGGGTCTACTTGAGGTGGGAGGGTGGGAGGAGGGAGGGGAGCAGAAAAGATAACTACTCGGTACTGGGATTAATACCTGAGTGATGAAATAATCTGTACAAGAAACCTCGTGACACAACTTTGCCTATATAACAAACCTGCACATGTACAACTAAACCTAAAATAAAAGTTGAAACTAAATAAGTAAAAACAAAGTAAAAAGATAGCCTGTGATTATGTTAAAGATAGCAATAGTAAGTGGTACTATACAGAGGAAATATATTTAAAAGATAATTTTCCTGGAAAGAGGCAAGAATTACCAAATGGCTATTGGAATCAGTAGTTGCAATTAGCATCGATTTCTTCATCAGATCAAAGTTTCAGTCCATTTTCTTTTGCAAAAGGCAAAGTCCCCAGTTTCATGATCTATACATTTGTAATAATAATAGCTCCACCTAACCTGTGGAGCTATTGTGAGGATTAAATGCATGTGAAGTAATGGTACATAGCGAATAAAACCATCATGACAGACACAGAAACCAGAAGAAAGGAAAAAGTCTTATGCTTTAGTACTTTTGCTGACACTTCTTTTCTGCTGTTTGAACAAGTAGCCCCACGTTTCCATTTTGCACTGAGACCCACGAGTCCCGCTCATATCCACTCTTTCTCTTTCATTGCCATTGCCACTCTCCCTGCACCCGCGTCTTTGTAGCAGGTTTCTACCTGGCCTCCCTGTCACCACATTCTTCCTTATCTCCATGGTGTACATCATTTGTCATTTGCCATTAATATAAGTGGATATTATTATTATAACTACTAGTAGGACTTTCAATAATATGATAAAATAAGTAGCATTAATAACGTGAGTTGCCAAGAATAACTATGACTTATGTGAATGACTACTATAGTGAAAATAAGTTAAATGTTATGGTGCTAATGTGCTAATGCAGGGTTTAGAATGAATTTCTGTGCAAATTTGTAAGTATATGTAAAAATGTACAAGTGAAGAGTATTCTGAATAAAAGCACCAATATTAAATTCATGACATGTGCCCTCAAAGTGCTTTGGATGTTGCTTGGGTGTTAGGCCTCTTAAATCAAGATATAAACCAAGAAGATAACTTGAGATCCAAGGAGAGCCAGTGCAATATGGTAAGAAACAGACTTCAGGATAGGAAAGGTTAGTGCTTAAATCCCCTGCTCCACCAGTACCACATGATGACCTTGGAGGAATTGCTTAACCTCTGAATGTCAATTCTTTCTTAAATTTTTTTTCCAAAAAAAAACTTCCTAAAAATTCCTACCATCTCCTTCATAGAGCTATTTTAAGTGCTGTGTTAGATAACACATGCAAATTTACAAATATGTTGCCTGGGAAAGAGAAAATGCAATAAACTGTAGTTATTACCACAGCAACAATGATGTAAAAAATAACTGGTAAATTTTTGACATTTTCCTGGATGTTGGGATATTAGACCATCCGTATAAAATCATATTTTTAAAACAGCTTAGCAAAGAAAAGGTTTTTGCAAGATGATAGATCTTTACGTGCAAGAAGGAATGTATGTCACATCTCTGGATTATGAACAAAGATCCTGGAAATGGAATTTGATGACAGCATGCTATTGAAACTATAAGTGGAATTTTCTTTCCTTTCCCTTTCTAAAATACCTAGTCATTTCAGTGAATCCACCAATCTGGACAACTTATTAATTCAATGTAGCAATGGGTATATATATGTGAGGAAGGGGTATATATAAGTTTACATGTGTGTTTGTGAGCAATAGTATTTCTCCATTTGGCCCTTTCCCCTTCCCCTGATGATTCTCCACTCTTCTCTGTCTCATCAGGGATGCCTGAATTCAGCTCCAAGTACCATATGCCTGAGCTTCTTTCCCTCTAGTTTTCATTTGGTTCAGCCAGTGGTCTCCCATGGCAGGAGGTGGAAGAGTGGGAGAAGAGTGAGGTTGAAGTATTTATTTTCTCCCACCCTTCTCTTCCTACAGACATTCTCTTTGGTCTGTTTAGCTGTGGCTACTTTCCTTTACTTATGGACACAACTCCCATTAGTCTCATTCCTACTGTAACAGATATCACCAAGTTCAAATAGCACAGATTTTCATTTTGCCCCTTCAGGACTAAGGTGGTTAATGACTTTCTTCTGTTGCTGGTCCCTGGGTTCCCTATACTCTGCACTGGTAATTTGTCCCTTTGAAGACTATTTATACCCTGAATCTGTCATCTGTTTTCTACTAGGTCCCTAACTGTTAAAAGTGTTTGTGTGTGTTTATTTGTGTGTATTTCACAAAGAAAGAGAGGGGAAAAGGATGATAATTAACTTATCTGTAACCAGTCGAAGTCTGTGGCCTTTTGAGACTTGCATTAATCACTTCTTACCAATATGTCACATTGCAAAGACTATCAGAAATAACAGGGAAGAAAGAAACAGAAATATAAAAAAAGAGGGAAAAAAACAGAAAAAGGAAGGGAAAATGTCTTACATTTTAATTAAATAAAAAAAACCGCTCACTATTTGACTTTTTTTTGAGTTGCAGAAATTCTTTATATATGTTTTAGATATATGCTGGATACAAACTCTTGGTAAGATATATATTTTGTAAATACTTTCTCCAAGTGTATAGTTTGTCTAGTCATTTACTATTATTTTACTTTATTCAAGGGGTACTTGTGCAGGTTTGTGACATGGGTATATTGTGTGATGCTGAGGTTTGGGCTTCTAATGATACTGTTGTCCATGTGGTGAACATAGTACCTGACAGGTAGTTTTTCAATCCTTGCCTCCTCCCTTCTTCCCCACTTTTGGAATCCCCAGTGTTTATTATTCCCATCTTGGTGACCATGTGTACCCAAAGTTTAGCTCCTACTTATAAATGAGAACATCTGATATTTAGTTTTCTGTTCCTGTGTTCACTTAGGATAATAGCCTCCAGCTGTATCCATGCTGCTGCAAAGGACACGATTTCATATTTTTATGGCTGCATAGTATTCCATGGCATATATGTACTACATTTCTTTTATCCAGTCCATTGTTGATAGTCACCTAGGTCCATGTCTTTGCTGTTGTGTATAGTGCTGCAATGACCATGGGAGTACCTGTGTCTTTTTGAGAGAACAAATTATTTTCCTTTGGGTATATACCCAGTAATCGCACTGCTAAATCAAATGGTAATTCTATTTTTAGTTTTATGAGAACTCTCTGACGAACTGCTTTTCACAGGAGCTGAACTAATTTTTATTCCCATCAGCAGTGTACAAGTGTTCCTTCTTCTTCATAACCTTGCTAACATCTCTTATTTTTTGACAGATGTTGAAAAATAATAGCCATTCTGACTGATGTGAGATGATATCTCACTGTGGTTTTGATTTGCATCTCTCTGATGATTAATGATGCTGAGCATTTTTTCATGTTTGTTGACTGCTTGTATGCCTTCTTTTGAGAAGTGTCATTTCATATTCTTTCCACAATTTTGATGGGGTTATTTGAAAAAAACACTTACAATTCTAATAATGGGATCATTAATAGTTAAAGCAACAATATAAAGATGTTAGATTGGAAAAATACTAGGTCTGTTCATTGTCAGAGAGGTCTCCAGAAGAAATGGTGAATTGCTATCTTTTTCAAGAGATTTTTCAGTAGCAAACAGCATCTTAAAAAAAAAAACAAACCAAACAGTTAATCTTTCCCATGATTTTCAATCTTTCCGTGATTGAAGAATTGTGAATGAGAACAGTAGTAATCTTTAGTCATTTAACTTCTGGAAACAGTAGGAAAAATCTGGATATAACTCTTCAGGTCAAGGTGGTCTTTATTTGTTTTGAAATACATTAACTCACACAACTGAGCTCAGATTAATAAGTGATTTCTAAATAGTAGAGGCTCCATTTGTTAAGAGGATCATGGAAACAAAAAGTATGTTTAATACATTTCACCTATACCCTGCTGCCAGAAGCTGATTAGAAAAACCTAAATGATAATATAAATACAAACGAAGAAGTAAGCATACCTTGCCTATCCACATCACATCTCATGAGGGAAAATGTATATTCTGTGTAAGAATACTTTCTTGGAAGAACAGACTAAGAAAATTTATATAAACAGAATCAGATTTTCCTTTCAAGACACTATAAAAGAAGGTTGATTTACATAAAATATTTTTGGTCCAAGATAAAAAAGATATTTTAGAATACAGACTTAGAATATAGCAATAAATGCTATGCAGAGATTATTTTTCCTTAAGTCTAAATGTTTTGTATGGGTAAATGGGACTGTGGGTTTGTGAGATTTTTCATGACCAAACTTCAAGTCTTTCTCTGTGCCAAGTAAATGATCCCTAGCCTAGGAATATTTCTGCTTGAAAAGTTCATTTTAAGCGATATTTTCTAAGATGTGAACCCTACTTAGTCCTGGATAAGGCTATACAGTGACTACTGATTTGTTTTTGTTTCATCTTTGATAAAGACTGATTTAGAAAAGTGGAAAAGATATCATTAAAAGGAGAGATAAATTTGTTACAAAAGACGCTTTGTTGCATAGAATCAATCTCTCTCTCTCTCTCTCTCAAAATGAGTAGGAAGGTAAAATTTGGTTTCAAACACCTCTTTCTCTCCTTAATAGTCCACAAGGATTTAGCCTCTAAATTTCTGTTGATGAAATTTTAGCTGTACCAAATTTTAATGGAAATGGAGTCTTCAATATGACACTTGATTAACTATTTTTCCCAAAGCTTTGTCTTTCAGTCTTGGTAGAGTTTGGAGGAGAAGAGTTTACCAGTGTTGAAGTACATTAGAATTTGGAAAGTCAACAGTCACCATACCTATCTCCTTTATGATTTTATAGATTTCTATTACATTCCTTTTGGCTTTCACTTGTCTAATTAGAAATTATTCATTTTTTAAAAATATAAATTTTGCAGAATAATTTTTATCATTCACTTGAAGATTTTATTTGATCTTCTCTTTATTCAATTTATTAACACCCTACTTATACAGCATTATAGGGTGTTTTATGTTTGTTTCTGATTATTACAATTTTTGAAGAGTTAGATTTCTGCTTGGTTGTCTTTTTCTGATTAGAAGAATATTTACTTATGAGATATTTTTTACCATGTATTAATTGAACATTATGTGCTATGTATATTTTTAATATATTGAAAATTTCCATAATATAATAATATATATTTTATATTATAATCCATTAAAAGTCAGAAAGTATTCTTATATTGAAAATTTCCATAATATAATAATATATATTTTATATTATAATCCATTAAAAGTCAGAAAGTATTCTTATTTAGCTCTAAATATACAATTTTTGCAAGCATATATTTTTATCTACATGTTTAATAGATTTTTTTGGATGGTAATACTGTATTGTAATGTGGATATGAAAGTATATTTCTACAACTGAAAGGAACAAATTTGAAGACATTTTCTACAATGATTCAGTTAAAATTTACCTCTAGTTAGATTGTTTTAAAAAGTCTCTTGCGCACACCAACATGGCACATGTATGTATATGTAACAAACCTGCACGTTGTGCACATGTACCCTAAAACTTAAAGTATAATAAAAAAAAGCCTCTTGCATATTTCTTCAGTTTTGTCTGTGTAAACATAGCCTCAGTTTAAGAATTTTGGTCCTACTTTTCCTTCACTTTTCATAATGTATATACAAGCAGCACTACAAAGAAGTTACAAAAATATTTTCTTCTTATGTGCCTAATAAAAAGTAGAAATAATCCCAAGAGTCTGATTTTCAGAGCCCGTGTTACAAGGTGCTTTTTCTTATTTGAACATAAATTAGATTGTGTGTGTAAAATTTTTCTAAACTTCTATTTCATTCCTTTTTGTTACCTTGAAAATGTTTGTTTGTTTTTACAATTTCAGGTACTTTAAGCCTAGTTACCAAATGATATGAGATTTTCCTAAAATTTATTATATTTACGAACTCCATATCTTGAAGATATAGAAAACCAACCTTATAGGCACTTTAAAAAGGAGTTGCTTTATCACAGCCTTTAAAGAAGAAACTTTTCATTTTTAGAAGATTGAGAACATAGCAACCACTTGAAATATTTCAGTTTACTCTCATTATATTATTTTTCATTTAATTCACATAAAATTATAATTCTAAAATTATTTTAATTTGATGCTCAGTTATATTATATTTAACAATCTGTAGTATGTTTTAATTCATATTGGATAAATCATGTAATCTTAATTTTATTTATCTTATAACATTTTCATTAAAAATAATACTCATTAATTGTAGAAAATTTGGAAATAAAGGTTACTGGGAAAAATATATAAAAGGTTGATAACATTTTAATTCCTGGGTATACTTGTTAACTTTCTGTCTCGTTGATCTGTCTAACGTTGACAGTGGGGTGTTAAAGTCTCCCATTATTATTGTGTGGGAGTCTAAGTCTCTTTGTAGGTCACTCAGGACTTGCTTTATGAATCTGGGTGCTCCTGTATTGGGTGCATATATATTTAGGATAGTTAGCTCTTCTTGTTGAATTGATCCCTTTACCATTATGTAATGGCCTTCTTTGTCTCTTTTGATCTTTTTTGGTTTAAAGTCTGTTTTATCAGAGACTAGGATTGCAACCCCTGCCTTTTTTTGTTTTCCATTTGCTTGGTAGATCTTCCTCCATCCTTTTATTTTGAGCCTATGTGTGTCTCTGCACATGAGATGGGTTTCCTGAATACAGCACACTGATGGGTCTTGACTCTTTATCCAATTTGCCAGTCTGTGTCTTTTAATTGGAGCATTTAGTCCATTTACATTTAAAGTTAATATTGTTATGTGTGAATTTGATCCTGTCATGATGATGTTAGCTGGTTATTTTGCTCGTTAGTTGGTGCAGTTTGTTCCTAGTCTCGATGGTCTTTACATTTTGGCATGATTTTGCAGTGGCTGGTACCGGTTGTTCCTTTCCATGTTTAGTGCTTCCTTCAGGAGCTCTTTTAGGGCAGGCCTGGTGGTGACAAAATCTCTCAGCATTTGCTTGTCTGTAAAGGATTTTATTTCTCCTTCACTTATGAAGCTTAGTTTGGCTGGATATGAAATTCTGGGTTGAAAATTCTTTTCTTTGAGAATGTTGAATATTGGCCCCCACTCTCTTCTGGCTCGTAGAGTTTCTGCCGAGAGATCTGCTGTTAGTCTGATGGGCTTCCCTTTGTGGGTAACCCGACCTTTCTCTCTCGCTGCCCTTAACATTTTTTCCTTCATTTCACCTTTGGTGAATCTGACAATGATGTGTCTTGGAGTTGCTCTTCTCGAGGAGAATCTTTGTGGCGTTCTCTGTATTTCCTGAATCAGAATGTTGGCCTGCCTTGCTAGATTGGGGAAGTTCTCCTGGATAATATCCTGCAGAGTGTTTTCCAACTTGGTTCCATTCTCCCCATCACTTGCGGGTACACCAATCAGATGTAGATTTGGTCTTTTCACATAGTCCCATATTTCTTGGAGGCTTTGTTCATTTCTTTTTATTCTTTTTTCTCTAAACTTCCCTTCTTGCTTCATTTCATTCATTTCATCTTCCATCACTGATACCCTTTCTTCCAGTTGATCGCATCGGCTCCTGAGGCTTCTGCATTCTTCACGTAGTTCTCGAGCCTTGGTTTTCAGCTCCATCAGCTCCTTTAAGCACTTCTCTGTATTGGTTATTCCAGTTATACATTTGTCTAAATTTTTTTCAAAGTTTTTAACGTCTTTATCCTTGATGAACATTGATGCAAAAATCCTCAATAAAATACTGGCAAAACGAATCCAGCAGCACATCAAAAAGCTTATCCACCATGATCAAGTGGGCTTCATCCCTGGGATGCAAGGCTGGTTCAATATACACAAATCAATAAATGTAATCCAGCATATAAACAGAATCGAAGACAAAAACCACATGATTATCTCAATAGATGCAGAAAAGGCCTTTGACAAAATTCAACAACCTTCGTGCTAAAAACTCTCAATAAATTAGGTATTGATGGGACTTATTTCAAAATAATAAGAGCTATCTAAGACAAACCCACAGCCAATATCATACTGAATGGGCAAAAACTGGAAACATTCCCTTTGAAAACTGGCACAAGACAGGGATGCCCTCTCTCACCACTCCTATTCAACATAGTGTTGGAAGTTCTGGCCAGGGCAATTAGGCAGGAGAAGGAAATAAAGTGTATTCAATTAGGAAAAGAGGAAGTCAAATTGTCCCTATTTGCAGATGACATGATTGTATATCTAGAAAACTCCATTGTATCAGCCCAAAATCTCCTTAAGCTGATAAGCAACTTCAGCAAAGTCTCAGGATACAAAATCAATGTACAAAAATCACAAGCATTCTTATATACCAATAACAGACAAACAGAGAGCCAAATCATGAGTGAACTCCCATTCACAATTGCTTCAAAGAGAATAAAATACCTAGGAATCCCACTTACAAGGGATGTGAAGGACCTCTTCAAGGAGAACTACAAACCACTGCTCAAGGAAATAAAAGAGGATACAAACAAATGGAAGAACATTCCATGCTCATGGGTAGGGAGAATCAATAGTGTGAAAATGGCCATACTGCCCAAGGTAATTTATAGATTCAACGCCATCCCCATCAAGCTACCAATGACTTTCTTCACAGAATTGGAAAAAACTAAAGTTCCTATGGAACCAAAAAAGAACCCGCATCACCAAGTCAATCCTAAGCCAAAAGAACAAAGCTGGAGGCATCACACTACCTGACTTCAAACTATACTACAAGGCTACAGTAACCAAAACAGCATGCTACTGGTACCAAAACAGAGATATAGATCAATGGAACAGAACAGAGCCCTCAGAAATAACTCCGCATATCTACAACTATCTGATCTTTGACGAACCTGAGAAAAACAAGCAATGGGGAAAGGATTCCCTATTTAATAAATGGTGCTGGGAAAACCGGCTAGCCATATGTAGAAAGCTGAAACTGGATCCCTTCCTTACACCTTATACAAAAATTAATTCAAGATGGATTAAAGACTTAAATGTTAGACTTAAAACCATAAAAACCCTAGAAGAAAACCTAGGCATTACCATTCAGGACATAGGCATGGGCAAGGACTTCATGTCTAAAACACCAAAAGCAATGGCAACAAAAGCCAAAATTGACAAATGGGATCTAAGTAAACTAAAGAGCTTCTGCACAGCAAAAGAAACTACCATCAGAGTGAACAGGCAACCTACAAAATGGGAGAAAATTTTTGCAACCTACTCATCTGACAAAGGGCTAATATCCAGAATCTACAATGAACTCAAACAAATTTACAAGAGAAAAACAAACAACTCCATCAAAAAGTGGGCAAAGGACATGAACAGACACTTCTCAAAAGAAGACATTTATGCAGCCAAAAAACACATGAAAAAATGCTCACCATCACTGGCCATCAGAGAAATGCAAATCAAAACCACAATGAGATACCATCTCACACCAGTTAGAATGGTGATCATTAAAAAGTCAGGAAACAACAGGTGCTGGAGAGGATGTGGAGAAATAGGAACACTTTTACACTGTTGGTGGGACTGTAAACTAGTTCAACCATTGTGGAAGTCAGTGTGGCGATTCCTCAGGGATCTAGAACTGGAAATACCATTTGACCCAGCCATCCCATTACTGGGTATATACCCAAAGGACTATAAATCATGCTGCTATAAAGACACATGCACATGTATGTTTATTGTGGCACTATTCACAATAGCAAAGACTTGGAACCAACCCAAATGTCCAACAATGATAGACTGGATTAAGAAAGTGTGGCATATATACACCATGGAATACTATGCAGCCATAAAAATTGATGAGCTCATGTCCTTTGTAGGGACATGGATGCAATTGGAAGTCATCCTTCTCAGTAAACTATCGCAAGGACAAAAAACCAAACACCGCATGTTCTCACTCATAGGTGGAAATTGAACAATGAGAACACATGGACACAGGAAGGGGAACATCACACTCTGGGGACTGTTGTGGGGTTGGGGGAGTGGGGAGGGATAGCATTAGGAGATACACCAGCATGGCACATGTATACATATGCAACTAACCTGCACATTGTGCACATGTACCCTAAAACTTAAAGCATAATAAAAATAAAAATTGAAAAAAAAAGTTGATAACATTTTAAAGTGATTAATAAAGTGAACATTTATTTTAAAGAAAAATGTTTATGTAATGGATAATAGATGGATGCAGATCCAGGCTTTTTAAGATAAATGGACATGACCAGGTTAAGAACACAGGTGGCCTTTTTGATTTTCCATTTTTCTAATGTGTCTTATAATGGCAATTAAACAAACTAAAATGTTTTAGTGTTGGTTTGATGCAACCATAATTAAGTAAACTCCATTTAAGAAAGCTTATATAATTAAAGAAAAGATCTTTTAAAAACCTTTATTATGTTAGCAAAGAAATCATGGGCTTTACTGGTTCAACAACTTTGATATTCTAACTCATGGAAAATTCTACATTATATCATTTGTAGACCATTATGCAAATGAAAGTAAATCTTTTGTAGTAGGTTCTTAGAAAGCAGATGAGGACAAGTATTGAACAGGAAAATTAAAAAAACAAATCCATTCACTTATCTAATAAAAGAAATAATAGAGCATCTCTTATGTTGTAGATTTTGGTGGATTTGTGCTCAAGTTTAAAGCTTCATTCAAACAACAAAAAATTCAAAGTCAATTCTAATATGATACATAAAAAGAAGAAAGTAATTCACAGCTAAACTTAATATGAAACAATGGAAGACTGCTATGAAGACTCCCATCTATTAATATTATAAGGATAAATTCTAATTTCTGTATATAAAAATGTGTACATAGCTAACAAGATGACTAATAACTAATTATTTTTAATTTGCTTATGAGGATTTGCTAGAAAAAAATTAAAGTTAAACTCAAACATAAGTTCAACAAATTTTCTCCACAATAAAGGCAATGAACCAAAGAATAAAGCTGTGGTCAGTAACGTATTAATTAATGGGATGATTGTTCAGTACTGAACAATTGTAAATGTTCATTGTAAATGTTCAATATGATACTAAAGACAAAATATGAAGATACGATATTCTCTTAAAAACTCAATAAAAGCTATGTAGACAGAAAGTTGTTACGTAGTTACCAGTGTTAATTTCCTCTTTAATTCTCTTCACTAGAGAGGAAAGAAATACCTTCTTGAGGGACAAAAAATAACAAGTTAAAAGAATAGCTTTGGTCATCCATAATTATGGCTATCTATAAGGGATGAATGTTAAATTCTTTAAAAAATGTAAAAATGAATTTTTAATAATTTCCAAATATATTTTGTTGGAACATTGGATGCAGTTCGATACATCATGAATTTTCCCTACCAGTCTCATGACTATACTATGAAATGTCAAGCCAAAGAATTACACTGTAAATGTGAACATGTTCAATAGTAGCCCATCTGAGATATGAAATCCTTATGATTTTCTTCTTTTACCCTCTTTGATTAGTTTGGAATTGGGGGAGAAAGTTGCTGTTTCTCATTGCCGATTTTAAAAAGTAAAATTCCCTATTTTGCCAATGGAGGACATTAAGAATAATTGTGTATTTTCTTATTTTTTCTTTCACATCGTGGTTGTGATTTTTTTGTTTTGTTTTATTTTGCTTTGATCTGTTGCTGTCCATTCAAAAGATTGGTTTTGGTCATTTGTTCTCCAGAGATTCAGGAGAAGCAAAATAATTCTTTAAAAATCTTCATAGGAAATCATATATGCATAAACTTTTAGAGTTGGATGCAGACATGCTACCAAGCTATTCACCAAATATGTAAGTCCTCTCCAAAAGTTTCCATTAATTCATATGGTTGCTCAAAAACACTGATTAAATATTTCAGATGACGTAGATGCTAGTGAATCAGTCAAGATATAACCCCTGTTCTAAATGAGGAGTTTCCAGTCCAATGGAAAGACAGATAGTTACTGCAAATGTAATAATGTGTAAAAAATGATTAGCATTAGTTCCAGGGTATTATGATGGCATTAAGAAAATTACCTAATCCTCTATGTGTCTGGTGATGGGAGGGCTTCTGCATTCAGTTTTCAATAGAAATATTTAAGACTATCAATCTTCCTCTCAGCACTACTTCAGCTTTATTACATAATTTCTAAAGCAAGTTATTTTCATTGTTATTTTCCAGATGGCTTGCAGTTTATTTTTTATGTATATTTTGACCCAACAGTTCTCAAGTGGTATGTTTTTCTTTTCTAGTTTTGTTATTAATTTCTAGTTTTATTTTTTGTGATAAAGTGTATATTGCTTTTACTATTTCTACTTTTCAGAATTTGAGTTTTTGCCTAATAAATGAACAAATTTTATTAATATTTCATAGCTGTGTAATAAGTAGGTATTGTCTCTTTTCATGATATAAAGGTTGAACACACAGGGATTCTATGCTACATTATTAACAATGTTTTTTAGGATTCCTATATTTTTACTTATTTTTGTCCACTTGATATATCAAGGATGAGAGAGGTGAATTCATACTCCTTACTACTGAGACATTTGGCTATTTCTCTTTATATATCCTATACTTATTGTGTATATATTGTTGCTATGTTATTTAATCATAACTGTAATTCTGAGTTGTGGATTGCACACATTTTGTTATTGAGCATACTTCTTTGTATAGTTTATGCTTTTTATATTTGTGTTTCAAATAAAAATGATCAGGATAACTTTTCTTTTTGTTTTCATTTGCCTTGTATGTATTTGTCCATCTTTTAAATTTTTACCTCTCTGATTCATTGTAGGAGTCTTTGTGAACCAAACTAATAAGTGGTCTTAGCCATTGATGTAAAAGATATATTTGATGCTATGTATTTCATCATATTTTTGTAATTAAATTTTTTTTGTTTTTATTTATTTTTATAACAATTTTTATAACTCTTGCAATATGGCTTGAATTTGTTCTTTGCTGCTTTCTTTTTTTGTGTAATTTATAATTTGTAATAATTTATTTGTAATTATTATAATTTTTCCCCTAATAGTTACAGTTCTAACCGTACATTTATACAATGCAATTAGTTTGCTATTTCTTAGTAATGTCTACTGACTCCTTACTTGTGATTAATAATAGCATTATAATAAAATAATCAAATTATATTTCTACATTTTCCCACCTTAGCTCTTTCCTTTCCACATTGATTTTCATTAAGAATATTACTTTTCTTTGTTTTTATATTGTATTTTTAATTATTTTCAAACTTCAGGTATAAGTACTGGGTTTATCTATTTTAAATGACTCTTTCTTGCCCCTCCCCAGCTACAAAAGATATGAAGATCATCTTGATATTAGCTTGATTAGCTTAAGAAATGCCTTGGTGTTGAATGTGTTATCTTTATTTTTTTTCCCCTGGGATACCTTGTGTGACTTCATAGATTTAAGCCTTTTTAAATTTTGGGGTAATTTTCTTAAATACATTTATTTTTCTTTGTTGTTATGTTGAATTTCTTCTTCAATATAAATTTCTTTTCCACATCAATTTTGTATATATTGGGATCGCATTTCTCTTTCACGTGTTATGATTTTCTGTCTAATCACTTAACTGTACTTACTTTCTCATTTCGCTTCCTTTTCCTAATCCTGTTTTCCGTGTCCTTTACTGTGTTTGTGGCAGCATTTACTGCTTTTGTCTGCTTCCCCTGTGGACCTCATTTCTATGATGGAATTGCCTTTTTCCCCTTCTAAGTTCTGCCATATTGTGTTTTACCTTTTACTGTTTTTTCACAATTTCTCCCCTGAGTTCATTTCTCTGTTTTGAGTTTTTATATTTATTTATTTATTTATTTATTTATTTATTTATTTATTTTTGGGACAAAATCTCACTGTGTCGCCAGGCAGGAGTGCAGTGGTGCGATCTCGGCTCACTGCAGCCTCCACCTCCTGGGTTCCAGAGATTCTCCTGCCTCAGCCCCCCAAGTAGCTGGGATTACAGGCATGTACCACCACACCCAACTAATTTTTATATTTTTATTAAAGATGGAGTTTCACCATGTTTGCCAGGATAATCTCGATCTCTTGACCTCGTGATCCGCCCGCCTTGGCCTCCCAGAGTGCTGGGATTAAAAGGCATGGGCTACCGCACCCGGCCATGTTTTGATTTTTTGGAGCTATTTATTCATTACATTAAGAAATTCATAGTGATACTTATAATTTTCATTTTGTTCTCATCAATACTTTCTGGTACATTACTCATTTTTCTTGTTCTTTCAGTTTTTAAATTTTCTTTTGGTAGGTTAGTAAAGATCTTGTACAAAGTCCTTGCATATGACTACTCATTTTATTTATAGAGGTAGATTGTACTTGGACTACATATTTTCCAGGGGTTCATACGAGAGAGACCAAGGTATTTTTTTTTATTTTATTATTATTATACTTTAAGTTTTAGGGTACATGTGCATAATGTGCAGGTTGGTTACATATGTATACATGTGCCATGTTGGTGTGCTGCACCCAGGAACTCGTCATTTAGCATTAGGTATATCTCCAAGGTAATTTTGTACGCTGGTAGAGCTTCTCACTACATCACATGTGTGTGAGCAAGGTATTTTATGGCCGACTTCTTCCCAGTCATCTAAGATTGGCAGCTTCAAGGTGACTCATGATTCAGTCTCTTTATTTCAACCTTTCTCAGCAACAGACTCTGCCTCCTGAAGATACAGTCTGCCTGTGCAATTCCTCACTCTTCTGTGCTTCCAGCCTCTCTTTAATGACAAGCCATTTTGGAGATGCTCCGACAGTGTTCTATGTGCTCTGTTTTTGTAGCCCCCAGATTTCTCTTACTTTCAGACAGAAGGAGTTGTCTTTCAAGATTATTTTTCCTCCTTGTTTTTGAGTAATTTCTGAGAAGAGAGGGGGTAAGCACCATTTTAAAGTCAGAAGTCTCGTGTTCACTGTGGACCTTCCTTATCTAAACCTCCTGCTTCACTTTTTGCAAATCTGATGCCATGATTACTTGTCTACACTTATTGATCCATCAATGTATGCACAGTGTTGTATTGTGAAGCAGTTATTAGGTTGATGCAAAAGTAATCGCTGTTTTTGCCATTACTTTTGATGGCAAAATGTAAACCTTTAGAGTGTTTACAGCTGTGCCTGGAACAGTAGATATTTGACAAATGTAGCTATCATCATCATCAACAACAACATCATCATTTCACTCTTGCTGTGTGTGTTTCCTTCATTAATAATGAGTATAAATACTAATAGGAACCTCTGTTCACTGGGAAAGCTTTTGAAGACAGCTAAAAAGGGGGTGATCAAATTATAAATTCATCAAATTCTAAAAGGTTAACATTTATGAATCTTTTTAACACTTTTTAAAGGCCTTCACAAGTCCTGAAATAACAAGATCTATGCAGAGGTCTTTGTGCTTCAGTCTTAGTCTAGTTCTACCTGGGGCTTATATCTAGCAGTCAATGCTTCCTTATTGTTTTCTGTTTTTCATTTTCATTTTGAGAAAGCATAGGTACATGTGGAAATCTGAGGCCAATTGTGAGAGGTTACTGATTACTTTGATTACTTAATCAAAAGAGGAAAACAAATATGAAAGCGTGTTGCTTGGGAGAACTATTTTATAATTGCTACGGAAGTGAAGTCTAAAGTTGTCATATTGCATTTTAAAATCTAGTTCTTCCTCCTAACAACTTTAGTTCCTTTAAAATAGCTAACTCACAGGAATGGTGCAAGATATAATTGAGAGGTAATTAAAATCAAGTTTTAATGTAAGGTTTTGAAGAAATGATGTTGAATACTAATTTGCTATAGAATATTCTGAGCATTTAAAAGATGCTTAAGAAAGCCAAATGTTTCAAATTTACCCTTGATTTGATAATGTCGAAATGGAATACATCAACAAGGAAGATTTTTAAGTAAGGAGTGACAGGGAAACTTCAAAATTAAAATGATTAATAGAAAGACAATCATATTAGATGAATATCCAAGCATTTTAGAGTAGAAGTTACATTATTTATTCTTTTTGAAATGATTTTATTACACATCTCCTGGTACAGGGATCATCAATGTTTATTGTGAGTTCAGTAATCACATTACCTATTGAAGAAAGTCATGGATTAACTGACTCTTAAAGTTATAAAGTTCCCTAAAATCATCCAGTACAATAATTCTCCTTACAATACTCCTAGCAGGCAGTAATTTAGCCTTTGTTTAAATTTCCATGTGCAAAGCAGACCAGTCTAATTTAAGGCATTTGTAATTGTTACAGAAATTCATTGGATTAAAATTTGTGTCCCTATTACTTAAACCCTTGCAATCAATCTTTTCCTCTTCTGCCACGTTAAGTACAGTCACTTTCCCACTGACACAAGAGGCATTACTATGTAATAAACATGAGCTTTGGGTCACTCAGTCCTGAATTAATACGTTCTATGTTCTGTTTGCTAGTGGCATAATGGTTCATTAATTATTCTGTCTCATATGACTCTGTGGCTATCTTTGATTGAAGTATGTTGTTCTTATTTTGCCACAGTGGAATCATGGCTGTTTTTGCTCAGAGTGGTGAGCATAGTACTTGGCAAAATGTAGGGTACTCATGTAATGTCTGTCCACAGTAGATGATCAATTGATTCATTATTAGTTCATGGGAATCATTTGAAGTTATTTGATGTACAACTTGACTTCAACCTGAAGTCTCTATCTAGAGATATTTGCCATGATATGCAATCCATATTCATTATGAGACAACCTTATTCTTGCCATTTTCCTAACATGTAATAACCATCTCCTTCTCTCTACCTTCTCAGATACTGTTTTTCTTCAAGGCCCAATTCAAATTCCATTATTTTCTCAGGCCTGTCTTTAGTGCTGACATTCTTAGAACTCTCCAAATTGATAGCACTTTTCTGGATTGGTTCTCTAATTCTTAATAAGCTAGCTTTTAAAATTTAATATTCTAAGCGCATTTGTTTTCTTTCATCTTTCAAGTGAGAGATTTTGTGTGATATAGCATCTTAATCTTTAACACTGGAAGGTCCTGAAATATCATCTTATTTATTAAAGAACATTTCAAGAATATTCAATTTAGTTTTCATTTAATTATAAGTAAAGATAGCAACACTAACCACATCTCACCTTAGTGGGCTCAAGCTTGTGCAGCTGAGCCCCTTCTGATGCCTTTGCAGACTTGTCTAGGTTTATAGAACAGTTGCACCTTTGGGTTTAACAGTTTTTTAGGTCATTGTGGAGGCTGATCATATGGCATGATTAGACCAGAACCAAATGAAATCTTGTCATATACAGTGCCATATTGATGGGCAGCCAGTAATTGAGGTGCTGCCTGGAGATAGAGTGAAGTCCTCTCCAACACTGGTGGTTGGATCACCTGGTTTTGATCCTGAGGATGCAGGTGGTAGGAGGTTTTGGGTGAGTGAATTCCAAGCAGGCAACATGTAAGAACTGAGCAACTGAAATAGGGACTGTTTCTTGGCCCACAAACTAGACTCTTTCCTAGTAGTAGGCACTTTTCCTTTTTAGGCATCTTCTCTGGAGTGAATTCTGTGGTTTACATGGCTCCTTGTGGTGAACCCCAATACTTGCTCTCTGCTTCCATTCCCATTCCCTGTCACTTCAATTTTAATATTCTTTTATTATTTTCCCCAGTAGATAATGAAGACCCCAGTGGATTATTATTAGCAAATGAAAACTGGATATCAAGAAGGGCAAAATCTTCAACCTTATCAGCAGGTGAGGGGAAATAATTACACTCTATTATTCTAATGCAGTAGACAGAAGAACAACTAAAGCAATTAAGTTTCCATCTTACAGAAAACTGAATAAGATACTGCCACATTTTTTGATATGCTTATAAATTTAAAAAATTAAGTTCATGAGTGTTATGTATCTGTTATCTAACTCTATGTATCTATGTATCTCTCTATCATCTACCTATGTATCTAAACTATTGTCTTTTAGTATCTACCCTCTGATCATACAACATAAGAGTGTACTATATGTATTTTTGGAATATAATTTTTAGATTATTTTCATTAGCATTAGTAGCTTCTGCCTGTCAAGGAAACTGGGAATTTTGGCATAGAAAAATATCTTAGAAAGCACTTTATAACTGTTTTACATACATAATCCATATTAGTAGCAACTGTTCCCAATGGCCATCCAGAATAATTTGGGTCATTTATTTATAATTTCAATGAAACAGACATTATTTTTTAAGAATACA
Organism: Homo sapiens; assembly: GCF_000001405.40. Classification (NCBI taxonomy): domain Eukaryota; kingdom Metazoa; phylum Chordata; class Mammalia; order Primates; family Hominidae; genus Homo; species Homo sapiens. The sequence continues at coordinate 86,815,811 of NC_000008.11, forward strand.
GTCTGTTTAGATCTCCTTGAATCATCCTGATTTCCTAAGATTGTATATATGGGATTCAAACAATTTTTTGTTTGAGTTACTTATCTTGAGCATATCTTCAACTTCGAAATATCAGTTGCTGAAGACAACACAAACCGTGGTGTTTTGACCTGGTTAATGGTGGTGGCCCCAGACTCACATCTTAAGAAACTGAGAAGACAAACTTTCTGTGATCAGGCCACAGCTTTCAAACTTTCTCTGGCTTCCATAAAATATTTCTCTATGAACTTCTGGACATAAAGGAAGATACTATATATATTATATATATTACTTACATATAATATTATATATTACTTATATATAATATTATATATTACTTATATAATAATACTATTTATATAGTACTATTGGCTATAGTAGTACTAATATAATATATAGTATACTAACTATATGCTAATGTTATTTATTATATAATTACATATTATATGATATGTATAATATTTTATATATTATATATTCACTTTGGAATTCAGTCATGGTTGATTAAAATTGTGTTATTTTATTTGGGATTTAGTTTTCTATTTCTTTTTATATTTTCTTAAGGCTTTCATCAGTGAACATTTTAAAATAAAATTTATATTCAAGCTTAAGCAAAGATTGATACATACTTAAAAAATTTAAATATTGGATTTGAATGATCTAACCTAATTTTTCTTTTTCCAGAAAGAGTTTATGTAAAAATATACCACATAGAATAACTAAAAAAATAAGCAAGTGATACCTTATCTGAGCTCAAAATATCTGTTTCTTTGCAAATGGATAAAGGATTTATTATGTAAGTTTGATGGGTTTGGGGGCACAGAACTCAAAAAGGTTTTGTTTTTTTTTTTAATATCAGAAGGCAATACTGTTTCTGAAAACTGTAGGAAAAGGATTTATAATGCCTTGCCAGAAAGCCTTTTTCCCTGAATGTGCACTTATGTGCTTTGTTGTACAGCAAATCTCCAAGAGTGTCTCTTAATGCTCATTGACATACTAGTTCTCAACAGCACAGGCATACTTATCATGTTTTCTGAGTAAAACCTTGGTTTTATAATATATCTGAAACCAAATATATGTCCTCATGATGACTTGCAGTGGCTTATCTGTAATGATTGCAATTTTTTTCTTGTAAAAAATATCATTTTGGGTTGGGTGTGTTGGCTCACGCCTGTAATCCCAGCACTTTGGGAGGCCAAGGTGGGCTGATCGCCTGAGGTCAGGAGTTTGAGACCAGCCTGGCCAACATAGCAAGACCCTGTCTCTACTAAAAATACAACAATTAGCCGGCATGGTGGTGGGTACCTGTAATTTCAGCTACTTAGGAGGCTGAGGTAGGAGAATCGCTTGAAACCCAGGCAGCAGAGGTTGCAGTGAGCTGAGATCGCGCCAGTGCACTCCAGCCTGGGTGACAAAGTGAGACTCCATTTCAAAAACAAAACAAAATAAACCTTATGAATCTTTAATATATTTATGCTACATGTTAGTTCTTGTTTTTGAAGTATAATGCATATTTGTGAGCAAATGTATTTTAAAATGCCCTTAGAGTTAGTGGTAAGCTCATTCCCAAAATGCCTATTTGTAAGGTTTGATATAGTCTTTAAAATTTGTATCTATAGAAATGTGAGGATAAAAATATATTTTAATACTTTTTTCTTTATTTTTGACCTTTAAAAATTCTCAATGAATAAGCTGATGAGACATAAATTAAAGGTTTTGTTGGCATATAGCAATGAATGAACAGATGTGTAACCTAAAATAGGGAGTGACATTGTTGGGTCCATTTAGTCACCATGGAAAAACAGATTTACATGTTTAACTTCCCCAAATGGAACAAATTCCTTCTTCTCTCACTGTGACTTTTAATTATCAGATTCCAGCTCCATTTTCACTAACGTTGGGCTCCGCTTAGGGCATTGTCCCTACAAATGCCTGAGGGGATTGGAAGCTTGGGAGTTATTATAGTCATTGATCAATGTAGTCAAGAGTTTTTCCATAAAAGAGCAGCTTTTGACTGGTTTCATTACTAAACTTTGTTTCTATGTAGGGAGCAATGCCTTAATCCTTTTCTTTGACTGTCACTTTGAAACACATCAATTGAAAAATATTTTTTTGGAGTCCCTCCATGTTATAGAATTTATCTATGTGGATAAGAAGCAGGGAAGGGAATGATGGTATGAGGAAACCCCAAGTTGAAAAGGGTGATTTTCCTCCTTTTTATGGATCTCACAGGATGGAGGGGAGACAAGGCTAAATGAATAGTTGCCATCCACTGCAATTGATAAGTGCTATAATAGCAACATGCTACAAGTGACCTCTGCCTGGGGGAGAGAAGAGAGGATCCACAGGGGGAGTTTTTCCTGGAAAAGTTTTGTATTAATAGTAATTTAAAAGTGAGTCAGAAGCAAATTGAGTCTGCGAAAGAAGACACAGAATCTTCTACATAGTTTAACAAGAAATGTATTGGCAATAGTTACTAATAATAGGTGTAAAATAATAGATTGGGATGTGATCTATTTCTCTTTTTGTAAACTTTACAATATTTCACATATTTAATATGGTGCTTGCCTATCCCTGTGTCTTATGATTTCTGTTTGTTTTCTTTCTTTTATAGATTATAGCACCTTGAGGACAGAGACTTTATGTTTCTAACTACCCATCCCAGCATCATCTAGTTCATTCCTATGCTGAACAGCCCCTAACACATTGCCTAAATAAATACTAACATTATATGTGTGCAATGAAGTATTCTTTTGCTAAAAGCAAAACTTTCATATGGTCTTACAATAAGCCACTTGTAAGACTAGTTTTAAATAATTACTGATACAAATGCTGCCACTGCCCCCAAAGAAACCTGAATAAAATTATGTTAGGCTGCACTAATTTCAGTGTCAAGCTATTTAACTCTGCTGATAGTCATTTTTTTAAAGATCTTTTGATCTTTAAATTGAGAGAGTTGAACTAAATAATCTTTTAGATATCTTCTAGTTTAATATTCTAAGATTCTAGTAAATATATTGTGTTTGGTCAGGTGTGGTGGCTCATGCCTGTAATCCCAACATTTTCAGAGGCTGAGGTGGGCGGATCACTTGAGGTCAGGAGTTCAAGACCAGCTTGGCCAACATGGTGAAACCCCATCTCTACTAAAAATACAAAATTAGCTGGGCATGGTGGTGCACACCTGTAATCACAGCTACTCGGGAGGCTGAGGCAGGAGAATCACTTGAACCTGGGAGGCAGAGGTTACAGTGAGCTGAGATTGCACCATTGCACTCCAGCCTGGGTGAGAGAGCGAAACTCCATATCAAAAAAACAAAAACAAAGGAACACACACACACACACACATATATATATATAAAATATACATATTTATATATAAATATATATTATATATATTATATATTATATATATAATATATTATATATAATATATATTATATTATATATAATATAATATATATTATACATTATATATAATACATATTATATAATATATAATATATATTCATATATTATATATATTTATATAATATATATTATATATTATATATTATATTATATATTATATATATAATATATATTATATATTATATATTATATTATATATTATATATATAATATATATTATATATTATATATTATATTATATATTATATATATAATATATATTATATATTATATATATAATATATTATATATATTATATATATTATATATTATACATTATATATAATGTATATATACATAATTTACATATATTATTTGCTTTGTGAAATTTAAATTATAGCTTAAAAAATAATGTGAAAATAACACACAGATTTGTATTCTCTGGTGTTTATAAGAAAGAGAAGTGTGAATCATCTTAAAAATGAATGTCTATAGTGCTTTATGAATTACTTTCACAAAAGTGACTTCATTTCTCATTGATGTAGATATTGTTATTAAGTGTGGCTTTATATGTTAAGTAACTCATACAAACTTCCTCTGTAGAAAGCAGACAGGTTTTTTCCTGTCAAACCAATGCTGGTGCCTCAGATGACTAAACCCTAAAGATACTGTAAGTCTGCCTTTACTGTCAGTGAAAGCTCTTGTTTTCCCTTTCACTTCTTTTTTCTCTTTTCCAAAGTGAATATTCTGCTGTGAAGAATGTTTAGCTCCCATGGTGATTTCTAAATGCAGTGTCTGCTGCACTGATGTGGCTGGATGCACACAGGATAGAGGATGCTATCAAGAGCTGATAAAACCCTTTCTAGAAATAGAGAAGAAATATTTATAAGCTTCTGGGGATATCATCAAGAAATTCTTCCAGGGCAGGGAATTAGGTCATTGGTGAAGAACAGATTTTGCCAAGACACAGTTTACTGCGGGGTGGGGCACTGATAACAATATTCTGAAACATTATAAACTCTTTTCCCTAGAAAAGAATTGTATATTTTAACAGATTGCTGGAGCAGATGGAGATATGACATTCACTACTATAATTTACATTAACATGCTACAAGACAGATTTGCCTTAATCAAAAAAAGCCTAAACCACTTCAAAGATTCAGAAACAGCTTTTCATCAGTTCATTTCATCTCATTGAAACTTGATTTAATTTAGTCAATTTTGAAAAAAAAAGACACACTATAAATGTACACCAGGTACAATGATATACTGTAGCAAAATCCTTTGAAATGTTTCATCTTCTAAAAATTTAATTCATAAAAATGATGATGTCTTGTTGCCAAATATGTCTGTTTATTTCATGATGATGTTGCCTGCTTACTGAAATAGAACAGTAAATGATGTATTGCATCTGCTTCAGGAAACAGTAACATTTAAACATCTGTCTAGTATTGTCACATATGTTTACACCTGTACTAATTTTTTTCTTTAGTCCTGTGTCCTCATTTTAATGGAGTTAAAATGTTTGTTTTGTGTATACTCCATCAATTAAACACAGAACTTTCTATACTTGACTTTGATTATGTATGCCTCACCTCCGAAAACCCAATCTAATTCAAGCAAATTATTTGGCCAGCATTAGTAGCCTGTTTAGACCAAAATTAGTTGTTCTATATAATTGTGTTTCTTATAATACATTCTCAATACATATTAGTTGATTTTGGTTTACTTCTTTTTGATTGGGCATATCACCTAAAGTTTAGCTAAATGAAGTTTCTTGGACTTTAGAGTTAACGATGGGCTAGGAATACATTTCTCAGTTTAAACTTAGAATATAGTACACACAATGTTTGGGGGGTGTCTCAGAAATATGTAGCTGTTTCATAGTGTAGTTTTAATTGCTGTTTCACAATGACCTTAAATTAATTTGCACAATAATGAACTCTGGAATTTATTAAGTTGAAATACGAAAATCCATTTGTAGTAGTTGATTACTATCAAAAGAAAATGTATATCCAAAAGTCACATGCACTTTTATTCTCTATTGCATACAAACTCATTTTTATTCAATCAGTTGAATCTTGTATTTGCATTATCTTTTTTAAAACAAAGCAAGATTTGTGAACTTTGATGCAAACAATGACAGGTGGTGAGTCAGAATAAGACTAAGTAAATTAGTGTGTCCAAGTCAATTTCACATATGGTCTGAGCTTTTATGAAGCTGTGCATAGCTCCACGATAATATGTAAAAACTTCTAGCACTTTATATAAGGAAGCTATTAATTATCACCAACCAGAGGAAAATGTTTTCATGAAACAAAGAATTAACAAGATGACAAAACTCACAACTCTTTCAAGGACTTGGATAGAAAATGAGGTATGTTCTGAATAATCGTTAGGCGATAAGGAAACATGGTTTTCCTGCCTAGAGTCACAGAATATTTCTGTTTAAGAAGTCATATTTTAAATGAGTGAAAGAGAAAAATCCCTGAAGTATCAATTAGAGTAGCAACATTACTTTTTATGGCATATGCTAATAAACTATCTTTAAGTGCATTTTTTAAGTATAACCAGGACATCAAGGATTGGAGTCAAACAAAAATCTGTTTTTCTAAGCAGTGGAACCTAGAACATGATCAAAGAAAATATGGAAGGGAAATGATTTGGGGCTTTATAAGGAAATATGGACCAGTGTAAGGATGATTAAAGAAAGCTGCAAGGCAGAATCCCCAATTAAATCCTTTAATTTAAAGGAGAAATGTCTGAGTTAATGTTATAATGATTGTGGTGAGACCCCGCCCCACAGACAGTGAATTAAGAAAGGCTAGAGAAAGGAGAAAAAACAATTTAGTGGTACAACCTGGTGCTTCCATTGGCTAATCCTCTCCCATCACATTTATTAAGCACAACACAAATTGTAGTCATTATTATTGTTAAATAAAAAGAAGACTTCATATAGGGATTGTATGGATGATTACAGATAAATGGGTAAAATTTTTGCACCATATGTAATGTGTGTCCGTGTGGGTGTATGGGGTGTATATTGGAAACAGGTGGGTTGGAAAGAAAAATGGGTGGAGGTTTGATATGGTTTGGCTGTGTCCCTACCCACATCTCATTAACAATTGTAATCGGACCCGTAATCCCTACCTGTGGAGGGAGGGAGATGATTGGATTATGGGGCAGTTTCCTGCATGCCGTTCTCGTAACAGTAAGTTCTCACGAGATTTGATGGTTTTATAAGACGCCCTTTTTCCTTCGCTTCTTCCTCTCTCTCTTGCAACCTCGTGAAGAAGGCGTTTGTTTCCCTTTCACCTCGCACCGTGATTGTGAGTTTCCTCAGGTCTCCCTAGCCATGTGCAACTGTGAGTCAATTAAACCTCTTAAACCTAATTTTATAAACTACCCAGTCTCTGGTATTTCTTTGTAGCAGCGTGAGAAAGGTCTAATACAATTTAAAGGGTGAGTACCCTGGGGCTCTATCTGCTATAATATTTGGGGTAAATGAGAGCTATGGTGGATGTTATATGATAATCATTCTCTTCCCAATGCACAATTCCTCTTTCTGTAAAGAGCCAGAGACTGAAGATGCATTTAAGCTGTTGCCTCCTTATTGGCATCTCTGCAATTTCTCCGTTTTTTCATTGACTCTGATGTTGGACATGATAAAAATTTCTTGTGAAATGCTTACCATTTCTTCTTCTATAGCTGCTTTAATGTTTGGCTAAAGGTAGTTATTTTGTTATCCCCGGAAGAGTAATACATAATTCTGAACTGGGCGTATGTCACTTAACCAAGAATTGTTTCCAACTGTCAACTAAATACAAACTGATTTAGGTATACTGCTTCTTTAAAGTGTTTGTCACAGCACATACAATATCTCAATTGTTATTTATTTTATTGCATAAGTATTCTGAATTTTTAGTTTTTGGTCTGAAACATTTGGTTTAGTCCTTCACTGTCGATTTCTCCTCCAAAGCTGCTAATGCTAACATTACAATAGTAGGCTATCCAAATGGTGATGGTGATCTATCTATCTGCTTATCACCTACCTATCTAATATTCAATGTGAAGAAATCCACACAAATATCACTATAAATTAATGCATGAGCTGTCCATTATAAAGAATATTAATATTGATTAATAAGAAGGCAACAGTCAAACATCCTGCATTTAACTAGTTTGTAGGTTTGTGTTCTTGGGAAAATTGCTAACCCTTTGTGGGCTTTGGTTTTAAGAGTGTAAGAAGGTACAAGATAGTAGAATCATGATGATGTGGAAATGGGAAAAAGATGACTTAAGGAAGGTTTGGTAAACTTGATTGGATAGGATTTAAAGATGTTAGATAAGGAATAGTTCACGGGAGGTGTGTGTTTATGTGTGTGTCTGTGTATTTCCATGTGAACATGGATAGGGTTGGGATGGAGAGAAGGGTCATGGGAATGGACATAACTATCTTCAAATGTTTGAAAAACTGGTACCTGAATGAGGGATTAGATTGTTTTTGTAGTAGGAAAAAAAAAACCCAGCTTTTCCCAGTAGGTAGAATTAACAGAGATAACTCGTTGTTGTTGTTGTTGTTCAATATAATCACTGACAGACTTATTCTTATCCTAAGATAGAATGTTCAGATATAAGCTGGGCAAGCACTTGAATCATTGATAGTGGGGCACTTGTGAGTATGGACTTTGGTTTAGACAGACGTCAATTTGAAAACTAGCTCTAATACTCACTAGTTTTATGACTTTTGGCAAATTCCTTAGTAGCTCTCAGGTTTATTTTCCAATTTTATAACATGAGAGATGACATATATATTAACCACTCGACTTTTTGTGAGATTTAAAAGAGGTAATTACTCAGCAAAGCAAGTACTCAATAAGTTTTTATATTTAGGAATGAGTGACTTAAGGATTGCATGGGAGGGTGTTTGGCTGTCCTGTAGATAAATAAGAATAAAACCCAAATATGGCCGATCTCACCACCCTAAAGATTCACATCAATATGAAAAAAAGTAATTTAATGCACATTTTTAGATAACTCAAACAATACAAAAAGACATAATATAAAAAATAAGTTTCCCGTCTCTTCAATTCTTTTACCTATGGTACCCACTAACATGAATCCTCCCAGAAAACTTTTAGGTTTTGCATAGAAAGTTTAGGATGCTTTTGGATGCCTTTGGTTGCAAGCAACAGAAAGCTCAGCTTAAACTGGCTTAAATAATAGTTTACAAATGTATAAAACTAAAATGTTTAGAAGAAGGAGAAGTTTAAGGCAAGGGTTTAAAATGAGGGCCCTGGGTCTCAGCTTTTGGGGTTCTCAACTTTCTTCTTCATATATTGGGCCTGTTTTGGGTTTGGCTTCCCTTATGGTTAAAAAAATCAAACAACTGTAGCAGCTCCGAATTGTTCAGACAGAGAAAACACCTTTTACAGAGAACTCTAAGCAAAAGTTGTAATATTCACCCTGATTGCTAGAGTCTGTTTTAGTTCAGATGCCCCTACATGAACTAGTCTCTGTGGCCAGGGGATTGGCATTGCTCATTGGATGATACTAAATTATCTATTGTACCCATGAAGTTGGGGGACAACTTAGCTTTTCCAGAACAACATGAGCCCCACATTAACTGGGGACATTTGGAAGGTGGAAAGTAGGATATGGAAGATGGTAAGGTGTTCTAGTTATATATTACTACATGCAAAACCGCCCCAAAGTTATGTGGTTTAAAACAATTGCCACTTTATCAGGCTCACTGATTCTGTGTGTCAGGAATCTGGAAAAGTCAAAGTGAGAATAGCTTTTCTTTCTAATGTCTGCAGTGTCATCTGGGAATATTTAAAAGGCTGGGGGATGAAATCTTTAGAAGGTTTCTTCACTTATGTTTCTGGAACCTGGGCTGGAGAGAAAGAATTCCAGGGAACGAAGTAGAAGTTTTATGACCTTTTCTGACAGAGTCACAGAAGTCACAGTCCACTTCCATTGCATCATTGCAGTGACTTCTGTTGGTCACTAGCAAATCACTAAGGAGCTCAGATTTAAGGGGCAGGGGATTAGACTCCACTTCTTGATGAGAGATGGCAAGGTCACTTGTCAGAAGAATAAATAGGATGGAAGATAATCATGAAAAGTTTAGGTAATAAATCTGCCACCAGAAACAACCAACTAATGAACATTACATGCATTTGTTATTCTTTAAAAAGCTTACCAATGCAACAATGCTGCACAATGTGCTTTTTCCCCCTTAATATTTAATCTTAGAAATTTCTCCCATATTTACTCTAGATCAACCTTATTCATTCTAATGGCTTCAGGGAATTCTATTTTATATATATATATATATATATATATATATACATTTTTTTTTTTTTGAGATGAAGTTTTGTTCTGTCACCCAGGCTGGAGTGCAGTGGTGCGATCTCGGCTCACTTCAACCTCCGCCTCCCTGGTTCAAGCAATTCTTTGGCCTCAACCTCCCTAGTAGCTGGGATTACAGGCACATGTCACCCCTCCTGGCTAATTTTTGTATTTTTAGTAGAGACAGGGTTTTGCCATGTTGGCCGGGCTTGTTTCGAACTCCTGACCTCAGGTCATCCACCTGCCTCGGCCTCCCAAAATGCTGGGATTACAGGCGTGAGCCACCACGCCTGGCCAAATCTATCTTTTTTTAAAAAACTACTTTCACACTGATGAACATTTAGATTATTGTAATTTTTTGCTACTAGAAACTGTGCTGCGATGAAGATCCTTTCAGATATTTTTACATACTTCTGCAAAATTAACCTTAGGATAAATTCTTAGAAATGTAATTGTTGAGTCAAAGCATATGTGCTTTTAAATTTGTGATAGATATTGCCAAGTTGCCTTTCCAAAGGCTGTGTTAATTTACATTTTCATCAACAGTGAATGAAAGTACCTTGTCCACTTTGATCTATGTTTGGTATCATCCAACTTTAACATTTTTACCAGTCTTATAGATGGAAAATAGTATCTTATTGTTGTTTTGATTTAAATTTCTTTATAGTTGAGCGAGGCTGAGAATTGTTCCCTGAGTTTATTGGCCTTTAAAGTTTTCTTTTTGTTGGGCAGTGGGGAGGTGATTATCTGTTCGTATTATCTTTTCTTATTCATGTGAACCTTGTTCAAAATAAAAAGAAATTAACCTTTGGTCTGTTGTATATTTCACACTTTCACCCATTCTGTCATCTGCTTAAGGTATTTATTTGCCATAAAATGCTTTTAATTTCCTATAATTTAAGTTATTAATCTTATACATTTTAATGCATGGGTTATATCTAAGTTTTTCTTATTAAAATTATAAATATATATATTCCCATTTCTTCTCTAGAACATTAATGACTTCATTTCTATGTTTAAATTTTGATACATCTACAATTTGTTTCTACTACTGCTTCATTGATGAGGAAAACATAGCCCAATGAAAATAATTGACTACCTTTAGTTACACAGCTAGTGAGTGGCAGAGCCAGAAAAAGAACCACACATGTCTAGAGTCTACTATTTTCACTAACAGAAAAGACAGAATCCATTTTGGAAAGTTTAAGTGGCAAAGGAATTTATTAATGAAGCTTGCATAGCTCACAGAATCTCTAGGAGAGCCACAGAGGTGCCATGGAAATTTGGCGGTCATGATTGCCCAATCATACCTTGGGGCTTCTGTAATGATGACACCATTGCTATTGCTGCTCTTTGCAGGTGACAAGTGGGGCCGGACACCAGAGGCTCTTTTACTAATGCTCCCAGGAACCAAATGCTTTTGCTATGTCACCATCCAGAAGATCAGTTCCCTAAAGTGCAGCCTCTGTCTTACCTTGCTTAATTGCAAATCTAACTGCATATGGTGCATTTGATTGGCAAAACCTAGGCCACATGGTAATACATTAGGTGCAAGGGAGCCTGAAAATGCAGAAAGTTGGACTTAAAATATGGGAAAATACCAAAATGCAACAAGGGTGTTAAAAGATTTTTGGCTGTTGCCTTTAGGATGCAGATGAGACAAATAGTCCTCATGATAGACTTTTTGAGCTGAATAACTTGGCTGAGGTTATGCTTTTAGAATTTAGCATGAGGAGAGTTAATTCACATATGATTTAGTTATTTTTACCCAAAGCTAAATATTTGAAACTTAGATCCAATTTAATACACCCTTGGTAAGCATCTATCATGAAGCAAGCCCTGTGATGCTGTCCACATTCACTGGAGTTGAAAGAATTCTTTTATATCCTGTAATAAAATTTTCAAGTTATATAGTTTAGTATTCAGGGAGAGGATGAGAAAACACAATTGTTCATATTAAAAGCATCTAATTTTGGCAATTTCCTACTGGTCTTTTGAACCAAAGTATATTTACTTGCTGCCATAAAATGATTGAAAACAGCCATAAAGAGAGAAATTACACATATAAAATGAAATAAAAATGATGAATCTCTTAAAGCAGGCTACCTGTATATTGAATTATTGAATGAAAAAAAGTACTGATAGTATACATAACACCTTTAAACAATACTTTGTAGAGCTTTGTAGAACTACTGAACACGAAATATTTTTGAGAATTTTTAGCCTCACAGGTCATGCTTCAGACATTCAGTTGGCATATGAGGTTTTTTAACCTTATATTTATTACTTTGATTACTTTCATTTGCTACTTTGAGTACTTTTCTGTAAACATGAACAGTTCTTAAAGGGCATCACATCCAGGTACATGGAAATAGAAATAGTCTGAATGCGATAAGAAGCTCTAATCACCTTTGGCTTTCCTTAATCTTCATGAAAAGCTATTTCAGAATTGAATATCTTTTGATTAAAAATGATTCTAATCAACTCTATTACCAACTCTAACATAGAAGTATTTCAAAGTAGATGAAATAAAACAAAATAATTCCACATATCTCTTTAATTTCCAGTTGTATATATTTTTATTGGGAAAGTGTACAGATGTGGGTCTGTAATGATCAGGTATACAGCTGGATGTAGAGGAAGGGGAGGAGGAGAGGAAACAGAATTAAGTCACAACATGTAACTTATAAAAATCACATTCTACCTTTAACATAAAATCATTATCTTAATAAGGATTCTGGCAGGGTGCAGTGACTCATGCCTACAATCCCAGCTCTTTGGGAGGCCAAAATGGAAAGATTGCTTGAGGTCAGGAGCTTGAGATCAGCCTGGGCAACAAAGCAAGACCTTGTCTCTAAAAAATAATTTTAAAAATATTTTAAATCTGTCAGAGTGTCACAGGTAGGAAGTGGATGCCACATAAGCCAAGCAGGGCTGTGTATTCATCCAGCCTTGTGACTTACATTCCAGAGAGATGTGTCAGGCAAAATGGTGACAAAGGGTCCAGAATTACTACTGTTTGAGTAAGACTGCTGAAATGGTTTTGGATTTTGTCCATAGTACAACCATTTTGGTGGTATTTCCACATAGTAGCCTGTGATGAAAGTGTTCCAGACACTGAGAGCACCTATTTGAAATGACTAAGGTTGGAGAAAAGGGAAGAGTGAGTCTACATGCTCAAAATACATTAATCATTCAGAAGGATAGGCTAGAACTGGATAGTTCCAATTGCATTCCACTGCATAGCTCTCAGAAGAGTGATAATACATAGTCGTAGATAAAACGGACTGGTGCTTTTTGCGTTCTAGATTCTGTGGCCCATCTGCAGGTCCATCTACTCATTCAGTCCTCATAGTGACCTTATAAGAATGGTGCTTTTATTATTCTTGTTAAAGAGATGGGGAAACACATTATTCAAGAGTTTAAAAACACATGATCTTAGTTCATTCCTTCTGCTGTGACAAAACACCACAGACTGGGTAATTTAGAAATACTAAATTTATTTCTCACAGTTCTGGATGTTGGGAAATCCAAAATCAAGGTGCTGTCAGGTTGGGTGTCTGTTAAGGGTCTAAGATGCTTATTATCTCTGCTTCCAAGATGGCGCCTTGAATGCTGTGTCCTCATATGGCAGGAGGGCAAAAAGAGCTTAGGGTGGCCGGCTGTGGTGGCTCACGCCTGTAATCCCAGCACTTTGGGAGGCTGAGGTGGGCGGATCACGAGGTCAAGAGATCGAGACCATCCTGGCCAACATGGTGAAACCCTGTCTCTACTAAAAATACAAAAATTAGCTGGGTGTAGTGGCATGCACCTATAATCCCAGCTACTTGGGAGGCTGAGGCAGGAGAATCATTTGAACCTGGGAGTTGGAGGTTGCAGTGAGCTGAGATCGCGCCATTGTACTCCAGCCTGGCAACAGAGGAGTGAGACACTGTCTCAAAAAAAAAAAAGGTTCCTATCCCATTTATGAGGGCTCTACTGGGATTTAAATCCAGCTTTATAAAACTGCAGAACTCTAGCTCCAAACTACTAACTTCACTGCTCTTTCAAAAGCATACTTTTATGTAATAAATGTATCATTACTCTAAATCTCAAAAAGTAGGACAGAAAAAAAAAAAGAAATAAAATGCTTCCACTTGGAAAGCTAAAAAGTTAGTCCCTGGAAAGAATAGATTATTCTAAATAAGCTGTCTTCTGTACTGAGTATTTATTCGTTTATTCATTTGATTAATATTTACTAAACATACACTATATGCCAGATCCTCTGCATAAATTTGATAATTTTTTTTTCAAGGCTTAAAAATCACTAGTTGCTCTTTTTATCATAAAGATTAAGATCTAAAATTCTTGGTTTTCATTGCAGGTTTATCTTTCTCTAACTCTTTTCTGTTTTTTACCTTTTAAAACAACCAGTTCCCGGATATTACGGTTCCCATAACATTTAGTGCTCTTCCATTCCTCCACACATTGGCAGATTCAGCTTCCTCTGCCCAGTTCCTTTTCTCAAAGAGATTGTAGTCTAATAGACATAAAAACAAATAAGTATGATTGAATGTCATAGATAACATAATGCAGGTCTAATCAGAGAAAAATGAGACCAAAAGTAAAAAGTAGTCATAAGTATCAGAATACAAGTAATAAGGGCTGGGGATGAGGTTGGCATTTCCTGAAAAGAAAATCTTCATGAGATAGAAGCTTGAATTGAGTCTTCAAAGGCAAATAGATCCTTCTCAGGAAGACTGAAGGTAGTGAATGCGCGGAGACACTAAGCAGTGCTTGTGTGGGATATGCACAGGGCTAGGGACAAGGTCCTGGGCGGAGGCAGCTGGATCTGAAAATGTGCAGAGGCATAGGCATGGAAGATCACTCAGTGTTATGGGAACTGTGAAATCAAGGAACTGGATGTTTTAAAAGGTAAAAAAAAAAAAAAATAAAAAAAAGGAAAGACTGAAAGATAAACTTAAAAGGAAACCAAGAGTTTGGAGCTTAATCTGTATGATGAAAAGAGCCACTGCTGAGTTTTAAGCCATGAAAAAAATATGATTAAATTTATCTTCCAGAAATATCACTGATATATGAAGGATGAATTTGAATTGTGGGAGAAGTAGTATGGAAATTTAGCCTAGAAAGGAGAGGATAGATGGGAGAAATATTCAGTAAGCATAAAAATAAATGGATAAATTCACTCTCGCCATGCTCTTCCCTGCCAAACCAAACCAAACCAAACGTTGTGACTGTTCCTCACCTAACTATAATTAATGCAGCACAATGCCTGGCAAATAATAGATGCTCAGTTTGGCTCAGAATTATGACCTTGGGGGTAATTTGAAGGAAAAAAATAATTGTTTAGTGGAATGAATTTTAAAATAATCTTGAGGCATAGTGAAAACCTTAACACATTATTCTGTACAATCTTTATTACTTATTCCTGAGAAGTATACTATCAAGATGAAAGAGAACAAAATGACAAACAAATATATTACATTGGTTCTCCAAATGTCACTATAGGTGTCCAATAATAAGAAATAGAAAGGAACTTAAAATAATCAATTTGTGACTTTGTTTGCAAAAGAATCCCTTTGAAAATAGCTTTTGAGTAAATAACCTTTTATAGCTAACCACTTTGGGAAATATTGTTTTCTATTACAAAATCACTTTTGGACCTGAGAGAAATAAAAGATTTAACCTATCTTAGAATCATAATTGTAAGTCTTCATATGGTACTAGTTGTGTTCTCGAAATGTATCCCCCAGCTATGTCAAAAATTGTATTTGTTTTAAAAGTGAAAAATGCCTCTGAATTACAATGGAAAACCTAATTCCAATTCTCACTTATAAATGCCTGCATATCTGTTATTGTACTGTTGTTTATCAGTGAGAATGATATTGCATTGTGGGAAAATAGGTCAGGGTTTTTAGTGAGTACATAACAGCTAAAAAAGAATAAAGTTTACTAATTGTTATCTACATTCAAGTTATGCTAGCAAATAATCATTGCTTGGAGCGAATACATGACTCCCTCTGGACTCAAAGGGTATAGCCATTCAACAAGTGGGAAATTGAGCTTTTAGGTCTGCTTTCATATAATGCATAATGGAACCAAGAAGCAGCAGTATTCCTGCCTTAGTACTTTCTGAAATCACCTCAAAATTCTAATAATTCGTGATTTGAAACTAATGGTCTGTTCACGGTGTGACCTTTTTCCTATGTTGCAAGCAGATAAAAAAAGTTAATTGTAAGAAACCAGACATATTTCCATAACAAAAGAATAAACATATTTATATAGTCACCTGACCAGGCTAAAGACATTTTCTCAGTGCTTATCAAGGTCGGGATTTTATCTTGCTTTTCCTTTAGGACTTTATGTTAACAGGTTGCATTTTGAATTTTCATCTTTAATCATTCTTTCTTACCTGACCTACAGATACACTCATGTTTTGCCTATCTCAAATTTCCTTCCCCAAAGATTTTTCTTCTATTACCTACAGTTAATATTGCCCCCTCTCTTGTTTTTCCTTTACTGCCACAATTTTTCCCTCTGACTCCTTATTTCTGGGAGAAACAAGAGTTATCTGTCTTTGAAACATCAAAACTGAGTCATTTCAACTTCTTCACCTTCAAGATTTACTTCCAATCAGTCACATAGTTTATACATGTTTACGTATCAATTTTTTCATGCCTGTCCTCTTATTTTTAACCTTGCTGTCCAATAGACAACATTCCTAATGTGGGATCTGGATTGTTGTAATTGCCTCCTAACTGGTTTCTTTTCAGAAATCTTTCCCTTTAATCCTTTCTAAACAGAGCTGTAGTAATAATCCTCCTAAAGGTCGGCTTTGAGAATGTAATCTCTATGTTAATAATAATACTACTCAACAACAAAATCCAATCGATTCTTATTTACTAAGCATTCACAACCCTTCAAATTCTGACCCAAATTACACCCACTGCTGTTTCCCCGACTTTTCTCCTTTCTACTCCTATGTGCCAGTTTTCTCATGTTATTCACTCTGTCCCACACCACAGGCTTTTCCATCTCTATGCTTTTCTGTATGTTCTTTTCTTTATCAGAAATCCCATCAACTCCAGTCTTTGCTAGTAGAAATATTATCTATTATTTAAGGCTCAACCTAAATCCCATCTTCTCTATAATTCTTTCTTTGGTTCCCTGATAGGTCACCTCTCTCCTATGAACTGAGTTTTGAAAAATGTTTTTTGTTTGTTTGTTTTTTGTAAAGGCAAGGTATCCGGACAAAAAATTTCTTCTGATTCAGTTATTTTCTTCTGTATAAGTTCATTAATTCTTAATGTTAATGCCCATTAAAGTTCATTAATATTTATTTGTAGAGACAGGCTGATTGCATTTGGTTGGACTAAAAAAATTTAGTTGTAAATGGAATTTTTTGGATACATTATAGTCATTGATCTACATAAGCTCCTGACTTGTTTTCTTTATTACTCTTCATCCCCATTTCCTTTTGCCATTTTCCTGTTCTCCTGTAATGAGTGCAAAGTATATCTTCACTAATGTCTTCTTAGAAGGTATGTACTGCTGCTCATGTGCAAATATATTTAATTTTAATAGATTCTGCTCTACTTCTTGTTTTCTTATGTTTTCATCTATATTGCTCTGTGAAAATATAGTTCATTTATTCTAACTAATGCCTAGTACTCCATGCAGGGTTGTTTTTCAGTTGTTATGCATGTGCATGGTCATACAGGTTGTTCAACTATAGAACTGACTTCATATGGATTGGCAAATATCTCTGCTTAGGGTCTCCTAAAGCCTCCTCCACTGGATCTCTGGATCTCTCCACAATCCAGCATCTACAGGGTTAACACTAAACCCTCCCCCACTTTTCTTTTTGGAAGGGGAGGTGAAAGGTGTCCAGGACGCTGCTTCAGTGCCAAGGCTGGTATTCATTTTGATTGCTTTGAGCATCATTCCTGACTGCTGTGAATCCACCACATTCTGATGATTTGTTCTTCTAGTGACAGACAGCTAGATTGTCTCCAACTGTCTGCCACCTCAACTTTCTGCCACCGCCAACTTTCTGCCTGATGAACATCTTTCTGCATATCCCTCTGGATATGTGTGAGAATTTGGGATATATCATTAGATACAGAAAGTCTGGGTCATATGTTACACTTATCCTTAATTTGATCAAATAATGTCAAGTACTATGGAGGTGTAAGGATGTGGGAACCCTATGTGCTACTGATGGGGATGGAGATTAAAAGTTTATTTCTCTCTCCTCTAGCAATCTTGTAGCTCTGCTCCCCAAGGCTATTCAGGAATACATTTTTATTTCGTTTCAGTGCTCAGTCACCAGCTAGGGACAGTGTAGTTGAAACTGGGTTGCTGACCCATCTGCATTCTCATGAAAACAAGGAAATGAAGGCAGCCCAGGAAAAGCAACTTTCTTTTGAGCAGTGCGGTGGAATTTTTACATACAGTCATGCATTGCTTTATGACAGGAATACGTTCTGAGAAATGTGTTGTTAGGCAATTTTGTCATTGTGCAAACATCATAGAGAGGACTTACCTAAACCTATATGGTATAGCCTACCACACATCTAGCCTATATGGTATAGCCCATGGCTCCTAGGCTACAAACCTGCACTGCATGCTACTGTACTGAATAATTCGGGCAATTGTAACACAATGGTAAATATTTGTGTATCTAAGAACATCTAAACATAGAAAAGGGTATGGTTACAATAAAAATACACGATAAATAATAAGAAAAAGGTACACCTGTAGAGGGCACTTACCATGAATGGAGCTTGTAGGACTGAAAGTTGCTCTAGTGAGTCAGTGAGTGAGTGGTGAGTGAATGTGAAGCCCTACAACATTACAGTATGCTACTGTAGACGATATAAACGCTGTACACTTAAGCTACACTCACTTAATAAATTTTTTTAATAATAACCTCTTACTGGAACTTTTTACTTTACAAACTTTTGAATGTTTTTAACTTTTTCACTCTTTTGTAATAACACCTAGCTTAAAACACAAACACATCGTGCAGCTGTACAAAAGTATTTTTTCTTTCTATCCTTATTCTGTAAGCTTTTTTTTCCTACTTAAACACTTTTAAATTTACCATTTGCTTTCTAAACTGTTCATTAGAAACTGAGACACAAACACAGACATTAGCCTAGGCCTATGCAGGGCCAGGACCATCAGTGTCACTGTCTTCCAGCTCCACGTCTTGTCCCACTGGAAGGGCTTCAGGGGCAATACCCATGGAGCTGTCATCTCCTATGATAACAACGCCTCCTTCTAGAATGCCTTCTGAAGGAACTGCTTGAGGCTGTTTTACAGTTAACTCTTCTTTTAATAAGTAGAAAGAGTACACTCTGAAATAATAATGTAGTATAGTAAATATATATTTACTTGAGTAAACCAGTAACATATTCACTTATTATCATTACTCCACTTATTATATACCATACATGATTGTATGTGCTATATTTTTATATGACTGGCAGCACGGTAGGTTTGTTAACACAAGCACTACCACAAACATGAGAGTAATGCATTGCACTACAATATTATGATGGCTGCAACACCACCAGGTGGTAAAAATTCTTCACCTCCATTATAATCTTATGGGACTACTGTCATATATGTGGTCCCTCATTGCTCCAATTGTTTTGCAGCTCATGACTGTATATTCTAATGGAAAGAACTTAGTCACATTGTCACAATTAACTGTAAGAGAGGATAAGAAATGTAATCTCTAATTGTCTTGCCATGTGCCCAGCTAAAACTATACTATATTTAAAAAGGAAGTAGATTTCATATATTAATTAGAAATCTGCATGCCAATTTAAAAATTGAGGTTTCTCTTTGCTGATTTTCAGAAGTTATTTATATATTAAATGGGTGGGTACTTTATAAGATAATGCTGAATGAGCTTTAGTTGTAGAAAGTTGGTAAGTCTCTTATGAAGAAATACAGACCCTGTGCAGGAAAGAGCTAACTCAGCAGTCCAGGATGGCTCACACTTTGCACATTCCCAAGAAAAGCTGGTTTCTAGGAAAAACCTTTGGTCAGCTCTTAGGAGATGAGTTCAGAGCACTTGGAATAAACTGCTGGATATGAGTGTTTTTGTATGCCTGAGGCCATGGGCCATGAGATACTAGTTTGATCAGACAATTTATGCAAAAATATGATTTATGGTGAACATTTGTGGTCACTCTGTTGAGTGCTACAGTCTGAGTAGCTGAGGTCAGTTATACAAGTATTGTGTGCCTGTGTTACTGACTGCCTCTAAAAATCCTGTACACTGGCTGGGTGCGGTGGCTCACGCCTGTAATCCCAGCACTTTGGGAGGCTGAGGCGGTGGATCACCTGAGGTCAGGCATTCAAGACCAGCCTGACCAACATGGAGAAACCCCGTCTCTACTGAAAATACAAAATTAGCCGGGAGTGTTGGTGCATGCCTGTAATCCCAGCTACTCGGGAGGCTGAGGCAGTAGAATTGCTTGAACCCGGGAGGTAGAGGTTGTGGTGAGCCAAGATTGCGCCATTGCACTCCAGCCTGGGTAACAAGAGCGAAACTCTGTCTTAAAAAAAAAAAAAAAAATCTTATACACCAAGGCTTGAGTGAGTTTCCCTGATTGGAAACACTGAATACATGTTGTCACACATTGCTGCCAGGAGAATTAAATGCATCTGTCAACTTCACTGAGAGAAGACACTTATAAGCTTGTGTTTTGTTTCTCCTAGAGTTTGCTTCATAAGCCTTTTTCTTTTGTTGATTTCAACTGATGTCCTTTTGCTGTAATAAAGAGTAGCTGAGTATAATATCCTTTCTGAATCTAGTGATCTTCCTACTGAATCATCAAGCCTGAGGGCCATCTTGGGAACACCTGACACAGACCCAAATTTCATCTCTGAAATAAAAGAAGTTCAGTACTTTAAAATACTTATAACCAAATGCATAAATGTATACGATTTCAGAAAAATGTCCTCCCCCATCCTTTTAAAAAAGTTTCTGAGAATAAATTGGGTATCTGAGAAAGTTGCATTAAGTCTTTCAAAACACAAGAATACTCTGTAACTGAGTGAATCTGTCATTGAGTCACATTTAAAATGTTTACAGCATTAAATATATCAATTGATCTTGTTTAGAGTCAAATTGATCAAGATTCAGCAACTGAAGTTGTAGGGGTTGGGGGGGTACACTGTCAAGCACCACTTTGCCATACTTGATAAGACCTATTGTTCACTGCTTGAGAGAGCTACCTCAAGGAAAGAATTGGAAAAATAACACCCTTTTACTATGACAAGTAGAGTTGGCATGGAAACATTGTTATAATATGTTGGCATGGTAACCACCCTCTCCATGGTCCTGAAGGACCAGAGGAGTAGGGCTTGACATTTTGGCACATTATTTAGGACGTTGCTGATCCCTGATTCAACTCAATACTTTTATTTTGGGTTCTTATTTATTTTTCTATTTATATTATCCTGAAAAAATTCTGCTTATGGATATTACTCTTAACTTGATCATCTAGCACAATCATTTTTCCATGGAAATTGCCTTAGAAGTCATTGAATTTATTTATATAGTGGTCATAAAAAGTTTTTCTCTTGAAATAATTCCCATTGGCCAAATAGTCTACTTCCTATTATCCATGTTTATTTTCACTCCATTAAAATGTACTCATTTAATGATATCAGATATAAAACACACTGCACAATTATTGTGTTTAACTTCCAGGTACCATTGAAATTTTATTATTTAGGTAGCAGAAATAAAACTGAATGCTTGGGTAAATAGAAGCCAGTACTGGCAAACACTCATTGCACACTCAGTTTATCATAACTATTAAAAATTTGGGAGTAATGGAGGGAAATAAAAACAGAATATAAGCTGCCTATTAACCTTCAAGATGATAATTTAGTGATTTATTAGCTGTTTAGTCTGTTTTAGATTGAACCATATAAAATTACCATTTTTGTAAGTAAAAAATGAGTGATTATTAGCAATTACAAACAGTTCAACCCAATATTTTTCTGATCCTTTTTAGGGTGTAGTGATACAGTGTGATTCTTAAGCAATTAAGTCATCTGATTGACAGAATTTATATCTGAGTCATCTTTAATACCTACACTATGTCTTGAAGATGGTGTTTCATATAATACATATTTGTAGAAATATTTGTGATTTATCTGGCTGTCAAACATCAGTTTCCATTTCTAATGGCACTCTGTCTTTGTTTTGTGAAATTACCTCTCTCTCATTATGGGCAATCTTGGTGGGAGGTAATACTGGTGATGACTGCACACCGTGAAGCTGAAGTATTGAGACTCTCCTTCTCCTTGCCAGTTAATGGGCCCATGACATAAGCCAGGTCAAATGAATGCCTGGAAAACTAAAAATCTAGATAATAATGTAGGAGTTGGAAGAGTGGTCAGGTTAGCAACAAAGTAATCACCAGACATTTTATGCTCTGACTGAACCTTTGGTTTCTGCCTCTTGTTCCTCTGTAGCTCCTTGGCACCTGCCCACTTTTCAGCATGACCTTCTAGCAATTCTGTGAGCTTTCCAATATACTTCCTATGAGTTACTTTTATTTTAAATTTGAATTTGTTTCAGTTGCATATAATAAAGAACCATACTGATGGAATATTTATTGTTTTACTCATTGACTCATATGCATAAGTCAGAAATAAAAAATGCATAAATAAATAAATCACTATGAAGTGTAAAGAAAATGCTGATTATCCAATAGCCCTCCCCAAATGCCAACTTTCCCTCTAAAGCAATCCTTACAGAAAAATCTCAGAGGAATAAGCTACTACTCAGCTATTTTGAAGAATAATTTTTTTTGAGATTTTTTACAGTGACCTCTTTTTGCTATCTACTTCTGTCAGCTAAAAATCGACAAGAGATAGATTACAAATAATTCAAAACAACTGAATGATTAATTCCTACTTCTTAACATACAATTAATCATTTATTAGACATTTATTGAGTACTTACTATGTGCCCAGCATTATACTTTGCCCTGTAGAAACAAGGTTAAATAAATAATAAATGATTATTACAATGTATCTGCACTAAGGAGAAATCAGTCTAGTCATGGGGAGAGAAATACACAGAATGAAATAGAGTAAGTTCTGTGTTTGAGTTTTGGCCAATGCAATGAGAGTCTAATGGAGGAAAACCTACATGTCTGTGAAAGAGGAAACTACATATGTCAAAGCAGAGAAAATGATACTTGGGTTCACTATTGAAAGAGAGGAAATTTTTACAAATGGGAGGAACAAGAGGTAAGAGGATAAAGTTGATTAGTCATAGGAGTATGATAAAGTTGCTCAGTCATTGCATGTAATAGGTATATCATCGATACAAAATTTAGTGACAATACAGAAATTTTTAAATGGATAAGAAGGTTGATAAGTTGTGCAGGTTACACTGACATTTTAAATTAACTATGATTTTTGAGGATTCTTACTCTCCCTTTTATTAATCCAATAACCAAATTGTGAATTTAAGTCAAGAAATTCTTTTGGCTATGTTTTACAAGAACAACGCAAACATTCCTGCAATGAAAAGAAACCCTGCAATGTAAATAAAACTCAGAAGCTTACTTAATCTGAAAATGGAATTATCTGTTTTGAACAATACTGAATTTGAATGTGACACTTGACGTTCCTTTTCTGTTTTTATCTCAGAAGACACACTTGTTCTCATACTTCTATCGTTTAGGCTAGCTAAATTATCAATTTTACATGGTTTGTATATCTATCCCCAGCAAACTTGAGCCAAAGAGGAGTCATTTAAAAATAAGTGTGGTTCATTTCCCTGAACTCAGCCTTGAGTATATGTAATTCTAGAGCAAGAGGGAGGGAACTAGGAAGCATTGATTCACAGATGTTGCTATGCTGTCATCATGATGCTTCTAATGTTCCAATGCAGTATTTACTGAGCAATCAGAAAATGCCTATCTTTCCCCTTATTTAATTCACCTGGATCAAACATATGTAAGGACTGTAATGTTCTTCATTATTAACAGATACAGTCTATACTCATTTTTTTTTTACCCTGTTCCTTTCTGCCTTCTGTGATGTAAGAGTTTTGTCTAGCGAAAATCACCTTTAACTTCAGCCTTATTTAAACCTTTGCATAAAACACAAATCATATGAAGAGACTGTAAGACTTTTGTCAGTAAGAATGGAAAGCTTTAGTTACAATGACTATATTAAGTACAGCTGTTCACCTTGGGAAAGAGGAAATTAGATGAGGCCGTGGTGAGAAGGACAGCTCATGCGAAAATGTCTCAGATAATTTTTATTTATACTCTAGTAATATGGGACAGCTCTCCTCTTAATTATGGGCTACATTGGAATAAATCCTCAGACTGGAGCATTATGGTTATTGTTGGGATGCCAATTGTCACCCTTACTCTTAAGAGTGTTGCGGATCCTGTGTAGAACATAGTTATTGAGCTACAAACATCCAGCCATGAGGGGAGAGTGGGATGATTTACTCCAAGTGGGATGATTTCCAAGGGTCACGAGTTAAGGGAGAGAAAACCACATCAATCAATGGCCACCCTGTAATTTGTTTATTGTCCAAGAAAGAACTGAAGCTTTTTATTACACCAGTTTTATTCAGTTGAGTTTAACACTATTGTATTAGGCCGTCCCTCTGTTCAAATGATAGAAAAGGACTAGTGACCCTAGGAAAAGAGAATTATTAGCTTCCTACTGGGGACAGAGGAGGATAAAAAGAACTGTGAGAAAAAAGTAGTCACAGTAGGGTCTTTTTGGAACAAACCATCTAAAGGTATCTTTCTTAGCTTCCACATTTGCCTTCATGGGGGAGCTTCATGTGTGCAATATTTACCCAATGTTGGTGTTTGGTGAGCATGCCCTAGTGAAAGGCAGTTAGAGTTTCAGTTACCCAGAGAACCAACTCTTGGGCAGAGACAATATGGATCTATGTTTAGATAGATGTTGATAACTCAGCCAATAACAAAGACAGAGGGGATTTCTAGAGAGAGTGATATAGTCTAGACTTGATCACATATTTGGGGAATAGGAGAG
Organism: Homo sapiens; assembly: GCF_000001405.40. Classification (NCBI taxonomy): domain Eukaryota; kingdom Metazoa; phylum Chordata; class Mammalia; order Primates; family Hominidae; genus Homo; species Homo sapiens. Next base: position 86,840,639 of record NC_000008.11, read on the forward strand.
ATATTGCAACCTTGCCATCTTCTAATAGAGATATCTCTTCCATTTCTTTTTCTTCTGGAGCAATGTAATATATTTTCACTGATCATCTTACAAGATTAGTTAGAAAAAACTCTAAAATAGATTTTTCAAACACTTCTCTATGAAAACTTTCAATTTGTTCTGAAACTTAGACAACCTGTCTCAATTTGTTCTAAAATTGCTAGTATCTTCCTTTTGAATGCAAAATTAAGAAAAAACAAATCTAACATTTAGTTTTTTTTAAATTTCTGGTCAAAATTGTCTTTAAAATTTTACTTACAATTCATTTATTTTAGGTTTTATGATTCTACTTTTGTCATGTTGTAATAAAGAATATAATAGCAGGAAATTAAAGAGTTTTTGACAAATAGAATTTCTGTACTTTGAGTTAACAAATAAATGGTCTCTTGTTTTCTTCTCTCTCACTTATTTTTTGGAAAACATGCTGTATTAGTCTGCTTGAGCTACTATAACAAAATACCATAGACCTAGTAGTTAAACAACAAAAATTTACTTCTTTACAGTTTAGGAGGCTAGAAGTCCCAGATCAAGGTCCAGCAGAATTATTTTATAATGAGGACTTTCTTCCTGTCTTCTCTGTTTCATCAAGTATCAGTGGGAGAGAGACAGAGAGATAAAGAGAGAAAACGAGAGAAAGAGAGAGCAACAGAGAGCAAGGAAGAAAGCTCTCTCTAGTGTTGTCTTATAAAGGCACACTGGGAATTAGGGCTTCAACATATAAATTCATGTAGGACACATTGAGTCCATGACACGTAGTATACCTTCATATCTTTATCTTAGATGAAATTCAGGCCTATTCTGATCCTCTTTAAAACACCTTTTCTCTTTGATTCTTTTAGCAAATGCTTATATTAATTTAACTTTCTGCATTCTTTTGCTAGGCCGTTCTTGTTTGTGCTTTGCATTATACTCGATGTTGGTTGGAAGACATGGTCTCTGTTTGAGAAGAAGTTGCATCAGTTGAATTATTATAATTAACATTTACTTCAGAATTACTATGAAGATAGAATAATTTAATGTTGGTGGAAGCACTTTGTAAATTGTCAGGTGTTATATGCAGATGGTTCCCAGTTTATGATGGCTTGACTTTACATGGGTTTGTTTGATTATAACCCCATTATAAGTAAAGGAGCATCTGTGCATGTAAAGCAGTACTGCTATATTATTTAATAAAGGCCTGTTGATATGAACAATGATTTTTTGGATATAATTTCAAAAGTATAGGCAAAAAAAGTAAAAATAGACAAGTGGTATTACATTAAACTAAAAAGCTTCTGAGTAACATAGGAAACAATCAACAGGGCAAAAAGACAACCTATGAAGTGGGAGAATATATTTACAAACCATACATCTGATAAGGAGTTTATAGTCAAAATAAATAAGGAGCTCAGACATTTCAATAGTAAGAAATAAACAAACAAAAAACAATTAAAATATGGGCAGGACGGGCAGAGCAAGATAGCCAAATGGAAGACTCCACTGATCATCCCCCTTGAAAAAACAGCAAATGTAACAACTATCTACACACAAAAAATTACCATCATAAGAACCAAAAGTCAGGTGAGCTCTCACAGTATCTGGTTTTAACTTCATATTGTTGAAAGAGGCACTGAAGAAGGTAGGAAAGACAGTCTTGAATCACAGATGTCATCTCGCTCCCATTCTGTGGCAGTGGTTGTGTGGCATGGAGAGAGAATATGTGTTTCGGAGAAGGAGAGTGCAGCAATTGTGAGACGTTGCATTGAACTCAGTGCTGCCCAGTCACAACAGAAAGTGAAACTGAGCTGAACTCAGCTGATGCATGTCCACAGAGGGCATATTTAAAACAGCCCTACCCAGAGAAGAATCATCCATCCCAGTGGTCAGAATGTGAGTTCCAGCAAGCCTTGCCACTTCAAGCTAAAGTACTCTGGGACCATAAATAAACTTGAAAGGTAGTCTAGGACACAAGGACTGCAACTTCTGGGTTAGTCCTAGTATCAAACTGGGCTTAGAGCCAGTGGACCTAGCGGGGGTTGGCGGGGGGGGGGGGGTCACATGACCTACCGAGACATCATCAGGCTGGCTAAGGGAGTGCTTGCAACCCCCCCTTCCAACCTCAGGCTGCACAGCTTGTGGCTCCAAAAGAGACCCCTTCTTCTGCTGAGCAGAGGAGAGGGAGACAAAAGAGGACTTTGTCTTGCATCTTGGATACTGGCTCCACTACAGTAGGATACAGTACCAGTCAGAGTTGTGAGGTCCCCTTCCCAGGCTCTAGCTCCAAGATAGCATTTCTAGACACGCCCTGAGCCAGAAAAGGGAAGGACCTACTCCTGGCAGGACCCAACATCTGCTGACTAAAGAGCCCTTGGGCCCTCAGTAACCAGCAGTGATACTGAAGTAGTACTCAGTGGACATTGTATGAGTCTCTGAGACTCGCTGGCTTCAGGTGAGACTCAGCTGTTGTGGCTATGAGGAGAGACTTCTTCTGCTTGAGTAAAGTAGAAGGAAAAGTAAAAGAGGATTTTGTCTTGTACCTTTTGTACCAGCTCGGCCACAGAGGTGTACAGCATCAAGTAGGCTCTTGGGGTCCCTAATTCTAGGCCTTGGCTTGTGGATGGCACTTCTGGACCTGCCCTGGGTGAGAGGGGAGCCTACTTCCCTGAAGGGTGAGTCCCAGTCAAGGCACCATTCACTATAATCTGACTGAAAAGCCATTTGGCCTTAAGTAAACCTTGATAGTAGCCTGGCAGTATGCCCCATGGGCTTGTGGTGGTGGTGGCCATAGATGAGGCTCCTCTGCCTGTGGAAAGGGGAGGGAAAAGTGGGAAAGACTGAATGCATCTCGTGGTTTGAATGCCAGCTCAGCTGCATTTCAGTATGGAACACGAGGTAGACTTTTAAGATTTTTGGCTCCAGTCTCTGGCTCCTTGAGGGCACATCTGGACCTACCCAGGGTGTGGGGCAACTTGGTTCCCTGAAAGGAAGGACACAAGCATGGGCTGGCTTCACCATCTACTGATTGTAGCAACATAGGTCCCTCAGCAAACATAGGCAGTAGCCCAAGTGGTGTTCACAGCAGGCCTTGGGTGAGACTTAGTGCTATGCTGGCTCAGGTCTGACACAGTAAAGTCCCAGTGTTGATGGCCACAAAGATGCTTCTGTATCTCTCCCCAAGCTCCAGGCAGCTCAGCACAGAAAGAGAGACTCCATATGTTTTGGAGAAAGTAAAATAAGAGAACAAGAGTCTCTGACTGGTAATCTAGAGAATTCTTCCAGATGTTATCCAAGGTACTGCTATGAATCTGCAAGAACCACAGCATTACTGGGCTTGAGGTGCCCCATAAGGCATACATGGCTTAGATCACAATACTGAAGTCCTTTTTGAATACCTGGAAATCCTTCTCAAGAAGGACAGGTATAAAGAAGCCTAGACTATGAAGACTACAATAAATACCTAATTCTTCAATGCCCAGAAACAGATGAACATCCGCAAGCATCAGGACCATCCAGGACTACATGTCCTCACCCAATGAAGTAAATAAGCCACCAGAGGCCAATTCTAGAGAAAGAGATACGTGACACTTCCGATAAAGAATTCAAAGTAGCTCTGTTGAGGAAACTCAAAGAAATTGAAGATAACCCAGAGAAGGAATTCAGAATTCTATCAAATAAATGTGTGAAAGAGATTGAAATAATTAAAAAGAATTAAGTAGAAATTCTGTGGTTGAAAAATGCAATTGACATAGTAAAGAATGCATCAGTCTTTTAATAGCAGAATGAATATGCAAAAGAAAGAATTAGTGACTCTGATGACAGACTATTTTAAAACACACAGAGGAGACAAAAGAAAAAAAAAAGCACGCCTAGAATCTAGAATCTAGAAAATATTCTCAAAGGGTAAAACTTTTTATTATTATACTTCTAGGGTACATGTGCACAACGTGCAGGTTTGAAACATAGGTATACATGTGCCATGTTGGTTTGCTGCACCCATCAACACATCATTTACATTAGGTATTTCTCCTAATGATATCCCTCCCCCAGTCCCCACCCCCTAACAGGCCCTGGTGTGTGATGTTCCCCGCCCTGTGTCCAAGTGTTCTCATTGTTCAATTCCCACCTATGAGTGAGAACATGCAGTGTTTGGTTTTCTGTCCTTATGATAGTTTGCTGAGAATGATGGTTTCCAGCTTCATCCATGTCCCTGCAAAGGACATGACCTCATCTTCTCAAAGGGTAAATCTAAGAACTATTGGCCTCGAAGAGGAAATAGAGAAAGAGATAGGGGTAGGAAGTTTATTCAAAGGTATAATAACAGATAACTTCCCAAACTTAGGGAGATATATCAATATCCAAGTACAAGAGGTTATAGAGCACCAGCAGATTTAACCCCCCAAAAAACTACCTCAAGGTGTTAAGTAATCAAACTCCCAAAGGTCAAGGTTAAAGAAAGGATCTAAAAGCAGCAAGAGAAAAACAGATAATGCACAATGGCACTCCAATATGTCTGGCAGCAGAATTTTCAGTGGAAACCTTACAGGCTGGGAGAGTGTGGCATGACATATTTAAAGTGCTGAAGGAAAAAAACCTTCACCCTAGAAAGGTGTATCCAGTGAAAATGTCCTTCAAATGTGAGGGAGAAATACAGACTTTCCCAGACAAAGAAAAGTTGAGGGATTTCATCAATACCAGACCTATCCTACAAGAAACGCTAAAGGGAGCCATTCAGTCTGAAAGAAAAGGACGCTAATGAGTGATAAGAAATCATCTGAAGGCACAAAACTCACTGGTAATAGTGAGCACACAGAAAAACACAGGATATTATATAAGTGTGTAACTGTAGTGTGTCAACTACTCAAGTAGAAAGACAAAAAGATGAAGCAATCAAAAATAACTACAGCAACTCTTCAATATATGTACAGTACAATAAGATATAAATAGAAACAACAAAATGTTAAAAAGCTGGGGGACAAAGTTCAGATGTAGACTTTTAATTCGTTTTCTTTTTGCTTGTTTATGCAAGCAGTATTAAGTTGTTATCAGCCTAAAATAATGGGTTACAAGATAATAGCAAGCCTCATGGAAACCTCAAATCAAAAATCATATAATGGATACACAAAAAATAAAAAGCAAGAAATTAAATTATACCACCAGAAAAAAATCACCTTCACTGAAAGGAAGACAGGAAGAAACAAAGGAAGAAAGAGAAGACCAGAAAACAAATAAGAAAATGGCAGGAGTAAGCTCTTACTTATCAATAATAACAATGTAAATTGACAAACTTTCCAATAAAAAGACATTGAGTAGCTGAATGAATTAGAAAACAAAGCCTGACAATCTGTTGCTTACAAGAAACACACTTCACCTATAAAGTCGCACATAGACTGAAAATAAAGGAATGGAAAAAGATATTCTACGCAAATGAAAACCAAAAGAGAACAGGAGTAGCTATACTTATATCAGACAGAATAGATTTCAAAACAAATAATTTTAGAAGAGATAAAGATCATTATATAATGATAAGCAGGTCAATTCAGCAAGAGAATATAATTGCAAATATATATGTACCCAACACTGGATCACTCAGATTTATAAAGTAAATATTATTAGAGCTGAAGAGAAAGATAGGCTGTAATACAATAACAACTGGAGACTTCAACATCCCACTTTCAGCACTGGAAAGATCTTCCAGACAGAAAATCAGCAAAGAAACATTGGATTTAATTTGCACTGTAGATCAAATGGACCTAATAGATATTTACAGGACATTTCATCCAATGGCTGCAGAATACACAATCTTATCCTCAACACATGGATTATTCTCAAGGACAGACTATATGTTAGGTTACAAACAAGCCCTAAAACATTCAAAACATTGAAATAATATCAAGTACCTTCTCTGTCCATGGTGGACTACCACTAGAAATCAACAAGAGGAATTTAAATGAGAGGAATTTAGAAACTACAAACACATGGAAATTAAACAATATGCTCCAAGAATAACCAGTCAGTCAATGAAGAAATTAAGAAGGAAATTGATCAATTTCTTGAAACAAAAGATAATAGAAGCACAACATACCAAATCCTATGGGATACAGTGAAGGCAGTACTAAGAGGGAAGCTTATAGGTATAAGTGTCTACATCAAAAATAGGAAAAACTTCAAATAACCTTATGATGCATCTTAAAGAACTGGAAAAGCAAGAGCAAATCAAACTCAAAATTAGAATAAAGATCAGAACAAAAATAAATGAATTTGAAATGAAGAAAACTATACCAAAGATCAATGAAACAAAAAGCTGCTTTTTAGAAAGATAAACAAAATTGATAAACCTTTAGCCAGACTAAGAAAGATAGAAGACCCAAATAAATAAAATCAGGGATGAAAAAGGAGACATTACAACTGATACTGCAGACATTCAAAGATCATTAGTAGCTATTATGAGAAACTATATGCCAATAAATTCAAAAATCTAAACGAAATGGACAAATTCCTAGTCACATGCAACCTACCAAGATTGATTCATGAAGAAACCAAAAACCTGAATAGAACAATAACAAGTAAAGAGATTGAAGCTGTAATAAAAAGTCTCCTAGCAAAGAAAATCCTGGGAACCAATGGCCTCACTGCTGAATTTTACCAAACATTTAAAGAAGAACTAATACAAATCCTACTCAAAGTATTCTGAAAAATAGAGGAGGAGGAAATACCTTCAAACTCATTCTATGAGGCCAGTATTCTCCTGATACCAAAACCAGGCAAAGATGCATAAGAAAGAAAGGAAGGAAGGAAGGAAGAAAGAAAGAGAAAGAAGGAAAGGAAGGAAGGAAAGAAAGGAAAGAGAGAAAGAACGAAGGAAGGAAGGAAGGAGAAAAGAAAGAAAGAAATAAAGAAAGCTAAGGCTAATATCTGAGAGGGAGAGAGAGAGAGGGAAGGAGGGAGGGAGGGAGGAAGGAAGGAAGGAAACAGGAAGGAAAAAAGTAAGGAAAAAGAAAGGAAGAAAAAGGAAGAGGAAAGGGAGGGAGGGAGGGAGGGCTAATATATCTGATGAATATTTATTCAAAGATCTGGCTGGGTGCTTTAGCTCATGCCTGTAATCCCAGCACTTTGGGAGGCTGAGGTGGGAGGATCGCCTGAGGTCAGGAGTTCGAGATTAGCCTGGCCGACATAGTGAAACCCCATCTCTACTAAAAATACAAAAATTAGCTGGGCGTGGTGGCAGGCGCCTGTAATTCTAGCTACTCAGGAGGCTGAGGCAGGAGAATTGCTTGACCCTGGGAGGTGGAGATTGCAGTGAGCTGAGATCGCTGCCACTGCACTCCAGCCTTGGTGACAAGAGTGAAACTCTATCTCAATTAAAAAAAAAATTGATGCAAAGATCCCCAACAAAATACTATCAAATCACATTCAGCTGCACAATAAAAGGATCATATTTCATGACCAAGTGGGATTTATTCCAAGGATACAAGAATGATTCCACATATGCAAATCAATCAATGTGATACATTGTATCAAGAGAATAAAGGACAAAAACCACATGATCATTTCAATTGATGCTGAAAAAGCATTTGATAAAATTCAACATCCCTTCATAATAAAAACCCTGAAAAAACTGGGTATACAAGGGATACACCTCAACATGATAAAAGCCATAAATGACAGATCTGCAGCTAATATACTGAATGGGGAAAAAACTGAAAGCCTTTCCTCTAAGAGCTGGAACATGACAAGGAAGCCCACTGTCAATAATGCTGTTATTCAACATAGTACTGGAGGTCCTAGCTAAAGCAATCAGACAAGAGAAAAATATAAAGGGCATCCAAATTGGAAAGAAAGAAGTCAAATTATCCTTGTTTGCAGATTATATGATCTTGTATTTGGAAAAACCTAAAGACTCCACCAAAAAAACTATTAGAACTGATAAACAAATTCAGTAAAGTTGTAGGATAGAAAATCAAGATACAAAAATCAGTAGCATTTCTATTTGCCGATAGGGAACGATCTGGGTGGGAGGATTGGGGAGATGTTGATAAAAGGATACCAAATTTTAGTTAGAAGAAATACATTCAAGAGATCTATTGTATAACGTAACTAGAGTTAATAATTATCTATGTATTTGAAAATTCCTAAGAGAGTAGATTTTGTCTTCTCACTGCAAATAAATGTAAGGTAGCACATAGCTTAACTAGTTTGATTCAGCCATTCTACAGTGTATGCATATTTCAGAACATTATTTTGTATACCATAAATATAGATAATTTTTATTTTTCAATTGAAAATGAATACATAATAACAAAAAGCCAATTCTGAATAAAATTATACAATTTTGAACCCTTGGGAGCAAAGTTATCTTTGGTCTGTAGATGCGTTCTCGATGGGTTAAGAATTTTTTTTTTTTTTTTCATTTTAGAGACAGGATCTCACTCTGTTACCCAGGCTGCAGTGAAGTGGTGCAATCATGTCTTACTGAAGCCTCAAACTCCTGGGTTCAAGTGATACTCCTGCCTCAGCCTCCCAAAGTGCTGGGATTAAAAGCATGAGCCACCATGCCTGGCCGAGGGAAAATATTTTTAAAGTGTCCATTATGTGCTATGCTTTGTTTTACGGACTAGAGACATAATAAGAAATAAGAAATGCCTTCAAAGAGTTGTAGGCAAGATGATGTGGGCCTAATTGCCTATGAGGTATTGGAAGTGATTCTTTTGTCCCATAGGGGTCCTCCACAGAAAGGGATCAGTTCAATTAGGCCTTTGAAGATAGTGGTCATAATCTGTTCTCTTCATTTCAGAACAGATATTCTCCCAGAGACAAGCTAACATTCTACATTTTCCTGTGGGCTTGTTTTGTACCTAACTTGGCTCTTTGGGTGCAGTGAAGTTGTTCTCCTGACTGCAATACTAGCTCTTTCTCTATGCCTTATCTGCTTTTGATTCTCTCTCATGTCAGTTGTGTGCTTTTGTCTGCTAATTATTTGGCTGTAATTAACAACTAAGTCATTTTTTCTGATTTATGCCACAACTGACTTTTACCACATGACCCACCCCCATCATCCCAGGGACCTAATCTTGTTCCTGATCTTACAATAATGAGTGGATTGCAAATTCGCTATCACTTTTTCCTTGGTGGTGCTTATTTCACAGTTCAGTTCTTGACCCAAAGCATCAGATCACCCCAAAGAATAATTGTAACTGTGGAGATAACACATACTCATGTATTTAGGTAGTGATGGTTCCTTGAATACTTAAGCACAATTTTATTTTCTTCACTTTACTGTGTCGTAAGATTATAATTTAAATAGGTACATATATTAACCGGAAGCCAGATTATGTACAGAAAAGAGTATATTACATCTTTTATTTAATTACATTATTCTGAAAGTTCAGATGCTTATTTGTGTTTTATTATGTTTGTATTCACTTATGAAAATAATCATATAGTAATTGGCATAAGAAGTATATTTTTTAAAGAAATACATTCTCTATCAAATTCTTTGAGGACATGCCTAACCATTCCTGAATAATAGCTTTTTTATCTTAAATTTATTCCAGCCTTCTACTCCTACATGAAGAATGTTGCTTAGAATTGGAGGAAGGCTGATCTGTCTTCTAGGATCAGAATCATACATTGAAAACATAAAAGAAGAGAGGGGCCACATATTAAAGTGATGGACATTGTTGATACATATAGTTAATTAGAGCTATCATTCTCTTGGATACTTTCAGTCACTCCAACAGTAGTCATAGATGGCATCATAAAATCAAATATTTTCAGTAGTCCATTACACAAATGATAGGGAGTATGTCAGTGTGTGAGTCGGCCTCAGTTGGACTGGCGTGTAACTACTACACAGAGAGCAGTGTAAACTTGGTTATAATAAGTTCCTTCAGAAGTCTTGGGTTCCATTGGTGGAACCTTGTGCTAGTAAATAAATCTATTTGACTTGTTTTGAGTCTTTCTGGTGCAAACTCTTGTCTGGATACCCATTCCCTTCTAGCCTGCTCATCCTGCAAGTTTCCATATCTTTCTACCTCAACCCATGGAAAGAACTTGTGATGACTATTCTCCTCATTTAACAACTTTCCTGCTATAATGCTCCCTGGATTCTACTGAGAAAAGAAGACTTACTTATCGTATTTAATGTTTTTTCCATCTATATAATTTCAATTCAAAAATTAAGTACTTCCTAGGTATATCTTTGTTATGAAGATATTCCAGTGCTGAAGAGTGCTGCAATGCCTGTTAAATCAGTTTGTCCATAAGTAGTAATTCTAAAACCATTAAGTCTTATAACATAATCTCTTTTAATCTAAAATTATATATTGTTTGGATTCTCATTTGCCTTAGATATTTGTTCTGATGCTTTCAACCCATTCTGAAACTTGCTATTATTGTAGTGAGTGTAATACTGACAATTCACTAAAACTGTAAATGCTCTTGGGAAAGAAAAAATATACAATGGCTTCTTTTTGATAAGAACTCAAATTCAGTGGCCTAAATTTATCGGTATTTTTTTTGTTTTTTAACTTTTTATGAATAGACAGATGTGGCTGGAACCTAACAGCAATTCCAGACAGTTTTGACAATTTACCAGGAGACTGTAGAATGACTTTGATGCTTTTGAAAATATAGCTAAGAACAGATATCTCAACTGGGGTCATCATCAGTCAACTGTTCAGCTTGACAGTCTTTTTCAATGTTTAGTCAAGACAGTATTGAACTAGCTTTTTTCTTTGAAAAATTTTTATGATATTTTCCCCAGAGCACCTGCTTTTAAAACTTAAAAATGTATGTGGTATTCTAAATTTGGGGCTCAAAACATGTCTTAGATTTGATTTCAGTTCAATAAGGATAATTTAATATGAAGTAAGTGAGTATAAAATTGAGAATCTGTTTAAGATTTTAAATGATTCATATAGTAATACATTCTTAGCAATGATTGGTGCTAATACAGGCTCACTTATTTTTTCTTTGCTATGTAGCTCTTTCAAAACATTTATAGCCATCATCATCATCATCATCATCATCATCATACCCAAGAAACTTTAAGATCTAATTACATGCAGCTGTATGTAAAACTTTTAAAAGCAAGTGAGGTCAGGCATGGTGGCTCATGCATGTAGTCCCAGCACTTTGGGAGGCCGGGGCAGACAGATCACTTGAGGCAATTTCAAGACCAGCCTGGGCAACATGGTAAAACCCTATCTCTGCTAAAAACACAAAAATTAGCTGGGCATGGTGGTGTGTCCCTGTAGTCCCAGATAGGAGGCTGAGGTATGAGAATCATTTGAACTCAGGAGGTTGAGATTGCTGTGAGCCAAGATCACACCACTGCACTCCAGCCTGGATGACAGAGTGAGACTCTGTATCCAAAAAAAAAAAAAAAAAGAAAGAAAGTTAAAAAAAAAAAAGCAAGTGATTTCTCATTTTTTGAGCAGTTAACAATCTAAGAAAAACATTGCTGTAGGTTATTTTAATGCATCTGCATTGCAATAGGACAATAGTGATGGGTGCCAAGTGTCTCCCTCCATTTCACTGTGAAGCCACACCATGGCTAAGTGGAAGACAGCAAGTTTCAGTACACAATTCATTTTCATTGTTCAAGAAAGAAGTGCATTCAAGTTTAAAGATAAATCTCATAATCTTGGTTACTCCTTAAAAAGGCATAATAGAATATTACTTACATCCTTTGAATTTGCTAAGAAGCACCTGACACAAAAGCATTGTGATGAAACTACATACAAAAATAGTAGTTACTATCTTTGAAAAGATAGATTTCATCAAGTATGATAAAATACAGCAAGGGTTCTGGTGAGATTTGGAGATCCTTAGGGAAGCTTTCTTCTTAAACAACTAACCAACCATTTGGAATGATGATATGTCATATCTCACACACACATATATATGATATACATACATACTATATCCATATACAGTAGTCCCCCCTAATTCATGGAGCTGGGGGGAACTACTGTGTATGGATTCCAAGACCCCCAGTGGATCAAACCACTGGTAGTAACCTGTATATAGTAAGTTTTTTTCCTATACATACTTACCTATGATAAATTTATAAACTAGGTATAGTAAGAGATTAACAACAATAAGTAATATTTAAAACAATTATACTATAATCCAAAGTTATGTGAATGTGGTCTCTCTCTCAAAGTATCTTATTATATCTTACTTACCCTTCTTCTTGTGACTGTCTATCTGATAACCAAGATGGCTACTAAATGACCATTGGGTAGGTAGTTTATACAGCAGAGATATGTTGGGCAAAGGGATGATTCATGTCTTAGATGGAATGGAGTGGGATGATGTGAGATTTCACTACTCTATGCAGAAAGACCTGCAATTTAAAATATATAAATTGTTTATTTTAGAATTCTGGAATTTTCCATTTAATATTTTTGTACCACAGTTGCCCATGGGTAAATGAAACCATGAAAAGCAAAAGTACAGATAAGGGTGGACCACTGTGTGTGTGTGTGTGTGTGTGTGTGTGTGTGTGTGTGTGTGTGTGTGTGTGTGTGTGTGATTGGACATAAGCTCCAGGAGAACAGTGTGCCCTTGGGAAAGGCAGCATTTTCTGTCACTAGACTAAACCTGTTGCTGGAGCAACAGGTCTTCCCTTGAAGGAGGATTGTGGTTGTGGATCTTCATGTTCACAAATGTAATGCTAGTGAGACAATTTAGCTCATTATCTTTGGACAGTGCTGATTAGAAGAAACAAATGAGAAGGGAAGAGTTGCCACATTAACGATGCCATATAATCACTGACCAAAAATTTTTTAAAAATACTAAAATCAGAAAGAATTATGTCAAATTAAAGAATGAGTCCATTTGATAAATTCTGACAGCTGTATACACCTTAAGAGCTTCCTAAGGCACTATTGTAGCCCTGTAGTATAATGTTCTTGATGATAATCCTGAATCAAGAAGTCAAAAACATCTATTCAGCAGCAACTCCCCTCAACAAATTAATTAATTAGTTAATATTAATTAATTAGCTAATATTTTAGAAAGACTTCCATTTAAAACTGTGAAACATTTAAAAATGTTTTGGTGCTTTACAATGTAAGTTAAATTACCTAGATAAGTTTCATATTGGGGTCTTTCTATCTCCTTATGATGCTATTATCTGAACTAGGTGTCCCAGCTTTGTGGTACACAGAATCAGTGGACAAAGTAGCCTGTCCTTAGGAGCAGAGCAAGAACCCAGGGCTGGGGTAAGATTCCAGAGCTGAGCTACTTGTGAAAGTGCCAAATTCAGACTGATAATCTAGTAAGGGGAAAAAAATAGAGAAAGAGAGAGAGAGCGATCACGCAGAACTGATGAAGAAAGGGATGGGCGCTCATAGGGGCCTCTGGTACAGTTTGCATACCAAGCTTGCATAGGATGCAGAATACATTAACAAGAGCTGGATTAAGAACATATTATAAATTATGCTATGAAATGAAGCAAAAGTAGTATATTAATGTTTTAGGGCTGCTATAACCAAGTACCAAAAACCAGAGGGCTTAAAACAACAGATGTTGGCTGTTTTATAATTCTGGTCATTAGAAGTCTGAAATCAAGATGTAGACAGTGCCATGCTCTCTCTTTTGGCTCTAAGAGAGTCTCTTTTTGCTTCTTCTGGCTTCTGGTGTTTGCTAGCAATCCTTGATGTATGTCGGTGTATAGTTACATCACTCTAGCCACATGGTTAATTTTCTCCCTGTGTACCTTTTTTTTTTTTTTTTTTTGAGACAGGGTGTCACTCTGTCCTTCAGGCTGGAGTGCAGTGGTGTGATCATAACTTACTGCAGCCTCACACTCCTGGGCTGAAGTGAGGACTGCAGGTGTGCATCACCTTGCCTGGCTAATTTTTTAAAAATTGTAGAGATGGGGTCTTGCCCGGACTGATCTCAAACTCCTTGTCTCAGGTGATCTTCCCACCTTAGCCTCCCAAAGTGCTGGGATTATAGGCATGAGCCACCACACCTGGCCATCCCTGTGTGTCTTCATGTCATCTTCCCTCTGTGACTGTCTCTATGTCTAAATTTCCCCTTTTTATAATGACACCAGTCATATTAGATTAGAGACCACATGACAGACCTCATTTTAACTTGAGTATCTCCTTAAATACCTTATTTCCAAACAAGAAGGTCATATTCTGAAGTACCAGGGGTTAGGACTCAACAGGATTCTCATCAGTCCTATTCCACATGCTTTAAATTTTGCACAGAATTCTCTCAGATTTTGCCATTGTGTTGTCTATCACTATTAATTTTTGATACTAAACATTTTGTCTTTTAAAGTATTTTTATGACTATTTTACTGAGAATTTGGAAGAAATATACAGGAGTTTGTATTCAGATACTATTTTGAATGGTGTTATTGTTCTGTTTTCCTGAATGTGTTTTGGATGGTGATTTGGTAGTTTCCCTTAATATGTTTAGGGAGTCTATTTAGAAAAAAAGTGGAAATTGGATAAGTTAAAAGATCAGCAATGAGATGATGAGATGGATTTGTACTGTGTTACTGTGTAAGTTCAAATCCCTATAATAAATCCCTTATTCCATATATCTCCTACTGGTTTTGCTTCTCTGATCAAACCCTGACTAATGTGGAGGATAGAGGAAGCAGCAGTTCAAGCTCTGAAAAACAGATAGATGTTTTTTTCTAGAATCATGCACAATTTTGAAGGCCAATTTGATATATCACAGAAAACAGATAAAGCATCAGAGTTGATGTGTTCCTAAGCTATGTTTCCGCCAGATTTCTGTGGGTAGCTCTTCCTTTATTTGACCTAATAAAGTCAGATATTTGCTTCAACTAAGCCATTTGCCATTGCCTATAAATCTGTCCTATGTTTGTTGCAGATACCATGTAACAAAATGATTAATAAAAATATTCAGGCCGGGCGTGGTGACTCACGCCTGTAATCCCAGCACTTTGGGAGGCCAAGGCGGGCGGATCATGAGGTCAGGAGATTGAGACCATATTGGCTAACACGGTGAAACCTCATCTCTACTAAAAGATACCAAAAATTAGCCGGGCATGGTGGCAGGTGCCTGTAGTCCCAGCTACTTGGGAGGCTGAGGCAGGAGAATGGCATGAACCCAGGAGGCAGAGGTTGCAGTGAGCCGAGATCATGCCACTGCACTCCAGCCTGGGTGACAGAGTGAGACTCTGTCTCAAAAAAAAAAAAAAAAAAAAAATTTAGATGATCATTAGTGACCTTTTACCACTGGTATGTGACCTATAGTTTACTAACACATAAACACATAGGCATGTTTTTTTGTTCAAAGATATTGTGTCTAACAAGTACTAAAATAGAGTTTCAAACAATAGCAGCAAACAACAACAAAAACCTGGAAAAGTATAATGGTAACAGGCTTTTCTTCTGAACCATAAAAATGTAACTAATAGTTCTCTGGTGAAAAAATGCACTACAATGGATATTTACCTAAGTAACATTTTATGCCAAAACAGCACAATGATTTATAACATTATAGGCCATCTCTGAAGTTGTCACAGGACACCTCGTGAAGATAGTGTACTGTGTGGTACAAATTATAGTGATTTGTGGAAGTGTAGAGAAGAAGACTAGAGCAATAAAGAAAGAAGAATAATGTTCTTCCTTGAATCATGGGGGAAAAGCACAGCTCAGCACTTGTCCCCAGGCAACTTTGAGTAATAGCACAGTGCATTGAAGTTCAAGTCTCTGAAATGTCGAGAGTCTAAATGACAATGGGATTACATTAGAAAAAAAAAATCAAGATGACAAATGGCTCATTTGACGTTGTGAATGGTATCTTCATTAAAGTCACTTATGGTGTAAACTGGGAAGCACTGCAAGTGGTTGGGTGAAGAGGGAAATAATATTCACTCATGAAATAAGTGAGGAAAAGGATACTAATCAAGAGGCAGAAAAACGATTTGTGATCAGGGCTTCAATCATGACTCCTACACTAATTTATTATTTGACTTTCAGAAAATTGAACCTTGGTTGGATGAAGTAGTGAGTCCAATTCTGTTTGTTGCACAGGAGAAAATGAGAATTATATTCAGAAAACAGAAGGCACACATCAGTTTCACCCGAAGAAGGAGAAAATGCCTTAGGCCATTTCCAGGCTCTGCGAATGCTGCCATGTCTGTATCTTACTTCTCTGGCCACATGCTCCCACAAACTATAAAGTGAGAATATGTAAGGAATGGGTAGGATTGTACAAAACAATTACATGTCATGCACACCTGTGTGATACTTCTAAAATGCATCTTTAGGCAGTTGTGAATATAGTTAAGTGCATCTTTGAGAATGTCTGTGTCATACTAAAGAAAATGCAAGAAAGGGAGAAATGAAAGAGAAAGGGACGTTAATTTTTGTCCTTGTATGGTTCACATCCTCCCAGGTATAAAGCAGATATTGTGCTTTTAAGTTTAAATGAATTTTAAGCACTTGCAGAGCAAACTGTTGTGAATTCAAAGTAACGTATCTGCAGAAATGTTGAGGGAGAAAATAGATTATGAATCTTAAGAACGCATGCCAGTCAGTATTCACAGCATACAAGGGCAATCAGCTAATGTACTTCTTTGTAAGAACACGTACTCTCTTAAATAGGGGCTTCCTTCTAACAAGAGACAGTGACATTTAAAATAGGCCTGAGAAAATAATTGTTGAACACATTTTCCTTTGCTTGAACTATGCTGAACCAACAGGCTATGGAGTCAGCCCAAGTTTGAATGCTGAAACTGCATTTCAATGCAGCTGGAAGATCTGAGAAATTATTTTAACATCACCAAAAATTTATTTCCAAATTTATAAAATGGGAATAGTATCAATTTCTGCCTCATAGACTTTCATGAAAATTAAATTAGAAGATAATGCATGGAAATCACTTGGCTTGGCAATTAGGTTATAGTCTACAGATGTTATTGATCATTTGATTATTACTCTTATGAGAAGGAAAATTTGAAGAGAAATGCTATGAATTAGCTTTCTCTCAGCATGTTCTTAAGGTTAATTTTGATCAAATATACTCAAGCTTGTTTATAAGTAGAGCACAAATGCTTTCGTGACTTTCTGAGTGAATTTTGAACACATATTAAAATACTAGGACACTTCAGAATCTAGTAAAATGCATGGCTTAATGTACTGTCGTGGTTAAAATTCTTGGTAATGTAAACATTTTGTACTCTTTATTTTGTTTAGGAAAAAGCCAACTTCAATAAGGAGACTCCATCTGTTTGTGAGTGTCTATAGAGGGAAAGAATTTTAAAAGTCAGGAAGAGAAGATATTTTAAAAGTTTTGTGATATGTTGAATGTGTTTCAAGTAATTTTATCTAAAAACCAGCATGGGATCTGCTAATGCCATCAAATCTGACAAGAGTTTTTAATCTCAGTAGTTACCCCAACTACATAGTTGTTATAATGTTTAATTATTCCCTTGGACAGTAGATTTCATTTGGATGTTGTTTTCGTTTACAAACATCTACAGTTGATAACATCCTGAACATTTTAAACAACCATCCTCTGGTATTAATATACTCTTTCTTTCTTGCTGAATACATTTCTCATAAAAAGGGTTTATCGAAAGTATTATTTTGATTCAGTTGGTTAAGACTACTAAGAGTCACTGAGAAAGATAGTTTATTTGCATGCTGTAAGAAAGCACTTGGTATTATCACATCTTTTGGAAAATACCCTCAGTTTTAAAAAATCACATTGCATCTGGTTACATCTTCATGGCACTTTTTATATTAAAATGACACTCTTACTTATAAATGAGATACCAAAATTCTGGGTACTTCCTAAAGGATATACACAGGAAAAACAATTGTTGGGATTCATGGGTAAAGCACAGCTTAATTATTTTGTGGAAGGAGAGATGAGCAGATATCCTATTTCTTGTCTTTTCCTAATCTACTTTCATGAACTCCCAAGAATCCCTTTTCACATCCTCTTTTGGTCCATTTGTTACAGGTTAAAAGTAAGACCTTCTCTGCCCTTTATGATATTTTCAAGTTAATTACCTCATTGTACCTCAATTTTCTTATCTATAAAATAGGAGTAATAAATTGTACCTGCTTTATAGGGTTGTGAGGGCTAAATATGTGTGGAGTATCTAAATCACTGCCTTGCAAAAATCTACCCAATAAATATTGGCTGAATTCTTATCTTCATTATCATCATCATCATTAGGGTCTCTGTTTTGGTTAGTGTACCTGCAGCTATTCCAACACGGAAGGCAGCACCCAAGGAATCTTGTAACTCATTCTTCTCCCAGCCTCCACTGTTCATCAACCATTCCCTCTTGTTCTTCCCTATTACCCAGCCCTAGCTGAGACCATCATCATAACACCCTTGAACTATTCTAACAGCCTCTGGAAGGGTCCACTTTCTTTCTTCAATTTATGCTTCACTTTGTCCCAGAGTTCCAGCTCTGAAACAGAATAGATGATCCCGTCATGAGATCCAGGCAGGAACCACCTCACTGGCCACCTTCCTTTACATATATAAATCTTTCCATACTTTAGATAATTATTTCCCAATGGCTTAACCTGGAGTCTTTAAAATACAGACAAATGAATTAATGCAGCTCTGATCCTCCACATGTATTCGTTACTGGGAAGACCAGATCTCACCATCTTCTGAATGTTATTTTCATTCAGAAAATTTCTGTACTACAATGCAGGCAGGGCACGCAGTGTCATTTTCAGCAACATCAGTGGAACATGAGGCCATTATCTCAGTGAACCAACTCAGAAAGACAAATACTGTATATTTTCACTTATAAACAGTAGCTAAATAAGGGGTATACGTGGATATAGAGTGCAAACTAATAGACACTGGATACTTGGAAGGGTGGAAGGGAAATGGATGATGAGAAATTACTTAATGAGTACAATGTTTATAATTTAGGTGATGGAATATACATAATTAAGGTGATGGACATGCTAAAAGACCCGACTTCATACTATGCAAAATATCCATGTAACAATATTACACTAGTACTCCTTAAATTTGTACAAATAAAAATGAAGATGATTGCACATCTTTAAGTCAAGGAATCAGTGTGACCAGGACAAACTTAGGTTCAAATTCTAGTTTTACTGCATTCCAACTCTATAGTTTTCATTTTCAGAGCCTCATTTTCCTCATCTGTAAAGTGGGATCATAATAGCTATCTTCAAAATTATTGTGAAAAATATCTGAAAATTTGAAATTGCATAAGCCATTAGCAAACGCAAAAATGGATTGTTAAGCAGTGTCTCAGAAAATAAAGACGAAAATACTAAACAAATTAGGAGAATTTATAATGAGGATTTCTGTAATTTTGTAATAATAACAAGGGGATTTTTTCTAAGTATGTAATAGAAGTCAGAAGGTATGAAAGAAAAAAGTTGATAAATTTAACTACAAAATAATTTTTTAAATAACCACAAATAAAAAAGCATAAATCCAGAGGTCAAATGCAGAATATGGAAAAACTGTTAGCAACCTACAAAGCGTTCATTTCTTTACTGTGTAAAGGCTTGAAAATCAGTAAGAAAAAAATAACAATTCAAGAAAAAAATAGGCAAAAGATATGCGTGATAGTAAACCGACAAAATAGAAATGGCTCTTAAACATTTAAGATGCTCATTCTTACTCCTAACAAGACAAAATGCAAATTAAAGTAACAAGTTGGCTGGGCGTGGTGGCTCATGCCTATGATCCCAACACTTTGGGAGGCTGAGGCTAGAGGATCACTTGAGCCTAGTTTGAGACAAGCCTGGCCACCATGGCAAAACCCTATTTTTATAAAAAACACAAAAATTAGCCAGGTGTGGTGGCATGCACCTGTAGTCCCAACTACTCGGGAGGCTGAGGTAGGAGGATTGCTTAAGTCCAGGAGGTCAAGGCAGCAGTTATTTGAGATCATGCCACTGCACTCCAGCCTGGGCAACAGTTGGATCCTGCCTCAAAAAAAAAACCAAAAAACAAACAAACAAAACAAACAAACAACAAAAAAAGTAAGTCACAAGTTGGATACCAAGGATTAATAAGGTGGCTATTGGTCTAGTGTTGAAGTTGTAGACAAAGAGGCCTTCTCACACATCGCCACCTTTGGGATAAATTGGTACACCTTATAGAGAGAAATGTGGTAATATTGATCAAAATTTACAATGCACATTTACTTTGACCCAGCAATCTCACTGCTAGAAAAATGACCTATAGATATATCCATACACATACAAAGTAAAATAAATACACAGATAAATATTAACTGTCACACTACTAACAATTTGGAAACAACTTGAGTATCCATCATAATGGGATTGATACCTCATGATACAGATAAATATAAGTATTTTATAATAGCACTTAACTAAGAAGAGCACAAAGATGGGCATAATAGCACTTAACTAAGATGAGCACAAATAAATATTTTATAATAGCACTTAACTAAGATGAGGCAGGCCTATATATACTGCTGTGAAAAAACTGTTCAAGATATATTAACTATGAATATATATATATGTATCAATGTATGGAATTTGTAAAAAGAGAAGTATGCAGGTTTATGGTTCTGTATGCATAGATTATATCTGAGGAATGAATTTATATAGCTGGATAATAAGAATAGAAAGATTTTTTACTATGTATAAATATCATTTTTAAACTCGGATTTCTATTATATGCATGTATTGCCTAGTCAAAACATAAATAAAAATAAAAGCAACTTAAATGTTACAAAAACTTTTATCAGCAGCCCATCTGAGGAAATGTGTATCCTGCTAGTACTTTTTGGTAACATTTGCTGATATAATATGTCTGCTTGTGTCTTCTG
The DNA here is from genome assembly GCF_000001405.40 of Homo sapiens. Taxonomy (NCBI): domain Eukaryota; kingdom Metazoa; phylum Chordata; class Mammalia; order Primates; family Hominidae; genus Homo; species Homo sapiens. The sequence goes on from NC_000008.11 coordinate 86,861,478, forward strand.
GATACTTCATAGGATAATAACATACATGTAAAAATACTGTGGAGTCTGCTATACTCAATTAATTGTATCACATCAGTTGTTGCTGGAACCCTTAGTCAAGAATGTCTAATGTATTTTCTATGTCCTGGTTATTATTTTTTTGTTGTTGTTCTTATTTTCTAGTTTCTGAATCACATGCTGAGCTACTTCAGTGTTCCAAGTGAGTCCTCATCTCATTTTGGTATATGCCAGTCCTTGTTGCACTGGCTGCTTTCTTGTACCTTAGCTTGATATGCCAATTGCAGAGAGAAAGGAAAGGAACTGGAATTCTTTTCGGAATGTATATTATATGTCAAGCACTGCAATAAATGTTTTGCATGTTTAATGTGATGTAACATTTATAATCATCATCATAATTAAGTAGTCACTTTACTTATTTACAGTCCTCTCAATAACGCTATGAAGTTATTCTCACTCCTATAATTTTAAAAATGAGAAAACAGGGCTTAGTTAAATTAAATGACTTAACCAAGGGGTCACACCAAAGAGGTCTGGCTCAATATGGCTTCAAAGCCTCTCAGCTCTATCCTGTACTGTGCTGTCTTCCGCCTCACACTCTAAGTACTGACATACTCGAAATTCTATTTTAAAAATACAATGACTTTCTAGTATAATATTTCAGGCTTTTATCAAATATATTTTATATAGCTAATTCTATGTAAAATTTCATTGCTTTATAAAAAGCAAGGATATCAAAAAATGTAATTTTCCTTGGATGTGAATATACTCTGAAATTACTCTTTCAAAATGCCTTCTGTGTGTGAATATCTTCTCCATTAACCTCAAAGTGACCAAAACCCTCTTGCTTTTGCTAGGACTTTTTGAAGCCAGTCTTAAAATGTTCTTGTACTCCCCCCAAAACTTAAATTTAACTAACATTTAATTTTTACTGAAAAAAATCTATATTTTTGGAGTGATGGAGTGATTTTTTATATTGCAAAAATCGCTAGAAATCCTCTCCAAATAATTTGTTTCTTCCCCTAAAAGCCTGTCTATGATTACTGCCCACTTTTTCTCTCACTCTCTTCTCCTACTCCTTATTCTCTAGGCTGACCTGTCTTTTATATTATTTCTAAAAAGTATCTCAACTTGTCTACCCTACTTCACAAACTAAAACTGCAGTGTGTACAACTTCAACAAACTAAAAGCCTCCATTTTATACCCTTTTTTTCTCCTGCAGACCCCAGAATGATCTAAATTTACCTTACTCCATCTGTATTGATTATATTGTGAGATTGTTTCCTATTAATAGATTTCCACAGTTTTAGGATTCTGAAATATCTTCTGGGATATGTCTCCTGAGAGCCTATCTGCCAGTGCTCAGGAGAAGTTTTGGACTTTTGCTTGTTGTCTCTTTGGGCTTTGCCATTTAAACATTACATGCATCAGCTACGGGTTATAAAAGCATTGGAACTATGCTTAGTTAACATTTATCCAGTGAAATGACTTGGGTATAACATATGTTATACTTGTGTATCTTCAGACCAACAGGGACATTGTTTTGGAAAATCTTTTGAGATCTCTTAATAAAATTATGCCAGTTATCTTAATTTGACATATCTTTTCTAATAAATAGAGTTAAAAATATAATACCAGAATTAAACACTCAAAATCAAAATAGGGCATATTTGATATATTAAATATGTTAATAGTGTCTAGAAATGTTAATAGACACTAGAATAGTATCTAGAAATAGTGTCATGGTAAATTTCGTTATTATTATTATTGGTTTTTGCAATACAGAATGAATACTTAAGGTACATCCTGAAAAATGAACCTGTAATATACTACTGGTGACTGTGTAGCAGGAATAAATGGAACTCATATTAAATATACTTTTAAAAAAATATTTAAAGTATTAAAAATATTTATGCTCTGGTTTCTCTTCAGAATGACTTTATCTTTTTGTCTTTTACTAAAGTATTAAAAATATTTAATCCATATGAGTTTTTCAAAGTTTACTTCAGCAATAGTAATATTACTAATAAAAATGGAGTTATTACTATAGGTACTGTGCTAGGACCTTTTTTCATTATTTAATATTCATAATATTTGTATGAGGTATTATCATTACCCCTGCATAGATCAGGATATTGAGGCCAAGGTGGATTAAGTGACTTCTCCAAGATAATTTTGTAAGTAAGTGGTTGGGAAACAATTAGACTTTACTGTCCAGGCATTGGTAAACAATGTAATACAGCTATCTCTCAAAGACAAATTGTGTGATTATGTTATTATTCTTTGAATGAATTTCAAAAGAATTCAGAATACATTGAAAAGCCTAGCAAAAAACATTTAGGAGAGCTGAATTTGTGATTTGATGGATTTTCTCTGGACATATATCAGCAGGTACTAGCAGATGCTCACACGCAATTATGAATATTACAGAGACTTAGATAAAATTCAGTAAGCTATTTTAGTTGTTTATTTTGCTATTTACTCCTTAATGTTCTTGTTTACTTGCATTGTCACTTCTCATTTTTTCTTTAAAATTATTTTCAAGCAAGGTCCAGGTTGATATGAACTACGATATTATATGGCATTCAGTGTGTAAAGTTTATTACATATGAAATACAGAAAAGAGAAAGGTGAAAATATGGAAAAGCAGGAAGATAACTAGAAAATAAATAAAAATAAGAACTGCTAACTTGGAATCAGAGAGGAAATCGGTCATCACAATTTTAGGGCCTTAGGAAACTTCCTCTCTTACATTTGTTTGATTAGAACTGTTCGTCAGAGAAAAAAAGCATTTTATATAGTCCCTTCTGCTTAACATCCATGAAAAATTCACGTCTTCATTTCTTTGGGTTTTAAATGTGCGACTAGGAAGAGAATGGATCTAGAAAACCTGTGGAATGATGGCAGTAGGGATTACCAACAAGGGGACAGTTGGAATGGCAAGGAACCATTCTGAAGTGGGAGCTAGGCAGGTGGCTAGTGTGGAAGGAATGCAAGATGAAGAATAGTGATGTGGCCGGGTGTGGTGGTTCATGCCTGTAATCCTAGCACTTTGGGAGACCAAGGCAGGCAGATCACCAGAGGTCGGGAGTTCAAGATCAGCCTGGCTAACATGGTGAAACCGTGTCTCTACTAAATATACAAAATCAGCTGGGCGTGGTGGCACCTGCCTGTAATCCCAGCTACCCGGGAGGCTGAGGCAGGAGAATCACTTGAACCCGGGAGGTGGAGGTTGGAATGAGTCAGAATTGAGCCACTGCACTCCAGCCTGGGTGACAGAGTGAGACTTGGTCTCCAGAAAAAAAAAAAACAATAGTGATGAGACTCAACAACAAAATTGAGTCTATGGTGAGTTTGGAGTTTGTAAAACTGGAAATAGGAAAATACATTCAATTGAAAAGTTATAACCTGAGTAAATTTATTGTGCAGATATAATTTAATAGAAACTGTTGCAAAATAAATTTGTTACTTTTGTAACATAATTAATGTTTTCTATTCTAGTTATTAATGTTATCTAGATGAAGTTGCTCCAGAAATGGTTGGTTTACACTCTGCTAGTCCAGTTCAGGTATCAGACAGCCACAGTCCTTTTGTATATTACCTGATGAAATGGGGGAGTTCCCTGATTCCCCTCACAGAATGTGTGACAGGGCTGTGGTTTGCCTGCTTGGTTGGTCATCGCTGCTGCTCAAACCCTGTGGGGAGGGGGAGCACACAGACGGACAGGTGCAGGAGCCCAAGTGGGCATTGTGTTGCAGTGTGCCCTTGTAGCCCTACCCTCCATGGATGGCTTGATGTTAACAAGCTCAATGGACCCTCTGCCTTTTCACAAGGGTAGAGGGCCAGTGTGATAGCTTTCTGTATCCTGAATTCTTGCCCAGCATCCCAGAAGTACTGGGTCACACATGGGCTTGAAGGAAGAACTCAGGGTTTTATTGAGTGGTGGAGGTGGCTCTCAGCAGGATGGATGGGGAGCTGGAAGGGGGATGGAGTGGGAAAATGATCTTCCCCTGGAGTTTGGCCGTACAGTGGCTGAACTCCTCTCAGTGTTCAGATGTTCCTCCTTTTCTCACTTTCTCTGCCTGTCATTCTGCCATTCATCTATTTGTCTCATCTCTTCGTCTGCTTCTGGAGCCTGGGATTCAGGGTTTATATGGGTACAGGATAGGGTGTGTTGCAGGCCAAAAGGCAACTTTTTAGGTGCAAAAACAGGAATGCCTGTCCCAATCTAGGGCCGCAGGTCTCCAGGCTTGAGGGTGGGGCCTTTACTGGGGAACTGCCCTCTTCTACCCAGTGTTTCCCTGTCTCCTGTCCGTATCACTCTAACAGTTATGATACCAGGACCCTATTTCTAAAGGCCTTGGAAGATAATACACAGCATCAAAAGATACATTAGTTAGGATTGTAAACCCTAGCCATTGTAACTATCCTTAATTATTGTGAAGCAGCAGAAAATAACAAAAAAACATGTTCCACACTCTAGCAGAATATAGTTAAATGTAAGCTGGGGTGGGTTTATTGGTGTATGATAATTAGAAGGGATGGTTTACCCTATAAATGTGGCCATGAAGAACAGTATAAATATGCTATCTCTGTTACTGCTGGTACAGAAAGGGCCTGTGATACCCAGTGTAAACATTTGGTAGGCAGGAAAAGGGCTCTGGACTATGGAAGACCAAGGAAGTGAATACTTTCATTTCACCTAGACTCATGAGTGCTGTTGATTCTGCTGTATCAGCCTTGTGGGCTACAGTTTCCTTCTTCATTATTGCTACTCTCTATAGCTCATAAAGTCCTCCTTATGATTTCCACTGGACTAAAATGTAGCATAGTTCTTCCTGGTCTAGATGACACTCTTGGAAATGCACAAACAATGGATAAGAACTATGAACAAGAAGATTCCGTAGGATTCAACCTATCAGAGAGGACCTTGAAGTTCTGCTTTATGAGCCTGCAGGCAAAGAGTGATCATTTGCCTCTCAAGCAGCCTCTGGTCATCTATCTGCCTTTGAGCCATCAAGATGCCGATGTCTTCTCTTCCAGCAGCTATTTTGTCTCACATGACAGCTATTAACAATGTGCCTCCTCCTCCACTTCACAGTATACCAAGTGAGTGGGAAATACTTTGATGCTCTTATTCACCTACCATTGTTTTCAGCGGTTCTTACCCCAGCTATGAAAATTGGGGGTATTTCAGGGTTGATAGGGACATTGGGAATCTTATTGACAGTGCTGAAGAATGGAAAGAACATAGATGTGTAAATCCTGCTTGGTCTACTTGAAGTCATTTCAGTACTCTAGGTCTTAAGTATTTTTTCTCTGTAAAATGAGGATCTTTACGAACTCTTAGAGCTTCAGATACATTGAAATATTTCTAAAGATGAAAGAAAACAAAGATTTAGAGAGGCCACATGTTCCACCAGCTATCAGGTTCCTTTTTCTAGCAGATCTTCTACTCCCTACCAAGAGTTGGTCCTACTACGCTTAATGGGATAATTAATACTTAATATTCTCTAGGAGAATTCTCATTTCAATTTGACAAGGAAAAAAAGATAATTCCTACTATTCTGACTGTGAAATTTATTCCTATTTAACTTTTTTATTTTCTAGTCTTACTTATAAGAATTAAGTATAGAACTAGATATTTCAAAGTTTATATAATTGACAGTATTTTCTCATTTTATGTAATTAGTCTAAACCTATAACGTTTTCTTAAGATTGTAAACACTTCTCATGGCCATCGAATTTATAAGATCTATTATTTGAACACCATCATTCTGACTAGCAATATGTATGAGTTCCAGTGTTAGTTAAGATTTTTAAAAAATATCTGGATAACAAAGGTAATACTTGTGATCCTTTTCAACTTCAATAAAGCATTAACTCTTATTTTATTATTCATTGGGCAGATTTATAGTATTGATTTGAAGAAGCTAAGCCATCCATCCTTTTCCCTTCCTGTGAAAGTTAATTTCTCCAAATACATTTTAAAAAATTAATGCTCATAGTCTCCAGGTTAAAAGGTATAACAGGTGGCAGTTGATACTCCTTGAAGGGGTACACTGATGTCTTGAATAGTGTTAGACAAAATCCTTATGTTAAACAAAATTAATTCCATTTGTATTATAGTGAAAATAATCTTGCATCTGGTCAAAGTTTTCTATTTCTACTTGAGTGGAAATAAGAATTAAGTGCAATTTTGCTGAAGAAACACAGCTTCTACTATTCATGTTTTATTTGTGAAAAAGAAAATAAAAGTCACCATAAAATAATATTTTTAAAAAGCCCAGGAAACTCGGTAGCTGGGAGTTAAAAGATCAAATTAATTTAGAATCAATGAGATGAGATTTGTGCTACCCTCTGTAGTGCCTCCCAAGGACACTTAACTTCTGTGAAGTGATTAAAAGACGAAAAATCAGCAGCAATTTAGATCTCAGAACTGAATAGAGCATAATGGAAAGCGGTGGAGCTCCCAGTGTTCCTTTAGAGGTTCGCACTTGATGTTTCTATGTCTGCAACTTCTCTTTGAGGACGTGCCCTGCTTGCCTTAATAACTGTGTCTTTTTGCTAACTGTAGCAAGACAATAATTTTCCTTAGCAAGCACTGATTGTCTCACTGCTGAAACAATGATCTCATGGAAGCCAATGTGTAATGAATGCTTTCAATTTATGAAATGACTGAACCTGAATTACAAAGGATATATAAATGAGTTTTAAATGCAGTGGGCATAAATAGGAATGCACATTTACATACCTAAAAAGAAAATCCAGCCATTGTATACATCCTTGATACTTTGTATTTGTTGAGTTAGGTTGGATTTAGTGACTCATATTCACCTTCTCTGTAAGTATTTATTTATTTATTTATTCATTTTTATTTATTTTTGAGATGAAGTCTTGCTCTGTTGCCCAGGCTGGAGTGCAGTGGCACGATCTCAGCTCACCACAACCTCCGCCTCCTGGGTTCAAGCGATTATCCTGCCTCAGCCTCTTGAGTAGCTGGGACTACAGGTGTGCCTGGCTAATTTTTGTATTTTTAGTAGAGATGGGGTTTCACTGTGTTGGCCAGGCTGGTCTCTATCTCCTCACCTCGTGATCTGCCCCCCTCAGCCTCCCAAAGTGCTAGGATTTACAGGCGTGAGCTACCACGCCCCGGCTGTCTGTATTTATATGTGAATATTGTTAATTGAGTGCTTTCTGTAGTTAGTATGTAAACATTTAGCACGTTATGTTATTTCATGTATTTCTTACAAGAACTCTATGTCTTCGGTGGACAGAATTAACGGTCCCAGTGATATCCATGCCTTAATTCACAAAACTTATGAATAGGTTATACTACATGTTAGGGGGAATTGAGGCTGCACATGCAATTAAAGCAGCTAATTGGCTCCACTTGAGATGGGAGAATATTCCGGTTTGTCTGGGTACCAGCCACAATTGTGAGAGCCCTTATAAGCAAAAGAGGAAGGCGAGAGAGTCAGAATGATATGTGAGAAAGACTCGACTGGCCCTTGCTGGCTTTGAAGATGGAGGGGGGACAAAAGCCAAGGAATTCAGGCAGCCTCTAGAAGCAGGGAAAGGCAAAGAAATGGATTCTCCCCTAGCGTCTCCAGAAGAATTGCAGTCCTGCTGATGTGATTTTAGCCCAGTGAAATCAGGTTCAGAGTTCTCATTTCCAGAACTGTTAGATAATACGTTTTTATTTTTTTAAGCCACTAAGGCAGTGGCAATCTTTTACAGCAGCAATATAAAATTAATACGTGTTCCAGTTTACACTTAAGGATAATAAGGCTTAGGTTTCATACTAAGGTTCACACAGATGTTAAGTAGCAGAGGCTCCTCGTAGCGTCATCTGTGTAAACAAACTCTACTCACAACAACAACAAAGCTGGCAGCATTCCGGGTTGCCCCTTACCTCCTGCCCTGAATTTCTTGCCCATTTGGCTACTTAAATGCTATTAATATATGGGAGGCAACATGTCACACATCTTCAAACCCTCCTCCACTGCTATCTTGTTGACTCTGAAATTCAGACTCAGACACTTCAAGTAGTTAAGCTTCTTGAGCTAGTTTGCTGCTTGTGGTTCTTTCTTCTTTGAAACTTTCAAGTCTTTTCCTTCTCTGGTCTCTTTGACTTCTGTCTCAGGATTCTTCACAGTTTGCTAACCTTAAGGGAGGAATGAATGTTCTCAAAAGCAGAAGAGCTGTTCCACTTTTCATTCTGGATGAGAATTATTTTAAAAACATCATAGCTAACAAACTGTACAGTTTTACCACCTAAGTGAAATGGCATCTGGTTTAAGTACACACATGACCCATTATTTTTATAAGTTGATTTCCTGAAGAGATAGAAAAAAAGAAAAAAAAATTCTTATTTTAAAAAATTTTTAATGGAAGGCAAGAAGCTGTCCTTCACCGTTTGGTTTATGGTCCAGTTAACTTCCTTTGTTGGGATAAATTTGCTGCTACTCTATTTTCTTCACACTAATTAGGCTTATTCTTCTGAGGAAGAATGGGTTTAAAAATATGCTTTACATTTTGACTACTGGTTGACTTGAAAAAAAAATTTCTGTGCTTTTCCAGTTCCAAAAATGTTTTAATTCACCAGACATTTCTAGGTATCTTTCATTTATTCCAACATATGAGTTGGAAAAAAAAAAGCATTCAAGATAAGACCAGAGACACATCAAGAAATTTAGAAACAAGATAGTACTCTTTTTTTTTTTTTTTCTGAGACGGAATCTCGCTCTGTCGCCCAGGCTGGAGTGCAGTGGCGTGATTTCATTTCACTGCAAACTCTGCCTCCTGAGTTCACGCCATTCTCCTGCCTCAGTCTCCTGAATATCTGGGACTACAGTATATGTTAGTCGCAGCCACGCCTGGCTAATTTTTTTGTATTTTTTTAGTAGAGACGGGCTTTCACCGTGTTGGCCAGAATGGTCTCGATCTCCTGACCTCGTGATCCACCCGCCTCGGCCTCTCAAAGTGCTGGGATTACAGATGTGAGCCACCGCGCCTGGCCAACACGATAGTACTCTTAAGCGAATGTTTTTCTTCGCTCTTTTTCATTTTATGGCTTTACATTTACTGCAAATCTGAAAACACTGTGTCATCATTCCTAAGCGTTCAAAGGCGTTTTCTATAATTTGAGAGTTTTTCAGTTCTTTGGTAGCCAAGGATTAAAGGTATATATTTGAAAAAGTGAATATTGTACCATTTAAAAGTTTTAAACCATTCAAATCCTAGGAATGCAGGTAAGAAAAAAAGGAGGCTTGTCAGTGACGAAGAAAAACAGGGAAGTGGGTTGTATAATGTATAAAGAAACCAAGTTTAAGGAAAAGAAAGAACTAAAATAAATAAGAATGAAAATTCCAAGAAGGAGTAAAAGGTGGGAAAAAGGTTGAATGTTTGTGTCCATTTCTGTGTCTATATAATCAATGATAGTCCCAATGGAATGTGCCATCATAAAATTCAGAAGTATTGAAAAATTTTTTTCCTCACCTTAATTTTTTAGGATAAAAGTCAAATTTTTAATCCCAAGGAGAAAAGATGGATGTTTTATTGTAAAGCAAACATTTAGTATTTTTTTCCTACTACTGTTATAACTATTTTGATGTACTTTTTGTCAAACCATTTTGAGTGGCGTTTAGAAATTAAGCTATGGGAACTTAAATGTGAGCTTGATGGTACCTGGGACTTCAGGCAGGAAACAGGAAATGGTGAAGTAAATTGCAGTGCCTTGCAAATCACATCTCCACTAGATGTCAGGCTAGGTCTCCTCTGAGTCTCAGGCTACTGCTCTATCTGCCTATATCAGAGATTAGTCCTGTTATTAGTTCCATGTTACCAATCCTTCAGACAACTGAAGATGCTGGTCCTCCAGCATCTTTCACAGAACTGATCTCTGGTCTTCCTTCCAACATATACTGTGAACTAGATTTACTTGTCTGATAGGACGATTAAACTTTTTGATAACTTTAACTCTACACTCAAAAGCTGTCAGGGTCCTACTCTCCTTTAAAACTTACATTACAATCTATTTTCCACAATCTGGCATTTAAATCTTTCATGATTAAGCTAAAATCTGTCTCTTGTGTTCTAGATCTCATTCTTCCATCTATGTAACTCTCCACTACAGCTAAAACACTTTGTTATTCCTTAAGCCTATCTGCCAATACTGATTAGAGGTACAGGAAGATTTCAAAGGTTAAACATTCAGATGGACACACTTGGCAAATATGTAAAGTTACAGCTTTCCATAAGGACACTGTTAGGGGTTCCCCTTCTGTGGAAGAAGTCCCCAGATGCCTAGGCTGCATCCCACACAGCCAGCCCTCTTTGGCCACCTATATAGTAGCTCAGGTTCAAGGTAGTGAGAGTCACATAGGGCAGATGCTGAATTGCCCTGGCTTAAAACCCTCATAAACCATCGTTTTTAATAAAAATTCCAAAGGCACTTCTTCCAAGTTTCCTGTAAGAAATCTCTCAATTACTAGAGTTAAAGTACTCAGCGTAGCTCATTTCAGTGACTGCTCATCAGGTATTCGTACATCATCTGTAGTGCTTTCTAGTCCAAATGCAAGTCATCAATCCAAGATCATTGTTATCATAAGCAATGTTGCCTAGCAACACTGTTAACTCTACCTTAATCTGGCCTATAAGGAACAGAGCTGGAGAGTTATCATGCTGACAGGAAAAATATTCCCTTAATTACACCATCATAATCTTCACCATATTGTCATGCCTTAGCTCATGTTTCCTGTGTTTGGGGTTCCCTTTGCTCTTCCTTTATTTGTTCTTATCATTTCAGTTCTTCAGAGTTTTCCTAAATTACTTTAATCTCCACAAAGACTCTCCTGGCTTTTCCAGTATGAAGAAATTATATATACTATTTTAATGTATTTGTATTTATTAATTATAATCACATTTTATATAATCACATTTATAAAATTTTTATGTAGTCACTATAGAGGCAGAAGTAGGATTATTGGATCATATGGTAATTCTATTGTTAATATTTTGAGGAACTTTCATACTGCTTTCCAAAATGACTATATTAATTTACATTCTCACCAACAGTATATCAGGGTTCCCTTTCCTCCACTTTCTCTCTAACACTTATCTTTAGATTTTTGATAGTAGCCATGTTAACAGGTACGGAGTGGTATCTCGCTGTGGATTTAATTTGTATTTCCCTGATGATTAGAGATATTGACTTTTTTTTGTTGGCCATTCATGGGTCTTATTCTGAAAAATGTCTGTTCAGGCCCTTTGCCCATTTTTCAAGTTGGACTATGTGTTTGCTTGTTACTGAATTGTTTGAGTTCCCTATATATTTTGGATATTACCCCCTTATCATAGGTATAATTTGCAAATATAGTCTCCATTCTGTGGGTTGTCTCTTCACTCTGTTGTTTCCTTTTCTGTGCAGAAGCTTTGTAGAGTGATGTAATCTCATTTATCTACATTGACTTTTGTTCCCTGTGTATATGAGAAAGCTGAGGCAGGAGGATCGCTTGAGCCCAGGAATTTGAGGTGAATTTCAGTAAGCTACGATCATGCTACTGCACTCCAGCCTGAGCAACAGCACAAGGCCCTGTTTTTGTTGTTGTTGTTGTTGTTGTTTTAGTTTTTTTTTTTTTTTGAGATGGAGTTTCACTCTTGTTGCCCAGACTGGAGTGCAGTGGCACGATCTTGGTTCACCGTAACTTCTGCCTCCCGGGTTCAAGAGATTCACCTGCCTCAGCCTCCCAGGTAGCTGGGATTACAGGCATGCGCCACCACACCCGGCTAATTTTGTATTTTTAGTAGAGACGGGGTTTCTCCCTGTTGATCAGGCTTGTCTCAAACTCCCAACCTCGGGTGATCTGCCCGCCTCGGCCTCCCAAAGTGCTAGGATTACAGGTGTGAGCCACCACACCTGGCCAAGACCCTGTTTTTTTTAAAAAAGGATTAATTTGTGGAGAATTGACATATTTATAATATTGAGTCTTCCTACTCAATAACTGGTATCTTTACAATGCTCAGTCTTCCTACTTCTCAGGCTGAATGGCTCACACCTGTAATCCCAGCACTTTGGGAGGCTGAGATGGGAGGATCCCTGGAGGCCAGGAGTTTGAGACTAGCCTTGGCAACATAGTGAGACCCTGTTTCTACCAAAAAACAAATCCATAAGTAAATAAATCTTCCCCTTGAATTTATGTAAGTGTTCTTGCATGCCACTAAATAAAATTTATTCCTGGGTATTTTATCTTTTTTCTATTATGAATGATATCTTTTTCTAACTGTAAAGTCAGTATGTGAGAAATATTAAATTTAAATTTTTAAAAAGCTTTTGAAATAATCATAATCTTACAGATGTTGGAAGTTCAGATTAAAGGAACTTATTTTTCTAGAGCAATTTGACATTCCGTCATCCCCATATTTCAGTGTGTATTTTTAAAAAAACATTGTTACATAATTACAATACAACTATCAAGATCAGGAAAATTAACATTGATACATTACTGTAATCTAATCCTTGGACCCCATTCAAATTTGGTCAGTTGTTCTGATAATGTCCTTTCTAGTAAAACAATCCAATTCAAAATCTCATGTTTTTCTGGTCAATGTGTCTGTTTTATGCCAGCACCATACTGTTATGATAGCTTTGTATTTTGAAATCAGACAGTGTGATAGTTTTAGCTTTGTTCTTTTTTCTTCAGATTGCTTTGACTCTTTAGGATCTTGCTGTCTTGTCTCTTCAATTCTTTCAGTCTGGAATAGTTTCTCAGTTTTCCTTGACTTTCATGACCTTGATACTGGGAGACAACAAAGCAGTTATTTTGTAGAATATCTTTCAATTTGGTTTGTTTGATATTTCCTCATGATTAGATTTGAGGTAGACATCTTTGTCAGCAATATCACAGGAGTTATTTCATGTTCTCCTTCCATCTTATCAGGGGCCATATGATCTCAGTTTGCCCCACTCTTGATGATATTCACTTTAATAATGATTAAGGTATTACATAGAGAGCTTTCCAGTTGTAAATGTACTCTTTTCTCTTTTTAAATTAATATGTTTTGTGAAGATGTATTTTAAGGTGTATAAATATTCCATTTCTCATGAAATATTAAATTAAATACATTGACCGTTCTTTATTTGGGTTAAAAAATAAAAATTAAATATAGGAACTCTGGGGTTTCTATTTTATTCAAAGAGTTTTAAGGAGTTATTTTTATTATATATTTTGATCACATTGTTCATAGTTTGGACAGTGGGAGCCACTTCAAGTTGGTTTGAGCATTTCTTTGCTTCTGACACAATGGGATTTTTCAAGCTCTTTTCATACTTTCTTTGTCTTATCCCTGGAATCAGACATTTTCCCTAAGAGCCCTGTTTTGTTTTAATGAAAATTTAAGATCTGGGTGCTCTGTGCATCATTGATCTTAGGATGCCATTACTCCCAGGCCCTCTCAGTGGACAGATCTAGGGAATACAAATTCACATTTATATTTGTTTGTAAATCAATTTATATATATATATATATATATATATATATATATATGTATTAAAAATTGTGAGTTTACACTGATTTCTTTAATCCTAATGCAGCACCACAGGCTCATTCTTATCTTCTCCCTTTCTGTATTTCTAACTCCCATCTCTGAAGTGATAAAGCTTTCTCCTATTAGCTTTAACATAACACTTTTGAGTAGTTTCCTTGTTTGTAATCTATCTTCCATATTCACTGCCATCCATTCTGACATTTAGCTCTGGGACACTCCCTCTGTCTCACACCTCGCAGCTGTCCTCCTTACCTGGTTGTTCTGAGACTCTGCACAGTCCCACCTTAATGTGGATGCCCTCCACACCCTGGTCTTGGATGCTGTGATACCTTACCTTTCACCCTACCTACTCCTGGTATAGATGTCTACCATCTGCTGCTGTCACATTGGTTTTAGGACTCACTGTTCGAGGAAAAAGGCAAGCTATTGAATTAGTTACTTCTGGAATAAGCCACTTTGGCAAGTACTCTAATGGGTTTCTGGTCTATGTACTTTTTTTAAATCTATATAATTACAATAATAGCAAACACTGATTTGTATCTTTCTTTCTAATTTCTAAATCTTGTGCATTTCTTTTATTAAATTGTGTCCTTTGGTACTTTCAGAAATTTGTAGCACTAGTATATATCTTTATCTCGTTCCTGAATTTATTGCTATTGCCTCTGGTGTTTCAACATTAAACATGATTCTGTCTTTTGGTTTGATCTACTTACCAGCTTAAAAAAAATAAACTTTTTTCAATTTAAGCTGCTAAGAACTATGTTGAATTTTACTGGATACTTTTTCTGTATTTAGGGAGATTATAATTTTAAAAATTTCAACTTATTGTGGAAAATTATATTGCTATATTCTCTAATTGAATTTTCTTTGATTATTTGGATAAATCTTACTTTGTTGTATGATCTTTGTTAATATGTTGCCGGGCACTATACCCTCGTATATATTTTTGGAAAATATTCATGTGTATTTGTGAGATTAATCTCTGGTTTCCTTTTTCATGTTTTGTCATATTTGCATCTAATTGTTTTGCTTGCTTCATCAAATAAATTTGAAAGCTTTTCTATGTTTCAATATTTAACAAGCATATGTATTGTCTCTTCCATGAAGATTTGATGGAATCCACTGTGATAATGCCTTGTTTGATACCTGTGTGTGTGTGTTTGTGTGTGTGTGTGTGTGTGTGTGTGTGTTTGTGGTGGAGGAAAACTGCTTTGAGATTATTCCCCATTTTTTTCAAGGCAATTAATTTACTTAGGCTTTTCTCTTTTTTCTAATGTCAAATATAAGTAATATACATTTTCCTTAAAAAATCATTTTTGTTTAGTTTCAGTTTTTTTGACCTTACATCTTTGTGTAAAACCTTCTTTTCTGATTTCTTTTTAATGATATATACTGTTAGTTAGTTCCCAGTTTTCTTATGTTGAGTACTTAAGCTATTCTTTTTGTTTAGATATGCCTGTGGTTTACTTTTTCCTTTCCAAAGAACCAGCTCTTGATTTTTACTTTCTATATTTTTTCTGTTTTATAAATTTATTCATTGCTTTTCTTTGTTTTCTCCTTTCCATTTTTCTTATGTATTTTAATTTTCTTGTACTACTTGAGTTAAAAGCTAATTTTTTATTTTATTCTATCTTCTTGTAATATCAGTCATTTTTTTCTTCAGAGAAATACATATTTTAACTATATTCCATAGGTTCATGAAAGGCTTCACTATTTTTACTTTATATTTTATAGTTTTAGTTTTAATATCCTCTTTTGATTTAAGAATAAAATTTGGTACATGATTAATATATGTAAAATCTACATCCTTAGTGATTCATTTCCTATTTGATTTTTGTTTGACAACAAAGGGAAGTTATTGGGGTTTATTTTGCCTCCATTTATACCTGCAATTTTTGCTTTATGAATTTTGATGGTATATAATCTGAGAACAAAAATGTTTAATAGTTTGATTCTATACCTAAATCAAATGTCTATTTCTTGATTTATCAACTTTAGAAAATGCATATTTATAACCTAGTATGAAATGAGAAAAATTTCCCTCTTCACATGTTGATTTTGTTGCAACAAATATTTAAGTCTTTGGTCAGTTATATTCATATCTTTAAATGTTATTAAATATTATTTTTAATATTTCTTAAACTGTAACTATTAATTATCTACTTTGTAAGGGAATATGTACAGATATATATTACATTTTCTCCTCTGCTGAAACTTCACATTTGTTACTCATTATTTATACTATCTCCATTATAATCTATGAATAAGTTATTTATGTTAATGTTTACAAAATTTGCCTACACTTTATTAGTACATTTTGCATCCTATTTAAGTCTTAGTTGTATGGGTATGTGATTTCTTCACCCAGTGCTTACTAGGCGAAATTTGATATCCAAATAATATCTCTGAGGTTTCATATTTATTAGTTGGGGAATAAAATTCATGAGTCACATTTTTTTCTTCCCTGAGGTTGCCCTACTCTTTGCCAGGACATTGCTGTGGAGAAGTCTGTGACCAAAGTTTTTCACACTTGGAGAAGGCTTCCTCTTTTGGCTTGCTGCTAAAATAATTCTTTATCTTTGAAATATGGTAACAATTAGCTGCTAATCGAGTAACACCTAGAACATCTAATCTTTTTGTAAATCATGTATCATGATTTCTCTTTGCCTTTCTGGGTCATCGTATTATATTTAATTCTCCAGATTCAAGTGTTTATATAAGAAAAGTATTATTGCATTATATCTTTGAGCATTTTTTGTCTACTCTTATTTCTGTTTGCTTACTCAGAAATCATTTTTACATATAGTATCTGCTCCCTATTTTCATTTGTTATTTTCTCCTTTCTTTATGTGTTTCCTATTTATTTGAATGTGTTAGCCTCTGTGTCTATGGCTATATTTTCTTAAATCTTTGTCATTTTTGCAGTTTCCCATGTGGATTTTATTTCTGTCATTATTTTATCTTCCTCTTATTTCCTGAATATTGCCTGCTTGTAATTTCTTTCTGTTTTCCTATTTATGGTTAATGCCATGTAATTTTGTTTTTCTTTCATCAAAGCTGTGTGTGTGTGTGTGTGTGTGTGTGAGAGAGAGAGAGAGAGAGAGAGAGACGGAGAAGCACAGATTTTTGCTTATTTCCTGGCATAATTATTATTCTAGTGCATACTGCATACTATTTGATTTTTATTTGCTATTATAAATTAATCATTTTTACCTTTTCCCTTAGAGCATATTGTGCTTAGGTTCCAGGATTATTAAATAGTGGTTATTTTTTGAAGATAGATTACTTGTTAGAAAATAAATGGTGGTGGAGAGTGCACTAGTTCAGCAGACAGATTGAATTTTCTTGTATGTTAATGTTGAACACTTTTCATCAACTTTGTTCTGTTCTCTTCCCTAAACAATATGCTCCTAATTTGTGCTGTCATCGTTTAAATTCCAAAGGTTCTGTGTAGTTATTTGGCCATGATCTATTTCTTTTCAGTGACTGAGATCAGCTGCTTCTATGTTGATTGCCACTTAACATTGTCCTCTGTATTATCACAACTTTATTCTGAAAAAAAAAAAAAAATGAGTGTTATGTGGAACCGTTGTTTAACCCCGCCTTTCATGAATGTCACTGGTTCAAGGATATCCCCTTAGTCTGTCCATGTCTGAACATCTTCCCATTTCAAGTAAGGTTTAGTGGCTGCATCCTTCAGAGCTGTATCAGCTTCCCCTGGAGAACTCTTCCTATTTCCTCAAACAAGACCAGTATGCATTTTCTCTTGTACCTCTTTTACAGTTTATTGATGTTTCACTATTTGGTTGATATTATTCAGAATTCATAGTTAGAAAATATGGTTAATCCTCAGTTTTACTGAAGATCAGGCTTCTTCCTCTAACTTTTATGTTTTACTCTTTATGTTATTTAGTGGGCTGTTTGTCATGATGAATAGATTTTTAATGCCAAAAAAATGACATTGACTTGATGTTCAATCTCATGTAGATGGGAGATAAAATAATTAAAATATGATCTTCTGCAAGAAGCAGGGTGTTTTTAGATTTTTGAAAGTATTCCTTTAATAACATTTTTACTTCCACTTATCTGTCTTTGTTATTTTTTCTTGATTTGATTTTCATTGCATACAACTGATTCTCACCTGACAAATTAGAGTCACATTATTATTATTTATTCATTATAATTTACTAAATATTATTTAAATCCAATCATTATGATAAGTTCTAGTGTTTTGGTTCAAGATGAATAGAAAATGGACCCTGTTCTAAGGGGAGCATCATAAATCTGAAGAAACATAGATATAAATTAAAAAGTCATAAAGAAAGATATTATTTGCTTTAGTGCAACTATTCTTGTGGTGCTGTAAGAGCACAATGGAAAAGACATTTACCTTTTTCTATGGAAGACGAGTTTCAAAAAGTGTCACTGGTTAATTTCTGAGGTGGATCTAAAAGTATGGATGAGTTTTTTAAGTTGAGTAATGATCCAAAGAGAATATAATATCAAAAAGACAAGATATGTTCATGGAGCACCCAGAACATGCGTTGTTGAAAGATGGCGAGAATGAGGGCAGGTGCTGTGGCTCATGCCTGTAATTCCAGCACTTTGGGAGGCCAAGGCGGGTGGATCATGAGGTCAGGAGATCGAGACTATCCTGGCTAACATGGTGAAACCCTCTCTCTATTAAAAATACAAAAAAATTAGCTGGACATGGTGGCGGGCGCCTGTAGTCCCAGCTGCTCGGGAGACTGAGGCAGGAGAATGACGTTAACCCAGGAGGCGGAGGTTGCAGTGAGCCGAGATTGTGCCACTGCACTCCAGCCTGGGCGACAGAGCGAGAGTCCGTCAAAAAAAAAAGGAAAAAAGAAAGACGGAGAGAATGGGGGAGGAACTTAGAGGGTGGTGTTCAATGAGGTCACAGAAGTTAATTTAGGTACAATTATAAAAAGAATGTATTACATACAAAGGGATTTAAAGCAAGAAAGTTTAACAATCACATTAGAATTTTAGAAAGTACTGTGAGAGTAGACTGGAGGATGTGTTGGGGAGGAAGAAGCTGAACTCAGGGACATTAGTTAGGCCATTATTGTAGTATTACAGATGAGATTCAAAGAGAACCTGAAATAAGATATTGAGCTGTGGCAAGCATGTGAATAATACTACTTCACAATGTACATGTCACACAGCCCTACTTGGTGACTTCTGATTAACGATCCTTATTGTCATTGGGATTACAGGAGACACACAGTCAGTCTTTTGTTTCTGAGGTTTCCCTGTGCAGACTCAACCAACTTGGGATCGAACATATTAGAAAAAATAAAAAAAAACGTAATACTACAATAAAAATAACATAAAATACAAAACAATACAGTATAACACTATTTAAATAGGATTTATATTGTATTAGGTATTAAAAGTGATCTAGAGAAGATTTATACTATATGGGAAGATGTGCATAGGTTATCTGAAAATATTATGCCATTTTATATGAAAGACTTGAGCATCTATGGATTTTTGTACTGGAGGGGTGAAAGAGGTGTCCTAGAACCAACACCCCATGGATATTGATGGACAACTGTATTTTGAAAATATTTAGGATATATTTCAAAAGAGATGGAATTGACAGTCTTTATAACACTTTGGTCCTGAAGAGGAAAGGGTAGAATAAGATCTCAAGATTGGTTATAGATACAACAACAAAAAGAGAAAACTTCAGGCCAATAACCTTTATGAACAGCAATGAAAAAATCCTCAACAAAATATCGGCAAACCCAATCCAGCAGCACATCAAAAGCTTATCCACCATGATCAAGGAGGCTTCATCTCTGGGATGCAAGGTTGGTTCAACATATGCAAATCAAGAAATATGATTCATCACATAAACAGAACTAAAGACAAAAACCACATGATTATCTCAATAGATGCAGAAAAAGGCTTTTGATAAAATTCAACATCCCTTCATGTTAAAAACTCTCAATAAACTAGATGTTGAAGGAACATACCTCAAAATGATAAGAACCCTATATGAAAAACCCACAGCCAACATCATACTGAATGGGCAAAAGCTGGCAGCATTCCTCTTGAATACCAGCACAAGACAAGGATGCCCTCTCTCACCACTCCTATTCAACACAGTATTGGAAGTTCTGGCCAGGGCAATCAGGCAAGAGAAGGAAATAAAGGGTATTCAAATAGTAAGAGAGGAAGTAAAACTATCCCTGTTTGCAGATGACATAATTCTATATCTAGAAAACCCTGTTGTCTCAATCCCAAAGCTTCTCAAGCTTATAAGCAAAGTCTCAGGATACAGAATCAATGTGCAAAAATTGCTAGCATTCCTATACGCCAACAACAGGCAAGCAGAGAGCCAAATCATGAGTGAATTCCCATTAACAATTGCCACAGAAAGAATAAAATACCTAGGAATACAGCTAACAAGGGAGGTAAAAGATCTCTACAAGGAGAACTATAAACAACTGCTCAAATAAATCAGAAATGACACAAACAAATGGAAAACCATTCCATGCTCATAGATAGGACAGATAAATATCATTAAAATGGCCATCTGCCCAAAGCAATTTATAGATTCAATGCTATTGCCATTAAACTGCCATTCGCATTCTTCACAAAATTAGAAAAAACTATTTAAAAATTCATATAGAATCAAAAAAGAGCCTCAATAGCCAGGCAATCTTAAGCAAAAAGAAAAAAGCTGGAGCCATCACTCTACATGACTTCAAACTATACTGCAGGGCTACAGTAACCAAAACAGCATGGTACCAGTACAAGAACAGACACATAGACCAATGGAACAGAGTAGTGAACCCAAAAATAAGTCCACACATCTATAACTATCTGATCTTCAACAAGCCTGACAAAAATAGGTAATGGGAAAAAGATTCCCTATTCAATACTGGGAATAGGGAAAACTGGGTACTGGGAAAACTGGCTAGCTATAAGCAGAAAATTGAAAGTGGACCCCTTTTTTACACTATATTCAATAATTAACTTAATATGGATTAAAGATTTAAATGTAAAACTCCAAACTATAAAAACCCTGTAAGACAACCTAGGCAATACCATTCAGAGGCATGGGCAAAGATTTCATGATGAAGATGCCAAAAGCAATTGCAACAAAAGCAAAATTGACAAATGAGATCTAATTAAACTAGAGTTTCTTCACAGCAAAAGAAACTGTCAGCAGAGTAAACACACAGCCTACAGAATGGGAGAAAAATTTTGCAAACTATGCATCTGACAAAGGTCTAATATCTAGCATCTATAAGGAACTTAAACAAATTTACAAGAAAAAAACAACCGCATTAAAAAGTGGGCAAAGGACATGAACAGACATTTCTCAAAAGAAGACATAAATGTGGCCAACAATCATATGGAAAAAAGCTCAACATCACTGGTCATTAGAGAAATGCAAATCAAACCACTGAGACACCATCTCACACCAGTCAGAATAGCTGTTATTAAAAAGTAAAAAAATAACAGATGCTGGTGAGGTTGTAGAGAAAAAAGAACACTTACACCCTGTTGGTGGGACTGTAAATCAGCTCAACCATTGTGGAAGACAGTGTGGCAATTCCTCAAAGACCTAAAGACAGAAATACCACTGAACCTAGCAATCCCATTATTTGGGTATATACCCAAATGAATATAAATCATTGTATTATAAAGACACATGCACATATATGTTCACTGCAGCACCATTCACAATAGCAAAGACATGGACTCAACCTAAATGCCCATCAATGATAGACTGGGTAAAGAAAATGTGGTACATAAATACCATGGAATACTATGCAGCCATAAAAAAGAATAAGATTATGTCCTTCACAGGGACATGGATGGATTTCGAGGCCATCATCCTTAGCAAACAAACTCAGGAACAGAACACCAAATACCACGTGTTTTCACTTGTAAGTGGGAGCTAAGAGATGAGAACACATGGACACATAGAGGGGAACAACATACACTGAGACTTACTGGAGGGTGGAAGGTGGGAGGAAGGATAGGACCAGAAAAAATAACTAATGGATACTAGGCTTAATATCTGGGTGATGAAATAATGCATATAACAAACCACCATGATACACGTTTACCTATATAACAAAACTGCACAACCTGCATGTTCCCTGGAACTTAAAAGTTAAAAAAAAAAAATAGATTGGTGACAAAGTTATTATAATTGGTAGGGATTTTCTTAATCCAGACAAAATTCAGGAGAGGATCATGTTTTATATGGCAAAATAAACATGGGAGAAATTTTGAGTGAAGTTTTGGTTATCTTGAGTTTGCTTTTCCTGGGCAACATTCACGTGAATATTAGTGGAGCACTGGTTAGAGATCTGGGCTGGAGAGTTTGATTTGAGAATCTTAAGATCAATGTGATCATTGAAGACATGAATGCAGATAAGATTATGCAAAAAGAGGATCTAAGCTGAGAAGAGAAGACAAGGGTAATGAGAATGGATTCTTGGCCAACGTCAATGCTTAACGGAAGAAGATAGCATTCAATGGAGCAGTCTAATAATGGGAAAGCAAGAAAGGAGAGAATGGTGTCACAAAAACCCAGTAAGAAGAAACTTCAGTATCAAACATCACACAGGGCGTAGTAAGATGAAGACTGAAAGGAGGTTATTTGACTAGAATCTAAAAGGTCTCTGATGATCTTAATGAAAAAAATTTCAAAAAATATGAAGAAGATTAATTATAGTAGATGGAAGAGTAAATTTGGGTTGGGGAAATAGAAAAGATAAACGTAGATTATTTTTTCCAAAAATGCTGGGTATAAAGAGAAGTTATTTTGATAATTTGTTGTAAAACATTGCCCCTTTCGGCTGGGCGCGGTGGCTCACGCCTGTAATCCCAGCACTTTGGGAGGCCGAGGTGGGCGGATCACGAGGTCAGGAGATCGAGACCATCCCGGCTAAAACGGTGAAACCCCGTCTCTACTAAAAAATACAAAAAATTAGCCGGGCGTAGTGGCGGGCGCCTGTAGTCCCAGCTACTTGGGAGGCTGAGGCAGGAGAATGGCGTGAACCCGGGAGGCGGAGCTTGCAGTGAGCCGAGATCCCGCCACTGCACTCCAGCCTGGGCGACAGAGCGAGACTCCGTCTCAAAACAAAACAAAACAAAACAAAACAAAAAAACCTTGCCCCTTTCCGTTTCATGTGTCCCCACCACTCCCCCACTGCCCCCATTTTCTCTTCTCAGGTAATACAGTTCTATTTTAACATCTTAACCCACCCAGTCAATGAACAGGGACAATCTAGGCCCACTTGGGAATTGTCTCTGTCAGTGTGCCAGCATTTATTAATAGAAAACTTTGACTGGGCATTATTCTTTTGCCTCTGAAGGTTTATTTAGTCACCCTTTTTGGGTGCCTTATGTCTATCTAATATTATATTATTTAAAGAAAAATTACCTTTGAGATTTTAGAAAACAAAAACTAGTTGAAAAATGGGTAGATACACTATGAACCATTAACATAGGTATGTTTAGTGACCTCACTAGATAGGTTTAGACTTATTTTAAAACATACTCCTCCCTGTAATTAAATCACTAATCCAAGTATATAGGAAGACTTAGTCATGCTTATTGTCTCTGAAGGATCCTTTTCTTTATTTTCTCCCATCCAGCTTCTTGTTCAGTACTTCAGTCCTATGCTAGAATTCACCTTCTGCTTATTATTGTATAAGGGTTGCTATTCTTACTACAAAAGTTTGTTGCCAGTATTTCTGTTGCTATGGCTGCTGAACTGCTTCTTTGTGCTCTAAAAATCATATTAAGCAAGGTTCCATTTATCATTGGATTAATTATTAGAGTATGTACTCCAACTACTTTGAAGCCATTTTACACTGTGTTTTCCAGCTAACTCTGCTCTGACATTTCCGCAGGATCATTGTGATATTTTTTTCTAGGGCTATGCTGTCCATCTCTTTCTTGCCTCCTAGCCACTCAGATAAGCCTGGTCTCTGAGTAAATTGTGGCTATGTATTTACAGAATTTCTAAGCCTTCACTTATTCTATTGCTTCCTCTTAGCTTTTTGCAAAGGGTATTTATATACCTCTTAAAGGAAAGCTTGTTGGGGAAAAATAGTTTAGTTACGTTTAACACAAAAAACATTTCTAACTTCCATCACATGCATACTTAATTTACTATATGCACACATATGAAGATATATCTACCTTAAATAATCATTAACACATATAAATGATCATCAATATAACATTCAAACAAAACATTGGAATTTAGTTCTTCTATTCCAATAATATACAGTGGGCCTTATATCAATAAAGATAATCGGTTTTTTAATTTCTCAATGGGTTCCTAGTTAAAGATTAATTTTCTAACCCCTTTCCAGCCCTCTTTCAAATATACTCTAGTCTAAACCCTTGATTTTAACCGTGTTATAGGGTTAAGTCTTTTCTGCTTCTGTCAAAAGCCAGGCTAAGGCAAATCCATCAGGAAAAACAAGACTGGAAAACAAATGTAAACTTTATACTCTTTGAACCTCTTTAAACTTTATCCCTGTATTAAATTTGATCACAAGAAAAGCTCAACATCTGGTCTTTACAAAGTTACAATTTCATGTTGAAACCTTTGGCTTTTTTTCTTTTTAATGAAACTGCTTTCAAAGGCAAGATCCATTATGTTGCTCAACACCCTCCACGGAAAGAGCCTTGCAACAAATACCTCTCAGAACTGAGGATCAGCAAAGAGATGTTTTGATGAATTAAAGTGTTCTTCTACTAGGCTGTGAGTGCTATCCAGCCCATTCTATTTTTGAGTTTACTTGGCTGTTCCAAGCCTACTATGAAGCCTTGACCTCTACTGCTATAGCTTTTCTCAGGCAATGTTAATGTTAGATAAAAAGCAAAGTAGTAGTTTAATCCTTCTATTCTTTGCTAGCAATTCTTAATCTTATCTTCTCTGTTCTATAAGTCTTATTTTTTTGTCACCTGCTTTAAATGAAGGATAAAGAATATTTACTTTTTTAAAGCCTCTCTTTTTTGGTCAGAATTCCTTAAACCTTGACCTTTTTCCAAATCTCTGTGGCACCATCTCCCTTTCCTGTCCCTATCATTCATCAGAGCTATTACTGACACTCTTCTTGAACACCATTAGAAAAACAGGCTAAATGAATACTTCATAGAAGTTCCTTCCTAATCTATGTATATAAAAATCTATGATTAAGATTTTATATATCAGAAATATTACTAGACTAAAAGGTAGTTTAGATATATGTAAGCTGACAGCTTGGTTCATTTAAAATAAATTATTCCATATGACGCTAACACACAATTTGGTAACTTTTTTGTTTCTTAAGGCTTACCTGAGCAATGTGGGTAAGAAAATGCCTAAATCATGTAATCAGTATTTCCAAGTTTATTATGATATGATTTATATGATATGATATGGATATATATGATATGATATGGATAACAATCAGTTGTCTGCTTAAATTTCCCTTATTTCAATTTCTTATTTAGAAAAGCAGTATTTGTTATTGGTGATTAAAACCAATTTGTTATTGGTGATTAATCTAAAGGATCACAAAATTTTTATACCAAGTCAAATTTAATGATTCAGAAAACTAGAAGTAAAAACAGATAAGTTTGGATGTCAAATTCCAATTCTTCATAATTAGAATGTGGTCAATGAATGCACTTTTTAACGTTTGAGAAATACATTAAACCACTGATTTTCTCAATAACTTTTCACTAAAGAAAGGAGTAATATGCCTAAGTGAGTATTTATTATTTTTTTTTACAACAGTTCTAATAGCACTCATTCTTCTGCAGTAAGCAGAAGCCCATCACTGTAAAGATGCTATAATATGCAATGCTCTATCTTCCTTTCCATCTAATTTGAAGGATGTCCGCCCATTCTGGCACTGAAGAAGAATGACAATTAGTTTGCTTTTTGGCTATGATTACTATCTTTCTGCTCTTAAAGACTCCTTTATGATTTGCTTACATTTGATCTTTAGAAGGAATTGCAAACTGAATCCAGACACTAGAAGGTGCTCTGAAGAGGGGGAACAAAAGATGGGGACCTGCGTAGGATTGAATAGGCCGACATAAGTAGGATTGAATCGAAGGGCAAGAGTGAAAGTGAGAGACCAAATTAAGAAAACTCTTACTCGAATTGTCATGTCTGAAGTTCTGGAACCAGTTCATCTTGTAACAGTGTTGGATAGGGATTCTGCATGGCTTGCTTTAAGAGAAGTGACATTATATGAACACAGACAAACTTCAGCATTTACTGGAAATAAAAAAAAATGCCAGACCAGATTTGACATCAATAAAAAACATTAAATTCTTTCCTCACCTTAATCACCCTATGCAGTTCTACTTGTGTATTAAACAAAGACTGTTAATACCTCACTTCCATAGTCACTGAATTCTTTCACTATGATGAATGTTTGCAATTAAACTCTATTTACACACTTGCTTAATAAGATTATGGAAAATTACTCAAATTTTTAATTGATTTTTTTTCAGACTTGAAAAAGTCTAAGCACATTAATTATGGCCAGTTGAATGCATTATGCCACATTAGAGGACAACACAGGTAAGCTATTCATGCATTTCTTTTTCTGTCATTCAAATGAATATGAGTATTTTTGTTTTAGGGATAAAGTATAGTAATAAACCATTGCTGGCTCTCAGAGGTACCTGATTTATCACACAGATAAAAACAGTTGAAAACCTGGGGGTTATTTCTTCAGATTGAAGGGGCAGAATATATATGTCACATCTTAAGGAAACAATTTAGTGTGAAACAAACATAACTCATTCCTAGCTGGCTCTTTGTAGTACTTAAAAAGCAGTCATAAGGGGAAAAAGCCTTAAGTGGTTGAAAACACACATACTGAATGAAATAAGTACCTGAGCAGTGAATAGGGAATGCCTCATTGAAATATACTGGAACCAGAGAACTAGGAAATATCACTGTTCAAAGCTCAGGATTCCTAAGATGTGTAATACTTGAAGATTTAATTTTAAGAGATCTATTTCCTTGACAACTCCTTTCTCCAAGTTGGGTTTTTGGAATTATAAAACTGGTTATTTCCTTCCATATGCATCAGTGTCCATCCACCCTCTTACCTTCCTTCACTCATCCTTCATGGGACTGTTGAGGAAGGCCTTAGGTTTACAGAGTTTTCTCTCTCTACTTTAAAACATCTCCAAGTCACATCCTTGTACTTTGCAATCCATTTCAAATTATTTTTATACTGTTGTCTATTTTCTCATTTCTTCTGTCTCAGAGAGAGAGAAGAAGGCATGCAACTTTGATATTGCTTGGATTTCTGTCAAGAGGGATCATTTTCCCCTGTGCATTGCTGCCTCCTCCTTGCACCCAGTGCCTTTCGACATGGAGTAAAGAATGAAGTCCACACACTCCCGAGACCTATTGCCTGATGTGAATCCTGTCTCAGCCACTTACCCTCTGTGTGACTTTAGACTGCTTACTACATTTCTCTGCCTTGGTTTTTTCATTGGTAAAATGGAGATAACAGTACTCACTTTAAAGGGTTACTAGGATGATTAAATGAGCCTAATATATGTAAATAGCGTCTGGCACATAGTAAGGGTTCCAGAAGTGTTAGTTATTTTTATTATTTTTGTTATGCAAAAAAGCTCATCCAATATTTTAAGTGTCTTGAAAAATTTTAACATCCAAGCTTTGAATCTATCTTATATGTTGGTCCCTTTTCTAATGCATGAGATGCTAATCAAGGCTTTGAATGTCCTTTTTGCTTTCATTTTCGTTTTGCTTTCTGGCCCAGACGCATTTCATTTTTCAAAATACTTCTAGTTTTTTTTTCTCTTTGGGGGGTCATAATAAGAGAGCTTGAATCATCTAGAGCTAGTTCTCTCAAAGTATCCCCTCTAAATAAATGTGATCAGCCTTACTCTTCCTGGATTGAATCATTCCTCTTGGGTGGTGTCGTCTTGTGAGACAATTATCTCATTCAGGTCCAATCTGGCTGTACTGCCTGACTCCCTCTAGTAAGTCTTATGTTTACTATGTCTTTTGTTAGAAACCCAAATCCTGAAATTGTTGGATGTGTTCTTTTGGAGCACTGGTACACACCAGGGGCCTGGGGGAACAGGTTTTAAGGTATGTGTATATAGGTTTTGCATCATTCTGTTAGAAATACAATATATAGTTACAAATACAAAATCAGATAGGAAGATAAATATTTATTTGGAATGAGGATAAAATTACAACAAATTAATAAAAGCTTGGAAGTTCAGGTCCCTTTTCTCACTTGACATTTCTTTAGACAATTTACCAGAAATACATTCACAGGAATTATTTAAAAACTTCAGAATTCAAGTGATGTCAACAAATTGAGAGGCAATTTAGGAAAAATGTATTTCTCCATATTATTAGTTCTTTATGTATTATAGATGAAAAGTGACCAATAAATTACACTTTTCCCCTATAATAAAAATAGAAAGGCTGAGAATTAAATGATTCAAGGTTTTAAATTTTTGTACATAGAACTCACAAAGGGCATTAGTTTTGATTCTAAAAAGTTTCTTCTGTTAGAATAAAGGCAGTAGGTTGGTATATTATCCTGGGATTTTTTATTGAAGATAAAATAAAAAATTAATAACAAAGGGGGGATGATATCACTTTGGATTTCTAAATTTTTGAGTGCAAATTTTTCATCCTAGTAGACTACAAGCTCCATGAAGGCAGATTTATTTTATTTATTTTAGTGCTTCCTACTCCTTGACATTTGGCATAGAGTTCAATGTTTTGCACTGGATTTTATTTTGATGTTCAGTAGAAATAAATATCTTCTGATGATTCAAAAAAATGTACAAGAGTTTTCTGTGTTGATTATAAATAAGTTAGGATAGATATGGATTTATAGTGTTTTTTTAACTATTGTCTGGAGAGCGGATTATTTTTAAATATTTTAATCGGGAAGTCTTAATTATATACATTTTTGTGATAAAATATGTTTTTGTATATGTATACAATGTGGAATAATTAAATCAATATGTTTAATATATCCATCACTTCTCTTACTTTTTTGTGATGAGACATTTGAAATTTGCTCTTCTGGCTATTATATAAACAATACATTTTTATTAACTTTAGTCACCCTGTTGTGCAATAGATCTTAAAATCTTTTTACTCCTGTTTAATTGAATCTTTATACCCTTTCGTCAACATCTCCACATTCCTCCCCAGCAACCTGGCTCCTAGTAACCACCATTCTACTCTCTGCTTCCACGACTTTCATGTTTTCAGATTCCACCTCTATGTGAGATCATATGGTATATGTCTTTCGGTGCCTGCTCTATCTTACTTAGCATAATGTCCTTGATGTTATTCATGTTGTTGCAGAAGAATTTTCTTCTTTTTAAGACCGAACAGTATTCCACTGTGCATAAGTACCACATTTTTTTAGCCGTTTATTCACTGATGGACATTTAGGTTGATTTCACATTTTGGCTATTGTGAACAGTGCTGCCATAAACATGGGAATGCAGATATCTCTTCCACATATTGATTTCAGTTTCTTTGGATACATACCCAGAAGTGAGATTCCTGCATCATATGTTAATTCTATTTTTAGTCTTTCTGAGGAAACTCCATACTGTTTTCCATAATGGCTGTACTATTTTACATTCCCACTAACAATGTACCTGTATGAGGGTTCCTTTCAGTTCAGGTCCTCATCAGCACTTACCTTTCTTTTTGATAACAGCCATTCTAACAGATATGAGGTAATATCTCACTGTGGCTTTAGTTTTCATTTCCCCATTGATTAGTGCTATCAAGCATTTGTTATTTTTTTTTTCATGAACACATTGGCTATACATATGTCTTCTTTGGTAAAGTAGGTGTTCAAAAACTCTGTCCATTTTTAATTGTTTTTTTTTCCCTTGCTACTGAGTTGAGTTCCTTGTATATTTGGATATTAATTCCTTATTTGATATATAGTTTGCAAATATTTTCTCTCATTCTGTAGGTTGTTTCTTCACTTCGTTGATTGTTTCCTTGGTTGTGCAGAAGCTTTTAGTTTGATGTAATCTCATTTGATTGTTTTTGCTTTTGTTGCCTGTGCTTTCAGGTCATACTCAAAAAATCGTTGCTTAGACCAATGTCATGGAACTTTTCCCCTATGTTTTATCCTAGCAGTTCTATGTTTAAGTTTTAGATCTTTTGTATTTAATCATTTTGAGTTTATTTTTGTATATGGTGAGAGATAAGGGTCTAATTTCATTCTTCTGCTGTGGATATCCAGTTTTTTAAAGCACCACTTATTAGACAGACTGTCCTTTTTCCATTGTGTGTTCTTGGCAATTTTGTCAAAAATCAATTTATTATAACTGTGGGTTTATTTCTGGGTTTTCTATCCTGTTCCATTGATCAGTATGTCTGTTTTTATACCAGCATCATACTCTTTTGATTATACTAGCTGTATAATATATTTTGAATTCAGGGAGTGAGATGCCTTTGGCTTTGCTCTTTTTGCTTGAGACTCTTTTGGCTGTTTGGGGTCTTTAGTAGTTCCATGCAAATTTCAGAATTGTTTTTTCTATTTTTGTGAAGATGACATTGGAATTGTGATACAGTTTGCCTTGAATCTGTAGATCACTTTTGGTAGTATGGACATTTTAACAATATTAATTCTTCTAATCAGTGAACATGGATATCCTTCTATTTACGTTTTCAATTTCTTTCATTAGTGTTTCAGTATACAGATCTTTAAACTTTTTTGGTTAAATTCACACCTAAGTAATCTATTTTTGTTGTTGCTATAGTAAATAGAATTATTTTTCTAGGATTTTTTTGGGTGGTTTGTATATAGAAGCATGACTAATTTTTGTACGTTGATTTTGTATATCCTGCAACTTTACTGAATTTATTTATTCTAATAGCTTTTGGTGGAGTCTCTAGGCTTTTATACTTATAAGATCCATATTGTCTGCAAATAGAGAGTTTCCCTGCTTCCTTCCCTATTGGGCTGTATTTTTTTTCTTTATTTTGCCTAATTGCTCTGGCTAAAACTTTCAATACTGTGTTGAAAAGAAGTAGTGAAAGTGGGCATACTTGTCTTGTTCTTGATCTTAGATGAAAAATTTTCAACTTTTCACCTTTGAGTATAGTGTTAACTGTAGGCTTATCATATATGGCCTTTATTGTGTTTAGGTTCATTCCTTCTGTTGAGGGTTTTTATTATTAACAAAGGTCAAATACTTATAAAAACTATAACCCATGAACAGTTGGATACTTATAAAAACTATCACCTGTGAACAGCTTTTAGCCCAAAGTCCATTTATAAATTAATTGTCAAGCATTCAGAATTTTCCAAAGACACAATATGATAGAATCATAGAATTGTAGAACAGGAAGTCAACTCAATCATCTAGTGGAAACTCTTTAACCTAAATATGATTGTTAATCATCGTTATTTAAAACAAAAGAACTAACTGACAAAGTCATAGAGTACCCAATTTTCCCTCATTTGCTCAAAATATATCTGAAATGTTATGCTTTTATAATAAAGAAGAAAATAACATTTTAAGATTTATAGTAAATCTTTAATGAAAAAATTAAAAATTGAGTAGTTTCTCATTGTTTCAGTACATTTAATTAGAAAAGTATTAAGAGTTCGATAGAGACAATTATGATGATTTTAAGGAGGTTCCTGGAAAACCCTTTACAGTATATTCGTTATTAATTTTTGTTTCAAAATATCTTACTTTCCTTTTTCTTCCCTTTTTTCACTCACAGGATGTTGGTGAGAACCTTTCTTTTTCTTAATGAGAATGTTTTGATAATTCTGTTGGCTTTCCGGACATAATTAGACATGTATTTTTGTCTTAAGAAATAAAGAAATGAAGAGATAGGGGACTTTTATTTTTATGGATATAAAGTTTGGAAGAGAAAGGAAAGGGAGGAGAGCTTTAAAAGGATGGTTTATGTACACATAAAAGAAATGATCTGAGCTTCGAGCCATTAAACATTGCTTTGTCTGGAATGAAGCCATTTTTTATTTTGAGGTTTCCTCTGATGACCACTAGCTGGCACTCTCAATCCAGAACAGCCCTGTCTTTTGGGATGGCAGAAAATGTGGGCAGAGATAGGTGGGATCTTACATTTATTCAATAGGTTGTTAACAAGTTGGAGGCTTATAATTCAAGGCATGCCTATTCATAATGTTTTACCTAACGTGTACACTCTTATAGCCAATTGTTTAGGCGGGATTTTCTACCTAGGGCAGTACCTTCACTAGGGAGCATTTGAAATGTATACACATTTATAGTTATTACCACGACTAGAAGGAAGTGGGGGATTTTAAACCTTTAGTGATGTGAAGTAAAATCTTGCACACTGTCCCAACCAAAATGTCAATAATCCTCCTTCTCCCATCTTCCCTTCCCCTTAAGGAACACTGGTCTAGATGATATTATCTTAAACTTACTCAAATTAGAGGAGTTGCTATAGATAATCGCTAGGATTTCATTAACCTTCAGATTTCCCTAGATCTTGATTTCAGAAACAAATCATTCTTTCCTGAAAACTTGCTTTCTTTCTCTATTTCTATCCATATCACTACAGTTAGCCTGTAAACTCCTGGAAAAAAAAGCAACCCTATTAGTTTGGTGCTCTTGAGAGTTTTTATTGCTTATTTCAGTGCATGATACATAGCTGACATTCAAAAAATACTTGTGGAATGCCTGCATTTACCCAGTAATTAAAGTATGAAAATCTTGCAGGCATGTTTTGTTACCTTTTCTCTTTATTTCTCCATGTGTTATAATTAGATTCTGCTGTTCCATTGTATCTCTATTGTTTATCACTCATTTTTTAATCTACTACTCCACTCTAGCTTTTATTACCTGAATCCAGGACTACCAAACTTATAAGTGGAATTACATTCTCAAATCTCTTCTCATCTTAATTCCACATTATGTACTACAAGTTAAATCTATTTTATTCATATATTTTAATAGATTAATTTTTTTTTTTTTTTTTTTTTTTTTTTTTTTTTTTTTGAGACGGAGTCTCGCTCTGTCGCCCAGGCCGGACTGCGGACTGCAGTGGCGCAATCTCGGCTCACTGCAAGCTCCGCTTCCCGGGTTCACGCCATTCTCCTGCCTCAGCCTCCCGAGTAGCTGGGACTACAGGCGCCCGCCACCGCGCCCGGCTAATTTTTTGTATTTTTAGTAGAGACGGGGTTTCACCTTGTTAGCCAGGATGGTCTCGATCTCCTGACCTCATGATCCACCCGCCTCGGCCTCCCGAAGTGCTGGGATTACAGGCGTGAGCCACCGCGCCCGGCCAATAGATTAATTTTTGAATAATTTTGGCTTTACAAAAAAATTGAGTAGAAAGTATAATTTCCATACATACCTTGACCCCTCCTTCCTAGTTTCCCATATGATCAATATCTTGCAGAAGCATGGTATATATGTTGCAATTTTTAGCCGATGTTGTTATTTACTATTAACTAAAGCCCATTTACATTAGGAATTACTGTTTGTGTTGAACATTGCAGGGCTTTTGACAAGTATATAATGACATGGAACAACCATTCCATGTAATGACGTGTGTTCAATGTTACAGAATAATTTTACTACTCTAAAAATCTTCTGCTCCATCTCTTCTCCCTCCCTTCTCCCTATCCTCAACCCCTGACAACCACTGATTTTTTTCCTCTGTTTCCATAATTTTGCCTTTTTTAGAATGTCATATAGTTGGAATAATACTGTATATATTATTTTCAGATTGCCTTCTGTCTTAGTCTGTTTTCTATTGCTATAAAAGAATATCAGAGATTAGATAATTTATAAAGAAAATAAATTTATTTCTCACACTTCTGGAGGCTGGGAAGTCAAAGGGCATGAGACTCGCATCTGGCAAGGGTGATCTAATGGTATAAGAGTGGAAGGCGAAAGCAAGCTTTTGAAAGATAGAGAAGATAGAGAAAGACACCAAGGACTAGACTTGCTTTATATCAATCTCATGATAATTAACCTTCTAATGTGATAATGGCATTAATTCATAAGTCATACCCTCATGACTCAATCACCTTTATTAAGCCCCACCTTACAACACTGTGGCACTGGGGATTAAGTTTCAAAAGCATGAATTTTGGGGGGCACATTTAAACCACAGCAGCTTCCTTCACTAAACAATATGTATTTAAATTTTTTTCTCTGTGTGTGTGTGCATGGTGTGTGTGTGTGTGTGTGTGTGTGTGTTTGGCTTGATAGCTCATTCCTTTTATTGCTGAATAATATTTATTGTATGGATATACCACAGTGTTTTTATCCATTCACTTATTGAAGCACATCTTGGTTGCTTTCAAGTTTTAGCAATTACAAATAAAGCTGCTATGAACATTTATGTGCAGGTTTTTGTGTGAACATGGGTTTTTGGGAAAATACCAAGGAGCATGCTTGCTGAATCATATGATAAGCTTATGCTTAGCTTTATAAGAAACTAGCAAACCGTTCCAACGTGGCTGTACCATTTTGTATTCCCACCCAAAATGAGTGAGTTTCTTTTGCTCCATAACCTCATCATCATTTGTGTTGTTGGTGTTTTGAATATTAGGCATTCTAGTAAATGTGTAGTGGTATCTTGTTGCTTTAGTTTGTAATTCCCTAATGACATATGATGTTTATCATCTTTTCATAAGCTAATTTCCACCTGTATGTCTTCTTGGATGAGGATCTGTTCAGATTCTGTCTGTTTTAAAATTGGTTTCTTTGTTTTCTTATTGTTGAGTTTTAAGAGTTCTTTGTAGATTTTGGATGCCAGCTATTTATCAAATATGTGTTTTGCAAATAGTTTCTACTATTTCTATGTCATTTCTGTGTCTTCTTTGGAGAAATGTTTATTCATGTCCTTTGCACATTTTTTAATTGTGTTGTTTGGTTTTCTATTGAGTTGTATGAGTTCTTTATACATTTTAAATATTAATCCCTTATCAGATATATTTTGGTTTTCAAATATTTTTCCCAAGTAGAGGCTACTATTGAGTTTATTTTTGTGTATGGCATAAGATAGGGGTACAATTTCATTCTTTTCCCATTTTAAAATTCATAAGGAAACATAAAGGACCCCAAATAGTAAAAACAATTCTGAGAAAGGAAAACAACGTTGGAGGCATTCTATTTCTAATTTTAATTATTTTTTAAAAATTATTTTTATGTATTGTTTTTAAATTGGTATATAATAACTGTACATGTTTGGGGGTACATGTGATACCCCCAATCTTTATAAAAGTACCAATGGCATTCTTCACAGAGTACCAATAGTACTTCGTTAAAGATTGCATTGAATCTGTATATTGGTTTGGATAATATGAACATTCTAACAATATTAATTTTTCTGATCCAGGGATGTCTTTGGGGCAGTGTATATCTTTCTATTTATTTGTGTCATCTGAAATTTCATCACTGTTTTATAATTTTCAGTGTACAGATCTTTCACCTTCTTGGTTTAATTTATTACTAAATTGGGTTTTTTTGATACTATCATAAAGGGGATTGCTTTCTTGATTCCTTTTTCATTTGTGTTGTTATTTGTGTATAAAAATCTACTAATTTTTTATTGACTTTGTATCCTGTAAATTTACTGAATTCCTTCATTAGTTAAAAAATCATAATTATTAAAATTAAAAACTCAAGACCACTCTTTGCAGCTTCCTGTCAGCTAGATTTGGCCATAAGACAGTGAGTGTTCTTGCCAACAGAATGGGAAAAGTAGTTGTAGAAATTCTGCAACATGAGTTAATCACAAAAGAAGATTGATACCTAAAGTATGTAAATAATTGCTACAAATAACCCAATAGAAAAATGGGAAATTGCTATGAATAGAAAATCATCAAAAAAAATTAAAATGGCCAATAAATTCATGGAATACAAATTAAACAAGACACAAATTTCATCCATAAAATATCAACTACTATAAAAGTTTGATAACTTCAAGTCTTGGTGAGAATGTGGGAAAAGATCTGCTCTCATATGCTGCTGGAAAAGTGGCAGATGTATAGGGAGAATCACCAGAACCAATTTCGTGGGCATGTGACTTATGCTCCAAAGGGCCTCATGCTCTGCTGTCATCATCTTGAAATGCTTAGTAATTTTTGAACAAGCTGCTCACATTTTCATTTTGCACTGGGCCCCGCAAATTATATAGCTGGTCTTGAAACTCACCAAATCAGCCATGATGCAATGAAAAAACAAAAAGTACCTCAATATTTGAAACATATGGGTGTTTAATACAGAAATCTAGTTACCAAAGAGTTAAAAGATCCAAAAGAGGAG
This sequence comes from Homo sapiens, assembly GCF_000001405.40. Classification (NCBI taxonomy): domain Eukaryota; kingdom Metazoa; phylum Chordata; class Mammalia; order Primates; family Hominidae; genus Homo; species Homo sapiens. The sequence continues at coordinate 86,897,355 of NC_000008.11, forward strand.
GGTGAGTTAACACAAATAAGTAACTGCGCAAAGTGGCTACTACCCTAAGACGGGGGCCTTGAAAGAGCAGACATGGTATGGAGTATGAAAAGAGGCTCTGGGATTGTCTAGGAGGAACCACCCAGATAGGCTAGAACTGCTAAGAAGGGACCAGAAAGCAGATAGTGAGTCTACCCAAGAATGGCTAAAGATAGTGGGTCTACCCAAGAATGCAGATAGTGAGTCTACCCATGAATGGCTGAAGGCAGAGGAACACAGCCAATTCCAGAAATGTCACCAGTAACAGGATAAAGAGAAAGCAAAAATATAATGTTTTTTTCCTCTTCTGATTTCTAGTCTACTACCTGCGCCTTCTATTGGCAAAATCTAATAGGATAAGACAGTTGGCAAGGAAGCCTATGAAGTGCAGTTTGCTAATTCCCAGACTCAACATTCCAGAACGGATAGAGAGTGCATTATGTGTTTATAATTAACTATTACATGCCCAGTACCCTAAAAGTACCTCTTAGTATTTTACCCCAGAGAAGCACCCACACATAAATAGGAAGGCATTTACAAGGGTGTTCACTGCAGCATTTTTTTTGAGATAGAAAAAAATGAAACAACTTTAGTGTTCATCATTAGGGGAATAGTTAAATAAAGTATGGCATATTAATACCATGAAATATTATGAAGAAGTTAAAAAGAATGACATATCTATTTGTTCAAATATGGGCAGGTCTCTAAGTCATGTTGTGGATGGGAAAAAAGTAAGTTGCAGATAGATTTTATAATATGGTATATCTTTTGTATACAAAGACCACACACGTAAACATAAATCTGTAAATATCTACTGGTTCACTGAAATGTATATAAAGACACAAAAAAGATTAAAAGAATATTCACTGATTTAACATGGGTTTTCTCTGAGGGTGGTGAAAAAGTTCAATGTTAAGTGATGGTCAGAATAGTGGTCAAAATAAAATTCAAAGTAACTTACATTGTTTTCAATTTTACAAGAGATTTTTCTCTTGCTTGTATACTCTTTGAATTACTAATTTAAAAAGAAATGAATACTCAGATTCAAGACTTACTATAAAGCTACAGCAATCAAGACAGTGTGGTATTAGCAAAATAGACAAGTGGATCAATTAAACAGAATACAGAGCTCATGAATAGACCCACACAAATATGTCAACTGATCTTTAACAAAGGAGCAAGCCAATTGAATGGAGAAAGTTTGGATTTTCAATAAATGATACTGAAACAACTGGATATCCATATCCAATAAATATATGTGTCTAGGCAGAGACCTTACATTATTCACAAAATTAACTCAAAATGGATCATAGACCTAAATTTAAAATGCAAAAGTATAAAACCATATAAGATAACAAAGAAAAATTCTAGGTAACGTTGGGTTTGGTGATGACTTCTTAGGTAATACACCAAAAGCATGACTGATGAAAGATAAAATGATTAAGCTGAACTTCCTTAAAATTTAAATCTTCTGCTCTGTCAAAGACACTGTTAGAAGAATAAAAAGGCAATGCAATTTACCTGTGTAACAAACCTGCACGTGTACCCCTGAACCTGAAATAAAAGTAAAAAAATAGAAATAAAAAATGTGGTTTATATACCCAATGGAATACTATTCAGCCCTAAAGAAGAATGAGATCTTGCCATTTGCTACAACATAGATGAACCCAGAGGCCCTTATGTTAAGTTAAATAAGCCAGACACAGAAAGTAAAATACTACATCATCCCACTTATATGTGAAATTTAAAAAAACGCAAATACAGAGATAGAGAACAGTGGTTACTAGGGGCAAGGGTGAAGGGAGGAAATGGGGAGATGTAGGTCAGAGGATACAAAGTAGAATATATGTAGGATGAACAAGTGAAGAGATCTAATATACGATATGAGGATTATAGGTAATAACATTGCACTGTATTTGGAATTCATGCTAAATGAGTAGATTTTAGCTGTTCTTGCCACAAAAAAAAAATGGGTAACTATATGAAATGATGGATATGTTAATTTGCTTCCCTATAGAAATCTTTTTATTATCTGTATGTATTCTAGAACATCATGTTGTACACTTAAATATATACAGTAAAAATAAAATTTAAAGATACTAAAAATATATGTAATTTTCAATTTGAGAATTTTCACTTAGTTCTTCAAGTTTGACTGGCTATTCCTGATATTCTCTTGTTATTAATCATCATTGTGATTCCCTCCTTTATTTTCATAAAGATTTTATATATAACTTTTATATTTTATATCTAACATAGAGTAATTTATAGGCTTAGGGATATAAATCTGATGTTGTTGCTGCTGGCTTGCGCTTATGGCAGCTTGTCTTTCCAGGTGATCTTTCTGTGAAAGATTTGCTTATTAACATGTAATAGTAACATGTGGCCTAAATTATGAAAAATTCTTCAACAGAGAATTTATATCTATCTCTTCCTAGGGTCAGTGTGCACCATCAAGCTAAGCTACTCCATTCTCCTTCAAGAGTCCTTCCACAAAGATGGCTGGGCTCCCCTCCTTGTTCCTTGGTCATGGCTCAATTCCTCCCACCCATGCTCCTTCGTATCAGTGACTGCCTTCAGCACACCCTACCCCTCCTCTCTGCCCATTGGTCACATCTCAAGTATCCACTCACTTTCCCCCCTCTTTTCTTGCAATGTGGTGGGCCTTTGAGACCTAGGTCACCTTTCATAAGACCAATAATGCACCAGAAATTTGTTATGCAGGATATGTGCAACAACAGGGCTCTTTAGAGAATTAAGACTGCCATGCTGCAAAAACCTTGAAGATTTTTTTTCTTTTTTTGCATTTTGGCATGTGTGCGTATAAGGTATGTTCTAAGGTATAAGGTATGTTCTTCTAAGGTATAAGATACGTTCTACACTACAGGAATATGAGTGCCAGATATTTCCTTTTTAATAGTTCTGTTCTCATGATAAAAGTTTTTCCTGAGTCTGTGTCTAGGTAGTTTTTAATAAAGAAATCTTTCTCATAACTAGATTTTTTCAGTCTTAATCGCATTTAACATGACAGGCATTGCATTTGTATGTATTGCTACAGGAAGATTTGATCGTGACTCACATTCTTGTCCTTTTTTCCATTAAAAGTGAGGCTTCTAGCCCTGTGATTTTAATAAAATTTTTAAACTGTCTGATATCTAAATGCTGTACATTCTGTACCTGGATTTACATTAACAATTAACATTTTTACTTGCCTAATAGACTATAAACAGTGGGCCTGAAGTTTTACTTTTATTATTTCTAGCTACTATAACAATCCTAAAGATAGGAAGTCCTTTTCTAAAGATAAAAAAAAATGAAAGGTTTAAATACTTCATATAAGGTTACAGGACTTCAGTTTTATATGCAAATCAGATATTGATTCTCAAAGTAGGGAGAACTTAAGTTAGTTATTTCAGGGGAAGTAAACCTTTTATGACTGATCAATATCTCTCTAAGAGGTTTACATTCAATCTTGCAGTTAACTTTGTCAAACAGATCTTTAAATTTTCCTTCAGAACTTTATGAAAATGAAAAGTTTGAGATTAATCTTAATATTTAATTGCAATGGCATGTGGAACTTCTTTGAAAAAATATAATTTTGAAGGCATAAAATCATTGGCTAATGAGCTTTGTCCATGAATAAGGCTAGAAACTCACATTTCCAAAAAATTTTTAAATAAGAACAGAAGAGACTGAATAGCATGAAACTTTGTAGTGGCCTAATGTTAAATACACTGACATTTTTATGGAATGTTTATTTTTCAACTCATTGTAATAAAAGGATGACATACATTATGAAAATGTGTTTATATATGCAATATGCATATTGTATATATAAAATATAGAGTCAGCTTAATTCATACCAAATTGTACCTGCCTCCTTTATCAGGATATCACTTATATTTCTTTTAATTTTCATCAAATACATGTGTAGATGCTATGATATTTGTAAGACAAATTCAGGAGGAAACAATATATAAGTGAATGAATATATTCAACTTTTATGATTTGCCTTAGTTAACTTAAAATAAAAAATGTGAATTGCCTCGGGCAAACACATAAATATAATTAATCAATAAATATCTTATTAAAAGCTTATTATGTTTTCAGACCTGTGAGCAAAACTGAATGAGATGCAGAAGAAATATTGTATTAGGGTATTTCGGGCTGCTATAGATAAACACTAAATCTCAGTAGCTTTGCACAATATAATTTTATTTCTTTCCCACATAATGCTATAAAGGGGTGCTTTTCATTGACAGTTTGTTCTTTTAGTTTAGGAACTCAGGCCTCTACCAAACATTTGCTCTTCAGTCTTTATTGTGTGGCTTCCAGGGCCACCTTGGTCCTCTGCATCAAGCTGGATGGGAAAAGGACATTGAGAATCTTATGTGGAAGGATCTTTTTTGGCACATCCTTCTGCCTTCTCTTTCATATTCCACTGGGTAGAACTCAGCCATGAGAACATCGAGTAGACTAGCCTAGACCAGGGGAAGGGTGATCACTTAAAGCCTTTGGTAGTATTCCCTGACTGTATGACGTGTTACTTCCTGCCTTCTCTAATAGATTTTGCCTCTGATGAGAAATGGAAGACCCTTAATCTTAGAGCAAGACAATTGGAATGTGTTCACTCATTTTTCTACTTTATATAAGCGTAGGCAGGTAATTTAAACTTTATATGCATCATTTCCTTATCCATAAAATGACAAATACATTTCTAAATAATAATACATCCAAATCTAATATAGTCAGTGATTTTATATCTACCTTAAAGTCTTCTGTATGCTCCTCCAAACTTTATCTACTTTTTGGGTACACAGCTAGACTACATTTACCAACCTCCCTTGTAGTTAGAGAGACTGCATTTATCTTCAAATATAGTCACATTGGGTGTCAGAGCTTTAATATATACCTTTTTGGGAGTTGGGGGGGGAGCCATACAATCCATAGCAGTTATTAACATTTAAAAATAAGTCATTTTTACATGAGAGTACAGATCTCTGACTTCTGTAGAAAACTACAGGATCTGAATACACTGAACTTCTTTTAATACATGAGAAAAATGGTCTTAAGGGTGAGGTCACAGGTCCCTCCATGTGGGCATGCTCTTTTCAGCTTACCACAGTTCCCACCTTATGACACTTGCTTGGACACGATAAGCATTTAATTTTATAATCCCTGTATATAGAGAATCCTGAAAGTGTTCTAGAGTTCTGCTGTGTAAACCTATATATTTTGAATGTATTTCCCTTTCATCTGCTTGAGGAAGTTGGAGTTATTTTCTTATAGATGAGTTTATTGCAGGTAAGCTTCAATGAAGTGGCAACTTCTTTGTCCATGGGTAGGATTTACTCATAGCCTGGTAAATCACGAAAAACATCTTCAGGACAGAATTGAAGGGTCAGATAGGTATTTAGGTCCATGATCTACTCTCCAACTCTACCATAATGCTAAACATTTCTTTGTCCCTAGCATGCTAATTATTTTATGTTTCCCCTCAGCTACTTCTATATTCCATATTTAGATACATTTATTTACAGATTTCACATGGTTTTAGACAATAATACTTTTCTACTGAACACACAGACATATGTTGTTGTTTCAATGAGACCCTCAGAAGTAGGAATATGTTCCACATTACATTTTTGGGACATAGAATATAAATTATAGCATTACAGGCCATTTAGGGGCTCAATCTGAAAAATCATGTCATCTCTAGCTCTAGCATTTGACTCTTCCATTTCAACCTTCCACGTATTTCACTTCTTGGACACACTACTTTTGGAGACCCAGATCATAGACACTGAATCCATGTACATTACCCACCACATCTTGGAAATTCTTGAGAATTAGGTGAAGGAGGCAGCTAACTAAGGTTATACACATAAAGTGTATAAGTGTAACTAAGGTTATACACATAAAAAATGACTTGGGTAAAAGTCTTAGTATTTGGAAATAAATTTTTTATCCACTCCAAAGATGATCTATCCAGAGCACAAATTGGAATAGGATTCCAAATTTTGTAGTATAGGCTGCATATGTCTACACTTTTGTACTTCTTTGGACCTCAGTATCTTTTCAGGAACAAAATGGGTAGGAGTATCTAGTTAATACAGTTATGTAAGATGCATATACATTACTTAGAAGAGTGCCTGGCACATAGCAAGAACTAATGTGTTTTATTAAATGGGGGACAGAATATCCCAGAGGTTAAAATAATGGGTTTTGGAGTCAATTTAGTTTTCATTTGTACCGTATATCCTCCACTTCTTAGTTATATGAATTAGGCAAATTATTAAGGTTGCAGTTTCTTTTTGTGCAGAAGGGTCAATAAAGTATCTCAAATAAAGTATATTGTCAGGTTATATAAATGTGCAATAATACAAAACAGTGTAAAAGATCTTAGTACAATGATTCGAATATAACAAGTATCCAGTGAAAAACAGGTAGATGTGTAAAACAGATGATTGTAGAATGTGAGTTACAAACAGAATTTTTTTTTTTTTCCTGGGAAGCCTCTAATAAATCAGTGGTCAGATTTTAAAAAGATTCGATGCTTGGTGAATGTATCTATACACTGTGAGAAAGTGAATAAAAATGCCTAATATAGAAAATTACATCATATTGTGTTGTTTGAATCAATTATGTTACATGAAATAAGATTTTTAAAGTCTATAGAATTTGTCTTGTGTAAAGCATCAATATGGTGTTTTAGGAACATTATCCAAGAGAAGAAAAAGCTGTTATAAATATTTCAGAATGTGTTGTTATTATTTACAATGAAAATGAAAAAGACTTTTTAAAAAAGCCTTCTCTTGAGGATTTTGTTGTTCATTGTCATGCGGCAACTATTGGCTAAGATGTTTGTCAGTGTTCAATTTGAAGTATGATAATTTTTTATAATTATTGAAATAAGCTCTCAAGATGAATGTTTAGCATTTTTTAAAAAATTGACCAACTTTTCATGGTGTTGTCAATTGAAAATTGAATTAGGTGGATTTTCCAGAAACAAATATCATTACCTAACATTTAATGACAATGCTATTCTCTGAATCTTGCTTATTGGCATTTTTGGTATTTGCCATGAATCAAGGTGTAGCTACATATAAGAGTCATCCTGAGGAATAGATTTAAAAAAGAGAAGCCCACCCAGGGCTCTACTGTTGGAGTTTATGATTATCAATAAATGGATCAGAAATTTTTACTTACAAAAAGCATCGTAGGTAATTTCAGTGATCTGAATTTGGAAAATGCTCATCTTTTGTTCTTGTAACATATCTTTATTCTAGACCTAAAAAATACTGCCTGCGATTTTAACACATGATGGCAAAGATTCAAATAAATACTCTCTCTAGTAATGTAGATGTAAACTATTTTAAATAATTTCAGGGGGATTTTAATTCTGTAGTACATTATATAAAACTTTAATCAATTATAGAAATATGAGTTTTAAAAAGACTGAACTTCAAAAATTAAATTTTTGACATTGACATTATCATACATTATCATACATTTTGTATTTCTTAAAATGTTTCTCACTGAGATTTGGATATTTTTAAAGCACAAAATATTTATATTTTATATTTTTGTTAGTTGCTTCTTAGACTAAATAGTATAGAATTGATACGTATATATTGAGTTAAAAATCTTTCTCTTGGAAGCTGTTATCCTATGACACTTACAATTTAATTTCTCTCTTCTTTTTAAGCCGGAGTATGAGCAATATCTTATCAGCTCACGATACATTTATGAAGCAATATCCTAAAGTATTCCTGCACCAAAAACCCAGACTTCCTAAACTTTTCAAACAGGAGGAACAAAGGTAATGATACCTTCTTTTGAAAGCAAGGTTGATGGGTGTGTATGAGTGTGCTTGTGCTCACACAAGTTGAACTCAAAACTGAAAATATTTGACCAGTTTCAGTCAAATATTTAGTGTGGAGGGCTAGGGAGCAGCCAAGGAAACAGAAATTAGTTGGTAAGGGTAAATTCAATTTTTGTTCAGCAAAAATACGTGTCCACTGCTAAAGATCATATTTATTTAAACTTTTTATCAAAGAATTGTTGCCTTTTACTAATGAACGGCAGTGTTTATGAAAGGGATTAAAATATTCTACAGGGTTTCATGAGAAACTTCCCAATGGAAATGATTAGAGTGTTTGTGGGTGGAGGATATTTGGAGGTGTGTCATGTATCAAGGTATAAATCACAAAGTCATGGGGCACTGAAAGGCATTTGTGAAGCCTTTTTTACTGGGCTCCTGCTTCTAGGTGGACCTACATTTAGATGTGCTTTATGTATTTTTAAAGTCAAAGAATGAGATTACTTAAGGGTGTTGCGGAAGGTGTAACTGCCCTCTCAGTAAAGGATGAAGGTAGATTGCCAGATCACATTGTGATGCAGCTCCTCTCAAATTGTCCCTGGCTCCAGTGGAACTGTAAGTGTCTTATATCAGTGCAGTACCAGATCTAGAAAGGCATTTTCACTTCCTGGATATAGTTGTCTTTGTTGTTCCTTAAGTATCTTATAGTGGATATGGAAACCTCCTACTCCATACTATTCAAGTAGAGTTGATCTGTTCACATCCTTGGCTACCCCACTGCCATACTCCCTAATAACTTCTATTGCCATATCTGTAAGACTGTATTTTGCTTGTGTGTTTGCTAGTCAGTATTTTTATTTCTGACATTTAGCAGAGGGACTGACCTGTAATTGTGAATAGTAGATGTGTGTTGCCCCATGGGCAAACTGCTTACTGGCTGTGTAAGGGAGCTGATCAAGAATATGTTTTCATTTATTTATATCAATGATACAAATGTAAAAATTCAAACAAAATTATTGTAACAAATATGTCTCCAGGGGTTGGAAGATATCAGCATGAGAGACATAGATCTATTTCATTATCCTATACCTTTCTTTTCTTTATAGCCATAGGGCAGTATTATGTAAAACATACCATATTAGTTGACTGGGAAAAATCTCTGGGAGATGGAGTTGCTCTGCCTTTTCAAGAACAATTCTGTTAAATTAATAAAATCTTTTGAAAACAGAGATTCAAATATAACTTTTTCCAAGACTGTATCTATCATGTAGATCAAACTACATCCCTAGATGTACATACATCTGGAATGATCATACAATGCTTATACTGTGATTTATCAAGTTAACATCACTCTAAAAATATCTGATAAAAATACTTTGTACTTTTTGATTCCAAGTATACTCAATTTCTATTCTAATCTTGTTGATTAGAAAGAGACCTGTAAATGTAGCTCTGTCTATAGAATAAGGGACCAAGAGCTTTTATGGATAGCTGATATGATCATCTTGCCCTCATATTTATTCATTAATCTACCAGCAGTGGTCTGCTTCTTTAGTTAAGACATTAAACTTTGAGAGGACTTCAGGGAGGCACCCAGTGGCTGTCAACATACTTGGTAATGAAATACCATCTTCATATTTTTAAGAAAAGAGACAGATCCCAAATGTGTTTTAACAGTAAAACTGTGGTTTAAATGTGAAAATAAAGAGTGGACTGCCAAATACACAAGAACTAGGACGATACACTATACTAATTAAGATTTGTTTAAGTGTCTGAAAAGCCAATAAAATTAGCTTAAGAATCAAGGGGAATTTTAAGAATCACATTTTAGAAATGTTTTGCTGTAGAGCTAACTTCACCATTAAATGATGGCATTGGGACTCAGTTTCCTCTGTATCTCTGCCTCCTCTTTGCTGGGTTGGTTTCATCGTCACACATCATGTAATAGGTCTGGGAAGACCACATTCATTTATTTTACTGTTCAGGTGAGAATGGAGGTGTTCTGAAACAGGCCCAGCAGGAGATTCACTGAAATCTCTAAATTATATCATATCCCTGTATTGTCACTGTTGTGAATTTGCCAATCTTGAACCACATGCCCACCTGAAGAGTGGGGAATATTGTTGACACTATATGAAGCACATGGGATAAGATTAGAAGAGAGAAAGTGGAAGCTCAGAAGAAAATTAGGGGCCGGGCGTGGTGGCTCACACCTGTAATCCCAGCACTTTGGTAGGCCAAGGCGGGCAGATCACCTGAAGTTGGGAGTTTGAGACCATCCTGGCCAACATGGTGAAACCCTGCCTCTACTAAAATACAAAAAATTAGCCGGGCATGGTGGTGGGCACCTGTAATCCCAGCTACTTGGGAGGCTGAGGCAGGGGAATCACTTGAACCCAGGAGGCGGAGGTTGCAGTGAGCCAAGATTGCGCCACTGCACTCCAGCCTGGAGACAGAGCATGACTCTATCTAAAAAAAAAACAAAAACAAAAAAACAAAAAAAAACCCCTTAAACTGAATTAAATAGAATTTCCTAAAGTATATTAAGAAAATTGTGAATTTTCTTCTAAGCTTAGTATACATAGTTCCCACATTCAGTGTGATATATCTATAGATACCCTGATGATTGAAACTCAGCTTATGTAAATCCAAGAAATTTTTAAAGGAATAAAACTGATGAGGAAACTTTCATGTTAGCAGACATGAAATACCTACACTGTTAACATTTACACTATTACAGTTATTGATCAACAATATTTACCTGTTATCATTGTCATATATTTAACACTGTAATTCATTTAACACAAATATTATGTGACAGCTACAACAGCAAGTAAGGCACCTGCCTGGTTGTGGGCAGCTGGTGATGCCAGGTCATTTGATAAATATTGAAGGAAGACAGTCATGTTCAAGGAGAGTAGGAGAAATGCTACATAGAAATGTTAAGTCCATGTGGAGCAAGGCACACAGATGAAAATAAGCAGAAGACCTGGCTGAGACGTTGAGAAACAATTCTATATGGGCAAAAATTGAAGAATAGGATAAGAAGATGAAGTATTGCTTGGGACTTTGATCATTATTTAAAATTTATTTTATTCATGGATTGATAAGAAGGTAAAATTTTGGTATATTCATATATGTAGGAAATCAAATAGAAAAGAATCTGTGTTGTTTTAAAAAGAACACTCAGTGTTGACCCAGAAGACTTGGTTTTGTGTTTTTGTTTCACTCAATAGCAGAAACATGACTTTGAAGAAAGAAGTCTGTTAACTCACACTCAGGTTTTACTCAGAAAAGGGCAGACAATATTAATCCCCTACTTCAGAGTTATGCATTGAAAAAACTTTTAAATTGTGCTAGTTTTCATTATTATCATGCACTATAAATGGCAATGATGTTTTATGTACATTATACCATCTGTCAAGAAATTGACCTTTTTTCAAACAGATTAAACAACCGCAACAAAAAGAGGCAAACTTCACCTTATATAAAGTACCAGTATGTTTAAAGGGGGCTGTGAAATGAAATGATTTCCATATTCCAATGGCCAGATGAAATTAACAATGTTGTGATTATCATCATAAGAATTCTTTTTTTTTTTTTTTTTGTGCTGAGGGCAGGAGTGCAGTGGCCTGATCTCGGCTCACTGCAACCTCCGCCTCCCAGGTTCAAGTGATTCTCCAGCCTCAGCCTCCTGGGACTACAGGCACCCGCCACTACGCCCAGCTAATTTTTGTATTTTTAGTAGCGACGAGGTTTCACCATGTTGGCTAGGATGGTCTGGATCTCTTGACCTCGTGATCTGCCCGCCTTGGCCTCTCAAAGTGCTGGGATTACAGGCGTGAGCCACTGCGCGGGGCCAAGAATTCTTTTTGATGATACTGTACAATAATTGACTTACCTGTTCCCAATAAACATAATGGTCATTTTTTTTAAAACAACAACAACAAAATGTGATTGCCATTTTGAGCCATCTTAACTCATTACAGAAAGATGGGCCATAATCCAGATTTACATCTATATCTTATATTTAGAATACATAATTGTAAAGGTACTAATTTAAACAAAATGCTAGTTTTTATGTAAATAGGGAGCCCTTTTGCTTTCCACATATTCTATGCTTATTTTAGAACTTTCTTTTTCACAAAAATTATAACTTCACTAACTTTTGATATTTTCATTTACTTTTTAATGACAGTCTTGGAAGTATCGTAAAGCTAGATGGTTTCCTGAGAATAGTGCAGTTAAAGGGAATTTGGTAAATAGTTTACATTTTTTAAATGTAATTGTAACTTTCTACACTTGAAAAATTCCTAAATAAACATTGCAGTGTGGTTTTTTTTTTATTATACTTTCAGTTCTAGGGTACATGTGCACAACGTGCAGGTTTGTTACATATGTATACATGTGCCATGTTGGTGTGCAACATTGCAGTGATTTTTACTCAGAATATGTAAACTGCAGCTCAATCTGTTTGCCTTTGAACATTTACTCAAATTTATACTCTCCAAACTTTATTGTCAGTACTATGATGAGAAATATTTTTAAAATCTGAGAACCCTGGCTTAAGATAGAAAGTTATGATGCTTGTAGTTTAAATACATAGAAGAGAAACATTCTGCCGTCAAGAAATCTTCCGATTTTGTGTTAAATTGGACAGTATAACCACCCTTTTCTATATTGACATCCAACTGTTTCTTTTATTAATTAATCCAATTACTTACCAAGTAGCTATTATATAGCAGGCACTGTGCTAGTGTAGAGTAAGATGAATGTGGTCCTTGCTCCTCTAGAGTTTATGAGTCAGATCTTCTCAAGGGAGACAGCCTTAAGCAATAATCCTGCTAATAATAATTTAAGCACGATTTGTCTTCATGAATTCATCTTTCAGTTTTTAGATCGGATCATGAATTAGTCCAGGCTTTTAGTTGTAATCGAAATTGGACTCAAAGGAACATAAGTTCCTCTGAGGAACATTAAAAAAAAGTTGCCTATTGATTCGCCTAACCTACTGGAGGATGGGAAAAGCCAGCCTTAGAGAAAAGGGATACAAGATCTGGAGTGCTTGTCGGACTCTCTACTTCTCATCCCTGCTCATATTTGTAGATTATCCCAATTCCCTCTTGGTGATTGTGACCTTTCTCCGTGTGGCAGGGAACATGGTTACCAGGAACTTTGAACTTGTAACACCTGTAACACTGGAGAGAAAAAGGAATTTTTTTCAACCAGAATAATCCTGAAAAAGGATTGAGATTGGCTGCCCAGTGGCATAGAACCTGTTAGCAAAAGAAATGGGGGAGGGGGAGCATCCTGCACAAAGAAGATAGCCACTGTAAACAATGAGTGCTTTCCTAGGTGTAAGATAAATTAATACATATAGTCACAGTAAAATTGCTACATTGTTTACTTCAATACATTTAATATCTACCCTTTAAGCAATAAGAAAAGACATAGATTTTTAATCAATGTGTGTTTAGGTCAGTTTATGTCAGGAGTGAAAAAGAAATGAAGTGGAGTCATTGTCTGGGGTAATACCCAAGGTTTGTTCCATGACCACGGAAAACTAGGACGTGGACACAACAGAGTGAGGTTAAGAGCAGAGGTTTAATAGACAAAAGAAAGGGAAAAGTTCTCTCCTGCAGAGAGACGGGGTCCCAAGTGGGTCTTCTGGTCCCCAGTGAAGTGCAGGAGGTTTTATAGATGAGCTTGAGGAGGTGGTGTTTGATTTACACAGGGCACAAAAAATTGGTCGGATCAGGTATGCTATTTACATAACACGAAGAACTGGTTAGGATTAGTTGTGCTGTTTGCATATCCCACGAAGAAGCTGGCTACCTCACCCTAATCTTTTATTATGCAAAAGGATTCTCTACCTCACCATGTTGCCTGCTTTTCTACTGTACATGTGGTGACAAAGAAAAGGGAAGATGGAGCCTCCATGTTGAACATACCTGGTTTCCAGGTAGCCCTTTTCTATTGGCACAGCTGTTGGCATTCACCCATGCAAGCTTTTAGCTTGCTTATCTATGTTTGCAGCTGGATTACTTTCAGGCTGCTCTTTGTTAGAAAAGAAATTATTTGGGGGCTGCTTTTTGTTAAAAGGCAAGCCTTGCTGAGGACTCCTTCACCCTCACTATCTGCCTAAATAATTTCTTTTTAGCTCCCATATCAAAAGTTTAAGGAAATGTTAGTAATTGAGGAAACAAATAGTAAGCATCCAAAGAATTATGGAAACCTTTGTTAAAAATGTATTTATTCAAAATGTGGCTTTTTATTGATACATAGTAGATGTATGTATTTTTGGACATGTGATATTTTGATAAATTTATATTGTGTATAATAATCAAATCATGGTAGTTGAAATATTTATTACCTTAAACATTTATCTATGCTGGGAACATTTGAATTATTCTCTACTAGCTATTTTGAAATATACAGTAGATTATTGCTTACTGTAGTCACAAAGAAAGAAGTGATATTATCCTTGTTCATAAATGACATGAGCTTATATTTAGAAAACCTTAAAGATTCCATCAAAAACTGTTAGAAATGATAAAATAATTCAATAAAATTGCAGGATACAAGAGCAACGTAAAAAATCAGTAGCATTTATATATGCCAACAGCAAACAATCTGAAAAAGAAATCAAGAAAGCAATCCCATTTACAATAGACACAAAAATTGTAAAATGCCTAGGAAAATATTTAACCAAAGAAGTTAAAGATCTCTACTAGGAAAACTATAAATTTTAATGCTGATGAAAAAAATTAAAGAGGACACAAAAAAGTAAGAAGATATTCCATGCCCCGGACTGCAAGAATAATATTATTAAAATGTCAGTATTACGCAAAATGTGACATTTTTATGGGGGTGGAAATTGAAGTATTTACAAAGAAGGCTGCTTACTTGTTATAATTTTATTTGACTTTTATAAAAATGTTATCAGATTTTGACCATTTTAGTTCCAGAAGGGGTTAGTCAGCATTAAAATATCAAAAAAATTTTAAAAAATTCAGATTAACTTTAACAATGTATAGTATTTGTACTAGATTGGTAGATATTAGGCAAAATGTTTATCAATGAGGGGTACATTTTTCTAAAGGGTGCAGACCAAAAATAATGTGGCAGAAGCTAAGGGGAAACCAATGATGTATTTGAATTATTAGCTATAATACTTCTTCCAATATGCAGTCATGCACTGCATAACAACATTTCAGCCAACAGTGGATCACATATACCATGGTGGTCCCATAAAATTAAAATGGGGCTGAAAAATTACCTATCACTCAGGGACTTCATAGCTGCCTGTAATGTCATACTTTAACATATTACTTATGTTTTTATGATGATGTCAATGTAAACAAATCTATTGTGCTGCCAGTTATATAAAAATATAGCACACACAATTATGTATAGTACATAATACTTGATAATGATGACTAAAGACTATATTATTTATGTATTTACTATAACTTTTATTGTTATTTTAGAGTGTATTTATTCTATTTATATTTTAAAAAAAAGGTTAATTGTAAAACAACCTCAGACAGTCCCTTCAGGAGGGATTCCAGAAGAAGGCATTGTTATCATAGGAAATGACAGCTCTGTGTGTGTTATTGTCCCTGAAGACCTTCCAGGGGGACAAGACATGGGTGTGGAAGACAGTGATATCAATGATCCTGACCCTGTATAGGCCTAGGCTAATGTTTGTAATTGTGTATGTGTAACAACAACAAAAAGAGCTTAAAAAGTAAAAATAAAAATAAAAAATTTTAAAAATAGAAAAATGCTTATAGGATAAAGATAGAAACAAAGAGCATATTTTTGTACAGCTGTACAATGTGTGTTTTAAGCTAAGTGTTTTTGCAAGAGTAAAGACATTAAACACAATGAAAAATCTTATAAAGTCAAAATGTTACAATAAGCAAAGGGTAATTTGTTATTGAAGAAAGAAAAATATTTTACAAATAAATCTAGTGTAGCCTAAGTGTACAGTGTTTTTAAATTCTGTATTCACATACAGTAATGTCCTACTCACTCACTGACTCACCCAGAGCAACTTCCACTACTGCAGGCTCCATTTAAGGGAAGTGCCCTTTACAGATATACCATTTTACATTGTTAATCCTGTATTTTAATTTAGCTCTACCTTTTTTGTGTTTAGATATGCTTAGATACGTAAATACTTACCATTGTTATCGGGGGAACCTGCCCCCGATAATTCTTCATTATTTCACATAGGTTATTTTCTATTTTCCCTAAGTGTTGGCTGGTCTGAGAAATAAAGGGAAAAAGCACAAAAGAGAGAAATTTTAAAGCTGGGTGTCTGGGGGAGACATCACATGTCGGCGGGTTCTGTGATGCCCCCTGAGCCATAAAACAAGCAAGTTTTTATTAGCAATTTTCAAAGGGGAGGGAATGCACAAATAGGGTGTTGTTCACAGAGATCACATGCTTCAAGGGCAACAAAAGATCACAAGGCAGAAGGTCAGAGCGAAACTAGCATCACTAATGAAGTAGACTTGTCCCGCTGTGCACGCATTGTCAGGGTTCAAGAGCAGAGAACCTGTCTGAGTAGAATTCGCCAGGCTGGAATTTCCTAATCCTAGCAAGCGTGGGGGTGCTGCAGGAGACTAGGGTGTGTTTCATCCCTATCTACATCTGCATAAGGCAGAACCTCCCAGGGCAGCCATTTTAGAGGCCCCGCCCTGGGAATGCATTCTTTTCCCAGGGTTGTTAATTATTAATATTCCTTACTGGGGAAATAATTCAGTGATATTTCTCTTACCCGTTTTCAGTCATAAGAGAAATATGGCTCTGTCCCACCCAGCCCACAGGCAGCCAGACTTTAAGATTATTTCCCTTGTTCCCTGAAAATCGCTGTTATCCTGTTCTTAAGGTGCCCAGATTTGTTATTGTTCAAACACACATGCTTTACAATTTGTTCAGTTAACGCAATCATCACAGGGTCCTGAGGCGACATACATCCTCCTCAGTTTATGCAGATGACAGGATTAAGAGATTAAAATAAAGACAGACATAGGAAATCACAAGAGTATTGATTGGGGAAGTGATGAATGTCCATGAAATCTTCACAATTTATGTTCTTCTGCCATGGCTTCAGCCAGTCCCTCCGTTCAGGGTCCCTGACTTCCCGCAACACATTGTGTTGCAATTGCTTATAATATTTGGTACAGTAACATGCTGTACAGGTTTGTCGCCTAGAAGCCATAGGCTATACCATATTAGCTTAGGTGTATAGCAGGCTATACCATTTATGTTTGTGTAAGCACGCTCTATGATGTTTACCCAATGACAGAATTTCCAAATGATGCATTTCTCAGAAAGTATCCCTATCATTAGTCAACATATGACTGTATTCAGATTACTCAATTAATCAAAATGAAAGTTGGTTAATTTTGAAGAAAATGTTAAATTAAAAGTCAGATATATAATATTAAGTGAAGAAGTTTCTTTTTGTAAAGAGTTAAAAGCAAAAATGAAAAAAATCTTGAATGATATCTACCTAATCTACACTTCCCTTAAGCTATATACTTAACAAAATCAATATTATTTTATCTAAAGTGCACTCTCAGAAAGAAAAAAGAGCAGAATAGTTGATTAATATGAATTGAATGCTTGAGCAAATGTATCAAATGGAATAGTAAAGAAGAAACATGCTTAACTCAAAATGGCACATGTCTAGCATAGAAAAAAGATTGTAATTATAACCGCCCAATGGGTTCTTCTTGCCTGTTGCCCAGATAGAGCCAATTTATCAAGGCAGGGAAATTGCAGTAGAGAGTTTAATACACGCAGAGCCACCTGAACAGGGAACCACAGTTGTATTATTACTCAAATCAGTTTCTCAGAGAATTTGGGGGCTAGGGTTTCTCAAAGGTAGTTTGGGGGAAGGGTTGTGGGTGGTTAGGAAATGAGTGCTTGCTACTGATTGATTGTGGATGCAACCATAGGAATGTGGGAAATGGTCCTCCTGTGTGCTGAGTAGCTTCTGGGTGGGGCCACAGGAGCAGTTGGTGGGTCCTGGTAGAGCCATAGGTCACTGGACATGCAAAAAGCCTGAAAAGACATATCAAAAGGCCAATTTTAGATTCTACAATAGTGATGTTACCTTCAGGTATAATTGGAGAAGTTGCACGTCTTGTGACCTCCAGCATAGTGGCTGGGAATTGCTTATGTCTACACCTTAGCTGAATTCAGTCTCCTCTATCCTCCTAGGTTTGTGGTCTCCCATTAGCTTTACAAATGCAGTTGAGTTTTGGGGAAGGGCTATTATCATTTAAACTATAAACTAAATATCTCCCAAAGTTAGCTCGGCCCATGCCCAGGAACAATTAAGGGCAGCTTGAAGGCCAAAGGCAAGATGAGTGTTGCCCAGATCAAACTTCCTTCAGTGCCATAATTTTCTGTTATAATTTTTGCAATGGTGGTTTCATAATGATATATTCATATACAATTAACTTTCCAGACAAGATGTGTAAGAACTCTTTGGAAATTCAGATGAGTACTGGAATCCAGCTAATAATTAAGAGTGCATTAGAGTGAATGTGCATTGCCTTGACATATAGTGTCTATTTTGCCACTCAGTAACTATATGACTTTGGAGAAGTCAATCTATCTGGGCATTAGTTACCTTATATCAAAAATAAAATGCTCGGGTAGATGACAGTCAATTCTCCTTTTAGCTCTATTAATCTAAGGTTCCATTTTCTAGTTGATGTTACAGATACTGTAGGGAGAGAAATATATGTAATGAAGATAATATTTTTGTATTAACTTTTGATGTATCTTCCCTTATGAGTATTTCCTTCCCTGTATCCCATGTGCCATCATGGTCTCAGAGAAAAGAGCAGGAAAAATATTACTTTAAGTAGGAGGAAGATATAAAATGGAGGTGTTACTGGTGGCAAATCTGTTCGGGTCTGCAGCAACCTCAATGCTTGTCTCCTCAGGAGAGAGAATTTGACTAAGGGGCATGAGGCAGAAGGAGAGACTGAGGCAAGTTTTAGAGCAGGAGTGAAAGTGTATTAAAAAGTTTCAGAGCAGGAATGAAAAGACGTAAAGTACACCTGGAAGAGGGCCAAGTGGGCAACAGGAGAGATCAAGTGCACTGTTTGACCTTTGACTTGGGGTTTTATACGCTGGCATACTTCTGGGGTCTTGCATTCCTTCTCCCCTGGTTCTTCCCTTGGGGTGGGCTGTCTGCATCCACACTGGCCTGCTAGCACTTGGGAGGTGAGCATGCACAGTGTGTTTACTAGAGTTGTATGCGTGCTCTCTTGAGGCATTCTTCCCTTACCACTTGAGTGTCCCTAGAAAGTCATATACCTGTTAAACTCTGCCATTTTACCTCATTATGTGTACGTGTAAGTCTACTTCACCCAATTCCTGGGATCTTATTGGAAAACTGCTGATTACTAGTTTCAGGTTTTTTTCTATCTTTTGGGAGCCTGCCTTTCTCTGGTGCTGGCTGCAACATTATTATTTTATTTTTTATTTTTTTTTTGAAATAGAATCTCACTCTGTCACCCAAGCTGGAGTGCAGTGGTGCAAACTTGGCTCACTGCAACCTCTGTCTTCTGGGTTCAAGCCATTCTCCTGCCTCATCCTCCTGAGTAGCTGGGATTACAGGTACCCACCACCATGCCCAGCTAACTTTTTTTTTTTTTTTTTGAGACAAGATCTCACTCTGTCACCCAGACTGGAGTGCAGTGGCACAATCTTGGCTCACTGCACCCTCCACCTCCTGGGTTCTAGTGATTCTCATGCCCCAGCCTGTCAAGTAGCTGGGACTACAGGCAAGCACCACCGTGCCCAGCTAATTTATGTATTTTTTAGTAGAGATGGGGTTTCACCATGTTGGCCAGGCTGGTCTTGGTCTCTTGACATTGTGATCCAGCCTGGTGACAGAGCGAGACTCTGTCTCAAAAAAGAAAAAAAAAGAATATCTAGATAGTTATTGAGGAAGCTGCACCTTCTAGGACAATGATAATCAACTTGAACTACATATTAGAATCACCTTAGGAGTTTTGAAAAATACTAATGCCAGATCTGTGTCCACTGACATTATGTAAATTGGAGTCCTTGGCTTCAGGCTAGGACCTTAGTAATTAAAAAATAACTTTTAGGTGATTATTGAAAATTACTGCTGTACAGGAAGACCTAAATTGGGCTCAACAGAACATTCAACATGAAGAGAGAATAGTACAGAACTGGTGGAGACAGATGTCTTGTGATCTACCTCGAGTTAGTGCCATTAGATCCACTTGGTCTGTGTCTAGCTTGCACTGAGGGGGTCTAGAATTTCCCATGAACACTGGTAAGGGTAGAGTGAGTTGCCAGTAGGACTGATGGGTGGTAGGACTCTGGGGAGGGGAAGACCAAGCTGCTGAGTCAGGAATCTGATGACGTGAGGAGAAGAGAGTTAAGAGTGGATGCAGAAGCAGAAAAATCCATTCATTCCTAAGTAGATACCAATCCAGAGCCAACCTGCTGGCCACTCTGCAACAGGAACATGATGATGATCAGCTGATAGCTTCCTCTCTCCAACTACAATCATGTAAGCAATCCAGCCCTCCCCCAACACACACCCAAACCAAGTCCAGAAAAAGATATGAAATTTACAGAAAATTGTTAAAACAGCCTTTATTTACCTGACAGAAACAAAGTTATTCTAAATTATACTTTTTCAAATTAGTGAGACTGAGATACCATAAAATGGTATTGGAGGAAGAGGATCTGTGAGCTCATGAGAAAGTTTTAGTTTCTTTATAGAAAGTAAACTATTTTCTTTGTACATCTTAGCATTTAAGTAAATTTTCAATACCACTAATCTATTTAGCTATTAAAATACTTATTTAAACTATATCCTTTTAAAGGGGAATAGAGTAAAATGCCTTTTAAATATGAGAAGCTGCAGAGGATACTGTCTCTTTAAAACATGCAATCCTAATTGCCCACCTCTCAGGATGCATAATGGTTGTAGCATAGTTAGCACGGATTCTGTCATGACTTAAAAAAAAATTTGTAAACATGCTTTCTTAAAGATGCATCATACACTCTTCTTTTAGTGAATGGAAGTGTTTGACAGAAAAACACCTGTGTAAGCAAACTTTGAGAATATGTTATTAGAACATGTTTCTTTCCTCACTGGTTCATATTACACAGGTTTACATCTGCTGCTACAAAAGGTAAGTGTAAGCATGCTGATATGATTTGGTTCTGTCCCCACCCAAGTCTCATCCTGAATTGTAGCTCCCACAATTCCCATGTGTTGTGGGGAGGACCTGGTGGGAGATTATTGAATCATGGGAGCCGTTTCCCCCATACTGTTCTCATGGTAATGAATAAGTCTCATGAGATCTGATGGTTTTATAAGGGGTTTCCCCTTCTGCTTGGCTCTAATTCTGTCTTCTGTGCTGCCACATAAGACATGCCTTTTGCCTTCTGCCATGATTGTGAGGCCTCCCCAGCCAGATGGAACTGTGAGTCCATCAAATCTCTTTTTATTTATAAATTACCCAGTCTTGGGTATGTCTTTATCTGCAGTGTGAAAACAAACTAATACACATGCTATCTTTCTTTAAAAAAAAAAAAAAAAAGATTTAGGGAGTAAAAGTGCAATTTTGTGTAGGCATCACCCACATAGTGTACACTGTACCCATTACATAGTTTCTTTTTCCTAGCCCCGCCTTTCTGAGTCTCCAATGACTATTATTTCACTCTATGTTCATGTGAACACATTATTTAGCTTCTACTTGTAAGAACATGTGGTATTTGATTTTCTGTTTCTGAAAATATCATGCTTTTTTTTTTAAAAAAAAAGAGAAAGGCAATTGGAACTTTAATTTTGCCCCTATAAAAATGAAATGTCATGTATCAACAAGACTGAAAAATAAACAATCCTCTCATGCCCTCAGCAGTTAACCCTAACTATAGAAGACAAAACGATGTAAACAAAGAAATACACATAGGATTCATTCATATTGGGATCCAGAAATACATATTGTGGATGACAGTGGCATACACACTCCTTTTGGTGTTAAGAGGAAACCTTTAGACAAATTAAATATGTAACAGTTTATTTGAGCAAAGAATGATTCATGAATCAGGCAGTACTCAAAACTAGAAGAGGTTTGGAGAGCCCCAACCAGCCATGTGAGCAGTGAGTTCTTATAGGCCAAACAAGGGAGCAAAGTGTAGAAATTACCTGATTGACCAGTAAGGTATCTGCCTTATTTGCAAATGGTGTGATAAAACATCTGCCTTTATAGCACGATTCAATCAGTTGACTCCCTGTGATTGGCTGAAGCTTAGCTGTTTGTGATTGGCTAAAATCCAGCTGTTTGTTACAAAACGTATACTCCTGAGTTAGGTTTCTGTTTGTTTACACACAAAGTTAAGTTGTGGTTTGTTGATTAGGAACTCAAAGTACTGAGACAGCCTCAGGCTAGTGGCCTCCTGCTTGTTTAATTTAACAATGGGAATTTATTATTAAAAGGTAATTATTAACTATTTAGAGGTAGAATTACTAGGCAGTCAATGACAGAAAGCTGACTTTGCTGTCAAAGTGACTTTCAATAAACTTCAGATTAGTGTTTTTCAAACTTTAATATGTGCACAGATCTCCTGGGGAGCTTATTAAAATGCAGATTCCAATTCAGAGGGTCTTGAGTGTGGCCTGAGATTCTGTGTTTCTAACAAGCTACCAGCTGATCCTAATGATACTGGTTCATGGACCACAATTTGAACAGCAAGTTTACTGTTTGATATGTTTCTTTTTCTTTCAGAATGTGAAAAAAAAAAGTCACCAAACTGTAACTTTTCTATTGGGAAAAGTTTCTACTGGGAGAATTTAGCCCACATTTTAAAGCATTAATTCATTCATCTAAGGGCTTATTTCAATGAGATAAACTACAAAGCTGTGTATGATCTTTGGTCATAATATACTTGATTTATTAAATTTAGCAACCAATCGCATGTTGCACTTAATGTGCATAGCATGTCTGTTTGAAATTTTTTTGGTATATTTTAATTTAGGATCTTTTAAAGAAGTCCAACCAGTAGTTATTATCTTAAAAAGTTCCATTTTAATTAGGTACTAAATCAGATAAGAAAAAGAGAGAAAGAGGTAGCTTGCTAAGTTTAGGAGTTTCCAGGCTTGTAACTTAACCAGGTAATGGTAGTATTTTGTAAAATCATTTTCTCTTAGTTTGTGTTATATAACTTACAATAATTTGGAAGGCAGCTATGGCCACCACTATACCACCAACACAGAACTTAATAATTTGAACAGAGGAGAACAAAAGAATTTTGGCAATGTGCATATTGTATGCTCCCTCTCCCACTAGCCCCAGAACTCCACTGGCTACTCTCTAATATGCCAAAGGCAGCCTGACCCAAGGAAGTCTGTTGGGAATGTTTCTCATGGGCTCAGAAGTCTGTATGCTCAGTCACCCAAATTGCCAGTCATACCAAAAGCTGTCAAAGTACGTTTTAGGCAAAAAATTGATACATAAGTTTGGATTTTAGATTCTAAAGAGGCTAGGACATCCCAATTGCTCGAATTAAAGAATTTTACTGAGAATTTTACTTCTGGATCTAAAAGCAGTAAACATGTAGCTTTGATCTGGGTTAAAATGATGAAGGGCTTCTCTGTAATACTCATTTTTTTTTCCCAAACACATTTTAAGACAATCATTGGTATAGTGTATGCATAGTCTAGATGGCCTATAAATTCTCTCTAAATGTGTGAGAGCAGAAAATGTTCAAAAGTAAAGATGAATATTTGGAGATGAAGCAACTGAAAACCTAGAGCAAATGGATTCTGATAGACTTAAAAAAAATCTCTGCAAAATTGCATTTTGAACTTGTGAGTCCCTTTTGAGTTTTTGCACTTAATTTCTTTCTCTAGCATAGCTGAAATTACCCATATGATACAGCTACATCTAAGTGTACTTATTTCATGCTAGTGTGGATCTGGCCTCAGGATAAATAATAAATGTTTGAACCATAGGCTCTTTGAAAATATGTATTTAACATTAGAATAAATGAAATTATTCTTGTTATGACTATAAAACCCATATTTTCTCTGAGCTCCAAGGTCTGTTGAATGAGATGCTCCTTGTGTTTTTTTTTAAGTCAGCCCTATAGTTATTGTTTTACCAATTTATTCTAAAAAATAAAAATAAAACTTACACTATCTGAAAAGAAACCTCACAATAATACTGTATTAGTCTGTTCTCACACTGCTAATAAAGACACAACTGAGACTTGGTAATTTTTAAAGCAAAGAGTTTTCATTGACTCACAGTTCCACATGGCTGAGGAGGCCTCATGATCATGGTGGAAGATCAAGGGACATCTTACATTGTGGGAGGCAAGACAGAATGAGAGCAAAGTAAAAGGGGAAATGCTTTATAAAACCATCAGATCTCCTGACACTTATTCACTACCACAAGAACAGTATGGGGGAAACTACCTCCATGATTCAATTATCTCCCACCAGGTCTCTCCTACAACACATGGGAATTATGGGAACTACAATTCAAGATGAGAGTTGGGTGGGGATTCAGCCAAACTATGTCAAATAACCTGTCATTTGTTTATTCAGTAAGACAATATACACTGAGCACCAACTGTGTGCTAAGTGCAAGTCAGAGAGGGCCTCTGTGCTCAGAGCTTGGTGGTGCTGACAGGGTCTGAGTAAGAGGTGGTAAGTGCAGTGTAGGGGGTGTCAGAGGAAGACTTCAGGGCAGGGGTAGTTGCATTGAGAGTGCTTACATTGAGGGCAGATGGTGTACTGGAAGATCAGAGAAGCAGAGGAGGCTTTCTTGAGGAAGGAATGTTTAAGTTGAAGGATAAGAGTTGTCCAGAAGAAGAGAAAGATTATCTGAGGCAAAAAGAACCATATCTGATAATTCTTCATGTTGTTGATTATCTAAATGCTGTCAAAGCCACCTTAGCTGATACTCTAATTGCCCAAGTTGGTAGTTGTCACCAGAAACTTGTTGAAAAAATTTTTTTCAAAACCTTTAAATGATCTCCCCCATGGGTGTCAAGATGGGAGTGATGGCTTGAGGTGGGAGAGGAGACAAAAAGGAAGAAAGGAAGAGAAAGAGAAGAAAGAGAAATAAAAAAGGCAAGGCGAGGGAGAAGTGGACATGCCAGGTCATAGGAGCAATATTTGGACCTTTTGGAAGTTTTATGAAGGAAGGAAGAAGAAAGTT
Source organism: Homo sapiens (assembly GCF_000001405.40). Taxonomy (NCBI): domain Eukaryota; kingdom Metazoa; phylum Chordata; class Mammalia; order Primates; family Hominidae; genus Homo; species Homo sapiens. Next base: position 86,922,444 of record NC_000008.11, read on the forward strand.
TGTATTAATAGAAATCTAACATTGTCTCTGCCATGCTTTGGTCTTGTCCTTTGTACCCCAAATTAACCCCTCTACCATGACATAAAAAGGAAAGCCTGGATGGCTTGGGGTATTATTGTAGCCAAGTGATGACAATTTGTACAAATTGGCTACAGGCATAAGATTTGCTTGCAGTAAAGTGGAAAGTTACAAGAAAGTTTCAAGTCTGAGTTAAAAAAAAATCCACTTATGATGATAACTGCCACTGAGTAATGGTAGATTATGCTAAAAGGAAGGTACTTTCGTTTTATGCTTCCTTCCTGATTGCTTTGGTTTGAAGCATCTGGGTATAGGTGCTGAGAAGGGGTGAATTGCTCTGCCTGGTAGAGATGTTCTAATTTAGAGTCACGGAGCAACCAGGAGTGAAGAAATTCAGAGAAAAAGAGGACAGGAAGGAAGCAAGAGGAGCCAGGAAATGATTGAAGAAAGGTATGCACTAAGTAAGGAGAAACTACAATGTTGGGGATGGGGGTGAGAACATTTTAAAAAAGAACTGTTAATGGATTTCAAGTATGTTGTAATATGTGATACTGTTACCAGAAGGAGGGCCTTGAGAGTGAGTTCTCCAGGTCCTTGGCGTTTTTAACAAAGAATTGGACAAAACACACAAATAAGGTAACAAAGGAACAAAACAGCGAAGGCAGTGATTTAATAAAGCGAGAAAGCACTCCACAGGGTGGGAGTGGACCCGAGCAGGCGGCTCAAGGGCCCAGTTACAAAGTTTTCTAAGTTTGAAGTACTCCTTTTGAAGTCCCTATCAGTTATCCTTGTCTCGATGAAGGTCTTGTCTGTGGCTAATTAAAGGCTGAGGTGAATTGGAGTCCTATGCAGATGAAGGGATGGTCCCCGCTTGGCCCACAGCCATTCCAGGGCACCTTCCCTTTCTATCTGAGACATGGTGGAAGGGAGGGTTGTAGGGAGAGTAGCCTTTGATCCTTGCTACTTGGGCATGGGGAGATACGGTTTTTCCTTTTAGTTTAACTTTTGGAAGCTGGTGTTAATTGGTCTTAGGGTCCCTGCCCCTAGACCCAGGTGTTTTCCTTTTGACCCAGCTTTGGGAAATCAGCACAGATTGGACTCAGATTCCCCGCCCCCAGCCTTTGGTGTTTTCTCTTTTAAGAAGTCAGCACAAATTGGCCTTAGATTCCTTGCCTCCAGACCCCATTCTCCTGCCTCAATGCAACATCTCTTCAGGATATCCTCAGTATTTGGTAAATTCTAATTTCAAGTGCTCTGCATGGTTGCTTTCATTTAGTTCAGTTTTGTTGAGAAAATATTAGGAAAAGTTGGATTCATTTCTGGGTAAACAAGCCATAGAATAAAGAGAGCATTTAAAGAAGAATCATAGAAGGACAGGTGACATCAGAACAGAATATTCTGGGGAACTGCTGAAAGGGAGAGCTTTACACTTTCATGGATTTCCATGGGACTGTATCAAGACCCTAAGGGACCAATGAGTCCCAGCTGGCATGACCATATGCAATGAAGGGAGAAAAGCCCATCTTTGATTTAAAAGTAGTAAGTTCCATTCAATTCAATTCAAAATGATATCGTTCAAAGTTTGTAAATTTCAGGTTTTGTTACTATTGGTGGCAGGAAATGTACCTCCCTATGTCCTTAAATTGGAGCTTCTATTGTCCCAATTAGATGCCCCATTCATTACTTAGCACTATGGGACTAAAATCTACTTGAGAAGTTTGCAATGAAAGGAAAAAGAAATTCTGAAAATTCACAGGCCATATTTTCTGTAAGTCTTGCTTGAGTGACCATATACCTGAATGGCTAGAACGATGTTTTTTCATTATTTCTCAACAATTAGTAATAATTGTAGGTAGAGAGCATTTGAACCAAGGCAAATTGTCTACAGAATGTGGAAATGGGGTTGAAAAAGGAGCTAGATGAGAGTCATCAAGATGAGGGTGTAGGAACTCCACGAATAGCTAATTTAGGAATGCTAAACAAAATCAAAGATCCGTTAAAATTAGATAATGTAGATTTGTAATTATCCAGGTGTGTCACTAATTCAGCAATGTTCTGTGGGTGGAAAAAGTAGAGTGGTTAAAGTGGAAAATGGAAATTATTCATTCCTGGGAGCTGAGACAGTGAAGACAATGAATATTTTTTTGCCTGACAGGAGTTCAACAAATGTTTCTGAATTGAATTATAAATAGAAGGAATTTAGGCTATAAGTGAAAATGGAACATGATATTTGATGATTATTTTATAAATACTTATTAATATATTGCTATATATTAAAGCTTGTCTTAAGATTATCCCAACTCTTTAATTTGCTTCTTTAATTTGAATTTGTACTTAGGAAGTAAATCTGTATCGTAATAATCATCTCTGAACAAGTTGACTTTCTTGCATGTTTCTATAGCTTGTCATATATTCTGGAAAATGTATTGCTACTTTAGCCTAAAGAATACATGTAAGTCCAACTGTTGATTTTTAGCTGTATATTTTTCTATTGCATTTTTGGAAATGTAAAGAGAAGACCTTGAGTTTGGCACAGACATTAATTTAGTAGAAACCGGGGAAATATTGCTTACCTCTCTCTAACCTTAAAATATTCTTTCTTATATTATAAGAGATGACAGGATTTCAATATTGACTGTCAAGAGTTTATGATGGAACTTGTCTTGGACTCCTCAATTTTAACCTTGGATGTGTTTGGGAATGTGTGGGACAAAGTCAGCACTCTTGGTTAGCAAAAGACAAAGCCTGGAATTTGCCAACTTATATCCTGGAGCGAGAATTTACCCATAGTTATTTCCCTCGTTTGGTACTAGTGATAATTAAGCTAAGCTTAACAGATGGAGTTAACTTAGTGTACTTAGTGTGACTGAATTTAATTAGTATTTTTATGAGTGAGGCTCACTTCAGTTTTTATTTTTAAAAATGATGGAAGAATCTTACAGCAAACATCTTTAGAAAGAGTCTGTATATTACTCTGGTTCTAATTACTACCTAGTAAAATATATACGGGCTTACCAAAAAGTGTGTGTGTGTGTGTGTGTGTGTGTGTGTGTGTGTGTGTGTGTCCCTGTCTGTATGTGATGGTGGGATTGGGGGTAAAGGCAGTAAAGAAAGATTTTGGGAACTGATAAAGGAAAAAAGTTTGTAAGAGCTATAATACAGGAATATATGCACTTTGGGAGGCCAAGGTGGGTGGATCACTCGAGGTCATGAGTTTGTGATCAGCCTTGCTAACATGGTGAAACACCCTCTCTACTGAAAAAAATACCAAAAAAAAAAAAAAAAAAGAATTAGCCAGGTGTGGTAGAGGGCACCTGTAATCCTGTGTCTGGAGTTGGTTCCTGCTGGTGGGTTCGTAGTCTCGCTGACTTCAAGAATGGAGCCACGGAACTTGGCAGTGAGTGTTACAGCTCTTAAAGATGGCAGGAACCCAAAGAGGGAGTGGTAGCAAGGTTTATTGCGAAGAGTGAAAGGACAAAGCTTCCACAGGGTAAAAGGAACCCAAGTTGTTTGCTGCTGCTGGCTGGGGTGACCAGCTTTTATTCCCTTATTGTCCCCTCCCATGTTCCATTTCTGTCCTATCAGAGTGCGCTTTTTTCAATCCTCCCCATGATTGGCTACTTTTAGAATCCTGCTGATTGGTGAGTTTTACAGAGCGCTGATTGGTGCATTTTACAATCCTCTCATAAGACAGGAAAGTTCTCCAAGTCCCCACTTGACCCAGGAAGTCCAGCTGGCCTCACCTCTCAATCTCCCCTCTCAACTGCTGTTGAGAACTGGGCAATGACTGCTCTAGCTACTTCCTGCTGGATAGGGGTGAAGAAGGGGCCCTGCAGTTGTAGTGTCCTCCAGAGGGGAACTCTTTAGACCAGTCAAAGGGCCAGTGGGTCGGTCCAGGTGTCCTCAGTAGAAGTTTTGAGTTGAGCTCATTTGGGGTTCCAGTTGTAAGACCATCTGTAGCTTGATGGCCTTGATCCTGGGGGAAACAAATTTGACAAGGAGGTTAAAAATACAGGGCCTAAAGGCAAGTAATACCAAGATGGCTGTCATGGGACCTAGAAAGGGGAGACGCCATGTCACCCAACTCCAGAGGTTGGTGTCAGAGTTTGAAAGGCATTGTCTGATTTCAGAAGCCTTTTCCTGTAAACACCAGGTGGGTCTCATACTATCCCTGACTGGTTGGTGTAAAAACAACACTCTTTCCCCTAAGAAGGTGCAGAGTACTCCCCTCTCAGCAGTGAGGAGGTCCAGGCCCCAGCAGTCTTGGAGAGTCACCGCTGCCAAAGACTCCACCTGGGATTGCAGAGTAAGGACAGACCCTGTCATTTCCCATAAACTGTATGAGAAATCCTTTGAGAGTGTGTGGTAGTAGGATAATGAAGTAGATAAACTGGCTATTCTGGCTTCTGTAGCAGTAGCCATTCCTAACTGTGTAAGTAGGGGTATTAGTTTTATGGCCCTCTACTGATAGACTTGAGCTTTGAGGGGCACTGATAGGGTCTGATTTCCTGGGGCAATGTCAATGTTGGGACTTAGGAAGACTAAGGTTCAGGTGCCTGTGCAGTTGGTGGGGAGGAAGATATAGGCTGAAGTTCCACATAAGAATATGCCTTGGCTGGGTAGACAGAACTGGTTGTATATGTTAAAGAGGTGTGTGAGTTTGTTGTTTTCATTTTCCCATACTCCTAGAGTACTTGCCAAGGTAGCTCTGGTGAGCAGCTGGAAAGGGGTGTTGGGAGCAAACTGAGTGGCTCTGTATTCTATTTTCCCATTGGAGAAAAAACCATTTTGTATTTACTAGGAACCATTCAAGAGAGTAACTGAAAGAGGGGATAAGAAGGCATTCATTAGTGGGGGAGGCGCTGCTGCAGGGGGTCCAGGGGTGAATGGTCATGCAGGGAGTATGCTTGCCATTACAAAACCCAGACTGTTTGTTAAACAGGGAGAAGGTGATGATTTTTGGGGGCCCTGAGAAGCAGACAAGCTGTTTGAGTGGACCTGTTTAGGTGACTCTGAAGTTACTATGATCAGTTGGGGCTTGAAGTTGTAGGGTGTAATTACATTGATGGGATAGTAGGTGCCCCAGGGGCAGGCCTGGTAACAGGTTGTGTTGGATGCATAAAGGGGCTTGGAAAGTTAAGACAGTAAACATGGTTGATGTGATTAGGATTTTCGTCCTGGCAGGAGCTACAGTATATAGTCCTACTGCAAAGAGTATGGTTAGTATACTGCTTAATAATGTAATGATACAATAAAATGATTCCATCAAAGGGACAAGGAGAGGTGTTAAAGATTACATAGGTTTTCACTTATATTTTTTAAGTAGGAAGGGGTTTTTCCTCAGGATAAGCTGTAGGAGCCTTTTGAGTCTGGGATATTTCCTTCTGAAATAGGAGACGTAAGTCCTCCAATAATTCACAGGTGTATCGAGGCTGGTCTGGCTGATTTTGGGACTCCTGAGCTGATGGTCTTGCAGGTTCCTCAGGGGGTGTCCAAAGTTTAACTCGGGTGTGGTGAATCCAAGATTCCACTCTTGCCACCTTAACTGCAGTGGAAGTAGAGAGGATTACTGAGTATGGTCCTTCCCACAAGTAATCCATAGATGGGGAGGTAGAGGGAAGGGACTTGACCAATACTAGATCTCCTGGTTGGAACAGCTCTGTTCCCTTGTCTCTGTGACATCCTTCATTTAGGGTTTTAAGGTTTTGTTGATATCTTGCCAAAGAAGTTATATCCTTGACCAAGTTGGCCGTTTCCTGATCAAGTAGGAAGTCATTTGTGAGAAAATGTCATCCATACAGCATTTCATATGGACTTACCCCCATTTTGTGAAGAGAATTTCGGATTCTCGACAAGGCCATGGGCAAGAGAATAGGACATGGGAGATGAGTTTCTTGTGTTAGTTTCCTTAAGTGCCTCTTGAGTATTTCATTTACCTCCTTGACCTTCCCTGAGGATTGTGGTCTCCAGGCACAGTGAAGGTTATATTGTATCCCTAGCGCCCTGGAAATTCCCTGAGTTACCATGACTTTAAAAGCCAGACCATTGTCACTTTGTAAGCTTTGGGGGAGCCCAAATCTAGGAATTATTTCATGAATTAGGACTTTAACTACTTCCTGAGCCTTCTCTGTTTGCAGGCTTCTATCCAATTTGTGAAGGTATCAACGCAGACCAACAAGTATTGAAATCCCCTTGACTTAGGCATATGGGTGAAGTCTCACTGCCAGTTGTCTCCGGGATAGTGCCCTATTTTTTGTTCCCCTAGAGGGGCCTTATGAGGGACCAAGGGATTATTGTTTTGGCACACATCACAGGCTTTGACAACTTGTCAGATGGTCTGTAGGAGATTTGGCCCTGTAAATAGGGATTTGGCCATTTGATGAGTGTTCTCAATACCCATATGAAAAGTTTGGTGGAGAGTCTTAAGTATTTTCCACTGGCTGGCTTTGGGTATGAGTACCTTACTCTCTTCTGTCATTAACCACCCTGAGGGGAGAAAACTATCCCCCTGTGAAAGTCCCCATTCTTTTTCAGTCGGGAAATACTGGGGCTTAATCTCTTGGAGAGGGTTGTTCCATACCAAGGGTCCTTCCATAGGTATTTCTAATGGGAAGTTCTGCCTGGCAGCAATTTTGGCGTCAGCGTCTGCCCAATGGTTTTCTTCTGCCTTTTCTCCTTCACCATTTTGATGGCTTTGGCAGTGTAAGACTGCCACCTCTTTGGGTTTTTGCACTGCATGCAATAACTCCATGATTTCTTTGTAGTATTTAATGGGGGTTCCCTCAGAGGTAAGGAACTCCCTTTCTTTCCATATTGTACCATGGGCATGTAGGATTAGAGAAGCATACTTGCTATCTGTAGACACATTTATTCTTTTTTCCCTTCTCAGTTCTAAGGTTCAGGTAAGCACCAGTAGTTCTGCTAACTGGGCGCTGGTCCCTGGGGGAAGAGGCTTACTTTCAAGTACTGTTACATCACTAACTATGGCATAACCTGCCCTTCATATCCCACTCTCCACAAATGAACTTCCATTGGTATATAGGTTAAGGTCAGGATTAGCTAAAGGGACTTCTAAGAGATTCTCTCAGGCAGCATAAGTCTGGGCAACAGTTTGTTGGTAGTCATGCTCGATTGGTTCCCCATCCTCTGGGAGAAAAATAGCAGGGTTGAAGGCTGCACACATGCGAATTTGAAGCATCAGTCCCTCAAGGAGTAGTGCTTGGTATCTAAGCAGGCAGTTGTCTGATAGTCATAAATTTCCTTTGGCAACTAGTATGCCATTTACATCATGAGTAGTCTAGATGGTGAGATCCTTTCCTTGTATTATTTTGATAGCCTTTGATACTAAGATGGCCATTCCTGCAACTATCCGTAAACAGTGAGGCCAGCCGTTTGCTACTACATCAATTTCCTTACTTAGGTATGCAACTGGCTGTGAGGTTGTCACACAAGTCTGAGTAAGGACTCCAAGAGCTATTCCCACTCTCTCTGTGACATATAAAGAGAAGTTTTGTCCTGTGGGAAGGCTTAAGGCTGGAGCTTGTACTAGGGCCTACTTTAAGGTTTTGAAGGCTGTTTCCATCTCTGGTTCCCATTCTCCTAGATGAGTATTTGCCCTCTGGGTCTCCTTGATTAGAGTATAGAGTGGCCTGGCCATCTCGCTGTATCCAGGGATCCATAGTTGGCAAAAGCCAGTGATCCCAAAGAACCCCCGCAACTGTTTTAATGTCTTACAGCAAGGACAAGCCAGTATAGGCTGTATTTGTTCTTTGCTGAGGTCTCTGCTTCCTCTGGCTAAGATTAGGCCTAGATATTTGACTTGTTGTAGGCAGAGCTGGGTGTTTAATTTAGATGCCTTGTACCCTTGATTAGCTAGAAAGGTCAAGAGATCTAGAGTAGCCTGCTGGCAGGAGGCTTCCGAACTGGGAGCCAAAAGTAATTCATCCACATACTGAAGGACCAGAGTGCCTGGACTTGAGAAATGGCCTAGATCTTGGGCCAGTGCATGACCAAACAGATGAGGGCTATCCCTAAATCCTTGGGACAAGACTGTCCACATAAGTTGGGACATGTGGTCTGTGGGATCCTCAAAGGCAAAGAGAAACTGGGAGTCAGAGTGCAGAGGAATGCAGAAGAAGGCATCCTTGAGGTCCAGAACAGTGAACCATTCTGCTTCCTCTGGTATTTGAGAGAGCGGGGTATAGAGGTTGGTTACAGCTGGATATAGCGGAATTACTCCCTCATTGATGAGTCTAAGATTTTGCACTAGTCTCCATTGACTGTTCAGTTTTTGTTCTCCTAGAATTGGGGTGTTGCAGGGACTCCTGCATTTTCTTACTAAGCCTTGAACTTTTAAATGTTTAACAATATCCTGTAATCCTTTACAAACTTCAGGGCTTAGGGGATATTGCCTTTGTAAGGAAAAGCGGTGGGGTCTTTTAGTCTGATTTGGATTGGGTGGGCATTTTTTGCCCTTCTGAATTGTCCTTCCAAGTCCTAGACTTCAGGGTTGTTTCCCTCCTCAAGTAGGGGACAACAAATGGGTAACTTATTCCCCATATTCATGTAGATAATAGCTCCAGCTTTGGCTAATATGTCCCTCCCTAATAAGGGTGTGGGACTTTCAGGCATAACAAGAAAGGCATGTGAAAAGAGCAAAGTCTCCTTACAACTGAGGAGGTGGGAGAAATACCTGGTTACAGGCTGTCCCGGGATTCCTCAGATGGTAATGGACCTTGAGGACAAGGTCCAGGGCAGGAGATTAACACTGATAAGGCCACGCCAGTGTCCAGGAAGAAGTCAATTTCCTGGCCCTCAGTGGTTAAACTTACCTGGGGCTCAGTGAGGGTGATGACATGAGCTGGCACTTGCCCTGAGGACCCTCAGTCCTGTTGTTGGATCATCTGGTTGGGGGCTTCTGGCCCAGAGAACCTTTGTCCTCTTGGGCTGTGCACCTTCCAGTGATTGCCTCGGCATAGTGGACATGGGCAAGGGGGTGGCTTATTTCTCATTGCACATTTTTTTTTAAGTGTCCTTGCAAGCCACACTGATAACAAGCCCTACTAGGTGATTGGCCTACTCCGTTTTCTGTCTTTTCTGAACCACAAAGGTTTGTTTGTCTGAGGGCCATGACTAAGGCTGTGGCCTTTCTCTTATCTTGCTTTTCCTTTTCAGCCTGTTCCTTCCTCTTTGTCCCTATTATAGAACACCAAGGTTGCCAGGTTTAATAATGCCTCCAAATTTTGTTCAGGGCCCAGGACTAGCTTTCGGAGGTTTCTCCTGGTACCTGTGGCTGATTCGGTAATAAGCTTATCTTTTAGGATCAATTGACCCTCAAGGGAGTCAGGTTACAGGGGAGTATATTTTCTTAAGGCCTCCCCTAGCTGCTTGAGGAAAGCAGTAAGATTTTCTTCCTTTCCCTGAGTTATGGTGGACATCATTGAATAATTCATGGGCTTTTTACTAATTCTACTTAGTCCTTCTAGAACACAGGTCAACAGATGTTTGAGACTCCAGTCTCCATGATCTGAGTCTAGGTCCCAATGGGGATCAATACTGGGGACAGCTTGCTGACCAGTAGGGAGTTTGTCCCTTTCTTTGGCTGTCATTCTGTCATTTACTTAAGATACCAGGTATCTCCAAAGTCTCGGGCTGCAGCTAAAGCCACATTCTTTTCATTAAAGGCCAGGGTTTGATCTAATAATAGCATGACACCTCTCCAAGTGAGGTCGAAGGTTTGCCCTAGACCCTGTAGGACATCTATATCCCTATCAGGATTATCTGAAAACTTCCCCAGGTCTACCTTGATCTGCTTTAAGTCAGAGAGGGAGAAAGGGACACGTATCCATGTTGGGCCAAATTCCCCTCCCCCTACAGCTTGAAGGGGACATAACCGATAGCCCAGGGGGTTTTTTGGTCCCTTGGAGATTTCTTTGCTTGTCTCCTTCTGGGTGGGGGAGATTAGAGGAGGCTTATCACTAACAGGAAGGGGAGCTGTAGGGAGGCTAGGATATGAAGGTAAACTGAGAGGTCCTCCTGTGGGATGTAGATTGCAAACTTTGCATAGTTGTGGATTATCCTTCAATGAAAGGAAAGCTTGGACATAAGGTATTTCACTCCATTTGCCTTCCCTCTTACAGAAAAGGTCAAGCTGCAGGAAAGCTGTAATTTATACTTCCCTTAGGTGGCCATTTTTTTTCCATCAGAGAGAGAATATTGGGGCCAGGCCATAGTGCAGAAAAAAAATAAGCAGCTTCTTTTTCAGGGCTTGAGGGTCAAATTGTTCCCAATGGATTCATTTCAAGGGTGAGCTTCTTGATGCCTGAGTGTTTCCCATCTGAAAGAAAAAAAACTGCCTATGGTTTTGTTCTGTTTTTTTTTTCTTCCCCGCCCAATAACCTGCAATGGTCCCTGGACCCTGCTGTTTGGAATAGTTGCGCTCACTGAAGCAGCAGCGGAAACACTTGTTTTCCTCCTAGATCACAAAGAGGACCAAGGAAGGTCGTATTTAGTGGCCCTTACCGACACATTCTCGAAAACCTGCACCCTTGCCTTTCCTCTTAGACCACAAAGAGGACGGAGAAAGGTCGGAGTGGAGGGCCATACCCTGAGGGAGGGAAGGGATCTCCAGCATTGGAAGAGTGATGCCTTTTGTCCTCACTTCTTATCATATGGATAGGAAGGATATACCCCCCAATTTTGGAGTCTATAATTTCTGAGGCTCTCCATATCCTAGCTTCGGGAATAACCTTTTACTCTTAAGCATCTCTTGGAGAAGTCTTACTTATATAAGACTGGTCATAGTAGCCAAGTTTGTATACAAAACAAAAAACCGAACAAACTTAACAAAAATCCAATTCACTACAGACTAGAAAAATGAAAAAACAAAACACACAAACTCCCCCCAAAGTCTTTGTGGTACATACATATAATGAAATCTCATAAAGCAGTAAAATGAATGAATTAGTCATTAAATCTCATGTACACAATGTTGAATACAACAAGAAAAGCAAGTTACAGAATCCATAAGAATCACTTCATTTCTATAAAGTTTAAAATATAAAAAACTAAAATGGTCTTTGTAAATGAATACATATATCTTTGATAAATCTGTAATGAAAACCAAGAGAATACTAGCAACAAAATTCAGGATAATGGTTACTTATCTTGGAATGAGGGACATGTCACCTAGAGAAATAGTTGTACAGTAGCTGGTAAGGTTCCATTTTTAAAAACCTGGGTGGGTACATTAAGATTCATTTTTGTTACTCTTTAACTTGCAATATATTATGAATATTCTTTTTTATTTGTTTAATAATTAATATAAACAATACCAAAAACCTTAAAATGTCAACATCAGAGAAAGGAAAAATTGCCTTTTTAATTACTAGTTCTATAGTGTAACAATCCAATTGAGTACATTATTTTATGTATCTCTATTATTTATCTGGAATAAAAATTAATCCATAAATAATTGGATGTTATGCCAAAATGCATGAACAGATTCATAGTCTATTCATATATTGTACAGTGGCTACTTGATAGGATAAAAACATTTTTAAACAAAAATTTAGTATCTATAGAAGTTTATTTTACAGGAGAATGCCTGATACCTTCTCCCTGGAATATTCTTTGTCTAGCTCCTTTTCATTTTTTTATGTCTCAGCTTAAATCCTTCTGTCCCTGACATATAACATCTTTTCCTGGCAAGCAAAGTAGGTCCCCCATTTTTATATTGTAATGGTACCTATGATTATTTTTCACAACACATATAAATTTTCATATTATTTTTAACAGCTTTAAATTACATATTTATGGAACTGATTATTCTATCAGTGCCTTCGTGCATTCATATGTAAGGAACATAACGACAGAAGTATGGCTGATTTTTGTATATTGAACTTTTATACCAATTTTATTGTCAGTTATAATATCTGTGGATTCTTTTGGATATTCCATATATAAGATCACGTCATCTGCAAAAAATAACAGCTTTACTTGTCCTTTCCAATTCTTACATTTTGTAGTTATTTTAATTTTAATGCTTAGGACCTTCACTAGAATGTTGAATCAATTAAAGCAATATCCATGACGTTTCTGATTCCAGGGGCAAAGTTTTCAAAATTTCACCTTCAGTATAATATTTGCTGTATTTTGTGTAAATAATTTTGTCATATTAAGTTTCATTTCTCTTTCTAGTTTGCTAACAGTTTGTATTACAAATAGATATTGAACCATATGAGGTGTTTTTTTAGATACCCATTATTTTTTCCTTACGTATTTTGTTAATGGGTTAAATAACAATCCTGGAATAGTATTCCTGATATATTCCCAAATAGCGTAGGCTTTGTTATCTTCTAAAATTATCCCTGGATTTAGTGTTAATATTTTGTTTAGAAATTTTGCATCTATAATCAGTGACACTGGCTTGTAATCTTCCTTTCTGGTAATTTCCTTACCTGCTATTGATATCAAGGCTAGGCTGGCCTCATAAAACTTGCTGGAAACTACATATGACTTTTGTATTTTTCTGGAAGCATTTGGGTTTGTTTGTTTGTTTATTTATTTATTTATTTATTTATTTATTTATTTTGAGACAGAGTCTTGCTTTGTTGCCCAGGCTGGAGTGCAATGGCGTGATCTCAGCTCACTGCAAGCTCCACCTCCTGGGTTCACACCACTCACCTGCCTCAGTGTCCCGAGTAGCTGGGACTACAGGCACCCACCACCATGCCTGGCTAATTTTTTTGTATTTTTAGTAGAGACAGGGTTTCACTGTGTTAGCTAGGATGGTCTCGATCTCCTGACCTCGTAATCCACCTGCCTGGTCCTCCCAAAGTGCTGGGATTACAGGCATGAGCCGACATGCCTGGCTGGGTTTATTTATTAAGAGTTTGTTAGAATTCACCAATAGGACCATTTTGACAAGGAGTTTTCTTTGTAGGAAGGTTCTTAGTTGTATTCTTTAAAATATTTGAACAATTAAAATGTTATATTTCTACTTGTGTCAGTTTGGTAATTTGTAGTTTTGTAAGTATTTGTTCATCTAAATTTTCAAATTTATTGGCATGAAGTTTTCATAATATAATCTTTCTATCTTTTTCTATCTGTGGGATCTGTGTTGAAGTCTTCTTTTCCATTTCTGATGTAATTTATGTCTGCCTTTTCTGTTTTTGTTCTCAAAAATTTTTTGCCAAATTTATTATACATTATTTTTGCAAGATTATTAGATTTCTAAATAACTAAATTTTGGTTTTATTACTCTAACAATTTTTATCCTTTATTATATATTTCCTTATACTTATTTTGAGTATAACTTACTCTTTCTTTTTCTCATTTTTTGAGATCTGATCTTAGCTCATGAATTATCAGCTTTTCTTTTTTAAAAAACATGCATTTGGGGCTGAGCATAGTGACTCATGCCTGTAATCCTAGCACTTTGGGAGGTGGAGGCAGGAGTGGATCACTTTGAGCTCAGGAGTTTGAGACTAACCTGGCCAACATGGCAAAAACCATCTCTTAAAAAAAATTAGCTGGGCATTGGTGTTTTGCACCTGTAGTACCAGCTACTTGGGAGGGTGAGGTGGGAGGATTGCATGAGCTGGGAGGCAGAGGTTGCAGTGAGCTGAGATCATGCCATTGCACTCCATCCTGGGTGACAAAGATCCCTTCTCAAAAAAAAATGCATTTAAAGCAATATATTTCTTTCTAATTTGTTTTATCTGTGCCTCTTTATTACTAACTGAAAAATCCTTAAGATAGCCAACTGAAAAGGGAGAGCTACGTAATATAGCTTATTACTAAAGAAAAAGGGAAAAAATTTTTCTATGCAACCACAGTGATCATTCAAATTATAAAATTAAAAACTCCTAATTACATTAGATACAGAAATATTATCACACATACAAGTAACATGACAATACAAATGTTATGTATTTTGGAAAAATCTTATCATGGAACATGTAGAATTTGTTTGGAAAAAAATCTATATGGATTGAGGCCAGGCATGGTGGCTAACACCTGTAATCCCAGCACTTTGAGAGGCAGAGGTGGGTGGATCACGAGGTCAGGAGAACAAGACCATCCTGGCTAACACTGTGAAACCCCATCTCTACTAAAAATGCAAAAAACAATTAGCCAGGTGTGGTGGTAGGCGCCTGTAGTCCCAGCTACTCAGGAGGCTGAGGCAGGAGAATGGTGTGAACCCAGGAGGCAGAGCTTGCAGTGAGCTGAGATCGTACCACTGCACTCCAGCCTAGGTGACAGAGCAAGACTCCATCTCAAAAAAAAAAAAAAAAAAATCTATAGGGATTAAGAATAATCTAAAGAATTAGGTTACCAAATTAGACTTACAGGAATCAGATTTTACCCAGTATCAAGTTTTATTAAAAATTCAAAGGTACAGGTAATTGTGAAAAGCAGAAGGATGCAAAAAGTTTTTCCAGCTCTACTAGCTGTGAGAGTTTAGAAAATTTATATAAACTCTTTTAGTTACAATTTCCTTATTTTATAAACTGAGGATAATATTGCCTACTCACATGGTGTATTGTGTATTCATCTGTTCTCACACTGCTAATAAAGATATACCTGAGACTGAGTAATTTATAAAGGAAAGAGGTTTAGTTGACTAACAGTTCCACATGGCTGAGGTAGGACTCACAATCATGGTAGAAGGTGGAGGAGGGGCAAAGTCACATCTTACATGGCAGCAGGCAAAGACAGAACTTGTGTAGGAGAACTGTCCTTTATAAAACCATCAGATCTCATGAGACTTACTATCATGAGAACAGCATGGGAAAGACCTGCCCCCATGATTCAGATACCTCCCACTGGGTCCCTCCCACAACACGTGGGAATTAAGGAGCTACAATTCAAGATGGGATTTGGGTGGGGACACAGCTAAACCATATCATTCTGACTCTGGCCCCTCCAAAATCTCATGTCCTCCCATTTCAAAACCAATTGTACCTTCCCAACAGTCCCCCAAAGTCTTAACTCATTTCAGCATTAACTCAGAAGTCCAGAGTCCAAAGTCTCATCTGAGACAAGGCAGGTCCCTTCTGCCTATGAGACTCTGAAATCTAGGCAGAGGTTCCCAAACCTCAATTTTTGACTTCTGTGCACCTGCAGGCTCAACACCATGTGTAAACTTGCACCCTCTGAAGCAACGGTTTGACCTCTACGTTGGCCCCTTTTGGCCATGGCTGGGACACAGGGCACCAAGTCCTGAGACTGCACAAAGCAGCAAGGCTCTGGGCGAGACCCATGAAACCATTTTTTCCTCCTAGGCCCTGTGGCTTGTGATGGTGGGGGCTGCCATGAAGATCTCTGACATGGCCTGGAGACATTTTCCCCATTGTCTTGGAGAGTAACATTTGGCACCTTGTTACTTATGCAAATTTCTGCAGCCACCTTGAATTTCTCCTCAGAAAATAGGTTTTTCTTTTCTACTGCATTTTCAGGCTGCAAATTTTCTGAACTTTTATGCTCTGCTTCCCTTTTAAACATAAGTTCCAATTCCAAACCATATCTTTGTGAATACATAAAGCTGAATGCATTTAATAGCACCCAAATCAGCTCTTGAACACTTTGCAGCATAGAAATTTCTTCTGCTAGATACTCTAAATCATCTCCCTCAAGTTCAAAGTGCTATAGATCTCTAGGGAAGATGCAAAATGCTGCCAGTCTCTGCTAAAACATAGCAAGAGTCACCTTTATTTAAGTTTCTGACAAGTTCCTCATCTCCATCTGAGACCAACTCAGCCTAGACTTTTTTGCCCATATCACTATCAGCATTTTGCTCAAAGCCATTTGACAAGTCTCTAGGAAGTTACAAAATTTCCCACATCCTCTTGTCTTCTTCTGAGCCTTCCAAACTGTTGCAAACTCTGCCTGTTACCCAGTTCCGAAGTCACTTCCACACTTTACTGGTACCAATTTACTGTATTCATCTGTTCTTACACTGCTAATAAAGACATACCCAAAACTGGGAAATTTATAAAGGAAAGAGGTTTAATAGACTCACAGTTCCACATGGCTGGGGAGGCCTCACAATCATGTTCAAAGGCAAATGAGCAAAGTCATGTCTTACATAGGAGCAGGCAAATAGAGACCTTGTGTAGGCGAACTCTCCTTTATAAAACCATCAGATCTTGTGAGACTTACTCACTATCATGAGAACAGTCCAGGAAAGATCTGCCCCCATGATTCCTTTATCTCCCACTGGGTCCCTCTTGTGATACATGGGAATTATGGGAGCTACAATTCAAGATGAGATTTGGGTGGGGACACAGCCAAACCATATCACATGGTTAGTGTTAACAGGATGATGTGCATATAAGGTTACCAGAGTAGCCAGCACATTTAAGAATGCAACAAGTTATATATTAATGTGATAATTTAGTATTGCTGTTATGATTCCACATATCTTATATTTAATTTTAATCTTCCTATGTATATAATTAAAGGTCTATTATCAAGATGTAATCCAGATTCATTTCTGCAACCTGCCTTACTATTTTTTTCTTAAACACAGACAGCACTTGTTGTATTTCTCGCCTATGAGTTTTCAATGACCTTTTAATAGAAATGCTTAATTCTAGAAATATGAATGGAAAATGGTCATTTATTTGTACATCTCTTAGGGATTTAGGTGTATAACATACCATAGCACAAGAATAAGATATGGTGGCTATCTTCCAAGATGTTTATAGATTACCAGTGGTAAATAAAAGTTAAATAATATAATTTTATCCTTGGTGCTAAAAAAAAACACTGAAAAACAAATGTGTGAGTATAAATGATGTTAGCCATTGACTTGAAATATTTTCCTAAATAACATAAGCCTAATATATTATGAAAGGTGTTTCAATTGCTCAGGACAGTTATAATACATATAATCAAATTCTATACATTGAAAATATTTCATATATTCCAAGTTCTACATGTAACAGAATGACATATATAACTGTACTATGGAGATTGAAACATTCTAATGCATTTAAAAAGAATATGTTCTGAAAATGACAAATTTTCTCAAAACAGTGCATTTATACTCCTGCAATATAGTAAAAGTCCCTGTAAATAATTTTTATGCAGTATACAACAGCATAAAATACTATATTTTCTTGTTCAGGGAACTCAATGAAGGCAAAGAGGAAAGTCAACATCAACAACCTGATGATTCTAACAATATAGCTGTCCATGTTCAGAGAGCACATGGTGGCCATATTTTATATAGACCAAAAAGAGCCACAGAGAAATTTGAAGAATTCCTAGCTATCTTAAAGAAATTGTAAGTATTTAAAATATATTCCTTCTTCTAATTGAGTAATTCTTTTGAATGGCTTTATTTTTTAAAGTTTATTGTTTGTGGGTAAGTGTACTTTAGTTATGATACAGCACTCATGGTTGATTCAGGAGAGATGGACACACTGGAGACTTTGTTTCTATATAAATACAGTCTTCATGAATTCAGTCTTCAATGGTGTATCACGGATATAATGCTAAACTTGTGACCCATTATTTTAAAATTAAACTGCAAGCAAAATATATATTATTTACTGATATTTCAAAATTCTGTTAAAGATGTCCTTAGCTTGGGTTATCGGAAGGCTCTTCACAAACTGTCTTCCTCATCCAGGAGTCTTTAAATAAACTTACCACATGTTACTTTTTTTTTTTTTTTTTTTGAGACTGTTGCTCTTGTGCCCCAGGCTGGAGTGCAATGGCACAGTTTCGGCTCACTGCAACCTCTGCTTCAATGGCGCAATCTCAACTCACTGCAACCTCCGCCTCCTGGGTTCAAGTGATTCTCCTGCCTCAGCCCCCCAAGTAGCTGGGATTACAGGCACCTGCCACCACGCCTGGCTAATTTTTGTATTTTTAGTAGGGACAGGGTTTCACCATGTTGGCCAGGGTGGTCTCGAACTCCTGACCTCAGGTGATCTGCCTGCCTCGGCCTCCCTCGGCCTGGGATTACAGGTGTGAGCTTCCGCACCCGGCCCCATTCCTTTTAATTTTCTAGAATACTTTGTGCTCTGATAGGGACACAACTGCCTGAAGAAGGAGGGGTGTGGAGGAGAAGATTAAATCTGAGTGTAGGCTGATTACCAAAGATGGTATTGGATTTGTGAATAAAATTAAACGAGTACCATGAAAATTATAGAAGAAAATCTTAACCACCTGTCATAGGGGAGTAAAATTAAACTTGTAAGCTGAAAAAATAGGAAATTCAACTAGAATATGTGATATTAGAATTGAGATTGATAACAGGAACAAAACCAAAAGTGTCAAGACTAGGAATGTTTTCAGAAAAAAATCAATAGCAGGGAATGAGTAATTAAAAATTTGACATTTATGTTCTGAAGAATGAACTTTTTCTTTGTTTAGATACAAAAATACCATTGTGGTATAACTGCCTACAGTATACAGTACAGTAACATGTTTTGCAGGTTTGTAGCCTAGGAACAACAGGCTATACCAGCTGGCCTAGGTGTGTAGTAGACTACACGATCCAGGTTTAAGTGTACTCTATGATGTTTACAGAATGACAAAATCGCATGATGACAGATTTCTCAGAATGTATCCCCGTTGTTAAGTGACACATGACTATGATTGCAAATTTGAGGAAATATGATCAGAGCTTCCAGAAAATTTGAGAATGGTCAGATTTTTATACTCTTAACTTATAATAACAAAAAGGAAACAATGAATACTAATCACTTTTTAGTAAAGCAGGTATGAGGGAATTATAGAAGGAAATCTTAACCACCTGTCATAGAAGAGTAAAATTAAACTTGTAAGCTGAAAAAATTAGGAAATTCAACTAGAATATGCTCACTAAATTCGTTAAAAATATTCTTTAAGTGGTAGAAAATCGCTAAAACACTGAAAGTGATCTAAGGCATACTATGCTACAATCACTTTAATTCCATTAAACTCTAATGTTGATTAATATTGCATCAGATTCCAAAATTTTAGTTTCCAGAAACCCATGAATCACTCTGCTGATTTCAGGTTGTGCTGGGCTGTAAGAGTTTTAATGGCAGTGGTAATTCCTGTCTTTTTTACTATAGTGAGATAGCAGTTTCCAGATAACAAAGTTTCTGATCTGAGATGTGGGAGGTCAGTAACAGGGACTTCCAAGCAGCTATGATTCTGCACTGCAATGTCAAAATACCAGGAGGTAAATCTAGGTCAATGTCAGGATGGAAACTACAAATGGGTAAGAAGCCTAGTACCTTCTTAACAGTGGACTACCGCGAAAAGCAGGAGCCATGGTAGAAGGTGGTCCAAGCACAGTGAATAATAGACAAGTTACTTTACTTTGCTACATTCTTTTGTGGACCTCCATGGATGCTATTTAATGGCCTGTTTCCAAACACCCAGGACAATAGATGTTGGGTCAGTATCAGTTTCCAGAACCCACTTCCTCACTCATGTGTGAGAAAATGGATGAGTAGAGAAGATCCTGATGTACTATACGTCCCCCCTTTCAGTGGCTCAGAATTGGGCAGCCAGGACTTTGACATGGCAAAACTCACTGCTGTCAATGGGTGGGCTGTGACAGCCACCAAATTACAGTAGGAGAGTAAATGAGAAGGAAATTCATTTTTATGAGATGTTTAATATTAACAGAAAGCCTTAAGCTCTCTATAAAAAATTTGTGATTTAATCCTCACATCAATGCTTTGAGGTAGCTATGACAAACTATTAATAGTAAGTAAAAGATCAATGTATGCACTAAATCCACAATCTATGTTTGTTCTATAGCACATGCCTTTTCTCTCCTCTTCTCCTTGGGACACTAATGTATTAGCTTCTTATTGTTCTGTAATTAATTAACATAAACTTAGTGGCTTACAACAACATAATTTAGTATCTCTCAGGGTGAGGTTTATCTGGTCCTCTGCTCAGTGTCTCACAGATCATCAGAGTGTCCACTGGGCTGTGACCATTTCTGGAGCATAGGATCCTCTTCCAAGCTCAAATGGTTGTTGGCAGGATTCAGTTCCTTGTGGTTGTAGGACTGACATCCCCACTTTCATGATGGCTTTCAGCAGGGGGCCCCTCTTTCTACTAGAGACTCCCTAGATCCTTGCCATGTGGCACTTTCTCAAGCTCTGTTAGCAACACAAAAGCTTAAATTTTCAAAGCTAGCAAGGGAGAGTCTGTTTCTCTCTCTGTTATTCTGACTAGGTGAAGTGTGATATAACCTAATCAGGGGCCTATATATCCCATCGGGTTTTGCAGTATTCCCAAATCATAGATTCTGCCCCCACTCCCAACATTTAAGGAAAGGGGATTGGGTGTTCCCTTAGTCACATTTAGTAACATCATCAGTCTATTTCTGACTCTGTTAATTGCATTAGCAATGGGGTTGTATGCTTTATAAACACAACACTAAAGTAATTCAATTAAAATCTATTTATTGATGGATAAGTTGTCAGGTCTGTGGCCTTTTGTTTATCTCTGACTAATTAAACCATGATCAGATTGACGGGCTGTTTAAGTGATGTTATCTAATGAACTTTTGAAAATGTTACCTTCTATACTTTAAAACTTTTCACTTTGTCACCCTGACTAAAATTAAAAAAAAAAAAACATTTTGAGTCACAGTAACTTTTTAAATAAATGCAGGCTGGGCGCAGTGGCTCACACCTGTAATCCCAGCACTTTGGGAAGCCAAGGAGTGTGGATCATGAGGTCAAGAGATGGAAACCATCCTGGCCAACCTGGTGAAACTCCATCTCTATTAAAAATACAAAAATTAGCTGGGTGTGGTGGCATGTGCCTATAGTCCCAGCTACTCGGGAGGCTGAGGCAGGAATTGCTTGAACGCGGGAGGCGAGCCGAGATTGGGCCACTGCACTCCAGCCTGGTGACAGAGCAAGACTCCATCTCAAAAAAAAAAAAAAAAAAAAAAAAAGAAATGCAAAGATATCTGATAAGATTAAGATACTATTACCTATTGATAACTTGGTGTGCTATAGCTTAATCATGTTAATTACATCTTAACTTCCACTTCATGTCAGCAGCTCTGAGTAAATACTGATAGATGGGAAAAATAATAAATAATTTTGAAACATTAAAATCATTGGGAGAGGCATTAAAATCATGGGGGTGGTGCCACCATAAAGGAGAGATTTGAGCAACCAGAGGATTACTAAACAGACAGTGGGAGGGAGAGAGGAGACAGAGTGAGAAAAAGAGAGTTGGGAGGCCCCTTTTTAAAATTTTGTTTTTTAAGGCATATCAGATTGAATATAAGCTTATCATGTGTATTAGTTAGGATTTTGGATCATAAGCAACAGAAACTGACTCTGGTTCATTAAAACAATCACAATAAACAAAAAGGGAAGGGGGGACAGATGGAAGAATATCAGGTAGCTCTCAGAATAGAAGAACAACAACTAGATGCTGGAGATACAAACTCTAAGGCAACTCTGGAAGTCTCTTCAAGGTACAACACTGGAATCAATCAGTTACAACTACTTGCATTTGGGAGTTACTAGGCTCACAGCTTAATTTCAGGGATAGGGAGTCAGATTGTTGTAGTTTATTTTTATACCCACCCTTGAATAAATGCTGAGGGAGAAGTGCCCTTTGACAGGCAGTTTTACTGAGTTTACATGCAATTGGCAAAGGGGCAGCATTTCAAAAGAGAAAATATTTCAGAAGAAGGGGGAAATGATGATAAGTAAAGAATATTAAAATCTAGGAACTGAAACATGACTTAGAATTTTAGTTTCTAAATAATTTTGACTCATTTTATTTTTCATCCATTAATTAATGAATCCAACATACACTTTTGAACTCCTCTATGTTTCTGTCAGTATTCCTGGTATTGGGACTGTGGGAACACACAATATCTTTGCCCTCATGGAGCTTACATTCTAATGTAAGAGATACTAAACACATATGTATTCTGTCAGTTAGTGATAAGTGCTAGGAAGAAAAGCTAATGCAGAATAAGGGGATAGAGAATGATGGAAATGATCAGAGAAGTCAGATTTTATGAAACAGGAGAAAGAGGAGAGAGAGACAATTAAATACCTTGAAGAAGTGCATTCTAGGGAAAGAAAACACAAGTGCAAGAGCCCAGGTATTGCAACATGGTCTGCAAATAGAAAAACAAATTACAAAAAATAAAAACCATAATAATTGGGAAGAAAGTCATTGTTGTGAAAGTGCATGAGTCAAATGGGAGACCTGGTGGAAATAGTGCTTCAGAGGTAGCCAGGGACCAGATTATCATTTAGGGTCTCATAGCCCATGAAGGGATTTTAACCTTGGTGTGACTGGCATGTTATGATTTACATGGCAAAAGGTCATGTGTGGATGCCAAAAGGAGTTTCAGAGTGACCTGTTAGAGTGCTGTGAAATTTGTCTAGGTGAAAGATGACAGTGGCCCATATTCTGTGTTAGGGATTTAGATTTGACATGAAGAATTTGATTTTCTCTCTCTTTTTAAGACATGAGCAGGACTGAACAGACAGTCCTTGAAGCAAATCAGGTTCATTGCTCAGTTTGACCACTAACATGATGGAGAATCCTGGGCAAATCATCTGATGCTCTCACATGTTGGTATTTGATTGCAGTGCTTATAACAACACTGGCTTTTAAAATGCAATTATAAAATACTATGGTAAAAATAATTGGTTTCTTCATAAATGACTAATTTCTGGGGAAAAAAAGTTATGTTTGTATGTATTTGTGGGAGCTGTGGAAAGGGTAGGAGAAGAGAGGGACTTATAAATGAGCTGTGAAATGCAGATTAAGATCCTCTGAGAAAACTTGGCCCGATTGTTTTTTCTTCTACTTTCTCCAATTAACGATGTTTCCTTTGAGCGAATGAGGCATCTGAAGATCATTATGTTTCAGTAGAGCAGTGATGCAAAGCCACTTCTCAGGAATGACTCAGAGGAATTGCTCCCTGGAAGAACATCAGGGTTTTTGCCTTTTAGATTCAGGCTGTTTAAAATCCAAATGCAATATGGTTCTTATGCTGTCGTCCTCTGGTGAAATGGCACATAAGATGGGGAATTGCAGTCTCAAACTATATTTAAGGGCTGCATGCTGATCAAAGAAAAACACTTTGTGGGGCTATTAATTTGTGAAAAATACAGTATTTTGGAGGAAAACCGCACTTCAATGGAGTGGAAGGGGGATTCATATCTAGAAAAGAAAGTTTCCATTTGAACTTAAAAGGGAACATAGGTTAATAAAGAACGGTGTGGATACTGAAAGTAATTTATATTTCTGACACAAATGGTGATCATTTATGACAGAAGAATGGGAAATAAAGGAAGAGAATTATTTGTGTTAAAATGAGTTAGCAAAGGACAGAAATTAAAAACTCATTGACAGTAGACTGGTATTCTAAAAGCGTGTCACGCTGAATCTTCTTGTTCTGTCTGCGGCAGCTAGATTGAAAGTTACATTTGGGATGTACATGTTGCAAAATGCCTGGCCTGCAGAGTCAGAAAGAACTGTGTTCTCAACTGGACTCCTCTAATCATTAGTTGTATGATCTTGGGCAAATTTCTACCTCCAAAAATTTTATTCACAAAGTTAGAATGTAAAGCCCCAAACATATTACTTCGTCCATTTTAGGCCCTATGTGAATGTCAATCTCCCCTCTCCCAAAGAATGTTACATACTGTGATTGCTTTTTAACAAAAGACTTTGCTATGTTCTTGCTATAGTTGAATTATAAAGGGGTTCCTTGTGTCTCTGAATAATAATGTGTTTCATTTTTAATATATTCAAGAAAGAATATTCAAATTTCTCCTACAACTTATGAATAAATAACAGCTATTACTTCTTTATCATATATTTGCATTAGTTTACAAAGTTGCCCGGAAAATTTTCATACAGCAGTTTAAGAAACTACTATTTGATCATATATTAAGTAGTATTCAAAAACAATTGTATCTTGATACCTTTGTTCTATTGTTTAGACATAAGCAAACATCTATTATAATATTTCTTATAAAAATTATTTTTTCACTGTATAGATGTATTATTTCAGCATAGATGTGACTATTAAAGCTGAGGCTTCTTGTTTTCGGTGACATAGTTTTGCCTCTTATTTTTCCATAGAAATGTCTTAGTAAGTATTTAGTGTAAGTTCTTTCTTATTAATACTAGGTTTATAAGTGTAACAGAACGTACTTGTCATGCAGTGAGACTTGAGAATCTTATGACTCTATTGGGAATTTTTATCATGTGTTGTATTACAGATTTAATAACAATGGAACACAAAGTCTTTTAAGAATATTTCTTGTAACAACTATCTGTTGAACTATCACAAAAATCCATGATTTCATTAAAAGATTTAATGTCTGACTGTACAAAAATATTACTTGCCTTCCTCATGCAGTTATTCTTATAGAGTATTAAAGTCATCTTGAATGGTAGTGCTACATTTATCAAAATGACTTAGTTTCACATACATGCAATTGTGTTTTATATGTATGAGCAGAATGCTTTTGTACTCGAGGATTTACCTCATGATATGAAGAACCATTTTAGAGAAACATAGATAATTAAGTCCAGGCTCAAGTCATACAATATCTAGAAAATTTTGGCAAGATTTGGTTGTTTCTAGTAGAGTGTGGGTCTGCATGGTCACTGTTCTCAGTCAAACCCTGGGTCTATCTGCAGAGAAGTAATAAACAACTTGGCAGTCTTTAAAAACCTGGAACATAATTCCTTATTTGTCTCTCCTCTTTCATCCACTGAACATTTAGTCTAAGAAAATGGTGGTTTAGTTGGTTTAATATTCAAAGGTGATATTATAATAGGCTTGGTTTGGCTAAAGAGATGAAAATGTGGTCAGATGTCCTTAGTACGTTTGCAGTATCCATTTGTGGTTCTGAGGAAATGTGTGTGTGACTCTACCTATTTGATGGCTTACATAAAATTTGGTTTCCAAATGAGCCACTAAATTGGGCTCATTGTACAGCAAGGTCCATCAGTGTATGGTTAAATGTTCTTTCTTCTTCATTAGATATTTGTCAACTAGACTGATGTGAAATCTACGTTGGACAAAAATTCTTCCCTGGAGCATTCATGCTCAATTTCATTTTTTTGTAAACTGATAATATTACCATATTCTTGTTAAAAGTTTCCAAACACTACTTTTCACTTTTTATTTTTTTATTTTTGTGGGTACATAGTAGATGTATATATTTATGGGGCACATGAGATGTTTTGATACAGGCATACAATGAATAATAATGACATCATGGAGAATGGGGTGTTCGTGCCCTCAGGCATTTATCCTTTGTGTTACAAACATTCCAATTATACTCTTTTAGTTATTTTAAAATTACAATTAAATTATTGACTATAGTCATCCTGTTATGCTATCAAATAGTGGGTCTTATTTATTCTATTTTTTTGGTATCTTTTAGCCATCCCTACCTCCTCCCAACCACCCTGCTACCCTTCCCAGACTCTGGTAACCATACTTCTACACTCTATGTTCATGAGTTCAATTGTTTTGATTTTTATATCCCACAAATAAGTGAGACCATGTGATGTTTGTCTTTCTGTGCCTGGCTTATTTCATTTAATATAATGACCTCCAGTTCCATCCATGTTGTTGCAAATAACAGGATCTCATTATTACGTATGGATGAATGGTACTCCATTGTGTATATGTACCACATTTTCTTTATCCATTCTTCTGTTGATGGACACTTAGGCTGCTTCCAAATCTTGGCTACTGTGAACAGTGCTGCAATAAATGTGGGAATAGAGATATCTCTTCAATATACTGATTTCCTTTCTTTGGGGTATATACACAGCAGTGGGATTGCTGGATCATATACCTCTAATTTTAGTTTTTTGAGGAACCTCAATACTGTTATTCACAGTTCTTGTACTAATTTAGATTCCCACCAACAGTATACAAGGGTTCCCTTTTCTCCGCATCCTCACCAGCATTTGTTATTGCCTATCTTTTGGATATAAACCATTTAAACTAGAGTGAGATGACACCTCATTGTAGTTTTGATTTGCATTTATCTTATGATCAATGATTTTGAACATCTTTTCATATGCCTATTTGCCATTTGCATGTCATTTTTTTGAGAAACACCTATTCATATCTTTTGCCCAATTTTAAATCAGATTATTAAATTCTTTCTTACAGAGTTTTTTGAGCTTCTTATCTATTCTGGTTATTAATCCCTTGTCAGAGGGGTAGTTTGCAAATATTTTCCCCCATTCTGTTGATTGTCTCTTCACTTTGTTGATTGTTTCCCTCACTGTGCGTAAACTTTACAACTTGATGTGATCTCATTTGTCCATTTTTGCTTTGGTTGCCTGTGCTTGCGGGTTATTACTGAAGAAAATTTTTGCCCAAACCAACGTCCTGGAGTTTTCCAATGTTTCATAGTAGTTTCATAGTTTGTGTTCTTAGATTTAAGACTCTAATCCATTTTGATTTGATTTTTGTATATGGGGAGAAATAGGGGTCTAGTTGTTCTGCATGTGAATATCTAGTTTTCCCAGCACATTTTGTTGAAGAGATTGTCCTTTCCTCAGTGTATTTCTTGGTACCGTTGTCAAAAATGAGCTCACTGTATATATATGGATTTATTTGTGGGTTCTCTGTTCTGTTTCTTTGGTCTGTGTTTCTGTTTTTATGCCAGTAACATGCCATTTTGTTTACTATAGCTCTGTAGTATAATTTAAAGTCAAGTAATGTGATTCTTCTGGTTTTGTTCCTTTTGCTTAGGATAACTTCAGCTATGCAGGATCTTTTGTGGTTCCATATAAATTTTAGGATTATTTTTTCTCTTTCTGTGAAGAATGCCATTGGTATTTTGATAGAGATTGCATTGAATCTGTAGATTGCTTTGGGTAGTAAGGACATCTTAACAATATTGATTCTGCTAATACATGAACATGGAATATCTTTCCATTTTTGGTGTCCTCTTCAATTTCTTTCATCAGTGTTATATAGTTTTCTTTATAGATATATTTCACATATTAGTTAATTCCTGGGTATTTAATTGTATTCGTGGCTATAGTAAATGGGATTACTTTTTTGATTTGTTTTTCAAATTGTTGATTTTTGTATTTTGATTTTGTATCTTGCAGTTTTACTGAATTTGTTCATCAGTTCTAATCATTTTAGGGGGGAGTCTTTAGGTTTTTCCAAATATAAGATCATATTGTCTACAAATAAAAATAATTTGACTTTTTCTTTTGCAGGTTAGATGCCCTTTATTTTTTTTCTTTTGTGTGATTGCTCTTGCTAGGACTTCCAGTACTGTGTTAACAGTGGTGAAAGTGGAGATCTTTGTCATGTTCCAGATCTTAGAGAAAAAGCTTCACTTTTTATCCCATTCAGTATGTACCAGCATGGGTCTGTCATATATAGCTTATATTATGTTGAGATGTATTCCTTTTATACCCAGTTTTTTGAGGGTTTTTTATTATGAAGAGATGTTATACTTCATCAAATGCTTTTTTTTTTTTTTTTTTTTTTTTTTTGAGATGGAGTCTCGCTCTGTCCCCCAGGCTGGAGTGCAGTGGTGTGATCTCAGCTCACTGCAACCTCTGCCTCCCGGGTTTTTTTTTTTTTTTTTTTTTTTTTTTGAGATGGAGTCTCGCTCTGTCCCCCAGGCTGGAGTGCAGTGGTGTGATCTCAGCTCACTGCAACCTCTGCCTCCCGGGTTTAAGCAATTCTCTGCCTCAGCTTCCAGAGTAGCTGGGATTACAGGTGCGTGCCACCACGCCT
This sequence comes from Homo sapiens, assembly GCF_000001405.40. Classification (NCBI taxonomy): domain Eukaryota; kingdom Metazoa; phylum Chordata; class Mammalia; order Primates; family Hominidae; genus Homo; species Homo sapiens. The sequence continues at coordinate 86,950,222 of NC_000008.11, forward strand.
GGCAAATTTTTGTATTTTTAGTAGAGACAGTTTCACCATTGGTTTCACCATTTGGCCAGGCTGGTCTTGAACTCCTCACCTCATGATCCACCTGTCTCAGCCTCCCAAAGTGCTGGAATTACAGGCATGAGCCACTGTGCCCAGCCTATCAACTGCTTTTTAGGTATCAATTAAAACAATTATATGATTTTTGCCCTTCATTCTGTTGATATGATGTATCACATTGATTGATTTGCATATGTTGAACTACCCTTGCATCCCTGGGATAAGTCTCACTTGGTCATGATGAATGATATTTTTAATGCATTGTTGTGTTTAGTTTGCTAGTATTTTGTTGAGGATTTTCACAGCAGTGTTCATCAGAGATGTTGGCCTGTAGTTTCTTTTTTTAATGTGTCTTTGTCTGGTTTTGGTATCAGAGTAATACTGGCTTTGAGAATGAGTTTGGAAGTGTGCCATTGTCCCCTGTTTTTCAGAATAGTTTGAGTAGGATTGGTACTAGTGCTTCTTTAAATGTTTGATATAATTCAGCAGTGAAGTCAGGTCCTGGGCTTTTCTTTACTGGGAGACTTTTTATTACAGATTTGATCTTTTTACTTATTATTGATCTGTTCAGTTTTTGGATTTCTTCCTGTTTCAATCTTAGTAAGTTTTATGTGTCTAGGAGTGTGTTCATTTCTCCTAGATTTTCCAATGTATTTTATGTGTTCATTTATTCTGTGTTCATTTATTCTATATATTCCAAAGGATCATAGTGACTACTAATGATCCTTTGAATTTCTGCAGTATCAGATGCAATGTTCCCTTTTTCATCCCTGATTAAACATTACTTTTCTACTGTTTGCTTTTTGATATCACAAATTTAATAACTTTACAGTAAATTCTTGTTTTTAAGTTTTCAGCACTTAGGATTCTTATTTGAAAGCAACAGAAGCTGATTCTTAAGCTAAAAGAAAAATTATTAAATTCGTAGTTATTTACAATGATTTTCTTAAAATAGATTTAATATCAGGTAAAAGTACAGATAATGCAACTATTCTTGATCTTTTTAGCTACATTCAGTTTTGGCAAGAATATAATAGATAGGCTGGGCACGGTGGCTCATGCTTGTAATCCCAGCACTTTGGGAGGCCGAGGCAGGCAGATCACCTGAGGTTAGGAGCTTAAGACCAGCCTGGCCCACGTGGTGAAACTCCATCTCTACTAAAAGTAGCTGGGTGTGGTGGTGGGCACCTGTAATCCCAGCTATTCTGGAGGCTGAGACAGGAGAATCACTTGAACCTGGGAGGCAGAGGTTTCAGTGAGCCGAGATCATGCCACTGCACTCCAGCCTGGGTGACAGAGCGAGGCTCCGTCTCACAAAAAAAAAAAAAAAAAAAAAAAAAAAAAAAAAAAAAAGATATTGCCCCTACCAGTAAATATTAGCTTTTAAATTATTTTATTTTTAATTTTATAGAACAACAAAAGACATCTTGTTTAATTTACAGTTATTTTAATTTGCCTTTCTTTGTTTCCTTGTTAAGCTAAATTTTCTTTAATCATTTATTAGCTATTTGTATTTATTCACGTTGCTGTTGTGAAAAGAAAAAAAAATCTTGGGATTCCCAAATCACTAAGCCAAAGGGAAAAATCAAGCTGGGAAGTACTTAGGGCAAACCTGCTCCACTGTATTCCTAAAAAAGATAGCTACTAAGATTAAAAAGCTGCATACCTCCCTCACAATTGGTCCACAAGGAAATTCCTTGCAGACAAAGGACAAACAGAACTCAGCAGAAACCCTTTGCTCACTGAGATAAATGCATATCTAATTGCTTCCTTTGGAAAGGAATCAGAAATTCAAAATAATATAACCATTTGTCTTCCATCTACCTATGACCTGGAAGCCCCCTCCCCACTTTGAGTTGTCCTACTTTTCTGCGCCAAACCAATGTCCATTTTAACACATATTGATTGATGTCTCATATCTCCCTATAACATACAAAACCCAAGCTGTTCCCTGACCACTTTGGGCACATGTTGTCAAGACTTCCTGAGGCTGTGCCACAGGTGCATCCTTAACCTTGGCAAAATAAACTTTCTAAATTGACTGAGACCTGTCTCAGTTATTTCGGGTTCACAGTGTGAATTATCTGATAGTGGATTTTGCCTATATTTTCTACTGTGCTTTAATTATGTACTGCTGATATACAGAGCTATCTATATTTTATATAGATATATTACAGTATAGACATAGTACCATTTATGGAATGGAGAATAAAATTTTTCAGAAAAATATTTTACCTAATATATTTATCCAATATATATTTGCTGGTCATGTGAAAATTTAACAAATATCAAATGAAAAAGAAAGAATATATATGTGTGTGTACCTATATATCATATATAACATGTTATTAAATGTATAAGCATTTTTATTAAAGTATAATTTATATATAATAAAAATGTATATTTTAAACTGTGCAGTTTGATAACTTTTGATACATGTATAAAGGTGTGATATAAACCATTTGTGATATAAACTGTGCGATGTGATAACTTTTGACACGTGTAAATCTGTGGTATAAACCATCACCGCAATTTAGATAATGAACATAATCAAATTGCTCCCAAGAGTTTCCTTGCAACTTTTGTCATTCTTTCCTCTTGTGTGTCCTTGTGCCCACCCTCTGTTCCAAGCAACCACTTATCTGCTTTCTGTCAGTAAACTTTATTTTATATTTTGGGAGGGAATTAAATAGCATTAATTAATACATGGAATTAAATAGTATTATTATTTTTTAGTCTAGCGTTTTTCACTCGGCATAATTATTTGGATCTTGATCCATGTTGTGTTGCATAACAATAGTTATTCCTTTTTCTTTCTGAATAGCAATCCACTGTATGAATATACCATAGTTTATCTAAGTATATGTTGATGAACATTTGTGGCTATTATGAATGAAGCTGCCATGAACATTTATTTATAAGTCTTAGTGTGAGCATGTGCCTTCATCTCTCTTGAGTAAATACTTAGAAAAGAAACAACTTAATAATTGGGTAGGAAAAACTTAATCATATGTTAAACTTCTGAAGCAACTGCCAAACTGTTTTTCAAAATGGTTGTATCATTAGGTATAGATAATAATTGTCTATGAATGTCAAAATGTCCTATGGTAGTCACAGTGAAAAACACAATTAACAAAGAAATTTGGTCACCTCTGTGATTTACAATGACCTAACACAATAACCCTAATTATGATTGATAACACAACCTCAGACATCAGAACTCTAGAAATCCCGTACAATTTTGGAACACATTTTAACATTTTTCACTAAAATATGGCCTGAAGATCAAACACCACCTTACTCCAACAATCCTATGCAGGCCGAGCACGGTGGCTCATGCCTGTAATCCCAGCACTTTGGGAGGCCGAGGTGGGTGGATCGCCTGAGATCAGGAGTTCAAGACTAGCCTGGCCAACATAGTGTGACCCCTGTCTCTACAACAATACAAAAATTAGCCAGGCATGATGGTGGGTGCCTGTAATCCCAGCTACTCAGGAGGCTGAGGCGGAAAAATCACTTGAACCCAGGAGGTGGAGGTTGCAGTGAGCCAAGATCGTGCTACTGCACTCCAGCCTAGGTGACAGAGCGAGACTCTGTCTCAAAAAAATAAAAAAATCCTATGTAACTAAACATGTTAAATAATCCTGTTTATCACTCCTTTGGACACTCCAGGGGCTCTCTTTAGCATTGAAATGCTAGGGATTAGGAAAGACAATTTCGAAGCTTTATAGGCTTAACACACTTAATAGGATTTCAGGTTATTATAAGTCATCCATTTAAATCATGACTCAAAGTGAAAAACTTTATTCACTAAAAGGGAAGACTTAGTCTTCCAAACAATTTATCTCATGTCCTTCCCTTCTTTTGTCAGTATTTTATTCACAAAGCAAACAAAAATCTTTCATTGCATGAAAATCTTGACAAAGAGAAAGCAACATTTCACCCTTGCATTAGTCTATTAATGTCAACCCCAATTCTTTAAAAAATAAAACCTTACAGACAAATCCATTTAATCTTAATCAGTTTGACCATGAGCTGAGATTCTTATAAATCTTTTATAACACTTCATAAGTTTTTGTTAAAGAGCATATTAGTTCCTAAGGAAAACCTTGTTGTGTTTTTATTTTAATGTTCAATTTACAGAAAAACCAAATAATACTCTTTTGAATTTAGTCAATATGTTCACACACAGATTTTCTCTTTAAAAGATCAATTTTTACAAACCTTGCATAACTTGTTTTAGCCATTAGCTTTATCTTATCTAATTTAAAACAATCCTTTAATCCTCTGAACGAGATGAAAATTTACATTCCGTGTTCTTATATTCTTTTACTAAAGACACATTTTACTCTCCTTACACACTTTGTATGTAAATCTATTTTCAGTAGACTCCACTACATGTTATAATGGTAGCTCTTAGCAATTTTTAATTTTGAAATACCTGGTAAGTTATTTTAGTTACATACTTAGATGCAGATAAGGTCTGACTATTTTCAGCATAGCTAGGAGCATGGCATATGTCCCCAGGCCTTACCAAACTGTAAAGCAGGAAAGTTGAACAATTTTCTTCTTTTTCTTTAATTATACTTTAAGTTATAGGGTACATGTGCACAACGTGCAGGTTTGTTACATATGTATATATGTGCCATGTTGGTGTGCTGCACCCATTAACTTGTCATTTACATTAGGTATATCTCCTAATGCAATCCCTCCCCCCTCCCCCCACTCCATGACAGGCCCCAGTGTGTGATGTTCCCCACCCTGTGTCCAAGTGTTCTCATTGTTCATTTCCCACCGATGAGTGAGAACATGCGGTGTTTGGTGTTCTGTCCTTGCAATAGTTTGCTGAGAATGATGGTTTCCAGCTTCATCCACGTCCCTACAAAGGACATGAACTCATCATTTTTTATGGCTGCATAGTATTCATGGTGTATATGTGCTACATTTTCTTAATCCAGTATATCATTGATGGACATTTGGGATGGTTCCAAGTCTTTGCTATTGTGAATAGTGCCCCAAAAAACATACGTGTGCATGTGTCTTTATAGCAGCATGATTGATAATCCTTTGGGTATATACCCAGTAATGGGATGCCTGGGTCAAATGGTATTTCTAGTTCTAGATCCCTGAGGAATAGCCACACTGTCTTCCACCATGGTTGAACTAGTTTACAGTCCCACCAACAGTGTAAAAGTGTTCCTATTTCTCCACATCCTCTCCAGCACCTGTTGTTTCCTGACTTGTTAATGATTGCCATTCTAACTGATGTGAGATGGTATCTCATTGTGGTTTTGATTTGCATTTCTCTAATGGCCAGTGATGATGAGCAGTTTTTCATATGTCTGTTGGCTGCATAAATATCTTCTTTTGAGAAGTGTCTCTTCATATCCTTTGCCCACTTTTTGATGGGGTTGTTTGATTTTTCCTTGTAAATTCAAAGTTCTATGTAGATTCTGCATGTTAACCCTTTGTCAGATGGGTAGTTTGTAAAAATTGTCTCTTGTTCTGTAGGTTGCCTGTTCGCACTGATGGTAGTTTCTTTTGCTGTGCAGAAGCTCTTTAGTTTAATTGGATCCCATTTGTCAGTTTTGGCTTTTGTTGCCATTGCTTTTGGTGTTTTAGTCATGAAGTCCTTGCCCATGCCTATATCCTGAATGGTATTGCCTAGGTTTTCTTCTAGGGTTTTTATGGTTTTAGGTCTAACATGTAAGTCTTTAATCCATCTTGAATTAATTTTTGTATAAGGTGTAAGGAAGGGATCCAGTTTCAGCTTTCTACATATGGCTAGCCGGTTTTCCCAGCACCATTTATTAAATAGGGAATCCTTTCCCCATTGCTTGTTTTTCTCAGGTTCGTCAAAGATCAGATAGTTGTAGATATGCGGAGTTATTTCTGAGGGCTCTGTTCTGTTCCATTGATCTATATCTCTGTTTTGGTACCAGTACCATGCTGTTTTGGTTACTGTAGCCTTGTAGTATAGTTTGAAGTCAGGTAGCATGATGCCTCCAGCTTTGTTCTTTTGGCTTAGGATTGTCTTGGCTATGTGTGCTCTTTTTTGGTTCCATATCAACTTTAAAGTAGTTTTTTCCAATTCTGTGAAGAAAGTCATTGGTAGCTTGATGGGGATGGCATTGAATCTATAAATTACCTTGGGCAGTATGACCATTTTCACGACATTGATTCTTTCTATCCATGAGCATGGAATGTTCTTCTATTTGTTTGTGTCCTTTTTTATTTCACTGAGCAGTGGTTTGTAGTTCTCCTTGAAGATGTCCTTCATATCCCTTGTAAGTTGGATTCCTAGGTATTTTATTCCCTTTGAAGCAATTGTGAATGGGAGTTCATTCATGATTTGGCTCTGTTTTTCTGTTATTGGTGTATAGGAATGCTTGTGATTTTTGCACATTGATTTGGTATCCTGAGACTTTGCTGAAGTGACTTATCAGCTTAAGGAGATTTTGGGCTGAGATGATGGGTTTTTATAAATATACAATCATGTCATCTGCAAACAGGGACAATTTGACTTCCTCTTTTCCTAATTGAATACCCTCTATTTCTTTCTCCTGCCTGATTGCCCTAGCCAGAACTTCCAACACTCTGTTGAACAGGAGTGGCGAAAGAGGGCATCCCTGTCTTGTGCCAGTTTTCAAAGGCAATGCTTCCAGTTTTTGCCCATTCAGTATGATATTGGCTGTGGGTCTGTCATAAATAGCTCTTATTATTTTGAGATATGTCCCATCAATACCTAGTTTATTGAGAGTTTTTAGCATGAAGGGCTGTTGAATTTCACCAAAGGCTTTTTCTGCATCTGTTGAAATAATCGTGTGTTTTGTCTTTGGTTCTGTTTATATGATGGATTACGTTTATTGATTGCTGTATGTTGAACTAGCCTTGCATCCCAGGGATGAAGCCAACTTGATTGTGGTGGATAAGCTTTTTGATGAGCTGCTGGATTCAGTTTGCCAGTATTTTACTGAAGATTTTTGCATCGATGTTCATCAGGGATATTGATCTAAAATTATGTTTTTTTTGTTGTGTCTCTGCCAGGCTTTGGTATCAGGATGATGCTGGCCTCATAAAATGAGTTAGGGAGGATTCCCTCTTTTTCTATTGATTGGAAGCATTTCAGAAGGAATGGTACCAGCTCCTCTTTGTACCTCTGGTAGAATTCGGCTGTGAATCCAGCTGGTCCTGGACTTTTTTTGGTTGGTAGGCTATTAATTATTGCCTCAATTTCAGATCCTGTTATTGGTCTATTCAGGGATTCAACTTCTTCCTGGTTTAGTCTTGGGAGGGTGTATGTGTCCAGAAATTTATCCATTTCTTCTAGATTTTCTAGTTTATTTGCATGGAGGTGTTTATAGTATTCTCTGATGGTAGTTTGTATTTCTGTGGGATTGGTGGTGATATCCCCTTTATCATTTTTTATTGCAGCTATTTGATTCTTCTCTCTTTTCTTCTTTATTAGTTTTTCTAGCAGTCTATCAATTTTGTTGATCTTTTCAAAAAACCAGCTCTGGGTTCATCGATTTTTTGTAGGATTTTTTTGTGTCTCTATCTCCTTCAGTTTTGCTCTGATCTTAGTTATTTCTTACCTTCTGCTAGCTTTTGAATGTGTTTGCCCTTGCTTCTCTAGTTCTTTTAATTGTGAAGTTAGGGTGTCAATTTTAGATCTTTCCTGCTTTCTCTTGTGCGCATTTAGTGCTATAAATTTCCCTCTACACACTGCTTTAAATGTGTCCTAGAGATTCTGGTATTTGTGTCTTTGTTCACATTAGTTTCAAAGAATATCTTTATTTCTGCCTTCATTTCATTATGTACCCAGTAGTCATTCAGGAGCAGGTTGTTCAGTTTCCAGGTAGTTAAGTGGTTTTGAGTGAGTTTCTTAATCCTGAGTTCTAGTTTGATTGCATTGTGGTCTGAGAGACAGTTTGTTATAATTTCTGTTCTTTTACATTTGCTGAGGAGTGCTTTACTTCCTACTATGTGGTCAATTTTGGAATAGGTCAGATGTGCTGCTGAGAAAAGAGTGTATATTCTGTTGATTTGGCATGGAGAGTTCTGTAGGTGTCTATTAGGTCCTCATTGCAGAGCTGAGTTCAATTCCTGGATATCCACATTAACTTCCTGTCTTGTTGTCTGTTTAATGTTGACAGTTGGGTGTTAAAGTCTCCCATTATTATTGTGTGGGAGTCTAAGTCTCTTTGTTGGTCTCTAGGGACTTGCTTTATGAATCTGGGTGCTCCTGTATTGGGTGCATATATATTTAGGGTAGTTAGCTCTTCTTGTTGAATTGATCTCTTTACCATTAGGTAACGGCCTTCTTTGTCTCTTTTGGTCTTTATTGGTTTAAAGTCTGTTTTATCAGAGACTAGGATTGCAACCCCTGCTTTTTTTTGTTTTCCATTTCCTTGGTAAATCTTCCCCCATCCCTTTATTTTCAGCCTATGTGTGTCTCTGCACATGAGATGGGTCTCCTGAATACAGCACACTGATAGGTCTTGACTCTTTATCCAATTTGTCAGTATGTGTCTTTTATTTGGAGCATTTAGCCCATTTACATTTAAGATTAATATTGTTATGTGTGAATTTGATCCTGTCATTATGATATTAGCTGGTTACTTTACTCATTAGTTGGTTATTTTACTCATTAGTTGATGCAGTTTGTTCCTAGTGTCAATGGTCTTTACAATTTGGCATGTTTTTGCAGTGGCTGGTACCGGTTGTTCTTTTCCATGTTTAGTTCTTCCTCCAGGAGTTCTTGTAAAGCAGGCCTGGTGGTGACAGAATCTCTCTGCATTTGTTTGTCTCTAAAGGATTTTATTTCTCCTTCACTTATGAAGCTTATTTTGACTGGATATGAAATTCTGGGTTGAAAATTCTTTTCTTTAAGAATGTTGAATATTGGCCTCCACTCTCTTATGGCTTGTACAGTTTCTGCCAAGAGATCCACTGTTAGTCTGATGGGCTTCCCTTTGTGGGTAACCCAACCTTTCTCTCTGGCTGCCCTTAACATTTTTTCCTTCATTTCAATTTTGGTGAATCTGACAATTATATGTCTTGGAGTTGTTCTTCTTAGTGAATATCTTCATGGCGTTCTCTGTATTTCCTGAATTTGATTGTTGGCCTGCCTTGCTAGGTTGAGGAAGTTCTCCTCAATAATATCCTGAAGAGTGTTTTCCAGCTTGGTTCCATTCTCCCCGTCACTTTCAGGTACACCAATGAGATGTAGATTTGGTCTTTTCACATAGTCCCATATTTCTTGGAGGCTTTCTTCATTTCTTTTTATTCTCTTTTCTCTAAAGTTCCCTTCTCACTTCATTTCATTGATTTGATCTTCAGTCACTGATACCCTTTCTTCCACTTGATTGAATCGGCTACTAAAGCTTGTGCATGCATCACATAGTTCTTGTGCCATGGTTTTCAGCTCCATCAGGTCATTTAAGGTCTTCTCTATGCTGTTTATTCTAGTTAGCCATTCATCTAATCTTTTTTCAAGGTTTTTAGCTTCCTTGCGATGGGCTCAAACATCCTCCTTTAGCTCAGAGAAGTTTGTTATTACTGATCATCTGAAGCCTTCTTCTCTCCACTCGTCAAAGTCATTCTCCATCTAGCTGTGTTCCGTTGTTGGCGAGGAGCTTTGTTCCTTTGGAGAGAAGAGGGGCTCTGATTTTCAGAATTTTCAGCTTTTCTTCTCTGGTTTCTCCCCATCGTTGTTGTTTTATCTACCTTTGGTCTTTGATGATGGTGACCTACCGATGTGGCCAAATGGGAACAGCTCCAGTCTACAGCTCCCAGTGTAAGCAATGCACAAGATGGGTGATTTGTGCATTTCCAACTGAGGTACCAGGTTCATCTCACTGGAGCTTGTCGGATAGTGGGTGCAGCCCACAGAGTGTGAGCCAAAGCAGGGTGGGGCATCGCCTCACCCAGGAAGCACAAGGGGTCAGGGAATTCCCTTTACTAGCCAAGGGAAGCCATGACAGATAGTACCTGGAAAATCAGGACACTCCCACTCTAATACTGCACTTTTCCAAGAGTCTTAGCAAACGGCACACCAGGAGATTATATCCCGCTCCTGGCTCAGAGGGTCCCACACCCACAGAGCCTCACTCACTGCTAGCACAGCAGTCTGAGATCGAACTGCAAGGTGGCAGTGAGGCTGGGGGAGGGGCGTCCACTGTCACTGAGGCTTGAGTAGGTAAACAAAGTGGCCGGGAAGCTTGAACTGGGTGGAGCCCACCTCAGCTCAAGGAAGCCTGCCTACCTCTGTAGACTCCACCTCTCGGGGCAGTGCATAGCTGAACAAAAGACAGCAGAAACTTCTGCAGACTTAAACGTCCCTGTCTGACAGCTTTGAACAGAGTAGTGGTTCTCCCAGCACGGAGCTGGAGATCTGAGAATGGACAGACTGCCTCCTCAAGTGGGTCCCTGATCCCTGAGTAGCCTAACTGGGAGACATCTCCCAGTGGGGGCCAAGTGACACCTCATACAGCTGGATGCCCCTCTGAGACGAAGCTTCCAGAGGAAGGATCAGGCAGCAACATCTTCCATTCTGCAATATTTGCTGTTCTGCAGTCTCCGCTGGTGATACCCAGGCAAACAGGTTGTGGAGTGGACCTCCAGCAAACTCCAACAGACCTGCAGCTCAGGGTCCTGACTGTTAGAAGGAAAACTAACAAACAGAACAATTTTCAAAAGCCAAAGCAGTTTATGACCTTAAAGCCTTTCACCAACCTAGTTTCTGACTTGCATAATTTAGACCATGTCTACATTTTGAAGACATTTCTACTTTTATTTTACCAATAATTTTAAAGCTAGCCTGTTTATATATAGCAATATATGTTGTTATAACATATGACAGTAAGTGTACAAATAAACACATCTAGACATGTATACATACACAAATGAAGATCCAATAGCTTGGAACCCTAGCCATAAGATAGCACTACAAGCTTACCAGTTTTACTTTGTTTGCCCCAATAGACAATCCAATGAAGGCTGTGAACCAAAATTTCAGGTAAATTGGTTTCTATGACAGTTTGATTTTTAAAAGCCAAACTTCCCCAGACTCCAAAGAACACTGGGGCCAAACAGCACCAAAGGAGAACATCACAAGTTAAAACAGGCCCCCTGCTTAGAACAGCAGCACAAAACCCTGGATACATGCAATGCAATCTTACTTTCCTATTCAACAGTAAACTCCAGATTCCATACAATATTGGGGCCAAACAGTATTGTAACTGTGAGAGAAAATTCTAAGGAGGGTTTAGTACTAGACCTCAGAACCTCTGCCAAGGGCATCCCGTTTGGAGAGGTGGAGGTCCAGAGGATCCCCTGGGATGTCCCCCTGTGGGATCCAACCTTAGAGTGTCAGATGTCTCTGACCTTAGGTAGGCACTAGTGCTGCTTTGTCTTCTCCCTCCAGAGGCAATGGCCTACCACGATCTTTGTAAGGCCATGCTTTCTCAGGCTTCCTGTTCCACCAGAGTGACAGCCATGAAGTAAAAGGCATTGCAGCTTTATTTTTCTTTCAAAATAGTTGATCTAAGCACTTGATTTTCTTTAAGCCAATCAGAGCTCTTTTATATAAACATCATACACATAACACATGTGTAACTACACAGACTGAAGGAGATTCAGTACTTGTAAGATTTTTCATGTGCCAATCTCCTATTTGCATTGCTAACCCTAGGGGTGGAGCACTTCAAGAACCAGGTCTAGGAAAACATGCAGGCAGGTTCTATGGCCTAATAAGTAGGAATAGCTGGAAGACAAGAACAGATTTTGAGAGGGATACATCCACTTGTAATCCCTGGCACTCCATGAGGAAAACAGAGGTTTTTTTCAAAAATGAATCAATGATGCCTCCTTTGTTTTCCCAAGAAGTCCCAGGACTTCAGAGGTTATCTTGGGGCCCTTCATGTGTGCAATAAGAATGGTAAGACAAAAATGGAGACTAATTCAGTCGACTGATAAAACCTTTTTCCAGAAAAAGAAGATCCATGAGAAAAGACATACAGGCCTTTTAAATATACCTATAGCTTTGATAACCATGGACATCTACTTTTAAATAAGCTAACTTTTAACTATAGCACCCCTTTTTAAAGTCATTTTAAATCTCTTATTTCCTGACTTTAGCCATGCCAAATGGCCATTTGAATTCTTGGAGGGGCAGAGAATACAGTGATTTTTATCCTTCCTGCTACCAGTTTGCACAGAGAAAGAGAAGTCAGAGGCCGGGCACAGTGGCTTACACCTGTAATCCCAGCACTTTGGGAGGCTGAGGCGGGCACATCACGAGGTCAGGAGATCAAGACCATCCTGGCTAACACGGTGAAACACCGTCTCTACTAAAAATACAAAAAACTTAGCTGGGTGTGATGGCAGGTGCCTGTAGTCCCAGCTATTCGAGAGGCTGAGGCAGGAGAATGGCATGAACCTGGGAGGAAGAGCTTGCAGTGAGCTGAGATGGTGCCACGACACTCCAGCCTGGGCAACAGAGCAAGACTCCATCTCAAAAAAAACACAAAAAACAAAAAACAAAACAGAAGCTAGAAATCTGACTGGCAAGAACCTTTACCCTTTTGCTGGCATGTCAGGCTTCTGGGTTCCCTTCCCCTGAGACATGGAGTGCTTTGACCCTGGAGTCCTGTGAAGGGGAAAAAGCTATTTTCTTTCTCCAGCCTGAGGGTCAAAGGAGTCCAGTGATTTAGGATACACTTGAGGAGTGCAGGCTGAAAATGATTCACTGGTTACCCATCTGGAAAGAGGAGTAAAAGGCTTCCCTTTGTTCCTCTCTCTTCCTAGCGAATACCCGGGGTATGTGACAGGGAGAAAAGGCATCCCTCTTAATTATTTCGACCTTATATCCCTGAGTTCCGGTGACCTGTGCAGGTGCTGACCATGGGTGCAAGTGCAACCTTCACCCATGAAGTTGGAGGCATAGCTGACAGGCATGCACCTGAGCAGAGCCTAAGCCTCCCACTCTCCGTCACATTTGAGTTCCCTAGACCCTATCTATGCCATGTATGTAAGCATGATATTCCCATCCATGAAGCAGGAGGCCTAATTGTCAGGAATTAGTCATGCTCACCTGCACTGTGCCCTTCGACTCCCGCTGTCATCTGCCTCAGGTCTATTGTTCCATTCCAGGGCTTCAAACTGAAGCTTCGGAGAAAAAGGTGCCTCAGGGGGGTGTATGAACCCATTAAATTGGTCCCAGATAGCCCTTGCCAAATTGCAGCTAGCAACTGGCAGGGGCTGCTCTACCATTGCCTCCCTATCACAAGTAGGTGAAGCTGTGGGGCCAAGTCCTCCTCAAACAAGGGAGAGAGAAAGGGAGTCCCAGTAACTGGGGACCTGGCCTACGAAGGTGACAACTAAGAGATTGGGTTTTTCCTGAGATGCCCTTCACGGTCATGCTAAGAGAGGAGGCGGACCTAGGTTGGAGAAGAGAACTGAAAGGCCTGCTCAAGTCCAGGAGGAGGTCCAACCTCCTTTCCTTGATCCCTAGAATCACCCTAGCTCCTGGATGGCAATGACAGTCTGAACCACCAGAGTCAACGAAAGGAACCCTGGGACCAGTCAGTCCTGCTGCACCATTTGGGAGATGGCAATCTGGACCTTGCCACCCATGTCTCAGGGACAGTCTGCCCTCCAATGATCTACATTTGCAGCAGTTGACAGGTGCATTGTGAGGACTCTGAGGTTTGTGAGCCTGCAAGTTGGTTATTAGAGCCTCTGTCTTTTTCTTGTGTCTCCTTCCCTCTCTTGGGCCTCCCAATCCTATTTTAAAAGGCCAAGGTGGCCACTTCCAGAGGTCCTCTATAGTACTCTCTGGTCGTATGGCCTGTTTCTGTAGCTTCCTCCTGATATCAGGGGCTGAAGTCCCCTCTTAGATTTCTGAGGAAGGCAGTGGGACTCTCATCCAATCCCTGGTCTACCATGGATAGC